>NC_000007.14:26490242-27740242 GCF_000001405.40 Homo sapiens
TCATCATTGTGTAGCCCTGGCACTTAGAAAGTCTCCTGGTTCACACTGAATGAACAAACAAAAGAATGAGTAGAAAAGATAAGTTAGTCATCGATAAATTTTGAAAAATGGAATTAATGGGTCAAAAGGTGTGCACATTTTCAAATCTTTTAGTGAATGAGTTTCTTATGAAGACCAGCTGGGGCAGTGGGAGAGGCCATAGTAATCTAAATGTGGTGAGCCCTGCAGGGGATAGTGCCTGGGGTGAGGCAGTAGCGAATGACACAGAAAAGAAAATGCAAATTTGAGATGCTCAGAGAAGAAAGTAAGAATACTAGTGATGGGTGGGTTTGGGAACCTGCGAGACTTGAGCCAAAAGCACTTTTGGTTTGGATCACAAAGATGCTGTGTGAAGGATTGGAAATACCATGGTAATCCTTCACAAAGCCAGTCAGAAGCTTAGCTCAGGGCAGAAGCCAAGTGTTGGCTTAAAAGACATAACTCAGCAGCCTGTGAGGCAGCTCTGGGTGCACCATGCCATGGAGGAGCAAGCAGGAATGGCTGCATGCCCAACAGCTGCCCTGCTGAGTCTGCCGAATCTGAGCCTCAGTCACTGGGCTGGGACGAGTGTGCTCCTGTCATACATGTACAAAGTGTCCCCACCTCTCCTGAGGCTCCTCCCTTCTCCACCTCTCTGAGCCATCCCGCAAGGCATTGGGTGTTTTCCACCTATTCCCTAAGCTTTTCCAGAAAGCCTAGCCCTTGGAGAGCCTCTCTAGTCCCTGAGCACTCCTAGTCCTCATGGCCTGTGGTGTTTATTTGACACCTATCCCTGCCTGGGCGGCTCACTGGATATGCACAGGGCATCTCCCTAACTGGATGACAGGACAGGGAGGGCAGGGTCTGCTGCAATTTCATACTTTCCACACCTCTCATAAGATGCTCCCTCAGGCCATCTGGCTGACTGAATGATACTGATAAACCGAGTGGCTTCTGGGAATGCTCCATTTCCAGTTCCCTCCTGAACCATATGCTTTTTTGGGATTATCCAGCCCATTAACGCCCACAGACTGGCTCATGAGTAGGTTTTCTGAGACCGAAGAGGGGCTTGATTTCTTAGAGCCTCACAGTGGAAAAGTACCAGGAGGTGCAGCGTTTTCTCCTTGTAGAACATTCCCACCCATAGGTGTCACCTGCTATATATGCTAAAGCAACTTGCTCCACAGAGAAATATGTTTAAAAGCTCTGCTGGCATAATTCCAGGTGGATTCAGCTAAGCTACTCTGAAGGAACATGCACACACACGCAGACACACACCCCCCCCACACACAGTGAGATTATTCATAGTAAAGGACTTAGTGACCCAGCTTTAAGGGCAGCTGTACGCACCCATCTTGGATAAACAAAGAAACCTGTAAATGAAATGATGAGGTGTGATCCGTGACATTATCCTCACCTAACAACTATACTTCGAAATTGTACTTCTATGCACCATCCCTCCAGACCCTATTCTGAAAGATGTGGCCAAGAGTCAGAGAGGAGGGAGGGGAGCATCTTGATGGGTAGAATCTCAAGGCGATGGGCCACTTAGCTGGAGACTTGCAGGGGACTTGCCTCCTCCAGGCACCTGGCCCAGCTCCAAGAGCCCATCGCCAGGGCTGGGGGTGTGAAAATCCAGCTCACTTTCTGTCCCTCTTTCCTTTGCGTGTTCTGGTTCCTGCTTCTGGCCTCGAATAATGGGAGAGAAAAGCAGAAAAATACTGTGTTTAGGAGCTCAGCTTTTGGAGATGGCAGTGAGGAGGGTGGGAGACAGGTTTAACTTCCTGTTACACCAGACAGTGGGACCTTGAATAATTTGTTCAACATCTCCGAGCTTTGATTTCCTCATCTGAAAATGAGTTGATATTTACCTCACAAGATTCTTGTGAAAAATAAATGGAATAATAATTGTAAAGCTTTCAGCATAGTGTCGGGCGCATAGGAAGAGTTCAATAGGTACACGTATACAGCGACTACTTATTAAGCACCTGCTATGTGCCAGGGATTGTTCTAGGCATTTGGATCACATCAGTGAATGGTGGCTAGTGTTATGCGACCCAGCCAGCTTGGATCCTGGTGGGGTGGGCTGCGTGTGAGGTTGGAGAGAAGCGTGGCTGAGCTTGTGATAGGGTAACCTCCATATACTACTTCTACTGAACCCCAGAGTGAGCAGTGGGAAGGGGAGAATGAGGGGGCCACATGATCACCCACACCATCAGAGAGACCTGGGTCCATTCCCCATTGGTAGCTGGAACGCAAAACTCCCACAGTTGAGTCTAGCACATGGGTCCGTGTCCTCTTACGGGGTAGGGGGTACCCAGTGATGTGGTCAAGAGCCTCCCTCACCCCTGCCCCGAGCTCAGGTTAGCCCCAGCTGCCTCTCCCTGGAACCTGCTGTTGGCCTTCTCGTCTTTTTCTGGGTTTCAGCAGCACTGACAGAAGAATGGGTTTAGTTAGGCATGAAACTATACTCAGACTTCCCTTGAAAGCAGTTTCCAGATCTCTTCCTCAATTCATTCCTTCCCTCCATTTACCTTGTCTGGTTTACCATGGTGCTGGCCTCTGCTCCCAGGGGTCAAGATTTGAGCACCTAAGACACTCAGCAATGGAGGTGACTCTGTGGAAGTTAGGGTGGCACATTCATTTCCACGAACTGTTTCTTGGGACAACAACAATAAAAAGGCATGGAGGAAGTAATTACAGCTGGAGCCACAGATCTTGCACATGGCAGCAGGAGTTGTTTTGCCTGTTGGAGATTAAGAGGTATAGTTTCCATGTCAATTACGGGTGGGAAACCCGCCAAGCTCAGTGCTGTTCTCTCATCCTTTCTGTATTTTAGGACATCTGTGCAGCCTTACCATTCCTATGGACAGAAGCAGGAATGTCACCTCCAAACACAGGAGAGCTTGTGTTAGCTGAGCTCTGGGAAAAAGGCATATTTGGGGTTTCCCGGCAGCCCCTATGCCAGGGCTTGGTTTTCAAGGTTGCCTGCAGTCTGGCCTCCTGCAGGCCCTGCAGCAATGGATATTTAGAGCAATCCACATGCACAGTACTGATGGCTGGTGCCCAGGGGAGTCTGCCGGTCTCTTATGGGTAGGAAGAGAGTTTGCTTCTTGAACCAGTTAATAAGGAAGCATGGGCCAAGGGCCCCAAACAAGGGGATTTTCTTAAGCACATCTCAGCATTAGGCACAGCTCTGGGGCACTTTAGGTACAGGCCTGAGGCAACGACAGTAGGGAAAAAACTCCATTCTTAGCCAGGTTACCCCAGTGTGCTACCAATGGGTATTTCAGAGTTCCTCAGCAGGGACTGCGTCTCCAGGCCCTGGGACACCTTGCAAACCTGTTGTTTCTATTGAAAGGGCCCAGGCCCACCCCACTGCTGGCCTGTGGTTCTCTTCTGCTCTTTCACTCTAGCTTGTTCTCTTAGGACACCATCTCTAGGAAGAGGGGTGGCCAACCAAGACAGATGGGTCGCCAGGGCACCCGCTCCCACTCTGGTTAATAATGATCTCCCTTCCCCTCTGCTTCCCAGTACCAGAGATGTCTCCAAGAGCACCAGCAACCCCAGCTATCTGGATCTGAAGTGGATATGCTCAGAGACATCCTGGCCCACCCCAAAGAAGATGCTGCTGCACTCAGAAGACGCCAGAGCTAGCCACCACCCACACTGCAAGTCTGGAAGCTCTGCAAGGACCCAGCAAGGCAGCCTGCTCAGCGAAGGCTTTGTCTCCTGTGGCAGGAAGAGCAACATTAAGAACAAGAACCCCGGGCTGGACTACCCCTGAGATTTAATGACCAGAGCTGAGACCCCCAAGACCACAATGACTATGGAGGGCTGTCATTACCCTGCCTGACCCTCTAATGCCTCTCAGTTCAAGGAGGCCACTGAGTGAAACTGAAGGCTGGTTTTCCTTGGAAGCCAGCGGCCCATCCACCTGCTCCACTTCCCTGCCTCTTGCAGCCTCCGCTCAAACACTGTCGTGGCTTGGCAGCACTACAAGGCAGAGTGAAAACAGATACTTCTACCCACATTCCTATCTCCTCTCATTTACGCAGATTAAATGCTTTCTTTCCTTGTTTTACACTGCTAGGATTTTCATCACCCTGTTTTTTCTTTCTCTACATCAGCTACAAGAAAAAAAAAAGGAGTTACTGAGCAACTAAGAAGTCACAACTGTTTTCAGTTTTATTAATGAGTTGTTATACTTATTTTATAGATAGAGAATTACCATTATAACATTGCTCCATTGCCCACTCATCCATTCACGCATCTGTCCATCCGTCCATCCACCCATTTGTCCACTCCCCAAATGGTCATCAATTGTCTACTGTGAGCCAAGCAAAGTGCTCCTTACTTTGGACTCTGAATCCAGTGCTCTTTCTACTTCACCATAGACACATGCCCCTTGAGTATAAGGGAGCTTGATTCATTCAACAAATATCTGTTGTCCATCTCCAATGTACTGGCATATTCTAAATGCATCCAACAAAAACCAAAATGAAAAAAAAGAAAAACCCATTCCTTCAAGGGGATTGCATTCGGACTGGGGGAGACAGATAAAATAAAAATAATGAAGTCAAATATATATGTTAGTGACATGTGCCATGAAGAATAATGCCCAATAGGTAAATGGGGCAATTAACAAACGTAATGTAAATAAATTAGTTCCAAGAAATCATTGACTCACCAACAGAGGGAACACAATTTGGTCCATGGTAAAATATTCCTTGGTATTAATAATTTCTTCTCCTAAAGTATTTCAGGGGCTGCCAAGCTGCTCTCCTGTTTCCTCTTCCTTGGGGCTGATTGCATCCCATGATGTGCCCAGGTTTTGAGATGCTCCTCGTGAATGAAAATAGGACTGTCTGGTTCCTCCATCCATAGCAAGGGAGCCTAGACAGAAATAACTTCTGTGCATTTCTCCAGCTACATTTAGGTAAGTGATGCCTTTTCTTCGTTTTCTTTAAGATGTCCTATAAAACCCTATTGATGTAGCTCAGTTGTTTGAAATTTATGATGCTTTAGATAGGCTTTGGCCTGAGATTGCCTTGAGGAATGGTGTAGGTACACAAATTAAGAATAAAAATAAGATTGCAAAAAATTGCACCACTTAAGGGAATTAGTTGCTTTTTTCATTATCTTGAATAATTTGTTCTTAAATGCATCAGAGGGACCAAATCATAGCTGACTGATCGGCTCGTTATAAATAATTCTCACCTATTCCTAAAAGCGGGGGCCTGTTGTGCACTTGCTACCTCCGTTTAGAGAATATTGCACTTCAAGCCCATTGGATTTGAAAGTAATAGAAATGGTCTTTTTAAAGCCAATATTCTAGAATGAGCACTTCATTAAATCGAGACCCACCTTTTACCCAAATTTAGCTAGACTTTAATGTGCATCACACATCTCTAATCTGGGCTTTTCCTATAGCCTCTTTCAAAGGACATATTTGTTCAGCCTTATCAGTGAGGTATTCAATCATGCTTCCCTTGTATCAGGCACCTCAAGGGCAGGAGCTAACACAAATGTGCTTGGTTTTTAATAGCTGAAAATATGTCTACGTGAGGTTAACTGTATTTACCCAATGCCAGATACCTGAAAGAGTGTGAAAAATTAAGGTAATTATTAATGTCTCCAAATAGCTGGATGATGGTGTCATATTTGCAATGCATAGATTATGCCATCATGTCAGATTTGGGACACTTTGGGAGGTTGGGAATGGGATGGGGATGGGTGGCAGTGAATAACATCAGACAGGGTGGATACGTAATTCCAAAGTTGGAATTAGTGTCTCTATTTTAACAGCAATTCCTTTACTTAACAGCAATTCTTTTCTGTTTATCATTTTAGGGAAAACTAGAAAATACAGAAATATATCAAGAAGAAAAAAAATTTAAAAATGACCCAAAATCCCACCAACCAGAGACAGCTATTAATGATTGTGGTATATTTATTGTAAGTCTCTTTATTTCTGTCTTCATGCAAACACATTTTTAAAGAATGGACACTGGTATTATATTGTTTATACAACTCTAAATGCTGCTTTTTCACTTATTACAATTAGGACTTTTTTCATGTTAATAAATACTTCCTGAAAACATAAATATCTAATGGTTACATCAAAATTTATTACCTTTTCCTTGTTGATGAACATTTAGGTTGCTTTCATTTTTTCTTGCTTATATAAAATAAACATTCTTGAACATAAATACATGTTAACAGCTCTGAAAATTACTCCATGCCCTTATTCTTTTTCTTTCTTTCTTTCTTTTTTTTTTTTTTTTTTTGAGACAGGGTCTCACTCTGTCACCCAGGCTGGAATACAATGGCATGATCTCTGCCTCCCGGGTTCAAGAGATTTTTGTTCCTCAGCCTCCCGAGTAGTGGGACCACAGGCGTGCACCACCATGCCTGGCTAATTTTTGTATTTTTTGGTAGAGATGGGGTTTCACCATGTTGACCAGGCTGGTGTTGAACTCCTGGCTTCAAGAGATCCACCCATCTCAGCCTCCCAAAGTGCTGGGATTACAGGCGTGAGCCGCTGTGCCCAGCCATGCCCTTATTCTTGATCACCTTCCCTACATTTGGAGGGGTTATGGAGACATAAAGTGTGCCTAAGATCCTGATAACAGAGCAGATGGTTTATTTTTTGTGGCAAGGATATTTTGTGGCAAGGATGTTTTGCATTGATCAGTTGCATTTAATAAATTAATTACTTTATTTATTCAATAGGAATTTACTAAAGTCATGCTATACGCTAGGCACTGTGGAGGGACTGCAGAAAGACTTCAAGGACTGCACCGTCTTGTTAGAAAGATGCCTAGACAACATTTGAGAAACGCTGATCATGTCTGATGACACATAACTGCTAACAGTTACATGGAATTTTCTATATGCTATATACAAACATACAAATATATGTATGTATATTTACTCAGCTCTCACAACAGCTACTACTGTTATTATGAATCCTGTTTTATAGTGAGAAAACTGAAACATGGAGAGGTTAAGTAATTTGCCCAAGATCACATAGCTACTAAGTGGTGGAACTGTGATTAGAATCCAGGCATTCAGGCTCCAGAGTTCATACTCTTCACATACCACATCTATCTTGAATATAACAATGTAGAGAAAAAGAATTATAGCAAGCATATGTCTAGGTAAGCATTTTCCAGAAGTGACTGTTTTTTTGCATTGGGTTTGTAAACTTTCAACAATAAAGCAGGTTGGACTTTATATCAGTCAAAGCAGAATATTCTGATGTCACCTTCCCCAATGTTTAGGATGTTAATGAGAATTGCTAATCCAAGAGAAGAAAATAATCTCATCTAATTTGGGTAAGTCAATTATTTGAAAGTAGAAGAACCACCCTTCCACCTCTCTTGTTCTAAGGAACCTCTGGGGGAAGTACTGGAAAAATAATGCTTTCTAATAAGCCCAATAGGGCTTTTGATTTGTAATAACTATTTTAATAAGTATCAGTTCAATTCCTATTATTTTTAAGAAGTTCATTGAATGAATTAAAGAACAAATGAATGAGCAATGCTTTAGGCTATAGGCTTTCAGAGGACGTAATTCTATGAAACAGACTCAGTGGTATGCTGGCACCAGCTCCTACTTGCGTCTCTTTTCAACTTTGTGTTCAGTGACTTTGCCTTGGTAGCTTGACATCAGCCATGGTGGGAATATTTAAACTAAATAACTGAGAAAATGATTCATATTAGAGAGCTTTCTTTTTTCCCGGGAACTAAGTGTTAAACATTTACCAGCACACCACTGCCTAGACTTGTTAGGAAATTCACAAGTGAGAAGA
Organism: Homo sapiens; assembly: GCF_000001405.40. Classification (NCBI taxonomy): domain Eukaryota; kingdom Metazoa; phylum Chordata; class Mammalia; order Primates; family Hominidae; genus Homo; species Homo sapiens. Next base: position 26,498,077 of record NC_000007.14, read on the forward strand.
AATTCTGTGATTCCAGGAGATGAAAGAGGGAAGTGTAATGAGAATATCAACTTGAGTATTTTATCCGTTGCTTTCTTTAATTGGGTCATTTCAGAGGGTGGGTAGATTTTGTTAAGACAGTTGAAATATTTAGGTAGGTAGAGGGGTGAGTGCAGTTGAAGAGTAAAGGCTGTTTGGGGCAGACAAAAGAATGATAGCACTCTTTCAAGTGCTCTGCCACCAGCAGTAAAAGTCGGGAGAAGGACCTAGCACCAGGACACGTGATCTGTCCGGCGTAAGCGAGTGCTGAGTCAAAGGCCTGCAATTCAGGCCCCTGCTCTGGGGCACGGTCAGTTTCAGCCAGGCCCAACTCTCTTTCCCAGGTCCATGGCGTGGATGGCACCCAGAATCCAGCAGGGGAGTGCTGGTGGATACACCTGGGAGGGCCTGGTGGAGGATCATTTGCGTGCAGAAATAAGGAAATAGACATATTTGAGCTGGAAGAAAATCTTACATGTCTGATCCAATTCTCTCATTTCACAGATAAGGAAAAGGGGCCCCAAAGAGTGAAGAGGGGATGTCCTGAGGTCATGAGGCTGGCTTACAGCAAGGATCTGGACCAGACAGCAGGGTGGGACCCTCAGCTGTCCCCATACTTGCTGCTTGATATTGGATAGGTTATTTAGGCTCTATGTGTTTTCTCATAAACACATAGAGGTTAGGTAAAAATGGTGGTGTGAGAATGAACTAATACATGTAAAGAGCTTGCATGTAGTAAGCTCTCAATAAATATTAATAATACTGGGCACAGTGGCTCACACCTGTAATCCCAGCACTTTGAGAGGCCAAGGCGGGTGGATCCCTTGAGGTCAGGAGTTTGAGAACGCCCTGACAAACATGGTGAAACCCCATCTCTACTAAAAATACAAAAAATTAGCCAGGCATGGTGGTGGGTGCCTGTAATCCCAGCTGCTCGGGAGGCTGAGGCAAGAGAATCACTTGAACCTGAGAGGTGGAGGTTGCTTTGAGCCCAGATCATGCCACTGCACTCCAGCCTAGGTGACAGAACCAGACTTCATCTCAAAAAAAAAAAAATTAATAATATAGAGCCCTTGTGTTGACACTATTCTCTTTTACAGCCAGAAAGAGAGAAAGATTACAGAAAATAAAAATATATTAATATATTAAAGGCATAATACTGTGAATTAATACTGATTAATTCAATATACTATTATATCAAAAACCAGGATACTAATAATAAATAATATATGGAAAACCACCATACACATTGGTAAAACATTAACATTTTCAAATCTCCAATCCAAGAATTTTCCCCAAATCCAGATTGTGCAGGTATTTTAGTGAATGATTCACCCTACAGAATTACTTATTACATTTTTCTTTAAACTTCAATGGATTTGTAGCTGAATGAGGGATCAGGTAATCACCAGACATCTTGGAAGGGCACATGATCCCTCAGGCCTTTTCTTGGAGAATGTTTAAAGAAACCTCTTCCTTCCCATTAGGGAGGCCGACCATGAGTCCCTTTGTGTTGACAGTGAAGGTGTCTGGGGCTACACCTCTTTCACATGCTCTGCCACCAGCAGTAAAAGTCAGAAGGCCCTGGCACAGGGCACACCTGATCTGTTCGGCATAAGTGCTGAGTCAAAAGCCTGCAATTAAGGCCAGTGGCTGGGAGGAGGCCTGGTCCCAGCCTCTCCTTGATTTGCCTCACCCCACCCAAACACAGGTCATGTTCATCATCTGCTAGCCAGCAAGGAAGATGTGTGGGGTACAGGTTACAGGGACTGAGCCCGGAGCCTGACTTTCTGGGCTCTACCACTCGTTGTCTTCATTTCCAAAGGCAAAGCACTTGACCTCTCTGAGCCTCCATTTCTCATCCATAAAATGGGGATGATGATAAAAGTGACTGCTTCATAGGATTGTTGAGAGGATCAACTCAAGTAATATGTGAAAAGTGGCACATAATAAGTACTCTGTTTCATGTTTCTAATTAATTTTATTTTTTTTAGGTTTTTTACTGTGGTAAAATATATGTAACATAAAATTTACTATTTTACTATTTTTAAGTGTAAGTGGCGTTGAATACATTGTGGCATTGAATACATTCACACTGTCATGCAACCATCAACACCATCCACCTCCAGCCTTCTTCGTCATCCCAAACTGAAACTCTACTCATTAAACAATAACTCCTCATTCCCGCTTCCCCTTAGCCTCTGGGAACCATTGTTCTTTGCCCATTTTTAAATGGAGGTTGTTGCTGGGTTGTGGGAGTTCTTTATTCTGGATATTAATCCTTTACCAAATAGATAATTTGATTTTTTTTCCTATTCTGTGTGTTGCCTTGACTATGTCCTTTCATGCACAAAATATTTTAATTTTGATGAAGTCTAGTTTACCTATTTTTTCTTGTATTGCCTGTGTTTTGGTGTTAATTCCAAGAAATCATTGCAAAATTCAATGTCATGAAATTTTGCCCCTTTCTTCTAAGAGTTTTATAGTTTTAGCTCTTATGTTTAGGTCATTGATGACTTTGAGTTAATTTTTGTTTATGATGTAAGGTAATGGTACAACTTCATCCTTTTGCATGTGGATATCCAGTTTTCCCAGCACTATTTATTGAAAAAAAGACTGTCTTTTCTCCATTGAGTGGTCTTGGCATCCTAGTTGAAAATCATTTGACCCTATATATTAAGGTTTATTTCTGATTTCATTGGTCTATGAGTCTGTCTTTATGCCAGGACCACTCTGTTTTGATTACGGTAGCTTTATAGCAAGTTTTGAAATCAGGAAGTGTGAGACCTTCAACTTTGTTCTTCATTTTTCTGGATGTTTTGGCTATTCTGGGCCCCTTGAGATTTGAGAAAGAGTTCCCTCTACTGGCAGATCTAAGACAGTCTGTTGACTCAGGTACCTGATAATTTTTGAAGATGCATTTAAGAAGTTAAACTATTGAGAATAAAAAAATCTTAGCTAGGCTTTATTTTATTTTTCTGATCGGTTAGAGACTCTTGGAGACTTCTCTTTCTTCTCAATCAATTTGACTGAGGTATAATTAAAAAAAAATAAAACATACTGATATGGCTTGGCTGTGTCCCCACCCAAAATCTCATCTTGAATTATAATCCCCATAATCATCATAATCCCCACGTGTCAAGAGAGAGACCAGGTGGAAGTAATTGAATCATGGGGGCAGTTTCCCCGATGTTGTTCTCGTGATAGTGAGTGAGTTCTCACGAGATCTGATGGTTTATGTGTTTACTAGTTCTTCCTGCGTTAATTTTCCTTCCTGCCACCATGTGAAGAAGGGGTCTTGCTTCCCCTTCGCTTTCTTACACGATTGAAAGTTTCCTGAGGCCTCCCCAGTCCTGCGGAACTGTGAGTCAATTAAACCTCTTTCCTTTATAAATTACCCAGTCTCGGACAGTTCTTTATAGCAGTATGAAAACAGACTAATGCATATACAGACACATACACCTAAGTAACCATCACTATCGCAATCAGGATATCAAATATTTCTATCAACCCAAAAAGTTCCTTTGTGATTTTTGTAGTCAGTCCCCACTCTTGATTCCCCATGCCCCAGGCAACCACAGGTCTGCTCCCCGTCATATAGACGAGTGTTGTCTGTGTTCAGATTTCAAATACATGGAATTGCACAATATATGCTCCTATGTCTAAATTTTTTTCACTTAGCATAATGTTTTCGAAATTCATTCATGTTGTATTTATCAGTAGTTTTTAGCATTGTATCGCACTGTGGTATTTCATTGTATATATCATCATTTGTTTATCCATTGACCAGTTGAACATTTGGGCTATTTCCAGTTTGGGGCTGTTTTGAATAAAGGTGCCAAGTTCAAGTCTTATTTGCAGACATATGTTTTCATTTCTCCTGAATAAATACCTGCAAGTGGAATTTCTGGATCATATTGTAAGTGTATGTATAATTTTATAAGAAATTGCCAAGCTGTTTTCCACAGTGGTTGTATATCTCACCAGCAGCATATGGGAGTTCCACTTCCTTCACATCCTTGCCAACATTTGGTGTGGTCAGTCTTTTAAATTGTAGCCATTTTAGTGGCTGTGTTGAGTATATGAAAAATCATTGTTAGGTTTAGTTGTTCTTCTCATAGCAAGACCTTGAAGCCTTAAAAATATATTTTTAAAAATTTTAACTGTAATAAAAAACACATAGCATAAAATTGATCATCTCAGCCGTTTTTGAGTGTAGTTCAGCAGTGTTAAGTATATTCACATTATTGTACAACAGCTCTCCAGAATGTTTTCATCGTTCCAAATAGAAGTTCTATACGCATTGAGAACAATAACACTTCATTTCTACCTTCGCCAGGAGACTTTTAAAATTACACTTTTTATTTTGAGGTACTTATAAATGTATATAGAGTTGTAAGAAATAATACAGAGATATCCCGTATACTTTTTACTCACCTTCCCCCAGTGGTAACATCTCACAAACCTATAGTACAATATCACAACCTATTGGAACCTTTTAAAAATACACACCTCTCAAAGTTGAGTGAGAAGTCACAGAAAACAGGCACCATTAGATCATGTCCTGTGCTCCACTGTCAATGAGACAGGGAGAATCTGAAGCATCAGAGGCTGTCCTAACCATAATGCCAATGAATACTCTGAGAATCACATTTCAGGGACCGCAAGAACCACTGATCCGTTAATATTGGCAACACCAACGCTTAGTGCTTCCAACCTGAAAATGCTGCATCTGGAATTTCAAATTAGGCATCCCTGATGAGAAAGTGAGATGCAGAGTAAAGGGCAAGGAGATGGTCAAAAGCAAGAGGTATATTCATTTAGACCTCTGCCAGTGGGACTGGCACTCGGCATGTCTTCTTTTCTCACCTAGACATTTCTGTCTTTCTGACTAGGAGTAATCATGGGTGGTGGTTCCGTTCAGGGAGAATGAAATAACTGTGGACCCCCAAGCTCATTTGAGCTAATAGCTTCAAAATACTTGGGTAGATGCCCAAATAAGTAATGAAATGGACTAGTTTTAGTTTTAGCTTTTTGTGCTTCCACTGCGCATCTCTGGTGGAGGGAAGGCTGAGCAGTGGAATGGCTAAGGTGCAGGGAGTCAGGGATAGGAAGAGAAAGACCCAGGTGATCTTCAGACTGGATAACCAGCCCCTGCGGGCTCTGGAGCTGATGGTAATGATAGGAAGCAAATCCTGAAGGTAAAGGTTATAAGACAGTCCTAAGGGCGGGAAGGGTGAGGAATGAAATCAACTGCAACGACAAATGTAATTTTTAAGATAACCAATGAGAAAGAAAAAGATGAAAATTAGCTTGATGAAAAATGGATATAGTGACTCTTTCCCCATTTCCTTTAGCATCTTTCAGAAGACGATCGTTTTAGGGCAGTCCCCACATGATGGTGACAGGACAATCACTCTTTTGGAGATCATTTTTGAAATTATGGCAAAGTCAAGGGCACCCGCTGTAAGTTCCTTCGCATCCTCTTCTCCATCTCCAGCTCTTTGCCTGTTCTGAGCTCCTGTCTCTGAAGAATCTCTCTACTTCCATTGTGAGTTCATCTCCCTGTGCCCTTGGTCCCTCCTGCTGCCCTAAAGTCTCGCTCTATCAGGAACGCATGCTCCCCTTGGATCTTCCAGCTCTCCTTTCCGGGACCTGCAAGCATGTTTGGATCGCCCCTTCCTTCAAAACACATGCCTTAGGCCTGCTCCCCAATCACCTTACCGACCTCAACCCCTCCTTCCTTTCATTAGTAAACGTTTTAAAAGAGTACTATCACCAGCTACCTGTCTCCTTGACCTTGGGCCAGCTGCTGGTCGCCTTTTCCCAACACTGTTGCCTGAGGGCTGTCAGCGCCCTCCCTGTAGCTGCGTCCCCGGCCTTTTCTCCTGGATCATCGTCTCTGTTGCTCTGGACACTATGGACATGTTTCTTTCCTGTGTCACCCTGTACTTCCTGGGATTTTGTGCTGTCACCCTTTTCCCTTTCTCCTTTTCTAGGACATCTTTGCCACTTCCTCTGCCCCACAGATTTAGGTCTCTGCAGAAGTTCACTTCTGGGTGTTTTTCTCTTATTTCCTATTTTGTATAGTCTTTCTTCCAATAGTCTCGTCTGCTTCCTCTGTTTCAATTAAAGCCTCTAAGCAGATGTCTTTGAGTTTCATTGGTTAGACCTTTCTAAGGTGCCTAAATTGTGGGGTCGTGTCAGGATGAGATTGTGCTTTTGATTGACCTTTGTACCCCCTAGCATAATGTCGTAAATATAGTAGAAGCTCAGATGATATTTGCTGAATAGCATTTGTATCCCCAAACTATTGGATGGTGGGATGTTGGGATCTCTCATTTTTTTTGTCTTTTTTTTTTTTTTTGGTAGAGATAGTGATATAGAAGTTAAAAAGAAATTGTTTAGGCAGATAGAAAGGGTTAGGAAGTCCTCAGTAATGTTTTCCTTTTAATGACTAGCAGCCCTCAAATCATTTCTTTTCTAACAAAGAGCAGCCTGTAACCTCAAGCTGCAGACATAGATAAGCAAGCTGGAAGCTTGCACCAGTAAATGCTGGCAGCTCTGCCAATAGGAAAAGGCTACCTGGGGGCCAGGAATGTTCAACATGGTGGCTCTAGCTTCCCTTTTCTTTGTCAACCAAGTGTACAGTAAGGAGCAGGCAACATGGCACCAGCCAGGTAGAGACCCCATCTGTATAATAAAAGATTAGGGTGGGATGGCTGGCCTCTTCGTGCACTACGCAAGTGTCACACTTGGTCTGACCAATCTCTTGAGCCCTGTGTAAATCAGACACTGCCTCCTCAAGCTCATCTATAAAACCCTGTGCATTTTACCACAAAACCGGAAGACCCACTCAGGTGCCTCCTGTCTCTGCAGGAGAGAGAGCTTTTCTCTTTTCTCTTTCTTTCGCCTATTAAACCTCTGCTCTTAAACTCACTTCTTGTGTGTCTGCATCCTCGATTCCCTTGGCGTGAGACAACAAACCTTGGGTATTTAACCTAGACAATGATGCTACTTTAATAGAATCTTGCTATGTTGCCCAGGCTGGTCTTGAACTCCTGGCCTCAAATGATCCTCCTGCCTAGGCCTCCCAAAGTGTTGAGATTATAGGTGTGAACACTGTGCCCAGCCGGGATCCCTTGTTTTGATGTCCTCTTGACATTGTGGTGAAGGGAAGCCAAGTAAATCTATAACCTTTCCCCTCCAAGACGCTGTCCCAAGAAACAGCCCTGGTTCAGGACAGTTGGTAGTCTGCCCTGTGCCAGTTCTCATAAATGACAGAGAAGCTTTCAGGATAGAAATCCTGGGAGTAATTGAGTCATGATTGGCACCCCCTGCACTGTTCCAAACTGACAACAAATGGGCATGGCAGCATACGCCTCTTCCAAGTGGCATCTAATTTCTCGAAGGTGACTTTACATTGCTTTACAGAGGCTGGCACACTGATTCAGGAGAGCCTACAGGGAGTCGCACCTGAGCCTGGTGCCTGACTGCAGCAGACAGCTGCCTAGTTAAGGCAAATTTTACAGTTAAATTGTGTTCTGCTTGGGAATTGGAAACTACTGCAGAAGGACAAATGCAAATGCAATTCCAGTGCAGGGCAGGAGCTTGTTAAGAGACAGCCCTGCTGCAAAACCTGAAATCTCCCTGGTTTCTGTTCAACTATTGCTTTGGGGAAACTCATGGGCCATTTTCTGAGGGGCTTTAAGGGAGGGAGGACAGAAGTAGCTTCAGTGCAATATGAATAACATGGGCTTTGGGGTGTGACCATGTCCATGTTATTACAAGCACAAGCATCAACCTGCCTGGTTTTAAATGCTGGCTCTACCACTTACAGGCTGGATAACCTTGGGCAAGTTACTTTAAATCTCTGAGCCTCAGTTTCCTCATCTGTAAGCTCTAAATAATAATACTTACCTTGTTAGAAGTTAAAAATACATAGATATAAAAACCTTAGCCCAGTGCTTGACATATAAGCCTTCAATCAATGCTAGCAATTTCACCATTATTATTACTGAATAATTGTGAGACCTTGAGCAAGTCACTTAACCTCATGGTGTCCTTTTCTCCATTTCTTGGGGGTGGTTTTGTGAGCATTAAGTAAAAAAAAAAAAAAAAAAATCTATGAAGCATTTGGCACAGGATGGGCCCTTCATAGGTGCTAGCTATTACTGTTATTATTATAAATAGCTGGATATAAACAAATTTGCTTCGCATACCTTAGGGTAGTGGGTACCTGCTGGTGAGGGCTCCCTGGAGAGCCAAATACATCCAAAAGAGCAAGAAAAGGACAAAGTCAGCATAAAGTTTAAGAGAAAAGGTCAAGTAAGACGGACCTGGTTTTCCAGTAAATGATCTGACCTCCCTCCAATGCGGCTTCCTTCTCTGTGAAATAGGGATCGCAATGACAATAGCCCTTCTGCGGAGTTGTGGTGAGGACCACCGTGCTTGTCAAGTGCTCAGACAGGAACTCTGACACACGGTCAGTGCCCATAAAATGTAGCTGTTGGTATTGAGAATGGTGGGCGGGCGGCAGGGTTAGTGCAGGATTATTGGGAAAGGGTTGAAGAGAGTGGGGAGGAGGGAAGGGGTGGGAAGAACAGGAGGGGGAGAGAGTTTTGCTGAACACCACCTAATAGAGATCCTAACTTGGAGGAGACAACCCTGTGTTTTGTCTGAGACTGCCTTTACCCTTCATGTGTCCCCTGAATGCATCTCTCATGGTGCCAAGAATAATGTCTTTTACAGAGGAGGTCATCAACAGATATTGATGGAATTAGAGGTTACCTCAGAGAGAGGATATGTGTTTGATCACTTCTTCAAGGTTCTGGAACTCAAGACCATGGTGTTCCAAAAAATGTTCATGTCTGGGATGGGTGTATGAGGTAGGGGGAGTCTCGGAATGCCAGCCATTCTTTCCCACCCATTACTGTGAACCAGAAGGATCTAATACATCTCCATGGGTAATGGTTTGATTCTTGACCAAAGAGGGTGGCACAAACCCAGAAGTGAGTCTTGTGAGAGCAACAGTCGAGCTCATTCAAAGTTCATTTGCAGCATATGCGGGGTGTCCCCACAACCTGGCAAGTCACAATTTAAAAGGAGACAGCAACACAGAAAGAAAGGAGTGAGTTTTACTCAGTGTGGTGCTGGGTGAGCCTGCACACTCGCAGGCCCGCTGCAAGAAAAGCTCTGTGAGTCTGGGATAGAGCTGAGTTCTACATCATCTGCTCATTGGCCAAATTGCAATGGGAAGGAAGGGCTGTTTATTTTCCTCCCAGAACAGGAATTCTCAGAAAATCGATTCTCCCTCATTGACAATGCATACTAAGTGATTGAAAGGCCATTAAACCCATTAATGGGGTGCTCTTTAAATAAAATAAGTCCCTAAAAGGGATCTTAGACTTGGCAAAGTCAGTAGAGCTGACAGTGTGCTGGGCCTGCCCAGGGACTGTAAATATACCAGAACAAATATAGGAGAGCAGGAGGGGGGCATGCAGACAGAGGATAAGGGAGGCAGTGACGACGAATAGCGTGGTGCACAAAGGACAAATGTTGCCAGACAAGCTTAATGGCTTTTATTTTATTTTTGACAGCATTTACAAAATGAGTAAATGAAGGGAAGTTTGCATCTTGATTTCAGTTAAACATTTGGCATTGCATCCCACCAAATTTCATGCACAAAATTAATTCAAATTGTTTTGGATGGAAGTGTGGTCACATGGGTGAAACTTGGCTGGCACTCCCTCCCTGAGCAGCAGGGGGAAGAAGGCGCCCCCTGCTGCGGTCAGCATGGTGGCAGAGCCTTGTTCTAATTCTCATCATAAACTGGGCTCCTCATTCTCTGGCTCCCCCTCTAATAATAATAATGATAATAATAATAATAACTTACATTAATTGATCACATACAAGTTCACGACATTTTATCTTATTAAGATAAAGTTAATCGGCCGGGCGCGGTGGCTCACGCCTGTAATCCCAGCACTTTGGGAGGCCGAGGTGGGCGGATCACGAGGTCAGGAGATCGAGACCATCCTGGCTAACACGGTGAAACACTGTCTCTACTAAAAATACAAAAAAATTAGCCGGGCGTGGTGGCGGGCACCTGTAGTCCCAGCTACTCAGGAGGCTGAGGCAGGAGAATGGCGTGAACCCGGAAGGCAGAGCTTGCAGTGAGCGGAGATCGCACCACTGCACTCCAGCCTGGGTCACAGAGCGAGACTCCGTCTCAAAAAAAAAAAAAAAAAAAAAAAAAAAGTTAACATTTCTCCGTAGTTCTTTTGGCCCCAGACATTTCTCTTTACTCTGTCTTCCTTTTTAAGCAGCTGTGTCGATCACCTCTGGGGACAAATGGGATAGAGTGTAGAGGATGTGGGGTCATGGGCAAATGTTTGGGAGAAACAAGAAAAGGCTTCGCTCCTCAGATGAGAAAGAATTTTTCGTGAGAGGCGATGTGAGCAGACAGGATGGAGGGCGAGGGTGGGGCCGTGCACCTGCTTTCCTAGGCAGAGGGACTGCCTGCAGGTACCACAGCCCAGACAGGGAGTGGCCTGGGGAATCCCCACAGAGACTCCTGCCACCTGCATGGTTCAGAGCCAGAGCAGCCAGGTCCAGATGGACCATTTGGGCAAGAATGTAGACCCTCGGGCAGCGACATTGCAGACTGAGTGGGGTGAGCTGGCTGCCTGCTGTGCCGTCTTTTCATAGAAAATGAGTTGAGTTATGAGAATTTTTTTCTGGCACACCTAAGATTGTGGAGGCATTATTAGCTCAGTGAGTCTGCACCGAAATGCTGTAACGGACAGTTCGGAAAATGGAGGCAAAGGCAGGTAAAGCAGTGGAGCCAGACGGGAACTAACGCAGGAATGCAGGAGCCCCTCTGCTGAGATTCTGCCCACCCCCAAGGGCAGTGAGAGCTTCCTGGTTCTATCCAAGTTACTCTTTCATCGAAGGGAAGGACCACTTGGTAACTATGGTGAATGCAAATAAACAGCCCCTCTGAAGAAGGCACTGATATTCCTGAAGCTCTGTTTCTTTTTCTGGTGCTGCCCCATAAAAAGCTGATCTCATTCCCTCATTCATTGATTCTTTTGTTTATTCAGTGACCTGTGTTGAGAACCTATTATATGTCAGGCGCTGGGCAGACAAGCCTAAGTCAGGCACAGCCTCAGCTCTCCGAGAGCTTGGGTGCTGGTAAGGGTGTACACACACATAGGCAGTTTTTTTTCAGGGTTATTTTTACTTTTTTAAATGTCCTGAACATGCTCCCTTCGTTGATCTATCTCAAATAGCATTTAACTAAATCTTTTTTTTTTTTTTTTGAGACGTAGTCTCACTCTGTCGCCCAGGCCAGAGTGCAGTGGCGAGATCTCGACTCACTGCAAGCTCTGCCTTCCGAGTTCACGCCATTCTTCTGCCTCAGCCTCCTGCGTAGCTGGGACTACAGGCGCCGGCCACCACGCCCAGCTAATTTTTTGTATTTTTAGTAGAGACGGGGTTTCACTGTGTTAGCCAGGATGGTATCGATCTCCTGACCTCGTGATGCCCCCGCCTCGGCCTCCCAAAGTGCTGGGATTACAGGCGTGAGCCACCGCCCCCGGCCTAACTTAATTTTTAAAATGTATCAGATTCAAAGTTTAATATTTGATTTTTTAAAAACCAGTAAACTCAACATATATTTGGTCAATTGAGTTTTGACAAAGGTTTCAAGGCAAACCAATTGGAAAAGGACAGTTTTATTAAATAAATGGTGCAGAAACAACTGGATATCTATTTTTTTAAAAAGAATCTTGACTCTTACCCCACACTATCACTTAAATGTAAAAGTTGAAATTATAAAACTTATAGAAGAAAAGATAGGAGTAAATCTCCATGATCTTGTCTTACGTAAAGTTTTCCTAGGACACAAAAAGCACTAATCATTTTTGTAAAAAGATAAATTTAACCTGATAAAATTAAAAATGTTGATTACTTGAAAGACTTTATAAGAAAATGAATAGGCAAATAAGATATTCACAAAACATATATATGACAAAAAGCATGTATCCAGAATATATGAAGAACTCTTACAATTCAATAACAGGAAAAATAACTCAGTTTTTAAAATAGACAAAAATATGAACAGTAACTGATATGGTTTGGATTTATGTCCCTGCCCAAATCTCATGTCGAATTATAATCCCCATGTTGGAGGAGGGGCCTGGTGGGAGGTGATTGGATCATGGGGGCGGATTTCGCCCTTGATGTTCTTGTGATAGTGAGTGAGTTCTCGTGAGATCTGGTTATTGAAAAGTGTGTAGCACTCCCCCTTCTCTCTTTATTCCTCCTCTGAAGTAGCAAAATGTGTCTACTTCCCCTTTGGCTTCGGCCATGATTTTAAGTTCCATGAGACCTCCCCAGCCATGCTTCCTGTACAGCCTGTGGAACTGTGAGTCACTTAAACCTCTTTTCTTTATAAATTACCCAGTCTCAGGTAGTTCTTTATAGCAATGCAAGAATGGACTAATGCAGTAACTTCACAAAAGAAAATATATAAATGGCCAAAAGCACATGAAAAGATGCTTAACATCACTAGTCATCAAGGAAATAGAAATTAAAACCACAACAAGGTATCACTACATACCTTGAGAATGGTTAAAATTTAAAAAGACTCACAATCCAAGGTGTTGGTGAGGATGTGGAACAATGAGAATGCTCATACATTGTTGGTGGAGATACAAAAATGGTCCAACTGCTTTGGAAAACAGTTTAGTAATTTCTTATAAAGTTAAATATACTGTTACTATATTACTCAACAATTCCACTACAGTTCTTGTTAGTTAACTGAAAGAAACCAAAACATATGTCCACACAAAAATTTATGCATGAATTTATTGATAATCATTACAAACTGGATGTTTCCAGTTTGCCCAAATGTGTATCAACCATTGAGTGGAGAAGCAAATTGTAGGATATCCACACAATGGATGTCCTTTTCCTACTCAGCAGTGAAAAGAAAAGGACTGCTGATGCCTGAAGCAAAACAGATGAATCTCAAATACATGATGCAGAGTGGAAGAAGCCAGATACCAAAGACCACATAATATTAATATGAGTTCATTTATATTAACTCATAGAAAAGGTAAAACTAATCTACGGTAGCAGAAAGCAGAGCAGTGGTCTCGGGGTTAGGGATGGGGGAGAATGACTACAAAAGTACACAGGAAAGCTTTTTGGTGATAGTAGTAGGCTGTTTCTTGATTGGGATGATGGTTACATGATGGGTGTACACAGCTGTCAAGACTCATTGAACTATCTACTTAAAGTGGAGGCATTTGTGTAGAGTTAGACCTCAAAAAATGGATTTAAAAATAACAAACCAGTAAAAAGTAATAAAAAAATTTGAATAAATAATCACATTTTATTTTTATCAAGGGTTCAAAATATATACACTAATTCCTTAACCAAATTTTCTCATAAAATAGAACAGTGTTACATGTAAGAAAAGCTCCTCATCTTGGCCATGTTCTCACTGCTATGTAAGGCATTTGAAGGTGAATGATACATTCACCGTCAAAATCAGAAACAGCAGGGGAGGAAGAGCTCCCTTAAAATCCTTGAGGGAATCATTCAATTCCTACTTATTGCCTTTTTTTTTTCCTTCCCAAGTGCCCAGGAGAGGTAGGACACTGGCCATTTATCTACATAGTGCCATGAAACTCACAAATATTCAATCTGCTGCCTCCCCTCTCCTTCCAGATTTCCACAGTGGTATAGAGTGTGAGACTGACTGGCTTCCCATTAGAGCCAGGAGAAGGGAAAAGGAATTTCCACACTGGCTTAAGAAAAGTACTGTCTGATGAAGAGTCAGCTTATTTTATTAACTGATGAAATGGCAAAAAGTTTATAATTAAACATACTATGTTTTGCTTTGAACATTATATTTCATTGACAAAAGTGTGCATTTTATAGCGGGCTGCTGACATCTGTTATAAACAAGGCTCTAGAATGGCGTCTGGGTGCATTCCCCCTTCCATAAAACGAGATTAAAGTGCCTTTGTGCTGTTGGAGGGATGCCTACGGTGTTCCATGGAACACGCCTAGAAAACAGAAGCTCTGTGGACACCAAGTGCTTCCTGGGAGGAGTCCTGAAGGTACTGAAGGAAGACGGAATTAACTGCAAAACTAAGCTCTGTCCCCCTTTGGGAATTTGTTAAGTTGGCAGGGGTTGATTTTTTGTTCTGGTTTTCAAATTGAAAGGCCTCTTGCATGACCCGTGTTTTAGAGAACACAGAGGCAAATACCAAATTGTGTGTCCTTGTGTTATCTTAGATCATGAAACAATAGATTTGATTCCTTTGTAAGTTCCACAAAGAATCCCCCTTCACCTGGGCTCCTGTCTGGACGCTGGGGGGTTCTCATTGGCAATTTGCATGTAGTTCTGGGTGAGGTCCCCTATGGATCAATATCTGCCTTCACCCCTGCCATTTTGGGAGGTAGGAAATAGGCCCAGATGCACAGACAGTGGAAATAAAAACACTGCCCTGTCTAACTGTTATGAATATGTTGGGGGAGGTGTTGTGTGTGGTGGGGAGCAGGGACCTGTGCTGTTGAAGATCTGTTCCTGACCAAGTATCCCTGTGACAACAGAGGAGCTATTTCTCTCTGATGGAACAAGGAGTAAGAGAAGCCCCAGAGATATTCAAGGTCACCCTCTGTGTCCACTGTGTAGGCAAACAAGGCTTCTCCCTGGGATTGTTTTTCTTTGTACTACCTTCAAAATATAGACAGTTTTTAAAGATCTATTCTTGGGCCTTATCTCTTCTCTTGACACCTGGCAATCTCATTTTCCTCCATCCAGCATCTGCTCTGCCCTGATACTGAGTCTGTGAAGGTGACTGTAACCCAGGCAGGGCCCTCTGTGTGCTCACAGTCAATACCGGAGGCCACACATGGCCCCTGATGTAGTGGCAAGTGTACTACAGAGGTGAGCTCAGGGTACCCACCACAGGGATGGCGTGACGGAGGGCAAGATGCAGGGGTCAGGGGAATGTTTGTAGAGATGTGATGACCTGAAGTTGGGGAGGGGAAGGGCATTCCAGCAGAAGGACCATTATGAGGAAAGGCATCATATAGCTTGGTTAATTACAAGTATATTAGCTTGAATTATAATATTACTAACAACCCCCATATAATTTACTCTATTTACTATGTGCATGGGGTCCTGTCCAAGCTTTTTTTTTTTTTTTTTTTTGAGACAGAGTCTTGCTCTGTTACCCAGGCTGGAGTGCAGTGTTGCAATCTTGGCTCACTGCAACCTCTGCCTCCCGGGTTCAAGTGATTCTCCTGCCTCAGCCTCCCGAGTAGCTGGGACTACAGGCACCTGCCACCATACCTGGCTAATTTTTGTACTTTTAGTAGAGACGGGGTTTCTCCATGTTGGCCAGGATGGTCTCAATCTCTTGACCTCATGATCCACCCGCCTCGCCTGTCAAAGTGCTGGGATTACAGATGTGAGCCACCATGCCTGGCCCAAGCTTTTTAAAATACTTCTACTATCCATCAAAACCCAGTCCCAGTGATACTTCCCCCAGTAGTGTCACTGGGGTCATTCCTGACCTCTCTTCGTGGAAACAACCTCACCTTCCTCTGGACTTTCATAGCATATGGCTTAGGACGTTGATTTTCTTAACTAGTAGCCTAGTTAATAAAGCATTCTTGATAAACTGTGTTTAGCTATAAGGTCTGAGGGTCTGGATACCAACAGAGTCATGTTTCAGCCCTCACAGCACTCAATAGAATATCTTGCACATATTTGCTACTAAAAAAATATTTGTTCTATGAATGAATGAATGAATGAGTGAGTGAATGGTCTCTTCAGGTGCTGTTGTGGGAACTCACTATCACTTTTTCCTTCTCAAAGCCACTAGTTGAGATTTAGAATTCAAACCCCCTTTCTGCCGAGTATAAGTTTTGTGGAGGACAAGGCATCCCCACTGCTGTCCAGGGCCATGGCATATCTTCTAGCTCGGCCCAGGTTAACCCTGTGCAGCAGGCTGTTTTAATCTTCCTTCACTTCCCTCACTTCCTCTTTTTTCTAAAGCCTCATTCCTGGAAAAGTTATTTCTCAGAGTTCCCTGTCCTTCTATCTAATGGCTTCTAGGTGCCCCCTTGATTTCAGGGTGACAATGCCTTTCTTGAAATCACCTCACCCCAGATAATGAACTCCCTGAGTTTTGCCCAGAGAATGTTCTAGATATTCATACCTGGTACACAGTGTTTCTCTCCTCCCCCTTCATGTCTTGGAACTGAATTCCTTTAAATGCTTCAAGCTTCGCACACCTGCCCCTGCCTTCCCTCTTCCCTGGCTCTTACCTCTCCCACGGCCCCTGAAAATCAACGTTTATAAAACCTTACATTTTGAGTAATCTTGGTTTTTTTTCCATTCCATATATCATGAAAAGCACTTGGCTAATGTCTCACGTGATAAGAAAGAGTTGCTTTTGCTTCATTCAGCTCCACGTTGCTCATATTCTGTCCTATTCCCTTATAGAAATGACTTTCCCCTTGAGCTCCTTCAGATAAACTAAAGTCCAGAGTTTCATTTCATGGGCACTGATATTAATGAGCGCACATTATATGCCAAGCATTGTGATAGTTTGGTGGCAAAAGCAGACGTGTGGAGAAGAATTTATGGGTTAAGTGCCCAGGGAGCAGGAAAGAGTGTGTGCGGGGGGAGGTCAGATTTCAGGGAGGTTTCATCCAGCAACTGACTCGGGAGCTCAGTGTTGCTAGAGAAGATGGAAGTCGCTAGGTAAGGTGGATGGGATAGTGGTGGGAGGAGATGGAAAGCATTTCAGGCAGAGTGGGAAGATACAGGACTGGCCTTATTTATGAAGCCCTTTCTCTCTCTCTCAGGATTCCTACTCTGTTGCCTTGGGAATTTCACTTATCAGACATCTGGTCTCCCCAACTCTAGTTTAAGTGTCTTAAGAATAAAGATGCTTGTCATTTCCTTGGGATTCCTTAGGAAATTACTAGAAAGTAGCAGGCACTATTAAGTACATACGTATTGAAAGATCACCTTATATCCTATAAATATGTACAATTATTATTTGTCAACTAAAATTAAAACTTTAAAGAAAGAGAAAAAGGAGAGCAGATGCTGGGTAGGTGTTTGATGAGGGAGTGACGAGGGAGTCTGTATGGGAGGGTTCCTTTAAATGGAGTGTTTCTCCTCCTGCATAAAGATAGCTCAACTCCTGCCTTGAAATGAAGAGTGAACAGACGATCAATAGCTTCTTGCATCTGGCCTGGGTGTGGTAACGTCTAGGCCATTAATATGCTGTTGGGCCCTTCCCACCGACATTTGTTTCCCGAAGCTCTGCTGCAGCATTTCTGAGTTGCTTGGCTTTGCTTCCTACCTTTGCACACCCTCCGGGAGGAAGGGCTCTCTCTCTCATTCTCTCCCTCTGTTTATGAACAAGGTAATGTGTGTCAAATTGCCTTGGCTTAACCAGGCAATTGTGCACCTTTAAAAGGTACCAGGAAATGTTTCTCTGCGGTCAGATTGGCCCATAATGCACATCTGTTCTCTTGACCAAACTCCAGCAATCTGCCCTGGCTTAGCTGCAGGCTGCACAGCCTGCTCCTGGCTGGAGTCCCAGGCCCAGCAGGGGAGTTTCTGCGAGGTCAGCCACCTGGGTTTCTGGCTGTCTCAAGGCACCGAGGGTGCTGGTCAAAGGACTCAAGATTTGTGGTTCCCACAGCTTCAGGGCGTCCCCAGGAAATCTACAAAAACTCTGTGGGGACAGGAGGAAAAGGAGGGGAGAAGTGAAGAGGATTTGTCTATAGAGAAAGGATGTTCACTGGGCCGGGCGCGGTGGCTCACGCCTGTAATCCCAGCACTTTGGGAGGCCGAGGCGGGCGGATCACGAGGTCAGGAGATCGAGACCATCCTGGCTAAAACGGTGAAACCCCGTCTCTACTAAAAATACAAAAAATTAGCCGGGCGTAGTGGCGGGCGCCTGTAGTCCCAGCTACTTGGGAGGCTGAGGCAGGAGAATGGCGTGAACCCGGGAGGCGGAGCTTGCAGTGAGCCGAGATCCCGCCACTGCACTCCAGCCTGGGCGACAGAGCGAGACTCCGTCTCAAAAAAAAAAAAAAAAAGAAAGGATGTTCACTGCTTTGGGGAAGTTTTGAGTGAAACGGAAACCAGTATCTGCGTGGGTTTTCCTTTTAGAAGATGACCTACAAGAGGGATGAGTTCAATTTATGTGTGAAAGCCCAGACGCATTTTATATTTCCCCAAACTCTGGCTTCTGCACTTAAGTAAATCCCTGAGAATAAGGTGCAACGATGACCTGGATGGAACCGTGTGGAATTGAGCCCAGTTGTCTCCACGGAGAGTCTCATTTCCAAACACCTCCAAAGGATACCCAGCACCCCACGACCTCTTCCCAGCTCACACCACCAGCCAGTTGATGTTCCTGGGATAGTCCCGGTGCCTCCTGCCTGGTGTCCTTGCATCTGCCCTTCCCCCTCCACAGTCTGTTCTCAACACCAGCACCAGGTTGCCTGTTAAAGTAGGCCAGATCATGTCACGACTTTGCTCAAGACTCCCCAAGGACTGCCCACCTAAGGCAGAACAAGTCAAGATCCCCCTATGGGTATCAAAGCCCCCGACTCCTGCTCTTGTTACCTCTCCGAGCTCGATGCATCCCCTCCCGTTGCTCACTCTGCTCCAGGCACACTGACCTTCTTAGTGTTCCTCTGTTTGGATCACTCTTCCCCCAGGTGTCTGGACTGCTTGTGTTCTCTGCACAACTGCCACTTTAGGTGGCTCCGGCACTGTCTTCAGGTCTTTGCTCACACATTGCCTCATGCACGAGGCCTTCGTGTCAGCCCCATGTGAGATGGCTCTGGTGGCCACCCAGCACTTCCAATTCCTCTCCCCTGTAGGAGCTTTTCCACAGGACTTACCACCCTCTGACATATTATAGATTAACCTCTTTTTAAAAATTTTTATTTTTTGAAATAGGGTCTCACTCTGTCGCCCAGGTTGTAGTGCATTGGTGCCATCTCAGCTCACTGCAGCCTCAACCTCCTGGGCTCAAGTGATCCTCCCACCTCAGCTTGTAGCTGGGACTACAAGCGTGTGCCACCACGCCCAGATAATTTTTGTATTTTTTTGGTAGAGACGGGGTTTCCCCATGTTGCCCAGGCTGGTCTTGAACTCCTGGGCTCAAGTGATCCACCCGTCTTGACCTCCCAAAGTGCTTGGATTATGGGTGTTAGCTATCATGCCTGGACAGATTTTACTTTTTTTTGTTTTTTGAGACGGAGTCTTGCTTTGCCACCCAGGCTAGAGTGCAGTGGCGCGATCTCGGCTCACTGCAACTTCTGCCTCCCGTCTTCAAGTGATTCTCCTGCCTCAGCCTCCCAATTAGCTGGGACTATAGGTGCGTGCCACCACACCCAGCTAATTTTTTGTATTTTTAGTAGAGATGGGGTTTCACCTTGTTAGCCAGGATGGTCTCGATCTCCTGACCTCATGGTCCACCTGCCTCGGCCTCCCACAGGGCTGGGATTACAGGCGTGAGCCACTGCGCCCAGCCCAGATTTTACTTTTTGTTCTTCTGTTTATCTCCCTGCAACTGGAGCTTATCTGTGGTTCCCTATTGGATCCCCAATGCCAGGACCACAGCTGGCACTCAGTAAAAATGAATGGAGCAAATGAAGAAGTGACAGAAAGTTGAATCTGCCTGAGAAGGAGATATAAGACAAAAATCCTAAAAAGCTGAAAAGATACAAACAGTGACATCATCTGAAAACAAAAGAGTACCCTGGACTCGATCTCAGGTTGTGAACCATGACTAGCGCAGGAAAGAACAGGAGAGAGGATGGGATGGAGGTGTCCCAGCACAAACTCAACATTCTGGGGAAGAGGTAATCCACTGCCCTTTGCTTCATTTAGAAAGTGCAACTGCTGTAAGATGCAGGTATTAGTTAGGAAAAGTAGAAAGGGAGAGTTAAACATGAATATTCATCCACTTTTCATTTAATACATACCTATTGATTGTGTGCTCTGTGCAAGCCACTCAGAAGAGGCTATGGAAGACCCCATTGCATTTTACTTCATTATTTTCTTTCATAACTTACATTATATGCATTCTGTGTGTTCTTATGAATATACCAACGTGGCATAATACTTTGAGCCTGGGTTTTGAAATAGACAGGCATGGGTGTGAATCCCATTCTCTGCACAACCTTGGGTGTGTTCCTTCACTTCTGAAACCTTCTAAAATGGTTATGGCTATTATTTTTTGAGAGTTCACTGGGTTCTATGCACTGTACTAAGTACTTTTCGTCTATTATCTCATTTAATCCTTGCTAAAGCTCACAGATGTGGGTAGTGTCATCTCTGTTCTACAGGTGATGGAACTGAGGCAGAGTGGGACCAGGCAAACTCACCTGGGGCCCCTCAGCTAGTGGGTGGTAGGGTCCAAGGCATGTCTGCCTCTGAATTCCTGCCTTTAGCCAATTCATCATCAGTCTTCCTCGTCTGTGCAATGGGGATCATTTAACATGGCTCCACAGGGCTGGGCTGTCCTGGGTGCCAGTGTCTCTGTGAAGCGTGTTATAAACCTGAAGGTCTGTAGGGCACTGGCTGCTGTCGGAAGCCCTCAGCCTGTCCCTCTTCCACAGCAGGTGCTGCCTGTGAACCAGTGTGGGTGACACTCCTGCAATGCCATCCCACTTCTTGTAGGCTCAGAGGGGCTGGAAGCAGGGCCTGAATGGGAGCTGAGGGAGGGTACAGTGATTGTGGCTTTTCCCCTGGGCAGCTTCCCTGTAGGAGCTTTGGCTTCGGCAAGCCTCAGGCACAGAGGGGTAAGCAAATGAGGAATCTTCACTCCAGGTTGGGTCCTGACCCCTCCCCACCCCACAAAGCTGGGAACAGCGGCAGTGGTTCTGGAGGATGTGCCGGTCTTTGCTCCTCCACACTTGGGAGAAAGCTGTGCTTTTCTGCCTCTTCTTGCCACTGTGGCCTGGGTGGAATCAATGCCACGTGTGAAAGCAGCTGTGTGCATCTGGGGCGGGCACTGTGTAGGCCAGTAAGAGAACAGGCAAGTGGCCCGAGGACTGGCTACTGCAGGCACTTCGATCACCTTTAATTATAGCCGCTTAACTGGCTTCTCATTAGAAATGCCCCCACAGACCTCTTGTCTGATTGATAAAATCTTCCCATCTATCTCCAGCAACAGATCCCTCCAACTTCTTCTTAAAAGCTCAATCAGAGACTTTGCCTTAACTGGGGGAGGGCCGGGGTGCAGGTGGGTTAAATGCAGAAATTTCTGCTGGCTTCAGAGTGGTTGTTTCTGGAACTCAACGGCTTTGGGTTTTTAGTTAGGTTGTTTGTTTTTAAACAAACTGTCTCTGAGGTTAGTTTCTAGGGTATTAATCTCCTATGCTTGGCAATTACGTGCATTTAGAAAGTGAGTAGAATTTGGTTCTCCTGCAATAGAACTAATTTACCATTTGCGGTTAACAGCAAAGCTCAAGAGACTGTGGGGTGCAGAGCAAATATGTTTCTCCTTTCTTGGATGTAGACCCTTGGCCCGTGATACACACACCAATGGTAGCTAAATTAGAGCAACTGGCTTGTTTATTTTTGATACTTTATAGCCATTCTGTGTTTTTTCTTTCCTGTTGCCTTAGAGAGGGAAGAGAAACAGTTATAGAACACTCATGTTATGGGCTGCTTATGTGTATTATTTAGTTTAATTCTTGTGACAGCGCATGAGGAAAGCGTCATAATCTCTACATTTCTCAGATGGGAAACTTGACTGAGAAAGTGTCTTGCTCAAGGTTACTGTTAGTGGAGGAGATGGGATTTGAACTTAGGTTGGGCTGGCCCCAAAGCCTTCCTCTATGCCCTCTGTTTCCCAGGCCTCCCTTGGACTAAACACGGCATCAATGGAGGGCTGGAGCAATTGCTCTCAAGCTCAGCATGGTGACAGCGTGGCCCTGTATGCTGCGAGGTTGCATACAATTTTTTTTGTTACTACTTCATATTGTGAATAATATGTTTTTTTCCCATAGAGTGAATTTGTCTCTCTCTCACCCACTTGTATTTTGATGTTTCTTTGGAAGGTGGTAACTATAAACAGACTGGATTGGATGACCTGAGTTCCCATCCCAGCTCTACCACGAACCCTCCCATATCACAAGTTCTTCGTTGATAAAATTGGGGTCCTAAAAAGAAAAAGAAAAAAAATTGGGATCCTAATAGTATTTATTCTTCGTTGTTAATGGTGAAGTGAGGTATCCCCCACAAGGCGTGTAGGTACAGAGGGAGGCTCTGTGTGAACTGATATTACTGAATGGAAAGGAAAAGGGTGTCATCACAGCTGGCACCCATGGCCGTGCTGCTCTTGTGAAAATCACCTGTCACCTGTGTCAAGGCAGGGTGAAGCTCTGAGTCAGAGCCGAGGTCTGATGAGGCCTGGGGTAGATTCTGCTGGTGGTGGTCTCTCTCGGCCCTCAGCACTCACCCTCTGGCAGCAGATAGAAACAGCTTATCAGAGTTTACATACTTTGAAATGAATAAGAGGGTGTACATTTCTGAGTCAGTGCTGTAATGTATTAGTAATAAAACATGGCCAACAGAAACCCTTCCTATTTGGAAAATGATTACTGGCATTGAAGTTTGACTTTGATTGTTGTGCTTTACACAGTATATTACTTGGGGAAAGTATAAGCTCTTTTTTCTTTGCAACACCTCTTACCTTCTCTTGCCTGCTGCCAAATATCTATGTAATTTTGGATATGTTAACTCATTTATTTGACAAATATTAAACCTTATCTTCCTAGGAACCTAGACCTGCATCCTATATGTGCAAAAGGAGGCCAAGTTCTAGTGCAGGGAGACATCCACTTACATCATAGGCATATCACTTCAAATCAGACATGGGAACTATGTTGGAGCCAGGAGAGGAAGCAGATATCTGTGTCTGGAAGACAGGAGGAAAGCAAGGGAGGCTCTGAGATGGAGGAAATGCAGGGAGGAGAATGGGAGGCTAGTACATCTCCCAGCTTCCTAGAGTAACAAAATTAAAAATGTTAGAAATATTTTAAGAGAATTATCAAATAGATGAAGCCAACTCTGTAAGTTGTGAAACATAAAAATCATGGTTCATTGGCCGGGCTCGGTGCCTCACGCCTGTAATCCCAGCACTTAAGGAGGCCGAGGCTGGCAGATCACGAGGTCAGGAGATTGAGACCATCTTGGCTAACACGGTGAACCCTGTCTGTACTAAAAATACAAAAAATTAGCCGGGCGTGGTGGCTGGCGCCTGTAGACCCAGCTACTGGGAAGGCTGAGGCAGGAGAATGGCGTGAACCCGGGAGGTGGAGCTTGCAGTGAGCTGAGATCGTGCCACTGTACTCCAGCCTGGGCAACAGAGCGAGACTCCATCTCAAAAAAAAAAAAAAAATCATGGTTCATTTTTTTTCACAGCAGTTTAAAAGATCTCAAGATTTTTGTTGATAGAAAATAAAACAAGGAAAACTATGTCCAGTGGATGAGATGGACCTGAGTTCCCAGTGTACAGGGTAAGGAGACCCAGAGTACCAGCACTCCATTGTGTTAGGGCCACACACCCACCTCCCACACCCAGAAAGAAAATGGTACATGTGGTGGATTTGATTCTTTTCCAAATTTTCCACCTCCTTCATCGATTCATGATGTAATCCAATCGTACATCCACAGCCTTCCCACATGACTCCTGGAGGAGCTGGCGGCACATACATCCTCTCACCATTGACATTAGGTTTAGCCATGCAACTTGCGTGGTTGATAGGAGGTTAGTGGTTGTGATACAGGTAGAAGTTTTAAATATGCCTGGGTTTTGCTTGCACTTAAATGTGCTTGGGTTTCATTTACACTTCTGTCATCTACTGTGAGAAGAACATGCCCTTGAATGAAATGCTCATGTATGAAAATACAAAGATGTGAAGGTATCAGTCTGGAAGAGCTATAACCCCAAATTATCTCAATGATCCTTTTTTTTTTTTTGGTGGCAGCTTTATTCAGATATAATTCAATACCATAGAAAGCAACCATTTAAAGTATACAATTGGCCGGGCGTAGTGGCTCACACCTGTAATCCCAGCACTTTGGGAGGCCGAGGCGGGTGGATCATGAGGTCAGGAGATCGAGACCATCCTGGCTAACATGGTGAAATCCTGTCTCTACTAAAAATACAAAAAATTAGCTGGGCGTGGTGGCAGGCACCTGTAGTCCCAGCTACTTGGGAGGCTGAGGCAGGAGAATCCCTTGAACTGGGGAGGCGGAGGTTGCAGTGAGCCGAGATCGCACCATTGCACTCCAGCCTGGGCAACAGGGAGAGACTCCGTCTCAAAAAAAAAAAAAAAGTATGCAATTAGCTAGTTCTTTATATAGTCACAGTGTTGTGCAGCCATCACCATAATCAATTTTAGAACATGTTCATAACCTCCAAAAAAAACCCATATCTTTAATGATTACCTCCCACTCCCCCAACTCCTAGACCCTCTCCCCAGTCTTAGGCAATCACTCATCTACTTTCTGTCTCTATGGATTTGCCTGTTCTGGACAGTTCATATAAATGGAATCATGCAATAGGCAATATTTTGTGACAAGCTTCATTCGCTTAGCATGTTTTCAGGATTTATCTATGTTGTATTACTTATCAGTACCTTATTCCTTTTCATTGCCAAATAATATTCCATTGTATGGATATACCAGATTTTATTCATTCATTCATTTGCTGATGAACTTAGTGGTACTTTTGACATAACTGTTAAAATACATAGAAGGAATAAGAGAGGTTCAATGTGCTTATAACTTTATAGGACAAATGACTTTATTGCAATGTACTGTTCCATCCATGCATTAGTTCCATTTCTCATAGTAAATAAGTTGGCATGTGATTTACTATAAGTCTCTCTGAGACTTACTTGCCTAAACCAGTGTCCCCAGGTATAACCAGCTTGCAATCATAGACAAAGTGATGTTTCTGTAGAGCTGACGCCAGAGTCTGGATGGGTAAATTTTCGAAGGCAAATGCTCCCTCAGATACAGGGGGTCCAGCCAATCTTTCTGGGCTACTGCCTGTGATGTTTATTATGGGCTTAAAAAATTCTACATAGTTTATGAAGTCTGAAAGCTTCTTTCCGTGAAACATAGTAATTAAATCATTTCTTTTGTCTGTTCCCTTGTGTGTGATGATGGTATCAGAAATCTCAGTGTTACTTCTTCCTTCCTGGCCTGAATTCTTGGACATCTCTATTTTATTGAGCTTGTAAGTTTACCAATGCCCAGATTCAAATACATCTGTGTATATCACTCACATTCCACAAAGGAGCTCTGTCATCTGGATTATAATGAAGACACCACAGTGAGTAAGGGGACTATGGAGTCCTGCCAGGCCCAAAATGTGACATGTCAGACTAGAGCAATTTTCTGTGGAGTGGTGACAGTTAACCATAGGGTTGGAGTAAATATCTCAAGAGTGTGCACTATTAAAAAACCCCCAATATTTTGTCTCATTGCTTTGATTTATTTTTGTCTCAATATTTAATTTAGATTGAATGTCAATTATTATTAAAGGAGGGCAAGAAGACTTTATCTTATCAAAAGTGTTCAGGGGAAGGAGGAACGTGGGTTTAGAAAGGCTAAAAAATACTATATTAAAATAAACTCTACAAAGTAAACCCAACTGCCTACAGGACCAGACAGGAAGAGCCAGTCAGATAGAAGAAATGGAATGGACTTGGGCCACGATCTCTTATCATAAGCTGATAAAATTAGACATAAATAATCAAATGGTGGATAAAAATATACTTAGATGTTATGAAATTTACTCTTGAACAACCCTTTGATAAAAGAGAAAATTGAAAGGTAAATTATAAAGTATCTAGGAAGCAAGGGAAAGTAGAATAGTTTGTGTGAATCTGGGACAGAGTGAAAGCTGTACTCAGAGGAAGAAGTATAGCCTGAAATGCCTGTATCAAGGGTCAGCAAACTTTTTCTGTAAAGGGCAAGAGCTTTGTGGACCCTATTGTCTCTGTTGAAGGTTCCTTTTTGTTTTGTTTACAACACTTTAAAATGTAAAAACAATTCTTAGTCCCCAAGTTGTACAAAAACAGGTTGTGGGTCTGATTTGGCCCACGCATAATAGTGTGCTGACCCTTGCTTCTATTATTATAACGGACAAAAAGGTAAAAAATAATCTAAGTAATAACCTTAAGAAATCAGAAAAATGATGACAACAATGACACAAAACACAGGAAATTATAAAGTAAAATTAATAAAGACAAAAGCTGAAACAAATGATATAGGAAATAAAAAATTGTAGAAAGAGTGAATAAGTCCAAAAGATGGTTGTCAAGACAAGTAAAATAGAGGATCCCTTTGAAGTTAGACTAAGAAAACGGAGAGAACGAAAATATACAAGATTAGCAATGAGAAAGGGAGATATGGATACGGGAGAGATCAAAATAAAATCTAAGAGAACATTGCATACAGCTCTTTGACAATAAATTTGAGCATCTAAAATAAATGATTTCCTAGCAAACACTAACAAAATTGATCCTAGAAGAAATGAAAACTTGAGTGGGCCAATTACTATAGAAGAACATTGATTAAAGATTTACCATTGAAAAAGGCACCAGAATTAGATGGGTTCACAAAAACAAATAATTTAGTTTTTAAAATACCATTCAAGCAATAGAAAAAGGAAAAAAGTTCAGTAAGTTTCTTTGCTTAGAAAATAAAGAGTGGAAAGTTCGGGCACAGGAGTGGCAAATTACCTTGAGTGCCAGCTTGCAGCAGTGGGTAGTGAAAGAGATTATGAGGCCCAGTTGAGATCCAGTGGGAAAAAACTGGGGATTAGTTTGCCATTCCTGACTCAGCTTGGAAAGTAAAGTCAAATGGATCTTATATGATATTTTCTGCAGAGATAGCCAGGAATTACTCTATGATGTCCTATGGATTTCTGATCAATTTATTTGAGAAAACTTCTACATTCAGTAATTTACATCCTTCTAATGACCATTCAGTAGCCATATGAAAATCATCTAGATTAGGCTCCCAAACCCAAATCTAACTTTGCATTAATCATCAGTGCTGTGGGTGTAGCGCATCGATCAGAGAAGCCCAAGGTTACAGAGCCAAAGAACTCATGGGATATTTCCCAGTGACAGGACCATCATAAGAAGGGTTGTCTTCCTTGTCTCTGATGCCTTTGCTGATTTGTAGCTGAACAGAAATCCTCCCGTTTCATTCATTGGTCTAACCGTGATCTCAGGGCTTTATTTTCCTAATTCGCCAAACACAAACGCAACTGAACAACATCTCTTCCACTCTTAAAGGGCAGCTCATTCTAGTGGCTGTGCTGGCCAACCCTGCCTGGGCTTCCCCAAGTCCATCACATCTACCCCTGTAGGTGGAAAGAGCAAAAAAGAGCCAGACACAGCAGCAAGGAAGGAAGAAAGAAAGAGGAACTGCCACTGCAATGAGTAAATCTTCATTATTATAAAAAAGGGAATCATCACTTTACTATCTTCATTTTTATGATGAAGTAAAATAAAATGGAAAGGAAGAGCGAGAGAAATGATTGCTTGGTAAACGGCCTCAAACCTAGCATGTGTTTATTTAAGCGTCTCTGCAAACATAACCCAGGGTGTCCGTTAAATCAGCAGGCATGTCAGTTGGCACTTCTGGTTACAGACCATTTTACGGTCATACATCATTCATAGCCGTAAAAGCCATTTGCCCTCTGTCACCCAACCAATCAGGATTCAGCCAAGGGGAAGCTGAGCAGTAGCCTGGAAGTTTTCTTTGGGCTCCTCTGCGTTTCCGCAACCTGGTTCAGCAGAATGTCACAGAAAATTAACTCCCCTGGGTTATCAAGGACCCCTCCTCACTAAGGAGCAATATAGGATTTCAGGCTAATATTTACCCCTCCCCAAGCAACACCTTGTGATGTGCCAGAAGAGGCAGAAGCGCAGCAGGCATCACACACAAGCCCTGGGTAACACCTGCTGCTTTGAACTGTTGGAATGAAAGGCCGAGGAGGGGACGCTGCCAGTCCATGCCTCGGAGATTCACTCCTGCTGCCCGCTTGGAGCAGACTTGAAATTGATGTCAGCGTCTAAGCCACCCAGTGAGTGACCTTGGCCTGCCCTTGCTTCACTCTTGCAAGTTCTCATTTTTTCATTCTTGCTTCCTCACTATCATTCCATTACTGAAACTGAGATGCCTGCCAAGGCCTGCCGACTACCTGGGCCCTGCTAACCACGTGTCTTTGGGTCCTCCCCATAGCCTTTGCCTCCGGGATGGTATTTCACTTGAATTGCCTCTCCAAATCTGTGTTCTCTTTACATCTATTATTTGTTAACTCTTTCCTATGCACTTCCTCACTTATGAATAAAGCCCAGCAGCAGTTGTCATAACCCCAGTGGGTGCTGGGACAGCCCCATCTGGTCCCCCACTCTATTTCTGTTTGGACATTTCACATGTCTTCCCGCCTCTCCAGTCGTTAACAGGCTAGGATCAATTTTCCAGTGGCAGCTTGGAAATAATAGTACAAAATGTATATTAATACAGAAATATATTGTGAAACTGTCCTTAAACAAACAAATGAGCCACTTTA
Source organism: Homo sapiens (assembly GCF_000001405.40). Lineage (NCBI taxonomy): Eukaryota > Metazoa > Chordata > Mammalia > Primates > Hominidae > Homo > Homo sapiens. The sequence continues at coordinate 26,526,774 of NC_000007.14, forward strand.
AAATATTACTGCTATAAATGACCATGACAGTAGCAGAGCACATATAATAAAAAATAACTGCTGAAGAGAAGCTGCTGAATTACTATAGTAATAAACCAGATGTGATTATTATCATTTAACATGGTCATTGAATACCATGAATCCCTGAAGCCATTAAAATATTTATGATTAAACATTTGCTATTCCTTATAACAGAACATATAGTTGGGTACTAAAAAACTGTTAAAGTATTATTTCAGCTAATATATGCCAGTTCTATAATAGAGGTCAACCAAGATTGCCTGAATCCTTCAAAAGAGGGACAAACAGCTGCCTCTCCATATCTTGACATATTGCAGGATGTTTATGCTAGCATTATATACTCTCATGGTACTGGGTAGCGTGTATCAACTATACACTACTAAGCTGGAAATATGTCCCTCTTCTATATGTTCATGGGCAGATGTGGGCTTGGGGACTGTTCTAGTCATTCTCCTAGAGAAAAAGCAGATGGAACAGATGCTTTCAAAGCCCTGTTCATAGCCTCTTGGCACTAATCTCGAGCATCCTACAGCAAGTGTCTCCACCAGCAGGCCTGCGCCCACGCCTAAAGTACCAGGGGATTAATGCCTCTGCGAGTAGCCCTCGGCTATGGCAGGTGGAAGTTGGAGAATAAATACCTTGGCCACATTTATAGACATACTTCTTGCTTGAAATCAATCCCTTGGCTGTGCTCTGGATACCCTGGTTGCTTCCCGGATGATTGTTTTCAGTTAAAATTTTAGGTGGGAAGATGGCTTTAGCCCAGGAGTTTGAGACCAGCCTGGGAAACATAGGGAGACCCCCATCTCTCTCCAAAAAAGGAAAGAAAAGAAAAATATTAGGTGTGGTGGCAAACATCTGTAGTCCCAGCTATTCAGGAGGCTGAGCTGGGAGAATCACTTGAGCATGGGAGGTCGAGGCTGCAGTGGGCCATGATCCTGCCCACTGTACTCCAGCCTGGGCGACAGAGTAAAACCCTGTCTTACCAAAACAAACAAACAAACAAAAACAACACAAAACTTCAGTTAAATGTAAGGTGGGGTTTCTTGTGCTGAAGAAAAATATTACAATCAGTGTCTTAAGTTTAATGAGATACTTCGGCACGCAGGGCCAATCTTCCAGGGTGTTTGCTTCTTGTCTCTTGCTCCATTTCCAGGTCCAGCTTCATCAGTGGGGGGGGATTGATGCCAGGAAGGAAACTCATCCACTGGATGTCCTGTTCTGGTAGTAGCCCAGAAGTGGGTGGACTCTGTGTTAGAAAGAAGAACTGAGTGAGAATTCATCACCATCACTTGGGGCTTATCTGGATATTTCAATTATTCACGTTATCTTTTCCATAAAATCCAGAATTGGCTATTTGTTTTCAGATGAATGCTGACAGTAAGGGCCTTTCCTTATGTCTTTAGGGACAAATGTTATCCAAAAAATAAAGTGCTTGAATTGTTGAACTCTAATAGGGAACAACATGGTGAAAAGAAAAAAGGCAGGAATTTTGGGGAGAGACCTGGATTTCAGTTCTATATAGAGCATATGTTATATAACTCTTTCAATATTCCTAACTTCCCAGAACCTAATATTTCTCATATGCGAATGACCATAGCAATTGTATAAATTGATATAATGTACATAAGTTTTTATGTATACTGCCATATGGGTAATAGGTATTTAATAAACATTGATTTATTAAATAATGAATGAATGGTGAATTTACCCACTCTGAAGCTATTTCCATGCTATCATGGTGACAACTCAATTCTTGGCATAAGTTGTTACCTATTGGGAACGCATTTGGTTCCCAGCATGTCTCTCTGGAGCTTCCCATAATATAATTTTGGCAGTGTGACATGTCTCTGTCATGTGGGTTCCATATTTGCCTTTGTGCTTCCAAATTATATTTGTGTAGGTCCGCCCCATTCTTGTTGTGGTTTCACATTTGTAGGTTTCATAAACTGGGCAGTGGTCTGATGTGTGCAGGAAAACTCACAAAGCCTCAGAGTGGAATAAAAAACATTTTCAAAGACCCCTGCTGGCTCAGTCAACCCTAATGAGCTATTTGGTCATTAGAGACTCTTTGCCATCAATTAGTCATTAGATCAGCAACCATTCATTGATGACAGGGTTCTCCTCCTTAAAGGGACAGTACTATTAGAATGCAAATAAGCTGTTGCTGGCATCTCTGAAACTGAAAAAGTAGCTCCAGTTTGCCTTTTCAGCTTGTCAATTACTCCAAAATCCGAAGTGAGGGCTGAGCCAGAATAGCTGCTTAAATTTTCAGATTACTTTGATTTAGTAAGAATTTCCAGCTAGGCGTAGTGGCTCACACCTGTAATCCCAGCAATTTGGGAGGCCGGGGTGGGCGGGTCCCTTGAGCCCAGGAGTTTGAGACCTGGAATTATTGGAAATTCCTGGAATTGGAAAACACATCGAGACCTCATCTCTGCATAAAAAAAAAATTAAAATTAGCTGGGCATGGTGGTTCGCACCTGTGATTCTAGATATTTGGGAGACTGCAGTGAGAGAATGGCTTGAGCCTGGGAGGTCGAGGCTGCAGTGAGTCAAGATCGTGCCACTGCACTCCAGCCTGGGTAACACAATGAGACCTTGTCTCAAAAAAAAAAAAAATTCCAATGAAAGAGGATTAGATCTTAATATATTTTACATATAGATATATAGCTCAGGTTGGGTAAGACTGGCTCAAATTCTTTTGTCCGTAGGCGGTATGAATCTCTCATTACCTTGCCCATGATTTCTGTGACTTTCCAGGGGCTCATGTTTTCATGGTCCCTTCCTCCAACCTCTTGTTCTGGCTGACCTCTTATTTCTCTTGGACCCCAAGGTTGTTCTCGTTTCTCTGCCCCGTGGCCACCAAGATACTGCCAGTTTCCTTGAGGGCCTCCAATCACTACTCAATGCAATGTATACAGACCTATAGTAACAATTCCATGTGTGTGTAGGAGATGGTACCTAGTAATCCAGCTTTACAAATTTGTAATAATTTACAAATCCAGCTTTACAAGAATTGAATGTTGGACATCATTTTTTATAATAGTTCCTCTAACATGCCCATGCTTATGTAAACCTCTCTGTCAGCTTTCTTCCTAAATGTCTCCCAACCACTGACTAGCGGCTTGTCTGTCTGTCAAAATTCTCCTCTCCTTTATCTGTTTTTCAGGCTGATCCCAGAACCTCAAAATTCCTCCAATGTTATCATGCAGAGCAATTTACCTCTGTCTTGGACTACATCTAAACGCCATCAAAATGGTCTAAGTATTTGCTAAAATGAAGGCAGTTCTCTCCCCTAAGAGGAATTCTGCCACAGCTCAGCTAAGATACTTTCCCCCAATATTTGTGATATTTATGCAAGTTATTCAAAGATTATGAGCATTAACATTTGATTATCTCATTATTTTCAGGAGTTATGTTGGAGAATTCCATTATCCACTCTTTATCCACCAAGGCATTGCACCTCCTGGAATGAACCTCGGTCTCCCTTGTTTGATTATAGGTGGAGCCAAGGTTTGTTTCTGAGGGAATGCATTTCTGAAGTTACAATGAGCAAATATGATTCCAAATATATAAATATTCATTTAAAAATGCTTCTTGGCTATGTTTAAATGAGAGTAAGTTTTATTACCTTTAGTACACTGGTAAGAGTGCTTTGGGGAAGGATTCCTCTGCTGGGGATGTCCAGGACTTAGTGAGAAAATGAGTCCTCTTTTGAAGTGGATGGAATTGAGTTGTTTGATCCATTTCTGCCTTAGAGTAGTAGTTACTCCAAGACTCCATTGCTAGCAATTTTTACTTGAGAGTGCCTATTCACTTTAGCTTGTTTATCTTCAAATTTAGTGTTCTGCAGACAGTATTATTGTTTAGTTCTCTCTATAAAAAAAGAATTAGAACTACAGGGTAAAGCTTGCATATTCTTGCAGGTAAAATGTCATGATTCTCTAATATTAATTTCTTTAGGAATCCCGGGATGGTACTTAGCAATAATGACAATAATTGCTTTACTGATTTTTTTTCCTGAGTTTTTTACTTTATGAGGGTAGCAATGCAAAGCCCTAGTTGTGCATTATCTTCCTTATTCTCATATGGACTCTATGAGGCAGGCATTATATTAAGCCCTATTCTATACTTGAAGAAACTGATCTCATGTCACTTATATATCACTTTTTTGGGAGAGGGCTTCCGTGGCTTCCCCGGCTTCCCCTGTTCTCATGCCTGTCGTGCTTTTTTGTAAATGCTTGTCTGACTGTTTACCCCACCAGGTCAGTATGGACAGGAATCATGTCTATGTCCATACCTGCTACCCACTCGGCGCCTGATATACAGTTGGTGCCTAATAACTATTTGCTGACAGAATGAGTGGATGGATGAATCCATGTAAGGAGCAGGAGTAACTCACTCAAAGTCACTAATGAGGTAGCAGAACCAAGACTCTACCCATGGCTGCTGGACTCCCAAGCCCAAGCTCTTACATGTCATGCAGAGATTTCCTCCACCTCCTTTCCCCCAGCTCCCAAAAAAAACAATACCTTAATGTGTACAGGAAAACAGATCCTGTCTGTTGCCAAACACACACCTTTAATCATCTCTTTGTGGGAATTTAAACCCCACTGCATAGCATCTTTCATCTTTGGGAAAAGGCTGAATTCCTCCGAGGCTGTATACTGGATGCTCTTTACTGAGCAGGCTGTGAAGTGATAAAGGAAGACAAAGATAAAGGCGCTGCCCTCAAGACGATCTGAATCTAAAGCACTGGGTTGATACCACTCGGAGTGGTGTAAGAAGCCCAGACCAAGCCTCATCCAGTCTGTGGTCAAAGCTCTCAAGACATGACTTTAAAACTCTGAAGTCTGGCTTGAGAGTCTTAATCGTCCAAATACAGAAGTGGGGGCAGGGGTGGAGTGAGATGAGGGAGAATGGAGGGTGGTGGGGGTTGTGCAGAATTTCTTTTCTTAAATGAAAAGCCCAAATAAAATAAATAAATGAAAACATAAATCACAGTGTCTTCTGCAGGCTCCTGGCTGGAGGAAAACAAATTAGAAAGGGCTTGAATGAAAGGAGTATTGAAGAAGCTTGACTTGAATTAAGTGGTTATATATTTTAAAAGCACTTTGTTGGGTCCTGTAAAAATAGCAAATAAAAAGGTAGTAATATCCCCTGGCTCTGCAAGGCAAATACCAGTAATAAAGTAAGCTTGGGGGGAAAATATGAGAGAAGTAAACTCCAGTAGAAGGGAAAAAGAAAGCATTTGGTTTAGAAACACTTTCACTTCTCCCTTAATAATTAATGATGAGATGCTATGTTTTCAAATAGGTATCATGTGTCTTTCTAACACCACTCACTTTCCTCTTAAAATGCACCCCCGCAAAAAATTTAAAGACATAACCTGAAAATTCTTTCTTTTGAAAGGCAACCTAAATGAACTATTTCAGGGCTATCAAATTGTTATAATTTGGGATCCATTTTACAATCCCTTTTTTCATAGTTTGAAAAAAAATTCACAATGAAAATTGTAGCCAGCACTCACCACAGGAGTCAAAAAGGGGTTTGCAACCCCTTTTTGACCTGCTGGGTTATTAAACATTAACTGGAGAGCTTAGATATTTTTATAAATACGTAGGGGCTTGGGCAATGAGTCTTAAAGATATAGCTACGAAAAAAAATAACATGAGAAAAGTTACCAAGAAAGAGCTAAATGAACTTTCTTCTTGTTAAGAAATGTTTAGGTCCTTTTGTTTGTAAATGGCAGGTGGGTCATACAATTCCAATGTAATTTCAGAAAGCCATCTTCTGAATGTAATAAACATGTCTGCAATAATAGGATTCAGAAAATAGCAAAATGCATTCCAGACGCCCTTTGATTGTGCATACAGAACAGAGAATTTAGCTATAATTGGCTATAACACAGTTATGGACACCAAATGACACACTGTGGAGTTGGGTGATGTAGCAGCTCTGATTAGGGATGCTACATTTCAGCCCAACACCAGAAATCAAATAGCAGCATATAGTGACACAGCACCTTCCCTTCCCTTCCCCTCCCTCCCTCCATTACTCCCTCCCTTCCTTCCTATCTTCCTCACTTTCTCCCTTTCTGTGCAATTAAAGTATCATAAATGAGACTAGAAAACTTGTTTTATTATTATTTAACTAATCAGTTGTCAGCCAAGACTCCATTCTCTTTGGAAGCTAACAATTGTTTGGAAAGGGGAAGTAAGAGTCCATGGAGAATTGACTTTTGGAGAACTAGACATAATTTGAATCAAGAATTATAATAGGAAATAAACCATTACAATAAACAAGGAAACATGCACACAGTTACTTTCATCGTGTAATTTTATTCACTCTAGTTGAGAAAATAAAGAGATAATACTGACCGAAGCACCTGGGTATTTAATGCAAACTGTAAAATCTATTATATTAAACAAAGTCAAAAGCAATGTCAAAGATCTTGAATATTCAAGGCATGCACCTCATTACAGACTTAGCAAATTAAAACACAAATAGGATTAGAAAAGAATAATGTAACAATCTCCCACTACGGTCCCTAGAGCATTAAGTCATAAATTGGGTTTGCATTAAATTGTGCCTGCAGTATTGAATTCAGGGAAAGAGCTGTGGGCTGGAGATAAACCATGCTGGGCTACTCACCAACTTTGGCAAAGCTATGTGTTTTCTGAGACGTGTAGTAAATTTGTTAGAATACAGCAGTTCCACAAAAAAAAAATGAGCACTTCATATCTTAATTAAAAAAATGTCTGGTGTCACGGCATGTGAGGCCTGCAGAGATGTAAATGCAGACAAAATCCACGTGTGAAATGGAGCTGTATTTCCTACTTAAGTTTAAAGTCATTTCACTAAACATACTGCTTAATACCAGACACATTTAAAACAAAACAAAGTCCTCAACACAAGGGTTTTCATTAATTTTGTTTTGGTTTGGTTTTTATTCCTGTTTGTTTGATTTTGCAAAGGAAGGAAGAAACGGAGAAAGCAAACCAAACTCTGTAAAGAACACGTGTGGACTTCCAGAATATCCAAAGAATGTCCCCTTTCATTCCATATGAAGATCAGACAGACCTTAACTATTCTGGCCGATCAGTAGAAACATACATATGACTTATTTTAGAAAGCAAATGAATATACTTAAATCAGTTTTTAAAATGATGCAGGCTTTGAAAAACACTCGACTACAAAGCACGTTCCTTCCATTTCAAGTTTATTCTCTTGGGTTTGTTTTCTAATCCCCTGTACAAGAGAGGCTGACTTGGGGAAAAAAGAAATTGCTGTGATAGTTCTATGGCATCCACGTGATATGCCTTATGTTAATTCCTACTTGTTGTCTCTTTGCGTATGGGCAGCCCCACTCTGCTCCAGCTGTTGGTCCTTGTTTCTTTAAGGCCATTTTCAGGCACAGAACACACTTTATTTTCTCTTCCTTTTCATTGGCGTCCTAAGGCTGTTATGAGAATTAAAATGGAAGTAAAATGCCAAGGAGATAGTGGGTACTCAAAAATGCTAGTCTAGGCTGGGCGCGTGGCTCATGCATGTAATCCCAGGATTTTGGGAGGCCGAGGCGGGTGGACCACAAGGTCAGGAGTTCAAGACCAGCCTGGCCAAGATGGTGAAACCCCATCTCTACTAAAAATACAAAAATTAGCCAGACGCAGTGGCAGGCACCTGTAATCCCAGCTACTCAGGGGGCTGAGGCAGGAGAATCGCTTGAACATGGGTGGCAGAGGTTGCAGTGAACCGAGATCACGCCACTGCACTCCAGCCTGGGTGACAGAATGAGACTCCATTAAAAAAAAAAAAAAAACTAGTCTACCTGCTCCCACTTCATCGCTGAGTACAGGTCATGAAAGCAAAATCTGCAAGGCGTCCCAGCCTCACACGTTCCCCGGCGGAAGTCTAAGCTGCTGTGCTCAACGGTGTGCAGACTCTTAGGCTTTGCAGTGAAATGTCTAGACCTTGCTGTTGTGGAGAGTCCAGGCCTCCTCTTCCTCTCCTGTTTATCTTCCCTTCCTCACCCCTGGGCTCCCAGGGCTCTCCCTCCCAGCCCTTCCAGCTGTCGTAGCCTCCAGGTGACAGGTTTCTTCATCACACTTAGCAGCAGGCAGTCTGTTTAAGCCTACATTCTCTATTTTTAAAAGCTTGTTCGAAAGTCTAAATGGCTCCCATTTTGGCTTTAGTAAGACAAATATGGGCTAAAATACGCGGTGCCCCTTAAGTATGATGGATACTCAAGACCCGCTGAAGTTTCCCGTCGCCAAAGTCTGGCTTCTCACTGTGGCAATTTTTCTACCATGTTATTTATGTGGTGGTTTTACTTCTAATTATGGCTCATCATGGCTGTTAGTGCTGAGCAGTAAGACAGCAAACTGCATTGTACTTCCATTTAACTCCAGCCCATAAAATGGGCAATAAAACCGAGGGCTTAAAAACCAAACAAAACAAAACAAAGCAAAAAAAACTTTCTGTGACAAGCTCACATCCGCTTCTGCCATTCTCAGGCTGGAAACTCTCACTGAGGAAACACATAGAGGCAGGTGATTTCTGGGGCCTGGGCGCCTCAAATTTCAGCTTTCAGCAATCCTTTATTGTAGACAAAACAATCCCAGACCTCGGATATAATTAACACATGCCAGCTTTAATCAGAACCAGTGTACTTCGTTGTTTAGAAACTAATGAAGGCAAATAGATGTTACTTAACACTGTAAATAATGAAAGGTCTTTTGTTGTTCTCAATTTTGATTACTATTTTTTGATGCTAAGAAGAATGCCACTTGGTGTGTGTGTAAACAAAGAAGATAAATGGCTGGGATGAGAATGAGTTGTCCGTAATCTGATTAAAGCGATAGAGCTGGCTCCTAGGAAAACCTCACAGGGCTTAATGATTGGGTTGTTGTTTTTAATATGTCTAATGTTCACTCTTAAAGAAATCAAGAAAAATGTTAGGAGGCTCCTGATATTTCACCGTGGCAGTGGCTGTCAGAGCTTCCAACAGGAAAAGAACATTCCCTGTGGCTGGGAGCACAATGTCCAGCCATGTAAGCTAATCTGCCCAAATGATATTAGGAGGCATTTTAAAACCTAAATCTGCTCCAATTCATTCACTCTGCTGGCAGAGCCATCAGGGACAAGGCAAGGACAGGCTTGGTTTTTTTGAAGTTGTGATGTGGTAAAACAGCTGGGAAACTCTCTACTTTTCTTTTTCTTTGGTTAGTTCTTTTCCTTCTTGACAAAATGCTCCTGGATTCCAGTTAAATGTCTGCTAGTGTTTGGATAACAAGTACATTACTTAAAAGCCTGTGTATACTGTAGCCTGTTAAGATATTAGGGAGGAAACTTAGACTCGTTGAGCTCTGCAAGAGCTCATTTTTGTCAAATGTCATTATTTGCCCCTCCTATCTTATAGTGTGAGTTCTGTGGGTGTGTGTTTGTGTGTGTGTTCATGCAACAATTACTTATAATTAAGTAGTGCTGCAAATTCACATCAGTCTTTTACTCCTAGGAAGGTCTGTGTGCATTGTGCATTTCCTCCAGTATACAATCATCATGGAACTTGCAGATCACCTAATAAATTTTAGGATTACCCCAATAATATTAGGTCATTAGGATCTTTGTTACATCTGAAACTCCAAATTGGACAATTAGATTCCAGATGAACAGGAATTGAATTATTCTGCTTATTTTAAGCCAACAACCCAAATAATTTTGAATACTCCCATTTCAATTCAATAAATATATATAGATAGCCCACTGTGTGCTAGTGTCCTATTTTGTGGATGAGAAGCTGAGGTTCAGAGAGGTTAAATAACTTCCCCAAGACAATTAGCAGGGTGGGTAGTCAGTAGCCTAGTCCTAACTTTAAACAAAATCCATCAGATTCTCAAGTTCATACTCTTCCTATCACCCTGTGTACCTCAATGATCAGTTAAACCTCTGTGTTTCAACAAATATTGAATGTCTCAGACTGGCCTCTTTTCTTGGTGGTGTCCATGAATCTGATAGAAACAAGCAACTGACCCTTTCCCAGTCCAAGAGAAGCAGCAGTTGGCAGGGATGTGGCCAAATTCTTCCCCATACCATGGTGAGCGGGGTGCTTCAAAGTATTTCTCGGTCCCCCGATGTGTCTGCCTCCTCTTTCTCTCACAGACCAGCATTTGACTTTGGTCACTTTGTAAGCCCAACAGACTGAGATTGGATTCCCAGAGACCCTGGGAGGACCACGGGGTGGAAAGGAAGAGAAAGAGAGAGTGAGAGTGAGCAAGAGAGAGAGCTTGTTCTCTTTCTGTCTTTTCCAACCCTTTTCCCCCTCCTGCTGGCCCATTTTAGAGCCACGTTGTCACACATTGGCACCCCATCTGAGGGCAGAGAGAGGGAATGACAGGAGATGAACAAAATCACAGCTGTATTAGAGACTTCTGATTTTTAAAAAGGATGTGGAAAGAGGTTGAAACTAAGCTGCTTTCTCTTGGAAGATGGTTGCAGTAAGTTCAGGGGCAGGTTTTTAGCATCTGAACATATTAGCTAAAGTATTTGAATATAATGCGCTATGCTGCATGGTGGAGTGGAAAGGGGCCAAGGATAGGTGGGATATTTGGAGTGGTCTTGGGCAAGCCATTTCACCTCTCTAGGCCTCAGTTTTCTCATCTTCCCCAGGTACACATTGAGCCAGACAATCCCTGAGGTTTCAGAGGAAAGCAGTGAGGAGCAGGGTGGCACACAGTACTGGAGTCAGCTGAGTGGCCTGAACCTTAGCTCGAGCTGTGTGACCTGGGTTGAGTTACTCACCTTCTACGAGGCTTAGTTTCCACCTCTGTGAAATGGGGATAAAGTGTCTGCCTCAAAGGGTCATTAAGGGGGCTAGATTGGTGAATGCACAGGCAGCTTCTGGAGAAGGAATTTTCCCAGGACTAGGAAGAAGAACTGGTGAGTGGGAGGCTTTGAAGGTGAGTGAGGGATGATAACAGGTCTATGAAGAAGTTCAGGCTGGGAGAGGTCTGGCCTTGGAGTGGGTTGGGGGTGCTCTGGGCAACCCTTTTCAAGGGAGGAGAAAATGGAGTAACCGTCAGGACAGAAAACAGGGTGCCTTGGTGCTAAGTTCCAGGGGGACATTGCCTTGGGGGAAGAAAAAGACATCTTGGAACCCCTATCTGTTTACTACTGTTCATTTCTTAATTCTTTATTTGTAATGAAGATGGGAAGGTTTACAACCTTGACAGTTCCATTTATTTCTACCATTTTCACCTAAAACAATACAAGGAACATCAATTATTTCCACCCTGGTTTCAACTGCAACTGGATAAAGTCGGCTTAATTAAACATGTTCAGTGTCTGAGGGTCTGTTTTGTTTCTCTGTCTGTCTGTCTGTCTGTATCTTTCTTTCTCTTCTACCAACCACCACACCATCCCTGTCCCCTTCTTCCTTCTCCTCTCCGTTTTCTAGCCTCACAGCTGGGCACAGGAAAACACGGAATAAGGACCCAGTGAACTAAAGGGGCTGAAGCCATGACTAGGAATCATATGCATGAAGAAGCCCAGAAGAGCCAATCCTCCCCAGAAGGGCACCCGGAGACCACTAAGGAAGGAGGGAGGATACCTTCTGTTCCCGTGTTCAGGCTCCAATGTATCCAGGTCACAGGAGGCTGCCTCTCCAGGCAGAGAAACTGATCCGTCCCTATCAGTGCCAGGCAGAGGGCAGGGGATTTCGCACCTGAGCAAGGGTTGGGATGACTCCCAAGCTTCCATTCTCCCTGGAGTTCCTCCCGAGGGTCTCTGTGACACAGAGGAGGAAGCAGGAGCTTTCTTTGCATAATCATGGTCAAATATTTATATTTGTTTAGGATTTGCTTCTATAGGATGTTTTCGTCATTCAAATCTATTTCCAAAATAAATCTGGATCTCTTTTATAAGAAAATGCAATGAAAACACCAGAATGATAGAGTAAGAAAATAGAACTGAAATTACTGAAAAGGAGCTGAGGAATTAGATGTTGCCAGGCATCTGAGATGAGATGATTAAAACAGCCAGGTGGCTCTGAGCTAAGGCAAAAGGCAGAATCTGGGGCAACACAGTTTATATCATCTGACAACATAAAGCATGCACATCCTTTGTGTCAAGCCGCACTGCTTCCTGGAACAAACTCAAGGCAGAATTTATTACCTGGGTTCCTGTTTAAGTGCATGTCGAATGACCAGTTGATGAAAGCCTTCAAATAAAGTTTTGCAAAAGAACAAAGAATGAGACGTGGAGTACTGACCCTCTCTGAAAGGATACCAGAATTAAGACTACAGAAGCCGACCCAACATTTGCTCACTACCTTTTAAATTGGACTTAATGCCATATTTTAAAAAATAACCACTTTTAAAATAATTTTTGCTTATATCAAAAGTAATACAGGTGAATTTCAGGAAATTTGTAAAATACAGCTTCAAAGAGAGAGGTGGAGAGAGAGAGAGAGAGAGAAATCTATCATCTATCACTCACCACTATTAACATTTTAGTGTCATCTTCCCATGTTTTTGTTTATGCATAGATATGCATATCTATTTTGCAAAGATAAGAAATTACTATATCTTTTAAACGTTTTTATTTGATAATGTACTATGAATATTTCCCATTCAATTAAATACCTCTACAGTGACACTGAATGCTTATGATACTGTATTGATATTAATATTGTAGAATACATCAGGAAGATATTATTACAATATGTTTAACCAATCCCCTGGATGCTAGATATTTGGGTTTCTAACATTTCATCTTTTTAAATAATTCTGTGATGAACATCTGTTCGCAGGGTACCCTCCATGACCAGTTGTGTTTCAGAGAAGGCAGATCTAGTCCATTCAAGGCCAGGATCCCCCGGAGGTCAGTACATTATTTGCCCAGTGAACTGTGGGCATATCTATACTTTTTGCACTTTTCCAGGCAGGAAGGAGGAAGTAGTACTGAGAACCCACTGTCTTGGGTTAAGGAGCATTCTCTGGGCTGCTTAGGGGAGAAGATTTCTATCCCAAGGTCCTGCAGCCTTGGGGTAAGATGGGAGCAGAGAAGACAGAGTGTGGGGCCACTGTGGAGGCAGCAGGGAGGGGTTCCTTGTGGCCACTGATCGGAGCCCTCATATTCCTTGTGGGGAGGCTCTAATTTCTCCAGAGATGCTTCTCTACTTGGAGGTCTGCCCTGTGTCGGGAGCATTAGTGGCCCTGCAGAGAGGTGGGACGTTATTTGGATACTCTTGCTCGTAGGGAGTTTGTTGCCTCCCAAAAGGTGTGTGGCATTTGTAAGTTGTTCTCCTTTTCCATGGTTCTTCAGAAGACTTGAATATGGTTTGTAATCTAGGCACCAAAATTGAAATTCCCTCCAAAGAGCCACACAAATAAATGACCTCCCATACCATTAAGTTCTCTCTATGCATGGCAATCCCTAGTTAACCTCAGACAGGTAAGAAGAGAGAGTGTTTTTCATCAATGACAAGGAAAGTTTTTTCTGGCTAATGTGGTATAGTAGCAAATGCAACTAAAAAGGACACCCCCAAGCATGTCTTTAATTCATTTGTACACATCCAACAACATCACTTTTAAGTACACATAGGTAGGATAAATATTTAGTCATTAAGTATCTGAAGTTATTGTAATTCTATTTCAGCACTATTCTTTTCCCTACATTAAAAAAAAATTTCTAGACTGTGCTTCAACCTCAAAGGACATACCTTGGACAGAATATTCCATTAAAGACATTGTTGGAGCAACTTTTATTATTCATTAGTGTGTTTTAAAGTGGACCTGAACAGAAATGCTTTTTGCTAAAGTAAAAATACATCCGTTTCTATGATCTAATTGTGCAATTGGTTAGAATTTCTATCTATCAGTTCAAAGGGAAACTTGGTTTCAGTGAATTTGTTTTTAATAAAAATGTGCTATCTATGATAAATATATTTCACTTTGTTCAAATGGATTTGATTGGGAAAACATATTGAGCAGAAGTACTGGTACAGCTTAATTTCATTGCTTTGAGAAAACGTATTGAATGCTGGTTTGAATTAAATTCTATTTGTTTTAATAAAAGTGTATTGGCCTGAGTGTACATATATTTGTTTTAGTGGTAGTGCATTGGATCCAATAAAACTATATTGGCTTCACTGCTTATGTCTCCTTTTCAGTGAAAATGGATTGAATGGGAAAACGAAATAGGCATGAAGCAGCCAGCCCCAAGGTCTCTGTTTGGTAAGAGTATCCAAACAAACCGGGAGAGAGGGGGGTTTCCATAGACTTTATATCAAAATATGCTTTTAAATTTAAATACCTTTTACTGTCAAGGACTCAGATGTGAAACTGAATTGCCACCATAAAGAATGCAATTTTCTGAAGCAGCCCTTTCCATGGACAAGTTATGGGACTGTCCAGGACACTAGAGGAAGAAATCCTCTGACAGCCCAGAGCAGGTTTGTCAGCATCCCTTAAACTTCACACAGGACTCATTGGTTCCAATAAGAGGCTGTCTACCAAGCATTCCTAAATCCCTTAAATGAACAGAAAAGGGATCATGAGTACTCCCTAAGGATGGTGCTGGCCCATCAGCATTGAAACGGGTCTGACTTTGAACTGATTGAAAAGAGGGGAAAAGGGAAACAAGTGTCACCCTGAGACATACTTCAGAATCACCAGACTTCCCAAAGATTATAGACCCTCAGAGAAGAATCGGCTTCACACAAGGGAGTTGATGCTGGTACTGCCGTCTAGAAAATGGCAGCCTCTGCCAAGTGCCACGACTGCATTGTGTAGCTGTAAATGGCTCCAAGATGCCAGGCCACAGATACTCCTTTGCATAGGTGCCCTGACCCAAAAGCCGGTGTTAAAATGATGGGGAGTAATGACAATATTGGCTGCTATCCCTACGTGACTGTCTCTCGATTAAAGAAAGTATGTGCTCTGAATTGTTTTTCCACCAGAAGATGAACTTGATCTGACTCCTCTACCCAGTTTCATTTAGCCTTGATGAGAAATAAATGCAAACACTATTTTCATTAACACCTTTCTTCCAACTAAATGTGCTAACAAGCTCCAGACTTCAACCTTCCCATTAATAACTGCTAATTTTGAAGTAGTATCATTACCAAGGAAATCTAAGCCCTTGGTGTGTAGTTGCTCATTTTTTTGAATGCCTGAATCCTTATAAGACCCTACAAGGATAAGAGAGAAAAATTTATTCACAGATTCTTTTTTTCCTAGAAATAGTCCCAGTTATATACTAGAAGTCAAGAAAAAATGGAGTTTGTGATAAAGAAGTTTTCTGTGCTGTCCTTGGAGGAGTGGGGTTGTGACCCTGGGAGACAGCAAGTGGCTCACTTTGTCAGAATGTAGCACTGATCGGCCACATTACATAAATATGATGTGGGGTGAGAAGATTTCAGGAACTCCCAGAAGGTGAGTGGAGAAATGAGACAAAGAGGGGAGGCAGCTAACACAGGGTTTGTTGTTAAGCACGTTACCACTGTGGCCAACCGGAGCTTGAGCCTGCTGTGGGAAATCTAGGAATTGGCAGAAAACCTATGTCTTAGAATTAAGGGGCAAGGAGAAAGGGAGCTGAGGTATGTATAGATCATGCGCATTTATACATTCGTTCCCATCCTCATTAGTTGAGAGCTGCTCCTGGGAGCATTAATTCTCTAGTGGACCTAGCCTGCCAGGTGAGCAGGCACCATGGGCTCTGACCCCCAGAAAAAGCCTTAAGGCAAAGAATGCAGTTGGCAGCGGTAAGGCTGAAGGGCAGGGCAGGGCACTGGTAAGGCCTACTACCCTATGAAGCCCACTTTACAGATGAGTAAACTGGGAAGTAGAGGTTTACTGGTTCTCCCAGTGACACAGACAATAGTCAGCACAGGCAGAATGCAGTCCCAGCTTCTGCCTCACTTGAAAGTCAGTGACTTAACCTTTTAGCCACATGGTTCTGATCATGCTGTCCAGCTGAGGAAGCGGCATGCCTCCCAAGTTTTTTTTTTTTTTTGAGGCGGAGTCTCGCTCCGTCGCCCAGGCTGGAATGCAGTGGCGAGATCTTGGCTCACTGCACGCTCTGCCTCCCGGGTTCATGCCATTCTCCTGCCTCAGCCTCCCGAGTAGCTGGGACTACAGGTGCCTGCCACCATGCCCGGCTAATTTTTTTGTATTTTTAGTAGAGACGGGGTTTCACCGTGTTAGGAAGGTTTCGATCTCCTGACCTCGTGATGTGCCCGCCTCGGCCTCCCAAAGTTCTGGGATTACAGGCGTGAGCCACCGCGCCCAGCTCTGCCTCCCGAGTTTTAAAAATCAAGTTTTGAGGGTTTTTTTCACTGAGTCAGGGCTGGGTGCTGTATTGCAGATAGGAGAAAGGGAACTGGAAGTGTTACACTGCCTTAGCTTCTGCACCTAGAAGTGGCCAGATAGTGATCTCTCTTAGGCTGAACTGAATCTTAGCATCTAGGTGCATGTTCATGGGATGCTAAACTCAACTTGTCCTATGATACATCTTTGATTAATAGGCAATTGCAAGTGACTGCATGACCGTGTGCTCCTGGGTTATTTTCAGCGAGCCAGGGGCTCGCAGCTATCACCCAGCTCCACCAGCAGTTTGTTTGGCAGTTTGTCCCTCTTTCGTATTCATCCTTTTGCAATCAGCTTTTCCATTTCAGCCGTGCTTGCTAGCTGCAAGCTGCTTTGTGACGTAAGTTATGATGACTTTGTGCTATAAAATAAAACAGCAATCCTCACAGCTGTTTTGATTCCATTTAATGAAATGGTGGTGACATCTGAATGTCACAATTGCAGAGAGGCGGATGGGTTGTTGCAGTTGCTGATAGGAGAAGGATCAGTGTTATTCCCTGGGCTAATATCTCATATGACAATTCTGCAGTTACCATCGCTCTGTGTCAGGCGATGGTGACTGCTAGGCGCCAATGGACCTCTGGTTTTTCTTCACTTCCTATAAATACAATGGGGCAGTGGGGTGGAGAGGATGAAGACGGCATTGTGAAGATTGGGAGAAATATTTTGGGGGAAAGAAGCACACACCTAACAGTTGCTGCCATTCAAGAACTTGAAAAATACACCGTTTTGGGATAACCAATAGCATGCATGTATCCCATTGAAAAGTGCTGGAAAAAATCATTGGTTTCTCCTTCCTCGCCATGCGTAAAGCAGAGAGCAATGCTGGGAAGACATCAGACAGAAAACATGGAGGCAAGTCAAGAAGCCAGTCTCTCCTTAATCAATTATGCGAGAGTATTATCAAATCAATGAATTCACAGTGTGAACGCTTGCGGCAGATGGACGAACACTTGTCGGCTATCCGGAGCCGCGAGAGAGTCAGATTTATTTTCAAAGCTTGTTTGTCTCATTTCTCCTGCCTGGTGCTGGAAGGCAGAGCATGCAGCTGTGATTTTTCAAATGTAAGAGATCTCCAACTATTTTATAGTGTGTGAGATTGGGCTCTGCAAGCTAAACTCTCTAGGACTTCTGGCTTTTTTTCCCCTCAGAATGAGGACAAAGGAGTGCAGGCTTAGCCAGCGGTCTCTCTCTCCATGCTTACAGTTCTCAGCAATGGAAGGATGAGGTTGGATGGATCCATGACTGGCATTCCGGTCTTGGCTGTGATGGTGAGGTTTCTCCTACTGTGATCTCAGAGATGGGGCATATAGGAAGGAAGAGGAAGCTTCTGCCTGAGGCACAGCCTGTGTTAGGACGATGGGCCCTTAGCACAGGAAGGTGTTACCAGTGGTTCTCAGGCAGCGGTAGCACTCCTTCCTGCCACCAAGGCTTCTGGTATTCTTGGCTGGCAGACATCTTGATTCTGAGCTGATCAGGGAGAAAAGGGAGATCATTTTGAGTCAGAACTGGTAATTTCACAGCATCTGCCATCCAATTGCAGAAAGCATTTTTCAAGTTTCTCCTTGTGGTAGGAATCATCATTCCGGTTTTGTGTATTGGGCCAAGTGGAAGTTCACTTTCAGTCTTAAAGTCAACAAGGAGTTCATGAACATTCTGGGTCTGGATTTGCAGCCTCCTGACCCAGTGCATGACCAAGAAGCCTTGTTAAACAAATTCTAAGTACTTCAGGGCAGAGTGAGTGGTGGAGGCTGGCCAGGGTCTCAAGGCTGTGTGCCTCAGTGTGTTCATTCATTCTTTCATTCATTCAATCAGTTGGTCAGCAAGCCTGGATTAGGCCAGAGGTTCTCAACCCTACCTACCTCTGACTAAGTCAGACTTTCTGGGTGATTCTATCACGCAGTCAACATTGAGTCGCTGTGCCAGGCACTGAGGATACCATGGTGCACAGAACATTGTCCCTGTCCTCATGGTCCAGGGTGACAAAATGGAACACGGCTGTGATAGAAGTAAGCTCAGGCTTCTGATAGAAGCAGCCTCCAACCCAGATAGGGCAAGGAGAATGAATCCACAATGACTCACTGGAGGGGCAGACACTGCACTGATTTCAAAAAAGAAGCAGGGATTCTGAATTATCTAGTCAAAGAATGGGGAAGGCGCATTGCACAAAGTCCTGGAGAATCTACAAGGAGCCTCTTGTAGCCATTGTGTGCAATGCAAGCTAGAGGGAAAAGTGGGCAGATGGGGAGAGAGGTGAGCTGGACTGGACGGTGGAGGCTTTAGGGGGTCATGCTGGAAAAGTGAGCCCCTATTTTATGAGAAAACTCTTTGAAGGGATTGCCAAGATCAGATTTCAGTTTCAGAGAAAACATCCTGGCAGCTGAGTGAAACAATAGATAGGAGGGGGCTATGGACAGTTACAAACTGAACAAATGAAAATCACTCATATTTGCCACTGTTTACAATTACGGTTTGGCTTTTGGGGGAGAAAAGATAGATGGTAAAATTTTATTGAAAAAAAAATTCTATAAAATTCCAATTGGGTTGTTTTAAGGCAAGCACTTTTTAAAAAACTGAACTGAATTTGAAATCGAAAAATTAAAAGATTTGCTCTGAATATATGTTTTTGGGGATACACATGCACACACACATATTTGTTTGATTCTCTAAACAAATCGCTTCTGGCTTGGGATTTAAAAAACATTTTTTGCGGGGACAGGATCTTGCTTTGTCGCCCAGGTTGGAGTGGTGTGACCACAGCTCACTGCAGCCTTGAACTCCTGGGCTCAAGCAATCCTCCTGCCTCAGTATCCCATGGCTTGGGCTTTTTTGGGAGGTGGTGGTGTTTGATGAGCTCAGCTCACCTCTCACCCCATCTGGCTACTTTTTCCTCTGGTTTGCATTGTACACAATGGCTACAGTAGGCTTCTTGTAGATTCTCCAGGACTTGGCACAATCTGTCCTACCTTCCATCTTCTGGCTGAAAGGATCATGCTTTGTAGAGTTAATTAAGAAGCCAGCTTCCAGAGGCAGAAAAACCTGAGTTTAAATCTCATTCCTGCCCCTCCATACCTCAGATTCTTTGCCTGTAAAATAGGCTGGGAATAGCACCTTCTTCCTGGTAAAACAATGAAATACATGTAAATACATATACATTCTTGTGAAGAGCTTAGCACAGAGACCGGGACATTGGAAACAGTCAAAAATGGTAGAAGGAACCAAAAGGCAAAAGACGGAAAACAAACAACTCAGAAAAGTAATGTGCTGATCCATCAAGTGACCCGATTTCTATTTTATTCCACTTTGGCATGATCTGGCAACATTTTTTTTTTTTTAAACAAAAAGGAAAAGAGACTTGTAGGTCAGAGTCTTAACAACCAGTCTCTATAAACTTTATGCAGAAGAGCTGTATGAACTCGATGATTTCTGCTCTAAGCTGCTGAACTAAAATTGACTTGCAAAATGACCTGCCTCTGCTCTGGCGACTGTCGCTTGTTCTGAAGGCAGGAGAGAATTTGGCTCCTTCGCTTATGATATCTACAGTAACCCATCAGCTGCTGCGCTGAAGGATGTGTTCAGCATTCCCCTTTCCCCTTTAATGTGCCATTAAATCAAATACTCTATTAGCAGAATTAGTTCATTCAGTGTCTGCACTGAAACGTCCTGTGAATTGCGTGTGTCTTCGTAAATGGCCCTGCACTCTGGGGTCTACTTCAGCAGTTTATATCCTGCGGAGGAGGGCCGAGCTGCCCAAGGATCTGACGGCCTTCCTCTAAGTGAAATATTACGGCTTCCACAAAGGATAATTATTTGGATCATTTTGCCATGTGCAGGCCTGGTTAATTCCAAGCACCGTTGATCAGGCTCTGGCCCAAAGCCTGCTATCCTCACACCTGCAGCCGGGACCTGCCTTGGCCACGGGCTTCCCACCTTCTCAGCTTCTCAGCTATGCATAGGTCCACTCTAGAGACTTGTTCCAAAATGCATGCTTTTCCTGAGAGTGAAAATATGGAAAAATTCCTTTCCCCAAAAGAATTTAGGGCAGGAACTTAGCGTGTCTCCATTTTTGTTTTCTGAGGCAAGAGCTGGGCTTAAAACTCAGCATCTATATTTCCATTCTCTCTTACTTACACTTGTCACCCAATACATGTGAAAGCAGGCAATGACAACTGCTGTGCCTCTGTCATAATAATCTCATGCTCTGAAAATTAGCAAGGATCTCAAGCACGCAATATCACATTCAGCCTGGGCATGTTGAGCACCAGCATGATTCTTCATCTGCCAGGGCTCTGGGCTGCTGCTGTGGGCACTCTGGCTGCTTTTCCTTTATGTCGAGTTGCATTTAGCCAAGGTGCATTTCATCTGTTATACTCTCTTTTACTAAAGCAGAAAGTCAGTATGTTAGGGGAGTATTTGCTCCATACCAGGTAAACCTTAGAATGGTGTACTGGTAAATGTTTGGCCTTTTTTCAGGGGATGGAGGGGAAAAGCCTGGTTTATAATGTCTGCCAATTTCCATGGTGTAAATACTGACACTGTGGCTGATTTCAAGCTACCAACATGACATTATTGAATACAGAGTTGGGAAGAAATGTTTGCAACACTCCCATTCCATCGTACTTCCATGAAAATAAACCTCAAGAGCCATATGTAATAGTTAACTATATAAAATGATTAGGATGGGATGAGTTTTGAATATTCATTATATCTTAAAATGTAACCCATTTAATTATAAGTTTATACAATTTAACTTTGATAATGACTGTGTTTAACAATGGACTTGCAAAATTCCTCAGAATTTAACAGCTGGCTCTCACAAGCTAATATAAGCCAGCTCCACACACCACTGAGTTTCAGGATAGAAAATATTTCTCATTTACAACTCAGTCCAGCATGGATATTTGACAGTGGCTCTCCACATGGTGACTCAGGGACCCAGGCTCTCTCCATTTTGAATCTCCATTCCTCTTAGGAGCCTCGGAACCCTTTGCTTCCAGCTTGGGGTTGGGGAAAGCACAGAAGTTTTCACATGGGTAGTTCTCATGGCCCAGACTTGGAAATGGTTTGTCACTTTTGTCCATATTCCATTGGTTGGAATTCTGTCACATGGCCACACCTGACAGCCAGGGAGTCTGGGAAATATAGTCTAGCTGTGTGCCCAAGAAAGACAGGAAATGGGGTGGATGAGCATCTAGCCCAATTCTGCCATACCACTGGGATTGACTCCTTCACTGGCTGATGTCAGAAAGCAGGTAGACTACGGAGGAAGAACAGCTGCCCACCTGTCCTTATTGAACATTCGAGAGTTTAACAGGCATGAGCAATGAAATTAATTGTTATGAATTTGGCAATTAATAAATAGAACTATGACTGTGTAGGAACCAGGATAAATGTTGTTTACTGTTACTGATGGGGCAGGATGCTGTGGCAGTTGCATGAGCTGGTCGAAGCTCAATGGTCCCTTCATCCACTCACCCACATATCCAATAAACCTTTAGTCAGGCTCTGTGTTAGCTTCTGGGGATGCAGATGTGCTTAGGACATGCTTATAGTCCAGTGAGGAAGAGAGAATCAGACAAGCCAAGGTCAAGTGAGTGTTCTAACCAATGAGAGAGCAGCTAAAATTATGGAACGTTATTCTCCTCCTTCTAAGGAGGAGACAGTTGATGTGGTTCTAGTTGGATGCATGGGTAGAATTTTCTAGGTATAGAAGGGGAAAGATATTCCAGGCAAGGGGAACAGCTTGTGCAAAAGTCGAGGGGAATGGCAGAGCATGGCTTGTTCCCGAAATGGCAAGAAACTCTGTGGCCAGAGATGGGGCTGAATAGATTGGCTATGTCAAATTGTAAAGAGCTTTCCATGGAGTGGATAGGGGTTTGGAATTTACCTGTAGGCCCATGCTTCTCAAACAGGGGACACCTACCTCCAGGGATACTCAGGGGTATGCCAGAAAGGATGTAAAGACAGCGAAAAGCTTCTTTATTTCTTCCCTTGATGGTAAGCAATTCAAAATGAGTTTTGAGAAGTCCTAGAAAAGAGTTCTTTTTGTCTCAGTAGAGTGGATATCATCTCAGTGGACTTCCATCTCAATGAACTGATACCAGTCCTGTGGTCAGTGCAACGCTATGCTCAGATGGGCTCGAGCTGAGCACGTGCTGCACCCCTGAGCCCCGGGGTGGGTGCCCACCCAAAGCCCAAGAGTTAAGAGAGGGGAAAGGGTGCTCTAGAGGAAAATCCAGACACGGGAACCAAGAAGGGGGAATGGCTGCCAGGTAGCCCAGCCAGCAGCTGACCCCTACAGGTGAAAAACAGCAGGTGGACAACTGTCCCTAGAACTGCCATTTGCAATAGAGAGCAGGCCAGGTATGAGAGAGAAAAAAATCATTTTCTTTCAGTTTTTGGTTCTTGAAATAATGGGAGGTCCAACAGAATAATGAAAGGGCTGTTTTTACAAGATAAAATCAGGTGGGAAGCTGGGGTGGGGCTGGTCCCGTCATCTCCAGCCCTTGAAATATAAACCAGCTCCCATCCTGTTTCCTCTCAGGCTCCTGGCCTGAGTAGCTTCTGGGCAAAGCCAGTGGCTTCATTGTGGTCACTGTAATTGTGCCAAGTCACGAACCTGTAGGCTGAGCCAGGAAGGCCCCAAAGCAGATAAGCCAGGCTGGCAACATGAGCGCCCCTCACCTCACATCCTGCCCCACAAATGGCTTGAGCAGGAACCACGAAGCCTGGAGCAGACTCGGCTGTGCTGCGTGCTCTTGGGAAAAGACCCACAGCCAAGCCAAGACCACAGTCTGAAGACCCTGAGCCCCACGGAAAGGCATTATTTGTGAGGCCTCCACGTTGGGGGTGTGGTAGGGAGAGCAAGATTTTGAAATCAGAGAGCCTAAAGTGGAATCCCAGTTGTACCCTCTGGGATTGTCTGGAGACAAGCGGCTTTAGCTCTGGAACTCAGCTCCCTTGCACATACGTGCAGATGACAACGCCTGCCCTTCAAGGTTGTGAAGATTCATCAAGACCACATGAGTGAAGCACCTGGCATCAGGTGTGGCACAAAGCAGGTGCTCAGGAAATGCCAATCTGCTTAATAATAAGAAGAGAGGCCGGGAGTGGCAGCTCATGCCTGTAATCCCAGCACTTTGGGAGGCTGAGGTGGGCAGACCTCCCAAAGTCCTGGGATGACAGGAGTTGGAGACCAGCCTAGCCAACATGGTAAAACTCTGTCTCTACAAAAAATACTAAAAGTTAGCCGGGCGTGGTGGCATGTGCCTGTAATTCCAGCTACTTGGGAGGCTGAGGCAGGAGAATCGCTTGAACTGGGAGGTGGAGGTTGCAGTGAGCTGAGATCATGCCACTACACTCCAGCCTGGGCAACAGAGCCAGGCTCTGTCAAAAAAAAGAAGAAGAAAAATGAGGAGGAAGAGGGAGGAGGAAGAAGAAGGAGGAAGGAGGAAGGAGATGACACCTAGGAGTGGTTACTATGTACACTCAGTGCCTTCCCATTCCTTATCTCACTTAATCCCAATGACTGTCTGATGCAAGTCCCATTGTTATTCTCACCTGACAGCTGCAGACGTGGAAGCTCACAGAGGTGGAGTCATCGCCCAGGGTTACACACCTGATGAGCAGAGAGCTGGGATTCGAACCCAGGCAGCTGGGGGCTGAGGAGGCCGAGGGAGAAGCAGCTGGTGATGAAGCCTAGAAACGAATCAGGTCTGCTTCCTTGCTTGGCATTCGGTGCCATTGACAGCAGCCTCCCCTCAGCAAGCAAAACTTGCTCCAAATTGAGCTGCGAGTTTCTTGCAGGGTGGAGCTGCCCTCGGCTGAGTGGAGCCAGGAGGGTGAAGCAGGAGTGTGAACGGTGTGAAGCACCCATTACAAATTTCTGGCCGCCATCCTAATTTTAGAGGCTTCATGTTTCAATATGAAATGCTGTTGTTCGTGCCACAAAAGGAGGAAACAAACAGAATCGTGCCAGGAGAAACCCCCTCCCCCACCAAGTTTGATGCTGTAAAAATGTCTAATGGGGAAATCTTTTCAGTGGTAAATTACCCCACTGCCTTCTTTTCCTCTTATTTTGCATCGGAAGCTCTCCTCAGTTCCTACTGGAAGATGTTCAAGGCTGGGCCAGGAGAATTCTAGAGACTTTTTCCCCTAATAGGCACCGTGTTTGTGGAGAAGTCCACTAAGAATCCCAGACTTGACATAGCCCTGGCATTCAGCGGCCGCCTCACTCCCATGTGGAGTGAAAACCAGGAAGACAGCAGAAGGTGGCAAACCCACTGTCAAGAACCAGAGTAGCAATTTCTTGCCATTGTAGTGATAAATTGCTACACTGGCTGAACTAAAAATTGTAATAATAATAACAATTAACATTTATGCAGCATGTACAATGCTCCAGTAAAATATTCTTTTAAGGTCACAATGTACCTTTATCATGATGTTGTCATAATGTATCCACAATAATAGCAGCACTAGCTAACATTTATTGAATAATTACTGTGGTTACTTTATCTGCATCATCACATTAATCTTTAAAACTTCACAACAATGCTTTGAGCCTGGTGCTTTTATTATTCCCATTGTACAGTTAATAAAACAGGTTTACGTAGTTAGTGGCTGAGCTGGGTTGCAGACTCAGGCACGTCTGAATCCGGAGCTGGGGTTCTTACCCACTCCAGTGACTGCCTCTCAGAAAAGAACAGGGCAATGTCCATTCTCCTTTTATTTTCTTTAAGCACCTGATCATTCTAAAAGCATGTGTTCCTCCGTGTGTGTGAGTTGTGTACACGTGTGTGTGTGTTCCTTTCTTTTCTCGGACTCCAGGCTCATGACTGCTTATTTGCATGGTGTTTTGGTGTCAAAGGAGTGTTGAATGTGTTCTCCACACACCCAGCTTTATTCCACTCTAGGAGTTTAACTTCTTCAGCATTGTTATGAGGTCCCCGGTGACCTCAGTTTCTCCTCTCCGCGTCATCCAGGACTTCACCTGAAGCTTGAGCTACACGTAAGACTTCATCTACCTTGCACAGGGCAATGGAGAGAGGTAAGTTTCTGGGACCAGAGGGGTGTTGTCTTATCCTCGGTAGAGGGAGTGCAGAGGAGGGATGGAAAGGACAGGAGAGGACTGACTTCAGAAGGGGTCAACTGGGATCGTTCCAGGCAAACTAGATTTGTGTCACTCTGCTTAGCTCCCTTCTTACAAACGGATGTGAGAATACATCTTCGCCATCCCTTGGCCTGTGAGGCTGGCCCCATTACTGAATGTGTGGAACTGAGAGGTGCACTGAGTAGAAGCAGTAACAGGCAGCAGGTGCTTAACTGTTGGCTGGCTTTTTCTTGGCTTTTTCCTCTCACTCGTTGAAGGTGCAATGCCTCATCTTGATACTGGATCATTTCTTCTGTAACTACCAAGTTTTGTAGATTTGCCTCCTGGAATCTATGATGCTTCTGTGAGATTCCTCCTTCAATGAAATGAGGGATAATTAAGTAGCCTGCTGCATCCAACCTCAGCCTGCCTTCCTGTGAGGTGTCTACGTGTGCCTGTGCACACACACGCCCGCGCACACACAGGCATGCACACACATGTGCATCCAGACATCCATGCATGCACACACATGTGCATCCAGACATCCATGCATGCACACACACACACACACACACACACATAGGTGTAAAGTTTAGTTACATTGGAATTATTTACTTGTTTTCAGAACACTAACTGTAAATATGTGTTTATATCACTGGGTCACTAGGACTTTCTTATTTCTGCCTAAGTACCTGAAGTTTCTATTTCTCTATTTTTCAAAATTATTTTTAAATTAGAAAAATAATCCTCAAATACAATATCATTTAAAAAGACTCAAACGATACAGAAGGGACGTATGGGAAAATGTGAAAAAATCCCCTTTATACAACTGATACTTCAAAACACTCTCATTCCCACCTACCAACCCTCTAACAATAGAATAACTTCATATTTATGCTGATGGACCTTTTCCTATGTAGTGTGAGCTTAGTGTGCAAAAAAATCTCAAAATATTTTTGAAAGCGCCTCTTTTCATACAAGTTTTATATTCTATGAAGAGAAAATCTGCTAAATGTTACTTCCCTATAGTACTGCCAAGTTGCTTCTCTGAGCCGTTAGACAACTTTTACCCCATTTCCCCTTTGCCTTATTGGTTGAATGTGGTTTTTGAATTGCTAATGGGTCAGGTGTGCCACAAAGGAAAGAGCCTGGGCTTTGGAGTCTAACTTGGTTTGAATCCCAGTAAGATCCCTGTTTAGTCTCATAGACTGGGTAAATTGTGTTCATTTCTTCCCAGGAATCAAGGGCCAGGACTCTGCAGCCACACTGCTGCCTGGGTTCAAATGCTACTTCCCCCTTGACTCAGTGGAAAGCTTTCAAAAACCACTTGACCTCTCAGTGCCTTAGTTCCCTCACCTGTGAAATGGGGATAACAATAATATCTCCCTCTTAGGGTTGTTATGAAAGCTAAAAAGTTACCTCAATGCCTGGCACACACACAGTGAGTGTTAAATAAGCCTCGGTTGCTTTTTATTACCCTCCTATGTGTACAGAATTCACAGCGATGTAAGTCTACATGCAGGTGATAAAGATCCTGCCCCAGGGAACACAGATGGGTGCAATCAAACCATTATTAAGCTAACAAGACAGCATGACCCTAAAGCTCCTTGCAGAAATTTTCACCACCAGGGCGCACACAAACACAGAAATAATTCTGCTCAGACTCAAAACAGAGAAGTGACCCCCAGCCCCACCTTTGTCTCATCTTCCACTCCATCCATGCATTCTTTAGATTTCAGCTGTTCTCTTCCTTCCCAGCTCTTCTATTCTCTTCGTCCTCACCAGGCCAAGACCACATATTTCACACCCCTCCCACAAAATGACAGAACTACTCCCACCTCTGCCATCTTCCCTCCTATCCACAGGGTCTATGCCTAGCCATCTGTTTGGGTCCTAAACTGACGCTTGGAGCATGTAACATCCACTAAGGAAAGTTTGTCTTAATTGCCTCCCTTGCTGATCACAATGACATTCAAAATCCTTCATCAAGGTTATCTTCAAACCCTCCTTTCAAACTAGCCTCTCCCTGTGCTCTAAACATGTCTCCCAGAATCCCTGCTCTGAGCCAACCAATTCAAGTTTCCCATGGAATGTAATTGATACACAAGAGGGAGTTGGATGAGAACATCTTTAAAGCCTTCTGAGCCCTGTAGATCATTTGCAGACATTCTACAAAACTACAAATAGTCACCGCACTTACTATGTGCTAAACATTACGTTAATTGCCTTTGTTTTATGCACATTAGCTCCCTTAATTCTCATAATAGTTTGATGAAGGAGGTAGTATTACTATCCTGTTTTACAGACAGAAAAGCTGAGTCTTGGGGAAGATAAATTGTGGCTCCAAGGCTACCCAGCCAAGATGAGCAAGACTGAAACACAGACCCACATGACACTGCAGTCCCGCTCTGGGTGTCAGAAGAGTGCTGCTTCCCCCAGCTTCTGTTAGCCTGTGTTAAATGTTTCCAGGTTGATCCTCCAGCCTACCCTCACCCCTATGCTTTCTTTCTAAAACATAAGCAGATGAAAAATAAAGCATGAGTGCTTCTTCCCTAGGATGGCATACCAGAATCACCAGATGACAGACATCGGGGTGCTGTCGGACCCGGGAATCAGAACCTCTGCAGATAGATATTTTGGAAGGCGCTCCCTAGATTGGCACCTCTGGTTAGAACCCTGCCCAGGGACTGGACAAGTTGGGCCCATGGCTCATATCTGGCCAGTGTTCATTGCTTTGTTGAATCACACTTAATCCTTTGGTTTTGGTAGATTCCTGCAAGTAGACTGACAGCTGCATGTTTGCAGGAAAGTTAAATATTTTGACAGCGCAGAAGACTGCTGCATCTGGAGGGTTCTGGGTCCAGCTATAACCAGACTTGCCTGTCCTAAACAAATGGATTGACTGCTTCCGGCATCCTCACTTTACTTCTGCATGGTGACCAACATCCGGAGCTTAATTACCTGACAGCCAGGAGGTAGGGGGCAAAGGAAACCTTTTAATTTATAGTAAGAAGTGATCAGTTCCTTTTTTGGGTCTTAGTTAGAATCCAGGTGCACTTGAAACAATAAAACCTTGTATATAGTTTTCTCCTATAAGAAACTTCTCAGATATTTACCAAAATCCTGGAAAAATATATATTGGTCAATATACCACAATTCCCACAAGAGGTAAATATTTACAAAATCTACTTTGGGCGGTGATGCTGCAAGAATATTAAAAGGCGTTGACTTTATCGTCAAGTGAATTATTTCTTAATTTTTTAAAATTTAAATCACAGTATATTTGACAAGCTACAGCAGTAGGAAAACACCTTTGCTTTAAACAAAACTACCTTTTCTCAGCAAGAACAGTTACTAGAGTGGGAAATAAGGTTAATTTCAGTTTTATTAATAATATCTGAAATGAAATAATGTTACAACTCTCCCCTCTAACCTCGTTGCTAGACAACTTAGAATATTTATTTATTTCTCCTTCAGAGAAAATAAGAGTGGATGTTACCTTTAAGCAACATACACATTTAATTAATGAACACAAGGAAAATGATTCCGGTTGTAGTTAAATCGGGTACAAGCATATAGGATTTAAGAGATCTGACCTTAGAAATGAAGAAAATATTATTGTAATTACTCCATTTGCTAAAAACAAATGATGTGGCATTTGAATTTAAGACTTCTATCAAAAGCAGTTGAGTGTCTGTAATCAGTTCTCACCTTTACATTTTAATGGAGTTGAGGTTGAGCCGTTGCATTTACAATTATCTAGGCTGACTTCATGCCTTTGAAATGACTTAAAAAGATTAGCATTCATGGATTATTTATTAGCTCCTCGTGAACGTATTTCCAAGAATGGAAACAACGTATTGCATCAAAGTCTAGTTTCCAAGTTTAACTCTTTTAATGAACAGCATGACTGTACGATGCTGCAAAAGGCATCTCTGAAGTCACAGGACATTTTGTCATGCTTTTCCCTTCAAGTGCATCTTTAGTAGCAGTCTTTGTTCCTTGCAAGCTCAGGGAGAATGTTGATTCCAGCCCTGGCAGCTGCCCGAGATGCCCTGTAAACACTACGGCTAGCAGAAAGCAGGCTGCTCAGGGGGGCAAGGCAGCTGATCCCAGCCTGCTGTAGCTATCACTGATAGGGAATGCCTGTCTGGGGCTCGGCAGAGAACTCAGTGACA
The DNA here is from genome assembly GCF_000001405.40 of Homo sapiens. Lineage (NCBI taxonomy): Eukaryota > Metazoa > Chordata > Mammalia > Primates > Hominidae > Homo > Homo sapiens. Next base: position 26,556,431 of record NC_000007.14, read on the forward strand.
TGATGGCCCTGGCAGTTTAACCCAAACACACTTTTCTGCCTAGATAACAAAAATGTCATGCCTGAGTCCCTGATAGCAACCCCAGAGGAGCTCCAGGTTTGAGGCAGCGCTGGCAGGACGTGGTCTATCTGCCATCTGAAGCCCTTCATTGCCCGCCTGGCTGTGAATCTCACCTCCTCTGTAGTGGAAAACAGGCTGAACAGAACTGGCAGGCAGGTAAGGGACAGCAAACCTTGCAGGGAGGGCCTAGTGCTGAAGCTAAGCCAGCCCTTTGAGTTCAAGCTCAAAGACATGTGATGCCAGCTTTGCAGGGGAGCTAAGATTCTTCCGAGAAAAAGCAGAATGAGAGAGAGATATGCAGCTGCAGTGGAGGACTTGGAAGAGAACAACGCCAGGTCCTGGATCCTGCAAGAATCTCCTCTGGAAAAGCAGGGGAGAGAAAAGCAAGGAAGGAAGCAGGGTCACCGCAAGTGTGGGATTTGTCTTATTAAAATCTGATACTGTGTGGCAGTTTGCTTCACTCTTGGTATAAAATGTCTGAGCTCCATGTTAAAGTAAATGTAAGTAATATAAATCTGCCTTTCCTGAGGTGAAAATAGATCCATATTATTTAAAATATGAACTGAGATAGATGACAGTTACAAACATTATACTTGTTCTTATTATAATTCTTACTAAGCTCAAGGAATAAAAACTGGGATGATGAAAAAGAAGTTCTGAATGTAAAAATTGGTGTTTTGGATAAAATACAAACCAACCCAGAAATGATGAAAAAAATCTGCCCTGCCTGACTTGCTTTGTTGCTTTGCTCATGGAGAGTTCAGCAATCGTGTCATTTATTCATTCATTCACTCACTCACTCACTGACTCATTCATTCAGCAGCTATCCAACCGGAGCTCGCTGTGAGGCAGACACTGTGCTGGGGACACACAAATGCATCAGATGTGGAGTCTGCCCTCAATGAGCTTATAATCTAATAAGAAAGAGAAGGCAAGTCCACATGTAACTGTAGTACGAGGCAGGATGTAATAACTGCAGAAAGGGACATGAAAGAAAATGCCGTGAGGGATTGCACCTCACTAGGGGGAGGTTTTATTTGAACTATCTTCTAATGGATGGGCAGAATTTGGACAGTGGAAGTGGTGGGGGGTGGGGTGGTAAGGAAAATCCCAAGAATGCTTTGGTGTAGAAGGTCCAGCAATCCCTGCCTGGTTTGTTGTCTGTGTCCATGAAGTTGAAGCAGAAGAGGAGCACTTGAGTACCTGTCTGCAAGAGCAACTGACCTGGCACCCCTGGTTTTTCCAACTGTCTCTTTCTGTGTTCTCTGGCAAGACACCTATGGGCTTTAGGCTATTTTTTTTTATTTTTTATTTTTGAGACAGAGTCTTGCTCTGTCACGCCGCCTGGAGTGCAGTGGCGTGATCTCAGCTCACTGCAACCTCTGCCTCCCAGGTTCAAGCAATTCTCCTGCCTCGGCTTCCCTAGTAGCTGGGATTAAGGCACGCACCACCATGCCCAGCTAATTTTTTGTATTTTTAGTAGAGACAAGGTTTCACCATGTTGGCCAGGCTGGCCTCGAACTCCTGGCCTCAAAAGATCCGCCCAACTCGGCCTCCCAAAGTGCTGGGATTACAGGCGTGAGCCACCACGCCCAGCCACTTTAGGCTATTTTTAAAAATGTTGTTACTATGACAAACTAACTTCTAAACAGAATTTTAATATATATAATTAGAGCAAAAAAAGTACAAATATAGGTGCATGAAGAAAAAATTAAGAAAATATCACCCATAATTCTACCATTCACTGAACATTGTGTGAGATAATCCATTAGACTTTTCTATTTATCAATCTATTTTTTTAATTAAAATTATATATTACACATGTGGTGTTATAATATGCTTTTACCATTTATATTCCAAATATCTTTTTATACTGATGGGTACATATTTTGATATGTGCTTCTTAGCCAGGCTTCTGCTGCCATCTGGAAGGTCCTCTGCAGGAGGTGGCCCCTGTGTTGCGGTCTGTGGACTGCGCTGCCCTTTCAGCTGTGCTCCTCTGTGTGTAGAGCCGAAGTAGGCCCACAGTGTGGGGAGAAGGCCCTGTAGAAGCCACAAGTGAGATACCATGAGCTGGGAGTGGGGTCATCTGGGTGGACAATGACCTGACCTGAGGATACTGGATCTCTGAGTCCTGGGAAAAGCACAGACCAGCATTATCAGGCACAGAGTGCTTTCTTTGCTTTTAGATTGACAGAGATGATGGTAATCTCACTCACTGGGCAAAGTAGGGGAGGTGGTGACATTACTCTGTTTGTCAGGGTGACCAGCAGCCAAGGGAGGCCACGGACACACTCAGGGGAGATGAGCACAGCCACCCCCTAGAATGAGGGTTTTTGATGTTTGCTTGAATGTTTTAATTGTGATAAAATAAACATAATATAAAATGTACTATCTTGACCATTTTTGAGTATACAGTTCAGTAGCATTGTATATTCACATTCTGGTGCAACCAATCTCCAAAACATATCATCTTGCAAAACTAAAACTCTGAATAGTACCCATTAAACAACTCCCTATTCCCATTCCCCTAGTTTCTGGCAACCACCACTCTGCTTCTGTTTTTAATGAGTTCGATTACTCTAGATACCTCATATAAGTGGAATCATACTGTATATGTCTTTCTTGTCTAGCTTATTTCACTTAGCATAATGTCCTCAAGTTTCATTCATGTTGAAGCATGTCTCAGAATTTCTTTCCTTTTTAAGGCTGAATATATTCCATTGAATGGCATATTAGTCCATTCTCATGCTGCTAATAAAGACATACCCAAGACTGGGTAATTTATAAAGGAAAGAGGTTAAATGGACTCACAGTTCCAGAGTCCTCACCATTGTGGCAGAAGGCAAATGAGGAGCAAAGTCACGTCTTACATGGCGGCAGGCAAGAGAGTGTGTGCAGGGGATCTCCCCTTTATAAAACCATCAGATCTTGTGAGACTTATTTACTATTATGAGACCAGTATGGGAAAGACCTGCTCCCATGATTCAATTACCTCCCACCAGGTCCCTCCCATGACACTTGAGAATTATGGTGGCTACAATTCAAGATGAGATTTGAGTGGGGACACAGCCAAACCATATTAAATGGAGATACCACATTTTGTTTATTCATCCATCGATGGATTTGGGTTGGGCTTCCACCTTTTGGTTACAGTGAAGAGTGCTGGTATGAACATGTGTGTGTGCAAATATCTCCTTGAGACCCTGGTTTCAATTCTTTTGGATGCATACTCATGAAGTGAAATTGCTGAATCATATGGTAATAGAATCATAGAATCTATAGAATCATTTGGTAAATGAATTTAAAGTAATTTTAATTTTTAATTTTTGAGTAACCACCCACTGTTTTCCATAATAGCTACACCATTTTACATTCCCACCAACAGTGCTCAAGGGCTCCAATTTCCCCACACCCTTGCTGACACTAGCAATTTTTTGGTTTTTGGGTCATAGTCATCCTAATGGGTGTGAGGTGATATCTCACTGTGGTTTTGATATGAATTTTCCTAACCTAGAACCAGTCCTGTAGAGGAAGTGGAAGTACCTCTGCAAGGTAGAGCCAGGCCCAGAGGCCAAGATGAAGGAATTGAGTTCAAGTCATAGCTTTGAGGTTGACTCCTAACCTGACACAACCCCATCAACGTCTCACTTTTCTCAACCATGCAATCAAGGATGCTAACACCATCCTACCTCTGTTTTCTGTATCACTACTAAGCAGCATTGCACTAATTTCCAAGGAAAACAAAGCTAATAACTTTGTTCCCAAGAGCCAGAGCCATATGTAAACATGAGGCACTCTGGGCAACTTGTCAAGGATCTACCTAAACACCCACAGAACAAGGCAGGACCCTGAAGTCACATCCCAGCTAACATTATCAGCAGCTCACTCTAAATCTTTCAGTGACATCTATATTAAAATATAATCCACTCTGAACCCAGTACTTAACAGTTTATCTGCACCATGAGCCCAACCATATGTCTCCACTTTTTGCCTCTTCAATGGCTTCAAACAAATTCAGAATTTTGAGTTTCCACTGTTTCGTTCTTGTAGCTACTAAGACAATAACAGATTAAATAGGATGAACCAAGCAGCCATACTTCTTGTAAAGTTATCCCCAGAGATAAATGTACAATGTTGTTTCAGAGGCTGTGGTGGTGTCTGCAGTGTAACTAAGGTTGACAGACTGCCTGCATGTGGGTGGCTGTCTCCTTTCCAGCTGTGACCAGCTGAATTATATCACCTGTCCCATTTGATGTATTAGGATATGCCCAAGCTCAAGATGCATGTTGCTGCAATAGGGAAATTAATGTCCACCACTGGAGGCAATTAATAATGATTAGGAGCAAAACAGCAGGGTTAAATCTGTGCATTTAAGAGAGTGTTCATACACTTTTATACTATATTTCAGTCTAGTTGCTCAAAGGAAAACAGAAAATCCTTTTGGGGGACTAGAACAATCTTATCTTAATTAACATGTAAACTTAGATGAAATGTCAAAATCGCTTCAATGAGACATGCTTATTCATTATTTACTTAATCCTCCCTTCCTGGGGTTAGAGAAAAACATTGCACAAAAGTAGCATAGTGTGGGGAGAAATGTTAAGACTGAGTCGAGACGCTTGTAGAACTCTTGCACTTATTGAATTGCTGCATTCAGTCCACGGATTGAGGTGAGTGAGAAATTCTTGCCTCTTTTATTTTACTATTCTGCAGTTACTATATTATAAAAAAGCAGGAAATTGGCAAACCATAGATTTGCAATGCTCAGTTTAGTGCAACTCCATAAAATCTGCCTGTAAAATGCTTAGTGGTAGGTAACTAACTTACATTTGGCGACTAAAATCTGGATGTAAATTTGAATAACAGAAACCTAAGCTGAACAAGGGATTTTCCTTCAAAGGTTCAGAAAATATTGAAAACTGATAGGTTATAAATCTGTCAGTTTAATGTACATAAACATACACGCACCTCTCACTAGGCATTTATGTCACCACGTGTTAGTGCAGAGCATATACAATACAAATATTTATTGATCAGTTATTTTATTAGGAAATTTCATTGAACAGATTCAAATATAACTGGCTGCCAGCTGGACTTTATAGCTCAGAGCAGATTATATACTTAACCTAAGAGATAATGCAATTCTCATTAATTAAAAACTATGAGATAAAGGTCTTGGAAAACTTCGAACCCTATTTTATTACGATGGAATCAAAAAGTAATTCCTTCTCTGTGAATCTGCAATGGCTACTGTGACTTTGAAGTTCTGTTGGCAACCTGGGCTCATGAGTCCAAGGCCACCTAAGGGCGTGGCTTCCCCTTGCATTTCCCTTCCGTTGTGCTTTCAAGAGTGTCTCAGTCTGCATGACCCTCCAACAGACTCAATTAAAAGCGAAAAATGCAGTCAATTATCAGTTATTTGGCTTACCTAACCCAGATATCCAGATATGCATTTGAACATAACTAAAATACTTGAATTTTTAATAGCACATATCAAATACTTGGCACCATTTTTCATGTGGATATTTAGTACCTTGTGCTCAAATAGCCACGCACTAGTTTAGTCCCAATTATTCATTCATGTATTTATTTATTCATTCATTTGTTCATTAAATAGTCTTTATGCCCTCATCACCCTTACTTTTCCATTTGCTTTGAAAATCTCACCAGGACTGAGCATGGCTAGGTTTCAGACAGAGTAAGCCTCTGGTTTATCTATCAATGGATCACATCACTTGGACTACATTGTTTTTATTATTTTTAGGAATCTGTTCATTCGACAGATATTTTTTGAGTACTCACCATGTGTAAAGCACTCTGCTGTATGGATCGCAAAGATAAAAAAAATAAAAGCACAAAAACTCTATTCTCAAGCTTAACGAAAGTGACCAAATGCCAACGTAGTGTTAGTCATTTTCCTCATTCTCACAACAAACCTGTGAAGTAGGCACTATTCCCATCTATACTTGAGGAAATGGCATCTCGAGAAGACTACTTTTTCCAGATGACTTTGATCTGTCCAAGTCACACAGTGGTGATGGCAGAGTCAGGATTCCAACCTCGGTCTTCTGTTTTCTGGCTCTGAGGTCTTGCCACCACACGGCACTTACCTCTTTAGGAGCTGGCCAGCCTAACGGCACATCTAGTGGTTATGTTTCCACAGCCAGGTGTGGATATTAGACCTTTGTCTAATATGCCAAAGACCTCTCTCTCAGTCAAACGTTCCTGGAATATCACTGGCAAAACTGCAGATTCATTGCATCTGTTCCAATTGTTAGACAATGCTGGTGCTTAAGGTGCAACTTCCCCGCCCATGCTCCAACCTCCATCTGCAAGTAAAGACAATATTGATCTTCCCAATGGCCCTGGCCCTTCCTCTGCATTTGCTTTTCAGCTTCCTGTTGGGTTCCTGGCTTTCTAGTCATGGGCCCTTTGGTGTTGACAATATGTTGGGCAGTTTCTTTTCAGTTTGATGAACTTGAGCTGCAGACTCAACTTGTTGTTCTGCCCCCTCCTCTAGTATAGCGCCCCCTGTAGGCATGGATGATCATCACCCACCCGCCTAGCCCTGGAGAGCCCACCTGGTGTGCCAGCCCCTGGTCCTCCTGCCCCTCCTTACCTCACCGAGGAGGAAGGCATGGGTAATTTGAGAAGAAGATGCCCTGGTTCTTAAATGGGGTACATTATAATCTTCTGGGGATTTGATTAAAAAATAGATACCTGAACCTTTCTCTAAACCTCCTGGATCTATAGAAGTGTGTTTCAGTCTGTTCCCCAGCTGAAGAGAAAGCACACAAAAACCTAAGAAGCACTGGTGCAATAAGAGGGTGCTATTGGCAAGCACACACCTTCCTACACTGGAATAAGAAACTTTATCAGGTTGAACCTTTTTTTAACCTCAAGAGAAAGACAAAAGGAAATAGCTAATTTGCTAATTATTTCAGAAGATTATTAATCTTGCAAGGTGTCACCACACAGACTTCAAACATGAGCAAAATCATAGGGATTGTACCCTTTTAGCATTTAGTAAAAGAAAATTGTATTTCCCTATTTAGAAAAAAAATCTGTATGCATTAGGGAACTGTTGGAGACCAGCCCTAAAGTTCTGAGGAGCTGTCCAAGAAACTGAGGATGAAAGATTTCACAGACTCAGTGCTTCTCCATTACCCAGCTCTGAGTCCAATTCAGCTCAAATGTTAGTGGGACATATATTGGACCCATATAGCTAATTTTAAAAGCCAAAATGTCAATGATAAGATGTACCTGAAAAAGAATTTAATAGGACGCCAAGGAAACACATTTTAAAACTCTTTATGTAATGGATTACGTTTATTGATTTGCATATGTTGAACCAACCTTGCATCCAAGGGATGAAGCCAACTTGATTGCAGTGGATAAGTTTTTTGATGTGCTGCTGGATTCAGTTTGCCAGTATTTTATTGAGGATGTTCACCTCGATGTTCTTCAGTGATACTGGCCTGAAGTTTTCTTTTTTTTGTTGTGTCTCTTCCCAGTTTTGGTAACAGGATGATGCTGGCTTCATAAAATGAGTTAGGGAGGAATTTTTTGCAATCTGCTCATCTGAAAAAGGTCTAATATCCAGAGTATGCAAGGAAGTTAAACAAATTTACAAGAAAAAAAACATCAAAAAGTGGGCAAAGGATATGGACAGACACTTCTCAAAAGAAGACATTTATGCAGCCAAAAAACATGAAAAAAAGCTCAACATCACTGACCATTAGAGAAATGCAAATCAAAACCACAATGAGATACCATTTCACGTCAGTCAGAATGGCAATTATTAAAAAGTCAAGAAACAATAGATGCTGGTGAGGCTTTGGAGAAATAGGAATGCTTTGGTAGTAATGTAGATTAGTTCCTGTTGGTAGGAATGTAAATTAGTTCAAGCATTGTGGAAGACAGTATGGTGATTCCTCAAGGATCTAGAACCAGAAATACCATTTAGCCCAGCAATCCCATTACTGGGTATATACCCAAAGGAATATAAATCTTTCTACTATAAAGGCACATGGACACTTGTGTTTATTGCAGCACTGTTTGCAACAGCAAAGTCATGGAACCAACCCAAATGCCCATTGATGATAGACTGGATAAAGAAAATGTGGTAAGTATACACCATGGAATACTACACAGCCATAAAAAGGAATGAGATCATGTCCTTTGCAGGGACATGGATGAAGCTGGAAGCTATCATCCTCAGCAAACTAACACAGGAACAGAAAACCAAACACTGCATTTTCTCATTCATAAGTGGGAGTTGAGCAATGAGAACACATGAACACAAGAAGGGGAACATCACACACCAGGGCCTGCTGGGGAGTTGGGGGTGAGGGGAGGAAAACTAGAGGATGGATCAATAGGTACAGCAAACTACCATGGCACGTGTATACCTATGTAACAAACCTGCACGTTCTGCACATGTATCCTGGAACTTAAAGTAAAATAAATAAATAAATAAATACTAATTATGACATTAAAAAACCTATTGGAAATGAAATATATTTTGCTTTGTGACTTGCAACCCAGTGTGACTTAATTATCCTGTATTTTCTTCTAAATGATCTCTGATAAAGAAATCTTTTTGCCAAAAAAAAAAAAACAACTAAAAACAAAAACCAAAAAACCCAAACCTCTTAGTGGGCCTTTTGCTTGGCTATTTTCTGCTTTAGTTAAGGATGCAGGCTTTCAAACACTGAAACATTAAACTTGTGTTTGGACTGGATTTGAGGAAGACAAGAAGCATTCATTGTTGAGGTCCCTGACCTCACAGGCATTATGACCCCGATGCCAACCTGGGCATGATGTGCTCCACGGAGGATTTTGGGCCCAGGGCTTTCTCTCTAGGTGACGGGCTTGAGTGTGGAAAGCTGACCCTTGGTGCATGGAGACTGACCAGCTGTGGCTTGACCTGCACACTGAGGATGGTGGCAATATTTGCTATTGAGGATGCCCAGCAGGAATTGTTGATGGCTGCCTAGTACCTGAGAGCAACTAGCAGATGGGCAGGGAGAAGCTCTGATGGGAGAGAAGCGTGGGTCAGTCATCTTAACTTTAAATAGAGTCAGTGTTCCTGACTTTCCTGCAACCACAATCAAAGGAAACAGCGTTGGAGGAGAGGAGAGAGTGAGTTACATACTGGCGTCACTCCCGGTATAGTGCATTTCCTTTGCCTGTACAGTGGACATAATGCTACCCACCTTGCAGGGCTATGAGGATTCAGCTGAATGAATGTGCTTAGCACAGAGCTTGGCACCTTGGAGGTGCCACTCGAGTGTAGTCTATTGCTACACTAGAGTGTAGTCTATTGCTGTATAACAAATTACCCCAAACTTGGCTACTGAAAACAATAAACATGTATTATGTCACATTTTCCATGGGACAGGGGACCAGGAGTGACGTAGTTGAGTGCATCTGGCTCCAGGTCTCCGTGAAGTACTCTCAAGGGCTACAGTTGGCCAGGACAGCAGTCACCTTATAAGGCTCAACTACTGCCAAAAGTTTTACCTCCACGCTCACTTACATAGTTGCTGGCGGGCCTCAGCTCCTTGCAGGCTGTTGCACTCAGGGCTTCAGGGTCCACCACACCACATGGCGTCTCCACAGGGTTGCCCACAACATGGCAGCTTGCTTCCACTAGGGCAAGTGATGAGAGACAGAGAGAGAACCCAAGACAGAATCCACAGACTTTCTAATCTCCAAAGTAACATTCAATCAATTCTGTCATATTCTGTTTTTTAGAAGAGATCCCACACTAAAGGTATTACACGAGGATGAGGCCATGAATGCCAGAAGGCAAGGACCGTTGGAGGTCATCTTACAACCTACCCACCAAAGCTTTGTCTTCAGTTTGGAGAAGTTTTGAGTTACTATTCGCAGCATACCAAGAACAGTATCTGCAATCAGTAACTGCCATGCAAGTATTTGTTAATAAAGGGTAAGTATTGTCTTGTGACACTTTTATAGAATATACATTAAGTGTACTGAGTTTCAATATAAACTGTATTTCTTATTGTGAGTAAAGGTCAAAAAAAATTTAGGATTTTGGTCTTTCACAGAAATGTGAAGCCCCTGAATGATTTCATCAGAGAGGAGTGGCACCATCAGGTTTACATTCTGAAAAGATGGCTTTGGCTGCAGTATGAAGAATGGGTTGAGGAGCTCATGAGACAACCAGGTGGGAGGCTCTCGCAGAAGATGAGGCAGAGATGATGGTGGCTCATGGGCAGGACTGAGAAATGGCCACAAGGACCCATGGGTGCTGATATTGCATGCAGAGATCTTGAGAGCTGTTTTGTGCATTCTGTGGCTGGGTCTTTGATCAGTGGAGAAAATTTTGTGATGGCATCTGAATCCACCTGGAACATCAGTGCCTGTATTGGTCACAGTTTTTCTGGTGGCAAATAACAAAATCCTTCTCTAGGTATCTTGAGTGCATCCCCTGTACCTCAGTTATAGTGGCTTTAGCTTCATTAATTCATTCACCTATCCATCTATCTATTCAGCTACTAATCACATTGTTCACTCCCCTCTGTGCCAGTTACTGCACCGGACACTGGGGATACAACCATGAAAAATCCAGGCACAGAGCCCACCTTTACGGGGGGTAAGAATCAAGTGGAGATAAGGAAATGGGTGACTTCCAACACAATGACAAGCCCAGGCAGGGTGGGATGGCAGCCCACTGTACAACTGTCTACTCAAGTTTGGGAGGCTGGTCAAGGAAGGCTTCCAAGAGGAGGTAATAATATAATAATATCTAGGCTGAGACCTGAGGAGAAGAAAGGGTTCACTAGGAAGGGAGAAGGAGGCCTGAGGAGATTGGCCTGTGCAGTGTGGGGGCTGTGAGAGAAGGATGATCTTTTCCAGCTTTCAAGTGGAAATCAGAATACGGATTCCTACAGGAGGTTCCCCGCCCCCTAACAGTTTGTGACGGTAAGGACAGGCCCCTGAGATGACTCGTCACATTTCCAAAAGTGGGATGGAACCTGCATAAGGCAAGCAGGACAAAGAAACTGCCTATGTCTCAGGGTTCTGGTGGAATTTCATATGCCCTGGGCCAAAGCTCCTTATCTTGTGCTAATCAGAAGTTCCAACTGGCAGTTCCATGTCTTTGATTAATAAAAATAGGGGTGGTAATTAATTACTTAATAAATGCAATTTCCTTTCCTCAATTTCTGTCCTCAAATTCAACTATTTTATTTTATCTTACTGTAAGGTTTGTATACCTGTAAGTGGTCCTAAAAGCCTCAATGGACACAGGCATGACATAAATAAACACATGCATAAAAATTCTTATTCTACGTTACATTTTTTCCAAAACATGGGGGTCACCAGGGGAGCAGTGATCAACAGGCTCTTTACCTTAACAAGGTTGAGAAACTCAGGGCTGACTCTGGGATAAATGCCCAGCTGTGAAGCTTAGTGTTTTTATCAATGGGCCAGAACCTGTGTCATTCCCCCGTGAAGGAAGAGGATATTATAATATGCCTTCATGGAAGAATCCTCCAACATTATCAGGATCGACAAATTCAGAATTTCACACAGAATTTGCAGCATTCTCAGTGACACTGTTTAGATGTTAATTAAATAGGCATAATAAAATTTATCAGTTAAACCATAAAAGAATAAAAAAGATTGTTCAAACTAGCAGAGGGGGAAAAAAATGGAAGGAAGGGGAAAACTAAATCCGAAAAGAGGAAAGACAAAGTATAGAAATGGAACAAATAGAAATGATAAAATAAGATAGAGTAATTTAATGAATCCAAATATATTAATAATCACACTCAATGGAAATGGACTAGGTTTTCTAGTTAAAAGACTAAGGCCATCAGATCTGATTCAAAATAAAAGAGAATTCACTGCAGTAACAGGAAAAAAAACTTCAGCCGAATTATGTTCATAATTAATATCCATAAAATATAAGGATATGGAAACTTCATAGTAAAAGAAAGTAAAAGGATATAACAGATGTATTCAGTGGGACTAGATTTCACTACAAGTGACAGAAAACTCCAAACAACAGAGGCTTAAACAAGATAGAATGTACTTTTTCTCTGTTGTAGGTCAGTGTCCATGGTACTGCCTTGTATCAAGGACCCAGACTCTTTCTATTCTATGACTCTACCTTGGGAGCCCTTGACCTCAAGGTCCAAGATGGCAGCACCTGGACAGTCCAGGATAATGAGGGAAGGAAGGAGGAAGAAGAAGAAATGGCATATCCTGCACTGCCTTTTAAGGAAGGTCCTCAGAAGCTGTTAACCCATGTATTTTCATCTCCCTGACCAGACATTAGTCGTATGGCCACATCTAGCTGCAAAGGAAGCTGAGAAATGTAATCTTTACTCCAGGAGGTCAAGTCTCCAGCTAAAAATTGGAGGGAGGATTCTGTTATCACAGAAGACGCAGAGAACAAATTTTAGGAACAACTTCGTCACACAAGCAAATAACCAAAGAGGGCTGGTATAATAGCAGATGAAGCAGACCTTAGGCAAAAGGCATTACTATAGGTAATGAGCATGAGTACATATTTTTTAAAAAGATTTAATTCACCAGAAGTATGTATATACTTAGTAACAAAGCTTCAAAATATATAAAACAAGAATTGACAGAATACAAGAAGAAACTGAAAAATAGACCACTATCAAGAGAGACATTCAATGGTTGATAAATCAAGCAGAGAAAAAAGTCAGTAAGAATATCAAAGACTTCAGAAACACAAGGTTAATTTAATGAACATATATAAGTACTATCTCCAATAACCATAGAATAGATGTTATTTTAATACACACAGAAAATATTTATGGAAATTGACTACATTATAAATCAAAAGTAAGTATTGACAAATTACAAATATTTGATATGAGTTAAGCCATATTCACTAACTGATAAATGGTGAAATTAAGTTATAAATAAATTATAAAAAGATATTAAGCCATTTGTTTTGAACATTTAAAGAACATGGTCAAAGAAGAAATCCTGATAGAAATGAGAAGATGCTTAAAATGAAAAAAAAAATGGAGGGGAAATGACATTAATTAAAACTTGGTGGATGAAGAACTAATATTTGGAACATATAAAGAACTCTCAAAGCTTGAGTATAAAAAACCAAACAAGTCAACTATAACATGGGCAAAAGATATGAGGAGACATTTCACCAAAAAATTTATGTATATATATGTACAGATGGCAAATAAACACAGGAAAAGATGTTCAACATCATTAGCCACCAGGGAACTGCAAATTAAAACCGCAATGAGATATCACTACAAGCCTAACAGAATGGTTAAAATAAAAAATAATGACAGCCGTATGGTGGCAAGGATGTGGAGAAACTGGATCAGTCACACATTGCTGGTGGGAATGTAGAATGGTAGAGCCACTCTGGAAACTTCTGAAAAAACTAAGCATGTAACTATTAATACCAAACTTGTACATGAATCTTCATTGCAGCTCTATTGGCAATACCCAATATGGAAACAACCAGATGCCCTTCAATGGGTGAACGGTTAAACAAATTATGGTACATTCACACCATGGAATAGTATTCAGCAATAAAAAGGAAAAAATGATTGATACAACAACCTAGACAAATCTTCAGGGAGTTATGGTAAGTGACAAAAGCCAATCTGACAGGTGATATAATGTATGATTCCATTTATATAACATTCTTGGAAAGACAAAATTTTAGAAATAGATTAGATATTGCTAGGAGTTAAGCAGAGGGTGGAAGTAGGAGGAAGAGAGAGTGGCTGTCAAAGGTCAGTGTGAGGGATGCTTGTGGTGATGGAAATGTTCTGTATCTTGGCTGTGTCAATGTCAATATCCCGGCCAAGATACCATACTATAATTTTGTAAGATGCTATCATTTGGGGAAACAGGGTCAAGGGTACAGGGAATCTCTCTGTATTATTTCTTACAACTGCATGTGAACTTGCAATCACCTCAAAATAAAAGATTCAATTAAAAAATCTTATGGGATGCAGTGAAAGTAGTACATTCACAGAGTTAAACATTTATGTTAAAAAGAAAAGGCTTAAAATTGGCAATATAAGAAATTAGGAAAATAATAGCACAATAGGCTCAAATAAAATGGAAGAAAATAGTAAAGAGCAGAAATTAATAAAATCAGAACAACAGAAGTACTGTACAGAAGATTGACCCAGCTAAAAAGTGGTTCTCCGTAAAGATCAATAACATGGGCAAACCCTTGGCAAGACTGATCTTGAAAAAGAGAGAGAAGACTCAAATTAACAATTTTGGGAATGAGAAAAAGGATATGACTTAGTTTGGATGTCGTTCTCTCTAAATCTCGAGTTGAATTGTGATCTTTAGTGTTGGAGGTGAGGCCTAATGGGAGGTGAATGGATCATGAGGGTGAATTTCTCAGGAGTGGTTTAGCACCATCCTTTTGGTACTGTCCTTACAATAGTGAAGTTATCATGAGATCTGGCTGTTTAAAATCGTGTGACATATTTTCCCTTGCTCTCTCTTGCTCTAGTTCTCGCCTGTCATGACTGTAAGTTTCCTGAGGCCTCACCAGAAGCTGAGCAGATGCCAGCACCATGCTCTCTGTACTGCCTGCAGAACTGTGAGCCAATTAAACCTTTTTAAAATAAATTACCCAGTCTCAGATATTTCTTTATGGTAATGCAAAAATGGCCTAACAAAGGATATAACTGTAGGTGTAGTAAACACTAAGAGAAGAGAGGAAGGCAGGAAGAAAGGGGTGGGGGGGAGGAAGGAAAAGAAAGAAGGAAGGAAATCCTTTCAAACTCATTTTGTGATACCAAACGTAGACAAAAACAGATCAAGATCCAAAAATACTGAATAAAATAAAAGTAAACCAAAATTACCAACAAATAAGAGATCAAGTAGGGTTTATCCCAGAAATGCACTGTTGGTTCAATATTAAAAAAATTTATTACTTTAGTTTGCCACATTAAGAGATTAAAGGAGAAAAACCTCATGATCATCTCAATAGGTGAAGAATTCAGTAAAATTCTAAAACCGTTCATCATAAGGACCCTAGAAAAATTATTGCAAGCTAAATGCAATACATGAATGTGTATGAATATTTGTAGGAGCAAAGAACTGGAAGCAACACAGGTGTCCATGAACAGTAGATTGCATGAATAAATTGTTTTATATTTGTACCAAGGAATATGGCCACAGACAACGATGTGGATGAATTTCACAATGTTGGGCAAAAAGAGCATGACAGCAGCACATCTACAGACATATCTTTTAGGGACAGGCAGAAAACTTTAGGTAAAGCAGGGTAGTGATTAACACAAAATACACAACGGCATTTCCTCAGGGCAGTGGGGGAAAAGAATACATGAGGGTGGCCCTCAGGAGGGCTGAGTTGTGGGCAATATTTTATTGAGTGGGTGGTAGGTACCTAGGTGCTCATTTGATTATTATCCTTTAAACCAGCAAAAATTTAATATATACCCTTTTATATGCATGATAACTTTTATCACTAAAAAAAGAAAAACGGTCCGGGCACGGTGGCTCATGCCTGTAATCCCAGCACTTTGGGAGGCTGGAGGCGGGTGGATCACCTGAGGTCAGGAGTTCGAGACCAGCCTGGCCAACATGGTGAAACCCCATCTCTACTAAAAATACAAAAATTAGCCAGGTGTGGTGGCAGGTGCCTGTATACCTAGTTACTCAGGAGGCTGAGGCAGGAGAATCGCTTGAACCTGAGAGGCAGAGGTTGCAGTGAGCCGAGATCACGCCATTGCACTTCAGCCTGGGCCTCAGAGCAAGACTCCATCTCAAAAAAAAGAAAAGAAAAATAAAACTTTTCCTTGGCATTCCCTGCATTCTTATAGCTTCACCAAGTCAATCGTTCACCTTTTCCACCATCAATACTGATTCTTTAGAAACTCAAACCAAAAGAGAAGTGAGTGGAAGAACAAGTGACACTCCTTAGGCTTCTCCCACTTCTCTGGGGTCTCAGCTGTGTGGGCCAGCATTGTTTCCATGGTTCTTTCAATAGGCTTCTTATCAACTTTGTTATGCCTCAGCCTAAAGCAAATCTAGCTTAGCTGAGATTTAATTACCCTTTATACTTTCTATTATAATCTGTGTATGCCATACATGAGCAGCTACTATTCATTCTATCATTTTCTTGGACACTTACTATGTGCCAGGAGCTAGACTAAATATGTCAGTCATTGGCTCATTTTCCTTCTCCCTCCTGAGGTACCTGCCATAATTATCCTCATTTCTCAGATAAGGAAACTGGTCACGTGACTAGGATGTGGAAGAGCTGAGATTTGGATGCAATGCTGTTTGTCCACATGCTGTATTGTCAGAAAATAAAACTGGTGCTTTGAGGAATTTGATTTGGATAAAGCAAAATGGCATTTGAAATAGCATCTGTGCTGAGGAATGCATTTATTGCCCTTGTGTGGGGACAGAATATCTAATATAGTAGGAAAGCCACATTATACCAAGCTTTCACTGAGTGTAGTTGCTGGCTTCAACTGGCCCAGATGTGTGTCTGCATCCGGGGATTGACCCAGATGTGTGTCTGCAGGTACACAGCCTAGTGCTCTGCATCAAGAAGAGCTGCAATTATGTGCTGCTGTATTTCTTTATAATTACCCAAAGGAAGCTCTAGGACTTAAAGACCACAGGCATACTTTCTTTACAATCCTCAGGCCAGCCTAAATCAATTCCAACTATAACTGTCCTTGGGGTTCCAAAAAGACCTCTTATTAAAATGATCCATAATTTTGATTAGTTTCTATTGCTCTCAGCAGAGGCCTGGGCCTGATGGCTGTGATTCACACATATTCTTCCTGAATAGAGGCTGGACTGCTTATGTGTTTGAGGTGGTCCTCAGAGAGGAAGGGGTTGGCCCTCTAGACCCAAGTCAATTTGACTTTGCTCTCATTATTGCTACTCTGGATTGTGTCTGCAGGTAGGCAGCCTGGCCCACTCCCACCCATGTTCCCAAGCTCAGTTCAGAGGAGGCTTACTGCGGGGAGAGGGGCTCTGCGGCTTGGAATCTACCTCACAATAGAAATCGCTATCACCTGAGACCTACTGTACAGTTGAGATGCCCCATATATATCATCTCATTGAATGATGTGTTATTACTAATTTGTATGAAAGAGAAAGAACCTGAGACTCAGAGAAGTGAATCACACTGAACAATGTCACAAAATTAAAAAGGGGCAGAGCTAGGATTTGAACCCTAATCAGCCAGACCCTCTCCTCCTCCTACTGTGCATGGCACCTACATGAGAAGAGTCGTTCTGCTTGGATGAGAGTAACAAATCAATGGACAGAACGTCACACCAGGGTCAGGAGTTAGGTTGTTCTCCCATGCACCCTCTCTCTACAACACGGACTCTGAGGGGTTGATCTCCTTCAAACAGAAGCACATCTCTGACACTGAAGGCAAGGTGATGTTTTTGTCTTTCATTATCACTAGTACAAGAAGAAACAAAAATACTGCTAACAAGTTTGGAGGAAGTTTGTAATCCAAAGTTGATACATGCTAAAAGCGAAAGTGGTTGCTTTAAAACAATGGAATGTTTTCATTTGAAAGTTGATTGAGACATTGGATTCATTTCAATATCTTCATAGTATCATCAGCTTTATAGCTGGACAAATAAATAGATAGACCTATAATATCACCATTCAAATAATTAAAAAGAAATAAAATGATGCCAGATGTTTATTTGGAATAACCCATAGAACACATTGAAAACAATTCCTATCTCTGCAACTGGAAATTTGAATTGATCATTACTGGGCATTAAATGTGCGTATGTTTTCCTGAAGTTCCTAAATCTATTTAATTTCTATGTTGACAGAGATATTAGACAGCTGTTTGAAAATCTGTCTCTCTTTCCTGAGCTATGCACAAGAAATCTTTATGTTAAACCACGAAATGTCAATGAGAGCTCTTCAGTGCACTAATCAGCCTGCGAGTGGAATGTGCGCGCGGGAAGCAATAACCTTAACTTACATTCTCAATAGTCTTGATTGCCCCATGTGCAGCCCCTTAAGACATGGCTGTTGAAGGCAACGTCTCCCAAGTGCTGCTATGCAATGCCAGCCTGGGTGATTAGAGTCAAAGATGATGAGTTTGGAGGCGTGCTCTCCATAAATGGCTTCAGCAGTGACTCACTGCATGCCCCAGGGGAACATTCCTGAATCTTCTGCCTCTATTACCTCATTGCCCATCTCAACCCCATCCACTCCCTCCAAATGGGACTGAATGCCTCCATCTTTGAAGAGCCTATGGCAAACTGCCATGGGAATCAGGTGCAAGAAAAAAAAGGAAACCAACCTCAATCTTTTGGAGTCTTTTGAGGGGAGCCTGGTGAACTTAATCGACATCACCTACCATCATTTAGCATCTTCGGAAACAGTTCCACAGCCCAAAGCAGGGAAAAAGCCAACTTTTATATACAAGGTCTTCTTTGTAGTGTGATTTATAAAAACGGGAGGAAAAGGATTAAGTCTAGGTATCTTAGAATAGGGAAATGGCTACATAAATTATGCTAAACATCAATCTATAACATACCTGTTAAAAATAAAGTTCACCAGAATCAGAAGTGCAAAAAAAGCAAAAGCTCCTTATACATCCCCTACTTTGGTGATCTTCCATGGTCAAAGTGTGGCTTCTTTCTTCCTTCCTTCCTTCCTTCCTCTCTCTCTCTCTTTCTTTCTTTCTTCTTTCTTTCTTGCTTTTTCTTTCATTCTTTCCTTCTTTCTCTCCTTCTTTCCTTTCTTTCTTTCTCTTTCTTTCTTCTTTCTTCTTTTTTTTTTTTTTGAGATGGAGTTTCCCTCTTGTTGCTCAGGCTGCCGTGCAATGACATGATCTCAGCTCACTGCAACCTCTGCCTCCCAGGTTCAAGTGATTCTCCTGTCTCAGCCTCCCAAGTAGCTGGGATTACAGGTGCATGCCACCATGCCCAGCTAATTTTTGTATTTTTAGTAGATATGGGGTTTCTTCATATTGGTCAGGCTGGTCTCGAACTCCTGACCTCAGGTGATCCGCCTGCCTCGGCCTGGTCTTTTTCTCTTAAGATCAGAAACCTGGCTGTGGGCATACTGAGATGGGGATCTGTTTCTCAGGAATGGACACACATTAACCAAGGTTGTGAGATGGATACCTTGAAGCAGAATTCGACGTGTCATTTTATATCCAGAAATCTGTTTCAAGCTCTGGAATACTTAGACTGGCATAATCAGCACATTCTTTCCCTAGAAATAAACTATATGGGATGCAACCTCCTATTGAACACATCCATTTACCTGCTACTATTCATTGGGTCTTGTGTACCAGGTACTGCACTAAGCAATTATCTATATCTCATTTAATGAGATCACATTTGCAAAGCATTTAGTACATGTCCAACCCATAGTAAGTACTCCATATTTGTTAACTGACATTATTACTCCTCCTACTTATCCTCCTCATCTCATTGTGGTTTCTAAATGACATTATCCCTTCTCTGCAAATGAGAAAAATAAGACAGAGCAGTTCAGTTACTGCCCAAGCAAGTCAGGAAGTGGCAGATTCACAAGGAGAAATACAATCGTCAGAGGAACTGGAAAACTCAGTGCACATCACCAAAGTCTTCTCCTGCTTGGTAGGCCCCTGGGGAAGCATAATCAGAAGGCTGCTTCTTAAGTGTGGAGTCTCAGCAAAGGGAGTGCGAGGAATTGAGCATTGAACAGCATCAGGCCCAAGCAATTTGATATGCTCATCTCCTATTAGGATGATCTTGAATTTGAGACCCATTGTCCAAGACTCCCTATCCCCAGAATAAGAAAGAGAAGCTAATACTTACTGGGAACTTGTATGACAAATCCACATTTAATCTTCAGTACAACATAATGAGGTAGGTAGTGACCTCCCCTCCAAGCCATTTTAAAGATAAGGAAAGGCACGATAAGGTTAAGGATCATTCCCCAAGATTCTGCAGTGAAATGAGCTACAGAGGCTGGATTCAAATGCTGGACAGTTCAACTCCAAAGCCCTGTCCACCTTGAAGCTCCAAGGCCTCTCCTGGGAAGGAAGAGCAGCCCCAGGGAGCAGCCAGCAGCACTGGCTCTCTGTTCTCCAGGCTTCTCTCCTCGTGACCACGTACCCTCTTGAGACAGAGTAGCCCAGTCTGTCAAATTATAGCTGCATTGGCTGAGAGCCATTTTATCTCTCAGCGACTCCACATCTCCTGGCTCCAACCTATTCCATATATATTGTATGTATGTATGTATGTATGTATGTATGTATGTATGTGATCCATTATGTTTGATTGTAAAGTTTTACTCTTAGGGTGAGCCTATTTTCATAATCTATAAGTTCTTGGATAAATTGCCTCATTGTAATTCTCTAATACTGAAATGGCAGCCAGTTATTATCCTTTAGTTTTAGTAACTCAGGGAATGCTTGTGATACAATGTAGAATAAAACAAAGCAGGATCTAAAATTGTGTATACAGCAGGACCGTAGTTATGTTTAATAATAAGATGGTTAGAGAATCACCAAAATGTTTACAGTGGGTCACTTTGGTGATAGAACAATGCATGCTTTTTTCTTCCTGATTTTCTACAATTGGTGGCTAACTAATGGTGTTTATTTTATGCCAGGCACTGTGTTCTTGCTTTGCATGGTCTCATTTAATCCTCCCAACACACAGAGGTATCACTACTGCCATTTTGCAGATGAGGAAACTGACAGACAAACTAAGTACCTTGCCCAAGGTGGCCTGTGACTAAATGACAGAGAAGGAATCCTAAGTTTGTCTTAGTACAAATTATGTTGTATTACTTGCTAGGGTTGTCGTAACAAAATATCACAAAGTGGGTGGTTTAAACAACAGGAATTTATTTTCTCAGAGTTCTGGAGGCTGGAAGTCCAGTATCCAAGTGCTGGCAGTGTTGGTTTCCTCTAAAAGCTCTCTTCCGGACTTGCAGATGGCTGCACATGGTGGCCCCTTGATCTGTGGACATGTCTGGTTCTCTCTGTGTGTGTCCAAATTTTCTCTTCTCATAAGAACACCATTCATAATGCATTAGGGCCCACCCTAAAGATCCCCATTTTAACTTGCTTACCTCTTTCAAGACCTTATATCCAAACGCAGACACCATGACATACTGGGGGTTAGGACTTCAACAGATGAATTTTGAGCAGGGGTGGTGGGGGTGGAGACATAATGTAGCCAATTACATTTATCTATCTTCTTAATCAGTAAATAATTCTGCTACCCATAAAGAATTTGTTTTATAACTTTTAAAAATTTTATTTTCAAG
Organism: Homo sapiens; assembly: GCF_000001405.40. Taxonomy (NCBI): domain Eukaryota; kingdom Metazoa; phylum Chordata; class Mammalia; order Primates; family Hominidae; genus Homo; species Homo sapiens. Next base: position 26,577,800 of record NC_000007.14, read on the forward strand.
CCATGCAGAGTCACGTTGGAAAAACCTTTCTTGTTCCAGCTGAAGGATGACATCTCAGTGTGGGCTGCTTTGTTTGTTCACTAATTTAGAAATAACATCCTGATTGGCAAAGGGAAAATGATTAACTGGAATTCAAGGAACTTCAAAATGGCTCACCTAACCCTCTTTGAGCATTTAATAAGATTTATTTTGCTATCCAGCCAGAGTTTTAATCAAATGGCAAATTTATTCAAATCAAGGCAGTATGAAGAATATTAGAAGGATAAACTCCTTTAAGAAACTAAAAATTCAGTTGAGGAGACAAAAGCATAGGTATATAAAACACTAATAGCAGTGCATGACAGTGATACAAGAAATACCACAAGCAGAAGGGAATCACAGAAAGCGGAAGCCAGAAAGTAGATGTTGTGAGTTCAGACAAAAGTCTGAGAGGGGTGATCAAAGAAGGCTTCCTGAAGGAGGAAGAACTTACTGTGTTGATCAGCTAGGGAGTCTTTTCTCCCTACCTCACAGGGTACTAAGAGGTTCAAGACATGTTCAATGATGTCATGTGTCTAGGAGGAGCTGGTGAGATGAATGAGAACTCAGGGAGGGATGGAGTGGGTAAGTGCTGCCAAAATCTGCTGGTGTGTGGGGGCGGTGCGGGGAAGAAAGTTTCCAGAATAACTATAGTGACCAGAATGAATCTGGATGAATTTGGAGATGGGTTTGGGTCAGAGGTACCAGTGGCACGTGGAGCAAGTCAGCTGGAAGGAGAAGCTGGACAGGGCTCAAGTTTCTGATGTTGATGGAGGAAGACTCACAAGGGATCTGAGGGCAAACGGAAAACTGGGCCTGGCTGCCTGCTTTCATCTTCCAGATGAGCAACAAGAGAAGAGAAGAGAAGAGGAGAAGAAGAAGAGAAGAGAAGAGAAGAGAAGAGAAGAGAAGAGAAGAGAAGAGAGGAGAGGAGGAGAGGAGAGGAGAGGAGAAGAGAAGAGAAGAGAAGAGAAGAGAAGAGAAGAGAAGAGAAGAGAAGAGAAGAGAAGAGAAAAGAACCCCCAGATCTTCTGCAAAAGGCAGAGGAAAATAATAGGGACAATATACGTGAGAATGCTCCTCACCTGTGACAAGACCTTGCACCTGGCCTGCCAGCCCTCTAGTTAGCCAGCCCTCTAGTTAGCCAGCCCTCTAGTTAGCTACCAGTGGAATCAAGCCGAGGGTCAACATTTGCAGCCGTTTGGCCCAGGAGCTTCATCAGCAGATAAATTGGATTTATTCTGGAGGCCATAAATTTTTTTAAAAAGTGTTGGGAATATTGGAAGAACTTTATCATGATTCCACTTAGTGGACCAAGGTCAAGTACTCAACTCAGTCTCTTCAAGAAGGAAGTAGCAGACATAGGGCACCCATGACAGAAAGGGAGGCAGATGGTGACGTGTGGCCAGGAGCTAGCTGGGGCGCAATAGTCAATGTGCTCTGGAGCCAGGCTGCCTGGGTTCAAACCCCTGTCCACCACTGACAAGCTGTGTGACTTTGAGCAAGTTACTCTATCTCTCTGTGCCTTGGTTTCCTCATCTGTAAAATGGAGCTGGTAACTGAACCCATCTCACAGGGTTGTTGCAAGGATTCATTGAGATAACACATGTCTGATATTTAGGTAACACTCAAGAAATGTTTGCAGTGATATGAGTGTCAGTGGGAGGCTGCCTGGAAATGTAAGCAGCTGTGTGGGGGGAGTTACAGCAGAGGCAATGGGAGCATGGGAGAGCTTAGGGGAAATCAGAGATGACGGATCCTAAGCTCATGCCCAGACATTGCAAGCATGCTTAAAAACAACAAATGACCTCTTGATGCAATGCCTAACAGGAAACATGTTCTAGGTGTTGAGGAAGTGGATTTGGCAGAGACTATATTTAACCTTAGTACGAGGCACACCAGTGCACACCTGGGAGATGGTTCTGTCACCAGGACAAGGAGGTGACCCAGGCCTGGCAGCATCCTTGGCCTGCGGGGAGGCTCCCCCAAGGGTTCTCCTCTGTTCCAGGGAAGGTGGCTGGAGGAGTGACTGAAGTTAAAGGTCGAAGGCTGAGGATGATCTAGAAAAGTCGTAGTTGCAGGGAGGCTGAGAAATGGGTGACGGGCCAGGCACCCCACCAGAGAGAGCGAGAGAGCACTGAGGTGACGTTGGTGTGGCTGGGAGAGATGGTGCGGGCCTCCGTAGAAGCAGCAACTTCCTGACATCCATGACAAGGAAGAGGACGCAAGGATCCAGAGCTTTCAGACACAAGGGTCACGGGAGAAGGGCTGAGGATGATGAGGGAATGCATGGCTGCCGAGGTCTCTCCTCTCCCTTTCCTTTTCTCTGTGATGCTTCCTGCTGCCTCCTCTCTCAGGGTCATGTGGCTTCTTTCTTAGCCATTTGTCATCTCTACCCCTCTGATATCATCAGCTCACACAAGCCCCAAAAGTGACCTTCTATTTCTGCCCTTCAGTTTCTGTCATCCCTACTACCCCATTGATTCTCTCTGTGTTTCTTGGTTCAAATTTCCATAAGAAATCTCATTGGCTGGTTCATCTTTTCCAGACTAGGTCTCGCTATAAAGCATGAGTCAGCTTCAGGCTACACTTGGATCTGGTGATGACCCTGGACCCACTCAGCTGTGACCAGCAACACAGAAGGCCCCGGGACCCACCAGCAAACAGCCAACCCTTATAAGCTTCAGGGGCTGGGGTGGGATAGTTGCCCTCAGATGGAGGACTTAGGGGACATCATCACCAACACATACAATCACAAAAATATGAGTAAAACCCACTGTCATCAAGGCCATGGAATACAGAAAGTGGAAAATGAAGCTTATGAGAGTGAGAAAAGAAAAATAAATGGAAGGCATTTCAATGAGAGAACTGCGTTGAAAAAGTGAGACCTGTATTCCACATGAAAGAAGCTTTTATAAGGCTTTTCCCTTGGTCCATAGAGGGAGACAGGAAATTAAACACCCAGTGTGAATGTGTGGGAAGGGATCAGACGCAACTTCGCTCCTTTATTGAATACATGCTAATTAAAAGTCTACTGCAGATGACGCATACAGTGATTGAAGTTCACAAGTGCAAGTGCCAAACATGTGAATGTTTGTGCTTCTTAACCAAATACAAAGGGACATAGCTATTTCAGAAATTGGCACTTTTTGTGGGTGTAGTCATGTACACAAAAATTTCAGGAGCATGGAAAAAGAAACTGGAGGAAAAATAATGAAAAGGGCCAAGTATTTCAATGAGCCAAGTCTTTAAACTCCATCTGTAAGAATAAAGAGCGTATCTACCAACAACAGATGTTGGGCAAGTAAGTTCAACAGAACTTATGTGCAAAAAGGCACAACAATATTGGCTCAATTTTGTTAAAACAAGAAAAATATTAAATGTATAAGACATGAGGCTTGTGAGTGAAAGAACTGGTCTTCCTCCACACTTTCGGTGATCTTTCCTCTAGTCCAGAGAGTAGAAATTCTGAAGCTCCTGAACGGGTAAAAGAACCAGGACAACTATCCAAATGGGCCATAATGTCATTGAAAAGAGGAGGAGAAAGAGGATCAAAGTCACATAGAACATCCAGCATATATACTGCGCCAACAGAGCTGTTGCCTATTTGCACTGTGTGTGTGAATGTGTGTATCTGCGTCTGTGTGTGTGAGCATTAGGATGTGTGTCTCTCTGTATGTCTGTGTCCCACACTGGATTAGTGGATAGACCAGGCAGCTAGAAACCTAGGACACCAGCTCTTACAAAGTTTAGAAACCGCTGGGATGCTGAAACATTGCGGGGAATACACTGAGATGCAAAAAATGATTCTTCTCAAGGAGAACATCAAAGGTGGAGGAAAAACCAATTTTGCTGAGATAACAAAAGATGGTGCTGAACAGTCTCCTAGAGAGGATGGTGAGGCAGCTGTGGGCCTGATTCAGTGGAATGACTTTGGATGGGAATTCAAAGTCTGAGCAGAATTTCTCAGAACAACAGTGGAGACACAAAGTCTGCCACCAAGCAATCCTCCCTCACTCTCCTGGAACCACGTGGTGCTCAATATCTCCTCTAAAGTTGTAAGTGGAGGTGTAAATATTTAAAGAATAACCTTTGTTAGGCTTCTTACAGGATCACTGTGCACATATGTGTGCATCTTGCCACAGTGACCCAATGCTTGGGAAGCCCATGGCTGTGGCAAGGGGACACTTCAGGTTTATGTCTGTGCCCAGCTGGACTTCCTCCATTTTGCTCTGGGTACCTCAAAGTGGGTAATTAGCAAACAAGAACAAACAGAACTTCTACATGATATTGACGTCTAAGAATCTGGCTTTTGCTGAAGACTGGATAGAGTTCCATCATGGGGATTGCTTTCATTGTCTTTGAAAGGGGTGCAACAGGTCAGGGACTATAAGAGAATAATGATGTATTCAGCAAATGGCCCAATGCAGCAGCTTTTCATTGATGTGTTGGAGGGTCCTACAGTTCCTCCTAGAGAGAGCAAGGGAAGGGTCCTAGAGATGGGGCCCCAGACACGCACCTTCTCTCAATCCCAGCTGGAACAGTGTAACTTTTTATTGGCAAAAGAGTGTTCCAGAGGACCAGTGTCTACAGGACATCTGGTGGGCACTTGCACCAATGTGGGAATTGCACTGAGGTACCAGCTTTGGAATTAAGCAGCAGTTGTATTATGTTTTAGAAAGAGAATGAACTCTTAAATCTGATGGATTCAGTTGATTTCTTGCTCTATCCCAGCTGTGTAACATGGGCCAATAACCTTTGAGGTTCTTCTACAAAAATGGGATCTCAGTGTATAGGGGACATTGTGAAGATTAAATGAGATAAGTGTAGGAGCTCAGTAAAAGCAAAATGATGTATATTGTGGAAGCTCAGTTAATACAAGTTCCCTTCATTCTGTCACTTCCTTCTGGATATGAAGCTTCCAATTACTTGCCCTACCTTTAGAATGAATTAAAGCTGGTTCTTTTGTACCCCATAAAAGAGCCCTTCTCTACCTTTTACTAGTGCCATGATTGTGGGCAAATCACCTCATGTCATCAGTAAAATGAGGATACTAGCTCTATCCTGAATAACTCATGAGATTGTCGTATAAAATAAATAAATAGATGTATGTGAAAATACTTCATCAATGGTAATGCCACAACACATATGTAATGCCAAAAAAAATTCTCCATTAATAAGATGTCCTTTCAACAAATGTCCATTTTTCCTTATAAAATGTCAGAGATGTTTAAGCAAACTCCCAAGGTTATTTAATTATTGGATAATAATATACACTGGTGATGGAAATTAATTACACAGGTACTGTGAAATACCCTGCTTTGCTACTGACAACACCCAGCAATACAGAGCACATGGCTGAGTCCATAGAAAACTGTGGTAATTGTGACAGCAGTAACAGCAGAAGAGCCACAAAGCCTCCTCCACGTAGGTCTGTCATTAGCTGATGTCACCAAGGGGCCATAAACAGAAGCTCCTCTATATCACATGGGCCATGAGATAGCAAGGTAAATAGAGGGCAGTTGTTTAATTTATCTATTGTAACAGAGTTGAGTGCATGGCAAATAGGTTTGTAAGTGCATTTATTACCATCTCCATATAGTATGGTTTCCACCAAGAGTGAGTGAGCTCAGAGCCTGCTCACTGTGGCTGTGCCTCATTTGATGCAATCCAAGGGCCATGATCAGGGAGTCTCCCGAGTGCCTTCCCCAGTGGCAGTGAGTGGCTTGGGGAGGCATGGGGTTGGAAACACATTCTGTTATCTGACTTTGGGCCGAAGTCCATCATATCTTGTCTCCGAGAAAAATTTCAGTTCCTAAGAGGGTCTAGCTTAGTCTCCTTTGACATTTAAAACAAAGCTTAAGGATGAAAGCAAAATATTCCCACAGCTGGTGATTGTTATACAGAGACCAGAAACCTATAGTTTCCAGGAGCCCTCCCTGCCTGATTCTGCAGACCTAGTCTGGACGCCTCTCATTCTCCTTAGCCGTCCTGCTTTGCAGTGCTCACGAATAAGCAGGCCACTTCCATCCCCGGGTTGATGGGGATACCTCCTCAATATTAAAATCCCAGGACTAGCCACACAGGGCAGATAAACAAAATGTGGTATATACACACCATGGAATATTATTCAGCCTTAGAAAGGAAAGACATTCTGATACATGCTACAACATGGGTGAACCCTGAGGACATTATGCTAAGTGAAATAAGCTAGTTACAAAGGGACAAGTACTGTATAATTCCACTTATATGAGGTGCCTAGGATAGGCAAATTCATACAGCCAGAAGGTAGAATAGAAATTACTAGGGGCTGGGAGAAGAGGGGGAAATGGCGAGTCTTTGCTTTCATGGGTACAGAGTTTCAGTCTGTGATGAAGTTCTGGAGCTGGATGGTGGTGCTGGTTGCACGACAATGTGAATGCATTTCATGCCACTGAATTGTATACTTAGAAATGGTTAAAACGGTCAATTTTGTGTTGCATATATTTTGCCGCAACAAAAAATGTAGTTCTAGACCTAAAAAAAAAAAAAAAAAAAAAGATCAATGCTGAAATTAAAAACCAGAGGAGCTTCCACATGCCACAAGGAGCTTGCTCTGATGAGTCTGGTGGACAGACTTCTCATTGCTATATTGTTTTGTGATGCTTCCATTTGTATCTCCTTTCCAACATGTGACATTTGTCACAACTCCAAAAGATGTGAGAAAGTTGGGACGAGGCCAGAATAAATGTTTTTGGATGGGTTGTGCTTTTGTGTTTGGCCATGTGAAAGCGTTTTTGTGGAGGTTGACTCTTCCAGTATTTTAAGCAATTTACAGATAGTGTTAAATACCTGGTTAAAATCTTTCTAATGTGTCTGGTAATCATTTTAGCTGTTCAAGCATAATGTGAATTCAGACATACAGTTACACGAAAATCTTTCCCACTTACCTACCTCTCGCGCAGATTACAGAGGGAATGCATTACAGACAATAAAACCTAAGGGGAAAAAATTGCCACGCTGCCTGCTTCAGTTCTGCCATTAAACCCAACGATGGCGGCCATTGCCATGTAAAAGGAAAAACAACAAGTTTACAGTTCATCATTTCCCATGGTAAACAGATTGCTTATTTTAATTTTGAAAATAAAGCGATGGAGGCTATGTAGGTCTGTAAATAAGAGTGTGCATCTCAATTTTCTGCAAATGCTTAAGTGGTTTACATCTGTTTCCTCCCAGTTGTATTTCTCAAACATGAATTTCCATTTTAAAAAGAGTCGTAAAATCACTACTGTTTCTCTGTGGATCTATTAGCAATAAAATAGCCTACAGAGGTTTGCACAGCCATGGAAAATGTACGGTGATAATAGGCTGTCCTGCTGTTACATGGCTTATGCAAACTTTACATTTATCACGGCAGAACCATCTATCCGCAGGGTTGTAGCACAGCAAACAACTGAATAAAAAGGACCCAGAGAAGGAAGATGAGACTGAAATCTCTGTGTACACATCATTAATCAGACAAGATGAATTCTCAAACTTGGAAGTGCCTCTCCTCAAAGCCAACTGAGAGAAGGAGCAGGAGGGAGAGAATGTGTCAGGTTGATTGCAATCTGCAATGTACAACTTTCCATAAAAATTAATCTCCAACAAACAAAAGCGTTTGTTCCTCTCATTTGCATGCTGTGTGGTTCACTCCTCGTGTGTGTGTGTGTGTGTGTGTGTGTGTTTTAAGAACCAAGCCGGTCATCTGTTGAAAACTTTTACTCCAGCAGATGACGCAGTTATTCTTTTATTGCTTTAAGTAAAAGGGCTTAAAAGAGCCCATTACTTTCTCACACACCAGCGCAGCTTCCTTAGTCCTCCCCCACAGATGGGTGAATGCGGAGCATGTCCGTGGTGCCCCTGAAGCCCCGCATCATAAGTGGGACTGAGGGTTCAAATCTCTGTCCTCACGTTGTATCCCAGTGAAATTCTACCACATACAGGGAAGGAGGTGGATTTATTCTAAATTAATTCACTGAAAGTCTGTAATGATACAGAGTAGGTTTCAAAATGGCCTTCTTCCAAAACACCCATGCATGAGGTACGCCTGATCCTCTGTCTGGAAGTCCTGAGTCTCTCAGTCCTCTGAGTTGCCTTGTTTCCCTGTAATAGAAAAGCATCATTAAAATATACTGTTAGAATTTAAATTGCTTGGCATCTCACAGCCTGTTCCATTGAGTATTATTATTTTATAAAAGTGGCTTTGTTTTGTTTTATTAGTTTAATGGAGAGAGGAGTTTGAGAAATAATCCTTGAGGCTTTTAGAGGGAAGATGGAAAGGACACCTTTCAATCAATGCCCGAGTTAACAATTACTTAACTATATTTGTCCCTCGAAATTCTGTGATCCCAGGAATAGACCAAGATAGAGATGAATGAAAGGAAAACAGTAAGAAGTGGCGTGACAGCTAAGAAGGGCAACTGCCCCATCCAATAGCCCAGTAGTTCCTGCCCCTCAAGAACTGCGGGTGTTAGGGAGAAGCCTGTTGTTTTGAATTACTTCACATTGCTCCATTCCTAAGGGGCCTCTTAGTTACCCATCCCCACATCACCAGATCATTCCAAATAATTGGGTGGGAAGCAATCTAACAATCTCAACCCATCTGTGGATCAGGTAACTGTTTACTATGACTTGATAGTTTTTAAACGTTGGTTTGACAGCATATGCACATCACTAAACAGTGTAGAGTTCTGGGGGGAGGAGGTGTGTATTTGGATTCCACATCAGATATTCTTATGTTGAGCTGCCTCATGATCCCGCAAAAAGGAGCCATGCGTTCCCTGGCCGCTGAAGCTGAAAGGGCTCTCCAAACCCACATTCCAGTTGAACTTGCTTCCTGTCCTGCATTTCTCTCTTACTGAACTTTCCATGGTTGCTTATGTCCTCTGGCATTGGTTATCTGTGAGCAGCTCCATGTTTGGTAGTTCATATAGTAGACTTCCTAGGCCCTGCAAAGCTTGTAACATGACTGTAGAACCACAGCACTTGTCCCAGCCTTGTGTGGCATGCTTACAGCAGAGACGCAATGTTAAGTTTCAGTAAGATCACCCAGCCCCACCTCTGCTCCTAAATGTCTTGGAGAAGAACCAGGTATACGATGTGCAGCTTCCAAAGTAGTCTCAGGGCCTCTTGTTGGAGAGACAGACGTAGGTTGTTGGTCTTACTCCTTATTGATCAATAGTATGCGATGTTGGCTCTTCTTCCACAAAGAAATCTCAGAGTTCATTAGCAAGACTGCCTGTTTTTAAGTTGAGTTGAGACTCCCCACTGGGGTCCCCTTGGCAATTCTAGGAAGTGTCCATTTGGCCCCTTTCAGTGATTCCATAGTGTCTATGGGTTCCCATTTCTCCTGGATTTCTTTGTGACCCCTTCCAGAAAATCCTATTCTAATTAGAAACAATACTTCTGATCACGTACTGGGTCCTTCTGCAGATCACTGACAACTGTACCAAGGCGTAATCACAGTAGTAATAATAATCACTACAGTTACTTAGAATTTTCTATATGCAGGTAACACACACTGAGGCCCAGACAGGCTCATGAGCTTGTCCCAGGCGTGCAGTTAATAAGGGTTGGAGTTGGGATTTAAATCCATGTTCTTAAACCCCATGCTGTACTTTCTCTTTAATCCCACTGTCTTCACGATGTTTTATGTTTGCTTAGTGGAAAGAAACTCCTTCTTGTTTCCAGACATAAGAGCAGGCCTGGTAGAGACTCCCATGCACTGGGCGCCCCCTGTTCCCTTCTCTCTCTAGTACGTTTCACTCTGCTTCCTCTGTAGTCTCGATGCCGCTCCTTCCTCCACACTTCCCATCCCACTATACATCTTTTACACAGCAGGGCAGGGTGATTCGCTGCATGCTAGGCAGTAACTACATAGTAATAACAATAACTTGGTACTTAGAGCTCCTCATCCGAGGACGTCACCCGAGCTTAAAGAAATTTAAATATATCTGTTCACAGCAGCGTGGTGGGGATGGTTTTGATCTCATTTTCTCCAGGCCTGAAGAGAGATGTGCACGTTTAAAGGAAGGAAACACCAGCCTTCCTAATGAGGCCCCCTGACCAGAGTGGGGAACTGAGAAAGAGAAGCAAATAGGGGGAGGACCATATAGAGTAATGGTCTCTCATTTCCCTGCAGTTCCTTTGCAGAGTGCATTTGATGCTTGGCAGGCTTGCTGTCTCCAGGAGCCCTCTGGCTTCATGGTATTGAGAAGAAAGGGCTGCCCACCAGCTGAGTCTCTGTTATGTTAGCCACCAGCATCCAAGGATTTGCTCCAGAAACTGTCCTTATGGTGAACACCACTGGGCTCTGGTGGGGAGGAGGGAGGCTGGGTCTGATGGCTTCTCCACATCCCTGTCTCCCTCCTATCTTCAGGGCTCCCCATTCCCTCTCCTCCTGTGGGATGGTTCCCTGTCCCTCCTTTGAGGGTGGATCACCCACAGGCTCCCCCTGGCAACACTCCACATCCAGGGCCTTCTGCACACACAGGCGGGGATGGGGCAGGGGCTCTCTAGTGGAGGGACACAGCTTCCAAACCCTCATTTGCTACTCCTACCTTCCAGCTATCCCTTCCTTGCCAGAGTTGAGCCTCTGGGCTCAGTTCTCACCTACCTGGGCTTGCAGAGCACGCCACCCTCTCCTGATTTAACCTGCCCCTTTGACCAAACCAACCTGGCAACACTGCACCTCCATGTGACACACTGGAGAGATAGATCCACTTCAAGGAATGAACCTAACTGGCTTCCTTAGCTATGGAAATACTCTCAGATCTTGAATTAAGAGTCAATTAGTCCTCTAGTCCTCAGAAACTTGGAAGTGGATCATCTGCTGGGAGCTCACAGCACATGTCTGGTTCCCTGCAGGCCACGCCCCAGAATGACAGCCAGCCCATCTGCTGATGCACCTGCTACATGCAAGTCACTGCCCCAGAGGCTGAAAGGTTTGCAGAGAAGTAGCAGGCTTTGTTCTTACTCTCAAGAAGCATGCAGTCATAAGGGGAGATGAGATGGGAACACACACAAGTCTAATGATATCCTGAGTTTCAGGTGAGCTCCAAATTGTCATTCCAAGTATGTACCTAGCTTTGAGACTGAAAGGTGCTTCCCACCTCAGTCCCAGTCACAGTGAAAAATCCAGAAGAAAGAACAGCCATTCAGTTGAGGTAGATGAGATGCATTTCAACGGTAAAATCACTTGAGCTTTTCCCTCTGACTCAAAGCAAATACATTGTCAAATACACTATAAATATACATTTGCACTATTTATTACCTCTGCCTATAAAAGAAAATTGTATTAGGTGATCATGCTGAAAATGTGTCAAAAATATAATTTGCATCTCTTTTATGTGGGTGTTTTTTTGTGTATTTGCTATATTTCAATTTGCTAATATGCATATATATCTCTGTAGAGACATGTATAAATGCTGTTTAGTTCTTCTGATCTTTGTTTTTATTTGCTTGGTATAAAGATTTCAATATAATTTGTGATTCTAAAAATATTGCTTTTGAAAAATATGGTATAGATCCTTTGTTCCCCTAATTCCCATAATCCAATACAATAAAACATTTATTAAAAGTATATTAAAGAGAATGTCCTGAAGGATTTCCTTCTCTTTGACAAACTCTCACTGGAGGATTATGCAGAATGTTTTCTCTGATGTCCTGAATTTCACAGAATCCATCTCTCTTCAGTTAGGCAAATTTCTCGAAGCTTCTCCATAACCCCTAGATGGTAAGATTCATTTTCCTCTTAGCAATCCTGCAAACTACGGGGAACTGAGATTTTGATTATCAGCCCTCATGCTTTACTCTGTGGATGTCATAGATTTCGAGAGGAGGTATATTCTTTTGCATTATTTTTATTTATAGCATCTAACAGTATCTTTGTTTAATAAAAAGACTTGCAATTATGTCTTGATGGTTGCTTTCAACCACCTTAGGAAGCAAGTCAACATCCCCCCAGTTAGTGAAGAAGGAATAAAGCCAAAGAGGAGATTATGTCACTTTAGGGTCACACAGAAAATCAGTAGAAGATTAAAACTCAAGTCTCTCAAGTCTCAAGTATTCTGCTTTGCTGTTAGAAATGTCATCTTAGTTTCTTTTCCTCATCTACAAGCCACACGCCTATCGTTTTTCCTCAACTAGACAATACCTAGGGCCAAGGGAGGCCACTGTCCTTTCTATCCTATTTTGAACTCTAGAAAGAAATTTCCTTTTAGGTTTCCCCTGGGAACTTGGTCTCACAGTGTGGTCAGGGAGAGAGAAACTGCTAGAAACTGTATTGTGTGACCTCCCCTGCCAAAAAATGTGTACGTTGAAGCCCTAACCCCCATTGTGACTGTATTTCAAGACTGGGCTTTTAGGAAATAGTTAAATGAATTCATAAGGCTTTGCCCTTAATCCAAGAGAAGTGGTGGCCTTAGAAGAAGAAGAGCAAGATCTCTCTCTCCACACAAACACTGACTGAGGAAAGGTCCTGTGAGAACAAAACGAGAAGGTGGCCTTCTGCAAGCCAGGAAAAGAGCCCTTGCCAGAAACCAACCCTGTCAGACCTTAATCTGGGACTTCCAGCCTCCAGTACTGTGAGAAAAAAGGTTCCTGTTGCTTAGGCCACCCAGTATATGGCATTTTGTTATGGCAGCCCAAGCAGACTAAGACAGACATCTTAAGCTTTTGCTTTCAATTCATCTCTTGGAGCCCATGTGGCATAGACAGGACCTAGAAGCTGCTCAGAGTCTGGCTGGGGAAAAGCTTACCAGAGCAGGTGCTGTGAGAGGGATGACCTGGCTGCAGAGTGGACCCCTGAGTCAGGGCCAGGTGAGACTAAGTCGGTAGCCAGCGGGGTCAGCAGCAGAAAGAACCAGACTAGGAGTTCCCCAGCCACAGGCTTCAGGAACCATTGCCAACAGAGCAAGTAGCTCCCAGGTGGACATGGGCATCACCCTGGAGGCCAGAGGAGATCAAGGACCTCATGCCCGGGGATCCCCAATCTGCCCTGCACAGAGTGACCTGGTCAGACTTGTTCCTCCCTCTACATATCCAAACACCCTCTGAGGGAAAGAAGAAGTGGCAGAAATGACGTCACTGAGAGATGGAACATTTTTATCAAAGAGAGTTTTGACATCACCTATAGGGACTAGGTCATCTGGACTAAATGTCAACAGGATTAAAAGTGAGTTCATTTTGCCCCCTCTGCAGGTGGGGGCTCAAGAGCAAGGCTAGTTTAGTCACAGGCAAATAAAACAGTAATCTTCTCTCTACCCACACAAGCTGTAATTTAGATTGAATTTGTGAGTTACTACAGAGGAACCTGGGGAGGGCACCTCTTCCCAGGGAGAGGCAGGTTTGGGGCCAGCTACCGCCACATTCTAGAAACTCATTATCTTGGGAGTTTGTAAAGATGATGCCTGCCCATCCACCCTTTATTCTGTCTCCCTCTTGCTTACTATATGTAAGCTGTACTGTGTCATTTAATACAATAGAGGGTGGCATTCACATAATTTTATCTTCCCAACTGTGTTATAAACTCCCCTTGAGCAGAAACATCAAAGGGTGCCAAGTACAGAGCTCCATGTTTGTCAGCCAAGCAGTGATGCTGCCCTGCTTTGGTGGAACTTGAGTGTGTCTGTAGGTTTTGCAGCAAGCTTCAAAATCCTAGCTGAGGACTCCTGGGGTGGGTCCCCACCCTGACATTAGCTATGGCACCTTGAACAAGTCAGTTTCCATTTCAGGACCTCAGTCTCCACATTTGTAAAACAAAAGAGTTGAACTAATGGACCTTTAAGATTCCTGTTCAAGCCTCCTCTTGCATGAGTGTTTGAGATGTCTTGTTCCATCTTTTATCTCCCCAGTGGGCCATTTGGAGACCTGCAGCATAGTCATGACTGTGGCTATAGAGGTTGTCCTATATTAAGTAACCTAACCTATTCAATTCCCACAACAACACTTTAGAAAAGGTCCTATTATTGCCACCACCATTTTACTGACAAGAAAACTGAGACACAGGGAATAACTTGCCCAAGGAAACAAGGTAATTGTGCTGAAAATGTGTCAAAAACATAATTTGCATCTCTTTTATATAATTTGAAAATATAATTTGCAGCAAGTGTTAGAGCTGGGTTTCAAACTCAGAGACAGGCTCCATAGTCCTGCCTGGGCCACCTCACTGTGCTGCCTTTAGGATTGGAAACCAGTGGCTGATAGGTTGGCTTTGGGGAGGAGAGGGCAGTCCACACATCCTGAGTTTAGGAGTCTGTAGAGGTCCCTACTGCCAGGGCACACTTTCACTCCAAGATATACTTGCCCCTCCCTCTCAAAAGATTGTTTTCTAGCTTGTTCATTTCACAAGCATTTCTTGAATGTCTGCTGTGTGCCAGGCAGCCTTGGGCTTGGACTGGGATCTAAAGTAAGGGCTACTAAAAGGGGTGGGATGAAGGGGCAGGGTGTGGCAGATTCTCTGCAGAAGGTCAGTTTCTGAGATGTTTTTTTTATCACCCTCATTCCAGGAAACCTAATTCTATCATCTCATAGGACCCTCTAGGACATCACCATGGGACTTTTGGCTTAGCCCCAACAGAACCCTGAATAAGCCCTTCTTAGCCTGTGATTTATAATTTTCTGAATCCTTACCTGGCTTATTTGGCTTTTGCTGGGAGGTGGCAGAGAAAAGGAAGAGATGGGAATAATTGGTCCTATCAATAGGTTTGTCTGTAATTCATTTTACTTCCCTGCCATAAGAAAACATGCATTTCTTCTTTTGAGCACAGTGACTTTTTCATGCAAAGTAGTCATTCCTCAGATGACAGATAGGAGCTGAACTGGAGGCAATGTTCTGTATTGAAGAAACAGCAGTGACAGTTGCTTTTCTAAACAAGACTGTGGGCACACATTAGGAGCCTGCTCTCATTCCCACAGAGCTTGACACATTGCAGCAACCAATCCTCGCCAAAGGACAAGTCCCCCTTCTCCTCAGACTGAATGGAGACAGGGCTGGGACCTCCAGGAGACCCCACAGCTGCCAGGTGCCTGCCCAAAGCTTGCAGGTGGCATGGGTGTTTCAGAACCTATTGAGGTTACCCAGGTCAGGGTGGAGAAAACAGGCCCTTCCCATGTAGGTAGTTCACCCTACCTCATCTGGTGGGCCATGCATGTTTGCGGAACAGCAGCCCCTTGTCCTGCAAATGCCGGGGATGAGGATGCGCAGGGGTGAGACACACATTCTCAGCTGCCCCTGTGCCCTACGCTCCAATGCCAGCACAGAGGAGCAGGACATTGAGGCCCCTATCACGCTAAGAACCAGGGGCTGGAAAACTCAGCCCCAGCGGGTAATGCAGACCCCATTTGGAGCTCCCCCGGGGTGTGCCGAGTCCACAACCGAAGAGAACTGGCCAAGAAACAAGGAGGGGTGGCCTCGTCTCAGCTTCAGTCACAACCACGTGTGATGACTTGGGTAAGAAGAGGCCTGAGGCCCACACAGAGGCACTAAATGGTTTCCTCAGAGCAGTGTGGTCCAGATAGACCATCTCTGGTGCCTCAGATGGAAAACAATAGGTGGGTTTGGGGGTCTCCTAAGCAAGAGAGGCTTTGCCCACCAAGCCCTGCCCAGAGCCACCGTCCATTCCCTTTCCCCAGCTCCTTCCTTGGCCTGGCGAGGGAGGTGGTCTGCTGTCCTCTGCAGTGCCCTGGCAGAGCTCCAGTGGGAATGTCAGCCTGGAAGACGTCCCTGGACTGCATGACTTTCTAAGCGGGCTGTGGCGGTGGCCAGGAGCCAGCAGCCCTCTCACTCTCTCTGGAAGGCGGCCGTTTTGTCTGCTGGTGCTGCATCAGGGGCCACCTGAGCCTGCAGCCTGAGGACAAGGCTCCAGGGACACTGCCTCAGGCCACGGTTGACCCTCCAGAGTCAATCACGTCTATGTGTCTCTAGGAGAGGCAAAAATTGTCAGTGGTCTGCAAACCACTCTTTCGTTCTAGATTAGAGCTGCAAGTTGAGAGAGGAAGAAAAAGGAAAAACAAAAACAAACCCCGAAGACACAAGTACTGAATAGTGTCAAAATGAGCTAGGCTCCAAGTCCATTTTTCATATTGTTCCCTATTTTCAATAGCTACTGGGTGCCAGAGGAAAAAAAGGAACAACTTTAAAAAACAATCAGCGGGACATGTGGTGTTCATTCTTGGCTGGAACTATGCAGCCTCATCTGCCGGCAAACACTCTGCAGTCTTTCATGAAAAATGTTTTAGAACTAATGAGCTATATTTGCATTCCCCATAGAATGGATTTGGAATTTTTCATCTATGCTGCACCATGAAAAATGGATGTGTTTGGCGCAGAAGTCATTTGAACGTGAAGCCAGCCTCAGTGGAAAGACAACCTTCAGAAAAACTTTCCAAGTAACTTTTCATTCGCACTTGCTTCCACCAGGGAAGGTTAGGCTCATGTGAAAGATGGAAATTTCCTGCACAAACCTAGATGCTGATGAGATTTGTTTTTGTAGATAATCTGCAGCAGCGAAATTTTTCATAATGTCACTGCAAAATAAATTAAAATGTTCATCTTCATATGGCTGGTTCCATTGCATTAAAATAAATGTTGCAAGCTCATTTAATTAGTATAGTTAGGAATGTCTCTTCCCTGCTTCACTGACTCTCCAAATCACAAGTTAATTTGTCAAAATCAGACCATTGTTTTTCCTTCATTCTTCATTACTAGAGACAGCCCCATTTAAATAAATGTTTATGCTACAGAGAGCAGAGCAGTGAACAACCCCAAATATTTTCATAAGCCAGTGCTGGAAAAGTTTAAGACACAGGGAGCGAGGATGCATTTTTTTCTTCCCTTTGTGGTTATTGGATATGTGACTGGCTAGAAAGGCACACAATCGAGCAGTCTGCTGTAACTGATGATGTTCCGCCCGCCATTGCTCATGTTGGCGGGCTACATCCTCTTGAAAGCAGTTTTCTTCTATGTTTTCAAAGACAAATGATGACAAAAGACAGCATCTCTATAAATTACCCTCCTCAAATCGTTCTCTTCAAGAGCCCTTGGTTAATCAATTAGTTGGTGTTAGGAAGGGGTCTGAACTGGGGTGGAGGGTAGTCCTGGTGTTCACAGTCATTCACTCACCATGACTGGCTGCGAGCAGCTGGGCATTCCTGCTGAAAACTCAAAAGATAACCAAACTTCTTTCCCCCTTGCCTCCTGACCCTCCCAAACCTCCAAGAAAAAAATCAGAACCATGGGGATGGGGTAGCCAGTACTAAAGCAGGAGTTCCTGGCAGTGAAGGTGTTGGGGTTAATGATGAAGACCAGGGAAAAGGGGTTCACAGAATTGGCTGAGGGCTTATGTGTGCAGAGGTCTTCTGGAAGGCGTCCATCAGTAATGGATGAAAGAGCTTATCAGATCATTAGCAGCGCCCCATACTAATGAGATGTTGCATTCCTGCTCAGTAGAGACCCCCTCCATTGGAAAATGCCACAGTGCCTGGCTCTATATTCAGCACCAACCAGCAGAAGGTCAGCTTTCCTCTCTGCAGCTTTGTCCTCTGCCATGATGGAGTGATCCAGCCTCCCTCTTCCATGAGAAGCTAAAAGATAGGATAGCCTTTTTCTTTTTGCTATGTAGTGTTTTCTTGCCCCATTACCTGTTTTTCCCCCCACTGCTGTTCTTGCTTTGCAAGTCTTTTCTACTCTGGAGCAAATGGGTGCGAGGAGAGTGGATGCGCTTCTTCAGATTTCTTGCAATGTGATGAGTGAAAAGGCTTTCAAAGTTGCCCTCACTGTGACTCTGATGAGCTCTGGTGTGTAGAATCAATCTTTCCTCTTTCTATTCTTTTCTTTCTTTTTTCTTTGCCTTTTTAAAATAAATCCTTGGGATAAACTTTACTTCATTAATACATTATTTGATTAACCAGAGGATTTAATGAGTGCATATTCTACAAATGTACTTGACTTTTGGAGGTCAGAACTCCAGTGAGCTGCCCAGGACATAGGCAGGCAGGAAGCAGCAGCACCCCAGGCTCCCCACAACACTTGGGAGTTACTGAAAGCCGTGCTGAGCGTGCCACTGTGCATTCATTCATTCGCTCATTCATTTGATAAGCATTTGTTGGCAGGCATTGAACTAGACCCTGAATGTGGAGAGTCAATCTTCTTTTCTCATATAAACAAAAAATGGAGTTTTCTGAATAGGCCTGGGCCAGTACACCCTGGAGCCTAGTGGCCTGACCCCTGAACCCCAGTGCCTTATCTAATGATGGTACAATTTATTGAAAACATTTGTGTCTCTGGTTGGCTGTGGAGCAGTCTTTGTAAATCAAGGAAACTGGAGAGCAAAGCCAGGTGCATAAAAGACAAGCGAACTGAGCTGGGGGAAGAGCAAGCATTCAGCCTTGGTGAGTCTAAAGGAAATACAGTATTGTCACTTGGAGTCTCTTCTCCTTGGGTCAGCTCAGTCTCCAATGTGTATGTCAGGGAGTACAAGAAGGACTGACATAAGGATTCTCAACATGGAAGAGCAAACCAGGGAGCAGAGAAAAGTTTTCTTAGGGAAAAAACAAAAATCCTGCCCCATAATGTTGGCCTGGTTCTGTGTCCACAGATCAAAAGCCAGGCTGGAAGCATGGAGTCAGATACACAGCTCACAGCACACAGAACAGGCAACTGCAGGCAAACCCAGGCAAGCTCTGGGAGGCGGCTGCCACTTGAGAGGGCAAACCTCGCTTCAAATCCCCAACTCTACTCACCAGCTGTGACCTCGGTCAAATGATGGGCATACGAATAATTATATACATATATATATATATATGTATATATATACAAACATGTGTATATATGACATGGTTCCCATGAAAATGAAATGAGACACTGTATAAAAGTGACCTGGCACATATTGAGTGTTTGACTAACGTTAGTTCTCTTCTGGGGACTTTTGGAAGGGATAAGGCAGCAAAGGGGAGGGTGGGTTAATGGATCAGAGTGAGTGTGGTAAATACAGTGACCATTGACAAAAATCAGTTTCTTAGTGAAATTGATTTTTAATTAAGTCTGGCTGTTAAACTATGTTTGAATGGGACACTGCTCTGAGACTGAGCCACATATGTCTCTGGTTTATATGGGTTACAAAACTCACAGCTTTTTGATCAGGTGTGAACTTAGTGATCATCTGGTGAACACACATTCACAACTTGCAAAAGATTAGATGCCTTCCAAGGTCATGCACCGGTTAGCAGCTGCCTCCTGCCTCCTGCCTCCCTTCAGATGGGTGGAGGCTATAGAACACCTGTGACTAAGAAGGCCCAGGCCCCCAACCACTCCTCACATGGCGAGGTTTCCCAATCACTTACCATCCTTTTCATCCTGCCTTAACCTTCTCCACTGTTACTATGTTCTTTTTAAAACGAGGTGCTCAAAACCAAATAAAATAGCCCAAATACATCTGACTCTGGCAAAACAAAGGGGAACAGTGACCACTTTTGTTTTGGAGAAGTCTATGATTAAAGCAGCCTATTGGCAGCCACCCCATAGTCCCCTGACAGTCACCTGAGATCCCCAGGACTCTTTTTTACAGCTGACTGGATGTCAGCCCCCTTCAGCCTGTAGGTGTGTCATTGGTTATTTATCCTGATGACTGAATCTTATGGTTATCGCCATCAAATTCAGTGAGTTTGGGGCTATCATTTTAGACTGTCAAGACCTTTTTGCATCATAATTCTGTCACCTGGTGGATCAGTTTTACTTCCTAGCTCTGCATCAGGCTGTTATTCTGCCAGCCACACACCTCTTCCTCCAGTCCTCAGGGATAACCTGAGCGACTTTGTCAAAAGGTTTGCTTGAACTCAAGATACTCATTCCTCTCAGCTTCCTGTTCTCACGGGTACCATGGCTCACAGCCACACCAGCTCAAATCCCAATATCTCCTGAGGATTTAAGACCTTGCAAACCTTGAGAGGTCCCCTAGAAGGAAGTGGTCACTAATCGTTATTGAACACTTTCATTATCAGTTGGGAAGAATTATGTTGGGATAAATTATGAAGAAGGCTAGGAAAGGGTCCCTGAGAGAAAAAGAGAGAGAGAGAAAAGATCAAGATAGAAGGAGGTGGTATAAACTTAGTCTGCTTGACACTTTTTTAAAAATTTAACTTTTATTTTAAGTTCAGGGGTAAATGTTCAGGTTTGTTATATAGGTAAACTTGTGTCATGGGGGTTTGTCGTACAGATTATTTCGTCACCTAGGTAGTTAGCTTGGTACCTGTTAGTTATTTTTTTCTGATCCTCTCCCTCCTCCTACTCTCCACCCTCTGATAGGCCCCAGTGTGTGTTGTTCCCCTCTTTGTGTCCATGTGTTCCCATCTTTTAGTGCCCACTTACAAATGAGAACAAGCAGTATTTGGTTTTCTGTTCCTGCATTAGTTTGCTAAGGATAACGGCCTCCAGCTCCATCCACGTTCCTGCAAAGGACATGATATCATCCTTTTTATGGCTGCATAGTACTCTATGGTGTATATGTACCACATTTTCTTTATCTAGTCAACCACTGATGGGCATTTAGGTTGATTCCATGTCTTTGCTACTGTACTTCACAATTTTCTATGCTCTGAAATTAAGCAATATCATGAATGATCATTAAAACATAAGAAAGCATAAGAGAAATTTTTTAAAAATTCAGTTTAGCCAGAAGTGAAAATGCAGTTTGCATTTTTGTCCTTTAGATTAGTTCAGTCTTTGTCATTTAGAATCTAAAGATCGTGTATCTCAGGTATATCTTTGTGATAAGACCAAAATTTTGCTTTTTATCCTTATCTTGAAAATATTATGAGTGTAAAAGTAATACATATGATGAGACTCCATTCATGTAAAATTTAAAACTAGGCAAAACTCCCCTAGGGTGTTAGAAATCAGGATAGCGGTTGCAGTTGGAGAGGATGGTGGAGGAGTGCTTGGGAGAGCACCAAGGGTGGCCGGGGGGCTGGTCACATTGCTGCTTTTGATTTAGGCAGTGCTTACAGAAGTATACTCACTTTGTGAACATTCATTATTTCATACAAGCACGAATTGTACACTTCTCTAGATGTACATGGTAAACAGGAGCCAAACTCCAGTGTTCAGAATGCCTTTTATAGGTCTTTTCTTTTTTTCTTATGGAGGGCAGAGGGCAGAGAAGCATATAATTTAACTAATTCACCAGATTTCTGTTTCTGAGAGCCTTCTAGGTACGAAGCATTGTATTGGGGCTCTGGAGATAAAATGAAGATAAAGCAGACATGAGCCCTGTTGTAAGATTTATCTGTCACTTACAGTCTAGTGATGGATAAACACACATCAAATACAGCTCCACTCCAGAGGACAGTGTCCTGGGGTCCTTATAGGGGTCAGGCAGCTGGGCTCCTTGAAAGACTATCTGAACACATTTCATATATTCAAGAATCACATATATCTTTACATTTGAATTTATATTTAGTGAATGACTTGTAATTTCACTACCTTACCCATAGCAGGAAGAGCTTCTTATACTTTTCTCCCATTTTGTGGAAAACTCTGTAAGAAATTTATACACAATTAATAAAAGATACATGATGGTTATTATTGCAGATAGAAAAATGACATATATTTTATCTCATTTTTAAAGGTCTAACTTTTAAAAATATTCTAAACAGGAGAAATGCCTAGTGAAGTAACTATAAGTCAACTTTTGAACATATAGACAAAAATTTTAAATAAAAAATCTCTCAACCAATGAATGGCTAAGCAAAATGCGGGACAGCTATACAATGGAATATTATTCAACCACAAAAAAGAATGAAGTACTGACACATGCTATGACACGGATGGACATTAGAAACATTATGCTAAATAAAATTAGTCAGCTACAAAAGGCCACATACTGTATGGTTCATTTATATGAAATGTGCAGAATAGGCAAATACATAGAGCTATAAAGTAGATTAGCAGTTGTCGGGGCTGGGGAGGGGAGGTGTGTGAGGTAACTGCTAATGAGTACGAGGTGTCCTTCCTGGGTGACGGAATATGTTCTGGAATTAGATGATGGTGAGGTTGCACAGTTTGTGAATAGACCAAAACCCACTGAATTGCACACTTTAAAATGGTAAATTTTATGATATGTGAATTATATTGCAATAAAACATATATAAGGCAATTTTCGAACATATACATAGAATTTTTTAAATCATAAAATTTTTAAGCTGAGAAATTCTCAATACAAGTTTATGATACATCTCATGAATGGGAACTATAAACACATACACATACACACATAAGATAAAAATAGAGAAATGGGTTTCCGCTTTTGTGAAAATTTAAATCGGGAAGTAAAGCAAACCTTCCACACAGAGCTGTAGAATGATTGGGCCACGACCGCTGGTGCCTGTTTCTCAACTTGCCCTAAACCACGTCTGCATCCATTCTGGACTAGATTACCTGCCTCAGTGAACATTTTATGAACTCCTGCTTTTCTTAACCTGATTGACAACAGACGCATTTTGGTTTACCTCTCTGATAAGCAGCCCTTTCTCTGATCCCTGCTTATAGAAATTAGAAAACAGTTTGTGCAAATCAGCATTTACAGGCAAAGAGAGCTTTCCATGAGAAAGAAGAAAAAGATTCGAAGCAGCCAAGCCAAAAGGCTCTGAGTAGGAAACCTGGGTAGGCCCCAGTAATAAATACATTTATTGCGTGGACAGTAAAAAGTACTGGAGAGTTTAAAATAAATTCAGAGTTATTTAAACTTAATTTATGACCAGGAAAATAAACCCTCTCTTTCACCATTAATGTTTTCTATCTGGGCCATCAAATGTCACACGCTACTGATTTTGGATGTAAGGTCACTGGAAACAACATATCAAAGGTGTCAGCACAACAAATCAAGTGAAATTCCCTTAAAAATAAAAATGTCAGGAGTAAAATAATAGGCAATAGTTATTTCATGCTATTAAAGACTTGTCATATATCAAAGGGTTCACCTTTTTCTACCTTTATGATGTATCACTTTGAACACTGAATATACTTCTGCTTAACAGATAAAGTAAAGAAAACAAGCATCGGAATGCTGATGATAATAAGAATGATGACATATAATAAGACTATCTGGAGGCGCATAAACATTAGCAGGCAGACTGCTGAATATATCAAAAGACAAACAGTGGTCCTGCATATACGAAGATTGGCTGTCTAGCATGTCATTTATTTCAAGAGAGCATCTTAAAGGTCACCTAAAACGGTGTCTCTGAAATCAGAATACAAATTACATTGGGTTTTGGATAAGGAAAATAATGAATGTTTAGGACTTGCCAAGCTAATGTAGTTCCACACAGAAGTTCAAATTCAGAAGCAATCCTCTGGTCTTTTATCCAAGGATTGAATAAAACAGAAGCAAGTGCCAATCTTCGGGGAGAAGAGGAAAGATAAGGGAGACTTGGAGCAGCGGGTTCTTTATGATCCTGAAGTCATGCAACTGACAGGCAGTGGCATTTGCCATAATGCCTTGTTGCTAAATGCATTAACTCCTGGCAGAGTAAATTCACCCAGGATTAGGCTTTATGCAAAAGCATCTGACTGAAAGGGTTATCAAAGCCTCAGGTTAAAAAAAAATGATGACTTTGTTTCATCCTTGTGACATATCTTACAATGATTTTCTAGGACATTAAAGGTAAAATCTTGCTTCCTGATTCAAGGGCTCATAATCCGGTGGACGAAATGGCTCCAGGGAAGGATAAAGGAGTATAGAGCCATTCACATAGAAGTGTAAATTTCGCCCCAAGATGGTAGTGAGCAGTTAGAGAAAAGCCATAATACTTTAGTTTAAGCCTCCCAAAGTCCTTTTATCATTGGAGGTAGGGTGGGTGGGCAGGGAGGCTGCTTCCCAATCGGCAGGTAGTACGAGGCAGGCAGGCAGGAGATGGGCCAGCATCATCACTCTTTAAGTTTCCCCCAGGGCCCTAGCCCTGATGCTTTTCCTTCCAGAAGGGAGAAGGATGGTTGATTGCATCATGAAGTATTCTTCTTGTCTGTGGTGGCTGTAGGATTTCATCATTAAATTATACACAAAAGACTTGAAAACCTAACTCTCTTCATTTGATAGAGGAGGAAACTGAGGCCCAAACCCAGGAGGGAAGAAGGAAGCCTCTGCTGTGGCCCCTGACTCTAGCCAGGCCACTTGAGTGAAGGTCACACACACCCCAATGTGTGTGAAGCAGCAGTTCTAACTGGAAGGCAGGTTCCTGGAAATCATTTCCAACCTGCCCTTGACTTGGCATGTGTGTGACTCCTAGGAAGTCCCTGAATTCTCTGCACTTCAGTTTCCCCATGAAGCTGGTTGATCTCTGCTCCCATAAACCTTTCAGAATATCTCTATAAGACTTGGGTATCTTAGAAGAAGACTCCATAAGAATAGCCCTATATAAGCCAGTGGTTAAGAAATCAGACTAAGTTTAAGTCCGGCTCTGCCATATATTCACCACAAGATGCTATGACTTTCTAAATCCTGGTTTCTGGGTTTCCGTCTCTACACAGCAGGGATAGTAGTAATAATTCTTATCTGGCTTGGTGTTGTGGGGATGCAACGGAAAGCTCTCAGCACAGTGCCAGGCATAGGATGGGGGGGGGCACAAAGTGTGCATTTATCAAACAGAGGCCCCAAAGTCCCTCAAAGCAGAGCCTCAGGGGCCCTGCCCACCATGATCCTGTCACCAAGAGCCTCAGCCTTCACCTGCAGACACCAGACCTGCATTCACCATGAGTGTGGGGCTGAGTGGCATGATCTGGGGAGTGCAGACCACATTACAGTGTAGGGCTTTTCTACCCTAGTCTGTTGTCCGTTAGCAATCCGCCCAAATGATGGGTGGCTCCTCTGGTCAAGATGGGGCTCCATTCAGGCTCACATTGTGAGAGACAAGAGCCTCAATGCCAGCCAACACCCTATTTATTTGTGGATTTGGCTTATTGGAGACAAATGATGCTGAGGCAGTTCTATGGTCATCAAATGAATTATTTATACATCTGATTAAATTGTTTTACTGGAGGACTCAACCCTGGTTAACTCTTGCATTTCCAGCTTGGTGTGTAGAAATTCCACTGAGCACTTTCTACATTTTACTTTGGGGTCTCACCTTGAAAATTAATGGCCATTAGGACTACATGTCAAGATGTCCATACTCAAGGCTTCGTACAGGAAAAAAACCAAAACCAAACTTAGTTTTGAGAAAAAAACCATCAGTTTCTACAAAATGCTTATTGAAGAACCTGTGTTTTTGGACCAGTTAGACCTTTCAAAGTCTAGAGGGAGAGATATTTAAAATCAAATGTGATGATACAAAATGTTTATCCATTTTCCCTAAGTTTAAGGGGAGCTTGCTCTTCCTTTAGGCACACAAAATAATTGCTAAGCCTGCCTTATCCTATTATTTGTAAATTCAATATAATTAGAGACTTACTCAGTTCATTACTAGCTTGAGTTTTTGCCCAGCTTTTTCTCACCCTCTTGCCTTTTCAAAACACTTTATTAAGAACTTGTTTTAGTGTCACATTCTTTAAGGGAAAATAACTCCCAAGTACATTTGACAGGAAGTGCTCAAAATTCAAGACAGTGCCAGAAACTAATAATCTCAAATCACAGAACTTACATGGGAAGGTCCCATATACTGTTGCAAACAGCGTGGGTGGGTTCCACCTGCAAATTGAAATTCACATGTTCTAATAGAGAGTTTTACTGGAGAAATTGTCACCAGGTCCTGCAGTTGAAAAAACGGCGTTCTTATTCTATTGACTATAATGCAAGTTAGCCCCTAAATATCCTTTTCCCTCTGAAGAACTCCAAATGCTTTGCCATTGTCAGCCTTCTGAGCTGACATTCATTAGTCCTATCCTATGAAGTGTGAAGTGTGGATAGGCAATGGTTTCCAGGCCAGCCCCTTGAGATGAGGAGTTTTGACCTTGTGGCTGCATTAGTCATGGGCAGAGGGAATTCCAAGGGAGAACACCTGGTGAGAGGCCTGAGGATGAGTCCAAGTTGAAACCTGACACCCAGAAGTGGGTCACTAGACTTCATTGCTTGTGTGTTAAATGGCCAGGAAGACTAAGAGCTTGAGCAAATGAGCCTGTGGGTACACATGACACACAGCATCAGTGGTTTTCCAAGGCTAGCTCCTCAGAGAGCACAGAAGCAAAGTAGGCAGGCCCTCATGGAATGAAGAGCAAGGAGCAGGAATCTGGCCTTTTGAAGGAGAGATATTCATGATATTGATGGAAACGAGAGAGCCTCTCCAGGTAGCCTTGTTACCTATGAGCTGAGTACCTTCCAGGAGGAAAAGCACAGCTGATATCACAGTCCTGACAGGGCCATTCCTGGGGACTCATTTCTTAAATCTGCTGTCATTTTAAATGGAACACTCTGGAAGGGAGTGCTTCAAATAGCTTATTTTTAAAACTACCCATATGGATCAAAGCATAAACATTTGCCTCCTGGAATCTAGGAAGTGTTTTTCTGATTGATGTTACACAAGCCTGGTCCACAGCATGTGGATTTGGGGATGTCAGTACCTCAGCGTCCCATCTCCTTGGCATTTTAGCACTGAGGTATGAGAATGGTGATGTTCTAGTCACCAGGGAGAGAAATTGAGGCTGAGATGTGTGGCTGGTCACTGTCCTAATTTCAAATGAAATTTAGAAATTTGAGCCACACAGACTAGTTTTCCCTTCTAAGATCCAGGGCTTTTACTTGGCTAGAAAGGGAGGGGTTGCTCAAGAAGAAATAAGCATTTCCTCATTCTTCTTATGAACTCCATCAGTGGAAGGTACCAGACCCAGTACCCAGTGAAATATTCTGACCAGAACAATGCATTTTATTTTCTATAATAAATGTAAATTCTAACATCATCTTCAATTTCAGAGATCTCTAACCTCATGAGTATGCAAATAACCAAAAGTAGAGTCTAGTTGATAATTACTCTACAGGAACAGACGCATTTGGTACAAATAAGAAGAGTTGAAAACCTGAGTGTATTTCCACTTCTGCAAACCTTTTGGCTTAATTTGCAAAATTAGTAGAAGAAAGAGCCAAACTGTTTAAAAACAACAACTCAGTTCAACTTATTTTTTAAAAAATTGATTTCATTTACATTAGTCCCCCAAAATTTTGAAATACTTAGATATAACTCTAACCAAGTATGTGCAAGATCTACATGCGAGGAACTAGAAAACTGATGAAAGATACCGAAGAAGGTCTAAATAAATGGAGAGGTATTTTATGTTCATGGGTAGGATGACTCAGTATTCTTAAGATTTACGTTCTTCCCAGCTGAATCTTTAGATTAAACTCGATTCCAATCAAAATTTCAGCAAATTACTTGTGAATATTGACAAGATGATTCTAAACTTTAAATGGAGGAGCAAAAGACTCAGAATAGCCAATACAGTATTAAAATTCATAATTCTGGCAGTTATGAATAAAGCTGCTATAAACATCCATGTGCAGGTTTATTCATAATTGAATAAGCTAAACAAAGCTAAACATAGACAACTTGAATTGTTTGTTTTCTTATTGTTGAGCTTTAAGTATTCTTTGTATATATTTTGGATATAAGCCCTTTGTCAGATGTGTATTTTGTAAAGGTTTTCTCCCAGCCTGTGGCTTGTCTTTTCATTCTCTTTATAGTGTCTTTCAAAGGGCAGAACTTTAAATTTTTGATGAAGTCCAGCTCATCAAGTTTTCCTTTCATGTTTTTAGTATCGTATCTAAAAACTCACTGCCAAACCTAAGGTCACCCAGATTTTTTTCTCCTGTTATTTTCTAGAACTTTTACTTTCTAGTGTATTTACTAATACACAGAGGACAGACACTCCCTGATTTCAGGACTTACTAAAAAGCTACAATAATCAAGACAGTGTGGTATTGATGAAAGAACAGACAAGTAAATGAAAAGAACAGAATAGCAAGCCCAGAAATAAACCCACACAAATATAGTCAATTGCTCCTTTTAACAAAGGACCAAAGGCAATACGATGGAGCCAAGACAGTCTTTACAACAAATTGTGCAGGAACAACTGGACATGGACATGCAGAAAAAATGAATCTAGGCACAAACCTTACACTCTTTGCAAAAAATTAACTCATAAACCTAAATGGATCACAGACCTAAATGTAAAATGCAAAACTATAAAATTTCTAGAAGATAACATAGAAGAAAAAATCTAGGTGACCTTAGGTTTAGCAGTGAGTTTTAGATACGATACTAAAAGCATGATCCATGAAAGAAAAACTTGATGAGCTGGACTTCATCAAAAATTTAAAAGTTCTGCTTTTTGAAAGACACTGTAAAGAGAATGAAAAGACAAGCCACAGACTGGGAGAAAATCTTTACAAAATACACGTCTAATAAAAGGCTTATATCCAAAATATATACAAAGAATACTTAAAGCTCAACAATAAGAAAACAAACACTTCAATTAAAAAGTGGGAAAAAGATCTGAACAGATACCTCACCAAAGAAGATACACGGGTGTCAAGTAAGCATATGAAGAGATGCTCACTATCACATGTCATTAGAAAACTGCAAATTACAACAACAATGAGATACATTACACATCTACTGGAAACCAAACACTGGCAACACCAAATGCTGGCAAGGATGTGGAACAGTGAGTACTCTTATTCACTGCTGAGGGGAATGAAAAATGGTACAGCCACTTAGGAGAGTTTGGCAGTTTTTTACAAAGCGAAATATAGTCTTAACTATATGATCCAGCAATGGCACCCCTTGGCATTTACTCATGTGAGTTGAAAACTTATGTCTACACAAAAACCTGCACATGGGGAACAGAAGGCCAAATACTGTACGTTCTCACTTGTAAGTGGGAGCTGAATGATGAGAGAACACAGGGACACATGGAGCGGGGAACAACACACTGGGCCTGTTGGAGGGTGGGGGTGGGAGGAGGGAGAGCATCAGGGAGAAGAGCTAATGGATGCAGGCTTGATACCTAGGTGATGGGATGATCTGTGAAGCAAACCACCATGGCACACGTTTACCTGTGTAACAAACCTGCACATCCTGCTTATGTACCCCCAAACTTAAAAGTTGGAAATTTTTTTAAAAAACTAAACATGGCATTTATAGAGCTTTATTCATAATTGCCAGAAATTAGAAGCAACCAAGATGTCCCTTAGTAGGTAAATGAATAAATAAACTGGTACACCTAGATAATGGAATATTATCAGCTATTAAAAGAAATGAGCTATCAAGCCATGAAAAGATATGGAGGGACCTTAAATGTATATGGCTAAATGAAAGAAGCCAGTTCAAAAAGGCTGCCCACTATATAATTTAATTATATGACATTCTGGAAAAGGCAAAACTATGAGCCAACAAAGATCAGTGGTTGCCAGGGGTTGGAGGGGCAGGGAAGGAGTGAGCATGTGAAGCACACGAGGTAGATACTGAAGACAGCAAAACTATTCTGTGTAACACTGTAATGGTGGATACATGACATTATGCATTTGTCAGAGCTCAGAGAATGTGCAAAACCAAGAGTGAACCTTAACACAAACTACGGACTTAACAATGAGGTATCAATATTGGTTTATCACTTATAACAAAATACCACACGAGTGCAAGATATTAATAATAGGATAAACTGTGTGCAAGGGGAGATGGAGTATCAAGGTATTCTATGCTTTATTGTCAATTTTTCTGTAAACCTAAAACTGCTCTTAAAAATAAACAGTATTTTTTTTTTAAGAAAATTGACTTGGTGAAGACTTGTTTGATCAGATGATTCCAATTATTCAAAGCAATTCATTTTGCCTTGTTCTATAGATATTGGTCAGTGGCAAGTTTCCCATAAGAAGTGATTTATTGGTCTTCCATTGGGTCTGAACAATGCACACACGATAGTTTTAAATAGTAGACAATCAATACTGTGATGCCTAATCTATGGATGAAAAAATTAAGTTTACAAAGAAAGATGAGACATAAAGCAGTGGCTAGAGTTCGGGCCTCCTGATCACTGGAACTACAATACTTAATTGATTCGATGGTTCTGACACGCATGAGGGGACAGTCATTTTAGAAATATGAACAGAGATATGACTACATATTAAAAGAGGACTGTAGCTGCCGGTTCTGCCACTTGGGCAACTCATGCTGTCTCTGGAATCACTGGAAAGGCTGATGAACTTATCTCGTGGGCCACTGCCTCAGTCACACCCGGTCCCACAAACAACTCAGTCACAGGTGAAGGACCTTACCTTGAGGAAGGTGCATACCTGGTATGAAAAGCCTCTAGTCCTTTGGGGCTATCATTCTTTTATGAATCAAAAGACTATTGGATTTATTCAAATCATAGCAGTACTCAAAGAAAAAGTACAATTTCTCTCTCTTTATATCTAGAGACAGAGAAAGAGAGAGAGAGAAAGAGATGTGAGTGTGGGCACAGTCAAAGAGAGACAGGGAGGAAGGATGCACGTTTTCTAAACCAGAGCTGCTGATTTTAAATCTTCTATCAGTCAGGATGGGTCAGCTTGTGCTGCAACAATAAATAAAAATTTCAGGAGTGAAAAATAGTAAAGATTTGCTTCCCCCTCACCCTATATGGTATTCTCATGGGAGGGGAGGATTCCACTCCATTTTATTCCAGCATGATGGAGCCCCACCGTTTGGAATGTCGCCAGTCACCAGAGCAGAGAAACGGAAGGTGTGAATCATGCACCTGCTCTCAAAGACTTCCACAGGGAGGTGGCCCTCGTCATCCATGCCACATGGATCCATGCCACATGCTCACATGCCATTGGCCAAAGCAACCTCATGGCATGTCTGACTTGAGGGGATGGGGAAGCAAAATCCTACCATGTGCGTAGGAGAAGGGGAAGGGAGGGACCCGTGAGTGGCACTCATGACTACTCTTTAGATACCTTTATCAAAGCTCTTTTTTGATGTTACACAAAATGGATTTTGTTGGGGGATGAAGTGGAGGAAGAAGGGCAAATACAATGAAATTGAATTGATATTCTATTTCCTTGGGCACAGCTGAAATAGGGGCTAGGCCAAAGCTTGCCTTGGTTTAGAAAATTATAGATAATGCAAATTAGTATTCAAAATGTAATTTAGTGAAAGTTTCAAATAAGACTTGTGAGTTCTTTAGAAAAATGGTCAGTGCCCATTGGCCAAACTGAACCTTGTGCTAGCAGAGCACAGTTGAACCCCTCATGAATTAGTTCATTCCACAGTATTCCATGGCCAAAATTACACCCTTAATTCTAGGTGGCCTTCTGAGAGAGTAATGGGCTGATCAAAAAAAAGAGGGTCCTTTAAGAGATACAGGTAAAAAAAACATCAGGAAACAAGACTCAGCACACATGACTTATATGAGGAAAAGCAGGAGCTTTCGCTTTACAAGCAATCAGTCATGATTGATCATCGTCATCATCACTGATGTGCAAACATACAGCTGGCCTTTTAAAATGAGGCTTACTTAGTCATTAAAACAGGACTCCAACCTGTCCAGCCTTTGAATCTCACCAAAGTCAAATAAGAGAACAAATAAACTCATTTATTTAATAAATATTTATTAAGCAGCTACTATGTGCCTGTCACTGTCCTAGGGAACAAATGTAAATTCCTGCCCTGAAAGAATGAATAAAAAATTTTCATCTTAGGTTAACTTAAAAGCTATGATTGCAGTTATCAATTTTTAATCTTATAACCCAAATTTTCCATTTGTATATTAGATAAAATAACTGTTTCGGGCCTTGGGAAATCTGGGTCAGAGCTCTGCATCCAGGCATCAGGGCTGTGCACAGCAGTCCCTGTCGGTCAGAGCGGCTCTTTCCGCCCTGGAGGCACAGCAGGATCCGGAGGACAGGATGGATGGGACACAGAGGGAGGAGGAGAATCCACCTCCTTGGTCTTCTGCTGGCTTCCTGTACGACACCAGGACAGGCTCTGTGCTGAATTTCTCTATCAGCAAAATGAGAGCAGCATTTCTTGCTCCTGTTCCCACTCCTCCCAGGGTGTGTCATGGATTAATTACCCATGATCTAGAAAGTACTCTAAGTGCCTCATAGAAAGGAGGGGTTTCAAATGCAATGTTCCGCTTTAAGTGCCGCTAAAGAACCAGGGCATGGTTTCGGTGCCTGGCTTCCCAAGGAAGGATCTGTATATCCAGCAAGCCAGCTCAATTTCCCTCAATGCTCCTTTATTGAGGGACTTGCTGTCAGACGAATTTGGAGATGCGAAGACAAAAACAGTTCCTGTCCTCAAACATCTGGCAATCTGATGGGGAAGTGGCCATGGGCTGATTGAACTAAGTGTGCTCAACAGGGTTTGTGCTGGACAGTGACTCAGTTGTAGAGTTGTGTGTGAGAGAAAGGAATACCTGAGACTGGGGCCAGATATGACAGGCAAAGCACTGGGTTTGGAGTTCAAAACCCAGCTCCGTCACTGTGTCGAGTTTCTCATACAGCCTGGCAAGTTGTAGGTATTTATTAAATATCTGTTGAATGAATGACTGAATAGACTGTTCCCCGTACTGGTAAACTGGGTCATTTTTCCCTTGTGCAAAATAGGATTGTAATGCCCATCTCTCAGGGTTGTGGTGAAGACTCCATGGGAAAATGCATCTGGAAATACCCAACTAATCGCTGATACCAGCACTCAGTAAAAGTCTGCTTGGGAGCAAGGTCCTTCGAGGTGTCAGGAAGGCATGGAGATGGGGATAAGTAGGACTGTGGGGGCCAAGGTGTTTGGGTGGGGTGGGGATGTAATTGCCAGGGGAAAGAGTTGCGAGCAGCCACATGTAGGAGCCAGCTGGAGGGAGGGGGCCAACCAGGCACATCTGGGATGTGCTAGGCACATGGCAGCTGGAGGACATGGCCACATGGCCCCTCTTCCCTGAGAACAGAAGGTATTGGCACAGATGCTCTTAAATGTGACCTTCCTCTGATGCCACCGCCTCTAATATCCAGACCACCATGACCTCATTCACTTGGACACAGCCTCTTCTTTGAGTCTCCCTTACATCCCATGGTCAGTGAGCTCTCAAGAACTGGGGGTTCTACTCTCAGAAGAACTCTCCTAGGTCCTCTGTTGCCCCCCGTTCCATCACCAGGAATGCTCGCTGCCCTCCTGGCGTTACCTGGTCTCCTTGCTGTCAAGTGCAGCCCGGTGTGATGTTATCTTTGCTGGAGGCTGCCTTGGTCAAGCACTCCTGGGCTCACTCCTCTCCCCTTACCTGACCCCTCTTCTCCTCCTCATTGTGGCCTCCTGGGTGTTGTCCTGTGTGAATCCCACAGCCACACCTCGGCAAACTGTGGGATTATTTTGTATGTTCCCATAACATCTAACACAGGCTTGGCACACTGTATGCTTCAATCAATATGCATGTTTTCAATGAAGGAATCAGTCCCCATCCACCCTGTCCACATCTGAGCAATGTTACTATTTTTCCTGATAAGAACACAGGCCTTGGAAAGCACCTTGTACATTGCAAAGTGATGTTACTTCTACAATCTCTTTTGCTCCCAAAACCAACTCCACAGAGAGTTACAGAACTTTAGGAAAGTGATGTGATTTGCCCAAAGCCAACAGATACGAGGGTGGGATTGAAATCCCAGTTTCAGCATCACAGGCACCATTTCTCCCACCACACAGGCTGCCTGCTGAGAAATTACAAACCTTAAGTCACAGCGGCCCCCAGCTCTACCCCCAATCACCCCTGTTGGCCTCTGCTTTGACATAATAATCAGGGTCCCCATCAATTACCATCTTACCCCAAATTCTGAGGAAATGCCTGTCTCCCCATCAGAAGCCCTCAGTGGGACATCTCTCTTCCTCTGACAAGCTTGGCCACCCCAAAGGGCGCCCCTGTGGCTCCTGCTCCCTCTACACAATCAGTCCAGTCCCTTTCCCCCAACTCTACTCTCTTCATCCTAAACTGTTGCCCTGAACTGTTCTCAGCTCCATGCATTTACTCCTTGCCTTAAAGGAAAAAAAACCCCAACACTTCTCCCAAATCGAGTTTGCCATTAGACACCCTCAATAAGTAGCTCATTAAAGAAGAAAGGGAGGGACATTCTGCTCTTTGCTGTACAAGACTGGAAAGGGCATGGAGTTGGGAATTGAGAATGCTGGTGATGTCATTTGGATATTTGTCCCCACCCAAATCTCAGGTTGAGTAATCCCCAGTGTGTATGTGGGGCCTGGTGGGAGGTGTTTGGTCATGGGGGCGGATCTCTCATGGCTTGGTGCTGTCTTCATGATAGTGAGTGAGTTCTCGTGAGATATGGTTGTTTAAGAGTGTGGCACCTTCCCCCTACCCCGCTCCTGCTCTGCTATGTGAACTGCCTGCTCCCACTTCGCCTTCCGCCATGACTAAAAGGTCCCTGAGGCCCCCCTAGAAGCAGATGCCACCATGCCTCCTGTACAGCCTGAAGAACCATGAGCCAATTAAACCTCTTTTCTTAGAAATTACCCAGTCTCTGGTATTTCTTTATAGCAATGCAAAAATGGCCTAACACACCTGGGTTTGGTGCCTGCTCTACAGGGACAGGTGAGGCTTCTCAAGTGACTCCCCATCTCCCCTGGGGTCTCAGCTTTCTCATTGTAAAACCCATGGTCAGGACGATATGCTTCCCACGACAGCTTTCTCTGCCACCAGCCAGGATGCTTTGGAACAGAGGGTAGAGCCCAAGCGCACAGTCCTGGGTTTGAATTCGGTGCTGCTGCTCAGCAGCTGTGCAATCTGGGTGCACTCCCTGCCCTGCTCTGCCTCACTCCTCAGCTGTAAACTGGAGACCACACTGGCCCTCACCCAGGGCCAGTGGGGGAGTGGCGTTTAAACGGGGGAATGCAGGTGCCTAACCCAGTGCCTGGTGTCTCAGGAAAGCACCCTAAATACTTGCCATCATTACTCCAGTGGAAGCCAGGTTCGCATTGGACATCTTAGCGTATTCTTGGCTGACTCTCTTTCTCTGACATATAAATGTAGGGTTCCTGCAGGGACCCATTTTCATCCTGTATGTGTTGTGCAGTATGGGGAAGGCTGATAGCACGACAGTCAGCGTGAATCATCCTCCTGCCCGTGGATGCCAGTTGGCAATGCTACCCCGGCCGCATGATGCAGAAATGGGAGCCAAAGCTGGGACAAGGTAGAGAGGAGGGAAGGAGCCCCAGTGCCTGCAGAAAGAGCAGAGGGTTGGAAGACTACTGTCGGCTAGCTCAGGCCACGCCAACTGACACATACGGAGTGTCCACTGCTGTGCACACAGGCTCGTGTGCAGCATCATGTGTGTGTGTGTGTGTGTGTGTGCCTGTGTGTGCTTGTGTCTGTGTGTGTGTATGCAAGGAGAGGGATATACTTATTGAAAACTAAAAACATTGTTTCTACCCCAAGGAACTCACAATCCAACTGAGAAGCTCAGACAAGTAGCTAAAATTAATTCAATTCAGAACATGGCACGTGAAAAGGTAGGAACAAATGAAGCACAAATGAGGACATCCAAGCTGCAGGGGCTATGCAAGGTTTCCCCAAGAAGGAGAGAGCTCAGACGGAGCCTTGCAGGAGAGGAAGGATCGCACCGTTCATTCACTCACTCGTTCCATAAAAATGTATTGAGCAGCTACTGCATCTTAGGCCTGTGCCTCCTGGAGAGGCAATGGCAAAGAAAAACAGACACAGCTTTTGGGGAATGGAGTGGAGAAGAACATTTGGGACAAAAGAAGCAGGAAAAGCAAAGGTACAGAGGCAAGAAATGAAGGCAGAGCTGGAGGCAACAGCAGAGAAGGGGGCAGCTGGCAAGGCCGTTAGAGCTATGGCTGGGAGGATTCAAAGGCCAGGCCGAGGGCTCGAACTCCACCGGGAGTGTGCAATGCAAGGCCTGTGTGGAGAAACGGAGAAACATGGGAAGAAGGAGCGCTTATGTGGCCAGAGCAGGGACAGCAAGGCTGATGGCAGCAGCTACAGGGAGCACGAGGGGGAGCGCAGTAGGAGAACAGCACCCCAGGTCCCCCACTGTGCAGGCAGGCAGCAGGGGGTGGGCCTGGAGGGTCACAACAGGGGACGAGGTGGACCCGAGAAAGCAAGGATCCAAGGTCAGGACACAGGCGCCCTTAGACTCCCAGGGCCTGCCTCTCCCAGAGGTTGCCATGGGCTTCAGTCTCCTCAGAGGAACGACCAGGCGGTTGTTTGAGAAGTAGGAATAAACAGCATGGGTTCAAGCACATGGCAGGTCCAGTACCAGGTCCGGCAGGTACAGATGTATTTGACCCTCATCCTTGGTGACTGGACAGAGTGGCTGGGGGGTTGAAGGTGTCTTTCCAGAGAGGGAAGGGGAAGTTGCACAGTGGGCACAGCATTCAGTCGTGCCACAAGAAAGGCGTGCTGGAGATGGGCTGCACAGCAGCAAGGCGTCCTTAACACTGCCCAGCTGTGCATTAGAAATGGTCATCATGGTGATTCTATGTCTATTTGAGTCATAATTTAAAATAAAATACAAATATTCAATAAGAGCAGATTTAAAAGGAGAGAGGAAAATGGCTCCACAGTTCCAGGTCCCTGTGACCAGGAGCACGGTGGGAGTCATTCAGAGAAACAGGAAAATCTAGAGGATTCCATTTGGGGATAGATGGAAAGCCAGGTTCCTTTGGACACATTAGGATTGAAGTGCCTGCTGGACTCTGTTGAAGATGTCCTCCCTGCCAAGAGCAATGTGAAACAGGAAGCCGGGAGGTGACACAAGGACGAGGATGAGCTGGAAGGTTACTTGGCCTCCCAGGCCTCACCAGAGCCACCAGCCGATGTGGCACAGCCTCATCCCGAGCTCCACCAACAGCATGCCTCAGCCTCCACCCACGCTGCTCAGGTCCCCTGGCCCTACCACTGACATTCTTCCCTCTCCTCCCACCTCTTCTCTTCCCATAGCTTCTCCCTCCCGGTGACTTCACTGCGCCACGACCCTTCTCCCTCTCAATTGGCCTCTCCCTCAAAATGCGCATCACATCTCACGGCCTCTCTCTCCATATCTTTCAACACCAGCTCAGCACTTGAGTCTCGGAGGCAACTTTGCCAGCAAATGAGAATGTACAAATTAAAATGTCATGTGATTCTATTCTTTTTTTAGCTCACTGCCCAAAATTTAAAAGTATGGCAATGGCTAGTGCTAAAGAGAGTGTAAGAGAATAGAAATCTTTATATTTGGGAGTGGAAATTTAAACCCGCTATAACCATTTTGGATATTAATTTGGTAACATTTATTTAAAATTTTTTAAATGCACACTTTGACTTAGCAATCCTGCTTTTCAGTAACTGTCTTCAAGTTTGTAAATCTGCATATCTAAGAATGTTTGCCGCGACGTACTGAGTATTGCATCAATGGGGAGGTTATGGAGTATGTCAGCAGACATTCACTCAAAGCCTAGAAGCAGTCCCTGGTAGAGCTGCAGTTCTGAGCCTAGAGAGATTCTACACTGCAGACCAATATATAGAAGATAAGTGTGTGTTTGTGGGGGTATGTGTGTAAACATGTGTGTATATTTAGATGCCTCTTTAATAAAAGAATAAAATCAGGAAAATAACATAGTAACTTCTAAGGCTATGTCAAGGGGACAAGATTTCTTAGGCCTGGAAAGGGGAAGGGGTAAGAATTTCATGTCCATGTATGTTTTTAAAAACTGGTATAACTGGGGGAGTGATTTTTCTTTTAGATGTTTATGAGTATTTTTCATATAAAATAAACTTAAAATCAAAATAACGAAATATTCCTGATAGAGGGAATCTCTTTGGTGCAGTTCATTCTTCTAGACCAGGCAATGACATAGGCTCCTGACAAGCCTACTGATTGGCTGTCACGGCCATCGCTGGGTCATGTGATACCCCCTTCCAATCAGGGTGGGACAGGAGCATATGGAACTAAACGAGGCTGGAAGTGGGCTGTGGTAAGGGCAGCTTCTCTTGGAAGGGTTTTTAGGAATGTAGACATCATCATGGAAATGCCTAGTTCTTTCCACCTCAGCCAAGGACACAAATGTGGGAAATGTCTACTTTTCAGGGACACATAGGCAAGAGAGGATTTGAGGGAGGTCAAAAGAGAACTAAAATAACACGATGCTGAGAGGGAAAGGAGACAGTAGAGGGAAGAAATTAAATATGAAGAGAGATGAGCAAGTTATCTATTGAATAAGCATTTACCCAATGACTATTATTGCAGGTGTTGCTCTAGTGCTGGGGCTACAGCAGTCAACAAGGCAGGTGGGACCCTGACTTTACAGAGCTCATGCTCTGTGAGGTGGGAGGCACGGCCAAGGACGGGCAGAGGGAGGGACAGGCATTAGTAAGAGTTGGTTTAGTTGCAAATGATAAAAGACCCAACATAACAACAGCTTAAACAAGTTAGACTCTCATCTCTTTCTACCATAAAAGAAGTCCAGAAAGACGTGAGCCAGGGCTTTCAGGATCCTTACTGTCTGTGCCCTGCTCTCCTGCGCATGAGGCTTTCACCTCAGAGTCCAACATGGCTGCTTCAGTTCCAGCAATCACATTCATGTTCCAGCTGACAGGGAGGAGCGAAGGGGATAGAATGAGCGTGCCTCCTCCTTCCAAGCATGCTTCCACTTATATCCGATAAGCCAGAGCTGAGTCATGTGGCCACACCTCAGGTCAGGGAGGCTGGGACATGCTGTCTTGTTCTGGGTGAACACATGCCTGGCCAAAATCCAGGGCTCTGCGACCAGGGAAGAAGGAGAGGATGGCTAGCAGGAGACACCGGGCTGTCTCACCACAGGAAGAAGTCAGAAAATAAGCAAAAGAAAGTGGCATGGAGTAATAAGTGGTTTGCTGAATAAACTCCAATGTGAAAGAAAGTAACATAAGATGCAGCTCCTCCAGATGGAGCGAGTGGTTGGGAACAGCTTCTCCACTGAGGTGAGATTTTAGCTGAGACCTGAACAACAAGAAGGAGCCAGCCACAGAAAGATCTGGAGGAAGAACGTTCCAGGCAGAAAAGAAGTAGTGTGGAAGCCCCGAGGCAGGAGCAAACCGGACTTAGGATTGAAAGGCCGTCACCGCTGTGCACGGGGAGGAACAGCCGCAAAGCCATGTCCTGGGGGGTCCAGGAAGGCAGGAGCATGGGTGGGGCTTATTAGTGCTCCTCCTTAGAGACATGCATGTGTGAGTGTGCGTATGTGTGTGTGTGCGTGTGTGTAGGAAGCGACAGACAGAGGCCTCAGTCTCGCTCAGGTGTGTTCATGTGTTCCAAACATTCCAGATATAGGGTACCAAACAGATGAACAGAGTAGAGAGTCAGGGACAGCACTGTCATCCACCTGTCATGACTATCATTGTAGTAAAGATTTCTGTGACTCGGACCTTTGTTCCCTCTCCCCACCAACACCCGCTGGAGCCCCGTGGTACCTTTGCTGGGGGCTCCGGCCGTTGGGTGGTGGCGGCACTGCAGCATCTCCATGCAATCCTTGTGGGTTCTGATTACAGCCTTGCTGTGGCCTCCTGGCCTTGTCCTCATGCTGTTTTAGGCTGGAAACTGGGACTTAGATGATTGTTCTGGTCCCAAGGCAGCTTGGCCAGAGATGGAGGCCATTAAGAAGTGCACAATCATTTCACTCAGGTTCAGGTGGTGTCCAACTCCAAGAAAGCCAAATTATTTTGCAGCTACTATGTAATTTAATTCTCACAGCATCCTAGGAATTGAACAAATAGGTATTATTCCCACCGTACAGGTGGCAAAAAGAATTGAAACACAGAGAAAGTAATTGACTGACCTAGGGTTAAGAAGCAAGTTGACAGCATCACAGGCCTCG
Organism: Homo sapiens; assembly: GCF_000001405.40. Classification (NCBI taxonomy): domain Eukaryota; kingdom Metazoa; phylum Chordata; class Mammalia; order Primates; family Hominidae; genus Homo; species Homo sapiens. Next base: position 26,617,652 of record NC_000007.14, read on the forward strand.
CTTCCACTGTAAGTGCTTCGCCTGCTCGGCCATGCAGCCTCCCAAGTGAGCCGCTCAGGTTGCTAAAGAAACAGCCAGGGGATCCCTACTGTCCCCTGCTAGGGTGACTGATGGTCCCAGTCTGCCCCACACTGGGAGGTCTCCCAGGCAGGAGAGTCCTGGCAAACCAGGACAGTCGGTCACCCTCTCTGGAACAGTCTGGGAACTTAACATGCACTTACCTGAGGACCAGCTACTGAGCTGGGCCAAGGGGAGGTGGTCTCAAAGGCAGGTGAGGCTCTTCGCTTTATAACTTGCTGTGAAACCCGGACAGCTCAAGGGGAAAGAAAAGAAGGAGGCGTGTACAATGCCTAGGGAGATCTTTGTCCAGAAAGGTGAGTTCAGAGAGCCTGCTGTCTGACCACGCTTCCCCTTCCCTGGGCGCAGATCCTTAAAAGTGTTAAGTGAACACTGCTGAGTTCACTTACAAATAAAGGGCCGAGCTCATGCCTGGGGTCAAGGAGGGCCTCTTGTAAAATCCTTGTGATTAGAGTGAATGAAAGGCATAAAGGGAGATTACAGGAAGCTGCTGATCCCCGGAGATGAGAGAACACACCTGGCACGCTTTGTTGACAAGTAGACACTTGCGAATATTCCATTCCTCCTCATTTTCAATTCTCCTCTGAAATCGTGAGCAACACTGTGGGCTACAGCTTTCACTGTGATCTGATGGAGAAACAGAGGCAGAGATGAGCCACCAAAGAAAACAAGACCGCTCCCCTATCTTAGTCGGCTCTGAGTGTCTTCAGAAAAGCCCCCCAGGTGGGCACGATTATTCCCACAAGGGCTGTGAGCACACTTGTTCTCTGGTCATTTTCTCTTCTCCACGTGGGCATCCCTGAAACTGGCCTTCCGGATTAGGAGCCAAGGTCATGGTCTGCCTGAGTGACATGCTTTGCTCTTTAGAACCTGAGGCGTGTCCATGGTGTGGAAAGGGTTAAGCATGCAGGCCCTGGGATTTCCGATTCCCGTGGGAGAACAGCAGCATTCGAAGGACAATTCTGAGCAAGCGTGTTGTTTCGAGGCCATGCTGCAGTGTAGTTCCCAACCTAATTGGCCCAGGTTAAAGGCAGAGAGCAGAGGGAAAGCTGAAGGGTCCGGTTAACATCTTGGCTGGTGGGAAGCAAAATAAATCCGGTTACTTCGTTGGGTACATGAAATTTTAGCTAAAAGATTAAAGGATACGGGTATAAAGTAGAAACTCGTGAGTTTCTTTCAATGATCTTTCAGAAAGTTACTCCAGGCCATGTGCTCCACTTTCATTGCTAACAAAAGGGGACTGTGCTTATATCCCTTCCAGTGCCTGTTTTTTTTTTTTCCATCTCCGCAGCGAACATTCTGCTCTCAGCTACACAGGTGCATGACACAGCACCGTGATATCTCATAAAACCAGCTACAGCCAAGGCGCTCGCAGACACAATGGCTGAATTTATGAGACACACATCAGTGTCCCTGCAGGAGGCGGGCTCGCTCAGGGGGATTGGTTAAGGGGCTCCCTCCTTCTGTGTTACTAGGTCATATGAAGAACAGGCCACGTGTCCTGACAACACTCCCTGCTAGTATACCTGGGTAGTGTGCAAAAAGCAATCCCAAGACCTTGAATCAACTTTCACCATAGACAGTAATCTCAACAAGGTGTGAATCTGCCAGTACAGCAAGACTGCCATAGCAAGGGCTCTGGTAAATCTAGCTTTCATGGCAGGCACCTTTTTAGGTTAGGCAGGAAACACAGCAGACCAAATGTTTGCTTCACCTGAGACTAGGTTTAGAATTTTATCATAAAGGCCAGAGCCCGAAAGGCATAACTGATTTGTGTGTCTAGCGCAAGAATGTCCTGCTAGGTTTTGGAGGCAGGGAGGCCCAGGTTCGGGTCCCAAGTTTCCTACTTTCTAGCTATGTGGCCTAGGGCAAGTCCCCTCTGGAACACAAGGATGAAGTTTCCCCAACTGTGCTGCTGTGAGGACTGATGAGATGGCATATGTACAATACTTAACCCGCCATAAACACTTCAGAGTCAGAGCCACCAATAGTATTAGGTGTGGAAAGGAGAACTTTGTGTTGCAACTGAGTTTTTTCCAAGCAGTGTTTACAGAAATCACAAGAAGCCCAGATCAGAGTAAACTGAAGTGAAAAGGTCATTTCCAGGCCCTCTGGGATTCCATCTCCTTTGGCATCCCCTCCCTTAATGAACTCACCCCTCCCTTAATGAACTCATCCCCTCCCTTAATGAACTCATCCCTCCCTTAATGAACTCATCCCTCCCTTAATGAACTCATCCCTCCCTTAATGAACTCAACCCCTCCCTTAATGAACTCAACCCCTCCCTTAATGAACTCACCCCTCCCTTAATGAACTCACCCCTCCCTCTTCAGTCCCTGCCCCATGTGGCAGGGTGTTTTTAGCTGTGCATTGGCTGAGCAATTGATCTTCTAGAGCTGGCTGGGTCCACAGATCCTCAAAAGATGGGGGTCTGTTTCCTCACTCATTCTCCTTTCAGTGTCATTTCTGGATGAAAAGTACCACAGCAGCCTGGCAAGGAATGCTATCTGTGCCCATACCACAGAGTGCCATGCACAGAACCAGTGTGTTCTCCCAAGAACAGCAGGCAGCGGGGTCCTAGAAAGCTTCCTGGGAAAGCCCTGTCCATGTTCCTCACTTGGAAGGAGGAAAGCCTAAGAAGAGGATGTGTGTGATGAACGGTTTATTTCATCAAGGAGCCATTAGAAACAATAATCAGAAGGTAAAAGAGGATGAAAAGAAAGAAACATGGCGGCTCCCTCTCTCCCTCTGGCCCAGTCCCTTCCGCTTGTGTCCGGGAAGCTGTGGGCGGTGATTTAACATGACTCACTTGGGGGCATAGGCGCTATGAAGTTCAGTGGCTGGGTGCCAGGTGGCGCCAATGACACCCTTTTTCTCAGAGCCCGGGCTGAATGGACACCTCCCTCAAAGCCTTCCAGACCCAGGGTTACGGCCGTTCCCAGAGACATGTTCCCGTGCTGCTGGGCACACCTGCAGAGGGGAGGGAAGGTCCTGTGTTTGCTGGTGCTGCTCGTCCTCTCACTTCCTACCGAGCATCATGTTGCAAACAAATGACCTTGGCACCACCGTTTTGCAAATTGTCCTTTCTTGGGCTTTACTTTTTGGTCTATGTGAGCAAAATGAACTGAAGTCAAGGTACGACTCCCAATAACCTGCTGTGGGATGAGAGGGCTTTTGTCATTTATGCAGTCTGATTAGTTATCCACGCCCAGAGCTACACTTTCTCGATGCTTCTCAGCTCTGACTCTCACAGGGCCAGGGAGAAATTTTTGTGCCCCCTAAATCATGTAGTTGGATACAAAACATTCCCTGGAGGCCTACCATTCTCAAATCCCCGTGCAGGGCTCTGTGGGGTGCAACATGAAACTCGCTCTAACTCCCTACGTGGAGGACAGACAGACCCATCCTAACTCCAAAGCCAGACACAAGGGACAAAGGTACCAAAAAGGTGCAAGGTGCAAGAATGGACGACGCTGGTCTTCCAATTTGCTGGAATATCTGTGCGGCTAGAATGGTGTCTTGTTCAGCATATATCAGCATCTTGCCCTTGCTCTGTCCTGCCTGGCCACAAAGGACACTCAGACAACACCGGCCTCATAAATGCTGCCTGGAGAAAAGCCTAGCTAGGTACGGAGGGTCAGGGTATTTCAGAAAAGAGAAACTGCTTCAGCCAATGCTCATGAGATTTACCAGGGAATAGCAAACAAGTCTAGTGCAAGCCAGGGTTGGGGGAGTGGGAGGGTGATTAGCAGAGATCAATCTAGAAAGGAGGTCAAGGTTCTGTAGGTGGGGAAAGAGGGTGCTTGTGTATTAAAACTTGTTTTCCAGCAGTTTGGAGATTTCTCAAAGAACTAAAAATAGAACTACCATTCATCCCAGCAATCCCATTACTAGGTATATACTCAAAGGAAAACAAATTGTTCTATCAAAAAGACACCTGTACTCCTATGTTTATCGCAGCACTATTCACAATAGCAAAGACATGGAGTAAACCCAGGTGCCCATCAACGGTGAACTGGATAAAGAAAATGTAGTACATATGCTACCATGGAATACTACGCAGCTGTAAAGAGGAAAGAAATCATGACCTTTGCAACAACATGGATACAGCTGGAGGCCATTATGCTAAGTGAATTAATGCAGAAACAGAAAACTAAATATCACATGTTCTTATTTGTAAGCAGAAGCTAAATATTGGGTGCACACAGGCACAAAGATGGGAGCAATAAACACTGGGGATTCCACAAAGGGAGCAGGCAGAGGGAAGGGTTGAAAAACTACCTATCAGGTCCTCTGTGCACTACTTGTGAGACAGAATCATTAGAAGCCCAAACCTCAGCATCACACAATATACTTATATAACAAACCTGCACATTGACCCCTGAACCTAAAATTAAAAAGAAAAAAGAATAAATAAATAAAACTGGCTTTCTAAATATGCTCTGGAAGAGCTGATGAAAATGACATCTCTTAGGATGCAATTTGGAAAGAAGTGACCTGCACCTTCCCAAGGCTTCCTTTGTCCCACTCCCACGGCAGTGAGCATGTTTCACATGCCATGAGTGGATCTGAAGCGCAGGGAGGCAGAAGCAGCCACCGTTTTCTGGAACCACCTGAGTGGCAGTCATGGGGGTCCATTTGTGGAAGAAAGGAAATGTTTCCAGGCAGACATTTCATGGTGGATTCAAAGATTACAGGTTTTGGCCAGGCATAGTGACTCACGCCTGTAATCCCAGCACTTAGGGAGGTCAAGGCGGGTGGATCACCTGAGGTCAGGAGTTCGAGACCAGCCTGGCCAACGTGGTGAAACCCTGTCTCTATTACAAAAATTAGCTGGGTGTGGTGGTGTGCGCCTGTAATCCCAGCTACTCAGGAGGCTGAGGCAGGAGAATTGCCTGAAACCAGAAGGCGGAGGTTGCAGTGAGCCAAGGTCGCACCACTGCTCTCCAGCCTGGAAGACAGAGTGAGACCCTGTCTTGAAAAACAAAACAAAACAAAGATTACAGGTTTTGTAGCCAGATGGACCTGACTTGAAGTCCAAACCTTGCAACTTTCTCCCCAGTGACCTTGAGCAAGATGCTTTCCTTGCTGAGCCTTGGTGTCCTCATTTATAACTCAGAGGAAGGAACTCCAATCTCATCTGGCTGTGGCGAGGGTGAAATGAAATCATAAGACTGAGCCTGGCACAGAATCGAAGGTGTTCAGTGACTGTGAGCTCTCCTTCCCCTTCTTTCTGTTTTAAACCTGTTTTCAGGCTGCATGCAATTAAAAGTTTACAATGTTCTAAAACTGATTTTCCAATTTAGGGGCAGTAAACTGTAAGTCGCTGCTATTTTCCTAAAATGACATTCTTTAGATTGGAGTCTGTTGGATTTCTTTTCAATTGCATTAAATTCTACTTACTGCATTTCTAATAAGATACCAGCCTGTCTGGGAAAAACATCTGATGGCCGATTCTGACTATTAAAGCTACCTGTGGGAATAATAACACCCGAGACCTCCATCCACACACCTCTCCCCATGGACTCAGTGGAGGACATTTGTTAACAAATGTGTCAGACACCTTTGAGTTTAATACCGCTGTGCTCATTGCTTCCATTAGATGTGGCCTTGTAGAATCTTCCACAGGGCATAGTTTGGTTAAATTGTGATGGGACACAAAGGTGTGTAACCTGCATCGTAACAAAGACAAGGTGACAAAGGTTTTAGAAATCTGTTTTTTTTTTTTTTTGAGACAGGGTCTCCCTCTGTCGCCCAGGCTGGAGTACAGTGGCATGATCACGGCTCACTGTAGCCTAGACCTCCAGGGCTCCAGCAATCCTCCTGCCTCAGTCTCCCAAGTAGCTGAGACTACAGGCATGGGTCACCACACTTGGGTAATTTTTAAAATTTTTTGTAAAGATAAGGTCTTGCCGTGTTGCCCAGGCAGGTTTCAAACTCCTGACCTCTAAGTGATCCTCCCGCTTCAGCCTCCCCCAGGTGTGAGCCACTGCACCTGGCCAGAAACCTAGAACATTCTAGACAGGAGCTCCACCCATCACACTGTCAATCTCCCTCAGTCAGGTGAAAAGCGAGAGCACATACCAACCCAGAGAGAGGCACACGCATACAACTCCTAAAGAAGCGTCTGTTTTTCTTAACACAAAGAGTAAAAGATGCGTGCACTGGCCCGCCAGGGTGCAAGGAGGCCTTCCATGCTCTGGCCTCAGCCTGGACCAGGAGAGGTCGGTTGAGTCCTTGCACTGTCACTTGGACAGTCAGAAATATTTAGTTGAGGACAATTCTATCTGAGAAATAGCAAATGTGATTTTTAACAACTAAGCAGCCCTTTGGGGAAACATGGCCGCTTATAGCCTTGTGGGAAGAAAGTTGTCATGTGGCCTTTAAAACTGATTTTTAAAAAAACACCTAAACTGGCCAGGCATGGTGACTCACGCCTGTAATCCTAGCACTTTGGGAGGCCAAGGTGGATGGATCACGAGGTCAGGAGATCGAGATAATCCCGGTTAACACGGTGAAACCCCATCTCTACTAAAAATACAAAAAGTTAGCTGGGCGTGGTGATAGGCACCTGTGGTCCCAGCTACTTGGGAGGCTGAGGCAGGAGAATCGCTTGAACCCAGGAGGTGGAGGTTGCGATGAGCCGAGATCCCGCCACTGCACTCCAGCCTGGGTGACAGAGTGAGACTCTATCTCAACAAACAAACAAACAAACAAACAAACAAACGAAAAGCACATAACCTCTACAGGCGCTTGAGGGCCTCCATCTACCAGAGGCCATGGACCTCTTTGCAGGCAGAGAATGGGGAAGCAGAGTGGCCACATTCATGTTCTCCCCAAAGTTGGCTCTCTGCTGGCCAGGAGACCGTGGCTTATCCTGGCAGGAGCAGCTGAGAACTCCCCAAACACCAGGAGCCTCCAGCTGATATTTCCAGGATTTGCAAGCAAATATCCCCTTCTCTTTCCAAATTCAACCCCACCCGCAGCCCCTGCAGCAAGCCAGCCAGGGCTTGAGATAGGACCTGGGCACAGAGGAGGTGAACATGGAGGAAAGGAAACCCTGCACGCTTGGAGAAAAGTCTTTGTTTGGGAAAAAGACAAAAATGAAAACAGCATCTGTGGGTGGTGCTGGCTTGGGAGCAGCATCAACCCTCCCGTGTCTACAGACTCAGGGGTTCTGAACGCACAGACGCAGGGAGGTGGAAGGTGGTGCCCCATGAAAGGCAAATGCCGGGAGCTCTCCAACAGGCCAGATGACTTTCGCTGAAAGGAGGTGCCCTCCCTTGAGAGGGTGACAGGCTTCGGCCGGGGAAGCACTTGAAAATGTCTCTACAACACAGAAACAGCCCAGGTCGTTGCGGCTTGGCTGGCAGTGGGAAGTTTCCGGATGTCTGCCTGCACGTCCCACACAGAATTCTGCGTGTGTGTGGACAGAGTGCATGCAAAAGTCCCCCTTTTATGGGCAAGATCCAAAGAAATGCTTAGAAGTAGAGTGGAAAGGCATGGATACCTTGCCATTTTACTTAGAAACTAGCAGAATTTAAGAATGGCCAAATTTAACTAACTGCAGAGCAGGCTGGCTTAAGTTGTGGGGTTAAGTGGAAAGAACTGGGGTGTCAAGTCAGGTACCCTGACACCTCCCATGGTAGGGAGTGGGTTTGGGCACGCTGCTCTACCTCCCTGGACATCAGTGTCCTCATCTGGGCAGTATGAGTCCTAACACCTCTTATCACAGGGCGCCTACAGCAGTGACTCCCATTGGTGCTGCCTGGGAACCCTAACACCTGGGATCTTTGGAAAATCCTGAGGCCTGTCTTCCACCACCAGACATTCCACTTCATTGTCTGGAGTGTGGCCCGGACAGTAAGATTTTTAAGGTGTCCCCGGGTGATTCCAACATGCAGCAAAGTTTGCTAGCCATTGGCCTAGAAAGTAGAATGCACTCAACAAATGTTTGTTCTCTCCAGGACCAGCTACAATTTGTGGGACCCCTTGTTTACAAAGTTTTCAGAACTTTAAGTGGCGAAAGCAGCACATTAATCCAGCTCTGGGCATTCTGGGCGCAGGCTGCACGGGATGGCTTGGCTCAAGCGTCCATGACGCCAGTCTGCGTTTTTCTCCCTTCCTCCCCTTTCTAGCAGAGCAATGCCTCACATTAACTTTTTTAAAAAATTTAATTTTATATTTTTTGAAACAGAGTCTCACTCTATCACACAGGCTTAAGTGCAGTGGTGCGATCTCAGCTCACTGCAACCTCTGCCTCCTGGGTACAAGCGATTCTCCTGCCTCAGCTTCCTGAGTAGCTGGGACTACAGGTACGTGCCACCACACCCAGCTAAATTTTTTTGTATTTTTTGTAGCGACGGGGTTACACCATGTTGGCCAGGCTGGTTTCAAACTCTTGACCTCAAGTGATCCACCTACCTTGGCCTCCCAAAGTGCTGGAATTACAGGCATGAGCCACCGAGCCCGGCCAACTTTTAAAAGAAAAGAAATCACACAATGGACAAAGGGAACAAGAAATGAGGCGATCCAAAGTAGCTCTTGAGGGGTGTCATGCTAGCTGGGGCTACAGCAATGTTTCCTCAAGAAGCCTGGGACTTCCGCAGGAGAACATGCCTTGGGTTGTGAGGCTCTGGGGTGGTGCTGAGAGGCCTTCTAGAGGCCGGGTGCAGAACTCCTCTCGCCCCCATGCCAGTTCATACATCTGCACGTGGACATGTGTGACATACATGCCACAGCTCCAGAGCTGGGAAAAGTGTTACAAGTGGGAGACAGTTTCAGGTCTTACAGGAAAGGCCGTGCAGCTATGAAAATTCACCTTGCAGCCAGGAAGAATGGAACACACTCATCTCTAGAGAGAAGCTTTGTGGAGCCAGGAGAAAATGATGACCTACAGGGCTCAGCCCATTGGCCCAGGCCCTGTGGGAAGGCTTTGCCATTACAGGGCGGGTGCGGGTGGGTCTGATGCTGGTTTCTCCTTTTCAGCCTTATCAATGGGACCCCAGGACTCCTCTAGGGATGCTTGATCCTTTAATGCTGCTTTGCTGGAACAAGGGAGAGGTATAGTAGGGAGGGGACAGAGGAGGAAAGGAAGGCTGGTGCGTGCCTGTGATCCCCTCTTGGAAAAACAGCCCTGGGTCCTGTGGCCAGTGCCTCCCCTGCCCCCAAGCAGCTGTGATTTAGTGGAGGGGCCTTGAAGCAACAAGTCACAGGCTCTGTAAAAGCATCAGAAGTGGGAGAATCTAGCACAGAATTGACGACTGTCTGGTCCCCACCCCACTGTCTGGTCTTGGTCCTTAGGTTCACAGTGAGGGTTCAATGACTGCAGCTCCATAAACAGAAACCCAGAGAATCTGGGTCTGGGCTTGGCTGTCGGCTTGAGCCTGACCCTGGGCTGTCAGCTGCAGTTAGAGGAAACCATCTGAGAAGAACTGGTTAACAAAAAAATCAGGGACAATTACAAATCAGGGGATTCTTCTAGTTTTTAAATGGGAAGAGCAAAGTGCTTGGCTCTAAGAAGACTCTGTGGACATTTTACCCACCCGTGAGCTCTGGGCTTGGTCGCTGTGGGATTCCACCCTCCTGGGGGTCCGGCTTCATCTCCAGTCCTGACCTCCTTGAGATCTGGGAGACAATGGAGCTAACCTTTATGCAGCCCTCACCCCTGCCCCCAGTGGGGTTGTTGACTCCTCTGAGGGTCACTTTCCACCTTTGTAAGATGGGGATCATTATGGGATGTTTGCATGAATTAAATGAGACCATGCGCCTGTCCCAGTGCCTTCTGGGAGCACAGGAAAGGGCTCAGTCGTCATCCGCCCTTTAGGCGTCTGCGTGTGTCATCCTCAGACACCGATGAGGCGAGGACTGTTATTCTTCCCCTCAGAAAATGAGAACATTTATGGCTTTAGAGAGGTCAGATAACTGAAGTCGGTTAGTGGAAGCTCCAAGACCAAATTCCAGGTCTGTCTGAGCGTTGGAAGCACCATGGAGTGTCTGCACTGGCCCAAGGGAGAAGGAAGGTGGAATAGAAGGAAAGGAAGAAGTGTCTCAAGGGATCAGCTCATGCATCAGAAAACACACAAACGAAAAGCAGAATCTCGCTCTCCACAGCGGTGGAGGCCGCAGTAAGGAGATGGTGTGGGCACGGCCAGTTTAAGAAGCTGCCTTCATGGGCATCCCAGGATGGGCCCGGTCTCCAATGCCAGAGCTGAGCTGGCAGCTGGCACGACCCCTCCGCTTCTAATGAAGGCAGGCCCTGAGGCCGGAGAGAGAGGAGCAGAAAGGCTGCATGCAGGCTTCCATGCTGGGCTCTCCACCCCCAGGCCGGGGAGGGAGGGAGGCACTTGCTCCTCCAGACACCGCACTAAAGCCACTGCCAGCAGCCAGGGTGGCGGCCACTGCCGAAGGGGCTGGGCTGCAGCACGGTGGCTGGGAGAGTGATGGAGTGGCCTTTAATTGTTTGTCCTTTGAAACCCGGGAAGTGTTGGCAACAAAATGAGACTAGAGAGGCTGCTGGCAGGGACATGACGGGCTGGAGTAGAAGCTTCTACCTCCTAAATGGTTAAATGGCTGGTCTGCCAAGGCCACCAAGCAAAGTGGTACTTCACCACGGGGCAGATTAAAATATGCATTTTCTCCTAATTGAGCATAGTGAAATCAGCCGGCGGTCCTGTCACAAGTGCAGGAATGAATTGTCACAGCACGACACACACGACTCGACAGAGCATCTATTATATGGGGAAAAGAGCCACATAAACTTCCTTCCCGCTGGAATTTCAACTAATTTGTTGTCCAGCGGGCTGGGATGTGGAAGCTTGGAGAAGGCTACGGGAAATGGTCACCCATCCGTCCCTATTTCCCCAACAGCATCAGATGATCCAGTTGTGGCATCTTGTGCTTATAACGTACCATGGCAAGGTCTGGTTGCCAAATTGGCAAGAGAGCTAAAGGCTCTTGTATATGATTACCCTTTTGGGTTGTGTCAATCTGTGTTTTGTATCCAGTGTGGTTGTAGGGCATATGCATTTGAGGCAAATTCTATTTTTCCCACTGCCTTCCATTATAAAATTAGAAGTGTGTTCTTAGAAGAAAACTGAAAATCTCATGACAGTCTACCCTATTCAAGACTCTGAGAGCCAGTGAGGGCAGAGGGCAAGGTGAAAGCCTACGTGTCTCACGCAGATTTCTGGGGGATGCTGACATGCTCGGCCATGAAAGCTGCCACCACAAGAAGAGGAGAAGCTCAGTCCTGCTCAGGTGCCCTGTGGCTGGAGCCATCTGTTATGAGGCTTCTGTTATCCACTGGAGCATCTGTTGTAAGGTGGGCTTCCTGCTAAATTGACATCAAGCCTCTGCAACAGACAGAACCTGTGTTCTCCTTTTTTTTTTTTTTTTTTTTTGAGACGGAGTCTCTCTCTGTCGCCAGGCTGGGGTGCAGCGGTGCGATCTTGACTCACTACAACCTCCACCTCCCAGTTCAAGCAATTCTCCTGCCTTAGCCTCCTGAGTAGCTGGCACTACAGGTGTGCGCCACCACACCCAGCTAATTTTTGTATTTTTAGTAGAGACAGGGTTTCACCATGTTGGCCAGGATGGTCACAATCTCTTGACAACATGATCTGCCTGCCTCAGCCTCCCAAAGTGCTGGGATTACAGGCGTGAGCCACCACGCCCGGCCTGTGTTCTCCATTTTTAATGTCACAGTGCTTGACATTTTTGAACACATCTATAATATTTTTCTGTTTTCAATATTTATTTTAAACTGTTTACAGACACTTCACCATCTTAATTCCCCTCAATTTCTCTCTTTGACCAAGGCATCCATTTGAATCAATATTCCCATACAACACAGGGTCATTGTGGCCCAATGCTGATCTCAAATGAGTAGCAGATGCTCACATGGTTGGCACCCTTTGAGGTCATAGCCAACCAAAACCCACAACTCTTTTTCACATGAACCACTGGGATTGTGTTTGTGTAGTTTACTCTATGAACCTAAATGCAGGACTTTGCATTTACTTTTATTAGTTTCCTCATCATGGTTTCAGCTGTGTGTCAGCCTATTGAGAACATTTTGAATCCTGATTGTGTCATCTGTAAAGGAGCTGTTTCTCCTAGATAACAGATGTACTATGTCTACAAACTTGATAAACATGTCTTCTCTGTACTCAGCTAAATCAACAATAAAAATACTCAACAGAGCCAAGCACGAGCCCCACATAGCCTCTAGAAGCTTCTTCCGTTTCTCAGAACTCTCCTAAGTTACCGAGTCAGCCATCTGCCTGAATTTTTGTGGGAGGGACCATGACAAGCATATGGTGGGCACCTAACAAATATTAGTGGAATAAATTCAAAGGAGGAAATTTGAGTTCGCTTATTTTTTAATTAAAAGATATAACCACAGTTTAGGTAAGACTTAGGTGTGATTCCAGGTAACCACATAGAAATATGTCTAGGATCCTGATGAATGCATGGCATGTAAGATGTGGCCCACATATGGAAATTCAAATGCACTTTTCACTGAAGATGTAGTTGACGATAATGACCTCTTTGGTTTCAAGAAATGATTATAGATGAAAATAGAAGATGAATTAGCCTTAATGAGCATGCTTACTTGTTATTCTTCCCTGCTGGTGACATTAGCTGTGTTCTACCTTTGGTAGCAATGCACACATTGTTACATTTGGGGTCCTGGAGAGTAGATTGCTGAAAGAGCCCACCATGCCACTCTGGGTCCTCATTCCAGAAGGCCACTGTCAGCTTTCTGGATTCTGCTGCCTTCCTCTGTGAAGAGCTGGGCACCCGGGCTGCCTGAAGCCAGTGGGCCAGGGGAAGCCAGCAGCCGGGGCCGCAGGCCAGGGAGTCTCTCCTTGAGCATTGCCTCCCCAACAGGACTCAGTGTGAGGTGCTGCCATGCCAGTCATCTCACCCCTGTCCACTGGGACATGAATCCTAATGTTACTTGATTTCTAGATATATTTTCTTTGCCCCCCTTCTAATCGGCAGTAAATGCCACTTTCATACTGGGAGATCGATCATAATAACAGTAATAATGACAGCCGCCATGCACTGGCTGTTTGGAGTGTGTGTGTGCGTTATGTCATGGCATCCTTGCAGAAATCCTGTAATGGAGGCCGTACTGTTATTCCCCTTATGAACAGGGGAAGGAAGCTGAGGGAGGGGGTCACTTGCCTAAACCATGAAGCTGAGAAGTGCCTGCTGACTTCACAGTGCCTGCTGGTTGATTTTCCTGCCGTCTCATTTTACACTGGACATGGTTTGGTTAAATTTAATTGCACAAATAACTTCTGGATTCTCATCACATATCAGGCACTGTGTTAAATGTCACAGATGTTTCAAGTCAAAAGGCAAAACTCCTACCTGCATGGATCTTAACAACCCACGGAACTAGGTTTTGCTGTGGCAACAACCGCAAACCCTCAATGACTTAAAATAGCAAAAATGTGTCTCTCATCCATGCTACATGTGCGTTATATCAGCTGGGGACTGTGCACGATTGTCACACAAGGACCAGGCCGACAAAACAGCCACCAGTGCAAACACTGAAGGCCTCTGTGGAGAGGGGAAGAGAGAGATATAGATTGCTCACTTCAGGAGTTGAACGTTCATCCCAGAAAGGACACGCACCGCTCCCACTCCCGCACACTGTCTAGGACAAGTCCGGTCCCCCGACCTGGAGGGGCTTAGAAGTGAATCCTTCTATGATGACCACCATATGGATTAGTCCCAAGGCTAAGACAAGCACACTAGTCACTGTGACATAAGGCAGAATGCAGTGCCTCACAAGATATGAGCCGCAGGTCGAAAAGGTTTGCAGGAATAGAAAATAATTTCCCTTGGTGAGATCAGGAGAGGCTTTGGGGAGAAAGGACAGATTTTGGGAGATAAGTGAAATTGCAGTAGGCAAAGATGAGGGTGTGAGGTGGGATGAGAACCTAGGGTCAGAGACTAGTAAGAGGAGCGGCCCAAAGACAGGAGCGGGGAGGTGATCTGGAGCGGAGACCAGGTGGGCACAGAAAAAGAAGGAGGATGGCTGGGCTGAGCCTGCACGGAGAAAACTGCTCCCAATTTCATGGTCTTTGGGAGGTGCTGGAGGTGGCAGCTGTGACATGATCAGAAGTGCACTTAGGGAGTTTCTTCAGACAGTGGCTCGGACAGGAGTTGGAGGTTGTGGTTGCAGGGGCAGGTGGGAGGCTGTCACAGTATCTCGGGTGGGAGAGGAGGGCCTAGGTTAGGGGTGCTGATGAGGATGGAAAGTAGGGGAAGGGTCTGAGACATGACGTGGAAAGAAAACCCAGAGAACCCCAGAATCAGAGATGCTAGAATGTTAGATAACTTAATGTTATTGGGGCATGTGGGTGAAGGAAAGAAAATGCCCCGATTCCAAGCCTACACGAAGTACTTGGATGACATCCATGATTCTCTCCGAGAAGCCACGAGTGACATCCCCAGCAGGGTCAAGCCAAGTCTCACTTTGGTAGATGACAACAGGCCCCTGGTCCCAGAGATGTCCTATTCGGGCAAGAGCTTTCTGCCAAACCTGTCAAATATTTTCCTCTCCAAGGAGCATTTGAGTTAATTCACTATTTATTTACTAAATGTGCTGTAGAATATGTGTGGTAACACTGGGACATTGACACTGACCATGAAAAATTCTTTTACAACCTATACTTTCTTCAGGCCCCTAAGCATAGGGGCCTGAAGCTGATAAAAATATGCTTCCTGTATGCCTTGGACTTAGAAACATACTTATTTTTAAAAATGTATTCTTAGAGACTTTAAGGAGCTACAACATGTTGGCAAGTTTATTCTACATGCACAAGCAAGAATTCAATTCAGGAAACTTGCAATAGGTAATAGAGTGTTCTGCAGCGTCTGTACCATGTTATACACTGGTCACCATCATGAAGTCCAAGGTCTAATTAACCCTTCCCACATGTAACTAAAATCAAAATCCACCAGAGCTAAGGTTATTTTAATTTTTATATGGCATGCACACATCAGAGAAGCTCAGCAAATACCTGCATCTAATCTGCCTGCATAGCAGGTGTATCTATAAATGTTTAGGATCTGCTTTTTTAAAAATATATATATATTTTTATTATACTTTAAGTTCTAGGGTACATGTGCACAACGTGCAGGTTTGTTACAAATGTATACATGTGCCATGTTGGTGTGCTGCACCCATTAACTCATCATTTACATTAGGTATATCTCCTAATGCTATCCCTTCCCCCTCCTCCCACCCCACAACAGGCCCCAGTGTGTGGTGTTCCCCTTCCCGTGTCCAAGTGTTCTCATTGTTCAATTCCCACCTATGAGTGAGAACATGCGGTGTTTGGTTTTTTGTCCTTGCGATAGTTTGCTGAGAATGATGGTTTCCAGCTTCATCCATGTCCCTAAAAAGGACATGAACTCATCCTTTTTTATGGCTGCATAGCATTCCATGGTGTATATGTGCCACATTTTCTTAATCCAGTCTATCATTGATGGACATTTGGGTCGGTTCCAAGTCTTTGCTATTGTGAATAGTGCCGCAATAAACATACGTGTGCATGTGTCTTTATAGCAGCATGATTTATAGTCCTTTGGGTATATATCCAGTAATGGGATGGCTGGGTCAAATGGTATTTCTAGTTCTAGATCCCTGAGGAATCGCCACACTGTCTTCCACAATGGTTGAACTAGTTTACAGTCCCACCAACAGTGTAAAAGTGTTCCTATTTCTCCACATAGGATCTGCTTTTCATTGAATATAAAGGTTCTGTTAGTTATATGCATCAGTAAACATATTTTAATGCTTTTATGTTGTTTATCTTATTGTTAGATCAAGAATTTCAGAGAGTTTAGTAAACAGGAGAATGCTAGAGTTATGCATCAGCTTTCTCTTGGGATTTTTTTTCTTTTTTACATATGGCAAACAAGCATATTGATTCTCTACCTAAGGAAGTGGTTCTTGGAACTCAAGCCACAGGCGCCATATAAGGTCTTGCTGCTTAGGGTGTGGTCCATGAACCAACAGCATCAGCATGCCTCAGAGCTCCTTAGGAATGCAGAATTTTGGGCCCCACCTCAGACCTACTGCGGCAGTGGGTCATGACACAGTGGACTTTGGGGACTCTGGAGGAAAGGCTGGGAAGGGGGTGACGGATAAAAGACTACAAATTGGGTTCAGTGTATACTGCTGGGTGATGGGTGCACCAAAATCTCACAATCGCCACTAAAGAACTTACGCATGTAACCACACACCACCTGTTGCCCAAAAACCTATAGAAATAAAGAAAAAAGAACTAATGTGTTCATGAGGATTACTAATCCCAATGTCAAATGGAACACGTTAATTGCATGTGACTAAACTAATAGAGGACTTAAAAATATAGAACGAAACCAAGACAAGAGAGAGTTTAAAGTGAGAGAACATTTCTCCAGTTCACAACCAAATTCAGTCTTTGTTAAGAAATCGATTTTTCATCTTGAAGAATGAAACAATTCCTTTAGTCTCCCTAGAACTGTATCATTATTAATTATTCTTTTTTGGAACAAGTTACAGCTGTCTGCTATCCCCCATGGCCAGACAGACTCTCCCACGTCTGAGTGTCCATGTTTGTGCATCGTCTTCTCTCCCTTGTACTACTGTCTCATACTATTCCTTCCCGAAGGCAAGGACCATGCCTTCTTGACTTCTGTGTCACCAACAGAGCTCAGGCTCCGGTGATGGGCAGTTCATTCATTTTTAGAAAAAAATCACAGCCGAGAGGAGAGTGACTGATAAATAAAGGCGGAAGAAAATGGGACATTTCATACTCATATTTGAAAAAACAAAAAACAAGATCTGCCTGCCTGCAGGTAATTTGTGTGTACGCTGAAGTCTGGGAGACATTGACAAAAGGGACCCATACAGAAAGTGCACTAAAGAAAGTTACGTGACAATATGACCTGCAACAAGCCAGAAGCTCAGCTGAACTTATGGGTCTCTTGAAATTCAAGAGCTTTGCACTGCCTCATATCATTATTGCTTTGCTCTCTTTCCACCTGGCATTTCTTTGACAAAGTTGTCACTGTCTGATATCTTTTTTCCTGCCTATCAGGAAGATGCGATTCTTCTCGGAAGATTGACATAATTTTTTCTATGCATGCCCATTTTGTCTCTTTAGTTTCCTTGGAAGATCTTGGAAAGCAAGGACCCTTCAGTCTTTCTAGACTAGTTTTCTAAACTAGTAGACCATTCTAGTGCCCCATTTAGAATCTTCTACTTTTAAATGGTTAGAGATGATCCAGTTTGCATAGCATTCCTCAGACTTTTGAAATTCATGACTTATTTTGAAAAAAAAAAAAAGATCTCATATCCTATTGTTCAGTGAAAAAAAGCAAAATCCAAAACAGTATTTATAGCATGCTACTCTTCATGTAATAAAGAAGGGGAAATAAGAAAATACCCAGCTATCTGCTCCCTTGTATAAAGAAATATAAGTGGCTGGGCGCAGGGTTCATGCCTGAAATCTCAACAGTTTTGGAGGCCGAGGTGGGCGGATCACTTGAGTCCAGGAGTTCAGGACCAGCCTGGGCAACATAGTGAGACCCAGTCTATTAAAAAAAAAAATTTAGCTGGGCATGGGCATGGTGGTGCATGCCTGTAGTCCCAGCTACTCGGGAGGCTGAGGTAGGAGGATCACTTGAGCCCAGGAGGTTGAGGCTGCAGCAAGCCAAGATCCCATCATTGCATTCCAGCCTGGTGACAGAGTGAGACTCCACCTCAAAAAACAAAAAAAAAAAAAAAAAAAAAAAAGAGAAAAGAAAGGAAAAACAAATACAGGAACATAAACCAGAAACTAAAGATGTTGGCTACCTACAGGGGGTGAGTGGGAAAGGGGAGGGTTGAGGAGGGAAAGATCCTTCTCTGTATACAGCTTTTTGTACAGATCTGACTCTTTGACCATAGTAATTATTTACATAACACCCAAACTAAACAAATAATTAAAAGCAACTGGGATGTGGAGGGAACCCAAAATGGAATATAATAAACACTAATAAAGGAGTCTAACTCTACTGCAAATAAATAAGGTAACCACATTCAAGGAACAGGGAAGAAAATAACTAATCTAAACCACTGTGGAAAACAGTATTCCGCTGGATGCTGAAAAGCCAAGGGCATGGAACTGTGCATAAACGCTGTGATCAGTTAGTAAAAGCATTTCTCATGGCAGTATGAGCTAGCCGTTCAAAACTACTTTATATAGATACAGTTGACCCTTGAACAATGCAGGTTTGAACTGCGAGGGTCCACTTATACATGGGCTTTTTTCAACCAGGCGTGGTTTACGGTATTCGAGGGATTTGAAACCTGCAGAGGCGGAGGGCAGACTTTTCCTCTACTCATGTTGCCCAGGTCTGACTTCGGAACTTGAGTATGCACGAACTTTGGCATGGGTGAGGGGGTCCTGGAACCAAACCCCTGTGTATACCAAGGGACAACGGTAGTGGAATTGAACAAATAAGTAAATATATTGTATATGATGAGAGCCAGGGTTTTCACTGTTGGAGAAAGATGTCACAAATAAGAGAAGAAACAAGTATAAAATGATTTCCTGTGGTATAGCTTAGAATCATGGGTATCACTATGAACTCAAGATCTTTAAAGAGGGCAGGAGAGAAGAAGACAGAGGTAGATGGGTATGTTTGTGCAGCTTAGCATGCACACATATATACCTAGCCCTCTGTTTTGAGGGCTTAAAAGCAATACCATTCCAATAACAATGGACCCATCTACAACATAGATCTTGGTCTCTCCACACCATTCTCCTGTAAAAGGAACCAGGAATCGTGAAGAAGTGGCTGATTCCCAAGCCAGGACATGGAAAACACAAGGTCAGTCTGAAACATCTTGTGGTGCCAGAAAATAAGAAAATGCTCAAAATAAAGATAAGAGTCTGTCAAAAGAGCTCGGGAACCAATGTGAAAGAGCGAAGAGCTGAGACGATCTGAGCAGCAAGATAAAGATAGCGTTACATTTTAAGCTAGACTAAAAACATCCACAAATACAATAATTAAACATCCACACTGATATGAATAAACAAACAAAAACCACATAAATAATGAAGGAGAAAAGACAGCGCTTCTGCACAGTGGAACGCCAATGAATACATGTAGAAGGGAAGAGGACAGGACTCCACAGAGTGAGCACTGCAGACAAGATCTGCTGAGGGATGCTAGCACTGGTGAGTGAAAGCTGGAGGACAAACAGGCCATGCCTAGTCTCAAAGCGTCAGCCTAGATACTTATCCACTGCAAAGGGAAAGATAATAACTTGACAGTGAGAAACCCAGCAGACACCACCTTAATCAAGTGACCAAGATCAATGTCACCAGTTATAAGATGTGGCTCTCATGAACCCCTTGAATGATGCACTGAGGAAGATGTGCCATGATTTTTGTGTATTCTCACCAAAAAGGCATAACCTTACCCCACTCATGAGAATGCACAAACAAACCCAAACTGAGGGATATTCTCCTGTGGAACCGATCCATTTTCTTCCAAAGTGTCAGGGTCATGAAAGTAAAGGAGAGACCATGGAACCGTTACCCAGTGGAGGAGAAGAAGGAGAAATACAGCTAAATGCAATTTAGGATCTTAGATTAGATCCTGAGCAGAAAAAAAGGACATTAGTGGAAAAAAATTGTGAGTTTCAAATAGGACTGTAGTTCAGTTAGTTACATTGTGCCGATGTTAATTTCCAGTTCTTAATAGTTGTACTATGGTTATATAAGATGGTGATATCAGGGGAAATGATAGAAGAGATATAAGGAAAGTATATATTACTTTTGCCACTTTTCTGTAAGTCTAAAATTAGTTCAAAACAAAAATTTCTTTAAAAAAATCCTATGTCCTTTCTTTTAACATTAGATGAGATATGTTGATTGAACTAAATAAAAAAGGACCAAGCATGGCTTTGTTTTCGAGTTATTTATGTATGCAGATTTCAGCCTTCTGGGTGAGCTTTCCTGCCGCTGAGTATCACAGATTGTTCCAACACTCACTTTCATCATTTCCTTCACGAGGAAAGAGGCCCACGAAGGTTAAATGACTTATATGAGGTCACAAAGTCACTTGGAGACAAAATCAGCAGTAGGATCTCGGTTTCCAGCCCAGTGCAATTTCTGCTCTATCCCGCTGACCTCATTGTTGAGGTAGGTGGTAATGTAAAGGGAAGAGCTACCCCTTATGGGATGTTTCTTTCTATCAGCCTTTAGAGGGTCAGGTTTATTTGCTGGTGGTAGACTGACAGCCCAACTACTTGATAGAAACCCTACGTTGATGTCAGAATGCTGGACACCGCAAAGCTCTGGGAAGCATCTTATAACAACGGCTCAACCATTTCCTCTTCAAATGTACTGCTTAATCACATAAGTTCCTGATACGGTTTGGCTGTGTCCGCACTCAAATCTCATGCTGAATTGCAGTTCCCATTATCCCTATGTGTCCTGGGAAGGACCCGGAGGGAGGTAGTTGAATCAAGGGGGCGGTTACCCTCATGCGGTTCTCGTGATAGCAAGTGAGTTCTCACGAGATCTGATGGTTTTATAGAGGCTTTCCCCTCCTTCCCTCTGCACTTCTCGCTGCTGCCACGTCGCAAAGGAAGTGTTTTCTTCTCCTTCCGCCATGATTATAAATTTCCTGAGGCCTCCCCAGCCCTGCGGAACTGTGAGTCAATTAAATCTTTTTCTTTATAAATTACCCAATCGTAGGTATGTCCTTATAGCAGTGTGAGAACCGACTAATACAGTTCCTTAGGAAGCCCCTGCTGGGTATGGATGGGGAGTGAAGCAAGGTGGGCCCAGAAGCTGCCGCTGGCTGAGAGACCATGAAGAAAGTGTATAGAATCTCCACCATCACCAGAGGAAGAGAGCTTGGCAGGAAAGTTACTTCCATGAATGGATGAGTTGAAGTGAACAGCGTCTTGGGCAAAACTGAAGGGTAGTTAGTCGGGTTTGTCTCTGGTGGGCTTTCAGCTCCACTCCCTGCATCCCATTCCCACATCGTGATGGTCCCCTCATAGGCCCAGGGCTACCACCTTGGAGCATAGGTGGGGATCCTCCAGCCAGGGTCCTTCCTTCACAGGGAGTCAGAGCCCTCTGCTCCGGAATTGCCCTGCCCCAGGTCGGCCATCTATCAAAAGCCCCACTATCCCCTAAAGACCCACCCTCAAGCAGCAGATGTGCAGCAAGGGAGCCGCAAATGTCATTCCTGTGACCCCGAAGCAGTCTAGTGTGTTACCTCTCTCAGGGCTGCTATGGGCTGAATTGCTTTTCCCCAAAATTTCTATGCTGCTTCCCTAACCCCCAGCGCCTCAGAATCTAACTCTGGATAGGACCTGTGAATAAGTGATTAAGTTAAAATGGGGTCCTGTGGATGGGCCCTAACCCAATCTGACTGGTGTCCTTTTAAGAAGAGGAAGAGACACCAGAGATGTGCACACTCAGAGACAAGACACATGAGGACACAGAGACAAGGCGGCTACCTGCAAGCCAGGGAGAGGGGCCTCGGGGAAGCCAACCCTGCCTACGCCTTGATCTTGGACTTCCAGCCTCCAGAACTGTAAGACAATAAATGCCTGTTGTTTAAGGCCCTGGTCCGTGGTATTTTGTTATGGCAGCCCTAGCAAATGGATACAGGGGTATTTGAAATGTAATTGAGAGAGTTCCTAGGAAATGGAATCACTGCCTTGATTTAGAGAAATTAATGGAGGAGTTGGCAGTGTCATGACACATGGTGGGAAAGGTGTTTGAGGGCCACTGCTCCTCAGGTCACACTGTGGAGGTGGTCTGCTCTGCCTGTGCGAGCCAGGGCTGGCTGACACAAACACACATGTGCACATACATCCCCCCCCACACACACCACAAACACAGACACACACAGACATAAGCACACACCCACACACACCCACCACAAACAGACACATGCGCACATCATACACAAACACAGACACACACAGACCACACACGTCATACACAGACACACCACATGCACATATCATACACAAACACACACACCTACCACACACGCTTCATACACAAGCACACACACACCTGCCACACATACGTACACACATACACACCACACATACACATACACACATATACACACACTACACACATACACATACACACATATACACACACCACACACATATACACACACCACAAATACACACCACACACAAGTATACACCACACACATACATCCACACACATACATATCACACACACAACACATACATATCACACATAGGCACCCACCACACACATCGCACAAAACATACACACACATAGAAGCATATTCACACCCCACACACACCACACACATACACACCACATTGCATGCATATACACACACCACACTCATACACCACACACACATACATATTCACATACACACACACACACGTGTGTGTTCGCGCTTGGAGTGAGTCCTTGGCGTCGTGAGGCACGCTTCCCAAGACCTTCATTAATTCCCCAAATCGCAATAGTAACAGTGGAAACATGGCTTTTGAGGGCCGTCTACAGACCCATCCACAGCAGGCACACGGGCTGCCCAGTGGCCTGCCGGCACCACAGGTCACATGCACATAGTGCTCTGCACGCCATAGCTTGTTTCAGCCTCCCAAGAGTGTTAGGAAGGCATTGTTTTCCACTTTAAAAAAGGACCCATGCTGTGACATTTGAGGTCACCCCAAATAGTCAAGGCCACCACGAATGCTACATCTACAAGTTCCATGTATGCAATGTACATTAGATATATTTTCTGTTCCCGGTCCTGTCATCTCCCCACTCTCCTGGGCTGGTTAAGATAGCTGCCTCCTGCCCCTCTCTCACCGCTCCGCACTGTCCCATCCAGTACCCAGTTGTTCCCTAAGTACTGTTGATTCTCATTTGTGTTGTTTCCACAGCCAGAATCTGAGTGAAATGGGTATAAATCATGAGCTAGGATACAGTTCAATTATTCCTATGATGAAAAGGTAAGTTATTTTCTGGACAGTTTTTCATGTAGATACTATTAAGGAGAAGAAATATCTCAAACATGTTTTTTCATGCAATTTTAGGAAATTCATGAACCCAGGTGAGTTCATTCTAGGTGCACAAACTCCAGATTAGGAACCCCTGGTATCCTGTGCTTTATAAAAATTATTTTTAATTGTGGTAAAATACACATAACATCAAGTTTACCATCTTAACCACTGTTAAGTACAGTCAGCAGCATTAGGTACATTCATATTGTTGTGCAACCATCACCACCATCCATCCCCAGAACACTTCTAACATGAAAAACTGAAACTCCGTCCCCATTAAACAACTCCCCATTCCTCCCTCCCACAGCCCCTGCCAATCACTATTCTACTTTCTGTCTTCATGAATTTAACTACTGCAGGATGTCGTGTACATGGAGTCATGCAGTATTTGTCCTTTTGTGAGTGGCTTATTTCACTTAGTATAATGTCTTCAAGGTCATCCATGGTGTAGCATGGGTTCAAATTCCCTCCTTCTGAAGGCTGAATCATATTCCATTGTAGGTACAGTCAGCCTCTGGATATCTGTGGGTTCTGTATCCATGGATTCAACCAAATGCAGATCAAGAATATTAAAAAGGCCGGGCACAGTGGCTCACGCCTGTAAGCCCAGCACTTTGGAAGGCTGAGGCGAGTGGATCACTTGAGGTCAGGAGACTAGCCTGGTCAACATGGTGAAACCCCATCTCTACTAAAAATACAAAAATTAGCCAGTCGTGGTGGTGCACACCTGTACTTCCACCTACTCGGGAGGCTGAGGCAGGAGAATTGCTTGAATCCGGCAGGCAGAGGTTGCAGTGAGCTGAGATTGTGCCACTGCACTCCAGCCTGGGTGACACAGCAAGACTCTGTCTCAAAAAAATATATATAAAATATATATATAAAATATATATATATAAAATATATATATAAAATATATATATATAAAATATATATATAATATATATATATAAAATATATATATATAATATATATATATAAAATATATATATTTACATATATATACACACATATAAATTGCATCTGTGCTGAACACGTGCAGACTTTTTTCTTATTATTCCCTAAACAATACCATATAACAATTGTTTACATAGCATTTACATTGTATGAGGCATTATAAGTAATATAGAAATGATTTAAAGTATTTGGGAGGATGTACATAGGTTACATGCAAATGGTACATTTCATATCCACAGATTTTGGTGTTTGTGGGAATTCTTGGAACCAATTCCCTGTGGGTACCGAGGAGCACCTGTACATGTCACATGTTGCGTATTCATTCATCGGTGGGTGGACACTGCAGCAGTCTCCATCCCTTGCCTACTGTGAATAACGCTGGTATGGACATGTGCTATCCTGCTTTTATATTTACAAACTCTTCACTAAATTATCAGATTCTCACAATGACTTTGTGAAGTACGTATCATGATTACTTTCTCATTTTTCAGATGAGGACACTGTGACTTTATATGGCCATGTTTCCATTGTTAATATTGCAATTTGGGGAATTAATGAAGGGTTTGGGGAGCATGCCTCACAATGCCAGGGATTCACTCCAAGTGTGGGCACACATATGTGTGTATACGTATGTGTATGTGTGTGTGCGGTATATGTGTGTATGTGAGTGCAATGTGTGATGCGTATGTGAGTGTATGTCTGTGTGTGTGTGTGTGTGTGTGTGTTGTGTGTGTGGTGGATGTGTGCGGTGGATGATGAGTGTGTGGTGTGTGTGATGCATATGTGTGTGTGGTGTGAGTGTATGTGTGTGGTGTGTGTGTGGTGTGTGAGTGTATGTGTGTGGTGTGTGTGTGGTGTATATGAATGTGCATGATGTGTATGTGTGTGTGCATGTGATGTGTGAGTATGTGTTTTGTGTGTGGTGTGTGCAGTGTGTGTGTGATGTGTGAGTGTATGTGTGTGCTGTGTGTGTGTGTGGTGTGTGTGTGATGTGTATGTGAGTGTGTGATGTGTGTGAATGTGGGTTGTATGCATGTGTGTGATGTGTATGAGTGTATGTGTATATATACTGTGTGTATATATAGCTAGGTATAGACATAGGTATAGAAATATTAATAGAATACATAGTTTTGTCCATGGTTCCTGGCCCATAACTCCCATAGCCCTTTTGTTACCATGTTGGGTGCTTTAGGCCTCAGAAAACAGAACCCTTCTCTCTGACCTTCTCCTGCCCTCCTTTTTCTCCCCAAGGCAGGAATATTCCCCCACCTTTCTTTCTTGGAGCTGACCCTAAAGAAAATTTCTGACCTACCTTGCCTGACCGTAGGTCATAAGACCCCCATTTCAGAAGGGGTCCCGCCCCATCCCTGGGGAAGGAAAGCCACACAGACAGGCCAAGAAGGATCTGGACAGACAGGCCCTGCTGGGTTCCCCACTCCGTCTGTTCCTGCTGGATGGTACCCTTTGTGTCCAATCACCTTTCCACATGGTTGTCCGTGCCTCCATCATGCCTGTCCAGTGATGTCTCCGTAAAGGCCAAACAGGATGGGAGAGGATGAGCTTCGGGATGGCTGAGCATGTGGAGATGTGGAGGGTGGCGCGCCAGGGAGGACTGGGAGCTCTGCGCCCCTCACGTGCCTTCTCCTATGCGTCTTCACCTGTATCTTTCCTACTGTTCTATATGATAAACCGGTCAATATAAGTGTCTCCCTGAGTTCCATGAGCCACTCTAGCAAATTAATCAAACCCAAGGAGGGGATCATGGGATCCCCAACTTACGGCCGGTCAGTCAGAAGCACAGGTGAGAACCTGGGGCCTGGGGATCAGCACCGGGAGTGAGGTGAGTCTTGTGGGACTGAGCCCTTGGTCTCAGTGGCGGCGGGGGGGGGGGGGGGGTCTTCTGTGGTCTCCAGGTGTGTCGCGCCAGAACTGATTTGGAGGCCCCTCAGCTGGTGTCTGCTGCAGAACTGACTGCTTGTTGGTGGGGAGAAATCCCCACGTTTGGTCGAGAAGTCTTCTGTGTGGATCGTTGTGGTGTGAGGGAAGAGGAAAAATCATTGTGTTTTTTCCTACTCAGACACAGAAGCTCGAAGTTCACAGTTACTGTATGATCAAGCAGGGTTTGAATGCAGGTTTTCCCAAATCAAGAGTACTTGAATTTCAGCTCCGTTGGTTAAACATGGGGACCACACATATCCTTCAGTTGTTTTTGATGGGGAAAGGAATACTGTTTAGAAAAGTATCCTCCCCAGGACTTCACTGAATAATGGAAGGTGGGGATGACACCCTTGGTTTCCAGAATAATCTGAAATATTCTCAGGGGTCCTGAGTGAATACAACGCTAATCCCCATGAAATCTTTCCATTCTGGGCGCTCCTAAGGCCTGGGGTAAGAAGGTAAGGAGGGGATGCATCCCCCAAGCTCACAATGATGGGGAGGCACAGAATCCCATGTCTGTCCCCTTAGACAGCCTCCTTCCCCTAGAGAAAAGGGGGCTTGATGCCTACAGAACCCAGGCTGGATGGGAGGTGGGGGTGTGAAGAGGCAGCCTGGGCACTAATTCCTGGGAGAACTGGTACCCACAACTGCTCTACTAAGCCTCGCCTGCAAGAAGAGCTGTCCCTGAGCCCTGTTGAAAGGCTCCAAAACATTAACTGCCTGTAATTTTGACATGTCAGATATTTAATAAGGAACAAATTAGCACTTGGGTCTTTTTTTTTCTGAGACAATCCAATTTCTATGCCAGGCACCAACTTCTATATTTCAAAATGCATTTTTGAAGGTTAATTAGAGAAGCAGCAGAGATAGTGTTTTCCAAGAGGGATTTTTCTAGTTCCTTCCAGGTCTATGGATGGCAGAAAAAAATAACTTTCAGACACTGTAAATTGAGTGCGTGAAGCTGTGAGAATAAACCCATCTCATTAGTCATTGTGTCAATTATAGTATCTAAGGAACAATTTTGTAGCAATAGCATATTTATTTGATGTTTCGAAAGCTACCTGGACCCACTGTTAGGAGGTATTGGCTCTTAATGCTCCGAGTATCTCTTTAACAAAATGGCACTCCATAAAAATTTAGTGTGTTCCTACTGTAATTAAATGGGCCTAGTCATTTTTGCATTTATGATATAAACTATAATGGCTGTAAAATCCCGCAATTAACTTTCCTTGTGCCAACATTTCATACTTGAGAAATTCTCATTACAAATTTCATTACTGATTCACTTATCTGTAATTTGTCCTATGTAACCTAAAGAATATTAACAAATTTAGAGTCACTTTTGCTCTATTAAAAAAGAAATATAAAAGTCTTTCACCTAGTGAGTCAATCATGATACTTCAAAAGACCCCCAGAATGGGTCAAGTGTGATGGTGAGGACGGGAAGGAAAAGAGAGAGCACATTTGATTGGAAAGAGCAAAGTGGATGTGGAGGAAAGTAAGCAGGTGTCATTGAGCAGGCACAGACACACTTGAGACCCAGGGGAAAGTGAACTGAACACTGGAGAAACGACTGGGGAAGTAAATGAAGGGCCAGGGTTTCCTATCCAGGGGCCCGGAGCGCTTACCACTTCTGCTTTGGTTCTCCTCTCTGGTGCTTCTTTCTCTCTGGGGTCAGGGCTGGCTGGTGTGAAGCCTGCCGCAGTGTAACCCACCCTTCTGCCAGGTTGCTTTGGCAGGAATTCTGTCCAAGAAACTTTGCTGCTACCAATGGCAGTGGCAAGACGGAAGAGGAATTCATCTGAGAAGGTCCCCACCTAAGGGATACGTGTATTTCGATTTTCCATCTCCCTAGGCACGGTTGTCTTGAGAGGAAATTTGGAGAAACTTTCCTCCTCCTTTAAGCCTCCTCTTCCCGCACTTTTAAGGCAGAAACGAAAATACATCCACATTTAAGTGAAGTGAAAGTTGACTGACCTAGTGTCAAGAGCCCTGAATTCTCATCCTTGTGCTGTAATGATCTTGCTGGTGACTGTGGCAAGTTTTGTGACCTGTCTGGGCCCAATGGCCAGACTAGGAAAGGGAGGAGTTTCACTAGGATGACAGCTGAGACCCTATGTTCTTCCAAGAACAGTTCATTTTCTGGTAGAGAAAGCCAAGAGCTTCTCTTTACCCAACAAATGGGTGGTGCGGGGTGCCCTGACAGCCACCAGGTACAGCACAATGATCTCCACGAGCAGCAGCCTGCGTAAATATTTTCCCCAATAACATCTATTTCAGCACTTCTTTGCCTTCCATAACTGCATTTATTTTATTCTAATTTGTAATTAACTTTTACAAAATTAAGTTGGAGATGGAAAATTACTGTCCCGACATAAATAACCCTGCCGCTGGATGTGACAGTGTTAACGCAATCAACAGGATGATTCATAAAGAAAGAAATGTTGTCATACTTATTACTTCTGTGCGCTCCATCTTTTATAGAATATTACAGTGTGAATTGAAATTTTATATGATTTAATAAGCCTCAAAAAGATATTATGGCCAAGTAACCACATAACTGTAACAAATCGTCCTCCTCCCTCATTACAGAGCTTTCTCCGCATGTGGGACTCTCGGCCTCATTATGAGTGGCATCTTTGACAATCCAGGGCCCATTAAAAACACCTTGAAGAAAGCATTCACCATGCTGTGGAGCTTCACAGTCTATACCAGGCTGGAATCCTTGAGGGTGGCATTATCAAATGAGGAAATGGTTCCTTTCATTTTTCATCTGAAGACTCAGACAGCAAACATGTTATCTGGCCCTATAAGCACCCCGATGCTTCTGTGAAACCCAAGCAAGTTCTGCATCACCACGACAGCCGCGGATGTCAAATCATCAAAACAGCAGCAGAGGAAGGGGTTTATTCCTCCTCCAAATCTTCAGCTGGTTTTATAGGGTTACCAGTTTAAAGTTTCTTTGTTTTCAGAGCATCAGACCTCCCATTTGTAGCTGATAGCCATTTTTCAAAGGTTTCTGGCTCACCCAGGAATTCATTAGGGTGGACGAGAAAAGAACAGTGGATAGAATAGACCAGCAGGGCAATCTAAGCCCCATTCCCTGTCTCTTTACATTGGTTCTTGGTCCCCGTGACTCATCCAAACTCCCTTATATTCCTATCTGGAATGCGAAAGCTGGAAATACAAGTGCTCTGTAATCACAGGCAGTGGTTTTCTTGGAGTCTGGTGTGATTTCTGTAGCTTGCAGCAATATGTGGGACACACTTGCACTGAAGAATTTAATGACTTGTTTTACTGCTGTCTGCCATCAATATTTATCTATATTAACTGAAGAAAGGCATTACTCGAAATGGCATTTCACACCTCTGAGCATTATACAGTAATTCTAAAGTCATACGTTGTACCAAATTCTCTGGGCAAACACAGAGATACAGTATGAATGGAAAGAATCCAAGTTGAAGTTTTTAAAACTTGAATTGTCTGCAGTAATCTGGAAAACCAAAGTCAAAATGACTCGAATTGCTATGGCTGGGAATGACTGGATTAAAAGCAATGGAAACAATCGTTTCTCGGCTTGGTTTTTCTTGAATTAGCAGGAGCACATTTCAAGTATATTTAATAGAAAAGAAAAACTGGGCCAGGCGCCGTGGCTCATGCCTGTAATCCCAGCACTTTAAGAAGCCGAGGTGGATGGATCACCTGAAGTCAGGAGTTCAAGACCAGCCTGGCCAACATGGTGAAACCCCATCTCTACTAAAAAAACCAAAAATTAGTCGGGTGTGGTAGCAGGTGCCTGTAATGCCAGTTACTCAGGAGGCTGAGGCAGGAAAATCGCTTGAACCCGATAGGCCGAGGTTGCAGTGAGCCGAGATCGTGCCACTGCAACTCCAGCCTGGGTGACAAGAGCAAAACTCTGTCTCAAAAAAAAAAAAAAAGAAAGAAAGAAAGAAAAACTGACCAGGTGTTAAGACAATGCAGATGCATGTCATGCTTCTTTCTGCACTCAGGCAAGGAAGGCTGAATTACCCTTTCCATCTCCCCTCACCTGCCTCTGCTGGTTAGTTTTTTCTCTCTCAGTTTCCCATTGTCAGAGAGCCCTTCTCTGACCATATTTGATCACATTTCTTGGCTTGCATTTCTTCAGTGGACTTATCTGAAGGAATCTTTTCTGTTACATGCTGGTGTGTGCACTTGTCATTTGCCTCCCCCACCCTCAGTGAGGAAGCTCCCTGGGGGCAGAAACAAGCCTGGGTTCCTCATGTCCTGCATGGAGCACAGGCCTGGTATGTGGTGGGGGCCACTTAACATCTGAAGAATGAATTATTATCCACACTGGGAGAACACGAGCTTGAAGCATAGCAGGCCTTTCTAGTGTCTATACAGACCACAGACCACATCGTTTTGAGCAAACAGCTTTAAAAGGATCATCTGAATATCTTATGCACGAGCTTTACTCAAAGACCAGTGTTTTTAGGGGTGAAAGAACCTGGGAGATCAGTTGCGCCAACCCTTAACCTTACAGAGGAGGAAACTTAGTCTCACGGGGATCAAGAGGCTGGCCCAAGGTCGTTCTGCGCTGTGCAGTAGCAGAAGTACCCCCGGAACTAGGGCTACTGGCAGTCTGATGGCTCAGGGCACCTTCTCATACCCTGGATTCTGTCTCCAAAGACATGCTCTGCAGACAAGCTCTTCTAGCATGGCTTGACTTTCACATTCTGGTCTGAAGTGTTTTTCCTATAATTTTCCCATCTTTGGAAATTATGTTTATGGGACATCTGGGCAAAAGAATTGGTTCTCAATTCATAACAGATAAGGTTTACATTTTTTATTAATGGAATTAGAACTTCAGAGAAACTTTATAACTGCACTACTAACCAACCATACTTAGATTTTATATTAACCCTAGATTACTCACCTAGTAACTTTATACACTTGGAAGAAACGCAACACTTGGAATTAGAAACAGTGAACAGAAGGACACATGTTCAGTCTGAGGCCCAGTTTTTCTGAAGTTGTAAAATCCTGCTGTTATTTAGTGGTTTCTGTGAAACAGAACTGATGTATTGCATATTTTCTTTCAAAAAATAAAGTGGAATTAATCTCTTTCATTTTAAGGCATGCAAGCACTCCTTGAATTACGTAGAGATGACTCAGAGTATGAACTGCCAGGCTAAGAGTCACTGAATTAAGAAGCTAAAAACTAGTAGGTAAGACCTTGTATGTATCAGCCCACATTCAGCCATGACTTTTAGCATAACTTATAGAGTGATTTGTATCTCTTAAATAAATAGATAGGGATAGATTTTAAAGGGGTCAAGAAAAAAAGCCTATTCTGAAAATATTGATGCATCCTGCTGTTTGCAGAAAACAAGGGAAAGGGTCTGTCTAGTGTCCTAGGCATTAGCATTCATAGCAAATAAAATTGTCTACTAAAATAAAGTATCTTTGCTCTAAATGTCATCTGCATATCAACAGTTCCGAATAAATTTAATAGGAAAAGTAAAAAGCATGGCTTATTAATATGGGGCAGAATCTTTGGAAAAGAGGAAATATGTAAAGCTTTCAACAGCCATTCAACATCAAATCAATATCCCATTTTCTTAGTGATTAATTCAAAATGAGCATCAGCTCTTAATGTTTTCACTGATATATTAGCTCAATCTTTTATTTACTCTCTATACTTCCAATACAGGATAATTTTAGTGTCAGTTGATCATCTTACTGATATTTCCTGTACTATGGTCAGTGGAACACACACAGATGGAAAAAAATGGTTTTAGGTATCTCAAAATCAGAATACAGAATTATTTTGTTCATTCTTTCAGGCTAATAAGCGATGACA
Source organism: Homo sapiens (assembly GCF_000001405.40). Classification (NCBI taxonomy): domain Eukaryota; kingdom Metazoa; phylum Chordata; class Mammalia; order Primates; family Hominidae; genus Homo; species Homo sapiens. Next base: position 26,649,553 of record NC_000007.14, read on the forward strand.
GGTATTCAAAGAATCAAACTGTCAGCACTGTGACTCCCACTGTTGTTGGCATCATAATCTGTTTCTTAGTAACACTTGGTCTGAGTAGCCGTAATAGAATTAATTATACTTCATTTTGCTGCCTTTAACAGTATTGACCAAATTTAAGAACAAATGAGAAGTGCTTATCAAGCTTGAAGAAAATAATCCATCAGTGGCACAATTTAAATTCTCTGCCGTTCTCTTATTAATCAAAGTAACACTTACTATCCTATCTCCACTTCCCATTAACAGTCATTAAGCCCTGCTGCTGATTGAAGCAATTTCTTTAGGGATCTCAACCTCATTTTTAAGAGAACCTTCTTCAGTGCAAAACAATATATAAATGTGGTAACTTAAAAGAGAGGAAAAAGGTTCTTCAATCATGTTCTGACCTTGATATTTTTCAATGGTGTAAGTTCAAGAAAGTATACAACTGGATTAGAAACTTCAGGCAGTGGACGGGCCGCCCTTGCCTCATCACCCAAAGGAGGCACCAATCCAACAGGCATGGCATAGGGAGACTTGGGTTAAACACCTTAACCAGCTCCTCCACTCACCACCGTTTTAGTCTCTCACAGTATTAGATGCATCTCAGAAGCAGAACACATTGGGAAGGGTTTACTAAGAATACTTTGTCTTGGCTATGGCTCTGGGTAGGCACATGGTGGAGAGGTAGGAGCAAGAGGTCTGTGGCCAGAAGAATTTGAGGTGGCACTCAACACTGCTAACCCATGGGAGTCTGAACAATTGCCTAGTTTTTCTCTCAAATGGAAATAATATCATCTGCTCTGCTTCCCTTGCCAAATTATTGTGGAAAGCACATGAGAAAATGTGGAGAGAAGTCCTTTGAAATTGGTAAACATTATACGAGTGTTAACTATTTTAGACCTAGAAGTCATGGGAAGTGTTTCATTCAACTCTATCCCCAAGTCCTTGCCCAATGCTGATGCATATTATTGTTGAATTAATGCTAGAGTAGCCCTACTTCTAAAAATGAGAATAAGATAACTCACATTATTACAATGAAGTAATGGTCTTTTACAAAACACTTGTACTATATGTGGAGCCATGAACTTACAAAACAAGCATCTAGGGCACTGGGTAAAAACAACGTATTACTAGAATCAGGGAAATCTGGAGGGCAATGCCTTTGGGCTAAAAAGAATTACGTGATCAACACGATTTTGAAAATGGTAAGCTTAAGAGGAAAAAGCCCAGAGAATGCTGGTGATTGGGCAAGAAAGGTAAAGCAATCCCTGCCTGCCAGTTTGGTCATGCCAGGAAAGATGGTACAGTTGGGACAGTTTCCATCCCAAAGGGCCCACTGCCTTCTGCCCCATGGAATTTAATGTCAACACCACTGACAGCAGCTTCTGCAGCCAAGCTGCGAATAGACAAGTCACCAAGTTGAATGCAATGTAATCATGTATGAGGATGCGGAGTGGGCATGGGAATTAGGCTGTGAGACTATATCTTATCTGCACTACAAATGTGTTGTGTTAAAGCAGTCTCTCCTCATCTGCTTAAACCCTTGGAAACCAGTATTTCCTTCTGGTCATTCATTATAATTCCCCGTAATCCCAATACTTATAAAAGCCAAACACAACATGGCACTGGTTATAAAGTTTTAATCAGGTAAAACACTCAGTATTCATTCTGCTCAATTTTATCAGTGAGAAAACAGGCTCAGAGAGGTCCAGTGGCCTCCCTGAGGTCACCCAGCTGGGCACTATTGGGCATCTTTAGTTCATTTAGCCTTCTGAGATGTAAAGCTCTTCTCTTTCCCCAAGAGGAGATTGTGTATACCTATGGAGGAGACCTGAAGGGTGCCCTCAGGAAAGACCTCAGCACTCCTGTCCCCTTCTTATGTCTGTGCTTTAAATGCAGAACCCCCCAGCTGGGCGCGGTGGCTCACACCTGTAATCCCAGCACTTTGGGAGGCCGAGGTGGGCGGATCACCTGAGATCGGGAGTTCGAGACCAGCCTGACTAACATGGAGAAACCCTGTCTCTACTAAAAATACAAAATTAGCTGGGCGTGGTGGTGCATGCCTGTAATCCCAGCTACTCAGGAGGCTGAGGCAGGAGAATCGCTTGAACCTGGGAGGCGGAGGTTGCGGTGAGCCAAGATTGTGCCATTGCACTCCAGCCTGGGTAACAAGAGAAAAACTCCATCTCAAAAAAATAAAATAAAATAAATAAATGCATAGCCCCTTTGCAAGATCAGGGCTTCAGAGACTGGACAGTCGGGATAGATCCATTATTTTCTTTTAATGGCCAAAGTCCTTGGAAAGATAAATCAAGACCTGGATCTGAATTTGCTTGGCCAGCATAGACATGAAGACACCTTTCAATAGGCTACTGGGCCTGATGCATAAAGACAACTACACAATCAATGAAGAGAGGGAACAGCCTCAGATTCTGATGACCACTGATGTTTCCAACTGCAAACCATGCCGCACTCTCGAGATGTTCCCAGAGGCCAGATGAGAACAGAGTTCGGTGGGGAGCACATTTTCTTTCCTTGAAGAGATGAAGGGTACCATCCACCACTTAATTTCTGATAAGACATTAAATGTATGATTCTCATCTCTAAGAAATGAAACGCTGAGCTGGATTTTTGGATCAATGGAATACCTACTCCTGTTAAAGCACTTAAAAAGGAAAACATCTACAAAATGTCCCATTAGGCTGACAAATTTATAGCAGTATGAAAAGTGTGCCAGCAGTTTCAAAGCCGAATAGAGCGTTGTGTTTAAAGAGTATGAATGGATCTGAGTTCAGCAATATTTCATCTACATGAACAAGTTTAGCTATCACATCTCTTCCCAATATTTCCCACATTTACTTTTAACTAGGCATACGTATGCCATGACAGAATATGGACATCATCTTTAAAAATAAGTTGTAAAATGAATAATATTAAATGGACTTTCACAGCGTGAAGACGTGGAAATATATTCTCATCTTGATGTGTGGGGCTGTACAGACATAAATGCCATTAGCATTAATGGTAATTATGTGCGTAAATCCCCATGCTCTCAATGAGAATATGCCCCTTAGTTTGCAAGTGCAATGACTGGCTCATTTCTGAGGCTAGAAACAGCTGATACTTTACCCCCTCTAACTGGGAGAAAGATACGGGGTGGCTCAGAGCATAAAATCTGATCACCCACTTTCCCAAAACATGCAATTCAAGCACTTTAAAACTCCTTCACCTCAGAAACACTGAAGATGTAGGAAAAAGCCTCAAACTGCGGTCTGAGTATTCTGGCAATTTATGCTATATCATTCATAGGTTCCTGTCACTTGCTAGGGTGGTTACACTACAGGAGCTATGTGTTCTCATAACAAACTCATTTTATTATGTTCTGATAACGATCGAGGATAATATTTTTCAGCCAACCCAGAAGAGGCTGTTTACAATACAATTTTTCAGAAAGTAAGCAAATTTAGCATCCTGTTCACCAGAGCCAATATATTCTAATCTTATTAAAACAGGCAGGCAGATGACAGACCCCAGGAAAAGGTTCGTGTCTTCTCTTTTCAATTCATAAATTAATAAGGCAGTGTGACCCAAGTGTTTGGTTAGGCTTCACCTTACACGGTAGGAAAACAAAAAAGTCTTCTTGGCCAAAAAGTCAGAAAGCATTAACAGAAAAGGTCGGCTGGTTATAACTTTACAAACACTTCATCAGGGTAAGATGGAGCAAAGTGACATATGTAATTAAAGTATACTAAAAAAACAAGTCATTGTGGTTTTCAATTACAATGGTACTAAGAAGCAACCATATTATTTCTACAAACCATTTTCACTTAGCACAGTTCAGATGGAATTATTGCCATGACCTTTTAAAAATGTGAAAGAGTGAATCAATACCCTTTCAGAGGCAAGACTGCAGGAGCTGAATTGGCCATGCAGTAATGGTGTGTATTTCTGCATCAGAAGGCAGTTGAAACCTAATTATCGTCAATCACATACAAGGTAGCTCCACGTACTGATGAGCCTGTGCAGGCAGCAGCGTGCATGTGAGGATATGGGTGTGGGGGTCTTCACGATAGACAAGCACGTGTGCCAAAGAGGTCAGGGATCTTGGATGCTTTGGGCCAGTGGAGTGGGGCTTACAGGTGAGTTATAGGGACTGTCACTCATTTACAATAACTAACACTGGCCTGTCAGAAACAGCCACCTGTAAATGATGTATGAGTGGCTGGCAGCCTGCCATCCCCCAACAGACCTTGCAGCCAAGAATCACATTTTATTGTCGAGGTCATTGGAATGCTTACTTGGATACATGCCATATATTACTTAAAAATAACAAACAGCCAATGAGCCACATTTCTTAAGGCTCAAGGGCAAAATAGCCAACCTGCTTTTAGAAAATAGGAAACAAACATCCAAGATCCATTTTAACAAGTGATTTTTAAAAACTTGCTTCTCTCCAGATACAAAGAAGCAACACTATGGAGAGGCCTGAGAGTGGTGAAATGATGTCAGATGGGGAGAACACATATGAATATTCACTTTTCCTAAGCTGTTTCAGACACGATGCCAGCAAAAACCAACAACAAAAGCAAATGTCTTGTAATCAACAACAGCGGTAGCCCCAACTGCCAGACTATGAAAGCCATGGAAACCAGTTTGCACAGGAAGGAAGGATCTCTGGTTTGATTTTTCCATTCAATTGCATAATTCTCAAATCTGCCTGAGAATGGTAAAATGATCCTATGTACCATGGCAAATGTTTTTCTTGCACAATCAATCTTTTTATATGCTATCAGAAGGTCATATTGTTTTTAATTTTATTCAGTAGCCTAAATATGGGTAGAAGTCTCAACATTATGCTATTACATTTCAACACAAGAAATACAGCATTATCAAATGTTATGGATATTAAGCCACAAAGAAGTGTTTGGATAACCTCTTGCAACTTTTCTTGAAAATTAAATTTTAAAAAACCTACTCTTCTATAACCGTACAACTGTAAATGTTGTCCCCTCTAGTCTGGTGTTGAAGATCTCTGCAACAATCAGCCTTCACAGCCCTGCTCCACTGGCCCCCACTTGTTCCCACAGAAATGAAAGACTTGGCATATTTGTTACCATTATACAGTAATCGGACAATCTTTTGTTCAATGCTCTTAATGTTCTTAGAATAAAAACATTAAAAATGCACTTAAAAAAATAGGAATACTCATTACACACAAGCAATAGTTTTTAATTGAGAAAAACAGTCTAATTGAAATTACATTTGTTATGCAGACACTACCAATAATTATCTTGGCTTTAAATATGCAAACACAAAGATTCCTTTTGAATTGATAACTCTTTTCAGAAGTGGCGACTACTAGTTGAATTCAGTGATCCAGGGACCCGTTGGTGATATCAGGTGGTCCCCAGGTGTATCAGATGGCCTCTTAGAGCTGCTGTGGTAAAGCATGTGGCAGTCAGTTACAAGTGATGTAACTAAAGGTTGAAATCCTGTGCCTACTATTGCTCAGGGGTTTTGAGGAGATCACCACTGCTAAAAGCAGTGACTTACAGGTAAGAAGGAACTCTTACAGGATTCCATAACTCACTTGCTGGGCTCAAAAACATTGTGCAAAAGCCTCTCTCTTAAATAGCTCATGGCCAGAGACAACTTTAACACCTCTTCTGTATGATAAATCATGTTATTGCAATTTATGTGACACTAGTATCTACTGTACAGTAACCACTCCAAGTCCTCTTAAGCGGAGGCTTCTCAATATACTGATTTCTAATGCCCCACAAGTGCCATAAAGTGATTGCTGTTGACCATTGTCTTGTTTTAATGTCCCCTAAATAATAATAAACTTGAATGCTAAAAAAAATTATTGTCATTCAGGAATATATTTCTTGTAAACCATTGTATGATGAAAAAAATAAATTTCCCTCTTGGCAACTTAATTTGTAGATAACTGAGGTTGTTTTTAGATAGGAGTCCTACACTGAATTTGGAATCTAGGTGACTGTTTAATGTCATTAAGGGAATATTGTATTGGTTACAATGGCTCAGTAAAGTAACTGGTTTCTATGTGGTTATATCAATCTATTTCTGTAACACCGTACACTAGTTTTCCCCCTAGAGTACTCCTTGTAATGCTGAGAAAGTGTCAGAAATAATGACTGTCTACCTATATCTGCAATAAAACGTAGAGCATGGATATTATAGTTGTAAGTATCAAAGATTTATTTCATGACTGCAGGTAATGATGAATCTTTTAGCACAACTAATGTCTGGAGGAAACCTCTCTTCTTCTCTGAGCTGTCACATGGAGACTATTTATAGGGCCCTTAGTGCTGTGGGGTTTTAGCATAAAGAGGCAATGTGTCTAAGGTGCCACTGGATGGAAATGTTAGCAAGGGCTTCCTCTCATTGAAGATCTTTTAGTAGATGGCATTAGATTCCCTCTTTGTGTGTTTACGTCCCCCCAAAGACAGGGGACAGATGTTTAACATCAGCCTATTAATCCCTTAGCCCAGGTTCCTGTGACAGCACAAACCCAACAGAATGAGCCCTTTGCCTTTGCTCAGTGTAAATGCCGCAATTTACTGCTGATTTACAGAACAGGGTCAGGCCATTAGAAACTTGGCAATCCTCAGTACAGCTGGAAAACAATATGCATGATAAGCTAAAATTCAATACCTTCTTGCACTAATTAAATGGCTTCCCACCAGGACAAAAACACAAATTACAATACAGGACTTTTCTGCATCCCTATGCATTTTTCTACAGCTGTGACCAAGCTTTATTTGTATTTTTCTTTTGGATATTAGGTTTTAATTCACTTCCACTCTTTAAAGATTGTGTTCATATCATAGTCGTTCACTGTGTCATTCCACTGTTATACTGTTTCCAAACAAGTTGATAATAACTTGGTTTCCTCTGGTATGAGCAGACAAGTGTACAAACAAAAACACAGATATGTTCTGAAAGCCTTTCTTGAATCTCCGTTATACAGATGTGCAGATCAGTTACAGCTCTTCTCTTAAAATAAACCAAGAAACTATCAAAAATATTATACAAACCCCAAAGAGCTTATTCTGGAATCAAGACAATGAATCTTATTGCAGAAACTCTTTCATAACAACACAGGACAGTAAAGAGCAGGTAACTGGGTTTGAGAATGAGCACTGCTTTTTGAAAGAGTGGAACTTACAAAGATATTTCATACAAAGAGTTAATATGGGTGAAGTACCTCTTACTTTCTATGGTTCATCTACCAGGATGTGTCTCCGGCCCCAGTGCAAAAAAAAAAGACCTTCTACAAAAGCAAGCACCTATACTCCCAGATTATGAGTCTATGAACCCCACGGCTGCCCGAGATTTTCCTGAAGAGTGAATAATATTTAGATCATATGTGGGTTGCCTCCAGATCACCCACTGAGAAGCAGAAGCAAGATTTTGAACAGCTGGAGGTTTAAGTAAAAAACAAGAATAGCTACAGGCTTTATCTTGGATCCAAACGGTCTGAATAATAATAATAATCATAAAGAAATACCTGGTAACTATAAATCTCATCAACCAATGTAAAAGAACATTCTAAATCTATTAATATTTTCAAAGACATTATCTTTCTGCCACCCCACTGCTTTGTGACTTGTTGTATCAGCTATATTATTTGCCTTAAAGCACCATCTAAGTGTTTTTCTTCCCCTGTGAGGGGAATCTTCCACAGCCTTCGCAAGCTACAGCCCACTGCTCCCCTGCAGGAGGACTGGGGTATCATTAACAACCAAAGACACTTAAGGCACAAGTTGGAACTCCAGTGTTTCCAAACCTTCCTGCTTCCCATCAAAATTCATATCCTGTCACTGTTCTAGGAGCAGAAAGGCTTCTCATTATAGCATCATTCCCCTCTTGCAAAAAACACTGATTGCTGCACTGGTGGCTTTGGAAGGCAAAGATGTAATTTAGCAAAATAATGTACCATGCTGATTAATTTAATGTAGCCCATGACTAATTATGGTAATTCATTACATCTACAATTAGGCTAAGTAATTTATTGCACTGCAGTCTCATAAAGCAGAGGATTTATATCGAGTTTTGAATGTCACCCAAAGGACATTTCTGTACCTTGTCTTTACTGAAGCGGAATAAGGCTGCCAGCTGAGATGAGCCAAAGAAAAAAAAAATCCCCGCCCCCCCCGCCCCAACTTACGCACTGACACACACTTTGCCATTTTTGATGTTTGTATTTTGCAATTGAATTCAAGTGCAAGGAGAGTTTTTCCTGATCTCCTCTTTCTTTCTCCTCCTCAGACTGTGCCTTTGTCATGATTTGGTGTTGTTTTTGTTTGTATGCTGCATACCAATTTCCTCTCTGTAAGCTCTGGAGACCTGACACAGGAAAGTGAACAATATATAAGAAGCTATTGCGGTCTTCCCAAATATTATTTGTAGGCATTTGGCGGTGATCAGAGAAAACGGGTAATTGTGCTACTGAGGTCTGTTGCTTATTCTGCAGATAGTACTGCAGTCGACTTCAACAAAGACCTCATCTTCTCTTTGCCGCATGAAAAGGGGACATATCCCCTCACTTAGGAAAGACGCAAACATAGCATTATTTTGAAATACAGCCTCGCTTGTACCCTGCAGCGGGGTTTGCTCTAGCGATGGGGTACTTTGGAGACCAATTTGTTTAGCTGATCACTGTCTCTTTGACGTGGCTGCAAATGTTACCTTTCTTTTTCAATCAAAAACACAGCAGGGGGTGCCATCTGTTTGGCACAGGCCTTAGCTCACTTCCCCAATGCCTTTTTGTGCAGATCATTTTACGTGGCAATTTGCTAAAATCTTTCATTCCTTGGTTTTACTAAATATAAGTTTCCAAAATGGGCTGTTTTCTCAGAATGTCAGCAAGACTCACAAATGAATGCAGTTTTTCCTGAACAGCCAGTATCAGATCAAATGGAGCATTTTTCAGATTTTTTTTTTAATGAACAAATACCTCACTGTCATCTGATTGTTTACTTAAAACTGACATGTTTACTGAGGATGGTGAAAACACATTTATCCTACTGAATTTCACTTCGTTTTCTTTGTTTGGCTTCTACAGAGGTGCACTGTCACCAACACAGGCATCACAATTTTTAAGATCCTTGAAGAGAATAGGTAATGCAAATGCATAGAGCAACCATATTAAATAGTCATTAGGAAACAACAGCTAGCAAGAAAGTGGTTAACTATTTTCCCCAGCTCAGATGCTGTTCAAAGCAATGAATACCCACCCCCCACCCCCCCACCAACTCCAAGTAGGAACAGATGATCAGCACCACGTGCTGAAGCCACAGGGATGCCCGTGGATTTCCAAGTGCTTTGTAGAATACAAATGAATTATCCTCATTCTTCTCCTAGCAGAGCATATAGGCCAGACCTCATTAGAATTCAATATCACTCTGCTTTTCTAATGTTAATGTACCAGTTATATAAGAAATACGTGTGTTGGTGGGGCGGGGGCTTATTCCACAATTATGTTCGACGTGATATCATAATTCTGAAAACTGGACATAATCTTTATTAAAGGAAATTATTGCATTTTGCCGTTTTATCTTTTGCTTCTAATGTAACTTAAATTCCCATTCTAATAGTGGATTATAAGGGCCTTAATTCTTTGTGTCTCTCTTAAAGCTGCAGTGACTACAATACTACTGGCTTTATGGCTTTTTAAAAAATGCCGTGACTAAAGATCAGATTGTGAGGGCTCCATGTCCATCTCACTGTGAAAGGAACACAGCACATTACATTAATAAACAACTGTAGGAGTTTTCTTCATCCAGGAATAACTCAGGGCATTAAGGCTTGAGGTCTTTTGTCTAGAGTGCAGCAAGAGGTGTAATGAAAACAAAAACACCAACACATAAAAATACAATTTATGCCCTTTTATCAAGTGAAGAAAAAGTTGGTTAACGTTTGAAAAGGGAGCAGTAATGTAAATTTATTGACAATTTTATTGTAATAATGAGATGTTTACACAGTCTGGACATTGTGGCTAAATCACTTCTAGCATGTTTATTTGCAGGGAGCTGTTTTCTGGGCAATGCGGCAGGTTCATTAAGAAGACATACAGTATTAGGATTCAAAGAAACAACCAGCTCCCATTCTCCCCTTCCCAGTTATATGTGTGTGTGTATAGTTTTAAATATATATATACTTATAAATAATGAAGTAAAATACAGAATTCCCTTCATAAGAAAAACAACTTCCCCTGTGGCCCCAAAATAGCTTGAAAATAAATGTCGTATTGGTATCTTAATACATAGCATTAGAAAGACAACCTTTAATCACTATAACTAGCTTTTAATACCTAATGTGTAAATGGTAATCTGTTTTTGACTAAGAATAAATTATGGCAGAGTTTAGGGCGGCTCTTGCTTTACCCTTTTCTTCAAAAAACAAAAAAACCCATGGTAATTGTTTTAGATGAGATGCTTCTCTTCTCAACATTTTTTTAAGAGAAAAAACTCATTCAGAGAGAAATATTTCTCTTAAGCAGCCTCAAACCAGATTAATGGATTAAAATGGCACACTTGAATAATGTGACTAAATTTATCTCTATGTGGCTCTTTCATTTTTTGTGTGTTTCTATACTAATCTTTAATATGCTGCTCTGATATGGTTTTCATGTTTCCAAACTGAGCTAAAATGAAAATGACAGATTTTCAGTTATGCAAAAATAGCAATGAAGTGTCAGTAGAAATACATTGTGAACAACATAATTTTTAGGAAAGATGTGAAATGAGAATAATCTTCTAGCATGAAACGGGTCCAATAACAAAATATTCAGGCAATTATATCAATTTTTAAAATTTCAAAACTGTTTAAAAATTAAGGCACTAAATGCTAAGCTACAATATGTTTCCAGCCTCAGTATACATCCATTAAAATTAAGTAGTATCAATACAGAGTATTTATTGCTATAGATCATAGCTTTAGGAGAAGCAAAGGATGGTATACTTATAGCTTGAAATTCTCTACTATAATCACTTAGGAAAAGTTTAGAAAACAGACTTATCTTTAATCACAGTTGCCACAATTTAGTATAGTCCCATTGTTTTCCTTTATCAAAGAGTATGTAATGATAATAATATAAACACATTATAAAAGTAATAGTTTCCCAGCTTAAACTGGTAAGGTTAAGATGGTAAGAGAAACTTTGATTTTAGAAACCAGTGGTAACAGGTACACAATGTGTCTATTTTTTAAGCTGATAGAATTGATTAATGGTTCAAAATAATCAAGGAATCACATCACAAAGCACCGTTTTAAAGAGAAGTGCTAAGAATTAACTCTATACTACCATGACATCATCCGATGTTACCAGAATTATGTACTACATCACGCTATAGATTACAATTGCTAGACTAGAAAATGGAATCTTCAGCGACTCTGCATAACAAATATACTTAATAATCTTAAATAAACTCAAACTTACTTTGATATCTTCTAAGTAATTCACATGAAAAATGAATTTTTAAAAAATCAGTTCATGAAAGCCATTATTATTTGAAGGAATATGCTCAATTTTTTAGATAATTTAAATTATTTAAGAGTCCTTTGCATCTTTTATTAGCTTTGCCTAAAGTTATAACATTAAAGCATTAAGGTTACATGTAACGAGGTTCTGGTTTGCCCTCATTTCTAGCCCCATATTTTCACAAACTACAAACCAAGATTAGTGCTATATTACAAGGCTAATTAGAGAAAATAAAATTGTGTCACTCCTAGATATGCATCTGATGTTTTTTAACTAGAAAGTGTGTATTCACACACAAACATTCATAGATAGACATCTGGAAGAAACAGTTCATAAAAGGATTAGACAATGGGCAAAGGAAGTCAGCACAAAAATTTTCCTTAGAATGTCAGTTTAAAAAAATATTACAACATATACCTAAAGACTATTATTAGCAGATTGGTGGTTTTAAATATCATGAGAAAAGTTTATTTAGAAACTTTATAGACAGAAGTAACATCTCTGTGATTAAAATCACCATTAACAGAAATTGACCATAGCTTGGAAGTCAATGACTTGATCAAAAAATGCATTGAAAATTAAAGGAGAATCAAATCTCAAACTCCTCTAGGATTATTTGCATCAATTTCTGTTATAAATAATAATACCAAGGGCTCACTAAAATTATTTCAAGTAGTATTACAGCCAATGCTGAGTATCAACATTTTTTTCCCTTGCTAGATTTCGGTGTGAAGGAGAAATTATTTGATCATTGTTTCATTTCAGTTCTCATATCTTTAAATGCAGGAAAGCCATGTTTGACGCTATTGTTGATTTTTCAAGTCACTTCTAAACATAATCTCACTTGAGCCTAACCACAATCCTGACAGGGCAGAGAGAACAGGCACCACTGGTATTCCGCAGGGAAGGAAACTTATTCTAGGGCACAAGGCACTAGAGAGTGAAACTAGAATTTTGGTTGACTCCAATTCCAGTGTTCTTACTACTACTCACTTTCAGCTGAATACTGCTGGTACAACTCTGTCTCCAACTGAAGGAAAAGAGTCCTTACTCCTAAAGGGGTAGGGTCACTCTCAGCTTCCAGAGTTATGTTACCATAACTGGTAGCAACTCTGTAAAAGACGTTCACATTATTCATATACACAGCTCTTTGCTTCCCCTCACACTTAATTCAGGAGCTACAAGCATTTTGGAATTTTTTTAAAAATATTTTCATCTGAAACAATACTGAAACCCTTGCGTTTCCCTCCCCGTTTATTTTTAAAAATACATACATAAGGAAAGATTCCCAGTTTGTTTCCCAGATAATCCCTAAGGTTCAGATATCACAAAATCAGAGAACCTTTTATGTCTTAGGACACTGCTAGTGGCTTAACCTGCTAAGAACTGTACCAAGGTAAGGTTATGTGGGGCTGTCCTTATCCTTCCCTGTGTTTATGCCCTATCTTATTCAGACTATGAATCTACTTGGGAAAGACTATGTCAAATTCTATGTTTGAAATACCCCTTGCACAGGATGGCACTTAAATGTAATTTATTCAAAATGGAATCATTTAATTAGATAGGAAGAAAAATAGCAAGCCCTGAGACGATAATAAAGAATAAAGCAAATATGCTGACCAACTGAAGCAAAGCAACAGAGAGATAATAACACACATTCACAAGATTGCTACATTTCAGGTTTTTCAATTCAGGATGCTTATAACAGGATAAACACACAGTTACACAACTTGTTTTTCTGCTGGGTTCCCAGAAAGCAGAGGGCACACTTGACGTTGTGAACTATGTAGAGCGATAAGAATTGTAACATCTCATGCCTCATATGACTCCAGCTCCTTGGAATAGCCTGAGGAGGAGGAGGAAAGTGGCGCAAGGAGATGAAAGCAGGGAGCAACAGAGACTCTACGGACCACAAGCGCTTGACCTGGGAATTAGGAATTAGTAGGGTATCCTAGATGGGACAGGTTATTTTACACCACTGAGATCTACTTGGGCAGCTGGAGATCAGGGTAATGCAGTCATTCACTCCTTGTCCTTCAGAAGCATGATGTTCTGAATAGTAGGCATGGAAACATTTCAAAGAACTCTACAGAATCAAATACCCTTTGAAAATAGAACTTTGGTACACCCCTTTCTCTTGGGCTATAAGACAGTCAGTACTATAGGGTGTATTTTAGACTATGAGAGGGCTCAATTTTACCACCTCTCTGGTTAAATTCCAGAGCCATAATAGTGAATGTTAGTCCTTACTTATCTCTTAATCTTTTCACTCTCCCCAACCCTCAGCCTCCAATCACTGAAGTACAAAATTATTTAAAAAGGACTTGTTCAAAAAACACAACAGAAGTCTTTATGAGGTCCAGTACAAGGCACTGCTTGGGTGTCCACGGAATAAGACCTTGTACGTACTTATGTATCAGATATTCCAATAAAAATTCTTCTTAAACAAATTCATATCTCAACAAGCAAAAGTCAGGTCAGACATTGCCATCACTCAGTTACAAAATTATACATGTTTTACAATGAAGTTTACTGATGGTACAGTTTGTTAACAATCCTTTATGTGTTTAAACCAATCAATTAAAACCCATCTCCTAAAAAACAACTATTTGAGACAGAAGCAGCTGGATTTGCAGTCCTCTTCAAGGCTCCCCTGGCTGGTCCCTTTACTGGGCTTCACATTGGAGGAGGTGGGAAGGATGGGAAAAGGTCCTTAGAAAAGGGTCAGTTTGGCTTGGTGTCCTCTCTGGACTCTGCTGCTTTGATTGACTTCCTATTTTCATCTGGACTGGAACGTCAAGTGTTCCTGCATAAAAGTTTCGTCTCCATTGCGGATCAGCTGCTTTGGATCTGATATGATAACCATGGTATGCTTTCCTGACTAGTGAGCCAAATTCAGCTATCCAATTGTCAATTATTGGATGATTCTTTTCACATGCTTCAGATTATTTTCTAGAAATGGTGACCTCATCAGTGGTCAACAAGCATTTGTTGTGTGCCTATTATATGCAAAGAATCCAAATAAGCATTTGGTTTTAATTCATCACAGTACTGCGCAGCAGAACAGTGTTCAATTCAGGGCAAGGAGGCTGGTGTGAGGCTTGGTTAGGTAACTCACTACCCTAAGGCTTTGGGGACAAATTATTCAGCCTGTTTCCTAATCGGGAAAATGGTAATGAATAACAGAACTTACTTCATAGGGTTGTTATAAGAATTGAATGAAAAGTGCACAGCATGACAAATAGTAAACACTCAGTAAATGTTAGCTATTACTATTACTAGTCTGACTTAAACTGTTATCATCACATTTGATGTGATAAAGAACACAAGGTTTTCTAAATAGACTCCCATGGGAGCTGGGAGGGGAGGGTAGTAGATGAGAATCTGCTTATTTGTTGGAATTTTCTCCTCCACGAAAGCAGCTGTCTTTAACCAGCATACACTAGTGTCATTAATTTTCTCCTTTGAGAGTACCTGTGTGACACTTTCCTCAAACAAGAAGTAAATTGCAGTTCAAGCTACAAAATGGCACCTGCTTTTACTCTAGCAGGAGTGATATTTTTATATTAGAAAGTTGAGGCCAATAAACAGAAAACAGACAAGGGCTGTGCTATATTGCCTCTCCGAGTAATGGATAACAAAAAAGAAAACTGAAAAGAAAAAAAAAAAAAAAAAAGAGGAGAGAAACCTAGGGAAACACCTTCCAAAGTTCCAGCATTAAGAAAGGTACTTAAGAGATGGGCTTTGGGAGCAGTTTCTATATTCACGCCTTTGCACATAGTCAAGTGTTTTGGCTTGCTCAACTTCCAGCCCCTCTCTCAACACTGAAGACCTAAACTGAGCAGTGGTATGACTAAGGCGACTTTCTGCATTTACAGTTCCTTTCATTTTGGGGACTCAAAGCACTCAAGTTAACATAATCATACAACTTTAAATAAACAGGGAGTAAAAGTTAACAAAAAGGACAAAAGCTAAATTATGATTAGATTTGGCAGCAACTGTGAAACTTCCCACTTACTTGCACAAATTTTTGATCTGCCCAAGGCGACAGCTAGAATGCTTTCAAGATCAGATGCAGGAAAGGCTTCTCTGATATTACGCAAGTGGAATGCAGGGCAGCAGTGATTTGAGATGTTTCACTGGAAAGTGAAAGTAGATCACTTGCCCCAAGCTGCCCGAGGAGGCACCTGTGCCTCTTATTTGAGGTCACAACACTGAACACAAGGGAAGAAAGGAAGGAAACATCTAAGGACAATGTACCACAACTCAACTTTCTTATTATTCACAATCTCACTCAATTCTGTTATAACAATAAAATCCAATCTACTTGTTGATAGTATTATGGGATATACTAACTGTATAAAGGCATTTTCTCTACCAGGTTTACTAGTCAAGCTCTTTTCTTCTTAAATCTCATGTCTTGAGATATTGTGGGGTGCCAAATCAGTTAATTAACAAATATTTACTGGATCCACACCATATAATGTGTACCATGCTGGCAATAAATAATATGTTTGTGTATAAGTAATGGTAGAACAGATTCTACTAGCAGAAACAAGAAAAAGCCCCTCAAACATAGCATTAATGAAATGTCATTCCATGCTACTGTGATCATATGATTTTTAAAGTATTTATCTCATCATAAAATAGTATGCTATCAGAGGTTCTAACAGATATTCTGGAAGAACTCAACTATAAAGCAGTAGGCGTATAATAAACTGGCTAAAGCTGAGATGTCTAGAAATCTCTTGTTCCCAATCCAGAGTATAAACTGTTGTGCATTTGAGTATATATTAAACTTGTATAATAATATTTTAACAATGTAGTACTTATTGTTTCTCTGTATTTTTGAATACTAAGTATATTACTATAAATAAGATCATATTCATCAAATGTTTTTATTTTATATATATATACAGTGTACACACACACACACACACACAAAGTATTCTTTCAACCTTTGAGTGAAGCTGTGTTTTCCATGGCTTGATCATGTTTTGATCTCCACTCTTCACCACCTCTTTCTTTACCATGTGGATTGCTTTCAATAGTCATGAACCTACTGAACTCAAGAGAAGCAAAAGTGATCTCTATATGGTGTGTGTCTATAACTCCAACAAATGAAATACAAATGACTGATTTATCTGAAATTTAGAACTTTAAAAATTCTCACAATGCTTCACTCAGTCTCACTGATGAAGTTCAAGCTCTTAAACAACATGTATATTAGGGTTAATTTTCTTCTAATGGCTGAACTGCAAATCTGAATTCATAATATCTAACTCAGTTCTATTTTAAATTATGACCCTGGATAGTACCAGTCTATGAATAAGTAGCAAGTAGTAGAGTGCAGAAATTACATGAAATTATATAAAAAGTAGAAATCATAAGAACTAAGAGTGAGCCTTTGTACACATTTAAGAAACAGTTGAATGGATGCCCTACTCTTTGTGCAAGGCTATATTCAAAGTGGTTGTGTAATGATAGCAAAAAGTGAAACAAAACAAAACATGAAACAAAAACGAAACCCCATATATATGGATTTCACCTACACATGGTTGAAAAGTGATTTCTTTTTCCCATGGTCCTATAATACTTTATGTAATTATCTGTAATTAAATTAGCACACAGTAAAAATAATCAGCTTCCAATAAAATAAAGTATTCAAAACAATTGCTGGACTAAATGACATTCTTTTTCTATGAAAGAAAGTGTCATATGCAGCAAAGTGGCAAAAATAGAACGGAGTGAGCTGTGTTAAGTGTAAATCCTAAAGCAATGAAAGTCATTTGTATTATCCTTACTTCTTTGAATAAATTCAGATGACAGCCCTATTTCATTTCTTCATTCAGTTTGGCGGCCAGATGGCATTAGAATCATTTACTTCACCTTGTTGTGCTTAATTACTACAATCAACACACTATTTTCCAAATTAATCATAACAAAGTAATTTCATTAGTAACACAGCAGGCTGTTGAATTATTAGCATCATAACAGTTTGCAAACAATTAAACTTTATTTGAACCTTAAAAATTTGCAGAGTGGAACATTATTGTAAGATCTAATGGCAATAGAGTACAAATTCAGTACAGAGCAAATAATCAAGCAAAATGCTATATAAAATATGACTTACAATCACCTTTGAAAAAAATTAGCTCTCTAACTGTTCACAGAAAAACAAATAAAAGCTAAGCAAACATAATGAGACCATAGCAATTAGCATATTTTCTAACAAGCCATGTTGTTTAAATTTATATTAATGATATTATTATGATCTTGAAGAGTATGTGATATATTGTCAAGGGTGTAAAGAAAACTCTCCCTGGTTTGTATACAAATGATTTCATCAAATGAATATAAAGCAGTCATGAATTGAAAGTAATGATTATTTGTCCTGTCACTCCAGTTTTAAGTCTTTTCTTTCCTTTCTTATGTCTCCCACCTATATTCAAGTTTTAAAAGAACAAAGGCCGGTGGAGATCTGAACAGAAATAACACCTTATTTCTGTATTGTCACTGTTCACGAGACTATCTGGCTTGGAACTGTTGGTCATCAGTTGGCAAAGGACTCCCTCTCCTGGATTAACTGTAAAAGGAGGCAGAAATCTAGATGCTTTCCATCATGGGCGAGTTTGTGCCATGGGGGAAGGGTTTCAAGAGGTTTTGTCTGCAATGAAAAGCTGCTGCCATCTACTGGCCTAGGACTAAAAACTTCTTTTCAACCCAAAGCACAAACCCAAATCCACAAAGGCTACATTGTCATGGGAAACAACGGCTTTTGCTTTTCAGCTGCTCAAGTTTTGAAAACCAGTCCACTAAAGTCGTCTTTGGTTGTCTAACTTTTGCCAAGATAATTTCAGTCTATTTCAATGGCACTATATGAGGAAAAGGTAAGAACTGCACAAATGTAACTTCTGAAAACTTTAACTTCACAATGTCTCTCTATATAAACTTGTTTACTCACAATCCCTAAAATCAAATTTCTTTTTTTTTTTCACATTTGAGATTGGATGATCATGATATTGAGGGGGTAATGGTAAAGCAGACCCTCTCAAACACTGCTTATAAACAGTTTTACACAAATAATGGAGATTTTAAAATATTACCAGCTCAGATACATGTTTAGAATCTTTATAAAGCAAAGATATTGAAAAGTTCCATAAAGATAATACCTGATAGGTAATGATTCAATATTAGGAGTTTATGTGTAGTCCAAATAATTATCTAACCAGCAATGCATTTTGACATATGTTAAGGCTACATTGGTATCTCATAGGTATTTTAAACACCTCTGATTTCAAATATACATGAAAAGGTAATTATATGATTCTACAAATCTTGCTCAGGCAGCACAGAGTATAACTCAAATGTCAGGCTAACACTACCTTTCTACTCACCTGTTGGTACATGCTACCACTGGGATTTCTACACTCTCCTCTGCAAACCCTTCCTTTCTTTTCAGTGCTCTGAGAAGTATATAGAAAAGCCTCAAATCTGCTGTTCTGCAGTGGGATGTAAATAGTATAGCAATAAGGCAAGATAAGAGAGTGCTTGGTTATGCCTTTTTACTTTGAGAATACACTGAGATTCTGTTTTTTTTTTTTTTTTTTTCTGAGATGGAGTCTCACTCTGTCGCCCAGGCTGGAGTGCAGTGGCGCGATCTTGGCTCACTGCAACCTCTGCCTACCTTGTTCAAGCAATTCTCGTGCCTTGGCCTCCCAAGTAGCTGGGACTGCAGGTGAACATTACCACACTTGGCTAATTTTTAGTAGAGACAGGGTTTCACCATGTTGGCCTGGCTGGGAGATTCTTTATACCATTTTGTTAGTGGTAGGGTGGTATTTCTTAGGAATTTTTTGTTTCATTAAATTTAAACAAAAGTACAGTAGAAAATGTTGCCAGGCCCATCATCGCACCAGGATATTTGTACGGTAAAATGCTTTGCATGAGTCATACTTCTGGTACGCACTTCTGTTGCAGGTGACAGCACACTGCCATTTGCAACTTCATCATTTTTTCTTTCTTGCGGCTGTACTTAATAGGAATTAAATGTGTGAAAATAAATAATAACAATAAAGTTATCTATAAAGTTTGAACATTCTTTAGCATTCTTTGTTTAGCAACCACATTCTTCAGCATCTACCAAAAAAAACTCGCATGATACACTAAATTTAAAATGCTATGAAATTATACATTACTCTCTAAAAATAATTGATGTCCAATGATTAAGAAACATTACAAATCACACCAGAAGTAGCAATAGTAGCATACTATGCTATAGTAGACTATATGTTACGTATAAAATAGTGATGAATTCTTCACACAAATCAAATGGGTAAATAAAAACTATAATTATTTCTTTGCAAAATAGCAACAGGTATAACTTAACTGGTTGCATCTAATTTACATTAATATCCTTCATTTAATTTCACATCAGAGGAATATTTTAATGAGCGACTGCATAAAATAACAGTCAAAGATAAGTAATGTTTAATAAAACAAGGAGAGGTTAGGAGCTGTCACTCGTGCTTTCATGACGCTTCTAAATCCAAAGCATTTGCAGACAAGCAGAAGAATTTTCCTTTTCTGCAGGAGAAAGGGAAAGCTGCATTTTAATTTTTGATTCAGCTGAAACTTGATTTTTCCTGCTTAAAAAAATTACACTTTTAGCCAAGGAAAAATGTATTTTTACTCAACATTTTGTCAATTCAACTCTTCAGAAAGGCCATAAAAAGTGGTATTTTACTGAAAAGGAGGAAGTTTGGGAAAACAGCTGGTTACTATCAAAAGAACTTTCTCTAAATAATCTATTCATTTCCAAAGTAAATTCCATAAAGTTTTTATTTTAAAAATTCTTATTTTAAAAATTAAACCAGATCAAACAAAACAAAAAAGATTTCGGGGCACAATCTTTGTGTTATCAGAAAACTCTAAAGACTTTTAAAAAGGCAAAGACTCATAACGAAGAGACCAAGAGAACATATGAGCTATTACAGAATATTGGATTAAAATGTACTTACCCAGGACTCTCAAATATCATACATCTCCATTATGTAGGCTTTAGGCACCAAGCCAATGGCTCCCTTCATTTCTCCTACCCACCAGCCATATCTATTGTATTCCTAATTGAAAACAATATGCAATATTAACCTTTAGACTGGTGTAAGTACAATGTCGTTTGTATGCAACTTCTTAGAAATGTTATTTCTATTTATAAAGTTAAAAGAGCTTGAGCTGCAAATGTAAACATTTTCATCTTTTTGTTTCTGGACACTTTAAAATGCTGTTAGGCAACGATTTAAATTAAGGTATAACACAAAGCCTGTTTATTATTGGGCACAGAACACAGAAACAATCACTCATGATGAAAACCTAGAAAATGAAACTACCTCAGGAAGCCTTCTCTCGGGGACACTCTCTCTCTCCACAGAGCCTGGGGATACCTTTCATGTGTAAGAGGCTATAGAAGGTTAAAGCCAGGATCCTTAAGCTATTATATTTGCCTTCAAGAAGCTTATCATCTAGCAAGGATAAAATAATTTTTTTTACAATAAACTACTTATTTCTTAAACTTATATGACCTAAAATGATTTAGAATGTTGATAGATGTGTGCCCCTTCTTAAGAAAATCTAATATACACACTTTAACAGATAAATTAGAGAATACGGAAACACTAATAATACCAAAAAACTGCTTAAAAAATAATTCACAAATAGGTTCCTTTAAAATAGTTTCCCTAAGGCATTTATTATTCCTTTATTATTGACCATAAACTACCTTAGATAAAGAATAGGTAGAAGGAATTTAAAGGTGCTGTTAGAGTCACCCTTATAGTGGAAGATCAATAGGAAATAAAAGTATCTCAAGGTATAAAGGCAAAATATTAATCTACCTCTAAAACAGAGTGGTCGATGAGTCACTTTTGCATTTACTTTGCAACTTGAGATAAACAAACCTATACCTCCTTTTCTCCCACTTTTTCCTCCTTTGACAGATACACCACTGCTTTAGGCATTGTGAATACTCCATAACCGGTCTCATATGTCTGCCAGATTGACTAATGTATTTTTATCTCAAATTTATTTATGTGTAGTGAGATACAAACAAAGTAAAATGAATTTCAAGTTTCAAGAATAATATCTTCCAAAAGCAATACTCTTCACAAGCATTGTAGTGCTCAAATTTAATTTTTCATATAAGATAAATTTTCAAAATCAATCCCAAAAGTAATTTAATAGGTTATGATTTTCCAGCATCTGAGTCATAGATAAATGTGCATATGTATATTGAGTTATATGTGGGGAGGGAATGTTAATACTAGTACAGACTTAATATTTGTATTGATTAGTATGCTATTGACCATCAGAAAGGAAAATTATGCAATTCTTTAATACAAATGTAGCATTACATTAGCGTGTATGTATTGATATGTAGTCTATCAATAGAGAGATTATAGGATAAAATCCATAGGCACTTTTTCAAACAGTGGGCAGTATCAGGATTAGGTTTATTGGAAGAACAAAGTGGAGGGGGAGAGGGGAGAAAAGACCACTCCTGCTATTGTTATTCTATTGAGGGCACAGCTCTGGCTTGTGAGGCAGTAAACTCAAGATTTTAAGTTTTAAACTTTTAAAGTTCATTGATAGTGTGAACTTAGTGGACGAAGCTGTATAAGGAACGAGGATACTCTGATGCCCAGAACCCAATGATGGCTATAATCTATGTAGGACATATTTATCAGAAGAAAATACTAACTTACTGAAAGTCATGATTAGCAACGATTATATCTTAATAGGTACCTAATAAAACTACCCTTTTCTATTTTTAAGGCAATGAATACAATTAAAGCCTAATGCTTAAAAAAACACACGTACTTAACGTTCCACAGACTACTGTAAGATTTCAAAGTGGATAATTAACAGGGTAGGTCTGAGTGTTAAAGCTCTTATTCAATGCCAATATAAGATTTTTGAAACTGATTATTTGGAATGAGAAAAGGAACTAGCCCCCTGCTCCCCAGTGACAGACATAGAAAACATTCAGTGAGAAGACATATTATTGGCATAAACTTGCTTCCAGAGAATGGCCCTCAATCTGGGGGTCAATGCTTAGATTCAAATTACAAGACAGAAAGTTATTACTTTATAATATTCTACTTTGGTCATAGTCTATGCTATCAACTAAAGGCATGTTATCATTTTCAAAAAGTTACTCACACCCAAATTTAAGAAATTAGTTCCCAAGAAATCACATCAACAAGGGCAGACTTCACAGTTGAGAGAATTCTGTGCTATGGTAGAACAGGAAGATTTATTAACTAGAAAGCATAGTGGTAAACAGCAGGGAGGAGCTTAATCAACTATAAACAAATCCCTTAAAAGTTATACTCTAGGGAGAAAAAAGGTTTAGACTAAAATAATCTTAAATGCTTCACTTAATTTAAAATAATTGAAAAACATAGGAAACATACACTTGATAAAAATACTCTAAAATATCAGATTTAAATCAGAAAAGGTAAAACTAAAAACCAGAATATTACCTTATATTTGTAAAGAATTGCAAATTATATTCCTGTTTGAAATTAATGCATTATGATCAAATATAGTGAGGTAAAAATACAGGAGGCAAATTTATGGATTTACACTGCAGCCATTAGAGTGTTGACAAGACTGCAAATACAGGAGCTTTTTACTTTTATCATTACTATTCTCTGTATGAGCCTCCTGAGCAACATGAATCCCAATTAAACCATTTGCAGCCTATAAATTGGAATGAAAATGCTTCTTGGAGTACAGTATTCTAAACTTTGGCCTGAACATTCAATATTGTACAAGGTTTCCTTCTGAAAAAGAAAATCTGCCTGTCTATGCCTTTCCTCTTTTCCACCCCCAAACAAATGTGATTATGAATGATATATTACTTACAGTGGAAAATAATGCAACTGATACAATGTTGTTTTGCAGTCCACAAACTAATTATAGTATTGTTCTATAAAGTCACAAGTGGATCATTTAAAAAACAAAAAGGAAAACTCTCAAACTTTATCTTCTTAGCAAACAAAAAATAGACAATCCATACCAGGCTGTTGTCTAAATCTTTGAAATGTTAGGAAGCATCATGTAATCTTTATGGAACACAAGGTTTCAGGTACAAGGAGGTCTGCCATCTGGTATCCTTCACCTATTCAGCTCTTAACATCAGCTGAAATGCTAACATAGGCAAGTGACTGTACTTCAGGAGGACTGATAAAATAATGAAGAGTCCTTTAATCTACAGGAAACCATTCTAGTCAATTTATAAGAAATATTGCATCCCTTTGTAGGACGTGTAATTATTTTCTATTAATCATGTGCTATAAAGCTACATTATGCGGTTATTCTGTTATCACTAGAAAGAGGCCTGCAGTCAGCTTCTGACAATGTTAGGTAATTACTAACACAAAGCTGCTTTCTCCTCCTGCAGTAATGCTATCAAGATCCAGAGGTGTAGTGATGCTTATTGTATAAAAATAGTACTCAAAAGAAATTCAATATCTGCAAAATGGATGGCTTCAAGGCAAAATGTAGTGTGGCAATCAAAGAAGCAAAAAAAAGCCAAACTTGCCCAGTAATCCGAGAAAATAATAGTAAGGCGGTAGTGAATGCTTGTGATCTAACTCCCATGTTTTCAATTTTCATACCATTATAGTCATTTTATTTGTTTTATTTTGTAGTTGAAATTTTAGTCCCCAATTAATATTTATTGAGCAGTAAGAGTGACTGGGTAAGAAGGCAGGAAAAAGGACTAGTTATGATAAAGTGAAACAGAGACTTTATCCAACATAATAGTAATATTTACTCATTAACTAAATCTTCTTTCTCTGCTGGAATATTATTTTACACTTAAATAAGGCCCCAACATTTACTTAAATCTTTTTCAGCACCATGACTGTCATTTATCGAGTATGTTAATCCGCTTTCTGCGAATGATATGGTAAAAGAATGCTGACTTAACAGAAACCTGAAACATTAAAAGATTTAATAATGTACTAACCCTTTCAGAAATTAGTTACCGATGTGTTTGAAAGCAACAGGTGTTTGCAATGTTAAAAAAAATTTGTGTCCTTTTCCAAACATATATCTGTGCTTCAAAACACACCAGCCTTTTGTGAAAATGAAAGTAATTTTATTCACAAAACATAAAATACAGCAAGTTTAAGAACCAATGGACTTGACTGTTGTTTTCCAAGTATTCTTCATTGTGATATCTTTATTCATAAACACTGTAATACTATGAAAACTAGATACCTATTTAAAGTGTATAAATACTTTCATCAAGGCTACCTCTTTAGTCTCTTTTTTATTAACTCCGATTAGAAACTTTGTAAGAATCCTCTCATTTCTCATACATTCATTGTTTCAAAAGGTTATCTTTATAAATGCACAACAGGAACTGTACAACCTCGGCGTTTTACTATTACTATCTATACATTAACTACTTGAATCTTAGATTCCTAACCTGTTAAATGAGGAAACTGACACAATCTCTAAGGACCTCCATGATGTTTGAGCACCACCATTCAGGAACCTGATTGAAGACACTAAGTTCTCTAGTGGTGTACGGAGATCAATCTCATTACTTTGCAATTTACTTTGCAGGTGTGACTTTGAGTTCCTCTAATTCAAAGAATTACTGTTTTTCCTCCTTGCATTGTATACTCCATTTTTAAAGCAAGAGAGACAAAAACAAGGAAGCTGACAGTAAGAATTCTCATAAGAAATTTTAGTTTATATCCCTGAGTCATGCTATAGTTAATTCCAATTTCTACAAAGTTGACAGTTACAATACCATAGAGTAAAACCTGACATTCAGACTGGTGATTCGCAGATAATGTTAGGCAAAGAAGATCATGTCATGCTCAGTAGAGAGTGACTTTGGTATTCAGTGTATGGTATTTTACCTACATGACTCTATTAACTGTTCTCAGGTTCACCCATTCCACTTTATTCTCACTGGCACCACTAATTCAGGCCTTCATCACCTTGCCCTGGATTACTGCATTATCAATGGTGCCTCTCTGTTCTTCCCGGGAACTCTTTTCATCAGTTTACCCTGCTGCTCAAAAACTTACACTAACTCTCCACTGCATTAACTGTAGACTTTAGCTTGTTCCCACCCTGCTGGCAACCTTTTCCTGTCACTGTTCTAGCTGGCACAATACAACCTGCCGCACTACACTCATTCTACCTCTGTATGTAGTGCTTCCTTCCCAGAGACATCTCCTCTCCCTCAGCCAAATCCTGTCCAATGACTAAGACCTGACTCAGCTGTCATGATTTTTTCTCTGAATTAGCTAATCCATATTTATATCTCTCATTTCAAGCTAAGCATTTATTCCTCAGTAGATTTTACGTACATTAGTTTTATTCCTTCAACTAAAATAAAGTACAAACTCATTAAGATCAGAGGAAGGACTTACACTTAATCTGTATGCCTCCCACTGCAGGAGATATAAAAGATGTTCCATAAGTAGGTACTAGATGATTAAATAGACTAAGTCTTCATTTTGGATGATGCACCAGTTGACTATCCTAAATATTTTCTTAAGAAATGTAATTTCCAATAGTAATGTATTTTCTTTTGTGTATATTAGGCATAGTTAAAGAATTGTAGTAGTGACGAAACAAGCATTTGTTCTGAAGCATTCACATGTAGCTGAGTGGGCGATCTGAAGGAGCATGCTGTTCCCACCTGTGGCAGGCTGTTGCCACCATGTTTTCAAATGTACTACATGGGATGTGCCTTGTCTAAAAAGCTTAAATCCCATGTGCAGAAAGAAGGTATTTGTCCACATTGGAACAGGGACCAACTAATTCCAGTTCTTGGAAAAAATGAATTCAGTTTAACTTACTTGTAAGCACTGAAAGAAGTTAAGACAGAATTTTGCAAAGGCAAAAAATAGTATGACAGGTAGAATGGAAAATCTCCTGGTTTTTTCAGCTCCTTATCTTTTTTGTTTATATTTATATTCTTCATTGAGACTCTACAATAGTGCACTTAGGTACTTAATATATATCAATAAGTCTAATTATTATACATTTGGACCCTCACAGAATTCCCTTTATAAAATCTTTTATTATATTTACTATGAAAAGTTTTTGTTGAGGCCAATACCTGCCACTTATGCACTTATTTATGTAAAGTTGTTGAGGCCAGATATTCAGGGCAGAGTCTAGAAATTCATGTAAGAATATTTAAGTAGCCAG
Organism: Homo sapiens; assembly: GCF_000001405.40. NCBI lineage: Eukaryota > Metazoa > Chordata > Mammalia > Primates > Hominidae > Homo > Homo sapiens. Next base: position 26,676,317 of record NC_000007.14, read on the forward strand.
TGCTGGGAAAAGCCAAGATCCTTCCTTTATGATTAAAAGAAATTACTAGCTCCCATCTCTCCCTTTTTTGGTTTGGCTGCCAAGAAGTTCAGGGCCAAGGTGGAAGTACAACCTCAGAAACACCATTGTCTTTGGAGGTCTCTGTAGGAGTGGTCCATTTTTCCTTTGGGCTTTTATTTCTTTTTCCCTTATTATGTTGAGCCTCGATTTCTTTACCTATAAAGTGAAGGGCTAGCACTAAGGTCCCCCTCACTCTATGATCCTATCATTCTAAGTTCTTTTAAGAAGTCAGGATTATTTCCTGTTGTTAACTGTATTTTGGTAAAAGCATAGTAAACATCTATCTGCCATACTGTTAACATATTGGGATACAAAAATATTTAAGACACAGTGTCTACCTCAAGAAGTTCAAAGTTTAGACAGAAAGCCAGAGAAACAGGTAATCATTATATTGAATGTTAGGTAAGAGAGGGAAAAAGTTTGTAAAAAGAGAAGCAACTAATCCTACAGCAGGATCTGAGAGACTTTACATAGAAAGTGACAGCTGGGCTGAGACTCCAGAAGGAATAATGAAAGGAGCAATACATGGCAGGCGTGAAGGCCTGCAGAGATAAAAGAATGTGCTGTGTTCAGTGAAGAGTAAGTAGTTGAGAGTGTGGTTAACACACAAGGTACAGGCGAAGATAAGGGAAAAGTGGTGTAAGCTGCTGTAGAAAAACTAGCTTGGAAACATCAGGTTGATTTGGTTTCTCACAGGGTTTCTCTGGCTGCCTACCATTCTCCAAGGTAAGGAAAGAGAAGTGATGGCTCATGCCTGTAATCCCAGCACTTTGGGAGGCCGAGGCGGGAGGATCACCTGAAGTCAGGAGTTCAAGACCAGCCTGGCCAACATGGTGAAACCCTATGTCTACTAAAAATACAAAAAATTAGCCGGGCATGGTGGCAGGAGCCTGTAATCCCAGCTACTTGGGAGGCTGAGGCAGGAGAAATGCTTGAACCCGGGAGGCAGAGGTTGCAGTGAGCTGAAATTGCATCACTGCACCCCAGCCTGGGTGACAGAGCAAGACTCTGTCTCAATAAAAAAAAAAAAAAAAAAAAAGAAGTGATCCTGAATGACTGATGTCTATTGGCTCTATGCTCCCCTTTCATCAATATAGCCATCCACCCCTTTCCATAGCACAGCCGTTCTTCTAGGTTTTATATGTAATAGACACAGAAAATAAGCATTCATATTTGTTAAATGAATAAACTCCATTTATACATAAAGTTCCAGTTCAAGTTCCATTTCCTATGAATCTTTCATTACTTACTTACTCCAGTATTTACTGACTTCCCTTTCTTCTGGGATTCTCCAGGACTACAACACTGATACCCTACATTGTGTTTTATTGCTATTATCTATTTTATGCATTGGTCTTCTCTTCGACTTAATTGCAGTCTCCTTGAATAACAGTTTGTGGCTTTTCTGGATCCTGCTCAAAATAGTACTTTGCATGAGTGTTCACCAAATATTTGTTGATTAGAAAATGAAATAATTTTGACCATCTATACAAGATTTAATTATGTAAAAGATACTGTCAATAACATGGTTCGCTGTTGTTTAGAACTGGGATGTGATAATTACAATTAACCTCTGATATAGAAGAAAAGTTAAAGTCCTAATCAAGTCCCACTTAACCGTAGCAAAGTAGAAAGAGAAAAGGCTTTAGGGTCAGACCTGTATTGATACCTGGAGAAGGCACTTAATAGCTGCGTATCCTCAGATAATTTCCATAATAACCTTACTGCACATCAGTTTCCTAATCTGTAAAATTATAACATCATCTACTTCACAGGGTTATTATATTAATTATATGTGTGAAAGCATATTAAGTACCTAGAACAGGACATTGTAAATGCTCAATAAACACTTTTTCATTCCCTCCCCCACTCCCTGCCCACTAATTGGTATAGCAAAGTATTATGGCAACAACAAAAAAACAGAGTACTTTGGGACGCACTATAAGGCAATCTGATTATTATGAGCAGGTCTCCACCCTGCTCTTCCAAAGAGAATCTTATCTTCTCCCAAAGAGAACAAGTATTTGAGGAATATAACATTTTATTACAATTTTAACTGGTTGTTCTTTTTTTTTTTTTTTTTGAGATGGAGTCATGCTCTGTCACCAGGCTGGAGTGCAGTGGTACAATCTCAGCTCACTGCAACCTCTACTTCCCGGGTTCAAGTGATTCTCCTGCCTCAGCTTCCCAAGTAGCTGGGACTACAGGTGCGCACCACCACGCCCAGGTAATTTTTCTATTTTTAGTAGAGACGGGGTTTCACCATGTTGGCCAGGTTGGTCTCGAACTCCTGACTTCAAGTGATCCTCCTGCCTCGGCCTCCCAAAGTGCTGGGATTACAGGAGTGAGCCACAATACCTGGCATGCTGGTTGTTCCTTGATAGCTGAATACTCAATGAACATCTGTCACTTATCTATAATTTACTAAATATCGACTCTAAAACTTTTCTTAATCAGTAGTCTATCTCTAGTCTCTATGCCTAATGATTTCCCTGGAATATCTAGCTCCATGTTCTAAAGGGATGAGGAAGAAGACATCTCAAAAGAGTGAAAGTATGCTATACACACTGAGGGAGTTCCTCATTTTCAAGGCTGAAATCATGAATTGTTCAACTGAGAATTAAAAAAAATATCAACGTAGTGCTTTTCTTTAAGGTTTTGTTTTGCTGCTGCCAAACTCTTAGTTATTCATGCTGAAGTAAATCACATAGGCCTTACAGGTGGGCTCCTTTCCAAAGCAGCCCCCTCCACTGCCACCTCTGCTCACCTTGCCTCTCTGACACTGCCTTCTGGCTTTTCCTCTACCTGTCAGGCCATTGCAAGGGCTGCAGCTGCCAGCCTGCCTCCTATAAGCACCTTTTGCTTTCATCTGCCAACATTTTTCTGGAATGTTTCCTCCAATTTATGTAAGAGAAAGTAGGGAAGTACTTAAGCATATTGTTCACAAACAGATAACAAGAGGAGTCCTATGAGTAGAACTAGAACATTTTCTGACATGGTGTTGTGTCCATAAACTGCTTTTCACTCCTAGGAGGAGATGGGTACTAAATAGGAGGTTGGCCTGGTTAATGCTTCCAGTGTACTCTAGACCATACATCCATACTGACAGCATACAAACTAAATGTCATCGGAGCAAACAAATGCAAGCACAAATACAAACACTTCTTCTTATCAAAAGGCTATAAAATATAACATTTTGGAGCTAGCTTAGTGTCAACAATGCATGTCCCACATTCAGATATCCTAGTTACTCTGCAGCAGTTGGCCACGCTATTTGTGGCATACTGGGTCATACGGTTACAAATGAAAAACTAAGACAGCTAAAAAGTAACTTATTTCCCTCTGCCAATAAAGCTCAACAAGACTTTCATTTCATTTATTAACATAGGTTTGAAGCCAAAAAAAGCCATAGTAACTTAACCTTTACATTCTTACAATGAGAAGCAAATGGTCAATGACAGTCACAATTCACCAATCACTGGAAAAAGTCAACCAAACAGATATAAAGGGAGGTACTGCTTGAAACTCCAACCAATATACACCAAAAAGTACCCTTTTATTTTATATTGGTGACCACAGTCTTAACCTACATTTCCTGTGTTTGACTTAATAAAAAGTTTCTCAAAGGCTGCAAAGCTAGTCGCATATGCCCTAGACTAGATAAAATATTCCAGAATTCTTAACTCTCATTTTTCTTTTAATATCAAAGTACTGTGCCTCTTTTCTGAAGTATAGCTTGTCTGTTATTAAATCTCTAAAAATAGTTTATTGCTTTAAAAGTAAGTATAGCAATGTGGTTTGCAAATTAATGATGAGTACAGATTGAAAGATAAACTAATAGAGGATAGAAATCCAGAAGAGCAAGATAGAATAACATAACCAAAAAGGCATTTGGGACCTCAGAATATACCTATTGCTATATAATCTGGATCCTGCTATTAAAATGATAAAATTTCAAAAACATGGTTCTAGGAAAATACTGTTAGCTATAATATTATGTTCCTGTTTTATTTAGTGGTAATAAAAATGAAATGAAAACTAACAAAAATATTTAGCATTATTTTAAACAACCCAATTTCTTAAGGAAATACAGGTTTTCTATCTCAAATATGATTTTCCCCCATCAAATGAATCTGAAACCAATTGTTAATTCACTAACAATACAACTGTCATTAAAATCACAAATTCTGCTTTCATCAGTCATTATAAATTTGATCCATTTTTTAAGAGAAAAAAGAGATTTCCAAATCTCCACTGAACTACTGAAGCTTTTAATTTTAACACATAAAAAAACAGCAGCAACCCTATGTGAATAGAAGTATAAAGCAAAAAGTACTGGCTTGCCTTTTAAGGCAGGCGGTGTTTAGATTTATTATTAGTGAGGTTCAAAGGTGAAACCTAAGGAAATGCTGGACACTTTGAAGGAGGGGCTATCTCAGCCAGGGGTCACATGATAGCTGCTAATTGGAAAATGTTAAAAAGGGAAGGAGGAAGGGCACAGTATCTGCCTACTCTTCTTTCTTTATTGCAACATTTGATTTGCACCAGAAGAAAAAAAAAAATAAAGGCTTAGATTTGTATAACTTTCAAAAGAGGCCTAAAATAAATAAATCACCCCCAGGTTGACTGAGCACAGCTAACATTCCATCAAGGCTTTCTTGCAAAACAGAAAATAATATATTGAATTTTTAAATAAAACTATATTTCTGTAGTGATTTTTAAATGAAAACAACCTAATCCCCAAGCTAGTTAAATGTTTTTCTGCCATTACATTTACAAAATTAAAACACTTGCCGGGTGCAGTGGCTCATGCCTCTAATCCCAGCACTTTGGGAGGCCGAGGCGGGCAGATCACCTGAGGTCAGGAGTTCGAGACCAGCCTGACCAGAGAACAGTGAAACCCCATCTCTACTAAAAATGCAAAAATTAGCTGGGTGTGGTGGCACACTCTCAGCTACTTGGGAGGCTGAGGCAGGAGAATCGCTTAAACCTGGGAGGCAGCGGTTGCGGTGAGCCGAGATCGTGCCATTGCACTCCAGCCTGGGCAACAGAGTGAGACTCCATCTCAAAACAAACAAACAAACAAAAAACAAAATTAAAACACTCTTCATTATAATGCATGGGATTTTATTTCTTGTTTTGCCTAAATGTTTATTTATATTGAAAGTATGCATCTTTTCTTAAACTATTTTATGTTGCCTTTTTAAAGAATATTTTCAGAACTGACACACTTTTAGAAGGTAAATCAAACAGTGATAATTTGGTATTTCAAATTATAAATGAGTCCATTACTAAAAGAAAGCTGCATATCTTTAAAATCTTTTAAATGGTCTTATTTATTATTAACAGACAAGTCATGGCATTAATTTCTTTACAAAGTACACATTTCCTGTATCTCTACAAATACTATTTTAGAATCCTTAAAATGTATTCTTCCTTATATATACAATTTCTATATTTAATTCAGAATGATGAACAAAGTTTTTCATGATTAATGCTAATATTTTATTGACATGGAATAGGAAAGTAATAACCCATAGCTGGATTTAAAGTTGAATTTATGACACCATTTTGATTGTGTACAACAGCTGCAATTACCTGCACCACTCATTCTGAGCCACTAGATGGCGTAAAAAAAAACAGAAAGGTAAAATTTCATCCCATCACCACAAAATCTTAATATAACTCTGAGAAACTCAATTAAACACACTGCGAGGCACCTAAAAATGCTAGTGGTTTCTATACTAATTGTACTTAATTTGTAATAATATCAAGCATTCAAAATTGCAGTTATTCACATATTAAATGAATTTATGGTATTAACTTACAGTCTGAGTTTGCCAAAGTTTCAATAAAACTGGAAGGCCAAGTCAATAAAGACTACTAGAAAGTCTCAAGAGATTCCTAGCTGAATTTGTCTGAAGGAAGGTAAGGAAGTAAGTCTTCAAAGACAAACATATACTCAACCCAAAGCAACCTGTCTACTCGCAGCCAAGACACCCATCAATAGCCCAGAATATGTCCAAATCTCATCAAGGAAAGCTAAATGTCTTCTCCTTTTTATCCTCACCAAGATTTACCAGGTTGATTCCACTAGGTCCACAGCTGAGTAACGATGAACACTGAACCTTATTCAGCCAAAGGTAATAACATGCTGGCGAACAGGGTCTTCTTTCTTGGCTCTTTTTTCAAACTCCAAAATGAACCCCAGGTAAATTACACATCTCTAGAAGGCCCTTAATAAATATGATCATGATGGTGAAACTTCAAGCCTTGCAAAACACTGGCAGAGGAAGTACTTTCGATCAGCTCTCTCCCAAATAATAGCATTTAAAAATGTTAGATGGAAGTATGTGCTTCCCATGGGCTGGAACACCTTTAACCTTTGTTCTCTAATCAGGCTTCACAAATAAAATTAGTCTCCACAAAACAGGAACTGCCTCCTTCGGAATCCTAAAAGTATGATACACACCTATGATTATACTTTTAATTTCATGTTAACTGAAAATTATTTCCTGAGGCAACAGTAGAAACAAGAGATGCCTATGGTGGCTTGTTTCACAGCCAGTTCTGGAAGCCGGTGCTCTACCCAGGCTTTCAGCAACAAAGACAACCTGATTCATAAAGAGGGTTTTACAAATAGATCCACATGGGCTTTATAAATTTCATATTTACAAAAGGAGTATAATAGCTATATGCCACTCACTCCTATAATCTGAACTTGCAAGTGAAATCTAATCAACGTTTTAGTTTTATACACAATTGCAGCTAAATTGGTTTTAAAAAGACTGTGAGCTATATAAATTTAGGAATGATTCCAAGAAAGTTTCTTGACAGGAGCTGAAACTAATCAGTTTGATTTCTTTATTAAGTAGTTAACCAAAAAGCTGTTATCTTAACTCAGGACAATTTAATGCTTAATAACAGGCTTAATCAAGAGTTGTGATGTGACTATCTATAGCGTCCAAGAACTTAAAACATCTTTCTGGGAACAACAGTAACAAAAACCCATGCTAATGAGCAGAAGACTGAGAGAAATAAGTGACCAGCCTTAGCTTTGGGCACCCTAACTAGCAATTATCACAGTTGGCTTTATTTATTTTATCACAGTTGTCAGAGTGGGTCCTGGCACACTGCAGGTGCTTTATGATGGATGGATGGAAGGAAGGAAGGAAGGAAGGAAGGAAGGAAAGAAGGAGCACAGGAAAGAAAACAAAGGGAAAAGCACTGGTCTGGGAGTCAAGACACAGCTCAAATCATGACTCTGGCATTTTCTTGACCCAAGTTCCTTTATCTATAAAACCAAGAATTAGATTATCATCATTGAGACTCATCACTCTAATGTTCGATGATTCTCTGTGTTATGATTTTATGCACCAGCCATCTACTGTTAAAATTCAGTATGTGGCCTTCTTTCCAAATTGTCTTCTGCCTCTAACAAGTCATACTATCTCTCTGAAAAGTCCAAAATATTTCTCTAATCAAGAAAGAAACCACATCAACCTCCTAGACTTATGATTTAACATTTTTCTACTTATATTTCAACTGTTTTCCTACATCATTTGTTTCTAAAGTAGTCTTGTAAGTAGACAGAGGGAAATTTTTAAATCCCCATATTACGATAGGGGAAATTAAAATATGAAAATTAAGGGAGCTCACATACATTACCAAAAGTATAATCACAATAAGAAACTTGACTTTTAGATCTAAGGACAAAAAGATTCTGAATAATCCAGTATTTTAAGAAGCAGACACAAGAATTTATGTATATACACACACACATATACATATATATATATGAAGATGGGTTTATAGAATTATACTTTGCCATTTTGTTTACAAATATAGTATGCTAAACAACTTAAAAAATTACCTAAGCCTGTCTGAATAGAAAAGCATTGCTTTTAAATTGCCGGAACACCCAACATATTTACATAAAGATGAAAAACTTGTTCTATAAACATAGTGTTTCCAGTAGTGAATGGCAGACAAAATCAGAATAAGCACACAGAAGAATAAAAAGGAAGAGGAAAGAAAAGCATAATAAATAATCTAATACCTTACAATGTTAACTTTCACATAAGTATATTGTTTCTGGAGAAGGCAGTAGGTGGATGTCAGCCAAGGGCTGAAGTGATAGGTAAACACACTGTTAAGTTGAATCCTGTTATCTGATTGTGTTTAAAATTTGATTACATTTCACTTGACAAAATAATTAATTATTGTGAACTCCCAATTGTTAACAAGGACCTAGAAGAATTCCAATTGGCATTCTTCCCTAGCTCTGTAAATCCAAATGCATTAAAAATCGAGCTTTGTATTCCCTCTTTACAAACGTCATTTTGGGGTATCTTCTTACCTTGCTAAGAATGTAAATCACATCACCACGCTTAAATGACAACTCATCAGAAAAAGCTCCAGTACAATCCCACAATCCCTGGTAAAAATTAGCATAATCAGTGCTCTTATCCCCTAGGAAGAAGAAAGAGAAAGCATGAATTAGGGCCTTCATGTAATAACCCCTCATTTCAAAATTAACCAGTAGAAATTAAATGATGCCCTAGATCACTAAAATAGTCTAAAAAAATTATGTCCTGAGTAAACGAATACTTTATTACATTCACATGAATCCTACGTCTCACTATCCTCTTAAGACCGCTTTCAAAAAGATCTGATTTTGAATTTCTGCTTTTCTTTTTCTGCCTTTCATCTAAAATCTGTAATTGCTATATGCTGTCATCAAACCAGCACCTAAAAGTTGCTTCCCACTTATTTTAAATAACAAACCTAAGCCCACTTGCAACATGTTTTGAAGATGTGTCTGCCACACTTCACAATGAGCAATATCCATGAGATGTGACACACACTTTGTGAAATAACCATCTCACAGAATTTGGGACACTTCATGAAAATAATAATAGTAAAGGAGCTAATGTACAAATATAAAACCAAAACTAAGGAACCAAAATTAAAAAAAAAATACTAAACCCTAGAGCTGGTTAATGAAAGACAACAACGTGGAAACGGTATAAAGAGTAATTGCAGCAATTTTCTTTAGGGACATTTGTACCCAAAGCCAAAGTTATCTTTGAAAATTTTTAGCAACTTTGAAATTGCCAGTGTTGAAGCTGCATTTTTCAACCGATTTTTGTCAGCCCCGGTTTAGGACATTAGGCTCTAAATAAACATGCAACATACACTGGAGTATCAGCTCATCCTTCTAACAGCATAAGCACAATGGATGTGATGTGCTCAAACTGCCATACAGACCATTAACTGATTGATTATTTAGCACTTTCCACTCTGTAAGACCACAATAAATGGGTAATAAATGCTTTGTCACTTATACAGTGCAGATCTCCTGAAACACGGAACACAGCTAAACACACTAGACGCTTTTGTTACACTAAGAACTGTTTCCTGTTTTCAATTTCATGATAATTGAGTTTTGATGAGTTAACACAAAAAGAATGCAAGTAATATCAATAAGATGTCCGTGTGTTCACTAGCCAGGCAGAATATATACGTGCTAACAACTTCCATCACTGGAATGTCATCTTTGAATTCTGAGGGGATAACTGTGGAGACACAGGCTGGACCAGGGTTGTCATCTCAGTATTGTTACATGGCTCTCAAACAGCAGGCTTTTTGGTGATTCCAACACAACTAGTCAGATTAGCATGTCATTAGGGTGTTCATCTTATTACACATTTTTTGTGATTTATACAAAGTGTTAGGTTTACTAGAAAATTTTAAAATTCTCTTTAATATAAGAAATATTTTAAAGCCAAAAAAAAGAGAATCTGAATAATATGGAGTCTGAATATTTAGCAAATAGAATGCTACTTTTTGCTTATAAGAAAATAAAGATGGACTAGAAAATATACAACCTAGTAAAATCCCTCTATTAAATTTTGTCTCTTGTTTTCTAAGAATTAAAAAAACAAGGGACAATGGGAGTGGAGAGAGAAGGAGGAAGAGAAAGGAGGAGGCAGTGGGAGAGACAGATACCTTATTGACTTCTCCACACTAGCATCTGAGCACTCATCACGTACCTGCAGGGATGTACACAAGGTTGGGAATCCAACCAAGAACTAACAATGCTTGTGGCCACTCTTCATTACATTTTTTTCCCCAAAGCATATATTAAGTAAATTATAAAAATGGACACTAGAGGGCACTGCAGCTGGCCAGATCACTTCAAACATTGTCAATTTTAAAAGAAAAAAATCACTTAATAATAAAGTGACTGATTTCCTTTAAAAACCACTTATTTAGACAAATAGAGATTTAGAAGTTGAAACATTCTAGTCAGATTAAATCAATTGGTAAATGGGTCAAATGTTGTGCCCCTTGCAGTCTGTCAGTGTCAGTTTAAAAGTCAGGGAATTAGAGCAAAGAGAGGATGACATCATTTCACATGCAAGGCCTTCCCCCACAGTAACATGCGAGGCCCTCCCCCACAGTAACTGGCCAGGAGGTAAAAGGATCTAAATGGCTGGTTTCTTTAGTCTGCGTTCCCCATGCTGCTCAGCCTTAGGCTTGCTCCAAAAAAGTGGAAGAAACAAAACTTGGACTAAAAACTAGAGTAGAGGTTTTGGCTTAGCTATGTTGTCCCATTGCGTTCCCCAGCTGTCCAGGCTGCTCTTCCTTTTTTTCAGATTCTCTTACAATAGTTTTTATTCAATAGATTCTCAAAGGGGAGGGGAGAGAAAGAAGGAAAAGAAAAGTATATGGTGATTTCTAACACATAATCCTTATCACTTTGGGGTCTCTCTTCCCCTCGATACGCTTGCTGAAACTCCCATTAACACTAATGGGAGTTACAGGAGCACATGAGGGGAAGAGAGACCCCCACCGTGTGCAAGATGCATCTCTCCCTAGATGTGCATCATGAGCATTTCATTAAATCTCACTGCTGTAAAGAGGCAACAGAGCTAGTGATTTGGCAATATGGGAAAAAGATGCATTTTCAACTGTGCTTTCTATAATCTTGATGATGATGTTACCCAAAGACCAACCTCATTTTTGTGTCCCGTATGAGAGCTCTGTTAAAGAATAATTTGTTTATGTCACACAGCTACATACATGTATGATTTACTAGTCTATCTATTTCAGCATGCAATACTAGCTATAAAGCAGAAAAAATCGTAAGTAGGGGGAAAAAAAACCCTGGCAGTATATGTTTATTAGCCTTAGTCTCAGGGAAGTAATGTTTGAATTCTTGATATGAAATCTGGACACAAAAATCAGGAAGAGTCTTGTTCCTTAAAGGGCAGCAATCTCCTCTAGCTTACTTTTTAAAATTTAAAGTGTAGCTAAACATACACAAAAAATTAAGCACCGACAGCCTCAAAAGCGCAGGTTTGCAAAAGTTAACACTGTTCACCCCTAAACACTGAAAAATAATCCAGTTGAGATATGTATTTTTAAAGATGGGATGAGGCAAATATCATAAACATACATTTTAAAGCACAAATTAAGTATGTTTAGTTGGCTTTACTACATGGATTAATTTTCCTATTCTATCCACATCATGATCTATATTTTAAAAATTACAAAAAAAAACTACATTATGTTTCTTGTCCTGAGAAGCATGAATGATTAAAAAAAGGTAAGAAAGAAAAAAATTAATTAGCCAGCCTGTGAAAGATTAAAACAATGTTTTTACTCCTGCTTTTAAAAACATACAAGAAGAGATCATTGGGCAAAGCTAACAGAATTGTTATGAAACATGTAGACAGAGGAGATACTTTGCAAAGATGAAAAACATGATGACCACGGGTGAAACATATGAGAATAAGATAGTGGAGAATCTCTCCTTTGGTGTTAAAAGGTTTAAAAACTATTTTAGAAAGGTAAATATATTCTATAATGTTCAAAAAAAATCAAATGGAATCTTTATTTTATATATATACTCATCCACATATCTGCAAGATATATAAGTTTGAACATGAAGGAACTTGTAAGAAACACAAGATTAATTTTGTTTTTGCTTACATACTTTACATTAGAAAAGTCTGTGGTGGGGGGTTTAGTAAAATCAGTCAATGTGAAATATATATAACATTCTTGAGTAAGGTTAGAAGTTCATGTCATGTGATGCTCAGCAAGATAGTAATACCCTTGTCAACTCACTGCCCTGCATGGCAAACAAACTTCTAGTGTTACATCTTTGACAGCCTAGGGAAGAGCAAAGGTCACTTCTATGCAAAAGCATTAAAACTGTTGCTTGAAAAGAATTTCATGTCACTAAAGATAAGAATTATTGTAGTGTTTTATAGCCATTGCATGAAAGGCTAGATCTATTTGATGCATTCCTTTGAGGAAAACTGATTTTTTTTCCTACCCTCAAAGGCAAAAATTTGGGAGATGTTTACTTTAAAAGGGCTTTTGAAAAATACAATTGCTTTAAGCCAAAATATTTGTATCTGTGGAAGAACCATCTGTATGTATCCACTTTCTATACCTGCACTGAAATTTTCTTAAAAAGAAAACTACATATTTTTGGCAGAAGTTTCATGATACATAAACCGAAAACATATATACTTAAACTACTATTGAACATAGTCCTCAAGGTTTCACTAAGCCTCAGTGTTTTATAGCTTCATTTTATAGGACTAGAGTGCTAACATGTAAAGATTTTGTTCTCGCTTCCTTTCTGAAAAAACACTAACCAAAACCTTTTGTAGCAACCTACTTCTGCTTTCCTGTCCAGGTCTAGAATCAGGCCTCTGTTTCCTTTCCACATGTCACAGTAGGAAGGACTCTGGAAAGCTACTTCCTGAACACACACTTCTTGTCCACCCGGCCTTGACAGCTTGAAAGAGTGATGTATGGACATATCAGAGAGGGGAAGGTGACCCTAACTCTAGCTTTTTGCAAGACACAGAGATGATATGGCAGACCTTGCCCCAGCTGACATGTGGCTATGAAGAGGTGTAAAGTCCTGATAAGAAGGCAGTCTTTCTCTTCTTTCCGTGTAAAATAATTGCTGGTTTATCAAAACTAACCTCATGCTTGCACTACAGATATGGTTTATCTCCTGCTATTTGGAAATAACAACAAGCAAGAAAAGTTGTCCGTATCATGTGATTTTGTACAGAGTGTGTGCAATTATTTTTCCAGTCTCATTCATAATTAGTACTTGGGGATATGTGCCAAGTGGAAATGGATAAGGGGAACATCCTTCCTAGCCTTTTAGGCCACTAGTGTCCTTTTCCAATTTTTAAGCTGCTGTCACTGGACTCTGGCATTTCTTACCCAATTCATTTGCTTTCTGTGTTAATCATATGCAATGAAGATATGCATGGCCAACATTTAAACAGGCTGCAGATCAATTAGCAGTCTTAAGTTTATCTGATTTTTATCAAAGAAGACAGAGCTGTGGGTCGACTGTCAGAGCCTGTGTCAAGTTGACCTTTTCAGAGATGTCTACATTGCCAGTCCCCTGGGCAACTTGTTGTCCCCTGTTAGTCTCTGAATGGCAGAAGTCTGTTCTGCTCAAGCACAAAGTATACACAGATGTCTATATTACATTCTTATAGGTTTGACAGCAACTGCATGTTGTATCTATAAACTGTCCTTTAGCAGTGACACTTCCTCAATGATGATAAGCTAATTTATGCAACTAAATCTCCTTTGTGCAGAAATGAAAGCTAATTGAGTCATTACAAAGTAATTCAGGAAGGAATACCTTGTATAAATTGGCTTACTTTATAAATCCTTCTCAAGTGGTTTTCATGCATCCTAAATGGGACTAAGCAGCTTATCAGCCATAAGATATCCAAGCCAAAAATGCCAACTTTGGGGAGCTGTGTAAACATCTTTAGAACAGTAAGAACATGGATAAAATGAAAGTGAACAAAAGCAAAATAAGGTTTGCCAAGAAGCTACACAAGTCATTACCTGAGGTGTGATGGACACTATCCTGACTCATCTTCCTTTGTTCTTCCACTTTCACTGGAGCACTGTCCTCTTCTTCTTCTGTAAATAAACATTATCAATGGCACATTGAAGGGTTTTCTCAGGGATAACACTACAGTACTCACTCAATTTTAAAAGCAAAACTAAAAGTTTATAACACATAAACATTATTTTTCAAAGAATAAAATAACTCAAGATTCACAGTCCTTTTTCGACAATCTAACACTGAATAAATAAAATACTAGCTACTGCCAAATAGCAACCTTTCCAACTTTCCACATAGCAAACTTTCCAACTTTCCAATAAAATACTAGCTACTTCCAAATAGCAACCTTTCCAACTGGCTTGGCAAAATTTAAGATATGTACTAATGCACTGCATGTTTTGTTTTAAATACTTTTAGAAACTCATCTGGAACAATCTTAATTTCAGGAAAACCCTTAAATCCAGTAAAGTAACACCCAGCGTTATACTGATACACCACATTGTACTGTGTGGCAGGAGTATCATATATAAAATCATGGTCCCTAAAACATCATATAGCAAGGAGAAATGTGTGATTAAAAATGCAGTTAACCTATAAATCATTTTTTTGAGTATCACATAATTTCATACGTTTTCTCAATCTTCACAGGAAGATACTATAATGATCTTCATCCTTTGAGGTAATTCCCCCAAAATTATACCAAGGACCTATTATGTGTCATATACAATGCTGGATGTTAAAATCTCATAGACAAATAATTTTTAATCCTCATTCTACAGACAAGTTTATCTTTAGAGACTCAAAAAGGTGAAGTAACTTCCAAAGTGTGTCATTCGAACTTAAGTTTGTGATTATAAAGTCAATGTTCTTTATCCTACATATAATCAGTGCTCCATTTACATTTGTTCCACACTCACCTATACCATTCCTTCCCCAAATTATGCAAAGAAATAAGATAAAATTAAATGAGAAGAGCTTTAAATAGACTTAATAAACTAATTCATTTACACCAAGAAAAATATTTATTACATGATTTTTCCTCACCTAAGGATTTGCATACAAACCTAGAAATACTTAAGGCAGGACATATAAACAAATGGCATGCCAAAGAAAAACTGGATTCAAAGAGAATCATAATTTCAAGAAAACTCCTAAAACTTTAAAGAAAAATATGCAAAATATATAAATGTAGTCATTGTAACTATTCAATCAATCAGTCAATCAATCTTCATTGGATATTAACTAACTGTGAGACAGAAGAGATCTACCAAGGAGGTAAAAGTAACAGGAAGCCTCTGCTCACAGGAAGCTGACAGCACAGATGGGACAGAAGACAAGCTCTAAAGGAAAACAGGCTGAAGGGGCCTAAACCTGACAAGTGATGCACAAAGCACTGAAGAAGTGCAGCAGAGAAACCCCCCAACTAGGGAGTACCACGGAGGCTCCAAGGGATGGAGAGAGTTTAAATAAGGAGAGAGGATAAGAAGGATATTTCCGGAGGGATAGGTATGATCTTTAAAAGAAAAAGGCATGTTCATATTCATTTTGACTAAAGAATCTGGTACACATAGGGGAAGAGCTGGGTAGGAGTTACGCTCATAGTTTGGACCAGCTGTTGAGGGGCCATGAACATCTTGTTATGGACTGCAGGCTTTTATTTGGTGGGCAATAAGAGCCTTCGAAGGTTTTTTGAGCAGAGAAAGGGCAGGACTGAAGCTATGCTTCAGGAATGGACATCTGATCCCATTGTCTCAGACAGCCTAAAAAAGGGGCGGGAGAGAGACTACTGTGGATAAAGGGGAAGGAAGTCCTGAACTGAAGGGGCAAAGGAAATGGAAAGGAGATGGTTATAAGAGGTAAAGGAACTAGAATGGATAAGCTTTGTGCCTGAATGTGGAGGAATGAGGGGGGGGAAAAGAGCAACAAAGGATGGCTAAGGTTTTGAGCTTAGTTAACTGAGAAATGGACATATTATTACTAAAAGGAGGATAGCCAAAATAATCTATCTTACTGGGGAACACAAAGAGTTGTGTTTTCAACAGGAGGAATTTAATGTATTGGTGAGGCAACCCAGAGAACATGTCTGGGCAACTGCAAAGTATGGTAGAGCAGTCAGGACTACAGGTGGAAATTTAGGAGTCTCCTGAAAATGTTAAATGGGGATGAATCAAAATCAGCATTTCAACCAAGCTTGAGAGGGTAGCTGTACTTACACGACAAATAGAACTGTTCTGAATTTCTGTAACTCAATTCAAACAAAATAATGACAACTCCAATATAAGGGACACCTGAAAATATCTGGCATTTTATTCATATTGTTAAACATAACACTGACAATTTAATATGGTTCAGTCAAATATATAGAAGACCTAATAAAAGTATACCACTCTTTTAAAAAGTATCCTGTCTCTTTTCTTTTTAACAATAGTTATCTCACTTATGCCAAACCTTAAAGGCTAGCTTTAATAAATGGGTTAATAGGGTGTTTCCATATAAATTTTTAAAGGTAGAAGGAACGTTTACAGTCATTATTCCAACCTACTCATTTTATTGACAGATAATTTGGTAAAAGGTGAAGGAGAAAGCTTTCCTTACTTTTCACACTTTCTTTCCATAGCACCCACTCCCCTTTTAATTTAGTCACAAATTCAATAGTAAGAAATAAATTAAAAAATGGATAAAGGCACTCGTCCTCAGTCAAAAGCTATAACCGCATCAATACAATAAGTATTATTAGTGGCTTTTAAGAAGAGACTGTGGGGGCTGGGCATGGTCGGTCACGCCTGTAATCCCAGCACTTTGAGAGGCCCAGGCGGGTGGATCACCTGAGATCAGGAGTTCGAGACAAGCCTGGCCAACATGGCAAAACCACGTCTCTACTAAAAATACAAAAATTAGCATGGCATGGTGGCAGGCGCTTGTAATCTCAGCTACTCAGGAGACTGAGGAAGGAGAATCGCTTGAACCTGGGAGGCGGAGGTTGCAATGAGCTGAGATCGCGCCACTGCACTCCAGTCTGGGCGACAAGAGTGAAGCTCCATCTCAAAAAAAAAAAAAAAAAAAAAGAGACTGTGGGATTTAGATTTCACCACCCAAATCAGCATGAACATATAAAAATTCATTACAAGACTTAATGAAAAAACTCTGCTCTTTGACAAAGTTAACAATGAATTTAGAAGTATTTGTTACTATGAATTTTTTATTTTATTAAAACTTAAGTGCCAGTAACATGTGCTCTGGATTGTATATTGGTGTCAGAGAGCTTTGTTCTTAGAAATATGCACTCTTAAATTATCAGAATAATGATATTAAAAGTATTTACTTAAGAATTAATGTTTACTATAAAATATCCAAATTGAAATCCATGTAAGATGCCATTTAATAAGCAGATTTTAGAGGATGAGATGCTCATTAAGGACACTTCCTTTTTCCATTTTAAACCTGGTAGCGATATTTTTAAACCAAAGCTTTATGCATTTAATATATCAATTTTTCTTAACAATATTTAAACAACTCATTTTATCTTGGCTAACAATACAAATAGCTTCCATATAAAAGATAACAAAATCAAATATGGTGTATGTTTTTGAATCTTAGGCAGGGAAAAAAACCTCAGACTGAACCTTGAATAGAACTTGGCACAAAGGAGATGTTCGATAAATACAGAATAAACAAATGGATTAAAAAAATCATACAAATAAATCTTAACATATTCATTTATTAATAGAATAAAGCTCTTAAAAATATGTAAGAACAAGTGACCAAAATTCTAGGCAATAATCACCTTCACAATATATTAGAAATATATACATTCACATATTTTTTTATTTAGGTTTATTATTAAATATGTATTATTTTGGTGTTGAGGCACAATGTCATTGTACAATACTAATTAATACCTCAAGTAGTCAATGTTTGTGAGTTAATATATTCCATTCAACATTTTAATAACAGTAAACAAAAACAGCTCAGCTATGCAGTAAAATCCATCAAACCACACAGATGGTTATAAGGTTTTCATTATGTGGTTTCCATAGCAATCATATTGCAAACCTGGAAGCTTCTTGCAAATAAGCAGCTTGTATTTACATGCCTCTCAGCTGCAGCACAAAACTCTTCAACATGTGAAGTTATTATTCCAATCACACATTGTTAGAAGAATCATCAGGAGATTTTTTTTTTTTTTTTTGAACAGACAGGATGAAAGTAACAGTAAAGTGAGCTAAGTGCAGAAGAAAATTCAAACATAGTCACACATTTACTAAACTGATCAGTGAGAACAGCAGAAATGTTCTGGTAGTCATCAAAAGGTTTTAACAATAAACTCTGTCAAAAATATGAAACTTCCAGGAGCAATCAGACCCTGAAGAATTAAAAAAAAAAACAACTGCACCCACCCCTCTTTTTAATAGATATTTGGCCTTCTCTCTGAGTTAAGCAAAGAGAGGAAGAATGGCAAATAGTTTGAGTCTTCCCAAATCTTTTTAGCATTTGAGAAAAGGCTTACTGTGGGAAAAGTCATGGCCCTTTTTCCCCCTTTTTAATCTATTTAATTTACAAAATTGATCCAGTTCCATAACAGATGGATTATTACCCTAATAGGGATTGCAAATCTGTCTAGCTATGCAGTTTTTACAAAATGGGCATTTACGGCTTACTAATGTTCTTATCTTTAGGATAAATAACCAAAAAGAAGAGTGATAAGCAAATGGCACCATTTAGCTGACACTGCTTGAAAAAAGGTTGAAGAAAATTTGTTAACACCAACTCAAGGTATGCGATGTTCACATCAAGGCCGAGGACTGATTTTATCATCTCTTCCAGGGAGAAGAGGAAGATGATATAAAAAATCTTTCACTTACATAATGATCACCTTTCTCACTAAATACCCTCAGAAAACAGCTTTACTAAATTATAATGTACTTTAAAACATAAAACACAGAATCAAAAGTTAAGCTCTGAAATAAAGTTTGGATTTAGATCTCCACCTGTCCAGGCATTATTTAATATTATATATTTTTCTCAGGAAATGTGAATATTTATTGCTTAAATGTTCACATTATATGCATTTATATCCATTATGTAACTAAATCCTCCAACAATTCTATGAGGTAATTATAAGTACTTTTATCATCACCATTTTATGAATATGAAAAATGAATTTATGGAGCTTGAATAACTTGTCAAGGTTCATACATCCAGTTAGTACATAAGCTGGGATTTTAACTTTAGGCATATGCCTTAACTCTAAGCCACAGTGTCTCCTCCTTTATTTTCATTAAAATCTTCAATTTACAGGTGGATTGCTTTCTAAAATTTTACTTAAAATACTGTCTGTTTGTGGACTTTGAAAACATTTTCACATAGAATAGTAGGTTCTACACTATCATAGCATCGTATCTGAAGAACATCTTAAGCAAACTTTTTAGTGCTGATTTAGAAACAATTGCAACCAGGGCTGCCCAAAATATATGGTCTTCTTTCTCCTCTCCCAGTTCCCCTTCCTCACCTCTAGCTTTTAACACACTCCTCTGTTCCTAAAGTTACACACTATTTGGGCATTGCACACAAGATGCCCGAGTGGGAGATGGAAGAGGTGACATGGGGGAACAGAGGACACCACCGGCTAGTCCTAGTGGTAAAATGTAAAAGATAGAAGTACTGGGAGGATACATACAAATGGAACCCCACCCGCTCTTCTCTCCCATGACCTGTGGCAAGTCACAAAGGCTGGAAGAAGGGTTGGAAAAGTTAGAGTCGAATCTAAGGGGTATGGGCAAAAGATTCACAATTATGACAGCAAGGGAAAGTGAGCTCCCCAGGGGCCTATAAATCTAGAACTACTGGTAATATGAAGGATTTTTATATTACTATATTTTATTATACTTCTAAAGGACTGTTCTGTCTATTCAATAGACTATTATTTTACAGCAATAAAATACATATTTTTAAAAAGATATAAGCATGTGCCTTTTAGCATTATACAAACTTCAGAATGAATGGAAGGATAAAGATGACTGAAATAGCATAGTTAGAGTCATGTTTACTCTTATGGAAATTTGGCAAAGTGGGGCCTATTGTTACAGCTCTGTTACTCACATAAACTGGACACTGCTTCTAATTCTTAGTGTCATCTCTGTATTTCAAAGTAGGAAGAGTAAGTCTATCCCATAGCACTTTGAAGAAGGATTTGGGGAAGACAATGAGATAACCAGATTTCTCAGGGGAAAAAATGAAAAATTAGTATGCTGTATCAAGTTTATTACCTTAGGAACTGGGAGTTTTGCAACAATTTATTAATTAAGCAACCAGAAAGGTTAATGTGATATAAAGGCAAGAAAATAAGCAATAGTTGTTCAACCACAAAATCTAATTTTCACCTTTGACATTCTATTATTCTAAGGTTTAATATGAAAAGGTTATCACTACCCTTCAAAAGCAAAAGGAAATACCATTGGATTGTAGTAAATTTCTGTACTATGACATTAAAATTAATAATTTAAACACAAATCTGCTTTGGGAGGCCAAGGCAGGAGGATCGCTTAACAGTTTGAGTTTATAGTGAGCAAAGATCATGCCACTGCATCCTGGCCTGGGTGACAGAGCAAGACGCTGTCTCTAACAAAAACAAAAACAAAAAAATACCCATACACACACAAATCAGAAAATGTGAAAATAATTTTTCACATAGACATATTTGTTAATATCATGATTGGGATGTTGAGGAAAAAACTTGAACTCAAGCAAAGATCTCATTTGATAGAGTCAGGAAAAAAAATCTTAGAAGGGAAAGAAACCTTAGATAGAATCTTGTTCAGTTTCCTCATTTCACAGAAGATGAGGTAAACTGTGGGTGCTGAATGACTGGACCGAGGGCACACAGCTTGCACACTGTACCCTTCTCCCTGAAACTGCCTTCTGTGCACCGCAGACATTTCTGAAAAGTTATCTGCTGCTCGAGAAGCACTCCTTTGTTTCAGGAGCAGTCTTGTATACACTCGATCACCTACAGGCAATTAGGCAATTATGGCAAAAGGGAATGTATATAGGTTAAAAACAAAGTTTTCATAGGTCAGATTCGGTTGGTCAGAAGCGACTGTGAATTAGAAAATGATCCTACTCCTAAAGAGTACTAGGTATTAGGAAGTTATGAAATGGAGCTCCTTCTTGTCCCATTGAATTATTCACTGTATGATAAAAATTCTCCTTTACAACCCAAATTCTTGGCTTTTTATTAAAGTTTATAACAAATTGTGTAATTCTAAAATTCTTTTAGTCCAGGAAAGTCTGAATTCATTTATTTTTCACTTACAGTAACCTCTATCTGGCTCTGGATTTCTGATACAATTACAGCTCATTTTTTTTTTCATTTAAAGTAACCTTTTTCTTATTATTCTTGTTACAAAAGCAGTATCTACTCATTGCTGAAAGTCAGAAAATAGAGATAAGCAAAATAAATAAATAAATCATCCATGATCCAAGCATAACCACTATTAACACCTTCTTCTAGGCTACCTTTATTCAGCTACTGGTTTTTCTTAATTCTTATTTTAAATAAAATACCCCAAATGCATATGTATTCATTGTCCCCATACATTTCTTATCCCAAAAGTATATATGCATTTCATTGTAAACTGTTTTGAATCCTTTTTTAGAAAGTAAAATACATCAACTCAATTTAGATTTTTTTGGCTTGCTTTAAATTTTATTAGATTAAAAAATACTATCTAGTGACAAATAGGCTGATGTTATGATTATTTGATTGTAATGTGGCTGTCTTATCAGGGTCTACAACTGCCTACTATAACCTCTGGAAAAACAGCTGATATATGGATGCAGAGCTCATTTGTTATAGGCTTTTGCTCTGTTTCCTCTGCTTGCCTATGCAAATATACCCTTTCTCATCATATGCAGTGCATCTTAACCTCATTTTCAAGAGCCCAAGAAAGAAAAAGCACAGTTTCATAGAAAGAACCATCACCATTAGACTTACTGGCTCCACATCCCTTATACCAGCAGTGCTTTCCAAGATCTGTTTGCAGGGTGGAGGGTCTGTGGGGTCAAAGCTATTTTCATAATAATACTAAGACATTATGTGTCTTTTTCACTATGTTAACATTTGCACTGATGTTGCAGAGCAATGATGGGTAAAACTGCTGACACCTTAGCATAAATCAACTTAGACTGCCCTGCACTGGCATAAAAGTAAAAAAATGAAAGAAGTCAGTTGCACTAAAGAATGTCCTTGATGAAGCAGTAATAATTATTTTCACCTAATATCAACCTTGAGTACGTAACTTTAATATTCTATGTGACAAAATCAGAAGAATGTATAAAGCATTTCTGCTACACCACCAGATGCGTAAGAATCTGAGTGTTGAGCTGAATTAGCCATTTTTTTATTCATGGAACACCATTTTTACTTGAATGACTGACAAACTGGTTATTTAGACTTGGGAATCTGGCAGACATTTTCTCAAAAGTAAATGAAATAAGCTTGTCATTTCAAGGGAAACAACTGACGGTATTTATTGCCAATGATAAAATTTGAGCTTTCAAGCAAAAATTAGGATTTTAGAAACTTGTATCTGCCACTGTTAGCTTGACAGCTCCCCACTATTTAAAGACTTTTCCAATGAGATGGATGGTGATATAAACAAAATGTGGGTTTTTCTTAGGTTGTGTCATAGTTGTGTCAATATTTGTAGGTTCTGCATAATGTAATGAACTAGTATTTTCCAACTGACCAAAGCATGTTACAAAATCAAGCATGGGTAAAAGATCCATTCAACAAAGTGCAAGACAGGCCTATGAATTTTAATGTAAAAGAGTATGAAAAGTTCATTGGTATGGTTTCAGATTCCACATTGTACCAGCTTTTAACTACTACTTGTCGCGTCTGGGTACAATATCAAAAAAGAATACCTACAATTACCTGCAAGTAAAGTACCTCCCTTTTCCTTCCTACATATCTGTATGAGGTGGATTTTCTTTATAAGTTAACTGTACTTAAACAATATATCACAATAAACTGAATGTAGAAGCAGATATGAAACTCTATTGTCTTCTACCAAGACAGACATTCAAGAAAGCTGTAAAAATGTAAACAATGCCATATTCTTCTAATTTTAGGGGGAAATATAGTTATTTTTCCTAAAAATAGGTTATGTACAGATGTAACAGGTTTATCATCATGACTTTTAAATTCATTAATAAATCAACATTCTTTAAAGATCTGTTTTAATTTCCAATAGGGTAAATATTGAGATTTAACTATTTACCAACCTATTTATCATTAGATAGTATTTTTTAATCTAATAAAATTTAAAACAAACCAAAAAAATCTACATTGAGATGAAATACTTTACTTTCTAGAAAAAAATTCAAAACATAAACAAAAGCTTTTAAGGGTCCTTGATAATTTTTAAGATTGTAAAGGGATCCTGAGATCAATAAGTTTAAGAATGGCTACCCTGTACTTTCTAGGGTAGTTTTAGTTAAATATCTAAACATTGTTCATCCACCACATGAAAAAAAATGATATCCTGCTAACCTAGAACACTATTTGATAATTATTTTATGTTCCCAAAGCACACAATCTCAGGATTGAATCACATTAAACTGTTGACTCATATTGAGCTATTGACCAAAGTCCGTATGTGTTTTTCCCATTTTCTGTGAAGCCAAGTCTTTCCTTTCTTGTACTTGTGCAACTAGATTTTTGGAGCAAGTGGAATATTCTATCATATTTCATCTTGTTGGATTTGACCCATGATTTTGTTCTATTGAGAGCAAGCCTGTATCCAAAACAATGATGAATAGGTTGGATATGATAATATTGAAAATAAAGCCCTAAGGTATTCATAAAATCAATTAATTAGCACTCTTTGGACACAGCTGTAGAGTCAGTTATCTGGTGGTCTCTATATCTATAAAGATTTCATGAGAATCCTGACCACATGTCTTACTGAAGTCCAGTTATATGTCCACCAATTCCTGGAACTCATACTGGGTTCCAGTAATTAGTGTTTCATCTTCTAGTTAACATAAAAGACTCTCTTTGATACTCTATGTTAGCAGTTTCTGGAGTCCTCTTTATAGCCCATTAACTATCTAGAATTTTCAGAATTCATCTGAAAAGGGATACCAGATACGCTTTTCAGAACCAACACAGCCATCCCCAACTGCTGGGACTCAAGCTGCAGTTGGTTCATAACTGCGTCTCTCACTAGAAATTGCCCTCAACTGCAGGGAATTGCTTCACTCAAGGTTATAGGGCCTCCCAGAGAATGGCTTGGAGCCAATGAATAGCTAATGCAGGAATACAAAGACAAGCCCCTATGCCTCAATTTGGCACAATCCTGAAGAGTCCGCCTAGCCTAGTCTGGCCTTCTTCACTTTCATCCGGCGTATGTCCTAAGATCACTCATCCATAAACCTTCTACATAAAACTGTCTTAGAGTCTGTTTCAGGGAACCCAACTTGAGACACTTTCTACTGTTTTTGAAGTTTATAATACAATTGCTAGACTCCAGACCTCTAAAGTCTTTCTCATCCTTCATGTTTCCCTCAAAATGAGTGACAGCAGCTCAATGACTTCATTTACAATTTCTCTTGTAATGTATGACAGTTTTACCTGGGCCAGAAGACAAACCCAAGTCCTACTTATCTTTAAAGCAAAGCTCAATCCCCACTCTGGGAAGCAGCTGGCCTCTCTCCCCTTTGTGTTCTCACAGACTTGGTCCAGGCCTCTATTATTCCACTCATAAGGTACTGCAAACATTCCTCTACTGTCCACTTTTACTCCAGGTGTGGACTCCCCAGTGACTTATTTATATTACCTAAACAAGCCTGGAACAAAGAAGGAGTTTGTTTTGGCTAGCTAGGTATTTTATTTGAATCTTTGTCAATCCTGGGCTTCTGTTCCCTCTTACCAATCTTATTACTTGGAGGAAGATTCTTAACAGAAAAGGAGCAAATAGAAACTGAGCTGTTTTCTCTGAACCACTGTCTCTAATAAGTTTTGAAAACAAAAACACACAACTGTCATACATTTTTGGTTGTGCTTATCATAATTTATAAATGTAAGCTATTTTCATATTTTCTTTGGTTATTCAGCTATTTCAATTGTTGATGGATACCCCCTTTAAAATTCGCATTCAGGCTGGGCGCAGTGGCTCACACCTGTAATCCCAGCACTTTGGGAGGCCAAGGCAGGTAGATCACCTGCAGTCAGGAGTTTGAAACCAGCCTGACCAATATGGTGAAACCCCATCTCTACTAAAAATACAAAAATTAGCCAGGTGTGGTGGTGGGCACCTGTAAACCCAGGAGGCTGAGGCAGGAGGACTGCTTGAACCCGGGAGGTGGAGGTTGCAGTGAGCTGAGATTGCCCCACTGCACTCTGGCCTGGGCGACAGAACAAGACTTCGTCTCAAAAATAAATAAATAAATAAATAAATAAATAAACAAATAAATAAATAAAACTTGCATCATTGAATAGATTCTAGCACAAGGATATTATTTTAACTTCTCTTTTTTTCCCTCATTAAGATCATTTACAATTAAAATTCAAATGGCATTTAAAAATACTTGTTTGTCATTAATACCACAAAATACCACAATATTTTTGCTTATTCTTTCCCTGAATTTTCTGAAATCTGCCTTCCTACAGTCTTAGCAAATGTGTGTGGGTAATGGGCAGCCTTTTCTTCGGTGGCTATCATGGATTCTAAGATGATATCTGCTTTTGTCCAATTTTTTCCACAATTAAAAGTGGACACCGTATCAGTTTCCTTATTTATTTCCTACATCCTTCTGTCTCACTCATTTTAAAATATGCCACTTCCATGTTTGAACTATATTTTTTGTTTTTTGTTTTTTTGAGGCAGGGTCTCACACTGTCACCCAAGTTGGAGTGCAGTGGCATGATCTCAGCACACTGAAACCTCTACCTCCCAGGCTCATGTGATCCTCCCAAGTAGCTGAGACTGCAGGCGCACACTACTACATCCGGCTGATTTTTGTATTTTTTGTAGAGACAGGGTTTTGCCATGTTGCCCAGGCTGGTCTTGAACTCCTGGGCTCAAGCAATCCACCTGCCTCGGCTTCCCAAAGTGCTTGGGGTTACAGGCATGAGCCACTGCGCCCAGCCATGTTTGAACCGTATCTCAAGAAAGAAAAAGATATGATGATAATGATTGTTTATTGCTCTCTCTCCCCTTCTCTATATTCTTAGTGACAGTTTGTCAGTTCTTCTTGTTTGAAGATTCCTAGTTGCTGCATACTAGAAAAACTAACCATCCTGATCCCTGGTTCTGTGTGTCCCAGTCAGTAAGAAACTGAGGGTGGGGAGAGAGTCACACTCAGTCTTACTCCCTTGTGCTTAGTTTGCTGTGCCCTACAGTAATAGCTTCTACCTGCTTAGAAGGCCTCAATCCAAGGAATGAAAGGGATCAAGCACATAGTGTTGAATATTTAATATTTATAGGGCAATTATCAAATAATAGCCTCACTTGTATTTTTCTACTATCACCACATTTCCCCTCTGCAATATGAGGTAACTTCTAATTTGCGAATAGAGATTATGAGACACATCAACATCTCGGCATACCACCACGATGTGGTATTTATCTTGAGCAGTGGTTATCAAACTTCAGCAGCATCAGAATCACCTGGTGGGCTTTTTAAAACCCAGATTGCTGTGCCCCATGCACAGAGTTTCTGATTCAGTATATTTTGGCTGAGCTGGAGAAGGTGCATTTCTAACAAGTTTCCAGCCCATGCTGCTGGTCCCAGGACAGTACTTTTGAGAACCATGGCTCAGAGCCGTATCTTCGAAGGCACAGGTGTCCAACCTTTTGGCTTCTCTGGGCCACCCCAGAAGAAGAAGAATTGTCTTGGGCCACACATAAGATAAACTAACACTAACAATACCTGATGAGCTTTAAAAAAAAAAATTCCATGCATAATTTTCATGATATCCACCACCACAAATAAGCAAAAAACTCCCTGCATTCAAAGGATTGGACATGGTTGTCCTAAGGCTTTCTTTTGCATAAGGTCTCTAAGGTTTCAGTGTTCTATCATTATTTGAAGGTAAGTACATTTTAAGCTTCAAAATACAGATATATGTCACTAAATAATACCAAAGTAAAATTAATTATATAATGGAATTAGCAAAACAGGAGTTAATCCCATATATGCATTTGAAAGATACAACATAACTATATAAATGCAATATAATTTGTAGTCCAGAAGTTTATATTACCCTCTTTCACTAGCTATACAAACTTAGACAAGTTAATTAAACTCTCTGAACCTCAGTTTTTTCATCTGGACAACAGAACTATAAAATCTGCTTTAGATAATTATTATGAGGATGAAATAAGGTAAAGTGGTCAACACAAATCTGCATAGCAGATTTGTAACAGTGATTATAATAATCTGTTTACTGTGTACTAAACACCACTAGGTACTATATACATAAATCTCATTCAAAACCCATCATTAACATTTTACAGATAATGAAACGAAGGCATAGAAACACTTAAGTAACTTGTTCAGCATAACACAGCTATAATAATAATTAGTGTCAGGATTTACACCCAGGCAGTCTGCCTCCAGAGCCCAGGTTCTGAAGCACTACAGTTTTTCTTCCCTTTGGGTGTAAAACCTTGCATATATTACTTGCTCCTGTTTGTTAATTAATTAAACAGCATTTTAACCTATTGTCACAACATGCAACTTATGAGAAAGTTAATATCATGATGTCATATTGACATATATTCTTATTTTTAACACTCTTCAATGATAAAATAATTTGGCTAACTGACAATCGTTTAAAAAAATGCTCCTTTGAAAAATAGTGTACACTGCTGAAAAAACAGGAGACAAGTCATGTTTGTAATGGCCACAGAAAGTGAAAAACTTGGCATTTGCCCCTTCCATTTTTCTTCCAGTTGAAAGGCAGCTTGCAAATGGAAAAATCATCTCCCATCACCTCCCTCCCAGAGACTAAATGTGATGAAAAAACAGAGTTAGGCTAAGCCCTGAAGCAAGCAGGGCTGAGAGCAGCTTCAATCCTAGCCAGGAGCCTAAGAAGATTGATTAATCCTGAATAAGATAGCTATAGTTTCTTACCAGATATGACTGCAGTAAGACATGAAAAATACAGCAAATTAAAGCACTTTTCGTAATACGAAAGAATGGCACTCTCAAAATATGAATTTCCACGTACCTATGAGTGGCTGTGCACAGACTTTCAGAATTGTTTTTAAGAAGTTTTCAATTCTAATGTAAGAGATATCTTCTTGACATACAGACTAATTTATGATAAAATAGGTTATAATGGCTGAAGAGAAAAGATGTGCTAGAACTAGTATATTTCTGTAGAAAGGGGCTGCCAAAAGAAGCAAGGTAGAACCTGCAGGGGGAAGAAGGGGAGGTTAGGCATGTAAAACTCATCTGATGGAGGTCTTGATGCTCATTCTTGCAAAATAGCATTTGCTGTCCTTCAAAGTACGTAAGAATAAAAATTTGAGCTCAAAAACCAACACACTTGCTCAGTTTTGGCCCCCTAAAGGGATAGGTTGAACTCTCATTTACAAAGTTTCTCTTACTTGGATTCCAGAAATAAAGCCAACATCAACAAAATGTCTGCTCTTATGTAAAAGAGCCAGAATATTTTTAATGTACATGGCAGGCAAACCAGATCTTACTTTTTTAAGGTCTCACCCACAGTGTCCCAGAGTAGCAGATGAAGTAAATTTATCCACTCTGGGAGGACAAATCCCTGCCACCTTAGGGGCCTAGGGTCTAGGCAGTGCCAGAGCTCCAAAACTAGCCTCTAGCCTATTTTCCAGTATGACGAAACTTTCTTGTTTTCTCATCCCCAAATAACAACTGATTTTTTTTAAAGTTAAATATGAGATTTTATAAACTTTTCCTAGCACTTTTAGTTAAAATAAATGTTATGCCATAATTATGTATATTAAAATGCAATTTGGGATTTTATTTCCATCTAATTAAATAATGCAATCAAACATGTAAATTTAATGGCAAGCCCAACCATAGTACTTAATTAAGGGATCATTCAATGTTTATTGTCCTTGCTTAGAGTAAATCATTGATTTAAAGAGAATACACAAAATGACATATGCACTTTCCTGAACAGTCTACTTAAGAGCATAATGTTAACTATCTGAATGTAGTTTAACTGCATGACTTATTTACACCTATTCTAGCTAAATAAAAGTAGTTATCAAGCAGTGATTAAAGAATTCAGGCGGTTTTATTATAAACAACTTTATCATATGACCCTTTACTTAGCTTTGGAAAATAATTTCTGGATTAAAAAAACTCAACTAGAAAAATTATCTCAGTATAGTTCAATTTAGTGAGGAAATACAATACACTACTTGGCATGTGTCCACAGGAAAAGTCTGGCTCCCAGATGCTTCTTGCCAACCCACAGTGGATTCAACAATGTTTAAACAACTGACAACGTACACTCATAGCTCTGATGACAAAGTGGCCAAAAATTTAGCAGGAGCCTGTCTCATGGGTATTTTCATATATTGAAAAGTTAAAATCAAAACAAAACAAATCATAGGGACATACATACACACTTCACAAAAGATTCAACACAATTCAGTTAGGCTTTTTTTAAAGTAGATGTTGCCAAAATTATTTTAAAATTAACAAATAAGACATTCTGCTGCTAGAAACTCAAAATATATCAATGTTTTTTATTGTATAAGTGTTATTAAAAGTGAGAAATATAACCCTATTTGGTTACCAAAGTCCAACAATAACTCTTTCTAACAAATAGATTAACTGTCTCCATAACTCATTCATTATAATCATACTATTTATATTAATATCCATGACTCTCTAACACATGTACCCATAGCTAACAAGTGTTTTTATTAGTTTGAATAAAATGAAATTGCCAATATTTTCCTAATTTTGACCTCCCAAAACAAAATTTTATAAGAGTCAAGGGTAAAGTAAAACTTCAAACTTTTGGCACCAAATTTTGACATCAAAGTGGTAGCTTTATTTTCTTAGTTATATAATATCTATGTTTTTTTTATAACTAGCCCTCACGTGTCTCATTTAACTGAACAGTCTTCTTTCCAACCAGGAATATTCTGAGTAAAATCTATATCCTACTGCAGCAGATTCAAGTATAAACAGAATATTGTTAATATTTAATATAAAATCAGCTGTCACAAATGTAGCGAACAGTGAAAAAGCCATGATACAAATAAAATTACTTCATGTGATTTTTCCTGTTTCCAGATGACAAGTTTCTTTGAGATGATATTCTCTCTCTTAATAACAAGCAACTTCTGTCACATAATGTTTATGTCATGTAAGTTCTACAAATGAAAAGTGCAAAAACTGGTTTGACTTTCTAGGGGAGAAAATGATTGATCAGCACACAGAATAAAATAGGTTATTTAAATTAGGACTTCAGCTGATTGAAATGCCAGCCCCATTTTAAAGATATATTCTAAAGTAACCACATTAACCTAATTTAACATGACTTCAAATGCAAATATGTATTAGTCTTAGCTTATAAAACCAAAGTGTACATTTGGGTCTGGATGGATCTCTATTTGATTTAATTTTTGAGTAATTCTTTGTATATACAAATGTAATTTTTATCCTAAATAGCATTAAGCAGCTAATTGGGATAATTTGCTTCATAAATTCAGCGGCCATTTAAAATCTCTTCCTTCATAAATTTAACAAAAATTTCTTCTTGTCAAGAAGTAATTAAAGCCAGGCACAGTGGGTCACACCTGTAATCTTAGCACTTTGAGAGGCCAAGGCAGGTGGATTGCTTGAGCCCAGGAGTTTGAGACCAGCCTGGGCAACATAGTGAAATCTTGTCTCTACTAAAAATACAAAAATTAGCTGGGCATGGTGGTGCACACCTGTAGTCCCAGCTATTCGGTAGGCTTAGGTGGGAGGACTGCTTGAGCCCAGGAAGTCGACGCTGCAGTGAGCCAAGATCACACCACTGCACTCCAGCCTGGGTGACAGAGTGAGATACCATTTCAGAAAAAAAAAAAGAAGTAATTAATATTATAATTATAAAGCCCCTTAGTACATAGGAGACAGGATATTAGACACCTAGCACAGAACCTTGCCTATAGCACATACACAAAATTTTGTTTGACTTGAAATAAAGTTTCTAAATCAAGCACTTATAATTAAGTCTTCACTGCAGTGTTAATTCATAACTTATGGCTTAGGAATTCAACCTCTAGCAATATGGTCAACCAAGCTGAAACAGACCTGTCCTTCCCCACTTGCTCAAAGCAACATACTGATCATTTGCATGGTGGGGTTGAGGCTGGAGTTTTAACATCTTCATGGACACAGGAGACAAGGCTTTGGGCCTGTGAGAAGCACAGAGATACAAATGAGACCCCCAACAGCCCAGGGAAGAAACAAGGAAGCTTTCTGTTTTTCCAGGGCTGGAGGTCATGGGGCTTCCTGTGAGAAATCAAACCCCCAAGCCTGTCCAATGTGAGATCCAAGTTTATACCATCCTCAAGCATGGTATTCCCAAGCCAAGAAATTTAACATAAAAATTTCAAAACTCCTGGGGTTCTAGCAGAAGCAAACATAAAACCATCCTTAGGAGAAGCACTTAAGAAAAACACTTCCAGAACCCAGGGCATACAGCACTCTCATAGAGGTAAGGAGAAAACCTGATAAGCTCACAATACATGGACCTAGCAGAAGAGACTTCCAAGTAAACAGGCAAATTCCTGTGTGGCCAGCTCTAACAGAAGTCAACCCTGAAAGCTGAAGGAGCACAGAGAAGAGCTAAGACATTAAGGAAAAGTCCAAGGCAATGTGAATTGTTATTTTCATAGCATTTCTAAGCTAGAGATTCAAAACACATTATTACACTGGTCCCATCTCTTTGCTTTCACTGGGTGAAGGATTGATCCCACGTGAATGTTTGCTGGGGCTTTGGACCATCTGGTTTTTAATGTCTTGAGCAATGGGGTTTCTTCCACCACTTCCTTTGGAAAGTCTTTTTTTATTATTGTAGGGGCAAAAAAAATGGGTTTAAATGTTGAAGGGATTTGGGGGGTGTTTTTCAAAGTCTTTTTCTTATTAACTCTTTCTTAAATCTCTTCATGAATATGAACTCCCGTTTCCCTATAACATTGAATGTGCTATAATCTGGTCTCTTCCGTATATACCAATAGTTACCCCACCTAAACATTTTTCAAAAGGATCTCCATTTAGTAAACTCCCCAACCTTAATCCTTTTACTTTCATCTTCAGTATGTTCTATAGGTGGTGTTCAGAACCACATATTTCTTACTGGGTATGAGTAGCACTGAACAGACAAGCCCTTTTAGGTATCTCATTTACTGCCATAGACTTGGCTTGGATCTTTGTTCTTTATCAGTCTCTCTTCGGCCTCTTTTCATAACCATTTCTTATCATTTGTTATATTTATTTCTAATTAATAAATTCTGAGTCATATTGGTCAACACTGTATCTCCAGTGTCTAGCACAGTGCCTGACATGTAATAGCTGCCTAATAAATATTTGTTGCATGAATAATTGAATTGCTTACATAAAAATTGGGTGTTTTCTTTTTGCTTTTCTCATTTCATGTTTCATTTTCTTTAGTATTCTTTTTCAGTTGATTTATTAGAATATTAGATGATCTCTGCAGAATACTTTTAAATTAATGCTGAGCTCTTAGAAAGTATAAAATAAAAACCTAGGCTCAAATTCACAAAGTGTCTAGACATGTATATCTACATGTGTTGGGTTACTGTCTTTTATACTTATAAG
This sequence comes from Homo sapiens, assembly GCF_000001405.40. Classification (NCBI taxonomy): domain Eukaryota; kingdom Metazoa; phylum Chordata; class Mammalia; order Primates; family Hominidae; genus Homo; species Homo sapiens. Next base: position 26,709,129 of record NC_000007.14, read on the forward strand.
TATAAAACATAGGGAGATGGGATATTTTATTATGGGTACAGATGACCTTCACCTTATCAGGCTAGGTTTCCAGGAAGAACTGAGAAGTAAGGTAGTTTCTGAAAGAAAACACAGGCTGCTAACAGAAGTGAAATGAGGCTATCTGGTATATGAGAGAGTGTAATAGGCAATGTGAAATTGGGAGCAGGACTCATAAGCAGTGGTCTGAGAAAAGGAACTAGCTTAATAGAAGCAAAGGGTGTGGAGTGGAAAAGGGAAACAAAGGGCTTAAAGTATGTCAGAGCTAGTACTAGGAGTGAGCAGCCTGAATCTTAACCTCAGCCTTCCTCTTTTTGAGGCCCTCCAATGATTCCTCTCTGCCCACTGAATCAAAGTAATTGCCTGAAAGATAATGTTTAAACATTTTCCCCAAGGACTTATCTAATCATTGATTCTTAAACCTTGTTTCACCATCCTTTAAGTTGCTTGTGCAGATTTCCATATCTGAGTTTACTTTTAAATATAAAATGTACCATTTGCTTACTAGTCACATTAAGTCCTTAGAGAAGGCAGGTTTTAAAAATCCTAACTATGATCCTGTGCTCTTTAGATCTACTTTACCTGTGTTAATGAATGAGTGGAAGCAAAGGAGAATGTCATTTCCTGGGAAATGTCTTGCTCGAGATGACTAGCCTGCCATAGGGAACTGGTAACTCAAGTTGGTTCTGTTGCTCATAGTAGATGATTTATCTTTAATGGCCCAAAGGATTGATGATATAAGAGCTTTTCATCACTCAATGTATTACATTTCCTAAGTTTATTTGAGACTCTGCCCATTGGAATAGTAATGTTAGATTTTAATGAAGTTATGGGGGATCAGCCATGCTTCAATATACCACTGATAGTATACTGTTTGGTAATCATTCTTTTAGGATTCTGCAGTAATTCATGTCAGGAAAATAATCATCATAAAGAGAAAGTTTCTCTTAATTTACCTAATAGACCCCTTTAACTAAAGACTTTGCACTATTCAGGTATTATTTATTGAATTCTTATGAGGAAGGCACTTGGTCAAGTACTCTGGGGGTGCCAGGAAATATAAGGTTTGATCCTTGCACTAGAGGAGTTTGCAAATATAATAAAGCTATAAGGAACCATCCATTTGCTTGTTTGCCAAATAATCACATGAAAAGTGTTAAGATTTACAGAATAGCACATATCAACATTTAAAATGTCACGAAGTTGTAATTAATATTCAAATGAATGGTGTTAGAAAAGTTTAGAGAAGCTCAGAGAAGCAGAGGTCACTTCATGCTGGGATGGCTCTTTTGGGGAGATGGGATTTGATCTGGGCCTAGAGAGCAGGGAGGATATGGTTAGAAACTGAACAAACGGGACAGCATTCTATAAAGACAGAAGTGTAAGAACACAAATGTGAGGTTGGAAATGTATGGGATATGCGTGGGGAAAATAAAGAGCAAGTCAGCTTGTTAAAATTGGAGAAGTGTTGCATTATAGCAGTGATTAGGCTAGACTGTGAGATTTCAGCAAGACTGTGGAAGACCTTTGAATGCCAAGGTAACAAATACGCATTTTATCCTATGGTCTGTGGTGAGCCATTCAACACTTTGGAGCAGCAGAAAGATAGGACTTAAGAAACTTCTGAAGTCTTTTTTTCTTGAAAACATTTTCCCCACTAAATGAAAAATTATTAACCGGTTTATAAAGGAGGTTTTGAATTCTTTTATATACGTTGTCTCAGCATCAGATGAGATGTTCTGAATATGTGTTAATTTCCAGAATGCTGGAGGATAATGATATTATAATACTATATTTACTATTATACCATGATACTATACTGTGTTTATTAACTCACCCTATACTTATAAAAATACTGTATTATGCCCAATAAATATAGAGAATTTCAAGGGTATTTTGTTTCTAGTGGAATGACCACGAAGGTTCCACCTGAGCAGGTTTAACGAAAATACTATATTTATACCAATGCTATATAATGGTGTAATAAATATATAGAATCAACAAGGGTATTTTCATTGTTTCTGAAGCAGTGACTATAAAGGTTCCACAAAGGTGTGGATAGAGGAAATAATGGCCAAGATATATAGTAATACATACCAGGCTTTGGAATTGGTGAGAGCATATGTCTTTTAATTGTTTTTTTTCTATAGTTAGATTTCATATATCTGTTCCTCTTATTAAATTATGGTATATTTGAGAACAGGGGCTATTTATTGATCATCTGAGTACCCACCCTATACCTTGCAGATAGTGAGATATGTTAGAAAATATGGTAGAGTTCATCAGCGACTTTGTGGACAAAAAAATGAAAAGCCACATCAACTAAAGTTTGATCTGTGTGCTATTTGGCTGGATTTTTGTCACTGAATTAATTAACTCAATATATTGATTTTGTTTAAGGCATCTAGAGCTACACAGTTGATGAAGGCAGTCCAGGGAAGGGCTAAGGGTTAGTGAAGAGTTCAGTCTGTCTGGAGCATAAGTCTGAGCAGCAGAAATGGGATTGGAAAGGTGGATTTGTGTGGGACCATGGCTCAGGGCCTGGCCAGTTAGTTTGAACTTGGTTTACTAGGGGTTGGGAACTCATAAAGGTTAATGAGCAAGGGATTAATTTGACCATGTTATATTTTAGGAAATCAATCTGTTGGCACCACGTAGAATAGGCTATATCAGGCTGGTTAGAGAAAGAGATACACACACAGGAAGTGGGGAGACCACTTAGGAGCTTTTGTAATGATCCAGGTGAGAAATTATTAAAGCCTGAGTGAGCAGAGAGCCAGGGATGGATGATGTTTTAGTGGCAGAATCAGGAGTAACTGGCAACTGACCAAATTAGGAGAGGTGGGGAGACCAAGAAAGAAGTCAATGATGGGTTTGAGGGTTCTTTTTTTAAACTTGAGTAACAATTGATACCGTTAGTAGAAATAGAAAAGAAAGGAGGTAGAGCAGTATAGGTTGAATATTCCTCATCTGAAATGCTTGGGACTAGAAGCGTTTCAAATTTCAGATTTTTTTGAATTTTGGAACACTTGCATTATACTGGTTGAGCATCCCTAATCTGAAAATCTGAAATCTGAAATACTCCAATGAGCATTTCCTTTGAGTGTCAAAAAGTTTCAGATTTTGGAACATTTCAGATTTCAAATTAGGAATATTCAATCTGTAATTTGATCTTAAATACAAGTTTGATATGATGGCCAAAAATTATCTGAAATAAAGCCAGAGCTCAGAGGAGAGAACATTTATGAAGATGAGATTTGGTTGGTACGTTCTCTCTTCTGGTGTCTTTTTTATATGTGTGCAGTAAATGCTTATCTGATAACTAAGGACAAGGCAATTCTTAACATATTTTTGTTGAGAGACAGTACAGTTATTGGCTAAAAGCTTAACCTCCAGAGTCAGAATGCCTAGGTTCAAATCCCAACTCTGCTATCTCCTAGCTTGTGCCTCTAAACAAGTTACTGAATCTTTCTGTGCCTTAGTTTCCTTGTCTATAAAACAGAGATAGTAATAATACCTATACCATCAACCACTTATGCTTATTAAATAATACTTAGGAAAGTACCTGGCATATGCTAAGTGTTAACCATTATTAGTATAATTATCATCATATCTTCTACATTCTTTTGATGAGCTAGCTACCCAGTGAAGATGTTTTACTTTGCTCTGACCATATGCACCTCTGTGTAGTGATGTGGAAGGTATAAAGTTGTCCAGGGAGAAGGAGTAAAGAGAAAAAGGTCTCTTCCAATCCAAATTGTTCATCTCATAAACAGCATCTGATTTGTGTGGGCAATCTTATATAATTATACATGTCAGCCTCACTAAAGTAATTCAGGACACATTTTTCAAGTGTCATTTATGCACATGGGGCTGTGATTCTGTTCTAGGAAGGCCCTGCTTAACCTGGCTGTTGCCCTTCTCTCCAATCTCATTTTAACCTCTCTGCCTGGCTACATATGGCCCTCCTTTCTGGTTCTTGAACACCCCAGGATTGTCCATGCTCAGAGCCTTTGAATTTGGTGTTCACTGTGCCTGGAAAGTGCTTCGTTTGGCTTTTTGCATTTATCCAAAAGGCTTCAGTTTAAATGTCATCTCTTCTTTAACCATAGAATACACATCATTTACTCCCTCTCACATTATCCTCTTATCTTGTGTCACCTACTACAATCTGTAACTATCTTAATAGGGACTAGGTCTGCCTTTTTCATGCCTAAACTCCCAGCACCTAGAACAGAATCTGACATGCAATGGGCTTTCAATAAATATTTGCTGGATGAGTTAATTAAGTGAATAATAATAAGATGACATGAGGAGAAGGTAAGACAAGATAAAAACAAAAAGCTTCAGTATTAGGAAAGGATAGACTGGAAAATAATTTGAAACAATCAGTAAAAAGCAACAGGAAATGTGGAAATGTAATACAGTGCTAAGATGCTTATTTGTTCTTTTTTGTTTTTTTTTTTGTTTTTAGATGGAGTCTCGCTCTGTCGCCCAGGCTGGAGTGCAGTGGCGCGATCTCGGCTCACTGCAAGCTCCGCCTCCTGGGTTCACACCATTCTCCTGCCTCAGCCTCCCGAGTAGCTGGGACTACAGGTGCCCGCCACCACGCCCAGCTCATTTTTTGTATTTTTAGTAGAGACGGGGTTTCACTGTGTTAGCCAGGATGGTCTCTATCTCCTGACCTCGTGATCCACCTGCCTCGGCCTCCCAAAGTGCTGGGATTACAGGCATGAGCCATCGCGCCCGACCTAAGATGCTTATTTGTAAATATAATATGTAAACAAGAAAACAAACTGGAGAAGGGCAAAGGTGGAGACAGTTTCAAGACAAAAGCGGTGGTAAGTAAAATCAAATTTCTAGAGATGAATTTGAGGACCAAGACTGATGATTAGGAGAGTACTGGTGACTCTGAAGAAGCTGGTTTAGTTAAGGAATGAGGATAGAAAACCAAACTGCCTGAGGATAAAGAGTAAGCAGGTGAAGAGACAACAGGAACAAAGGGAGCTCTTCCAAGAATTTGTGTGCTTAAGAGAAGCACGATTAGGTTGTAGTTCCTTGAACCAGGATGTGAAAAGAGGCCCATGCAGGAGGCAGATTTGGGATCTAGTCCAAAAAACTCAGACCTTGCAACTGAATGTCCTTATTATATATATTAAAAAAACTGCCCCATCTTAACTTCTTTAATAAGGAACAAAGGGGCTAATGGATAAGTGGCTATAAGCAGTTGTTATTTCTTCGTAAAAATTCTAATGAAGTTCTAATAAAGAGGAAAACATCTATAAACGAATGTTTTATTTGAAACAAAATTAAGGTAAAATTTCACTTAAGCTTGATTAAGTTAAATTGGATTTTTTCCCATTTTGTTGAAAGTTTTACATTACTCAGCTGTAGCACTTGCCGAGGCCAGATATGAAGAGTGCTTATATTTATCACTGACATTTTGTTGAACTTGTTCATTCTTATTAATCACTGCTTTAAAGTAAGCAGCTGAGTACTCTTAGGAAGTTGATATTCCCAGCTGACCTATCTGCAAAAATAGTGAAGCTTGATACTCTCTTGCTGCAGTCTGTCTCTATAGATGTATGTGTTCGTGTGGCTATGTGTACATATGTGTGTATTTTTTTTTCTGGGATTAAAGAAGCAAATACATTTTCGTGAAGCTACTACAAACTTTATCATATTCTATCTTCTGAAAGAATGGATGAATTAAAAACAAAAGCAGGCTGTGATCTGTTTATATTCTATATGGGAGACAAATCATATCTGAAGAATGAAGACTCCAGTTTAAAAGTCTGATATGAAGACTGTTAGAAGCTATGTCTTTACTTGTTGAGATTTCTTGGTGGCAAAGGATAAAACACTTGATTATGTTCAGATACAAATCCTATCGTGTGAATATCTGACCTTCTGGTACAGTGTTAGGATTTTTCATCCAGGATTCACAGAAAAAACATAAAAGCCTAGCCCCATTAACATAATTTTTCTTTTTTCTTTACAAATATTAGCATTTTAATTTGATTAAAGTGGTTGACATTTGCTTATCTTCTGGTTCAGAATTTTAATATGTATTCTATTGGTTCCCTCAGCAATGTAAACATATGTATGTGACTCTAAAAGTTTTGAATTCAATGGCTAAGTGATCCAAACCATCAATAATTTCTAGTGATTCTATTTGGTTCTTTAAAAAAATCTGATCTTTTTTTTACAGGATCTTTTTCTCTTGTTAAAGTTTCTTTTCCTTATTTTATCCTTGAATCATTGTAAATAATGTTGATTTTATAGCCTTTATAGTTCTGTCATCTCCAGTTCTTTGGGGATTAATTCTCCCCAAAGAATTAATAACATGGCCAAGCACAGTGGCTCAAGCCTGTAATCGCAGCACTTTGGAAAGCCGAGGCGGGTGGATCACCTGACGTCAGGAGTTCAAGACCAGCCTGGCTAACATGGTGAAACCCCGTCTCTACTAAAAATACTAAAATATTGGCCAGGCATGGTGGTGCACACCTATAATCCCAGCTATTCGGAAGGCTAAGGCAGGAAAATCACTTGAACCCAGGAGGTGGAGAGTGCAGTGAGCCGAGATCATGCCATTGCACTCCAGCCTGGGTGACAAGAACAAAACTCTGTTCCCTCCCCCAAAAAAAGAGTTAACAACAATGCTACAATGCTACAAGTTGTTATTTGTACTAATTTCAGTGTATTTCATATGGAAAACTACATATTTTGTCATTTCCATTGTAATTTCCTCTTTTAACTCATGAACTATTATTTTTTCAGCTTCCAAACACATGGGTTTGGGTATTTTCAACTACCTTTTCAGAGTTGGCTCTTAATTAAATTTAATTGTAGTTAAAGACCATAGTCTGTATAACACAGATTCAGTGTAATTTGTTGAGAGTTTAACTGTGAACACATATGTAGTCAATTTCTATGATTATTCTATGTGTACTGAATGAACAAATATTCTCTACTATGCAATGTTACTTTATATCTTTTTGATAGATTATTAATTTTGTGGTTAAATCTTTATATCCTTACTTATTTTTTGCCTCCTTGGTCTATCAGTTTTTGAAAGGGGTATCTTAAAATTTCCCACTATGATTAAGAACTTGTCAAATTAGTCTTATATGTTTTCGTGTTATAGATATTAGGGTTATATAGTTAGATGAATTTGAGCTTTATCTTCTTTCATTTTTGTTATGTAGTGTCATCTGTAGTCCTATTATTGCTTTATGCCTTAAATTCCATATTATCTGATGTTAACATAGCTATAGTAGCTTTCTTTGGATAGAAATGCATGGTGTATTTATTTCCATTTCCTTACTTTGAAACTTTCTATGTGGTTTTGTTTCAGGTGTATCTCCAAGAAGAATAGTGCTAGACTTTTAAAAATGTCTAATGCAAACATTTATTTTAATAGACTAAGTTATATTTATCATTCTTACTTTTATATTATGGCTTAATTTTACCATATTTTCTCTTTGATTTCTTGTTTGTTGCCTTCTTTTGTGTTTACATTGTTTTACGTGGTCACCTTTTATTTACCCTCTGCTTCTTTGAGCAACGCAAGATTGCATTCTATTTCCTTAGTACTTAACTCTAAAATTTTAACATACATTTCCTAACAAAAATTAAAATTAGTATTCCTCTCCTCCGTCCTTCTGAACAGGACAACATCTGGCATGCTTTCACTACCCCCCATCTCCATCTTGCCCCAGCTAACTTTTAAATTATTGCCTAAATTTAGTTTTGCCTCTTTTTTAGATTAAAACAAAGCTTATTTTAAAATAATCAATAAAGTTACTGACACATTTTGCCCATTTCCATGCTCCATCTTTCCTGTGTATTCTCCATCTTTCCTGTGTTCACTCCTTTTCTGGCTGAAGCACATATAACGGGCAGAGCTGGGATTCAAAGTGATGTGTGTTTCCTTCCAGAGCCCCTTCTCACAACCACAACAATCTACTAGTCACAGATACAGAGGAAGGTACTCTGGGTGTCTGCAGCAAGGCGTAGAGCCAGACAAGAGACAGATGGAGAGAAACAGGGGAAGTGGAGGATGGCTTCTAAGCAGGCATTGGCCTGGCACAGTGGCTCATGTCTGTAATCCCAACAGTTTGGGAGGCTGAAGTGGGCAGATCGCTTGAACTCAGAAGTTGGAGACCATCTTGACGACATGGCAAAACACCGTCTCTACAAAAAAATTAAAAATTAGCCAGGCGTGGTGGCATGCACCTGTAGTTCCAGCTACTTAGGAGGCTGAGGTGAGAGGACAGCTTGAACCCAGGAGGTGGAGGTTGCAGTGAGCCAAGATCACATCATTGCATTCTAGCCTGGGTGACAGAGCAAGACCCCATCTCAAAAAAAAAAAAAAAAAAAAAAAAAAAAAAAAAGGGCCAGATGCTGTGGCTCATACCTATAATCCCAGCACTTTGAGAGGCCAAGGTGGGCGAATCACCTGAGGTCAAAAGTTCAAGACCAGCCTGGCCAACATGGCAAAACCCTGTCTCTACTAAAAAAAAAAATACAAAAAATTAGCTGGGCGTGGTGGCGCATGCCTGTAATCCAGGTACTTGGGAGGCTGAGGCAGGAAAATCACTTGAACCTCGGGGGTAGAGGTTGCAGGGAGTTGAGATCATGCCGCTGCACTCCAGAATGGGTGACAGAGCAAGACCCTGTCTCAAAAAAAATAAAAAAATAAAAATAATTAAATTTTTAAAAAATTAAAAAATATTTTTTTAAAAGTGTCAAGATATAAAGACACAAAGCTACTTTTGACACTATCTGCTGGAAGACTCTGCCCATTGGAGACAGAATTTCTATATCAGAAAAGCAAAAACAGAAAACTCATGCGATGAGGATATTATATATATATACATACATACATACATACATACATAAGACATAAATAAACATGGAGGTATGGTAGTAAGTCTAGGCTTAGGCCAAAAAGGGCACTCCTTTGAGGCCTGTGTAAGGATGCTGGGGGATTCCCAACACTTAGGCACAGTGCCTGGCACATAACAGGTACTCAAGAATACTTATGAAATGAAAGAAATGAAAGCAAGGAAGAAGAGAAAGGATGGAAATGAAAATAGGGGAGAGGAATGAGAAAATAAAAGCATGAGAAAGGAGGAAGGTAAAAATGAAATAGGAAGAAAATGAAAGGAAGAAAATTTTACAAAAGGCCAGAAGAAAGTAAATAAAAAGGATCTCTTTTTTGTTTTAAAACTTTTATATGTATATGTATATTTAAAAATAGGCAAAAAAGGAACAAAAAGATTCACATCAAACTGTTAACAAAGTTTACGTAGGGTAGGGAGTGACTTCCACTTTTTTATTTTATTTTAATTTATTTTATTTTATTTTATTTTATTTTTAAGATGAAGTCTCGCTCTGTCACCAGGCTGGAGTGCAGTGGTGAGATCTCGATCTCACCTCCACCTCCCAGATTCAAGCAATTCTCCTGCCTCAGCACCCCGAGTAGCCGGGACTACAGGCACGTGCCACCACGCCCAGCTAATTTTTGTATTTTTAGTAGAGACGGGGTTTCACCACGTTGGCCAGGATGATGTCAATCTCTTGACCTTGTGATCTGCCCACCTCGGCCTCCCAAAGTGCTGGGATTACAGGCATGCGCCACTGCACCCAGCCCCACTTTTTTATTTTATGCACATCAGGAATATTTAAGCTTATTCCAGCAAGCATGTATTGTTTGTAAATAAGGATTTAAAAATTAAGACTTAGTAGCTAGTGAAATGGCTCATGCCTGTAATCCCAGCACTTTGGGAGGATGAGGCAGAAGGATCACTTGAAGCTGGGAGTTCAAAACCAGCCTGGTCAGCATAGTAAGACTCCATTTCTACAAAATTAAAAACTAAAAAATTAGGCATGGCAGCGCATGCCTGTAGTCCCAGCTACTTAAGAGGCTAAGGCAGGAGAAACACTTGAGGAGTTTGAAGCTGCAGTGAGCCATGAATGCACCACTGCACTCCAGCCTGGGCAACAGAGCAAGACCCTATCTTTAAAAAGAAAAAAAAGAAATCTAAGATTTAGCAATAATGAAAGGGAAGTGAACAAATAATATAAAATAATCACACAGTATGGCTTGTTGTGAAGTACATTAAAGTGAGCTCCTCTTCACGGATCCCCTTGGAGGGCTGCCTCCAAGACTTCCCGTCTAACTCCAGGGGCAGAGATCATCTCAATCCTACTAGCCTCTTCAAAGTCCAGGTCCAAAAAGATAGAGAAGTCACATAAAAGGGTTTCCACTTCTCCTAAAGCCACTCGTCAAATTCCAGACAGCCCTGGAATTGCTCAGCCTTGCATTCCCCCAGGATGCCTGACTCCCTTTACAGACAGTCCAATCCCACACCCACCGGTCTTTTCCTTCAGCCTCAAAAGAACAACCCTATCAGAATAGGATAAATCAAGTATTCACACATCTACAAGGTATTTTTAGAAACCTCTTCCTTCCAAGATAGTAGCTCATGAAAATAGAGAAAATGCTTCCTTCATTTTTTATCTTCCTGGCTTGCTCATTTCTACAAGATGGATAGAATTTCAATACTACTCCTTGAAGGAAACGTGATAGGCAAGTCCAGCTGATCTCTTAAAACCTAGAAACATTCTATGTAATCCTAGTTTCATGTATGTAAGAAAACCTGTGTCCATAAAAATGAATTAACTCATATGGAGCTTAGGTTATGAATCTTTATTAATTCAAGTGATAAGAATAAAAAGGTGATAAACCAAAAGTTGTCTATTACATCCCTGTGGCCAGGGTTTTTCAACCTCAGCACTATTGACGTTTGGGCCAGACAATTCTTTGTTGTGGGGGTTGCCCTGTGCATTGTAGGTCGTTTAACAGCATCCTTGGCCCTTACCCACCACATATCTGTAACACACACACACACACACACACACACACACACACACACACACATCCCAGTTATGATAACCAAAAGTGTCTCCAGGCATTGCCAAACATACTCTGGGGTCAATATCTTCCCTGGCTGGGAACCACTGATGTAGCTCCAATTTGCAAAAATGAGTCATTTTATCTCACCACCAGTGGAAATATATGTTTTGTGTGCACACAGATATTTTCGGTTTAGTATGTGTTAAGCCATCCCTTGTAATGAAAGGAATTTGCAATGCCAATGGCAACATAGAGAAAAGCTACAAGACAGGCAGAACTGTATTCCAAAGCTTCATACTATATTATGAAACAACATAAAGAATACTATGAACAAATATTCAGCAAAGACACATTTATATTCAGCAAAGATAAAAATAATAAATATTATATGTGTGTAGTGACCCTATTTTATGAATGATTTCATTTTTTTTTATAACTTCGGATAACCCTCTAAGCAGATTTTAGAGCTGAAACCATCTGTATTAGTCTGTTCTGACTCTGCTAATAAAGACATACCCAAGACTGGCAAATTTATAAAGGAAAGAGGTTTAATTGACTCACAGTTTAGCATGGTTAGGGAGGCCTGAGGAAACTTACAATCATGGCGGAAGGGGAAGCAAACATGTCCTTCTTCACATGGCAGCATCGAGAAGAATGAGTGCCCAGCAAAGGGGTGAGCCCCTTATAAAACCATCAGATCTCATGAGAACTCACTCACTATCACGAGAACTGGATAGGGGACACTGCCCCCATCATTCAATTATCTCCACCTGGTCCCTCCCAGGACACATGGGGATTTTATGGGTACTACAATTCAAGATGAAATTTGGGTGGGGACACAGCCAAACCATATCACCATCCAAAAATTCAACCCTAATCTAGTTATCTACTTGGGAAAAACTATTCCCACAATATCACCACATTGATAACTTCACCATTCAGTACCTAGTTTAAGAAAAAATAATGTTAGCAGGCTGCCTAGACTAACAATATTAAAATACTGAATATATGTGGTTCTATGAAAATTAATTGACATCTTTCCATTGCATTCCAAAGAAGAAAGGAGAAAAATTGTTTGGTGAAGTCAGGATCTACTATCACTTAAAACAATGTTAATACCACAGACTGCAGGGTCCCCTGTAACCCTGATATTAACTTAGTAATATGAGTGATAATTATTCAGGAGGAAAATAAAGCCAAAATGTATTTTGGGGGCCTATAACCACTTATTGACTAAATTAGCATTTGTGTCCATTTGCTGTAAACTACTTCAAATTAAAGTACCCAAACACTGTTCTTTTTTATGTATATATAATAGTCTCATGGAAAAAAATTATAGCTGCATTTTACTTTATGTTCTATTTTAGATGCAGATAGTTGGACTGAATACATTTAAAATGTAATTGAATGGCCAAAGGATAAAAATATCCTTTTCTGACTCAGAATAGTTCAATCTGTCATTGTAATTTAAAAAAAAATGAATTCACACTTAAAAAAAATAGGTTAATGGAATAGAAATTTGTCTTCCTGTTTTATGTTGCCCTCTCTCCTCCAGTCCACTTGCCAGAAGACATTTCAAGTGCAATCCCTCTGAAAGCTACAGATTTAATAAGTTAATGGATGGTTACCATTCTCATTACTAGGCTGATTCTATTCAGTTTAGATCTAGAAAAATCTTTTTGTTGTTGTTGTTTCTGTACAATTTCCTGCCATTAAAGAAAAAAAATCAAGTGACATAGTGAATAGAAGAGAAGAGCAAACAGGGTTGGTTTCTGCAGCAATTTCACGAGTATTATTTTCCCCTTTTGAGATTCAAAATGAGACAAAGACACTCCTCTGTATTTCTAATGAAAAAGTGAGCAATAAATTTACAAACCTGTGCTGAGCCAAATGAACTCATTACCATGTTAAACAGTTTAACACATTTTGATCAATATATTAGCTGCACAAACACAAATATGCTATAGTATTATTACAATGTAAACAAACCTGACTGGCCTATGCTAATAAGCAATAAGACATAAAAGATGTAAAAGGATTAGGATATTTGAAGAAAAGCCAAATACCTTTAATACTCCCCAGAAATGGCATTCTCGCAACTCTTTTGTACATATGTATAAATCCCTTAAACACAAAGAAGTCTTACAAATTTATTCCTATTCCTTTACGAAGTTAGTTAAAAATAAATGAACAAGAAATTAAACAGAAGGTACTGTAATGAAGTTAGAATATTCTAACTGAAAAACAATTACAATGAAACAATTTAGATTCCTGTAGAATTATAAACATTTTTCAAGGGATATTATGCAATGCAATTTTTTTTTTTTTTTTTTTTTTTTGAGACACAGTCTCACTCTGTTGCCCAGGCTGGAGTGTAGTGCCTCAATCTTGGCTCACTGCAGCCTCCGCCTCCCGGATTCAAGTGATTCTCCTGCCTCAGCCTCCTGAATAGCTTGGATTACAGGCACCTGCCACCATGCCCGGCTAATTTTTTATTTATTTTTATTTTTTTATTTTTAGTAGAGACGGGGTTTCACCATGTTGGCCAGGCTCGCTTCGAACTCCTGACCTCAAGTGATCCACCTAACTCGGCCTCCCAAAGTGCTAGGATTACAGGCGTGAGCCACTGCGCCCAGCCCATTGCAATTTTTAAAACCACGTTTTCTTCTTACTCTTGAAACTCAAAACACTGCAGGTTTATTTCATAGTTTTTAAAAAATACACTTATTAGAGTAAGAGCTTTCGTTTCTCAGAAAAAGAGCTTTGTGATTTAAAGTAGCATAATAAATGCTTAGATTTCTCTTCAAATACATTTGTATACCTCATCTTTCAACTAAGAGGATTAGTTTTCAACAATGCATAATTGACAGAAAATTGTGTTGAAATTGTAGTATTATTTAATTCTGGGAATTTAGCCAGTCAGATATCAGAGATACATAGTTCTTTGCACAGAACTGGAAAAATATCAACAGTATGTAAATGTGCTTACTGCTCTTCCATTGTTCTAACTCCTCTATCAAAATTATATTCAAATTTCACAGAAGTGAAAGCAATAAGCTTAATTCTTGTCCTGAAAGAGAGACAATTGTTTTAATTAAAAAAGTTACCTTCCTAGTTTCAGACATTTAATCAAACAAAACCTCTAACTCTGAGACACCTTTAGGGCCTTTACTAGAAAAATCCCCTCTGTAGCCGTTGGCACAAACTTGACAAACTTGCTGAACCGTGCAGATGTTGAAGCAGCTCTCAGTTACATTGGGGAAGAAGGGAACTAGACATTCCACAGCTGCCTACAACGGCTTCCTTCCCGGGGCACAGGTGCAGGCTCCATCAAGCTCGATCACTTTGCAGAGCAACTGGGGATCCCAAGCAGGGGAAAAGAAATTCCAGGGCAGCTTAAATTTCTCCCAGTACCACAGCAAGAAGTAACACTACTTAAAAAGTAACCAGTTACTTCCAACAATTATGTGTGAGGGTGGGTGAGGAGGGGGGCAAGGAAGAATGAAGAATAATATCTCCAGTAAGAAAAAATAAAAGATGTTTCATATTTTTAAAATTTCAAGCTACTCAGACCTTCCTTAGGTCTTTGTTATGAAAATAACTATGAATATCTGGTCTTTATTCCTGATCAATTTTTTTTTTCTTTAGGGGTGGGGAGAGAACAGCCAAGTTGAAAAAATACAGAACTTAACAGTTATTTCAACAATTGTAATGTAACACATTCATTGCAGGGTTTTAAAAGGATGTAATGGCAGTAATATCGTGTTTAAATGTATTCCACTCTTCCATTTTATGAGTATACATTCTCACAAGTTCTTTTAAACATTTTTAAATACTAAAATAATTGTATTAATGATATGGTGTGACCAAAAACAAGCAGCCAGGGAATATTCTTCCCTACTTGAGGATAACTGATGCTACAGCAGATGCCATTTCCTTAGGGTAAACCAGAAAGGAAGGGGTTAATAAACATGTAGCTCCACTAAACAACTGAAATACACAGATCACTATTCCCCATAAAATTATACTTTTATACTAATCTTCTGGGGTAGTAAAATACAATATGTAGATGCATACATAGTTTTTATACCTTAAATTTATAATATTGTTAAAATTATTACTTTTTACTTGGTTAGAAAACCATTACTGTACCACCACATAAGCACTTGCAAGAATTCACCAGATACAATAATAAAACAAAAATGATGGTGATGTTACAATTAATTGTGGGATCAAGCACTATGCTGAAAGCCTTCCATAAATCACTTCACCTACCCCTCCCAATGACATTATTTCCATTTTATAAATGAAGAAATTAACTTATAAAGTCACTAAGCTAGTCAATGGTACAGCCAGAATTTAAATTTTTTTCTTCTAAAGTCCATACTCTTGGTATTATGCTGTATTGTCTTGAAAATGACATTTGTACATTAATTTGGAACATTTTAAGTATTTTTGAAATCAATTTTAAAGGTTTAACATTACATCATTAAATTGTTATATTCAGAGCAAAATGGCCTCTCTACATGAGATGTACTAGTTAAATCTTGCTTATATTGCTTATGATACCTTTTTCTTCTCTAACTACTGATTTTTTAATAGCCAAAAAAGCTCATTTCAGCCTAGAGTATTAGTAATACAATTTCCTAAATGTTTTCATATGTTTCCTAAATTTCAGATGTCTTTTTATTTTAGATTGATCCTCATGGCCGCAAGTCAAGTAGCTAATAGATAATTAATTTTATGTTACATAACAGACAGGCATGTAAACACTAAACTAGGTCTGAGCATTTGGAATAAGAAAACTTTTTTATTCCATATTGATGCTAAAATATCAACAGGAAGACTTGAAGCCTCAAAAGGCCTTTGTTTATAGTTCAACAACATTCCTCTGAGACAGTGCAATATACTACAAGCAAGGAGAAATACGAGGCAGAAGTTGGTAACATCTGGGGTGTGCATAGAACTTCTGGTTAATGGAAGTTCCAAGATGTATAAATAAAAAACGATGTGTGAGTTGGTGGAAAAAACTGTAAGGCAAGTCAATTTTTTAATTAAAAAATTATGTAGCATAAACAATGCTAATGAGCCACAAGTCCCAAGAGATTAGTATTGTATCTGCTTCATTTTAATGTTTCATTCACTTTTCGTAAGTTACATCTACTCACTTGAAATATCTCAAGCAGAACCCTTTTTGTAAAATAGAGTTTTGAAGATATTCTTTGTCCTTGTTCTCAATAGGTCACCATTTTCTACTCAAGCTGTCGAGGACAAATCACACACACAAACACACACACACACTCACACACACACACACAGCCCTAAAATCTTTAAATGAATCACCAGAAAGTAAATACCTGGAAGTTCTTCATAAATTTCATCATCTATTGGTTGACTGCTTGTTAGTGGATTGCTTATTGGTAGAGGATGATCAACATCATCATATAATTCTCCTCTCTCATCATAATCCTCAGGAATAATATCAGATTCCATATCTATAAAACACATTTCATGAAGTAAATTTTAAAAGAATGCAGAAGATATTTTTAAAACTATACTTTATAAATAAATGCAGCCCTACAAAGCAACAACAATATTGTTATATGTTATGTCCTTAACTAAAAACATGTTTAAAAATTGTTTTGTAAATATGTGAATTTTAAAGTAAGCCAATTGGTACTTATAGAAAAGATGCTGTTTAAAATCTGAAGTGAGTGGTCTGTATTAATAACAGTCACATTCAAGTTGGTCATTCTCACAGAAGTCAATAAGCTTTTGTATATGAAAACCCAAACTACTCTGTTATTTAGTATTTAAAGACTGTGATAACTTGTTCGATTGATTTATCTTACCTTGCAATACAAATTTCAGCTGCTGTACCCATTCTTCAGCATCTTTGGGAGAAGCTGCTGTAAACTAATATAAAACAAACAGTAAGAACGAAAATCACCATAGTAGGAATGAAAGGTATGTTGTATTCTTACCATTTCTTTAAGACTATTAGTAATTCTTTTCATGTCTAGTGGAACTTTTCTTGCAAGGATGCTTCTTATAATGTACAGTTAATTTTGACAAATTTATGCAATTGAAGCAGAGGATGATGAATTTCAAACGCTGATCAGCAGCTGGCAGCTGTGCAGGAAAAAAAGCTGCTTCTCTTTCATCAATGTCAAAGACAGAACTGATGAACAAAATTTGCCCTTGACAATTAGAAGACACCCATGAATTTCTTTAGACTGCTGCACACAGTTTTCTTAAAAATGTTCTTGTCAGATTCCAACACACTACCTGACAACTTAATTAACTGGCTTTCAACTGCAATCTCAGATATTTAAAACTTATTAAACATACATTCCATATTGATGCCTAGCTGATAGCTATTGAATTGCAGAGCTGATGTGTACTTTTACCTTCATTTTCTCCCACACTCCTAAGCAATACAATATGTATTATCACTCTGATATTTTTGTTTTAATAATTTTACTCTTTCTGCTATGTAATTCTTTTGGAAGATCACCTAGTGCTATGCAACATGTGATCACCTATGTTCTATGCAACATGTGTGCAACATGTGAAGTAATTGATAAATTATATATTCTCTTTATCTTTTTCAAGAAGATAGTGTGTGAATTAATCTGAAATTTTTAAAAATTTCCTCTTATATGAATGTTCAATGCATAATATATTTAAACATCAGTATTTTTATTATTGTTAACATGTCAAGGAAAGTATTAATCAAATGTTAATGTCTCTATAAATGAAATCAAAACATTTTATCAACTTAATTTCAAGGCAACATAAAAACTACAACCTGATATATACGTTTATCAGGAGCAGAGATTTCAAAACAGCAATCTTTCTTTCCATCCTTTCTTAGAGTGTTATTCATTCTGACACTGTAGCCATCTATTGCAAATTCACCTTTCTGTTGTTTGTCTGTTGAAGATAAAACCAGTTAGAATTTCATTTACTAAGTATTAATGCTCAATTATCTTTTATGTAAAATTTCTTCATCAATTCTTGGAAATAACATTTTTTGGTCATATTGCTTTAGTAATATAATGCTTAGGTAATGTTTTTAGAAATCATTTTTAATTCTGAAACATGGAAGTATTAGGGATGATTGGACTTACAAGGAGGTCTGCAGATCATGGTCTTATTTGGAAGGAAGTATGGAAACATGACACTCTAGGGTAGGGAAAATTCAGGAACTAGAACATAGAACTTGCTAGACAAACCCACCACAAACCTTTGGCTCTTTCAGATTTAGTAGGCCAGTGGGAAGATCTGTCCAGCTGAAAACTTGTCGGGCTTTATCTACTGTTATCTCCTTTCACCTATCCCTCCCCAGCACCACCACCAAAAAGAAGCTTCTAAAACAAAAGTTTTCTTTAAAAAAGGTCTCCTAACTTGGTACAAATTTATCTCTAACCTTACAAAGCAAACCAAAACTAAACTAAACTACTCATGACGAAAAAGATGTGAAGGAAAAAAAAACTATGTGGATAAAGAAGAGTGGTAAAGCAAGTACAGAAGCATTAGTTACCAAAAATAGAGGGAAAGTTTCTTATCCAGTCAGTGAACAGTTAAACTAGTAAAGCACATTTGAATCTCACATGATAAAGAGGCAAAAGATGATTACAGCTTTGGTCAGATATTATTTTAAAGACAAGTAAAGTGCGAATATAACAAAGGACTTAATATTCTGAAACTGAAAATAAAATTAGTCAACCTTCCTACTTCACCCAGTTACACCATTTTGATAGAAAAACTATACAGCTATAGGTTTATTTCCTAGATTAACAAACAATATTAAAACCATGAGTAGGGACAAACTCTTTTACTGAGCTCGGGGCAAATACAGAAATGCTTTCGTGTTGTGGGGTGTGCTTTCTCAGTTCAGTGTACCAATAAAAGATACATCTCCTTTTCTTAAATACACAAGTTAAATGCCTAAAGTAACTAACATATGTTAGGTCATAGAGATTATATCTTGTTCAAAATATCAAATGAGAAAAAAAATCTCAGTTCCTGGGAAACTCTAATCACATTTAGTCATAATTTACATCTCTCTGAATGTCTAAAGAAACAATCAAAGTTTATTTCATGAAAAAATTCTACAATAAACTCTATGTTTTTCACAAAAACGATACAGTACTTTAAAGATTAGAGAAGCATTTCCCAAAGATATTAATAGGTTTCTGTGATCAAATCAATTTGGGAAACGTTTTGCCGAATTAAACAAGAGTTAAGCAGTTTTGTTAGTTCAGGCCTTCTTGGAGCCCTTAGTACATTTACATAGTAATTAAACTTCTATAAGAAAAATTTAGTATGCAGCATTTCCAAAAATTATTTGTCCGCGGAATCATTTTTCACAGAATATTTTATGGTACTCCCAGGATATATTTCGTAAGACACCTAACTAGGAAACTATTGGGAAAAAAGTATTAAAATGATAAATGGTTAAGCATGGTTGGTTCTTGTAAATTCTCAAAAAAAGACTAAATCATTCACTCACTCATTTGACAAATTGATACCAAGCACTTAAAACCAGCACGCAGCATTATAGGTTTGCCGAGATAAAAGCTAGAACACCTTATCAGATCTTTCGCGCCACCTTCCCAATGATCTACTAAATTGCAAAAGGAACTTAATGTTCACTACGAAAAGTGGAAGTAATGTGAGGCAAAATATCAAAGCCATATTGGACAATTTTGAGAGAGTTCCTTAAACTCTCCAGAAGAAAGAGAAATTTCAGGGACCAGATTTAGAGGAAAGCTGCTCCCTTGCTGCGCAAGGGTTCAATCGCTCCACTCACCAGGTCCATCTGACCTAAAACCTATGCCTTCTACCTCCAATTTCGGTCTAAAATTCTCATCAATGTAACTTGAATGCAGGTGGAAATGCATGAGGAGTGGGAGTCTACACCTGGAGATATAAAATCAGCACTATAAAGATTTAGTTTGGAAGAGCTGAGGGGAACAGATCTTTCTGGGCCAGATTATCTAATAATCTAGAAATAAGACAATTAGGCAGCAAAATTAGGCAACCCCAACTCAGACTAGCAGATTCATTTTAGCCAAACCCCCTAGAAATATGCTATGGGGCTATGTATCAGAACTTCTGATACAGTCCAAGAGGAGGACAGTATCAGCCTCTACTGAGATGAACCAGAGAGAAGCCACAAATCCAATTTATAGGTAAGCATCTCAGATTTCATAGACATGTACTTGTTCGAGGATAAGAAAAGAGGAACAGCAAATACAGATGCCATAAAAATATTATGTAAAACAGAAACATAACATAGCACTTGAGAAGTAGAAAGCACAAGCGAAGTAGGAGAAATGAAGGTAAACTTTAGCCAACTGCTTTGCATATTTTATAAAAGTAAACAGATTCTGAAAGAGATGAAAGATGAAACAATGTAATATAAAATAAAAAGAGGAAAGGCTGAGACAAGTAGAAATTAAAATGAAACTGGCAAAATAAGGAACAAATATGCTGTATAAGGAAGTGGAAAATGCAGCAGCAAAACAAATGATGTATTAGAAGTGATAAAAAGTAGAACTAACATTGTGGAAAATCAGATCAGATATACCTTGAAAAGCTCACTCAGCAGATAGAAAATAAGAATAAGGGGATGGGGAAGGGACAAAAGGGAGTATGATAAATATGGAGGGCTGACAAAAATACAACATAAGAAAAATGGGTTTTCTGGAAGAAGAGTAATAAATAAATGCCAATAACCAAAGACATAATATAGCAAAAGAAAACTTCATTCCATCAAAGAAAGACCTAACTTTGCAGAACAAAATGTGCTGTTGTTTAACCAAGTAAAAATAATAAAAAGAAACTAATATCTAGACCTATCCAACTGATTGTTTGTATTTGAGGATAAACAATTATATAAACATCCAAGTCGGGTAGGGATATGGGCCCAGAAAGGTTGAACAGAGGAAACTCACAACTCTTTCTAATAGCTTTTGCAGAACCATAACCATGAAGTAGCCATATCTCCAATTAGCCAATACAGGACAGGAAGTTCAAGACGTGAAATGGGCAGACATGGCTATAAGACAACACTGTTCTCCTCCTTTCACATTAGTTTCTCTTCTGGAGAGAGAAACTTCACCATTATGTGGTAAGTCATAAGAATTTACATATAGATTAGTTCCACAATTGCTTTTTGGGATAGTTTCAAGGATACCTGTTAACAAAATTATCAAAAATAGTAAAATGCCAATCAAATAGGAAATAAAGCTATAAAGTCCATTTACCCAGCACTGTGAAAGACTAATATTTTATCTAGGTGAACTTCACAAATAGCAAAAGCTTATTCCTTTAAGTGCCAAAACTTTTAAAAATGTTAATCATTGTGATGGAAAGCTTTCTAAAATATATACTTGCCTAACTTCTCAAACAAATCTTTTAAACATAACATTTTTTTCTTAACATAGTATCATTTTGAGTATTAGTTTTTATAACACATTGATGCCTTCAGAATTTTTGAGGTGTTTGTTCCTCTATTACATTTCTCTCAGCTTCTGTTTCACACTTTAACCTAACCTCTATCATGCTGTTTGAATGTAATGTCTACAGAACTGAAGGCTGCCAGGAAAAACTAGATAATGAAATCTATTATATCAGTAACTTAATTTTACACAATCCTAATTCAGCAGGTTCAAGGTAAAAAGCAGTTGGCTCTGATTTCCTACAAAACAAAATGCATAAGGCTAATAAGAGCAATTTCCTTCTACTTTTTCACTGGCTTTTAGGTTTACAGCTGTGTTCTGGGGGTTTTTTAAGCTGTCAAAAAGACAACTCACATTTACTGAGCTTCTACATGTCAAGAACTTAATAGAACATATCTCATATACACCTGGTAATAATTCTAAGCAATAGAGGAGACATATTATATTCCCAGCACTGATGGGAAAACAAACTTTAACCAATTTGCTCACGGTCACACAAATAGTAAACAGTAAAAGCCAGGACCCTAGGAAAGTCTGGTTCTAAAGCCTTGCTTTTTCAGCCATTTCACACTGTTTTCTAAAAAGGTGTTTCTCAAAGTATATTTTAAGAATCACCTATGTTAGAATCAACTTGGACGCCTGTTAACACAGAATTGGCTACCACTCTGCACTTGCTATATAGGAATCTCTGTGGGTGAGTCTAGGAAACCAAATTTTTAGCAAGCACCCCAGGTGATTTTGATACACACTACAACCACTGTCCTCAATACAATGTGAAATATACAAAATCACGGTAGAGAAGATAAATGTTATTTTGCATTTCGTCCTACAACTTAGGTCAAACTTTCTCAGCTTTCTTTATGGGTTCCTCTACCTCTGCCTATCTCTTAAAAAGCTATGATGCGTTGTTCTAAGTCTTGCTCTCTTCTTACATTACACTCTCCCTGGGCAATCTCATCTAATTCCAAGAATTAAATTCCTATCAATATACTTGTGACTCATGATTCTCTACTTTTAGTTCATTTTCAAAACTGTTTATCCAAATCTTCATCTGCTCACTAAATATGTTTCATTTCTCAAATGTCCTATAGGCTCATTGAATAGAAAGTGCCCACAATGGAGATCATCTTATCCCCACTCCCAACACTTGTGATGCCAACAACTGTGATATTTCTTGTTGTATCCCCCATCTCAATAAATGGCACCTCCATTAATTCAAGCTCCCAAACCAGAAAACTGGGCACCATTTTTTATTTTGCCCTTACCTTCACCAACTGCCCCGACGTTACCCCCTACACTCCAATGCCACCTACCAAAATCTAAACAGACCTTCTATTTTTCTGGCAAATATACTTGTTTTTTCTCTTCTTCATTGGCTCTCAGAAAAATATGCTTAAAACACCAACCACTCTCATACCATTTTAAATACAGCATAAATATTGCAACCAAATAATTCCAAATCCTTTAGCATCCCTACAAGTTATGGACATTTATTATTTGGGGCTCCCCAGCATCCATGCATCTTTCCTATTTTAATTCCAAGATTGTCAGGGATAGGGCTTAGTTTTCCATCACAGAAGCTGGAGAGAGATGGATTTTCCCTGTTCCAACTTAATCAAAGTGGATGCTCCAGACTGGAACCTAAATCTCCAGTAAGTAACAAAAGGATCAAGAGAGGGTTCAGAATCCATTCTGGTGGCAATGGCACTCACTGATTGATGGCAGTGCACAGTGGCAACATCACATGTCCTGGCTTGGCAAGGCCCAAGCCAGCAGTGTGTCCCAATAAGATTTTTCATGGATTATGCTCAAGATCCAGCCCCCTTACCTACCTTAGTTCTTGCTTGCTTGCTGAGCCTGTGTGTAGCATTCTTAGCAATTCTGAGAGCTGATATTTTCCTAATAATTTCCCTTTCTGCATAAACAAAGTTGGTTTCCGATGCTTATACCAAGAACACTAACTTGGCACAAATGGCTAGCAAACAAAAATATGAAATGTGTTCAGCAATATCTACTACTTATATTTAAGAAGGCCTTTTCCCTTCAGTGAATAACTTACGTTATTTCCACAAGTATTAGTACTCATTAGTAGGGAAAAGAAAAATATGCCCATCAATACTAGACCTTGCCACTAAATTTTATCAAACTGACTAGCAAGATGTTCCAGCTCCTCAGTTAAAGATATATGAACATTCTCCTTTGGTTTATACAGCTTGCAGATGCCAATGCTAAATCAGCCACTTGAAATATATCTCTGGGGTTTTGTGTAGAAGTGAGACTAGATATCAAACCAACAACATTCGTGGTCATCAGACCCTTAGTAAAACTTGGTTTGTACCTGACTATTTCTGCATGTTGATGAAATCCTACTAAACATCAGATGTACATTTTAACTTCTATATACTGTTAGAGAGTCTCTTAGCCATAAAGGCAGAAAATAAAGGCATAGCTTTAATTTAATGTTTGTAATCCCAGCTACTCAGGAGGCTGAGGCAGAAGAATCGCTTGAACCCGGGAGGCGGAGGTTGCAGTGTGCTGAGATCATGCCACTGCACTCTGGCCTGGGCAACAGAGCGAGACCCCGTCTCAAAAAAAAAAAAAAGTTTATTGTGATAAGTTTTAAAGTTAATACTTTCATATCAAAGACCCAAAAGTCTATAAAATTGTAATAATTTCTGATAAAAGTAGAATTAATGGTTCCTATTTCTTAAGGAATAAAGATATCCTTCACATACCAGATGGAAACAGAATTGCAATTTAAATTTTTTAAATATCAGAATTCACTTACACATTTAATATATATCATCTTGATATAATTATAAAATTATATAATTACAATTATAAAATGACAGAATTTGTTTCTGTCAAATGAATCAGAAGAAAAAAGGTAAGCTTTTATGGCTTTCTATTAAGTTGTTGTTACAAAACAACAGAACTTTTAATTATACAAATATAAGTACTGTCACTTTAACATATTCAAAACAATATTAAAAGAGAAATATGATGCTTTTTCAACATCAAAATATATTTTATAATTTTCAAACTTCAAAGAGAACATATATGTCCTCTTTTTTTCCTATCAACGGTGAAGTTGTGGAGAAGGGGAGAGCAGGGAGGTAAATTTCAATGAAAAATTTTATTTCTCTGCCAAGTTCTGAAATTTTGTTATCTTAAATTCTCCATATTAAGCCCAATTTTCTACGGACTTTTATTATATATTGAAAAGATATTACAATGAAAAAATTAAAACCATATGATGTAAGAAATAACCTTTGAATGACTTTGTAGATCAGGGCTACTTGTAGCTCCCATTTACTAGACGGTGCTAGTGTATTCTTTAATCAGGTTTCAGCAAAAGCCCTGAGAGGAGGTACTAAGAACTGACAATCCCCTCCTTAAAAATGGGGAGAGACTAGGTTCATATCATAATGTTGATTCAAGATCATATAGAAGATAAACAGAAAAAAGGGAAAAAACACACAATAGTTTAGAACAGGTTCCTAAATGGTCCACCACTTATGGGCACCTTGGAGGGGTTGGTAATAATCATCAAGTTGTAGAAAAAGCATAACTTTGGAGGCAGAGAGATCTGCATTAAATCCTCGCTCTGCCTCTCAACAGCCCTGTGTTGACCTCTCTTGTTTAGACTACTTCGAAGTCCTGCTAAATGGTCCTGTTGACCCAGACTCTATCCATCCCAATCCATTCTCCATCATCCTATTACAATTACTTCCTAAAAACCAAATCTGGTCATACAATCCTCTGCTTAAAGGTCATATTCAAAATAAAATCTTTAGCAAGGCCCTTATTCTCAGAAGGTTCTTACCAACCTGGTCTAATCCACTTATTTAGCCTTACGTGCTCCCTCCCCTCACTCATTCTAAGCTCCAGCCTTCATTCCATTTTTGATCCCATCCACAGTCTTTCACAACTCAGAATCTCTGCTATTCCCTTACCTGGAAAGCCCATTTTACCCTTCTTCCCTGTCTTAGTCTGTTTATGCTGCTATAATACCCAAAACTGGGAAATTTATAAACAATAGAAATTTATTTCTCACAGTTCTGGGAGCTGGGAAGTCCAAGATCAAGGCACCAGCAGGGTCAGTGCCTAGTGAGGGCTGCTCTCTGCTTCAAGATGCCACCTTGTTGCTGCATCCCCCAGAAGAGTTGAATGCTGTACCGTCACATGGCGGAAAGGCAAGAGAGGGGTTCCACAGCTCTCTCTAGCCTTTTTTATAGAGACATATCCCATTCTTGAGGGTAAAGCCCTCATGCCTTAATCACCTCCCAAAAGCCCCAGCTCTTAATACAATATCCTTGGGAGTTAATTTCCAACATATGAATTTTGGAGGTACACATACATTCACACCATAGCATTCAACCAACAAACTCCTACTCATTCTTTCAGGCCCAATGAAGTGTTCTCTCCACCAGGACATCTTCCCTAACTTCCCTAGGCAATTAGTTTCCCTCCTTTGTGATCCAAAGATACCTTATTTAAATTACTTACTGTACTGCATTGAAATGGTCAGTTTACCTGCCCAGCTCCCTCCTCCAACCCCACAGCATCCTTCCCTCTCTCACTGATATCCACAAAACCCAAACTGTGAGCACCTCTAAGGATCTTTGGATCCTCAGTGCCTACTAGCTAACAAGTGCCTGAAAAAATATTTATCAAATTTAGAAAAAGAATGAGTAAGTGAATGAATGAATGAATGACTTGAAGGACATCTGAACATCTAGGACCTAAGAATTTTGATGAATAAGACTCACGACAATCAAAGGAAAAGGAAGGATATGAAAGGATGAATAAGATTTCATAAGGTGTTAAAATACATACTATATGTATTTGTTACTTAAGGGTCCCAAATGGCTATAAATAATAAATACAGACAATATTTATTGGTACAATGGTAAGTGCATTATTTACCCAACAGGTTGGAACTACTCTTTCTAAGCCACTCCTATCTTGATAGGTCAATATGTTTTTTGGCACACGCAATATGGTAGAAAATGTGAACTATGTATCTGTCAAACAGTAACAAAGCACAGTTTAACCTAGTAAGTGGTGTCAACTCCTTCTGTGCCTCTATAATCCATTTATCTAAATCCTACTTAGTTGGAGGATTATAGTTCTCATATAGCTAGATATGAGTTCTTCCCATTAGGTAAATGGTTCACACATACAGTAAACAAGGCTATAAAAAATCATATCTAATTTCACAAAAGAAAAAAATTATTTGACATATTTTCCTGGTAAGAAAAAGATATAAAGGAAGGAAATCGGGATCATGCCAAACAAGTAATTAAAAACTGTCTAAAGACAGATCTTTTTTTGGAGTCCCTTAAAAGAGAGGAACTGGCTAAAAATTTCGAATGAAACCGCCAATAGAAAAAAGAACCACAAGAAACAAATCTAAAATTTCACTGGAAACAGGAGGCTGCAAAGTAAAAGGGAAAAATTTAAGGAAACACAAGCCACATCTTCAGACATCAACATGAAAAAGGAATGCTAAAATGGTAATTTTTTTAAAGTGGAAGTGTCAGAGGCTTTTAAACCAGAGCAACTCCGTCTTGAATAGGGGCTGAGTAAAATAAGGCTTTGACCTATGGGGGCTGCATTCCCAGGAGGTTAGGCATTCTTAGTCACATGATGAGATAGGAGGTTGGCACAAGGTACAGATCACAAAGACCTTGCTGATAAAAGGATGCAGGAAAGCAACTGGCCAAAACCCACCAAAATCAAGATGGTGATGAAAATGACCTTTGGTTTTCCTCACTGCTCATTATATGCTAATTATAACGCATTAGCATGCTAAAAGACACTCCTACCAGTGCCATGATAGTTTACAAATGCCATGGCAACATCAGGAAGTTACCCTATATGGCTTAAAAAGGGGGAGAAACCCTCAGTTCTGAGAATTGCCAACCCCAGTTCAGGAAAACTCATGAATAATCCACTGCCTGTTTAGCATATAATCAAGAAGTAACAATAAGTGTAAGCAGCTGAGCAGCCTATGCTCTGCTTTGCCTATGGAGTAGTGATTCTTTTGTTTCTTTACTTTCTTAATAAACTTGCTTTCACTTCCCTCTACGGATTGGCCTCAAATTCTTTCTTGCATGAGATCCAAGAACCCTCTCCTGGGGTCTGGATCAAGACCCCCTTCCAGTAACAGAAATGACAGAAAGGGCTAAATGGATCACAAAGTAGTTAAAATGCAAATTACAAACAATGTTACTACCATTAGGTCTCATCAAATAAGAATAAAAATGAACTCAGGAATTCAAGATTGCAGTAAGCTATGATGGCACCACTGCACTCCAGCTTGGGTGACAGAGTGAGGCCCCCGCATCTCTAAAAAGAAAAAAAAAAAAAGGAATGTAACTAATATCTAAATAACTCTAACTAAAATGTTTTCATTGAATATATTAGTGTTTGAAGTAAATATTAACACGCTTTGGGTTTTGGGGAAACTCTTGCTAATCTTTGACCTAACCATTGTTATATGCCAGTCAGGACTAGAAATGGAGGAAACACTGACATTAGTATTCATTGATTCTTAAAGAAATTAGAAATGAGAAGCCTAATTGAATCAAAGTCACAAGGATCTGAAACCTCCCTCCCCTGGTCTGGTGAAAAAGAGGATATTTTGTGGAAGGTAGTATCTCGATCTAAATTCACAATATCATACAAAACTATATTTCTATGATCTGTGATAATCGTAACTGAACTTGGACTCTAAATTTTCTGACCTACTTCACTACTGACCCTTAGCAGAAGAAAGATGCTTGTTTATAGCTGTTTACAGTTTACACTTCACTGATGCCATTACTACATCTGAACATACTGTAAATTAGTGATGGAATGCAAACTAGCTACTAAATTAATTAATTTGTTAATCTCATTAGCCAAAAGGTAAGAACAACTTCCAGCATTATGTAAGTATTTCAGACTTATCTGAAATATGACAATCTTACCTGTATGTTTTTAGAATGGGGGAAAAAACTCTAAAAACTATAAATAATGTCAAATAAAACATAAATTTCCAAACAACACTGATAACAATTCCATAGGAAAGCTTACATTCAGTGATACTTTTGCCTTTTTCTTCTTAAAGTGTCCTTTCTGGAAATGAACATTATCTATTTTGATACAACCTTTACTTTATAATATTCAACTCCTAGCCTGTTTTCCCCAGAATAAAACAAAACTCAGAAAGCTTACAATCTTTAAATTTCATTATTTGGTGGCTTTATTTGTTCAAATAACAATCTTAAAATTATGTGAACTACAACTGAGAGATTTATTAATTAACAATGAAGTTATAAAATGTATCCTATTATTTCTAAATTAATGTAGTGACAATAGTGGTTGAGAACATGGACTCTAACCATATTCTCTAGGTTAAAATCCCAAATTTGAGCTGGGTACAGCGGTGTGCACCTGTAATCCCAGCTACCTGGGAGACTGAGACAGGAAGATCACTTGAGCCCAGGAGTTTGAGGCTGCAGGGTGTGATGACTACACCTGTGAACAGTCACAGCTCTCCAGCCTAGGCACCGAGACAAGACCCTGTTTCTAAAAACAAAGGAAAAACAAATTCCTAGATCTGCCATTTTCCAACTCTGTGACCTTGAACAAGTCACTTAACCTCTCTGTTCTCAGTTTTCCTAAAAGTCAAATTAATGGTGCTAATAATAGTACTTACAGAGTTGTTGTGAGCTAAACAAGTTAACATAGCTAACGTACTTAGACAAAGTGCTTAGAACGGTGCCCAGTATATAGTAAATTCTATGTACACGTTTGCTGTTATTCCTTAAATCTGTAAAGGGAGCTCAGAAAGGTGCTGTTCGTATTTAATTTTATCTAATTTTATTTTAAAATATTTAAGAAAAATAATCTATTTTCTGCCATTGAAACTCTCACAACCCTATGTTCTTAACTTTTCCAGAAATTCTACAACAGTAGGCTGGATAATAAATATTCCCTAAGGTGAAAGGCCACACAGATTAAAGTTATTTTACTCTCTTTTCTAATTCAATACAACACAATTGTTTTAGCTCTGAGGGTATTCTGGTATTTGGAGCATTTGTCAAATAATGAAATGAATCATAAATTAGTCAGATTATAATTGTTATAATTCTCAGTTATTATTAGTTTGTCTTCAGTTTACTCTGTACTCAAAAGAGGGGGAAGGGATGGCCAAAAATTCTTTTGCAATAGTAGTTGATATAATTGAACACCAACATTACCTTTATCACTTCCATAATAATAGAATACCGTTTTACTGAGAGCACACCACCGTTTCTGCCATTCAAATCCCAGAAAGCTGTGATCTGCAATAAAGAGGGGAAAATGTAAGGCCATTTCCTTACTGTAAAAGAAAAAGTTAATTAATATGATTTCTAAGATTCCTCTGAGCTCTAACATTGTGTGACTAATTTGTATCTTCTTTTCCAAGAGACAAAAAACCAAACAACAACAAACCAACACAGCTAAAGGGAATAAAGTAAAGTAGCTATGGGGCTGCCATACTTATGGGATCAACAGCATGGCTAACAAAGTTTTCTGACAGGGACAGTCAAAAAGGTATCTGACTATACAGTCTTGAGATAATTGATCCATCTGGGTCTCATTTTCTCATCTGTTATAAAAAGAAGGGGAGGAGCTAACCTAGATTATTTCTGTTATCTCTTTCAGTTTTAAAATTCAGCTAAGAAAGCTAAGAAAAGCAAAATGAAATATAAATAGAAAGGCCTAAAGGGACTACAAGAGAGATAAGCAGAATGGTAATGAAAAGACTGTCTGCTTTTCATTTCTCATATTATAAAACCACCTCCATATTTCATTTCCATTAAATATTGGTGTTGAAAGAGTGAGACCATATGGTCAACTCCCAATTATCATAGCCAATGGAGAGGAACACTGAAATGAATAATAGACAATGGCAGACAAAACTCCAGGCTTGATCTGAACCATGGTGCATGCCAGTTTGGGCATAGGAGAACCTGCTGCTCAGCCCATTGAGATACTGGTGAGAAATCCCACCTTTGAGAATACAGTCATGGCCTGCAGCTTTCCTTTGAGAGGCAGGAAACAGCTCCTGAATCATTTACAAATAACCAAGGTTGACAACTAAAAACCTAACCTAATGTTTTCTTATTAAAAATTATTTAAAGCTAAGAGCTATATTTTGTGGTTTGGATAATGTCATCCAGATTTTCTTACAATCTTTAAACTCTTTAATCACCTAAAACGAATACTGCCTCCACATGTATACTACAAACATGTTCTATCTAAGGATGAAATTATTTTTACATTTTTCATTAGAACCTTCAGTTTACCTTTTCTGCGTTTTTCAAGGTAGCCAGCCTTTAGAACAAAAGGAAGGTCTTGTGCTGCAATTGGAGGAAACTGGGCTCCTATGAGAAGTTGGGGAGAGAAAAAAAAAAGCAGTGGGTAATCCATTTCAGAATAAACAAGTGCCAGATCTCATTAGATTCAGTGTGCTTTTAATTACTGAAATTGTTTAAATCTAAGTCTATTAGCTTTGTTTCAGATCCATTCCCTAGATTAATCCCCTCTATTCCTCCTAAAAGTCTCAAAAGTAAAAAAAAAAAAAAAAAAAAAAAAGTTCTGTACTCCTATATGTTATTATAGCCTCCCAAAATACAGGACTGAGAAACTATTATAAATAAATGCAATAAATCCCTGAAAGAGAGGTTAAGAATTTCAAATAAATCATAGCTTCGTTATATTTATATTGAATTAACTCTTTAAAAATTTCAATACATATTGACTCTTTCCTGCATAATCCCTATTCCTACCAAGTAAAACATAAAATGCTTTTCCGAATCAAATGCTGAAACTTGTTTCTCTGAGCCCACAGCAAATATTCTCTGTGTTTGTATTCAGAGAAATGTTATGGACATTCCACTGAGTGAGTATGCTTTAGGTTTTTATAGGGCATTTAAGAGTCTAAAACTAGACAGATCTGATAAAACTATTATAAACAAATACTGGATCCCTAAAAAAAGTTTTTAAATCAAGCAAAAGTTAAGTTGATTAGAAATTGTATATTCACGGTCATGGATTATAGGTTACTCAATTTTACAAGTGTTCAATATTTTTATAAACTTCATTAGAAATATAATAGTTATCTGCCGGGCGCAGTGGCTCACGCTTGTAATCCCAGCACTTTTGGAGGCCGAGGCGGGTGGATCACTTGAGGACAGGAGTTCGAGACCAGCCTGGCCAACACAGTGAAACCTGGTCTCTACTAAAACTACAAAAGAAATTAGCCAGGCATGGTGGCGGGTGCCTGTAATCCCAGCTACTTGGGAGCTGACGCAGGAGAATCACTCGAACCCAGGAGGCAGAGGTTGCAGTGAGCCAAGATCACGCCATTGCAATCCAGCCTGGGAAAAAAAAGAGAAAAAAACGAAAACAGAAAAGAAAAGAAATATAATAGTTATCCTCAGCATTTTACTAGAACTCTAGCAAGTGAAAACAACCAATCAAAAGAAAGTTTGTATGGAATACATCCAGTGGAAATAGTTTCAGTACAACTTAGGATAGAAAATGTGTTTGAGTACAAACATGTAATTAGAATGAATAAGATCTAGTATTTGATAGCACAACAGAGTGACTATAGTCAACAATAATTTATTGTACATTTAAAAATAACTAAGTGGCCGGGTGCAATGGCTCATGCCTACAATCCCAGCACTTTGGGAGGCTAAGGAAGGAGGGTCGCTTGAGCCCAGGAGTTTGACACCAGCTTGGGTAACACAGTGAGACCCCCATCTCTACGAAAAATTTAAAAATAACTGGGTGTAGTGGTATACGCGCCTGCAGTCCCAGCCAGTGGAGGAGGAGGGTAGAGGTGGGGGGAAGGGGGTCTGAGGTGGGAGGATCCCCCAAGAGGTCAAGGCTGCAGTGAGCCATGATTGTGCCACTGCGCTCCAGCCTGGGTAATAGAGTGAGACCCTGTCTCTAAATAAATAAATAAATAAATAAATAAATAAATAAATAAATTAATAAAATGAAATAACTAAACAAATATAATTGGATTCTTTGTAACAGAGAAAGAATAAATGGTTGAGGTGATGGATACCTCATTTATCCTGATGTGATTATCATGCATTGTATGCCTGTATCAAAACATACAATATGCCCATAAATTTGCCTATTGTGTACCCACAAAAATTAAAAATTAAAAAAAAGAATGGGTTTGATAGGAAGTTTATTATTTACAAACTCATCACCTAATTTTACCAGTTTTTTTTTTTAATACCATGGGGATCACAGTAGTGATAAAGTCATGGATATTTTTTCTTAAGAAATAAAGCTTAAAATTAGAGCACTAATTTCAGCTCCTTGGTGGATCAACTTCACCCAGTAAACACCACACAGTATCATTAAAACATATTTAAAATAGAGCCCTGATTTTGAAATGTATATGAAATTTTAGGGAAAGTCAGTGTACATATTTTAATAGCTGTTCAATAAATGTATCCAGTTTTTTTCAAAATAAACTTGGTACATATAAAGGTATAAATTATTTATTATAGGATTTTGTACATAAAACAAAAATTACAAACAGAAATCTTATCTCTGTAAACAAGTCCTGGTGAACCACTAATCTAAAGTGGATAATTGTGGAATGATCTGGTCTCATTAAGGGGTAGTCCCACAACCCTCTCACTTCCATTGGGCATAATAAATGCTCTTTACATAAGGAATGGATGCTCACAAAATCTTAAGAAAAGTTAAATTATTCTGAAAAGAAATGGGTACCTTTAGCATAGCTTTCAACTCTAAAATGTTACTGGTCAAAAAGGAGACAGAGAGAGATGGGAAGAAGGGAGAGGGGAGAGGAAGTGGGGGAAAAGGAAAAGGAGAAGGGAAATTAGAATTTACTAGCGTTCAATATACACATAGCCTGAGTCTTTTGCTTTAAGAAAAGTGTTGACTAAATTTCCACCTGATACATCACAATAAAATTTGATGTCATAAGCAATACTTGTTCTGAATTCTAAATTCATGTTTCTAATATAAAATCTTTGATTTCTTCCCTGGGGAGTGGGGGAGTACATTTTTTTTAACTGAAATTTCATTTTTCTAAACCTTTATTGCTGTTTGTCCAATATCCAGGATTTGCTTAATAGCCATATGAATTCTTTAAAACACAAAAGTACACTAATAGCAATCCCTGTAAACACTTTAGATTTTTAAATTTTCAGAAGAACCATTTGGTTTGTATATCATCATGAGCATATGGACAATACTTTCTGATGGCAGGGATGGAAAATCTGTTATAATATATAAAAAAGTAGTAATTTCCTTTTAAAAAAATATGAATTCTCATATCATTTAGACCTCATATCACTATACCTACAACGATTAACGCTATTGACATTTAGGAAGATTTAGATTGGTACAAAGAAACAAGACTATAAAAATACATGCATAATGATACATGAAGAAAAGGAAATTAAGGCTAATGTAAGCCTATCTGCCAGGCAACAACAAAGAGCTGCCACATGTTTGCCATACACCGCAATTACGTTATCTCACTATGGAACAGTCAATTATACAACATTCTGGTGAATTCACAATCACATTCTCAGCTTCACTATTAAAATTCAAACCTTGTCCTAAAAAAAAGTTTTGCACTGGGTCTTAGTCCTTTGCACATAGTAGGCATTCAGTAAACGTTAGCTTTCATTACCTATTACAGTTAAATATTGTTATATGTTACTATAACTGTAACTACTAGTTCAAGTGAATGGATGCTAATGTAAACGTAAGACTATGTTGCTCAGAGAAAGTTAATCAGAAATGAAATACAGGAAAAAGCATGATTCAGCAACTATACAAGTTAAGCATTGTAGCTACTTCTAAAGCAGTTAAAAGATTTCCCTTTACTTAAATGAAAGTGGTTAATGAAAAAAGTATATCCTAAGGGGAGAACAAAAATTAACCCATATGTTAGGGACTAGACTATGCTACAGGAATTTATTATATGGGCTTGCTTAAGTGGCCACAAACTTTCAGTGCCCGAAAAAGTAAGGTATATACTGAGAAAGACTAGTTTTCTTTTTATAAAATGAGTACGTATTTCTTATATGATAAACCTACTTTTCTAAAGCAGCTCAAAATATTAGACATTAAAATCGACACCCTACAAGGACAACTAAGCAAGGAATGGGTCTTCTTCCAGCATGCAATTTGAGAATCTGAAGCATTCAAAATGGTAACAAGGTCACAATGAATTCAAATAAACAAGTATCAAGTGCCTATATTCCCAGCAATTCAGGGAAAAAGGCAATAGTGAAATCCAAATTTCCCTATAGTTAGGTTGATATTTTATTCATAAGGTAACTGATTCTAAAAGATAACTCAAGAATTCTAGAATGTGCCTTAAAGCTTTTGCTTTAAAAACAAATGGTGTATATTGTAGACATAGTACAGCAAGCTTCAAGTATGGATACTAGAATTTCAAAAGCAGAGAAGAGATACAAAGTATACAAATTGATAACAAATTACCTTAAAACTAAGGTATTACCCACTCCTGGTGATTTTATTAAACTATTACTTTATCTTTTTTTTTCTTGAATCTAGGATGAAAAACACTGGAATGTTTAAATGCCTGTAATATACTTAAGAAATAAGTTTTATCTTTTAAAAAGTGTTAACAATTAAAAATAATTATTTCAAAATGAAAAATAGTAGTTACTTCAATTTCAGAGAAAAATATGAAGTCTGTGGTAGGAAGTATCACTTAGTGACATTTCAGGTGTTAGGTTGGTCAGGTCTAAACCCAGTCTTGGCATTAACAGGGTAGACAATTGCATTACTGTATTTAGGACAAAGAAAAGTAGAAAAATGTGTCTAGATCACAGAAGCTTCACTCAGAAGACAAGGCCTAGAACAGCACGCAAGTCCCTTGAGTAGGCAAGGGAATGGGGGTGAGAGAGAGTTAGAGTTGGGGGAGAGAGAGAAAGAGCTAGAGTTGAGGAGAATGGGAGATCTAATGGTCCTTTCTTTTTTATTTAGATTTCTCAAATCTAAATGAACAAATGTTGATTCACAATTTTGTCCAGTATTGGGTGCCTCAATACACTATATTCCAGGGTCTTCCCTAACATTGATGTGTCTCCTAATAGACTCCTCCCTGATACATGTTACACATACACACACACACACAAACACACACACACACTATATCCCAGTCTGATACCTCTTTAAATGCATTAATTTTTCTAAGACAATATAAGACATCATTACCAAAGTGCAATGACTCAGAGACATTTTCAAAATAGACATGTTTTTATTATCATTTTTATTTTTTGATATGCAACTTTGGTGATCAATTTAAATGCTAGACTTCTAAGGAATCCAAAGCCTTATTTTTACTATTTTATCATCAATAATTCATCATATTATTGGCTTCATTACACTAATATGTTCACACTTTTTTGGTTGTTTAATCTAGACTTTATGCAAAATTACGACTAGGTTTCTGAGCTTCACCTTTTGCCCCCTTCAATTTTCCCTTTTCTAGTTGGCATTTATATAGTTTTCAACATGAACACCAAGCTTTCACATAGGGTAATTTTTCCTACCACCTACCCGACTAAAGTTTCCTTTTCCCTTATATTGGAAAAGAAAGGAAAGATACTTTTTAAAAGACTGTTGTTATTCCTAAGAATTTTCACTCTGAGTCAAGATGTTGGTCCATTTAGTCAAATATTCTGTGTCACCACATGATGTGAGTTTTCCCTGAACTCCAAAAAGTAAAGAATAAACTTCTCAACCATACAACCATATCTTTTTTCCTGACAATTCAAATAAATAAAGCATCTACAAGTTTATCTAAACCTTTTAAAATTATTCATTTTCACCTAATAGTTGGGATACTGAGTTCCATAAATTGGCCACCTCCTGGGGGGAGATAGAGCTTCGTTTTATCTCTTCTAAACTCATGTAGTAAACTACCAAAAATGCAGCCCAGGCTGGAGTGCAGTGGCATGATTTTGTTACTGCAGCCTCTGCCTTCTGGGCTCAAGCGATCCTCCCACCTCAGCCTCCTGAGTAGCTGGGATTATAGGTACACAACACCATGCCTGGCTAATTTTTGTATGTTCTGTAGAGGCAAGGTTTCGCCATGTTGCCCAGGCTGATCTCAAATTACTGGGATCAAGTGATCTGCCTGCCTTGGCCTCCCAAAGTGCTGGTATTATAGGCATGAGCCACCATGCCTGGATAATAGACCCATTTTTTAAAAAAAGTATTTACCCACTTAATGATTGCTTTATATTTGAAACATATATTAGGCTTTGATTCTCCAAAAATATTATCTCATTTCATGAAGGTGATACTCTCACCTATCCACTAGTGGTTATTTTATTATCTAGATTAGCTTCTCCAGTTCTAGTTCATTTTTCTTAAGAAGTGATAAACAGAATGAACATACATTTTCAGGTGCCAGTATGTCATAATACCGATATAATCCCAATGCACTGTAATTTTGTATAAAGGTGGAGAAATGCTTTCTGTTTTGCTTCCACTATCCTTCCAGTTGAGGTCCACTATCTTAGTGACATTTTTGGTTGAAGGGTACATTTAGTACTTAGCTTTAGGAAATAGTCCATTAAAAAGCCTCTGTTCCCAGAGCTGTGACTGACTCAGAACTCATCATTCCACAAGTGCAGTTTAATTACACTTTACTTTATAATTGCACACATAAACTTAGAAGCTATTTTCCCTGTTTCTAGAAATTATGTAATAGATACAAAGATGCAGGGATGCAGACACTTTGTTTCTTATTCTAATAGGTTTTAAGTATAAAAATTCACTAGCATATCTGCAAAGTAAACAAAGAACCAAAACAAAATAAGACTATGCACCAACAAAGGAGAGAAACCTACACTTAACTTGGATATAAATATTAAATAAAATATTTTAGTGGTGTGGCACATATCCAGAAGCTTAGCTGTACATTGATACTGACTTCGAAATCCATGGCACAGGTTAAAGAAGTCTGTAATGTGATCTCAGTTCCATACCTTTTTTTTTTTTTTTTTTTACCTTAAACATGTCACTGAGCCTCTCTGGACTCAATTTCTTCTTTTAAAACCTGAAAAAAATAGGTTCAATCATCTCCAAAGCCCTCCTAATTCCAGGACTTCATGAAATATATCCACACTACTATTTTTCTTGTACTTTCAGTAGCAAATGGCCAAGGTCCAAGATTAGATTGAAGTTTCAATTATATCAAATGTGGAAATTGCTCACAACATATTTTTTGTAGAACAACTAGTAACTTCTTTTACATCTAGCATAGAACTATTTTATGTCATTTAAAAGGTTTAATATTCAGCTAGAACCTTGGCCTGGAATATGTATGAGAGAAATAAATACATAAATTAAATATTTTTCATATTTGAATAATTCTTCCCTCCATGTGGGAAATTTGGAATTTCAAATCTGTTTATCAGTATTTTTAGTAGCAAAAGGAAGATATTATATATTCAACAGGCACCTCAAACAATAATCACTGCCGTAACTCTAAAAGAGGACTAATTGTGTTACTTTAGCATAGTCTTTTCAAAAAGCTTGTTTTCTCATCGTAGCACTATTACTTTCTTCAGAAGAGATTCACCAATGAATATACTAGTACTGGCGATCTCTAAGCCTATTATGATATTTCTTTTAAGAAAAACAAAAACAAAAAAGCTCACACCATGCTTTGACATAAAGATGGTCAACTTTCAATTAGTAGAACCATAGAATTCTCAGGAGGGTTATGCTTTGGGGAAAAGGCTTTAAAAACTGATATAGCAGCCTATGTGACTACACTGGGGAAAAAGCAGAGGTTACAACTCAAGGGTTTAACATCTGCTAATCTCCTCCCTCCTCTGTAAAGTGGCCATTTTGAAGGCTACCAAGCAAAAACGGAATAACCATGAGGATAATTCAAATTTGCCTTTATTAACTCTAAAGGAGTTAGGGTGGAAATTTTCACTATGCCTTCAATAGGTCTATTTAGAACAAAAGAAGACAGTAACTATTAATATCATAGCTACATGCATGTAAGATATGCTCATGAATATAATCCAAAAGATTAAGCATTTGTTCAGAGTCCAATCAAAAGCTTCTATTTTACATCTCTTCCTTCCTCCTCTCCTCTCCTGCTCCTCCCTTCTCTTCTTCTCACCTTCCTTTTCCCCCTCTTCCCTCCCCTCCGCTCCCCTTTCTCCTCCCTCTCCTCTCTTCTCCTCTCCTTTCCCTTTTTTTCTTCCTTCCTTTCTTTCTTGCTGCTACTAATTTCCATAGAAATCTACCAAACTATGAAAAATTCTAATGGCAAGATTCCAGAATAATGAAATCTGAAATCAATTGTGTTCACCAACATCCATTAAAATAATGCTCAAAAAGTCACAGATGAATAGTATATGTGAATTATATGACACGGAGTCCAATTATCCTTCTCCACTCATTTAAAACTGCTTCTTTTACTTTAACATACATTTAAGTATACGACCAGAAACTGAACTATCTTATTACATATCTGAAGACTGCTTCTTTAGATAAATCTTTAATATAGAACTGCTGTCCCTTTCTCATAAAAGTAGATGTGAAAAAAATCTCTTTAAGATTTCTGATTCGTTGGTCTAACAATAAACCACTAGTTATCACATTGTTAAAATATATTAAACTTGTTCCTTATAGAATTTTAAAATATGGTTTTTATCTAAAAATTCTAGAGTTATTAATTTGTGGAAAACCTTATAAGAATCTCTCAATTATTTCCGGGGAAGATAGCATATCAATATACTGAATCAATCATTTAAAAGTAAGGTTTTACTTTAGAGACAAGACTACTAGTTTATATATTTATAATATAGGGCACCCTCTGTGTTTTTCTATTTTAGTAAAGGGATCTTTAGATTCCACATAAAAAATTTAAATCAAATTTTGCCTGCCACATAAAGTAACTCCTCAGCAACTCTTTATCTGCCTATATCTTAGTCATCTGCTCTGTAGCAAGTAAAACATTAAATTCTGAAAAATAATAGCCTTTTTAAAAAGTCTATAATACATACTTTGAGAAAATGAGATGCAAGCTTAAAATGGAATACATTCTCCTTAAGTTAAAAATATAATTCTAAATATATCAAAATGTTCAGACTCTAAATATTATAAAATTAAATATATACAATTATGAACTGGGTTTTAATTTAATGCATCTCTTTCCACAACAAAAGTGCCCCCAAACTGATACTGCATTTTAGAATCACGTTCAAAACCCTGGATTTACATTCAGATTGCAGGATAGCTACCAGCTCTGTGACTTAGCAAGTCACTTGATTTCATTAAGCTTTAGTTTTCAAATCTTTCAATGTAGATAATAGGAGGGCATACTATGGAGAGCTATGGTGGGGATGTAGTAGGATAGCACTTAAGATAACTCTTTAAGAAATGTTGTCTCTTATTACTACTAGTATTTTTAAAAGGCAACTCAAATTTGCCACAAGTCCATTGTTCCATACACATACAAAAAAAGGAGGCTGAAAATATAAACCACTAGAATAAAAACATGAATGTTAAACACCTTTTAACCATACGACTTTCTTTCTGGTTACAGATATTTGGCCAAAAACAAATCTGATGCATAAACACATATTTGACAAGATTATACATAATAAAGATTAGCATAAATGAAAAGGAACGTTCTTAACTCATATATTAAACAATATTTTACTAGTCTATATTATGCGCCAGGCTCTTTTCTAAATATTACCCAAAATAGAAAACTAGGAAACATAAACTCAACTTCACTGAAAATTTGTTGAAGGCATCTTAAAAGTCAAACAATTATGTATAAAATTTAAACAATAACAATAATAGGTCCTCGGCTGGGGGTAGTGATTCACACCTGTAATTCTAGCACTTTGGGAGGCTGAGGCAGAAGGATCACTTGAGGCCAGGTGTTCGAGACAGCCTAGGTAACACAGCAACACCCCATCTCTATAAAAAATGTATTAATTACCCAGGCATGGTAACTCACACCTGTAGTCCTAGCTACTCAGAAGGCAGGAGGATAGTTTGAGTCCAGGAGTTCAAGGCTGCATATGATAGTGCCACTGCACTCCAGCCTGGGTGACAGAGTGAGACCCTGTCTCAAATAATAACAATAATAATAATAATAATAATAATAATAATAATAATAATAGGTCCTACTTCTTTCTTCCTTACCTATGCTATCTCTGTATCAAACACAACTGTTTCTATTATCTCCATACTATAAGCTTAAATATGTTTTTTAAGCACTATCAGTGGCATGATTACAAATAACAGCACTGCAACAGTTAACATTTATTGAGCCTTTACCATGAGTTAGGTAAAGATGATGACACCAGTCATCATCTCATGTCATCATCACATAACCCTAAGAGGTTAAGTATTACTAACTCTATATTACCAATCAGAAATCAAGATAACACACAATAAGTGGAGCAAGGACCTTAAGTCTACTTGCCCAGAAGCCCATTTTCTGAAATGCTATGTTCCACTGCTGATGGAATAAATGAATGCCATCTATAGAAACCGTGTCAGACAACATCACTGAATTACTTTTCTATGGCATTAAAGCAATTACCATTATTTAAGGTTAGTTCCCTAAGTGTAACATGATATATTTTAATATACCATATATACCATATACCTAATATACCTAATAGATATACCTAATATACCATACTTTTTTTTTTTTTTTTGAGATGGAGTCTTGCTCTTTCACCCAGGATGGAGTGCAGTGGCGTGATCTTGGCTCGCTGCAACCTCCAACCACCAGGTTCAACGATTTCCCTGTCTCAGTCTCCCAAGTAGCTGGGATTACAGGCATGCGCTACCATGCCCAACTAATTTTTGTATCTGTAGTAGAGATGGGGTTTCACCATGTTGGCCAGGCTGGTCTCAAACTCCTGACCTCAGCTGATCCACCCACCTTGGCCTCCCAAAGTGCTAGGATTATAGGTGTGAGCCACTGCACACGGCCAATATACCATACATTTAAATTGTGGGGTGTTGTTTCATCTGTAAGATTTTGGGTCAATTTTGCTTCTTAAGAATGTATTTGAAATACTTCCATTTTGGTTTAAAAACACATATACACAAACATGGAACAAATTAGTAATGGGGAAAATGATGTTTATGGAAGGAAAAGGAGGTTCCTTTTGTATGCAGATTCCTCTAGCAAACTGCATAGAAATAAG
Source organism: Homo sapiens (assembly GCF_000001405.40). NCBI lineage: Eukaryota > Metazoa > Chordata > Mammalia > Primates > Hominidae > Homo > Homo sapiens. The sequence continues at coordinate 26,750,828 of NC_000007.14, forward strand.
AAATGAATATAATTTAGATTGAATTCTTTAGCTTCTTTCCACTCAACTATGCTTTATCTTTACATAGGCCATAGGACAATTCTTTCATTGATTTACTTACTTTTGCAACAGCTTTATGTTGTGGATTTTGAGGTATAAATTTTTAAAATTATTTTCAGATTATAAGTAACATTTTTATAATTTGTGATATTCTTTAAACTCATTTTTATTAATTTATTTTTCCTATTCTGTATACAAAAAGTTTAGAGTCATTAATAACATAAGATTATATCTTAAGTATCTGAAATAGGAATATGCAGAGTTATAATGTCTTCTACATTGTACAGTATAATAAAACACGTTTTTGTTTTTGTCTTAAGAAAAATAACAGGTACATAAACAGTTGTCATTCTATTCCCATCTCCCAAAACAACCTTATTATTGAGGGGTGGTTAATATGAATAAATAAACAAGAAAAATAAGTGACAAATGTGTAGTTTGAAAACTATCAGACATGAAATTATTTTATGACTAACTTATTAACAGAAGGTAAATTGCTGAATTAAGGCTCTCACTCTATTTCACAGTCCTACTCTGATTATTTGATTACTAAATTGAGCTTGATTACTAACGCAAATACGTTCCCAAACATTCTTAATGCTTTAGTCTTCATAGGTAAATAGTATACCTGTTTCTATTTAAGAAGGAAACTATCTAATTTTTTATTTAAATCAAGAAGTCTTGGCATTTTCCCTCTTCTGTCATTCAAAGTACCTACTCTGGTTTAAAGTATTATAAGCATCTTCCTAAAAACACATGTGTATGCAATCTTTCTCCCCTCTCTCTTACAGACACACACACCATTTGTTTTCCTTCCACCTAAAACAAGAGGTTTTTCCATAACTCTTTTTTCAATATAGATATGAAATTCATACATTCTTATCTATTATTATTGTTAATTTAGTAATATACTGCCTCCTTCTCCCCCCAAAAAGCATTTCCCAGGCATTTGTACAGATACATTTGGAGAGGCAAATTAAAAGCAAACAGGAGCTATCAGTGTGTATACACACAGGGTGGGAGGGAGGGGGAGGATGGAAGATGGAGAAGAAAGGAAGGGTAAGGAAAGGGAGGAGGCAGAGTGACAAAGCAAATACCTGTATAGAAAAATGTTAATGTTAGGAGAATTGGGGTGAAAGGTATATGGGAACTCTTTGTGTTATTCTCGCAACTTTTCTGTGTCACTATTTCAATATTTTTTAAAATCAAGGCAAAATTAGAAGTCAGGGTGGAACAGAAGACAACTTGGAACTACAAAGTCATTTACACTTGTGAGGAGTGGGCCAAAAATTCACTTATAAGCTTTATAACAACCAACATGAAGCAAGAAATACAATAAATTATATGAGCCATTGCCCATAAGATAAATACATATCATTGTTCAGGGAAGAAAACACAACTATTTCTGGCTCCTGGTACTGAAATGGGAAAGAAATTTCTCCCATGGTTCTCAATGTCCTCAATAACATTTTTACAGTATATAAAATAAAAGTTTCATAGGGCTGTTTTGTATAACATCATTCATATTGAGCCAAAAGCTTAATGCCAAAGTGAAATTCAGTAAAAGCAATTCTACAGAATACAAAACGAGGAGGCCCAAGTATACAGCTAACTCCCAAAAGCTTTGTTAAACTCAAGGATAAGATCATAGAGTATCTATAGGAACAGACACCCTGCACAATTTTCAGACAATCATTCCAAAATCCTGTTTGCCTTGATCAGACTTCTGGTAAATATTAAATCTCAAGAAAAACTCCATTCTCTGCAAGAAGGTAACACAACTCTTTTTATGTTGCTGCTTAAGTCAAGAGCCATATCCTTTAACAAGCAGCCAGGCTGGGGGTAAAATTAATACACTTATTTATCAATTTACAAAGTTTAATGACTTTGCAGGGACATAAACCTGGATGAAGATCATCTTAACACAAAAACAAATCAGCAACTGGCCTATAAAGCTCTAACTCAGTGCCAGGACAATTCCAGCCTGTGAAATTTTAAGCATATACCTACTTTGTATCCACCAAATATCCACAGAACAACATGTTACTGAGAATGATAAAATGCCTGAGTCTACTCTTCAGTATGAACTGGTAATCATATGTACACCTGGGTAACTGAAAGGATTATAAAGCATTGTTATCCATATAACTGAGTAAATTACTAGAGAATTCATACTACAATTTCAATATTAGAACAGTTAATGTGTAGCAGTTTTTCTTCTTACTATGGAAATAAAAGCATACCACATGCTTAATCCTTTTTCTGATACCTAGTTTCAAAGGGGAATAACTGTAAACAGCCATTTGTGAGACTGGCCAGGGAGACAGACATAGACATTCATGTGGTATTTACAGTATCAGGCTAAAATAGTGTGTCACAAGAGTGTCTTTTTCACTGGAATTTGAGCAAGGGGATCATAAGGCAGTGTTCTGAAATTTGAGTGCACATGGAAATCACCAAGGGTACTTCTTTCAAATGTAGAAGTATAATTTTAAACAAAATCATCTATATGGCTCAGAATGGTATATTTAAAAACCTTGTTTTGTGTACAGGATTTGTAAAATATGGTCTAAGCTAACGTTCACTGCAAAATAAAAAAATCAATATACAGATAAAACACAGTTCTGCAATCAGTACACACTGAAAACAGAAGGAAAATCCCCAAAATATAAATGATAGTGCAACTAATGATTTTTATTTATAACTACCTAATTTTGGGGTCATTAAAACAATTTTGTAAACATTTAATACACCTTTCACAGTAGTCTTGAGAGAGAAAGAGAGGCTGTCATAATAAAAAGCAGTACTGAGCAGCCAGTTGCCTGCATGTGTTGGTTCATTCATCAGGCAGTTACCGAGCATCCACTATGTGCCAGGCACTGTGATGGAGCAAGAGGTACAGCTACAGTCCTTGCCTTTGAGAAGCTCATGATTAGGTGCAATTCCCCACTAATAAAGAGATTCAAGAAACCAATGAGGAGACAGAAGAATGAGAAGCAAGATAGCCGTAAGACATGAAGAACAAAGAGGTCATCCTTATATTTATATCCCACCTTAATATCTACTTTCACAATTACTAACACTCCCATTCAGTTCTAAACTTTATAACCACCAACATGAAGAAACATAATAAAAAGGAAGAAAATTGGGACAGAACGTATAATATAAAAAGTGCCTATTTAGCTATGTGATTTTAGCATATTTTTAAAAAAGTAAGCCGGGCACGGTGGCTCATGTCTGTCATTCCAGCACTTTGGGAGGCTGAGGCGAGTGGATCACTTGAGGTCAAGAGTTTGAGACCAACCCAGCCAAGATGGTGAAACCCCTTCTCCACTGAAAATACAAAAATTAGCAGGGCGTGGTGGCGTACACCTGCAATCCCAGCCACTCTGGAGGCTGAGGTGGGAGAATTGCTTGAATACAGGAGGCAGACGTTGCAGCAAGCCAAGATCACACCACAGAACTCCAGTCTGGGCAACACAGTGAGACTCCGTCACACACACACACACACACACAAAAAGTATTCAAGATGTGAAAAAAAAAAAAAAACCCAACTGACAAATATAGAAACTGATATTTACTATAAGCAAGACATCAAAAGGCAATTCATTAATATGTTCACTGTGTGGGCTATCTCACTGCAGGATCTGCCAGAGCTGACATAGCCCAATCGTACATGGTCTCTTTTTCTCCCAACTAAGAGTTGTCATTACCAGAACAATTTCACCAAGAAATTTTAATGATTTAGTTCAAATTAGAAACGTCAAAATTAAACTTTGAAAAAGAAACTGATGGAATATTGAGCAGAACAAAACGATTGCTAACAACACACAACAACTGATGTAACTTCATGTAAACAACCAGTGCTGTTCAGCCACACTTAAACATCACATCAAGAGCAGTTCAGTGCTCCCTCATTTGCCCTGTAAGGCACTGGAAGTTACCTCAGAGGAGGCTAGGGCAATAAAATGGTCTGAACTCTGAATCTGTAGTTTGCTCATAAATATGTGAAATATACAATGACCTCTTGAAAATATGAAAAAGACTTAAAATCCAAAAGATACACATCCCGCTAAAATTCCATATGAATAAATGGCATAACACAAGTTATTCCTAGTCAATTTAGATATGGTAAGATCTTATAATAAGATATCCTATTACATGTTTCTCTAAGAATTCAGCTGTAATTAAATCATGTCTGAATAGACCATGATGTACATTCTCACTGAAAAACAAAATTTACAAATATGTTTTATCTACCTTAATATTGATAACAAGTTATCAATTAAATTAATTCAATTAAGTCCCCTTCACCTGGATAGCTTCAAGTCTCACACAAGACTCATGGTTCTAATGTACTTTTACAAATACAAAAATAATTTTTAAGAATTCCTCAGAGGATGCTGAAATATGGAAATTTAAGACTTAGTCCAATTCTTTCTCACCAACCAAAGAAGTCAGGTATACTGTTATAATTCCATACATGGATAAGAACTGGTACAGTCATTAACTTGTCAAATGATGACTTATTCAAGGTGTATTTATAGGAGAAAACATTTGCATGGATGTCACAATAGATAATGAACTACAAATTAATAAGAAAAAAGTGAACAGGTCAATAGAAAAACAGGTAAAGGATATGAACCCAGTAATTTATGGAATAAGTACAAAGGTTAATAAACATGAAAAGAGATGAGTGTTTATTGATTTGTAGTGTTTCCTGAGCTCTCCCCACCTCCATTAGAATATAAGTTCCAACAGCCCAGAGACCATAACTGTCTTCTCTTCACTGCTGTATCCCTAGGGCCTAGATTAGTGCCTGGGACACAGGAAGTGTTTGTTAAATTTGCTGAATGAACAAACAAATGAATAAACCTCACTAAAAACTACTTTTTAACTTATAGGACTGGCAAAAACTGCAAAGATTAAGAATATCAAACAGGGAGGAGGGCAAGAAGAGATACTCGCATCTCCACTCACCCCGTTTTGGGGAGTATAGCTTAATACAGCTTTGTGGATGAAAATTTGACAATACCCTGATAATTCAACTCCTAAGAATCTACCCTACAAATTAAAATGCTGTTACATGATGGTGTATAAGCCAGAATATTCACTGATATACCATTTGTGACAACAGAAAGATGGAAAATGCCCAGCAAGAGGAACATTATGAAGCCATTCTAAATAATGCTATAGATCTGTGTGTATTAATATGGAAAGATATATACTAATGTAGAAAGATGTCCACGATACTTGGTTGAAAAACACAAGTGGTATACTAATATATAGTGATATACTTTTTTAATACTTTTTGTTAATTTTTTTTATTATACTTTAAGTTCGGGTACAGGTGCACAACGTGCAGGTTTGTTACATATGTAAACATCTGCCATGCTGGTGTGCTGCACCCATTAACTCATCATTTACATTAGGTATATCTCCTAATGCTATCCCTCCCACCTCCTCCCGCCCCACAACAGGTCCCGGTGTGTGATGTTCCCCTTCCTGTGTCCAAGTGTTCTCATTGTTCAATTCTCACCTATGAGTGAGAACATGTGGTGTTTGGTTTTTTGTCCTTGTGATAGTTTGCTGAGAATGATGGTTTCCAGCTTCATCCATGTCCCTACAAAGGACATGAACTCATCCTTTTTTATGGCTGCATAGTATTCCATGGTATATATATGTGCCACATTTTCTTAATCCAGTCTATCATCGATGGACATTTGCATTGGTTCCAAGTCTTTGCTATTGTGAGTAGTGCCGCAATAAACATACACGTGCATGTGTCTTTATAGCAGCATGATTTATAATCCTTTGGGTATATACCCAGTAATGGGATGGCTGAGTCAAATGGTATTTCTAGTTCTAGATCCTTGAGGAATCACCACACTGTCTTCCACAATGGTTGAACTAGTTTACAGTCCCACCAACAGTGTAAAAGTGTTCCTATTTCTCCATATCCTCTCCAGCACCTGTAGTTTCCTGACTTTTTAATGATCACCATTCTAACTGGTGTGAGATGGTATCTCATTGTGGTTTCGATTTGCATTTCTCTGATGGCCAGTGATGATGAGCATTTTTTCACGTGTGTGCTGGCTGCATAAATGTCTTCTTTTGAGAAGTGTCTGTTCATACCCTTCACCCACTTTTTGATGGGGTTGTTTTTTTCTTGTGAATTTGAGTTCTTTGTAAATTCTGGATATTAGCCCTTTGTCGGATGAGCAGATTGCAAAAATTTTCTCCCATTCTGTAGGTTGCCTGTTCACTCTGATGGTAGTTTCTTTTGCTGTGCAGAAGCTCTTGAGTTTAATTAGATCCCATTTGTCAATTTTGTCTTTTGTTGCCATTGCTTTTGGTGTTTTAGACATGAAGTCCTTGCCCATGCCTATGTCCTGAATGGTATTGCCTAGGTTTTCTTCTAGGGTTTTTATGGTTTTAGGTCTAACATTTAAGTCTTTACTCCATCTTGAATTAATTTTTGTACAAGGTGTAAGGAAGGGATCCAGTTTCAGCTTTCTACATATGGCTGGCCAGTTTTCCCAGCACCATTTATTAAATAGGGAATCCTTTCCCCATTTCTTGTTTTTGTCAGGTTTGTCAAAGATCAGACGGTTGCAGATGTGTGGTATTATTTCTGAGCGCTCTGTTCTGTTCCATTGGTCTATATCTCTGTTTTTGGTACCAGTACCATGCTGTTTTGGTTACTGTAGCCTTGTAGTATAGTTTGAAGTCAGGTAGCGTGATGCCTCCAGCTTTGTTCTTTTGGCTTAGGATTGACTTGGCAATGCGGGCTCTTTTTTGGTTCCATATGAACTTTAAAGTAGTTTTTTCCAATTCTGTGAAGAAAGTCATTGGTAGCTTGATGGGGATGGCATTGAATCTATTTTTAAAAATGCCAGTATGGCCATTTTTTGAGATGGAGTCTTGCTCTGTCACCCAGGCTGGAGTGCAGTGGTGCAATCTTGGCTCACTGCAACCTCTGCCTCCCAGGTTCAAGTGATTCTCCTGCTTCAGCTTCCCAAGTAGCTGGGACTACAGGCACGTGCCACCACGCCTGGCTAATTTTTTGTATTTTTAATAGAGACAGGGTTTCACCGTGTTAGCCAGGATGGTCTCGATCTCCTGACCTCATGATCCACCCACCTCGGCCTCCCAAAGTGCTGGGATTACGGGCGTAAGCCACTGCATCCAGCATGATACACTATTTTTTAAAATTTAAGAAATATCTGGTTCCATGTTTTTTCTAGCACATATATGTATTCTTAAAACTCAGGAAAAAAGTCTGGAAGGGCACATAGAACTGTTAGCAGTTCTTACTTCTAGGGAGTGTAGGGAATTTTTTTTTTCCTTTTGCAGAGAGGGAACAACTTCGTTATAAGCATGTACTATACATTTAAAATTTTATATAATACAATTTTTAAAACTGTAAAACAAAAAATAGGCTTTTAAGTAATTTAAGTCGATTTATATTATTAAAATCATAGCCAGAAAAATGCCACCCATTCATCTATAAAATTTAATTTAATCAATACAAGTATAGTTTTATAGTACAATGATACAATTTGAAAACAATATTCCCAATATATATGAAGGTACTACTTTGAGAATGTTCACCTACCTGGCTATTCTTCAAATAGTCCAAGTCTCATGTACCCACACAAGTTTTCACTCTGCTTGAAATGTGCTATTCCCTCACCTTTCTCCACTTACCCACTCCTCACCACTATCATTGCCTAGAAAGCTTTCAGCTTACCCTTTAAGATACAACTCAACTCACTGAAAAGCTTTCCTGTTGTGACATAAAGAAAACATTTGCAAGACAGATGATTTCTTAAAAAAATTAAAGGAACATATTTTCTCTGATATAGATAATTCTAATTCTTGCTACTAAATTTTTAGAGTAATAAAAAGTTACCTAAGTGAAAATAAAATAGCCATTAACTTTTAATTACCCAGATATTTCTACCTTTTCCAAAAATCTCCATGTGCTTACAGAAACATAGCCAAAGGCTTCAAAACAATTCCTGATCTGGGAAAAATACAAACGGATTTTTGGACGTCCACATGAACTAGACATGTTCTTGTTTAGAAAGCTGGCATTTATGACAAATTTTCCGAAATGAAATGAATCTAAATTTGTTGATATTACAAAAATAACACAATAATGTATTTTTGCTCTATGTCAACTTAAATGTCTTCAAACTGATGTAAAAATATGCATAAAAATAACTGTGCCAGGTAATAACTAGTATTCCAAATTCCACCTGGGGAAATGAATTTTATGGCTATACTATAAACTTCTAAAATCCTGAAGTTTTAATAGATATACTGACACAACCTTAACCATAACAGCTCTAGCAACTGCTGCTATAATCAATCTGTCAGTTTCTATAATAGCTATGACAAATCCATTAATATGAATGATGTACACTTCACATAGCGCACTACACAGCAACCGCACAAGTTATGTCATCTCCATTCTGAGTAGCAAATCAGTAATCAATATTTGTAAAAGCAGCAGCTAATCCTTTGTAAAATCACTGGTTCAGTGATTGAGGAGTTTGCTCAATCCACACAGTTAATCCCTCTTCATCTGCTTGAGCCCTCTCTTTATCCCAGCCTCTTACAATGCTAGCTATGGCAGATTAATACATCTCCACATGCTAAACATGACCTGACAATTGACACAGGATATTGCTGACAGGATAAGCTCTACAAACCCTGGCCTTTTAAAAGGGAAGCTTAAAATTAACATTCAGAAACCCAAAGTTTACAAACAGACTCACCACTATCCCTTCTCAACTCCAGTTATCTGATTTATTAAGCTCACCCTCCTTGGGAAATAGATCACTATTTTTGGTTTGAACAAGTTTTGTTGATTATTGTAGAATGCTTATTCATAAAGCATTTCCTGTTATCCCCATCTTTAAAATAAAGGTAAATACAAGTTTTCTGGCCAAGAAAAGAGGCCCATTTGTAGAGAACCATTTAAAGAATTCCTGTGTGTGAAGTAAAAGTGACAGTACTCAGCTACTTCAAAGTTCTACATTTGAAGAAAATCTCAAAAAAGCATCTTAATGCTTAAAACAAAGCTTTGAGTGAAAAAAAGATGCATTTCCACACTGAAAAGTGATGAACAATACTTTAAGTAAAGTGCTCTGTGCTAAAAGAAACATATGTTAAAGATATAAAATAACAAGTTTAATCATCCCTAACAATTAGATAAAATGACAGATCTTTTTTTAGGAATTACACTAAATTTTACTTAAAGATCCAACATAAATTTCCTTAACAGAGTTATTTCAGTTCACATATTCCACGAATCCTTGGAATTCAAACTACTTGAAATTCTAAACTAACTGAAACTACTCAAAAGGAAAGAAAATGCAAATTCATGTCAAAGTAATAGTAGAAAATAGGCCTAGAAAGAAAAATTATTTCCTAACCCAAGAGAGTAAATGAAATCTTTTTAAAGGAATTGATTTTTTTATAAAGACAACAAAACTACTTTATATATATAACTTCTGGTTATAGTCACGCTCCCTTATCTATCGATGGGAAATATGTTCCAAGGCCCCCAGTGGATGCCTGAAACTACAGATAGTACCGAATCCTACATATACTATGTTTTTTCCCATACAAATACACCTATGATAAGGTCTGATTTATAATTTAGGCACTGCAAAAGAATAACAACAATTAATAATACAATAAAACAATTATATTAATAATAAATACTGTAATAAAAGTTAAGTGAATGTGGCCTCTCTCAAAATATCTTATTATACTGTAACTAACCTATTTTTGGACCCTGGTTGACTGTGGGCAACTGAAACCACAGAAGCAAAACCTCAGATAAGGGGTGACTACTGTAGTTGTGTCAAATTTAGGTGGAATATCAACCAAGCGATTACATCTTATAGTTTTCATTCCTCCTCAAGAGAAAGAGGAGGCCAAAGGAAGGCCAAAAAGAAACAACATGAAAGAACTGTCTGACCAGAAGCCAAAAGCATATAGAATTTTAGAAAAGAAATGAATCAATAGTCAGTAGTATAAGTTGCTTCCGAAAGGCCAAGAAAGAGAACTACTGGAAACTGTTCACTGAATATGGAAATTAAGAGGATATAGTGATCTTGTTGGGATATCAGGGAAGAGGTAGTATGGGCAGAAGATAGTCTGTAGTAATGAAGGAATGAAATGCGCGAAAGTGGAACAGGGAAAACGCAACTGGTCTTTAAAAATAAATCTGTAGTGAAGAAAAGAGAGGAAAGAAAAACCAGAGAGGAAAGCATTTCCAGTTTTCTTTCTAATTCAATTATTTGTAGCAATAGTCCCTCTTCCATATCAAGTTACACTTTAATGCAACACAGTCTTCAAAATAACTAAAAGCCAATACTGCAATTAAAAAATTTAATAATTTTAACCTTATTTAGGAATAATAAATCTGTAATGTCAAAAATGAATAAGAGCTTAAAAATGATAACTAGCATTTGAAAATTTAGGCTGACATCTCCAATGTAATGCATAGATATCTCATATAGTATGTTGCATATTTTTAAAATGTAATCTTATAATTCAATGTCTTTTTCAGATACTAAGCAAAATAATTTTCTAGTCAGTGGAATTTGCTATAAAGAGAATTATATATATCACCAAATCCTACAAGACAACTGGCTCTAATTCGCTTTACTGAAGGAAGCTGAGGCACAGAATGAATAAAAAGACAGCAATACTAGGGCAATATTATAGGCGAGGCCAGGCATGGTGGCTCACACCTGTAATAGCACTTTGGGAGGCCGAGGTGGTCGGACTGCCTGAGCTCAGGCGTTTGAGACCGGCCTGGGCAACATGGGGAAACCCTGTCTCTACTAAAAATAGAAAAAATTAGCCAGGCATGGTGGCACACATCTGTAATCCCGGCAACTCGGGAGTCTGAGGCACAAGAATTGGTTGAAGCCAGGAGGCGGAGGTTGCAGTGAGCTGAGATTGTGCCATTGCGCTCTAGCCAGGGCGACAGAGTGAGACTTTGTCTCCAAAATATACATATATATAATAGGGTGACCTTTCCATGTCAAGAATATGTAGAAGATTAGATAAGTAGAGAAGTTTGCCAGCAGCTAAGAAAAGTAAATTTCAAAACTCTTTTGAACCATAAAAATAACTTACAGGCCACAGTCACCAATGCTATTTCATACTATCTTGAAACAGTGACATTTCCCTGGTACATTTAAATTATGATATTGCAAAGTTCAATTTATTCATAGCTTTTTAAAAAAACATCTATTGCAGCTACTCGGGAGGCTGAGGTAGGAGGACTGCTTGAGCCTAGGAGGTCAAGGCTCTAGTGAGTTGTGAACGTACCACTGCACTCCAGCCTGGGTGACAGAGTGAGACCCTGTCTCTAAAAAAATTAAAATTAAAATTAAAAATTAAAAAAATCCACACATCTGTTATACAAACTATATACTTACTCATATGGAAATCTTTTTGTTCTATTGCTAGCTGTCTTTGAACTGCCTTTGAATCTTAAGACTCTAGACATACAATTAATGTTCTCTCCCATATAAACACATACACGTGTATGTAAAATGTATGCATATGTACATGTATCATCCACACACACATGCAATACTGCCCAATATATCCTAAAGACGCTAATGCTTGCCTTTAAAAAAAAATAGTGATGCCCAGCTAGGCGCGGTGGCTCATGCCTGTAATCCCAGCACTTTGAGAGGCTGAGGCGGGCAGATCACGAAGTCAGGAGATCGAGACCATCCTGGCTAAGATGATGAAACCCCATCTCTACTAAAAATACAAAAAAAAAAATTGATGCCCATAAACAGCTTATGTTTTTCAATACAACTAAAATAATTTTCTAAGAAATAGTAAAAAAGTTTTTAAGGTGAAGGTAACTGAATGATTCAAAGGAAAGAAATTTATAACCTCTTTCAAAAACCTTTCAGACTCTTCCTTAGACACCCAAGTAACCAAAATCATAAATTTGCAACCCAATTTGCCAATGTTACATGTATAGCCAGAGAACAAAATAATGCCCTTACAAGTTCCAGTATGTAACAACATTGGCCTCATTAACAATATATTTTAACTGAACAAACTTGCTAGTCAGGCATTAGTTTCTTCTTTAGGATATAATGAGAAAACAGCATTGTGCATCTCACTGACCAATTGAAGTTTACTTGTTCTGAAGAAAATGTTGTCTTCAAGTCTGAGATCTCAGGTTTCTATAAATATTTTCAATTATATTTTAATAATACCAAATATTTACTTGCTTGAATATAAATAAAAACATTTTTCTTGTGTTTTTAGTTACATGGATAAAACCAAAGTTACCAAGATTTTCCACATAAGAAAATATTTACAAAGGAAAATAAGTGCTCACATTGAAAATGATCTAGTAGCACCATAAATTTCTTTGTAGACTCAGACATAAAAGATACAAAGTCTGAATTTTTTATTCCAAGGGATTCCAAAAATTTACAAAGGCAAAAAAAATTTATGAAACTCATCCCATTATTATGGCTCAGTGCACCATGTCAGGAGTTAACATGATACCAATCTATCCATCCCTGATGATGTTAATTTTCATCACTTATTTAAGGTGTTATCTGCCATATTTCTCCACTGTCACATGACTGTTTTTCACTTTATAGATAATAAGTATCTCACAGAGAGATACTTTGAGATGACGTAAAATATCCCATTCTTCAAACTTTCATTCACTAGTTTTAACATCTATAGATTTAGAATTCAAAGATTCTTGCTGGAGTTAATTACAGTCATGCATCACTTAACAACAGGGATACATTCTAAGAAATACATCATTAGGTGATTTTGTCATTGTATAAACATCATGACACGTACTTACACAAACTTAGATGGTACAGCCTACTACACACCTAGGCAATATTATATATAGCCTATTGCTCCTAGGCTACAAACCCCCTATAGCATGTTACTCTACTGAATACTGTAGGCAGCTGTAACACAATGGTAACTACTTGTGTATCTAAACATGGAAAAGGCACAGTAAAAATACACTATTATAAACTTATAAGACCATCATCAACTATACAATTCGTTGTTGACTGAAAGGTTGTTAGGCAGCACATGACTGTTCTTCTATCATCATCTCAAATGATGTTTCCAGCCTTTTTTAAAAAAATAAATGAAGATGTCAAATACTCTTTATATGACAAAGATGAAAGCTAGACAAAAGATAGCAGTTTGGAAATTCAATAATTTCAAGAGAAATAGGTGATTCTTTCCCAGGTAGTCTGCAAACGTGACTTGATATGTATGTGTATAGGAAGGTGTGGGTATATATGTGTCTACATTAATATTTTTGTAACCATCCAGCAACTAGGTACAGTACCTAGTAGTGCATATATTGAGAAAAACTATGCAATAAAAAATAGGAATAGCATAGTCATTCTCTATAGAAGAAGAAGAAAACATAGATCAGGAATCAGAAGACTACTCCTGTTGAACCGTAAACTTCGTGTGCGTTCCTAGACGATTCAATCTTTCTAGACTTCACTTATAAAATGAGAGGCATAGACTAGATAATTTACAACCTTCTTTCCAATTCTATTATTCATTTTAATAATTTTTAAAATATATTGATTTATACACAGATGTTTTTAAAAATTTTACCTTTACTATATAACTTTTTTTCATAATCTCTTCTTTTTTTCTTTTATCTTTTTTTATTTTTATTTTTATCATACTTTAAGTTCTGGGTTACATGTACAGAATGTGCAGGTTTGTTACATAGGTATCCATGTGCCATGGTGATTTGCTGCACCCATCAACCCATCATCTACAGTAAGTATTTCTCCTAATATTATCTAACACGGGGTTTCACTGTGTTAGCCAGGAGGGTCTCGATCTCCTGACCTCGTGATCCGCCCACCTCGGCCTCCCAAAGTGCTGGGATTACAGGCGTGAGCCACGGCGCCTGGCTGTGCCACATTTTCTTTATCCAGTCTAACATTGATGGGCATTTGGGTTGGTTACAGCTCTTCCCTATTGTGAATAGTGGTGCAATAAACATACATGTGCATGTGTCTTTATAGTAGAATGATTATAATCCTTTGAGTATACACCCAGTAATGGGATTAATGGGTCAAATGGTATTTCTGGTTCTAGATCCTTGAGAAATCACCACACTGTCTTCCACAATGGTTGAACTAATTTACACTCCCACCAACAGTATAAAAGCGTTCCTATTTCTCCACATCCTCTCCAGCATCTGTTGTTTCCTGACTTTTTAATGATTGCCATTCTAACTGACGTGAAATGGTATCTCATTGTGGTTTTGATTTGCATTTCTCTAATGACCAGTGATGATGAGCTTTCCTTCATATGTTTTTTGGCCACATATATGTCTTCTTTTGAGAAGTGTCTGTTCATATCCTTCACCCACTTTTTGATGTTTTTTTTTCTTGTAAATTTGTTTAAGTTCCTTGTGGATTCCGGATATTAGCCCCCTGTCAGATGGATTGCAAAAATTTTCTCCCATTCTGTAGGTTGTCTCCTCATTCTGATGATAGTTTCTTTTGCTGTGCAGAAGGTCTTCAGTTTAATTAGATCCCATTTGTCAACTTTGGCTTTTGTTGCCATTGCTTTTGATGTTTAAGTCATAAAGTCTTTGCCCATGCCTATGTCCTAAATGGTGTTGCCTAGGTTTTCTTCGAGGGTTTTTATGGTGTTAGGTTTTACATTTAAGTCTTTAATCCACCTTGGGTTAATTTTTGTATAATGTGTAAGGAAGGGGTCCGGTTTCAGTTTTCTGCATATGACTAGGCAGTTTTCCCAACACCATTTATTAAATAGGGAATCCTTTCCCCATTGCTTGTTTTTGTCAGGTTTGTCAAAGAGCAGATGGTTGTAGATGTGTGGTGTTATTTCTGAGGCCCCTGTTCTGTTCCATTGCTCCATATATCTGTTTTGGTACCAGTACCATGCTGTTTGGGTTACCATAGCCTTGTAGTATAGTTTGAAGTCAGGTAGCGTGATGTCTCCAGCTTTGTTCTTTTTTGTTTAGGATTGTCTTAGCTATGCGGGCCCTTTTTTGGTTCCATATGAAATTTACAGTAGTTTTTTTCTAATTCAGTGAAGAAAGTCAATGGTAGCTTGATGGGGATAGCATTGAATCTATAAATTACTTTGGGCAGTATGACAATTTTCACTATATTGATTCTTCCTATCCATGAGCATGGAATGTTTTTCCATTTGTTTGTGTCCTGTCTTATTTCCTTGAGCAGTGGTTTGTAGTTCTCCTTGAAGAGGTCCTTCACATGCCTTGTAAGTTGTATTCCTAGGTATTTTACTATCTTTGTAACAATTGTGAATGGAAGTTCACTCATGATTTGGCTCTCTGTTTGTCTATTATTGGTGTATAGGAATGCTTGTGATTTTTGCACATTGATTTTGTATCCTGAGACTTTGTTGAAGTTGCTTATCAGCTTAAGGAGATTTTAGGCTCAGACGATGGGGTTTTCTAAATATACAATCATGTCATCTACAAACAGAGACAATTTTACTTCCTCTCTTCCTATTTGAATACCCTTTATTTCTTTCTCTTGCCTGACTGCCCTAGCCAGAACTTTGAATACTATGTTGAATGAAAGTGGTGAAAGAGGGCATCCTTGTCTTGAGCCGGTTTTCAAAGGGAATGCTTCCAGCTTTTGCCCATTCAGTATGATATCGGCTGTGGGTTTGTCATAAATAGCTCTTACTATTTTGAGATACATTCCATCAGTACCTATTTTATTGAGAGTTTTTAGCATGAAGGGCTGTTTTTATTGAAGGCCTTTTCTGCATCTATTGAGATAATCATGTGGTTTTTGTCATTGGTTCTGTTTATGTGATGGATTATGTTTATTGATTTGCATATGTCAAACCAGCCTTGCATCCCAGGGATGAAGCCGACTTGATCATGGTGGATAAGCTTTTTGATGTGCTGCTGGATTCAGTTTGCCAGTATTTTATTGATGATTTTCACATCGATGTTCATCAGGGATATTGGCCTGAAATTTTCTTTTTTTGTTGTGTCTCTGTCAGGTTTTGGTATCAAGATGATGCTGGCCTCATAAAATGAGTTAGGGAGGAGTCCCTCTTTTTCTACTGTTTGGAATAGTTTCAGAAGGAATAGTACCAGCTCCTTTTTGTATCTCTGGTACAATTCGCCTGTGAATCCATTTGGTCCTGGGATTTTTTTGGCTGGTAGGCTATTAATTACTGCCTCAATTTCAGAATCTGTTATTGGCCTATTCATGAATTTGACTTCTTCCTGTTTCAGACTTGGCAGGGTGTATGTGTCCAGGAATTTGTCAATTTCTTCTACATTTTCTAGTTTATTTGCAAGGAGGTGTTTATAGTATTCTCTGACAGTAGTCTGTATTTCTGTGGGATCAGTGGTGATCGCCCCATTATCATTTTTTATTGTGTCTATTCGATTCTCTTCTCTTTTCTTCTTGATTTGTCTGGCAAGTGGTCTGTTTTGTTAATCTTTTCAAAAAACCAGTTCCTGAATTCATTGATTTTTTGAAGGGTTTTTTGTGTCTCTATCTCCTTCCGTTCTGCTCTGGTCTTTGTTATTTCTTGTCTTCTGCTAGCTTTTGAATTTGTTCTTGCTTCTCTAGTTCTTTTAAATGTGATGTTAGGTTGTCGATTTTAGATCTTTTCTACTTTCTCTTGTGGGCATTTAATGCTATAAATTTCCCTCTAAACACTGCTTTAGCTGTGTCCCAGAGATTCTGGTATGTTGTCTCCTTGTTCTCATTGGTTTCAAAGAACTTATTTATTTCTGCCTTAATTTCGTTATTTACCCAGTAGTCATTCAGGAGCAGGCTGTTCAGTTTCCATGTAGTTGTGCAGTATTGAGTGAGTTTCTTAATCCTGAGTTCTAATTTGCTTGCACTGTGGTCTGAGTGATGGTTTATTATGATTTCTGTTCTTTTGCATTTACTGAGGAGTGTTTTACTTCCAATTATGTGGTCAATTTTAGAATAAGTGCAATGTGGTGCTGAGAAGAATGTATATTCTATTGATTTGGGGTGGAGAGTTCTATAGATGTCTTATTAGGTCCACTTGGTTCAGAGCTGAGTTCAAGTTCTGAATATCCTTGTTAATTTTCTGTCTTGTTGATCTAATATTGACAGTGGAGTGTTAAAGTCTCCCAGTGTCACTGTGTGGGAGTCTAAGTCTCTTTGTAGGTCTCTAAAAACTTGTTTATGAATCTGGGTGCTCCTGTATTGGATGCATATATATTTAGGATAGTTAGCTCTTCCTGTTGCATGGATCCCTTTACCATTATGTAATGCCCTTGTCTTTTTTGATCTTTGTTGATTTAATGTCTGTATTATCAGAGACTAAGATTGCAACCCCTGCTTTTTTTTTTTTTTGCTTTCCATTTGCTTGATAAATATTCCTCCATCCCTTTATTTTGACTCTATTTGTGTCTTTACATGTGAGATGAGTCTCCTGAATACAGCACACCAATGGGTCTTGACTCTTTATACAATTTGCAGGTCTGTGTCTTTTATTTGGGGCATTTGGCCCATTTACATTTAAGGTTAGTATTATGTATGAATTTGATCCTGTCATTATGATGCTAGCTGGTTATTTTGCCCATTAGTTGATGCAGTTTCTTCATAGTGTCGATGGTCTTTACAATTTGCTATGTTTTTTGCAGTGGCTGGTACTGGTTTTTCCTTTCCATGTTTAATGCTTCCTTCAGGAGCTCTTGTAAGGCAGGCCCGGTGGTGACAAAATCTCTCAGCATTTGCTTGTCTGTAAAGGATTTTATTTCTCCTTGGCTTGTGAAGCTCTTTGGCTAGATATGAAATTCTGGGTTGAAAATTCTTTTCTTTAAGAATGTTGAATATTGGCCCCCACTCTCTTCTGGCTTACAGGGTTTCTGCAGATAGATCCGCTGTTAGTCTGATGGGCTTCCCTTTGTGGGTAACCCAACCTTTCTCTCTGGCTGCCCTTAACATTTTTTCCTTCATTTCAACCTTGGTGAATCTGATGATTATGGGTCTTGGGGTTGCTCTTCTCGAGGAGTATCTTTGTGGTGTTCTATGTGTTTCCTGAATTTGAATGTAGGCCTGTCTTTCTAGGCTGGGGAAGTTCTCCTGGATAATATCCTGAAGAGTATTTTCCAACTTGGTTCCATTCTCCCTGTCACTTTCAGGTACACTAATCAAACGTAGGTTTGGTGTATTCACACAGTCCCATATTTCTTGGAGGCTTTGTTCCTTTTCATTCTTTTTTTCTCTAATCTTGTCTTCACGCTTTATTTTGTTAAGTTCATCTTCAATCTCTGATATACTTTCTTCTGCTTAATCGATTTGGCTATTGATACTTGGGTATGCTTCATGAAGTTCTCATGCTGTGTTTTTCAGCTCCATCAGGTCATTTATGTTCTTCTCCAAACTGGTTATTCTAGTTAGCAGTTCCTCTAACCTTTTATCAAGGTTCTCAGCTTCCCTGAATTGGGTTAGAGCATGCTCCTTTAGGTTGGAGGAGTTTGTTATTACCCACCTTCTGAAGCCTATTTCTGTCAATTCATCAAACTCACTCTCCATCCAGTTTTGTTCCCTTGCTGGCAAGGAGTTGTGATCCTTTGGAGGAGAAGAGGCATTCTGGTTTTTGGAATTTTCAGCCTTTTTGTGCTGGTTTTTCCTCATCTTCATGGATTTATCTACCTTTGGTTTTGCTGTTGGTGACCTTCAGATGGAGTTTTTGAGTGGTCGTCCTTTTTGTTGATGTTGAAGCCATTGCTTTCTGTTTGTTAGTTTTCCTTCTAATAGGCCTCTCTTCTGCAGGTCTGCCGGAGTTTGCTGGGGGTCTACTCCAGACCCTGTTTGCCTGGGTATCACCAACGGAGGCTGCAGGACAGCAAAGATTGCTGCCTGCTCCTTCCTCTGGAAGCTTTGTCCCAGAGGGCACCCGCCAGATGCCAGCCAGAGCTGTCCCATATGAGGTGTCTGTCGACCCCTGCTGGGAGGTGTCTCCCAGTCAGGAGGCACAGGGTCAGAGACCCACTTGAGGAGGCAGTCTGACCCTTAGCAGAGCTTGAGAGCTGTGCTGGGAGATCTGCTGCGCTCTTCAGAGCCAGCAGGCAGGAACATTTAAGTCTGCTGAAGCTGTGCCCACAGCCACCCATTCCCCCAGGTGCTCTATCCCAGGGAGATGGGAGAGTTTTATCTATAAGCCCCTGACTGAGGCTGCTGCCTTTCTTCCAGAGATGCCCTGCCCAGAGAGGAGGAATCTAGAGAGGCAGTCTGGTTACAGTGGCTTTGCCAAGCCGTGGTAGGCTCCACCCAGTTTGAACTTCTGGGTGGCTTTGTTTACACTATGAGGGGAAAACTGCCTATTCAAGCCTCAGTAATGGTGGACACCCCTTCCCCCACCAAGCTCAAGTGTCCCAGGTCAACTTCAGACTGCTACACTGGCAGTGAGAATTTCAAGCCAATGGATCTTAGCTTGCTGGGCTCTGTGGGGGTGGGATCTGCTGAGCAAGACTACTTGGCTCCCTGGCTTCAGTCCCTTTTCCAGGGGAATGAACAGTTCTGTTTCGCTGGTGTTCCAGGTGCCACTGGAGTATGAAAAAAAACTCCCACAGCTAGCTCGGTGTCTGCGCAAATGGCCACCCAGTTTTGTGCTTGAAACCCAGGGCCCTGGTGGCATAGGCACCCAAGGGAATCTCCTGGTCTGCAGGTTGCAAAGACTGTGGGAAAAGTATAGTATCTGGGCCAGAGTGTACCATTCCTCATGGCACAGTCCCTCACGGCTTCCCTTGGCTAGGGTAGGGAGTTCCCTGACCTCTTGCACTTCCCCGGTGAGATGATGCTCCACCCTGCTTCTGCTCACCCTCCTTGGGCTGCATCCACTGTCTAACCAGTCCCAATGAGATAAGCTGGGTACTTCAGTTGGAAATGCAGTAATCACCTGCCTTCTGCATTGGTCTCACTGGGAGCTGCAGACCGGAGCTGTTCCTATTTGGCCATCTTGCCTGGGAATCCTACTACATAACTTTTATACATGTCTGAGAAAAAAAAAACTAAAAGTGGAGACAAGTATAACAACTGTTTAGATAAGTCTTACTTAATAATATTTCAAAGGAAATAAAATTATAACTCCTCTCAGGAACCTTCTAGTTATGATCTATAACACAGCAGTCATTTTATCTTATTGTTTATATTAGACGGTATGGTATAAATTTCATCCAACAAAAGCAAAGCAAGTATTGTTCCTGTGAGATAAGTGTTACAACTTGTTAATATGCCACCTTTCCCTAGGTGTAGCTAGTGATAATAAAGGTTTTAGATGATAATCAGTCTAGGACTCAAACCTAAAGGTACACTCGCCTATTGTAATCAAAGAGCCTGGTTTCTAAAACTTTTCTTCCAGACTTGACAACAAAAACAAATTTGAACTGTTGTCCAAATTTAGCCTTGGTTTAAAGGGAAGAGAAGTCAACAAGTTGAATCCAATAAGACCTATCTACTGTACATCTAATGATACGTAGGGGATGTAACTGATATTCACAAAGTTATAGTGAACTTGTGATACCAGTGGATAGGCACAAAATCTAGGCCGGAGTCAGCTGCATATGTATATTTTATATAGTATGTTATAGGAATATGCATGCTTGTGTAATAAGTAGAAGAGTATATACTTACATAATTTAATAAAATATTCATATTTATATAGCTGTCTTTATGTCTGCAATTTAATATTTACTTTCTTTACCTATAAAACAGGAATTTACAAGCTGTTGGTTAATAAATGTATGAACCTGACAAAAGTACCACTGATTTAGTAGATTTTGAAAACAATAACTATTGTGTATAAAGCAAAAATCAATATTTTTATAGAAAATAAAATGGTCAAAGTAAAAGCTGATGCACTTTTATGCAGGTTATTCTTTGAATATGTAGCTAAAAGATGATACCAGAAAACCAGCCAAGAGAAAGTTATACTGAATAACAAACGGGTTTGGACATAGGCAGGTATGGGCACAAACTATCTGAGGGCAGGACCACTAAAGTTTTATTCATCTTCCTATTCCTATCGCCTGGAAGATCATTATTTAATAAATGCATGTTAAATAAATAATGGTTATTAAATACAGACATGTACTATGGGGATTATACTTTATACCAAAAGATTAATTTTAATTTTTATGCCAAATTGTAATAACTATGGTGAGCTATAAAGGCAAATTTTTCCCTCAGAAGGAAATAAAACTTTCATTTAAGTCAATAAACACTATATAAATATCAGAAAAACCAAAGCATATTGAATTTTTTGGTGTGCAGCACTTTGTTTTTTCACCTTTTATTTTAGGTTCGGGGGTACATGTGTAGGTTTGTTACAAGGGTAAGTTGTGTGTCACTGGGGTTTGGTGTACAAATGATTTCCTCACCCACGTAGTGAGCATAGTACCCAATAGGTAGTTTTTTGACCCTCACCCTCCTCCTACTATCCCCAGTCAAGTAGGCCCCACTGTCTCCTGTTCTCATCTCTGTGTTCATGTGTACTCAATGTTTAGCTCCCACTTACAAGTGAGAACATAGGGTATGTGGTTTTCTGTTCCTGTGTTAATTTGCTTAGGATAATGGCCTCCAGCTGCATCCAAGTTGCTGCAAAGGACATGATATCATTTTTTATGGCTGCATAGTATTCTGATATATACGTACCACCTTTTCTTTATCCAGTCCACTGTTGAGGGGCATCTAGATTAATTCAATGTAGTTGCTATTGTGAATAGTGCTTGTATGCAGCACTTTACAAAGCATTTGGCAAACATTCAAATGGTCACAAAAAATTCCAAGTGAAACTCAATCCACGTGTGTGTTTGTTTTGTGGGAACCAAGTATTTTTATGGCCTGTAACTTTAATTGGTGGAAGTTATAAAATATCACTTTAGAGTTATACATGTTCATTCTGCTGTTCATAGAATCTGGAATATTTAATTAATAAACTTTTAGCACTAATGGGAAATTTTACATTCTTACAATAAGGCTGAGTCCAGTGAGATCGCTAACTCTGTTATACCTGCCTTTATGTAGTTTTATTAGATAAATCCAGTGATGGTCTTGAAGATCCAGTCTGTTATCTATAAAATACATTCCCACATAAGATGAAGATGATATTTTCCAGAAATACACTCTGCATGGTTTGGCACTGAAACTCATTTTAAACTCCCTGAAACAAATGAGCTAATTCAGGCATGTAATTATGTAGGTCTACAACTAGCAGCCACACAACATTACTGCATGCACCCTTACTGTGGCTGTTACTTACAGATTGGCTGAGGATATCAGAAGACTAGAATGAGATGCCATTTTACATTTTTCTCTTCCTATCTCTCCATTGAGGATATAAAGGTGAAAACCTTCTTTTTTCCCATTGCTGGTTATCGGAATTGAGATTTATTGCCCTTCTGAGGATGAAGGCAAGATAATTTGTATTAAGTTAGCATTTGCCTTAGGTATTTCTTGGTATGTTACAGGCTTTTCTCAGTTACATTCATTCTGCATCTTCCAGCTAATACATTTCCAAAGGAACATCAACAAATGCCAGTTTAATAAAGCGATTCTACAACTGGATAGCAGGATAAAGTGCTAGGCACCTTCCCACAATTTCTCCCTTTTTCTTCTCCAACTAAACCTCCTAACTTCAATTTCTGATAACTTTATTTCAGAATAATATGTATTTTCACACGGTCTCCATCTCACATCCACAAGGCATGAGTCATTATTCAATGAACAATAAACATTTATAATGAACCACATATATGTCAAGAATCCCTAGGGAGGCACAAAAACAAAGACAATACAGGTTTTGCAGTTATCTCACATCTCAGTTTATATCTTGTACTGAAAAGCAGCAAGATATGACAAAACAATAACCATAAATATTATAGAAGCTTAACACATAAACAGAATCAAATTGCAACTAAAACATCAATACCTGGGGTAAGGCTACTGTAAGGTATGACAATAAGGTATGAAAGCCCAGTGCTGTGGGGAGAGGCAGGGTTGAAGAATTATCACTTGGTACATGTCTCCTCTTTCTCCTACACTCCAACTTTTTTACAGGTAAAATCAGATTTTAAAAGCCTATTGGCAGGACATGGTGGCTCATGCCCATAATACCAGTACTTCTGGAGGCCGAGGTGGGTGGATCACTTGAAGTCAGGAGTTCGAGATCAGCCTGGCCAACATGGTGAAACCCTGTCTCTACTAAAATTACAAAAATTAGCTGGTAGTGGTGGTGCATGCCTGTAGTCCCAGCTACTCAGGAGGCTGAGGCAGGAGAATCCCTTGAACCCGAGAGGCAGAAGTTGCAGTGAGCCAAGACTGTGCCATTGCACTCCAGCCTGGGTGACAGAGTGAGACTCCGTCTCAAAAAAATAAAAAATAAAAATAAAAGCATATCAAAGGCCACTTTGAAGACAGAAAGTCTTCTCACACACACACACATACACACACCCCACATAATATGCAAAAGGCAGAAAGGAGGGAAAAAATGATCCCCGCTTCTTTACCTTACTGAAATGCGAAGTGTCAGTGGAAGAAAGAACAAGATCAAGTTGTGTGTGTGTGTGTGTGTATGTATATATATATATACATACACACCTATGTGTATATGCTACCAGTCAAAATCATCTCTCCTGTGAATAGCCAACCCCTCAGTTCCAGGTGACTATCCTCACTCACTCTTTCCCAGAATGAATATGAATCATGCCACCACTTCTTTTGCCAAAGCCTAAGAAGCCAGCAATACCATTCTAAAACTTTGGATTTCAAGATACACTATAAATAGTAAAGTGTTTCATGGTGCTGATTCAAATTCTAGGTCAGAGAGATGTGGATAACACCAATAATCTAGATAGACTTTTTTTAACCCTGTTGAAAATATTTTGAGTTATCAGACTACAACTGCAATAAAAGGAACAGCCCGGTAACTGATGTAAGTTAACAAGCACCTGATTTGTTACTGTCTGTGGTAGGTAAATGGTATCACATCACACATGTTGATTTGGACTAAAGAGTTGCTAATTCTTATTCTAAAGGGATCTTTTAAATTCACAATACCAAAGTCTGTCACAGCCATTGATTACAAAATTAATCTGCAATTATTAGGGTCCTTTTTTGTGAATCTTAAGAGATTTACATGCACACAAACACTATCAAGAGGCAACTCTCTTCGCTTTTCTCATAAACATATACACACACATTCATATTCACACCCAACCTTATACTTTTCCTCCTGATTCAGAGAAAGTTCTTTCTCCCTGGCATCTCAATCTCTCCTTCTCCAGTGCTGCCTCCTCCACAACATAAAAACATGATCAAGTTCCCCTTTTAACTTTGCAACTCCCTGGCTATTGTCCCTTCTTTTCTCCCCTTCACTACCTGACTTTTAAATTTTTTTGAAATTTTTATTGAGATACTTTTAGATTCACATGCATTTCTCAGAAATAATACAGAATCCCTTATACACTTTGCTCAGTTTTCCTCAGTGGTAACATTTTACAAAACTATAGTATAATTACACAACCAGGATACTGACATTGACACAATTCACCAATATTATTTAGATTTCCCAGTTTTACTTGTACGTGTGTGTGTGTGTGTGTGTGTGTGTGTGTGTGTGTGTGTTTTCTATGGAATCTCATCACCTGTGTAGGTTAATGTATGCACCCAGTCAAGATCCTGAAAAGTTCCAACACCACAAGGATCCCTCCTGTTGCCCTTTTATAACTACAACCACCTCCCTCCCACGCCCCCTTCCCTAAATTCTGGCAACCACTCTGTGTCCTCCATTTCCATAATTTTGTCATTTCAAGAATGTCATATAAATGGAATTATACAGTATGTAACCTTTAGGGATTGACTTTTCTTCACTCAGCGTAACTGCCCAAAGTTTCATTCAAGTTGTCATGTGTATCAATAGTTTGTTCTTTTTTATTGTTGACTGGTATTCCAAGGTATGCATATAGCATAGTTTGTTTCTACCTGGCTTTTTAGAAGAGTAGTTTGCTTCTCTACTTTTCATGTTTCATTCCTCAATCCACTACAATTTGACTTCTGCACATACTGCTCCATGGATATCTCATATGCTGATTGCATATTCAATGGACAATTTTTAGTACTTACCTTTCTCAAGTAGCTGACACTACTGACTCATCTCTCCCCTAAAACGCTCTTCTCCTTTGGCTTCTAGTCAAACCATTCTCTCCTGGTCGTTTTATACAGTTTTTCAGTCTACTTTTGTAGACTCTTATGCCCCTTATCCCCGTCCTTAATGGTGAAATCCTCCCAGCATTCTATCTTCAGTGTTTTCACTTCTAAAATTCTACACACCCTCCCAGTGTAATTTTACCCACACTTATAACTTCTATTGCCCCCTGTATGCTGAAGACTCTGGCCAAGATCTTTCTCTTAAATTCCATATGGATATTTTCAAATGCCTAAATGTTTTATCTTCTAAATTTAATGTCTAAGACTGAACTCATTACCTCCTTCCTCTGTATGACTGACCTAATTCCAACCACCTCCTTTCCTTCCTATAATCTCTATCTCTATGAATGGCATCACATCTATTTAGTCATCTCAAAACTTCAGACTCATCTCTACTTCTTTTCCTTCACCCTCCATAGCTAATCAGTCTCTAAGTCCCATCAACTCTATCTCCGAAATATCTGAGTTTATGCCCTCCTCTTACTCCTCACTACCATTTCTTTAAGCTCTTATAATTTATCATTTCTTTTGGATCAACAACAACAGCTTGTCCCTACTTCTGGTATTTCAAGGCCATTCTCCATACTTCTGCCAAGGTCCTCTTACTTAGACACCTATCACAAATCTGATATGTCATTCCTGCATTAAGATCTTACAATGGCTCCTCACTGTCTATGTGATAGAGCCTGACTTTTTAGCACAACATACAAAGCCCTTCAAAATCTATCTCTTGTCTACCTCTCCACCTTCTCTCACCTCTGGCACATCTACATCCTGTGCTGTCATCATTCCAAACTACATGCCATTCCCAAATGTTCTGTCTCACAAACCAGTGATTCAGGTCTCCAAATGAGGAATCTGGAGTGCTTTCTCAGGAAACCAAAATGTAGCTGGGACTTCCAGGAGGTCAAAAGAGTTGAAATCATTAATTGGTTTAATATTCAGAGGAAAAAATGTTAAATGTCTGAAAATATTATAAACTTAAAGAAAAAAATTTAAAAAATATTTTAACATGAAATACATTTGCCTGTACAGCAGCCATCTGGTTTCTTCAACTCCAGAGGATGACACTCAAATACCCTCCTGAATACGACAGAAAAAGACATGAAGTAGTTGATATAAGCTTTCTAGATGCTTGAATAAAACACAAAATAAAGTCTAAGTTATGGATTTTTTTCAGACATAAGATCTTTTTCTCCCCTAAGAGAATAAATGGGGACAAAAAAGAGGAAATAAGATTTGCTTTTGATAAAATTTGCTATTAAAAAAGTACACATTAATAGTTCTTTGAATATTTGATATTATTTTCTCAGATGTGTAGGATCCTCAATTATTTAGTTTTAATCTTCTGTCAATTTTCTTGCTATGCCTTTAACCAGTGATAACAGACTGATCAATCTACACCCCTAGGCAGTGTATTCTTCTGCTTATCCACATGGTAGCAGTGTGTTTCAAATTAAGGTCACCAATGTGGGAATATAAATGAGTACCCAAAATGCTGGCAGAAAGCAGCTGCTCCTTGTTTTACATACATAAACAGAAGAATACCAAATAATGATGGTAACAATATATCACAAAAGTCCAGAGTGTTCTGTCAAGACAAACAAGATACTTCTAGGGAGGAGTAATAAGAAACATGTCAAAGACAGGCATGAATGGTATTTCAAGGTAAAAACAGGAAAACAGACCAAGTTCTGGTAAATACTACATACCTGGTAAAATCCTGGTAACATACTACATACTCATTTTTTTTTAACAACTCAACACCTATAAATGAACTGATTATAGGTATTTAAATCCTGAGAATATATAATTTTATAAGCTATAAATTTTGAAATGCCAATCCTATTAATTATATTTTGTTAGTTCTATAGCAAAAGGTAGCACAGAACCCTTTTGATGACCCTAAATTGATTCCTAACCACTGAGACCTAAGTCAGAACACTGCCAGGCTATAAGAATTGTAATGACAAGTCTAAAAGTTGTTTGTTCTAGGAAAATCATTATTGGTATATACGAAAGCACTTATTTTTAAGGGATGGGGGAAAAGCATTTCAGGGAGGCAAAATTCACAGTACTTAAAAGAACACGGCTGGGTTTAGCCTAGGCTCCCTTGGGGAAATACGACATTTAATCTCAGTTTCCTCAGCTGCAGAAGGGAACAATAAAAGCACCAATCTCAATTTGATGACTAAATGAAATAATTTATATAAAGTACTTAGAGCAAAATTTGACAGTGTTCTAGGCCCTTCTAGTTCCATACTATGATTCCGCTAACAATCAGTGCTGCACACATTCTCATATTTTTAAATTCATATAAAGGACATAAAGAACAGCAAAGAACTTTGAACTGATGGACATATTTCTATCACTGCATCCATTATTCTTCACTATATTAATCTGTTTATGTCTGTGAAGAGTACAGCACATTGGTCAAAGTCATTAGTTCAGGAGTCAGGTCCAGGTTTCCCAGTTCAAATTCAGCCACTAAAAACTGCATGACCTCAGATAAGTTACTTATCTGGGAAAGCAGGTAACACCTTACATCAAACATATATGTTTCTTCTGTGTCTAAAAGAAATACATTTTGGGATCAAGTAATGTAAACATGTAATACAAATTACATACATATTGTATACATGTATATAATATATAAAATAAATTTAAAGCAAAATAAATTTATTTCCTCTCCAATATTTGATATAACTTTTGAAGTAAATAAATGAATTACAATGATCTTCACTGTCAACATCAAAAGCAGCTATAAAGACTATTTTTCAGACTATGTAATGTCTGCTTTAATAGCCAAGACATTCTAAACTTAAGTCTAGAATTTCAAAGGACTCAGTAAGTTAAGCCCACTAGTTGAAATGAACTAGGAGGCAGTAAGTTTGAATGAGTGACAAGATTTAATTTTTAAAGATATTTTTCATAAAACAGTAATAACTGTTCTTAATTTGTGAATAGAAATGTGAATTCAAATATGTTATCAATAATTCCATAAAAATGTCTGATGGGGGCATCCTGCTTTTAAAAACTTATTAAGGATTACTTGTAATTGCTACCATTAAATAGCTGTTTATAAAATAAAAGAATGATTGTAATAAGATATTTCCTCTACAATCATTTTTACACAGTGAATTCTACTTTTACTTACAGACAGAATACAATTACCTGCCCTTATTACCACAAATTCTGAACTAATGGAAATAATTCCATTCATTTTATAAGTAGGTCTCTATGTTACAGATGGGAAAAATCTGAAGCCTAACAATACTCAATGAAATTTAATAAAGATAAAATGCAACTTTGTTCGTTGACATCAAATATCCCAATTAATATCTAAGACAGAAATGGAATACATTTTAATCTTTCCCTAATCTCAAAATTGACAACCACATGACAAAGCATTTCAATTCATATCATTCTATAAAATATACTGTTTAAATTAAGATTAGCTTCTTATTGGGATTCTGAGGGAAAATGTTCATGCACGACTTGATTTCAAGGCAATGAGAAATTACTGGAGGATTTTGGTCAGGGAGGTAACATAACATGTTAAAAAAATGTAGAGGGAAAAATTATTGAATTGGTCATAAATTAGATATAAACAACAGAAAATATGCCTAGAGTCTGCTTTTAAAAAACAAGTAATTTGTGTTTTAAGACAGGAGAGCCTGTTATACAATAATCCAATCTGCTAAAGTCATCATTAAAAACAGGTTTAAATAATTTCTATTTGAAATTAGATGACCTGCACTGACTAAGCTCTTATGTACAAACATTACAAACCAGGAGTGCCTGAAGTGAGAACAAGCAATTAGGGTCAACCAAAGGAAAACACTGTTATCTCTGACTCAAGAAATATAATATATTCAATAGAAAGTACTTGTAAGGTATGTACATGTGAGAAAATCACTGAGGTAAGTGTGAAAGACAGCCAAACTGGCCTGTTTCATCCCTGACTGACTTTGGAGAAGTTGCTTAACCTCTCTGTGCTGATTCCTGTAAAATGAGATATGTTAGTGGCTCATAGAGTTGTATGGATTAAATGAGTTAATGTGTGAAAAGTGCCCTGAAGAGTATCTGGCACATTAGCAAATGCTCAATAAATGGTAGCTGTTGCAATTATTATTGTGGTAAAGTTGTTTTATTCTGCTTAGTTCAACTCATGCTTCTGTCATCTGTCTCTCAGAAGCATTCATTTGGTTTTGAATGACCTAAATAATTTCCATTGTTGCATAGGGGCTATCTAGACTGGGGATGGATAATACATTTTTTCAGCTTTAGTGGCCAGACAGATTCTGTTACAACTACTTACTTCTTTTGAAGTAGCTTGAAAGCAGTCACAGATAATACGTAATGAATGAGCATGATTGTGTCCCAATAAAACTTAACTTATGGGCACTGAAATTTGAATTTCATATTATTTTCATCTCATGAAATATTGCTTTTATTTTTTTCAATCATTAAAAATATAAAAACCACTCTTAGCTTACAGGCTGTACAAAAACAGGTGGTAAGCTAGTTTGCCCATATATACACATAGATAAACACAGAACCCTCTTGGTCATAATTCCTCCATATATAAAACCAAAGTAATTGTGATCAGCTTTCCCAACTTTTAGATGTTCAAAAAGCAAAATTTATTTTCACATGAGGAGTAATGTCTAATTCATGGGCCCAATCTTTTCCCTAACTTGCTCCAGTCCAACATACTACATAAAAAATCATGGCTAAACCAGTGCAAAAAGGCTATTGTACTACGTATCATCTGAGTCTCAGGCCATAGTGTATTAAGGATATGTTTATAAATTTCAAAGTTTCACTTTCAGAGATCACTATAATATACAAATTCCTATTATAATGTTAACTTTATTTACCAATGTTTATTTTATAAGATAACTAGAGCTGTTGCCTTTTTGTCATTAACACAAAAGAAGACATTTATCCAATCTTACTAAATCCCTGCCAACAGACATACTTGTTATAAAAGATGACAAAGATGGAAGCTTATCCCTCATCAACACAGAATCAATATAAATGTGACCCTCTTACACTATGTAAAACAGTGCATATTGCATGACAGTAGCTTTGAACAGAGCAGGGTGCATCTAAAACACAACAGAAAAATAATCTTTTGTGGGGTTTTTCCCTATTTCCTTCATTTAAAAAAATGAAGTCTTTCTGGAAAAAAAAATAAAGGCATATTAGCCCACCTTTCATATGACTTCAATTTATAACAGTTAAAAAATCCATAAATCTGTTAAAAGAAGATGGAAGTGCAAATACCAACCAGGGTGCTACTGCGCCTTTTCAGAGATATTTGCATATTTATCTGCTACTAAAACAGCTGATGAGTCAACTTTGCAACAAATCCTTAGTTCCAAGGAGACTTATTAATGGACACCTTTACAAAGAAACTAGGCATTCTCCCTAGGCTTTGTGAAATTGCCATTTTAAGTTTCATTTAAACAGTGAATCAGCGCTAACTCCTAAATAAAACACAAGACTTTAAATCAACAGCTAGGACAATTTTTGATACCTCCCTTTGCTAAACCATCACCAAGACCTACGATCTGACCTCCTAAGGATTGCCATCACTTCTGTCTTGGTTAGCACCTCCACCACTTTTCTAGACCAGCCATTGTCATCTCTCCTGGACTGAAATAGCCTCCTAGCAGCATCTACTCTGATCACTCTCCTCCACACTGTTCCTCACACTATAGACACTCTTCAAACCTCATCCTGTTTCTTCTTCAAGGAAGCCTTCCCTGACCTCCCTGAATAGATCAAGTTTCCCTGTTAGCATCATGTACCTCTCCTTTATAGGATGAGCTTATTAGAACTTGTAGATAATACTGATTTTATTTGCTTCTATGCTTCTGTGATTAGTATCTATTTTCTCCACTAGACTTTAAGTTTCACAGGGGCAGGATTGATGGATTCCCAATACTTGGCACAATCCTGGCATATAGCAGGAGTCTGATGACTTTGCTGACCACTAAATATGCTATAAGCCATTATAACATCATTTGGGTATATGTTGAGAAAATTCTTGTTGCCACTGAAAAGTCACCTGGTAATTATTTAACTGATAATTAATATAAGGTAGTGATAAACCTCAATTAGCCAAAAAGCCTGATTTACCAGAATAAAATCAGATGTAAAGCTACATCAATTTATAATACGTAAATATTATCTTAGGCATCTTGTGAACAGATT
The DNA here is from genome assembly GCF_000001405.40 of Homo sapiens. Lineage (NCBI taxonomy): Eukaryota > Metazoa > Chordata > Mammalia > Primates > Hominidae > Homo > Homo sapiens. The sequence goes on from NC_000007.14 coordinate 26,782,378, forward strand.
GGTTAAAAGTTTGTTTTTACCTTTAAAAAGTTAACTGAAAAAAGAGTTGTATTAAATAACACATCTTAGAAACATGCTGCTATGGTCTAAATATGTGTCCCCCCCAAATTCATATATTAAAACCTAACCCCCAAGGTTGATAGTATTAAGAGGTGGAGCCTTTGGGAATTGGACACTATGGCTCATGCCTATAGTCACAGCTACTCAGGAGGCTGAGGTGGGTAGATCACTTGAGTCTAGGAATTTGAGGCTTCAGTGAGCTATGATCATGCCATTGCACTCTAGCCTGGGCAACAGACTGAGGCTGTGTCTCTAAAACAGAAAAAGAGGTGGAGCCTTTGGGAGGTGATTAGTCATAAAAGCAGAATCACTGCGAATGGGATTAAAGCCCTCATAAAAGAGGCCCTAGAGAGCTGCCTGCTCTTCCACCATGTGAGGGCACATAGAAGGCACCATTTATGAGAAATAAGCCCTCACCAGACATCTTGATTTGAACTTCCCAACCTCCAGAACTGTGAGCGATAAATATCTGTTGATTATAAGTTACCCAGGCTAAGGTATTTTGTTACAGCAGCCTGAATGGACTAAGACACATGTATAAAAAAGAACACCAGAATGTACCAGATTCTTTCTGCCTCTCCTGAAATACATATGATTAACTCAGATCACTCTCCTGAGCTCCAGACCAGTATCTAACTGCCCACACTGTCACTCGCATGTCCCCAAAGCAGTTACAACTTGGTATTTTTAAATTCCCCCAAGTCATTCTTCCTTTTTGCATTACCCTGGTGGAATGTATCATTCCCCATGAATTTGCCTAAAGCAGGTATCCAGACGTTGTTGTTGACTGTCTCCTCTCCAAGTCAATCACCAAGGTCTGTTGACTTGTGTTCCTAAGAATATCTTGTTTGTTCTCTCCTTCTTCCCTCCTGCCTTTATTCTGGTCTTCCTCCAATCCATACCGTTACTAGGTTGATGTTTTGGGGAGAAAAATGTGACTCCCCTACCCGTTTCCCCCACCAATATTTCTCTGATTATCTCTGAACTCTTTAGCAATATATACAAGACCCACCAAGACCAGAACAAACCAACTACAAATCCAACATTAATTGACCCACTCTCCCACCCTTTCTTATTTAACTCATACTCATCCTTTAAGAGTGAGCTTAAGTACCATATCTTCCAGGATGCCTCCCTCTGGATTGGAAATCCCACCTATAGGCTCTCCTCTATCATAATGCTTCCAGTAATGTGCTGAAACCACCTGGAGCTGGATCATAAGCCAACTGTTAGCATCTCTTCCCACCTCCACAGTGACATCATGTTGGTTGCTAAAGGGACCAGAAACCTAAAAGCAGATGCAAAAAGAACACATGGACACAGGAAGGGGAACATCACACTCTGGGGCCTGTTGTGAGGTGGGGGGAGCGGGGAGGGATAGCTTTAGGAGATATACCTAACGCTAAATGACGAGTTAAGGGGTGCAGCACACCAGCATGGCACATGTATACATACGTAACTAACCTGCACATTATGCACATGTACCCTGAAACTTAAAGTATAATAATAATGAAATAAAATAATTATAAGTCTTAGAAAAAAAAAAAAGAAATCTTATCTGAACTGCCCTTATCTGACTAAAGTAGAGCATTAAAATAGTCAGCTGCCACAATTCCACCCTCACTTTTTCACCCCACTACCCCCATCTCCAGTTAGGGAGGCACTAACCTTGGGCACAGGGACATTCCAAAAAAAAAAAAAATTATGTAAACGAGTCTCATCAGAACTTTCCATCCTTTAAAGCCCTAAACATCTTCCTTTTGTTAAGCTGGTATACAAACCTTTACCTCTGGCTGTTCAGGGAGTTACCTATTGTTGAGTTACCACATATGTGTGAATAAACCTTGTCTTTTCTCCTGTTAATCTACCTATTGTCAGTTAATTTGAAGATCCCCAATCATTCAGACCTAAGTTGATGGAGCAAAAGTTTTTCCTCCACGGTGAGAGTATTTACACAATGGAAAGCTGTAAAGGCCACAAGCTACAAATTAGGCTTTCTTCTTCTGTGAAAGCCAGCGATAAAATATCTACCAGAATATCACTGCTTCTCATCCTGCACTCTAACTCTCCATGTTGCTGTCTGTGGCTCTTCAACCAGAATTTGTCTCTAAAGGTGATGAATCATTCATATTTATCTCTGTATTCTCAAAGCCTGATTTACCTAAACAAAACTGGATATAAATCAACATGTGCTGCATCAAGTCCTAACAAATAATGATCAACACAGGCATCTTCTGTAGAAGGCTGACACACAGTGGGAGTTCAAAGTCATTATTGAAGAGTGAACATAAGAAAGTTTAACAAATTATACAGAAAAATTATTTTTAAAACATTAAGCATCTACAGTAAAGTTTTTCCCTCTCCTGTTAAAAATTAATTCCCATGCCTAAATGTGTAGGGGGAAGTATACTGATGTCTGCAATTTACCTTGAAATGCATCAAAAAACTGTAAATAAGAATGAGCTAATGAATATACAGAGGGGTGGGAAGCTGATATGTGATAAAGCAAGGACAGGAAAATAAGATCTAAGTGGTGGATAAATAGGTATTTTCTGTAAAATTCTTCCAATTCTTTGAGGCACATCTGGAAATTTTCATAATAAAATGTTGGGGCAAAACTGAACTGTCATTTTTTTGCTCATGAGGTGTGCAAATAGTTTTTACCTTCATTAAAAACCTACTAAACTCTTTCAATATACCCAAGTTCTGGAAAAAAGATCATGCCTTTAGGATCCTGTGAGGAAACAGAGTGTTTTTTTGTTTGTTTTTTTTTAAGACTCACTCTGTTGTCCAGGCTGGAGTGCAGTGGCGCGATCTCGGCTCACTGCAAGCTCCACCTCCTGGGTTCACACCATTCTCCTGCCTCAGCCTCCCGAGTAGCTGGGACTACAGGCGCCCGCCACCACACCGGGCTAATTTTTTGTATTTTTAGTAGAGATGGGGTTTCACCATGTTAGCCAGGATGGTCTCGATCTCCTGACCTCGTGATCCACCTGCCTCGGCCTCCCAAAGTGCTGGGATTACAGGCATGAGCCATCGCGCCCGGCCGAGGAAACAAAGTTTTAAATACAACACTCAAACCTTCCCTTGACATCAAAGGGCATATCACAAGAATATAAATGGAGGCCCACAGAGCATATGTCTAAATATTAAGAAGTTTTATATCAAGCTAATGAATCTGTTAACCAAAACATGGTCTATCCTCCAAACTTGACAAATATACACCATTATAATAATAAGGAAGACTGGGCTCAAATTTAGAATGTTGGACTCCTAAGAAATCCCCATTTCTTTTTTCCCTACCCTGGCTCCATCTGATACCCAAAGGAGGCTTGTGGAGATGCCCACCCTTCCATGCCCTGTCCACAGTCCCCTGCACACAATCCATAGTTACCCCCATGCCTATAGACATACACAGCAGTAATATGCTCCATCTACCATAAGACAGAGCCATTGAAGAGGCCCATACAGGCCCTGGGAGCAAGCTTGGGGCCATCTCAGTAGGGATTTCAGGGACCCTGGGAACTGGAATATAGTCTAGAAGATGAGGTGAGGGGAAATGAGATGCAGACATGAGTTGGGCACCTCCCCTTCACCCCAAGAACTGAACCTGTGGGACAGGGCACAACTGGAAAAGGGCCCAATTAGGGCCCTCCAAAGTACAGGGGCTCCTCTTGTCTGGGTCTAAGGGCTGTACCGGCAATTCTATACAAACTATTTGGTAATCAAGATGGGGGAAATTAGGACCCAGGGGAATTTTTTCTTTTTAACTAAGATTAACATTTAATGTAAAAAAGTTAAATTAATTCATTAAACCAATATTCATTAAAGATCCGCCATTCTACAATTAGGGATACAGTGTTGAACAAGACAGACAAGGTCTCTAACCTCACAGAAATTACATTCTAGTGAGGAGAAACAAGTAAAAAACATATAAGTAAGATTATTTCAGATAATGGCAAATGTAAAACAGGCTAATGGGATGGAGAATGATGACAGAGCTTGGAGAACTATTTTAGGAAGGGTTGTCTGGGATGACCTCTCTGAAGAGGTGACCAATGAGCTGAACTGAGGAATATAAAAGTATCAGTCAGGTCAAGATGGGGGAAGGTGGGAGGGAGTGAGGAAGAGCACTCCAGGCAGAGTAATAGGGGACCTAAGGCAGTGGCGAGCCTGGCACTTTCAACGGGTGCCTGTGTGCATGTGCTCCATAAAGGAAAACATTCTTAATTATAATAAACACGTGCCCTAGCAAGAGCAGGGTCATGAGCTCTTTTAGTATGCAAATTATCTCAGTCTGTATCTAAACACATACATTCTGTACAAACTGACAGTTCTAGAATATCTTTTTTTTCTGAACATATAATTATTTGACTTTATTCTACCTATAAAATTGCCCAGTTTTTTTTAAGGTTAACTTAACTCTCCTCCTTCTACAGATCATTCTTTTTTAGACAGCAATTATCTAATCTGTAATTAACTCAACATTTTGCATCTCTGTTTCCCATAGCTAATTAATTTTTAATCATTTGAACACATTATATATCCACATGGGACAAAAAAATAAAGTTAAAGTAGAAATCTAAAGCCTTGAAGTTCTCAAGTAAACTCATTTTTAGTTTTCATGCACTCAAGATCCAGCTATCTCATATTAGAATGTAGGTAAGAATGAAGCTAAGGTCTTCGTTTGACTTCAGAATTTTGCTCTTATTCACAGCCACAAATGACTTTTAACCACCAGTATTAGGCTGTTTTTGCACTGCTATAAAAAATATCTTGGACTGGGTAATTTATAAAGAAAAGAGGTTTCGTTGGCTTACGGTTCCGCAGGCTGTGCAAGTATGGTGTCAGCATCTGATTGGCTTCTGGGAGGCCTCAAGATGGTTTTTTTTTTTTCCTTTTTGAGACAGAGTCTTCCTCTGCCACCTAGGCTGGAGTGCGGTAGCACAATCTTGGCTCACTGCAACCTCTGCCTCCTGGGCTCAAGCAATTCTCCTACCTTAACCTCCTGAGTAGCTGAGACTACAGGCGTGCACCACCCACGCCTGGCTAATTTTTGTATTTTTAGTGGAGATGGGGTTTCACCATGTTAGTGGCCAGGCTGGTATTGAACTCCTGACCTCAAGTGATCCACCTGCCTCTGCCTCCCAAAGCGTTGGGATTACAGGCGTGAGCCACCACACCTGGCCAGGAAGCTTTTTTACTCATGGTGAAAGGCAAAGGGTGACCTGGTGTTTCATATGGCAGAGCAGGAGCAAGAGGGAGGGGGAGGTGCCACACACTTATAAACAACTAGATCTCACAAGTACTCACTCATTGTCGCATACTATTGCAGGGACAGCACCAAGCCATGAGGGATCTGCCCGCATGACCCAAACACCTCCCATCAGGCCCCACCTCTAACAGCGGGGATTACATTTCTTTTTCTTTTTCTTTTTAACCGAGTCTCGCTCTGTCGCCCAGACTGGAGTGCAGTGGCTCAATCTTGGCTCACTGCCACCTCCACCTCCCAACTGTAAGTGATTCTCATGCCTCAGCCCCCTGAATAGCTGGGATTATCAACATGGGATGTAGGCAGGGGCAAATATTCAAATCATATCACCACCTCTTTTCAAACTCCCACAACCCACAAATTTGTTATTGGTCAGAAGAAGGTATTAAGGAATGTGTGGACAAATAAGAACAAAATCACTATAGCTTCTAAGAACAAAAAAGAAAATGGGTTTGAATAGTTATAAAATACATTGAAGATGTTTTATTAGACTTAATGAAAGCTGACTGCGATCATTTCATATTGTTATGAAGTTACAGTACCAGAACAATCAGTAGATAATTAGAAGCAAGTCCTGGTTTCTTACAACAGCTGTGCCACTGGCTGTGATCTTAAGCCAAAGAACCTTTCTATCCCTTCATCTTCGCAGTGGTTAAGAAAAAAAAGAAAAAGAAAAAAATGTTATAAGAGAAATCAGAAAGCACTTAGCATTCTGAAGGAAAAAAAAAACTAGTATATAAATCCAAGTAATAATTAGCTTATTTTTCTTACATTACAAATTAAGAAATGTAAATATGTCATAAATTAAATAACCCAAAACTGTCAGAATTTAAATTGGCTCTGTTCTAACTGAAAATAAAGGAGCATATAAACACCAAACAATGTATTAATCTTATACCCCTTTATAATAGCTCAAAAGAAAAATCAGGTAAGAAAGCTGACTTTTTGTTACTATGAGCACAAAATGCAACTCTAGCACTAATCAAGTGTGTAAGTTGAAAAACTGAAATTCTATTCATGTAAATTTCTTGTAATTTTTTCCAAATCCTAAATCCCACTCCCCCCTAATTATATGCTTAATACCATATACATGTATACACAGATACACACGTGCGCACACACACACACACAAATTAATCGCAAAGTTCTATGGTATACAAAATAGACTGACAATTTTCTGAACATAGTCTCTTCGGAATAATTATAAACAGAATGTAAAATGACTCCGCACTAAGAAGCACATCTACCATTGATGTAGAAACAGTATAATACTCTGTGAGCTAATGCCACAAAATGGCAGCAGACACTTCAAATACAGTATGAACCATTAGTTAAGTATCACTAGCAAAATCCAAGACCACAATGTATTTGTTCTACTCTGTTAGAGTATATAGACTTTTCATTTATTAAAGTTTAATTTGGAAAGTAGGAAAACATTCTTTTTCCATTATAGTAATATATTCTGACATAATGAACATAAGAAAGCTTAATTTACGTATCTAAAAATTTCAAGGTAAAGATTTTTAGGTTAAAAAAATTTTTAGCTCAAACATTTTTATTACATAGTTAAGTTCACAATAATATCTGATGTCCAAAAACCTTCTATTCTAGTAGGATTTATAAGTGCCACTTAAAGGAAGTTGAGGCCCAACATGTATCATTAACTAAGACCATATCATATTCAGGTGGCCTTCATGTAACCAATTTTGTTTTAAACAGGATCTGCTTTAAGTTGACGTACAATGCATTAAGCATCACTCACACAGAGATATTCAATTGTTTGTGTTACAGTTATAGAGTTATTACACTGAATATTCTACTATTCCAGTGTTTTTTAAATGTGTATTTTGCATCATATTACCTAATTTTTTTAAGTAGCCACTGTTTACTTTCAAGCTTTTTCATTTTCTCGCAAAATAATAACTCTTGGTCATCATAGGCCGCCAAATATCAAGCCTTAACCATCTGTCAACTGGCTTGAATTCAGCAGGCATGCTCCTGTAGTTTTGGTTCTAATTGTGTTTAATGCCGCACTAATTATTTCAATGGGGAATAATTTTGTACAGTCAAAGTTGACTCATTTTATAAACTGGAATCTCCTCAGCTATAAATTGGCAGGTCTCATCCTTCATTCCTCCTAAGCGTTGTGCCAAAGGGGAATAAGTATATGGTTGCTCTGTGACCAAATGTCATGTGCTGGGCAGAAACATTGATCCTGGCTATTAATCACTCTGCAAGCCCTCCCAGTAATCAAAGGGCACAGCTGCAATGATATATTACCAGTGTCAGAGCAGAAAGCCCTTTACAAGACTGCATGCCTACCAGCTGATGGCCAGTATGTACTACCGCTTGCACACTGGCCAGCCCAAAGTGCCCAGGCTAATTAATCATCACCTCTAACTGTTCATTCTATAGTTAAACACCTTTATGAGCTGAATTATAGGAGGATTCTTAGCCCCCTAATTACTTAGGTCTGGAAGCAAGGAACCTTCTCACCTGGATACAAAACCTGCCTATTACCTGTTTCAGACCCAATCTACCCTTTCATTCTCTTCTCCATAAAAGTTTGCTGACCTAGCAGTGAACTAGAGACCAAGAGAAAATTGGATGTTGTGGCTGATTTTGGTGTCGTTCACATCAAATGACTGACAGAAGAGCTACACAACATGAAATCATCTAAATTAGTAAGGTGAACTTTTAGAAATCTTACATGTGAATTTTACAATATGAGTCATAAAACATTGGTACAGGTAACTGTGAGGTACAGTTATTTAAGAACAAACCAGTTTTCAGAAGAAATACTAACAAAAGGTTTTACCAGTTATAATTCAATTACTGTTGGGATTTAATATACTGTCCTATTTGGTACAACTTTCTACCTCAGTAAGAACATTCATATGTTGGTCATTTTAATAAAACATTTTATATTTCATACTTGCTTTTGAAACTAATATCCTAACATTTCTAAGTTTTTTAAAGTATCCGGGATAAAAGAGTGAAGACTTTGGAGATTCTAAACAAATATTTGGATTAGCTTTAAATTTATATGTAAAATAATTTTCTCACTTTCAAAACAATGCTAATCCAAACAGAAAAGCAGGAACCATATATCAAGAGGACCTTAAAATTATTACTAAATACTCATACTATATAAAAAGTCTTGAATATAGCAACATTTTCTATTATGCCTAAGACACCAGAGGACTTCATAGCAAAAAACTGTCGATATTTTTAATAGTCAAATATGGAGAAATGTCTTCCTTAAAGAAATATATATAGAACCAGTACAATGGTATAACTCTTGAACATCACATTGAGATTGTAAAACTTGTTTTAATTTAAAAAAAATCCAGGATGTACAGTTGCCAAGTAAATTCAATACATTTCTTAACAGGGCACGCTCCAAGAGGTGAGGAGACATGTGTTGCTTCAGCCAGCATTATCATATCACATATTTAGGAACATGACAAAAAGAAATAATAATGGTTTTATTTCTGTAATACCAAAAGTGATTATTAGCCTGTACCTAGTTCAATATAAAAATTTTCTTTTTTTCTTTTTTTGATATGGGGTCTCACTCTGTCACCCAGGCTGGAGTGCAGTGGTGTGATCACGGCTCACTGCTGGCTAATTTTTTCTATTTTTTTTTAAGACAGGGTTCTCACTTTTTTGCCCAGGCTGGTCTTGTACTCCTGGGCTCAAGCGATCCTCCTGCCTTGGCCTCCCAAAGTTCAGGGATTATAGGTGTGAACCACCACAACCAGCCTCAATACACAATTTTTTAAAAGCTGGTTATGCTTATACTTGGTTTTAGAACCATAAACCAAACCAATCTAGTATCTTTAAAGCAGACTTGACTAACAATTAGGTAACTATCTATTTTGGTTATTTGTATTTCTAAATTATTAGAATTCTAGGATTAAAATAGGTAGCAGTAGAATTAAAAGGCAATATAGCCATTAAAACACCTAACTAGAAGGACTAAAATGAAGAAAGGGACAATACAAATGAAGAAAGGTGAAAATGCAAAGCAACTGTTATTTTCATTGCTGGTGGGCATGCAAAATGGTATAGCTATTGCGGAAAACATTTTGGGAGTTTCTGATAAAAACATGTATCATAGGATACAGCAATTCCACTCCATAGAGATTTGAAAACATGGCCTTCAAAAAGTCTTGTACACCAACACTTACAGTAGTTTTATTCCTATTAGTCAAAACTGAAAAGAATTAAAACATCCATCATTAGTGAGTAGAAAAATATGTTGTGATACATCCATACAACAGAACACTACTCAACAATAAAGGAAGGAACTACAGAGGTATGAAACAACATGGATGAATTGTAAAAGCATCATGCTAAGTATAAGAAGCCAGATTTCTCTGGCTACATATTGTATAATACTATTGATATGACCTTCTGGAAAAGGCAAAACTACAGGAGCAGAAATCAGATAAGTGGTTGCCAGGGGCTGGGTGTGGAGGCAGGGTACTGATGGCAAAGGAGCACAAGGGAACTTTTTGGGGTGCTGGAAATGTTCTATATCTTATCATGACTGTGCAAGTGGTTACCCAGCTGCATATAGCTACCAAAACTCATCACATTGTTCACTTTTAAAGGATGAATTTTATTGTATGTAAATTATACCTGATAAACCTGATCTAAAAACAAAAAGGACAGTGAGAAAAGATCTTGAGTAAAAGAAGTTGACTCATTTCTATATATCTCACATACATTTATTTTGGAGCCACTGACCTGTGTATCCCAAACACATTAATAATTTAGTCTAATGAACAAAAAAACTTTTATTTGAAAAATAAGATTTTGCATTTTAAGAACCATAAATTCTAACTCAGATATAAATGGAAAACTATGAAACATCAAAATATCTTAAAAAGAAGATTACTTTTCTTAATATTTTATCATTTATAGAGCTGAAAAAATTATCTGATATAAATTATCTAATCTGAAAATAAGAGTGAGTGAGCTGTTCCAAGATCTACAGAAATAAAGGCACTTTAGTTCAATTAAATGATTTCCCTGCAGGCAATGTCTTTTCAATCTGAGCTAATGACATCATTTATAAGGAGGATGGTCCATTTAACTAAAAGGATCTTTTACAAGGCAGACAGACAGAAGGCAATCTAAGAATGTTTGCAAGGACTTTTCATATTTCAAAATTATAATGGTGAAAGGCCTACATAAAATTCTTAAAGTTAGATATTAATCAATACATTGCAGAAATAATTTCATAAAAAGAATGTAATAAAGCTCTCAGGAAGTTTTCTTCATGATTTTTCCCTTTAAGAAACGAATTCTTTTCTAATGGCAATTAGGCTACTCCAGACTAGCAGTGACATAGTGTTTGCTAGAAATCAGGGCCTTATTTCTGAAGTGCTAAACTTCCTTACCTACCTGCTGTTTCTAGGCTAATGCTTCCCTAGTCTGACAGACTTACTTTTACCTGACTTGACCCTTCTGCAAGTGAAACAGGCAAAAGCACAATTGCCAACTATCCTTTACCAAACTATGTTGACCAGAAATTATACTGCTAATTCTCCAAAATGAGAAAAGGTTCAGGAATCCTCCAGGGGGCCCTTTCCTTAACCCTATGCTCTAGAATCAGAAATTGAAAATCTTAACTGAAGTATCCTTACAGAAGAATTCCTCACAGCTCAATATCCATACAAGAGAAGCCACTTCACCACCACAGTTTGTGGAAGGACTGATAACTCAAATTGTACAGTAGATTAAACCACACCAAATTCTCTAGGAAAGGTTGCCTTTTCATAAGTCTAAGTTTTAAAATTTTTTTCTATTAAACAATATAAATAGTAATTAGTATTTTGTGTGACCTGGCAAGGAAGTTAGACCAGTAAGGGCAAGACATGGAAAGTCTTAATCCCAAATAAGAGGTACATAATCTAAGTTATAAAAGCACCACCAACAGGCTGTATGACTTTGGACAAGTCAATTAACATATCAGTACTACAGTTTCCTCATCTGTAAAATAATCTCTGAAACCACTTTAAACTCTCACAGTCGATGATCCTCTCATATATCAGAAAAACTGCATTTATAAAAGCAGATGAATGAAATATAGAGCGATTACAAATGACTCAAGTTTTACACTTGCTAATATTGACAGCCTCTGTAAAGCTGCAAGATTCAGGCTTAAAATACAATTAATTAGCCTGGGCTGTCAGGAAATGTGCCTACCTAGGAAATTAAAGCCCAAAAGAAATCAAAGCCAGAGTAAGGAGTTGGTTAAGTATCTACAGAAATTCTGATATATTAGCTAAAGCTGCTTCATCCAATCCTTCTATTTGGAAATGGTCATAACAAATTAAAAGCAAACAAGAAAATTGAGCTGCTATCCCCAGCAGGAGCCCAATTTTTTTTAAGTTGATACTTTTTCTCAGGAAATAGTGTATCTTCTTTTATATTTTTAAATATGAGATGTTAGTAACATTCGAATTTTCATTTATAAAAATTACAAAGCCAATATATTTCACCTATAATAATTTGTCTCAGTAATCCTAGGGGGAGGAAAAAGTGGCTAAAGGAATAGACTAGGGTAGACACCCTGATAGCAATAACTTAAGCATGCCCTGAGCATACGCTGAGAATGACCCCGTATGGCAGATATACCTGAATGTGTGTTCCAAGCTAGGGAATCTGGGAGTGACCAATCCAAAGATTTCTTCCTTGTCTATAAGGAACATCTGAGCCCCTGGCCCATCCCATGGAACATGGATTGAGGCCCTGAGTTTTGGGTTGGATAAAAGTTGCCAGGTGGAGGTCATTCAGGGGAGGTTGTTAAATAAAAATGCTATATAAACTGCATGCTGTTTGCAAGTGGTTGCAGTTTTCCTGCCCAGCCCACCATCACTGGGCCATGCAATTATCTTGTCCAGCCTGCTGCCACTGGACTGTAGGAAGGTGGATATCTTGTCTAGCCCACCACCATTAGATTGTAAAAAGGTGGATATCTTGTCCAACCCCCTGCCACTGGACTGTAAGAAGGCAGATATCTTGTCCAGCCCACCACCACTGGACTACAGGAAGTTGGATATCTTGTACAGCCCGCAGCACTGGACTGTAGGAAGGTGGATATCTTGTCCAGCCCACCACCACTGGACTGCAAGGAAGGTGGATATCTTGTCCAGCCAGCCACCACTGGATTCTCTCCCCTGTACGTATATAAGTTCCTAATAAAACCCCATGTCTCGTTTGCTGGCTCTGGGTCTCTTCTTCAGCCTCTTGAACCTGGTGCCTTCCCTATTGAGGTTAATAGAGGTTTGGCACAACACAGACAAAACAATGTTGATCATAAGTGGACACATGTTTGAGAACCAATTAAAGAGATTTTACTAATAAACAGAAAATGTCCTAAAAGTTCAAAAGAGAAGAGTCACAGAAATTCACTGTTACTCTTGCTACACAGTATTTGCTTCAGTTTATGCCATCAAATTCCTCATTCTTTGAAATTCTAGCCAAGTTCCTTATCACTTGCAATAGGTAAACTTCAGTAGTTATATACAACCAAAGAGGAAGAATGTGAAAGATCCAGATGTTGGTCCTTTCCAGTAAATAATTTATTCATCTGGATGAACATACTAAGTGTTATCACTTTTTCCTACCAGAAAGCTCCAAGCTTTTGAATAAGATCAAATTATCTAAATACTACTTATTTTAATCTTATCGTAGATCATAGGATGAATAAACTTCTAAGTGGATTTTTGAATTTTTCTTCTTATTAGTAAGAACCTCATTTTGATAACTTTAGAAGCAGTTAATTAAATGTAATCAACATTTATTAGCAAGATACGATTCTCAGCACTGTAAGTGGAACAAAATTTTAGCCACCTCAAATCCATTTTGGAAAAATATGAGGTATAATATAAACAATAGCATCATTTAAGCCCCTATGTTATATTTAGATTTACTGGGCAACAACCTCATGATCCAGATACAGTCTTATAAAATGATAAGGGAAGCAGGCACCTATGAAGAGTACTGTTTGAGAAACTTAGTAAGTCACTTAACTCTTGAAAAAATAAAATCTCTCCCACTACCTGGTGATTCATACTTAATACATCATTAGTGGTTGTTAGGGGTTATTTAGGAATGGCTCCTTGATAAGTGCAAATAGCAGTGCATCAATTACAGTGGACCCCTGAACAACACAGGTTTGAACTGCACGAGTCCACTTATCCATGGATTTTTTCAACAAATATATTGGAAAATTTTTTAGAGATCTGTGACAATTTGAAAAAACTCAGAGATGACCTGCATGGCCTAGAAATATGGAAACAAGAAAAAGGTATGTCATTAATGCATAAAATATATGTAAATACTAGTCTATTTTATCATTTACCACCATAAAACATACAAATATCTATTATAAAAAGTTAGTATTTATCCAAACTTACGCACCACAGATCATACATGATGCTACGAAAAGTCAACACAAATGTAAACAAATGATAATGTAGTATTAAATCATAACTGCATAAAATTAACTGTAGTATATCCTGTCCTTTGGTAATAACATCATAGCCATCTCCTGTTGCTGTTGGGGTGAGCTTGAGTGTTACGAAAATCTGCTTAAAACGCTATGTGACACTAATTGACACTAATCATCTCCATGTGAGTAGTTCACCTCTCCAGTAAATTGCATATCGCAGTAAAAAGTGATCTCTTGTGGGTCTCACATATTTTTTACCATGTTTAGTGCAATACTGAAAACCTTGAATAACACCATGGGACCCATACAAAGTGCCACTGGTGATGCTAACAGTACCTCTGAAAAGCAGAGAAAATTCATGACATTACAAGGAAAAGTTGGGTTGCTTGATATGTACCATAGATTGAGTTCTGCAGCTGTGGCTGCCTGCCATTTCGGACAGATAATCGATTGCATAAATAGATGATATCAACTTGTGGCACCAATAAATACAGTACTGTAAATGTATTTTCTCATTAATTTTCTTAATAACATTTCTCTAGCTTATTCTATTATAAGAATGCAGTATATAATACATATACAAAATATGTGTTAATCAACTGTTTATGTTGTTGGTAAGACTTATGGTCAACAACAGGCTATTAGTAGTTAGTTTTGGGGGAGTCAAAAGTTATATGTGGATTTTCAAAAGCACAGGGGGTTGACATCCCTAAACCCTCACATTGTTCATGAGTCAACTGTATATCCCTTACTCCTTTACCATGAGCAGAGCACAAAACATTTGGGCAAATGGTCATAATAGGTTAAGATTTGGTGGGAGAAAAGTAGAGGAGAAATCTGGAGGAGATAAAGAAAATAGGGCATCTTCATCCATGAATCAGAAGTGTTGGACTTGACTCTAGTCCCTAATTCCTGGATGGTACTTCTGGACCCACCGGGGATTAGGGGACCTCGCTGCCTTGAAGGAAAGGACACAGTCCTGGCTGCTTTGCCACTGGCTAATTGTAGAGCCCCAGGGCCTCGAGCTAAAATAGGCAGTAGCCATGGGGTGGTTACAGCAGATCTTGGGCAAGACCCAGTGCTGTGCTGGCTTCAGGTCTTACCCCGTGCAGTCATAGTGGTGGCCGCCACGGGGGTGCCTGTGTTACTCCACCCCCCAGCTTTAGGGGGCTCAGAACAGAAAGAGAGACTCTAAGTTTGGGAGAAATTAAGGGAAGGAAACAGGAGTCTCTGCCTGGTAATCCAGAGAATTCTCCCGGATCTTGTCCAAGACTGTCAAGGTGGCACCTCTATAGCATTACTTGGCTAGGGGTGCTCCCTAAAGCAGATACAGCTTAGATCACAACACTCAAGTCCTTTAAAATATCTGAAAGTCTTCCCAAGAAGGATGGGTATAAATAAGCCCAAACAGTGAAGACTACAACAAATGGCCAGATACTGAAGAACATCTACTAGCACCAACACCATCCAGGAAAACATGACTTCACCAAATGAATTAAATAAGGTGCCAGGGACCAATCCTGGAGAAACACAGTTATGTGACCTTTCAGACAGAAAATTCAAAATAGCTGTGTTGAAAACACTCAAAGAAATTCAAGATAACACAGAGAAGGAATTCTGAATTCTATTATATAAATTTAACAAAAAGATTGAAATAATGAAAAAGAACCAAGCAGAAGTTCTGGAGCTGAAAAATGCAACTGGCATACTGAAGAATGCAATTGGCATACTGAAGAATGCATCAGAGTCCTTTAACAGCAGAATTGATCAAGCAGAAGAAAGAATTAGTGAGCTTGAAGACAGGCTATTTGAAAATATACAGTCAGAGGAGACAAAAGAAAAAAGAATAATAATAATAACAGAGAACTTCCAACTCCTAAAGAAAGATATCAATATCCAAGTACAAGAAGGTTATAGAACACTAAGCAGATTTAACCCAAAGGTTAAAGCATTTAATAGTCAAACTCCCAAAGACCAAGGATAAAGAAAGGACTTTAAAAACAGCAAGAAAAAAGAAACAAATAGCATACAATGAAGCTCCAATACATCTGGCAGCAGACTTTTCAGTGGAAACCTTATAGGCCAGGAGAGAGTGGCATGACATGTTTAAAGTACCAAAGGAAAAAAACTAACCTAGAATACTAGATTTGGTGGAAATAAACTTCAAATATGAAGGAGAAACCAAAAAAGAACCAAGCAGAAGTTCTGGAGCTGAAAAATGCAATTGGCATACTGAAGAAGGCATCAGAGTCCTTTAAATAGGAGAATTGGTCAAGCAGAAGAAAGCTGAGGAATTTCATCAATACCAGACCTGTCCTACAAGAAATGCAACCGGAAGTACTTCAATCAGAAAGAAAAGGACATTAATGAGCAATAAGTAATCACCTGAAGGTACAAAACTCACTAGTCACAGTAAGTACACAGAAAAACACAGAATAGTATCACACTGTAACTGTGGTGTATAAACTACTCTTATCCTAAGTAAAAAGACTAAATGATGAACCAATCAAAAATAACTACTTTTCAAGACACAGTCAATACAATAAGATATAAATAAAAACAACAAAAACTTAAAACATGTTTTTGATGAAGTTAAGCTGTAGAGTGTTTAACAGTTTGCTTTTTGCTTGGTTGTTTGCTTATTCAAATAGTGTTGTTTTTATTAGGTTAAAATAATGGGTTATAAGATAGTATTTGCAAGCCTCACAGTAACTTCAAACCAAAAAACATACAACGGACACACAAGACATAAAAAGCAAGAGACTAAATCATAACACCAGAGAAAATTACCTTCACTAGAGGAAGACAAGAAAGGAAACAAAGGAAGAAAGGAAGGGAAGGAAAAAGGGGAGGGGAAAAGAGGAGGGGAGGGGCGGGACAGGGGCAGGGACAGGGCAAGGCAAGGCAGGGCAGGGCAAGGCAAGGCAAGGCAAGACAAGGCAAGGCAAGGCAAGGCAAGGCAAGGCAAGACAACACCAGACCACAAAACAACCAGAAAATAAGTAACAAAATGGCAGGTATTAGTCCTTACTTATCAATAATACCATTGAATGTAAATGGATTAAACTCTTCAATCAAAAGACACAGACGGGCTGAATGGAAGAAAAAAAAAACCCCATTGATCTGTTGCCTTACAGGAAACACATTTCACCTATAAGCACACATAGACTAAAATCAAAGTGATAAAAAAAGATATTTCATGCCAATGGAAACCAAAAAAGAGCAGGAATTGCTATACTTAGACAAAATAGATTTCAAGACAAAAACAATAAGAAGAGATAAAGAAGGTCACTATATAATGATAAAGGAGTCAATTCAGCAAGAGGATTTAGCAATTTTAAATATATATGCACCCAACACTAGAACACCCAGATATATAAGGAAAATATTATCAGAGCTAAAGAAAGAGATAGGCCCTGATACAATAATAGCTGGAGACTTCAATACCCCACTTTCAGCATCACTCACATCTTCCAGACAGAAAATCAACAAAGAAACATCAGGCTTAATCTGCACTATAGACCAAATGGATCTAACAGATATCTACAAAACATTTCATCCAAGAGCTGCAGAATACGCATTCTTTTCTTCAGCACATGGATCATTCTCAAGAATAGACCATATGTCAGGTCACAAAACAAGTCTTAAAACATTCAAAAAAACAGGCGGTGGCTCACGCCTGTAATCCCAGCACTTTGGGAGGCTGAGGCAGGTGGATCACGAGGTCAGGAGATAGAGACCATCCTGGCTAATACGGTGAAACCCTGTCTCTACTAAAAATACAAAAAAAAAAAATTAGCCATTTGTGGTGGGGGGTGTCTGTAGTCCCAGCTACTTAGGAGGCTGAGGCAGGAGAATGGCATGAACCCAGGAGGTGGAGCTTGCAGTGAGCCAAGATTGCGCCACTGCACTCCAGCCTGGGCGACAGAGCGAAACTCTGTCTCAAAAAAATAAATAAAATAAAATAAAAACTGAAAAACTACCAAGCATCTTCTCTGACCACAATGGAATAAAATTCAAAATTAATAACAAGAGGAATTTTGGAAACTACACAAATGCATGGAAATTAAACAGTATACTCTTGAATAACCAGCGGGTCGGTGAAGACATGAAGAAGGAAATTGAAAAATTTCTTCAAACAAATGATAATGAAAACAGAACACACCAAAACCTATGTGATACAGCAAAAGCAGTACTCAGAAGGACATTTATAGCTATAAGTGCCTATATTGAAAAAGAGGAAAATTTTCAATGCATCTTCAAGAACTTGAAAAGCAAGAGCAAACCAAACCCAAAATTAGTAGAAGAAAAAATAAATAAATAAAGACCAGAGCAGAAATAAATGAAATTGAAATTTTAAAAAAATACAAAAGATCAACCAAAAAGTTGGTTTTTTGAAATGTTAAACAAAATTGACAAACCTTTAGCCACACTAAGAAAAAGAGAAGATCCAAATAAATAAAATCAGAAATGAAAAGAGAGACATTACAAGTGATACTGCAGAAATTCAAAGGATTGTCAGTGTCTACACTATGAGCAAGTACATGCCAATAAATTGGAAAATCTGGAAGAAATGGACAAATTCCTAGATACATACAACTGACCAAGATGAACCAGGAAGAAATCCAAAACTGGAACAGACCAATAAGAAGCAACAAGATTGAAGCTGTAATAAAACATCTCCCAGTAAAGAAAAGCCCAGGACCTGATGGCTTCACTGCTGAATTCTACCAAACATTTAAAGAACTAACACCAATCCTAATCAAACTAGTCCAAAAAAATAGAGCAGAACAGAATACTTCCAAATTCATTCTACAAGGCCAGTATTACTGATACCAAAACGAGAAAAAGACGCATCCAAGAAAGAAAGAAAGAAAAAAAAATATAGGCCAATATATTTGATGAATAATTGATGCAAAAATCATCAACAAAATACAAGCAATCTGAATTCAACAATGCATTAGACAGATCATTCATCATGACCAAGTGGGATTTATCTCTGGGATGCAAGGATGGCTCAACATATACAAATCAATCAACATGATACATCATATCAATAGAATGAAGGATGAAAACCATATGATCATTTCAACTGATGCTGAAAAGGCATTTGATAAAATTCAACATCCCTTCATGACAAAAACGCTTTAAAAAACTGGGTATAGAAGGAACATATCTCAACATAATAAAAGCCATACATGACAAACCTACAGCTAGTATCATACTGAATGAGGAAAAACTGAAAGCCTTTCCTCTAAAATCTGGAACACGACAAAGATGCCCATTGTCACTGCTGTTATTCAACACAGTACTGGAAGTCCTAGCTAGAGCAATCAGACAACAGAAAGAAATAAAGGCATCCAAATTGGAAAGGAGGAAGTCAAACTATCCTTGTTTGCCAATAATATGATCTTATATTTGGAAAAACCTAAAGACTCCACAAAGAAACTACTAGAACTGAGAAACAAATTCAGTAAAGCTGCAGGATACAAAATCAACACACAAAAATCAGCAGTATTTCTATATGTCAACAGTGAACAATGTGAAAAAGAAATTTAAAAAGTAATCCCATTTACAATAGCCACACATAAAATTAAATACCTAGAAATTAACTTAAAGAGGTGAAAGATCTCTATAATGAAAACTATAAAATACTTATAAAGAAAATTGAAGATGACACCTAAAAATCAAAAAATATTTCATGTTCATGGGTTGGAAGAATCAATATTGTTACAATGTCCATATTACCCAAAGCAATCTACAGATTCAATGCAATCCCTATCAAAATACCAATGACATTCTTCCCCAAAACAGAAAAAAAAATCCTCAAATTTACATGGAACCACAAAAGACTCAGAACAGCCAATGTTACCCTAAGCAAAAAGAACAAAGCTGGAGGAATCGCATATCTAACTTCAAATCATACTACAGAGTTATAGTTATCAAAACAGCATGGTACTGGCACAAAAACAGACACATAGACCAATGGAACAGATTAAAGAACACAGAAGCAAATCCACACACTTAGAGTGAAATCATTTTTGACAAAGGTACTAAGAACATAGACTGGAGAAAAGACAGTTTTTTTTTTTTTTTGGTTTTTTTTTTTTTTGAGACGGAGTTTCACTCTTGCCCAGGCTGGAGTGTAATGGCATGATCTCAGCTCACTGCAACCTCCGCCTCCCGAGTTCAAGCGATTCTCCTGCCTCAGCCTCCCAAGTAGCTAGGGCTACAGACATGCACCACCATGCCTGGCTAATTTTATATTTTTAGTAGAGACAGGGTTTCTCCATGTTGGTCAGGCTGGTCTCGAGCTCCCGACCTCAGGTGATCTGCCCGCCTCAGCCTCCCAAAGTGTTGGGATTATAGGCATGAGCCACCACACCCAGCCAAGACAGTCTCTTTAATAAATGCTGCTTGGGGCTGGGTGCAGTAGCACACGCCTGTAATCCTGGCACTTTGGGAGGCAGAGGCAGGTGGATCACGAGGTCAAGAGATTGAGACCATCCTGGCCAACATGGTGAAACCCAGTCTCTACTAAAAATACAAAAATTAGCCAGACATGGTAGCACGTGCCTGTAGTCCCAGCTACTCGGGAGGGTGAGGCAGGAGAATCGCTTGAACCCAGAAGACAGAGGTTGCAGTGAGTCAAGATCGCACTCCAGCCTGGTGACAGAGCAAGACTCTGTCTCAATAAATAAATAAATAAATGCTGCTTGGAAAACTGGAAATCCATATGGGAAAGAATGAAACTAGACCCCTATCTCTCACCATATACAAAAATCAAATCAAAATGGATTAAAGACTTAAATCTAAAGCCTCAAACTATGAAACTACTACAAGAAAACATTGGAGAAAATTTCCAGGACATTAGTCTGGGTAAAGACTTCTTGAGCAAAACCCCGCAAGCACAGGCAACCAAAGCAAACATGGACAAATGGGATCACATCAAGTTAAAAAGCTTCTTCACAGCAAAGAATACAATCAACAAAATGAAGAGAGAACACACAGAATGGGAGAAAATATTTGCAAAATACCCCTCTGACAAGGGATTAGTAACCAGACTACATAAGGAGCTCAAACAAGTCTACAGGAAAAAAGCCTAACAATCCAATCAAAAAATAGGCAAAACCTTTGAACAGACATTTCTCAAAAGAAGACATGCAAATGGCAGACATATGACAAGGTGCTCAACATCACTGATCATCAGAGAAATGCAAATCAAAACTACAATGAGACATCATCTCACCCCAGTTAAAATGGCTTATATCCAAAAGACAGGCAATAGCAAATGCTGACGAGCATGTGAATGACAGACAGCCCTTGTATGCTATTGGTGGGAATGTAAATTAGTACAACTACCATGGAAAACAGTTTGGAGGTTCCTCAAAAAAACAAAAAATTGAGGTACCATAGGATCCAGCAATCCCACTGCTGGATATATGCCCAAAAGAAAGGAAATCAGTATACTGAAGAGATATCTGCACTCCTACGTTTGTTGCAGCATTATTTATGATAGCTAAGATTTCAAAGCAACTAAGTGTCCATAAACAGATGACTGGATAAAGAAAATGTGGTACATATACACAATGGAGTACTATTCAGCCATAAAAAAGAATGAGATCCAGTCATTTGCAACAACATGGATGGAACTGGAAATCATTATGTTAAGTGAAATAAGCCAGGCACTGAAAGACAAACACTGCATGTTCTCACTTACTTGTGGGATCTAAAAATCAAATCAACTGAACTCATAGACACGGAGTGTAGAGGATGGTTATCAGAGGCGAGGAAGAGTAGTGGAGGATTGGAGGGGGAGGTTAATGGGTATGAAAAAAATAGAAAGAATGAATAAGACCTACTATTGAATAGCACAATAGGGTGATTATAGTCAACAGTAACTTAATTGTATATTTTAAAATAACTTAAAGAATGTAATTGGATTATTTGGAACTCAAAGGATAAATGCTTGAGGGGATGGATGGCCCATGCTCCATGATGTGCCTATGTCACACTGCATGCCCGTATCAAAATGTCTTATGTACCCCATAAATGTATACATCTACTATATACCCACAAAATTTTTTAAAAAATAATTTTAAAAAAATTTTAAAAAGAAGTGTTGGACTAAATTTCCTCTGTTATCCTTTCTAACTCTATACTTCTACAATTTGTTTTAATCAATACCACAAATTATAAGCAAAGAAGAAATATTTATACCTTACATGATAATGTTTTAGAATCCTTAACACATAATGTTTAATAAAAAGAATGTGCCGGGCCGGGCCTGGTGGTTCAGGCCCGTAATCCCAGCACTTTGGGAGGCCAAGGCGGGCAGATCACAAGGTCAGGAGATTGAGACCATCCTGGCTAATGTGGTGAAACGCTGTCTCTATTAAAATTACAAAAATTAGCCAGGCATGGTGGCACGCACCTGTAGTCCCAGCTACTCAGGAGGCTGAGGCAGGAGAATCACTTGAACCCGGGAGGCGGAGGTTGCAGTGAGCCGAAATAGCACCACTGCACTCCAGCCTGGGTGACAGAGTGAGACCCCGTCTCAAAAAAAAAAAAAAAAAGTGCCAATTTTTAATGCAGGAATAAATAAAAAGGCAATTTATTAAAAATGCAAATAATGAATAAAATATTTTTTAAATTCACCATCAACTAGTAAAAAGAAAAGCCAGTTAACAGTGAAATACCATTATTGGGAAATCCTTAAAAGATTAACAGCCAATGTATAAAAAATGCTTACTATCATGGAAAGATGTTTCCTATAGTATGAAAAAATTAAAGTATAAAACACAGTATCCAGAATATGATGTCTAATATGCACAGAAAATGTCTCTAGACAGATAATATACTACAATTTTAACAGGGGTTAGTTTTGAAATCAGATTATAAAGCTGGGCATGGTGGTGAGCAATTATATTCCCACCTACTTTAGAGGCTGATGTGGGAGGTTCCCTTGAGCTTGAGACCAGCCTGGGCAACATAGTGACACCCTGTCTCTTTAAAATAAAAAATTTTTAATCAGATTATGAAACAATCAACAGACTATGATGTCATATATGTACAGAAAATGTCTCTAGACAGTTGTATACCATAATTTTTGTAGGAATTATTTCTGTTACCAGTGATTACTTTCTTCATTATTCTAATCAGGTATGCTGATTTTAAAATGAGTTCACAAATTCCTTAACACTCCTCCTTCGAAAGGCAGAGCCTAATCCCTTTCCCCTTGAATGGGGGTCAACTTCACCCATTTGATTCTAAAGGACAGAATGTGGCTAAAGTGATGCTATGTGACATCTGAGACTAGGTCATAAAAAAATATATAGCTTCTACTCGGCTCTTTCTTCGGGGGAAGCCAGCTACAAAGTCATGAGGGCACTCAAGTAGACAGTGGAAAAACTCATGTGAAAAGGGACCAAGGCCTCCTGACAACAGTCAGCACCAACTTGCAGCCATGTGAGTGAGCCTCCCTGAAAGTGGATTCAAACTTTCGGATCACTGCAGCCTCAGCTAAAATTCTGACTGCAATTTCATGAATAGTTCTAAGCCAGAGACTGCTAAGCCATTCCCCAATGCTTGACTCACAGAAATGTGAGAATAAAAGGTTTATTACTTAATAATAAATATATGTACACTTCATTTTATTGCATTTCACTTTATTGCACATTGCAGACATCGCACCTTCTACAAGTTGACGGTCTGTGGCAACTCTGTCGAGAAAGTCTATCGGCACCATTTTTCCAACAGCATGTGTTGGCTTTGTGTCTCTGTGTCACCTTTTGGTAATTTTCACATCTGAAACTTTTTCATTATTATTATATCTGTTACGGTGATCTATAGTTACCATTGTAATTGTTTTGGGAACCATGAGCCACACCCATATAGGATAGCATATTTCATTGATAAATATTGTGTATGTTTTGATTGTTCCACTGACTGACTCTTCCCCTTGTCTCTCTCCCTCTCCTTGGGCTTCCCTATTCCCTGAGACATAACAATATTGAAATTAGGCCAATTAATAACCCTACAATGACTTCTAAGTTTTCAAATAAAAGGAAGAATCACACACCTCTCACTTTAAATCAAAAGCTAGACTCACTTTTGTAATCCCAGCACTTTGGGAGGCCAAAGTGGGAGGATCACTTGAGCCCAGGAGTTTGAGACTAGCCTGGGCAATATAGTGAGACCTCATCTCAATCAATCAATAAATAAACAAATCAATATAAAAAATATAAATAAGCCAGGTATGGCGTTATATGCCTGTGGTCCCAGCTACTCAGGAAACAGGTAGGAGAAGCCCTTGAGCCTGGGAATTTGAGGCTGCAAAGCAAACAAACAAAGCTAGAAATGATTAAGCTTGGTAAGAAATTCATGTTGAAAGCCAAGACAGACTGAAAGCTGGCCTCTTGCACCAAACAGCCAAGTTGTGAATGCAAAGGTAAAGTCATTGAAGGTAAATACAAGTGCTGCTCTAGTGAATACACAAATGGTAAGAAAGCAAAAAAGCCTTTTTGCTGATATGAAGTGTCAGTGGTCTGGATAGAAGATTAAATCAGTTACAACACTCCCTTAAGGTGAAATCTAATGCAGCTCAAGGCCCTAACTCTGCTCAATTCTATGAAGACTGAGAGGTAAGGAAGCCACAGAAGAAAAGTTGAAATCTAGCAGAGGTTGGTTCATGAGGTTTAAGGAAAGAAGCCATCTTCATAACATAAAAGTGCAAGGAGTTTGGAAGAAGCTGATTCCAACTCTTATGGATGACTTAGAGGTTCAGGACTTCAGTGGAGAAAGTCGCTGCAGATATGATGGAAATAGCAAGAGAACTACAATTAGAAGTAGGCCCTGAAGACGTGACTGAATTGTTGAAATCTCATGATAAAACTTGAAGGGATGCAAAGTTGCTTCTTAGGATGAGCAAAAAAAGTGGTTTCTTGCGATGGAATCTACTACCAGTAAAGACACTGTGAACATTGATGAAATGACAATAATGGAAGGATCAGTATATTACATAAATTTAGGCGATACAGCAGTGGCAGGATTTGAGAGGATTGCCTCTGATATGGTTTGGCTCTGTGTCTCCACCCAAATCTCATCTCGAATTATAATCCTCACGTGTCCAGGGAAGGACCTGGTGGGAAGTGATTGGATCATCGGGGAAGTGGGGGTTCCCCATGTTGTTCTTGTGATAGTGAGTGAGTTCCCACAAGATCTGATAGTTTAAAAGTGTTTGGCAGTTCCCTCCTTGCTCTCTGTCTCTCCTTCCACCTTGTGAAGAAGCTGCTTGTGTCTCTTTAACTTTCTGCCATGATTTTAAGTTTCCTGAGGCGCCCCCAGCCATGTGGAAATGCAAGTCAATTAAACCTCCTTTATAAATTACCCTGTCTCAGGTAGTTCTTTATAGCAGTGTGAAAATGGACTAATACAGTCTCCAATTTTGAAAGGGAGTTCTACTTTGGGTAAAATGCTAGCAAATGTCATCACATGCCTCAGAGAAATCTTTCATGGAAGGAAGAGTCAATCAATGTGGCAAAACTCACTGTTATCTTACTTTTAAAAATTGCCACAGCCATCCCAAACCTTCAGCAACCACTGTCCTGATTAGTCAGCAGTGATCCACATTGACGCAAGACGCTCCACCAGCAAAAAGATTACAACTTGCTGAAGGGTAAGATGATTGTTAGCACTTTTTTTAGCAATAAAGTATTTTTAAATTAAGGTATGCACATTGTTTTTTAGACATAATACTAATTGCACACTTAATAGACTACAGTATAGTGTAAACATAACTTTTATGCATATAAATCAAAAAACTCATGAATTGCTTTATTGCAATATTCATTTTATTGCAGTGGTCTGAAACCAAACCCACAATATCTCTGAGGTATGGCTGTGATAATAAAATAATACACAGGTTTAGGGGTAATCTGCTATACAGCAATAAATAATTAATACATCTGTATAGGGCTGTGGTCAAAAGTGTAGGCTCTGCAGTATTCATAATAACCAAAAGATGGAAATAACCCAAATAAATGTCCATGAACAGATGAATGGATAAATTTTGGTATACATACATAATAGAATATTATTAGCTTTAAAAAAAGAATGAAATTCTGATACATGCTACAACATGATGACCCTTAAAGACATTATGCTAAGTAAAATAAGCCAGACACAAATGTACAAATACAGTATGACTTTACTCACATGAAGTACCTAGAACAGGCCAATTCAGAGACTAAAAATAGAATAGAGGTTGTGGGAGCAGAGGGTAGGGAGGTGGGTGAATGGGGAGTTACTGTTTAATGGATACAGAGTTTCCGTTTACAATGATGAAAACATTATGAAAACGGTGATTGGTGGTTACTCAACATTGTGAATATACTTAATGCCACTGAAATGTATACTTAAAAGTGGTTAAAATTGTAAATTTCATAATATGTGTCTTTTACCATAATAAAAAAAAAGGAAGGGACAAGCCTTGGAATAAGATGGCTTGGGTCTCAACCTTGGTTCCGATACTTACTAGGCATGTAACCTAGTCTCTCTATACCTTAATTTCTTCATGTACAAAATGGGTATAACAACAATGCCTACGGCAAAAATCAACTCAAAGTGAATTAAAGACTTAAGTGGAATACCTGAAACTAAAAATATTAGAAGAAAACAGAAGAGAAGCTCCATGATGTTGGTCTTGGCAAAGAATTTTTAGATATGACCCCCAAAGCACAGGTAACAAAAGCAAAAGTTGGTAAATGGGGTTACATCAAACTAAAAAGTTTCTGTACGGCAAAGGAAACAATCAACAGAGTGAAGAGACAGCCTATGGAATAGGAGAAAATATTTGCAAACCACACATCTGGTAAGGGGTTAAGATCCAAAATACATAAGGAACTCAACAGACTCAATAGTAGGAAAACAAAACTCAATAAAAAAGTGGTCTGGCCGGGCGCGGTGGCTCACGCCTGTAATCCCAGCACTTTGGGAGGCCAAGGTGGGCAGATCACCTGAGGTCAGGAGTTTGAGACCAGCCTGACCAATATGATGAAACCTCATCTCTACTAAACATACAAAAATTGGCCGGGTGTGGTGGCATGTGCCTGTAATCCCGCAACTTGGGAGGCTGAGAAAGGAGAATCATTTGAACCCGGGAGGCAGAGGTTGCAGTGAGCCAAGATCGCACCATTGCACTCCAGCCTGGGCAACAAGAGCAAAACTTCGTTTCACAAGAAAAAAAAAAAAAGTGGGCAAAGGACCTGAATAAACTTTTCTCAAAAGAAGACCTACAAATGTCCAACAGGTATACAAAAAAAATGTTCAATACCACTAGACATCAGGGAAATGCAAATTAAAACCACAATGAGATAACACCTCACACCTGTCAGAACAGCTATTATCAAAAAGACAAAAGATAACCAGTGTTTGTGAGGATGTGAAGAAATGGAAAGCCTTGTATACTGTTTGTGGGAATGTAAATTAGAACAACCATTATGGAAAACAGTATGGAGCTTCCCCCAAAAAATTAAAAATAGAGCTACCATATGATCCAGTAATCCCACTTCTGGGAATATATCCAAAAGATACAAAATCAGTATGTCAAGGGGATATCTGCACTCCCATCTTCACTGTAGCATTATTCACAATAGCCAAGATACGGAATCAGCCTAAGTGTCCATGAAGATGAATAGATGAAGAAAATGTAGTATATGTATAAAATGGAATACCATTTAGCCTTTCAAAAGAAGGAAATCTTGTCATTTGTGCCAATATGGATGAACCTGGAGGGCATTAAGTTAAGTAAAAAAGCCAGGCACAGTAAGACAAATGCTGCATGATCTTAATTTATATGTAGTGTTAAAAAGTTGGGCTGGGCACAGTGGTTCGCACCCGTAATCTCAGTGTTTTGGAAGGCTGAAGCAGGAGGATCACTTGAGGCCAGGAGTTCAAGACCAGACTAGCCAACCTGGCAAGTCTCCATCTCCACAAAAATAAAAAAATTAGCCAGTCATTGTGGTACACCCTTGTAGTCCTAACCACTCAGGAGGCTAAGGCATGAAGATGGCTTGAGGTTACAGTAAACTGAGATTGCACCACTGCACTCCAGCCTGGACCATGTCTCTAAAAGAAAAAAAAGGAAAGAAAAAGAAAGAAAAAAAAAGAAAACAAGAAAAACAAAAAAGTCAAACTCACAGAAACAGAGAGCAAAATGGTGGTTACCAGACACTGAGGAATAGGAGGAATGGGGAGATGCTAGTCCAAGGATACAAAATTTCAGTTAGATAGGAGGAGTAAGTTCAGAAATCTATTGTACATCACGGTGACTGCTTAACCTACTTATACTTGAAAATTGCTAACAGTGGATTTCAAAGGTTCTCACCACAAAAATATAAGTACATGAGGTAACACTTGAGCTAAATAACTTGATTTAGCCATTCTAAAATGTATACACATATCAAAACATCATGCTGTGTACCATATATATATATACATGTTTTTGTTTGTTTTTTTCTTTGAGACACAGTCTCACTCTGTCACCAGGCTGGAGTCCAGTGGTGCGATCTCAGCTCACTGCAACCTCCACTTCCCAGGTTCAAGCGATTCTCCTGCCTCAGCCTCCCGCGTAGCTGGGACTACAGGCACACGCCACCATGCCTGGCTAATTTTTGTATTTTTAGTAGAGACGGGGTTTCACCATGTTGCACAAGATGGTCTCGATCTCTTGACCTCATGATCCGCGCACCTCGGCCTCCCAAAGTGCTGGGAATACAGGCATGAGCCACCACCCCCAGCCCTATATATAATTTTAATTGTCAATTTAAAGTTTTTTAAATTAAAAAATAAAAATAAAATGAAGTCAAGTAGTTTGACCAGTCACAAAGCAAGTCTCAGAGCTTTCATCTCTTATTTGTTAGCATCCAAAGCTCATGTCCCTAAACACAACAAGCCTGAAGAGCAGGTATTCGTGTTCCACCAGAAAAAGATTGTAGGCTTTGGAGAAAAAAAAGACCTAAATTTCTACCTCAGCTCCACCATTATTTGCTGTGTAGCTTTGGGCAAATCACCTAATCTCTCTGGGCCATAGTTTCTTCAATAATAAAACAATAATTCATCATGCATGCCACTGAAAATTATTCTGATATATTTCTCTATTGATTTTACCTTAAAGGCTTCAGGAAGCCACTGGAGCACTGAAAATTTCTGTTGAACAAATTAAAAAATCCCATCCATATCCCCAAACCACACCATCTTTCTCTTTCCCTGTCCCTACACCCTCTTTACCTAGTAGAAAAGCACCAGAAACCTCTATTTGTCTCTGTTCCTCTTCTCTCTCAACAAATGGACCTATATGTAAAAACTTAAGTCCAAAAGAACACCATTTTGTACATTACTTTGTACTTTTTATATTTGCAATGGGAGATGGAGGGAAGAAACTAGTCAGTAATAAAACAGATCCCCCCTCCACCTGCAGGTGATAATTGTCATAAAGCCCCACTAAGAAAACTGTCTTTTGTTATGTATCCCAAAATAAGAAACTGTTAAGCTATTAAAAGAGAAGAAAAGGGCACTTAGTAGTAAATGCCATCTAATGATACAGACTAATAAATACAAGTAATTTTAATGTAGTAGATTAGAGTTTTAAAATGCCATTTTGCAACTATTTGCAAGAGAGTTTAGTAATTTAAAGAACATTTTCCTTATTACATCAAATTCCCATAATTTACCTTATAAGTAAAATGCTAGCAAAAGCTATAACCTTAATTTATATAACATTAAAGTCACATCCTAACTTTGGGAATTTATTTGCAGGCATGTTAATTTTTAAACAATTTAAAACCACTCTTAAAAGTATTTTCTATTTCCTCCTAGGGCCCTGATTTGTTTTTAAGGGAACTGTTTCAAAGATGTTAACCGAAATTGCAAAGGGACAGCTGCTTGATACAAAGGGGCATATTACTGCCTTGCAATATCAAATCACTCAACCTCACTTCTTTTCCCTCTTTTGGGCTCTAGGTTGCCACTAAAATGGCTATGTCTTAGTAAGTAAATAGAGTGATGGTCATATTATGCATACTGATATATCCTAAGGTCCTTTTACTGGGAAATGAGAGTATTTGCCCATATACACTTTATGTCTATGTTAATGTCTGCACTTGCTTTAACTTCCCTAAATCCCAAAACATGTTTCAAGATTTGTGAACTGGATAATTCACACCAGTGCACTTTTCTGTTGTTCATCTTAAATTACGGAAATTCTCATATCTGTTCTAAACCTTAGGAGACAAAAATACAAAAAAAAATCCCTTAAAAAAGCACCATATGTTCTAAACATAACTTCATAGAATATAAAAAAATCAACCAATGGCAATTAATCTTACAGATGCCATTTCATTTTACCATGAATTACGTCGACAAAATATGTTAAACAATGGGTTTAAATGATGTATATCAAAATGTATTGACTCAAATAGTTTCGCATTATTTCTTTAAGGTATAATAGGTATGTTAAAAAACTATTACCAAAAATAATGCAAGAATAAAATTATCATCTATGGTCGTATCACTTTTTATACCATCTTCCTTAAAATCTTGAGATTCAAGTCCTAACCATACAGTTTCAGTGAGAAAAGCCATAAAACCATGCTTTTTTAAAAAAGAAAAAAAAAAGCCTGTTTTTTTCCGGTCCTGGTTTCCCAGGATCATAAAACTCAAACTGTCCTCCCCAAATTTATCTTTTCTCACTTGTTTCTTAACTGTTGAGTTATAAATACCTCTGTCTTCTATTAAAGGTAAGTTCATTCCTGTGAGAACTATATTCCAAATTCTATACTCACGCTGTATTCAGAATTCAAAATTTGACTTCTAATCTTATATAAAAACTAGTTCTTAAATGTGACAAAGCTATATAGATGTTCTACTAACTTCAATTTTTTTAAAAATTATTAGTTAAATTTTCTCTAGCATTAATTCTAGTTGGAGACTGCAAACACCCAGAATATTGATATAGGTACATACACTGGAGTCAGAATTGATTTTCTATCATTGAACCTGCTAGGCACAAAAGTAACAGTATGCAATTGTATTCATGCTGTGCAAACCTCCTTGATAATATATTAAAAATCTAGCATATTGGGGTTTCCATACTGATTTACACTATACATACCTTTTGTCTATACTTTTTCAAAAAATGGCGTATGTAGCTGAAATTTTTTAAAGCCAACAACAACAAAAATGGTTATAAGCTTGCCTTGTATTAGAACTTCTTTTGTCTGTCAATCAACAATAAAGTATTATTCTACCACCACAAAAGGAAAACCTTTGGAGGCAGTAAAGGACTATGGGTTGTGCAAATGTGCAGTTGCTAAGAAGCAAATATGCCTCTCTTCTAATCAAATAGCCCAGCTCAGCAATGCCGCTGGCTTGGGGCAAAAAGCAAATTCCACCAGCCACAAACTTAGAAACAGTCTTGAATTATTTGTTGCTGACCGCTGGCTGAACCCTTCCTGATGAGCACCATCACCATTAGCCACTACTCAGTGTATTCCATCAACCAATGGCAATAGCAGCATGCTACAGCTCAGGCTACAAGAAATTGATCAAACAGGGTAATGAGACTATTTCTTCACAGAGGTTATTTTAAATGAATATAAATATTTTCTTTCTATGTAATTTGCCACAGAAAGGTCACTGAACTCTCTGTGATTCGAAAGAAAAATGTTCTACTGTCCCCTTTACATATTTGAGTTAAGATAAAGCCAACAAACAATTCAGGGCGTTTCTTGATATTAGGAGCAAATTCTCATGAGCTGGCATTTGAGACAACAGATTTAGCTGTGATATTTTAGCTTCATATGAAGCTACAGCTAAAAATTGATCAAACGATGCTACTCTATAAATATAAAACTAATCATGATTTACTAATTAAAAATATTTATAAGAGTACATTTTTGTTTAACAAAAGCACAATTAATCTCTAATGTAGGAAACTGTGAGAACATGAATCATATGTATGCCTTCTTAGCTCATTATTAAAATTTGATATAATTGTTGTAAATTATTTAGTGGAGAATTCATTTTCTATAGCCCACCTCCTCCTGCTAGACAGTAGAATAAAATGCATGTTAACTATTCCAGTTGGCACATGAATCATTTCACTGACATCTGATTTAGCTCCTCTTACAGAGAGATATTTACTGCTCCTCTTCTTTACATACTTTAAATGAAATCACATCACAACCAAATCACAGCAATTTAGCTGTATATTTTATCTAATATTCTGTAAAGTCCAGTTTGTAGTTAGCAGGCTTCTAATATGGTGGTATTAAAATAATCCCAGCGAAATCACTCTTTAGGAACTTCAAACACCCTTACACCAGCAAAAAAAAAAAAAAAAAAAGATTCAGTGTAAATATTTCCAACACATCAGTATCCTGCCATTATTATAATGCAACATAGATTAACAGATTCTAATTAAATATTTAAACTCAAGAGAAACACTTTTATATGAATGAAAACCTCTAAAGGGCCTTGTAAAAGATGTTTATTGTGTTCTAAAATAACTACTTTAAAACTTTCTAAAAGACGTTTATCATGTACCATTAAAAATAAATGCAATCAAATATGATAAATACTTGCAAAATGAACTGCTTCATATGCAGATTCAAGAGTTTAAAAAAATTATTTATTTTTGTTTATGATCCTTACTTTAGAAACAAATAGGTCAAATAATTTTTGCCTTCATCAAAAATATCTAGTTAAGTGTAATATGAAAAATAGAAATGTGCTTAGGCTATTCTTTTTAATTACTGAAACTCAGAACTACCTTTCAAAATTACTCTTTTAAATTGTTATGAATGTCATTAGACATAACAGTAAAACCACCTATCTACAAAATAAAACACAAGATAATATACAAATGGTCTTTTTTTTTTTAAGGGGATAAAGTATTACTGGGTATTAGAAGTTTATCTGTGCCACTAATAGGGACTTCTAAACATTCGTGACTAGGAAATGACTGCAGTAATAACAGGATTTTAAATGCAAATTCAAATAATTTAAAAACACATACAGGTTTGAATGAAACAGAAAACCTGTACAATTAATTTTAATCTCTCTTGAAAGGGAGAGCTACTAAAGAACTAGACAGAATACAATACAGAGAATAGAATCTCAAGGTTGACACATAATATAGGATTTGTTTAGGTGCATTCTACTTTTTTCACAATAAAATCCTGCCATGCTATCATAAATGGCCAAAGAAGATTCTCTAAATAAAAATCAATAATTAGTTTTAAAAGGGTCGAATAGCAAAAAACATCCCATCAGCTGTCTAACAATATGACAAACTCAGTAACAGCCACAAAGAACCAATATAACTTATGGTGCCAAGGAGCCAGATGGTACTGCTGGAAAAAATTAAGTCTACAGATTGGCAGTTCGACCCTGTGATTATTGCCCAAGGGAGGACAAAGTGGAAGACGAGTGGGAGGTTCAGTATGATGGAGGATAAATCAATTACCACCAACTCACTACATTCTTCCTATGATACCCAAATAACAGATTCTAAATACCACATCAGTAAATTTTTCAAGGTTTAAGTAGCCCCAAACTTAGTTGGGAATGATAAAACAGTATATAGTAAAAAGTAGAATATAATCTCAGTTTTTCATCTTAAGCCCTAGTCAATTATATTGATAACCTGACCCAACTGCATAAAATCCACATACAATAAACACTAAAGCATTTTAGTATAGCTCCATTACTTAAAAATCAGGCTTTTAAAAAATTTTTGAAATTTTGCTTGACATTAAATGACAGCATTTGTTAAAATTCTATTTACTTTCCAAAAGGAGAATTATAAATAGATAATGGTTGCATATGATGATCTCATGGCTAAATAACTGACTTAACACGTTTTCTAACAAATGTTTTGTTCATGTTTTTGCTTATAAAAAGAAGCATTTCCCACTTTGTGCTATATAAAGAATGCTAAAGAAGTAGCAACATCGCAAGACACGTTCAAAATCCAACCACACGGTAGATAAAAGATAAGTGCATTGTTAATTTATGCAATTATGAAAAAATATCAATTTTACTCATACTTTTGAAATGAAAAATAGTTACATATTCAGCATTAACTGGCAGAGCTTATGCTGAGAAAAAATTTTTGTTTCTTTGGCCTCCTATCACTTATGAATACATACAGCTGTTTTGTATTACTCTAGTTTTAGTAGGCCAGATATTAAGATAAGAATATTAGGAATACTAAGATATTAAAGATAAGAAAATTTAGGCTATCAATTTTTAAAATACAGTCAATTTTTACAGCTGTTTTATATTACTCTAGTTGTAGTAAGTCAGATATTAAGAAAATTAAGAATACTAAGATATTAAAAATAAGAAAATTCAGACTGTCAATTTTTACAATATAAGTATGTGTTGATGCACTTAATATATTAGTAATTACACTAAGAGATGGCCTTTGGATTTTGTCTCAAACAACAATCAGTAACAGATCAATTAGATTTCTCTAGCAAAGAAATTTGATAAGGCAAAAAAAATGTTCTGATTAATTAGTTGCTAAGTATGAAAGCAAGACTAAATTCACAAGGATTCTAGAAAAGTATTAGTCAAATCACAGGCATAAACTAATTTGATCAAAGTTCACTGAAACCTTTCTGACACATTTTCTAACATGTTACAAAAGGATAGGAAATTAATTGCTAACATGGTTTGCTCAGTGCACTATCTGAACCCCTGTTGTGGGCACAGTCACAGTGATGGAAAAATTAATCTGAGAGGATATGCTTTACCTAAACCACACCTAACTCACTTTTCCTCATCAAACAAAAATTGTGTATGCATACTTCAAATAGCTTGTTTAAAACATTTATAACATTTTAAATGGACATCAGCATTTCAACACCTTATTACACATTCCCCCACCATGATTTTGGGATAAAAAGCTGTTCAATCTTTATATATCTGGACTAAATAACAGACCAGCAATGTGTTTATAGTCTCAGAGGAGTACAGCTAGTTCACAGGAGTGTATACATTCACACAGGTCTATAGGTTTATATATCCATCAAGATTTATAAAAATACATTGAAATACATCTTTAGATGAAAATCAGAACAGAAAGACAGGGGATTTAAAAGAATGTCAGCAGAGAGGAAATATTTCATGATAACGGACACTATTAAAACTCAGTGGATAGTAAAACAGAGCAAGAAAAAAAATTGGGGAACAATTGTCAACTAAAGGAGTTATTATTATATAAAATCCAAATATCATGTATATAAAGAACAACACCTATGTCTCATGCATTTTTACCATCCAAAGGATTAGAATTCCAGTTGATACAATTGCAGACAACAACATTAAGACTTTAAATTTATTTAATTATAAAACATATAGATAGACACATGACACAGGTTTATTTCTTTTTAAAAAATCAAATTGTCTCTGTTTGCAGATGACATTATTGTATATTTAGAAAACCCCATCATCTCAGCCCAAAATCTCAAGCTGATAAGCAACTTCAGCAAAGTCTCAGGATACAAAATCAATGTGCAAAAATCACAAGCATTCCTATACACCAATAATAGACAAACAGAGAGCCAAATCATGAGTGAACTCCCATTCACAATTGCAACAAGAAGAATAAAATACCTAGGAATACAACTTACAGAAGATATGAAGGACTTCTTCAAGGAGAACTACAAACCACTGCTCAAGGAAATAAGAGAGAACACAAACAGATGGAAAAACATTCCATGCTCATGGATAGGAAGAATCAATATCATGAAAATGGCCATACTACCCAAAGTAATTTATAGATTCAATGCTATCCCCATCAAGCTACCACTGACTTTCTTCACAGAATTAGAAAAAACTACTTTAAATTTCATATGGAACCAAAAAAGAACCCGTATAGCCAAGATGACCCTAAGCAAAAAGAACAAACCTGGAGGCATGACGCTACCTGACTTCAAACTATACTACAAGGCTACAGTAACCGAAACAGCATGGCACTGGTACCAAAACAGATACATAGACCAACGGAACAGAAAAGAGGCCTCAGAAGTAATGCCACACATCTACAACCATCTGATCTTTGACAAACCTGACAAAAACAAGCAATGGGGAAAGGATTCCCTATTTAATAAATGGTGTTGGGAAAACTGGCTAGCCATATGCAGAAAACTGAAACTGGACCCCTTCCTTACACCTTATACAAAAATTAACTCAAGGTGGATTAAAGACTTAAAACCTAAAACCATAAAAACCCTAGAAGAAAACCTAGGCAATACCATTCAGGACACAGGCATGGGCAAAGTTCATGACTAAAACACCAAAAGCAATGGCAACAAAAGCCAAAATTGACAAATGAGATCTAATTAAAGAGCTTCTGGACAGCAGAAGAAACTGTCATCAGAGTGAACAGGCAACCTACAGAATGGGAGAAAATTTTTGCAATCTATCCATCTGACAAAGGGCTAATATCCAGAATCTACAAGGAACTTAAACAAATTTACAAGAAAAAAACAACCCCATCAAAAAGGGGGTAAAGGATATGAACAGACATTTCCCAAAAGAAGACATTTATGTGGCCAACAAACATATGAAGGAAAGCTCATCATCACTGGTCATTAGAGAAATGAAAATCAAAACCACGATGAGATACCATTTCATGCCAGTTAGAATGGTGATAATTAAAAAGTCAGGAAACGACAGATGCTGGAGAGGATATGGAGAAATACAAATGCTTTTACACTGTTCGTGGGAGTGTAAATTAGTTCAACCATTGTGGAAGACAGTATGGCAATTCCTCAAGGATCTGGAACCAGAAATACCATTTGACCCAGTAATCCCATTACTGGGTATATACCCAAAGGCTTATAAATCATTCTACTATAAAGACACATGCACACATATGTTTATCACAGCACTGTTCACAACAGCAAAGACTTGGAACCAACCCAAATGCCCATCAATGATAGACTGGATAAAGAAAATGTGGCGCATATACACCATGCAATACTATGCAGCCAAAAAAAGGATGAGTTCATGTCCTTTGCACGGACATGGATGAAGCTGGAAACCATCACTCTCAGCAAACAGAGGAACAGAAAACCAAACACCGCATGTTCTCACTCATAAGTAGGAGTTGAACAATGAGAACACATGGACACAAGGAAGGGAACATCACACACCTGCACCTGTCGGGGGGTGGGGGCTAGGGGAGGGATAGATAACATTAGGAGAAATACCTAATGTAGATGACGGGTTGATGGGTGCAGGAAACCACCATGACACATGTATACCTATGTAACAAAGCTGCGCATTCTGCACATGTATCCCAGAACTTAAAGTATACTTAAAAAAAAAAAAGAACTTTCCCATGCTTTCTCCCCTTCTCAGTGTTCACAAGACAAAAACCACTTTAACACTAATCACGTTCTGAAATGTTAATTTTTCAATGCCTTCAGTTGTTAAAAGACAGCATCTTTACATGCCTTATATCTGTATGTTTGATAATATTAGGTAATTGCTGCTACTTTTTAAGGTGTGATAAGAGTATTAAGGTTGTTTTTAAAATAATCACTATCTATATTATATATCTGGGAATATTTAGGAATGGCATGTGGAATTTGATTCAAAATAATCTAGAAGGAGCAAGTAGAGCAAGTACAAACAAAAGACTACTGTCTACGAGGTGATAACTGTTCAAGCTGAGATATGGATACATGTAAGTTTTCTTATAATATTCTATGTCTGTATGTTTGAAATTATTCATAAAAGTTAAAATAAAAGTGCTCAGAAAATTTAAAAAAATCAAATATAAGCCTGGCGCACTGGCACATGCCTATAGTCCCAGCTACTTGGGTGGCTGAGGCAGGAATATTGCTTGAGCCCAAGAACTCAAGGCTGTAGTGCACTATGATTGTACCTGTGAATAGCCACTATTCCAGCCTGGGCAATATTGTGAGATCTTATCTCTTAAAAAATCAAATATTTAAGAACTTGATTTTTAAAACTGTTAATAATTGTCACAAAACATAATCCTTCCACTTGTAAAACAGTATCTACTAATAAGTTTTCTCAAAAGTTACCTCCTAGTACATTTAAAATGAAGCTTTATTTATAAAATATTTTCTGAATTTAATGTGACAGTAACTACATATCTTGGCTTTTTTGGTCATCAAGTAGGTAAACAACCAACCAAAGAATGAAATCATTTGAAATTTCAAGATTATCTACATTTTAAATCCATTGGCATATTTCTAACAAAATAATCCAGTTAATGCTTCTCAGGATTAAGGTTCATTTTGATCAAATTCTCATATGCTATTGTTTCATTACTTTCCTACTATCTAACAGACAGGAAGCTAAATACGATTCACCCAAATAAAAAAGATCACAGAAATTTAACATAGGTCAACACACAGGTCATGACATTTATGAACCACCACGTAAAAATGCCTGCCATATTTATTAGCAAAAAGTTGAATATTAAATCATAAAAATAATCAGTTATCTTTTAGCTACTCACAATATGATATGATTAAATAAAATATTGTCCAACACAAATTAAACTACTTATGTTCAAACATGGATAAAAATTCCAAAGAAAATATGTACTAAAATCAAGTCAATTATTCCATCCCTTGGTCATCTTGTGACATTACAGTAACCAAGAGCTAACATTGGCATGTCCTATGTACCTATCCCTACTACAATCTTTTGAAATACTATTAATTATCCCTAATTTTACAAATTAAGAAACTAAGGCTTAAACAGAAAATAATTTGTTCAAAGTCAGAGTGTCAAACCAGGATTAAACCCAGGTATATAGGATACAATAATCTGTGCATTTGACGACAACAGTACTATTTACTCATGACATGATGAAACATAAGAGTTTATCTTTTTTAAAGTCCTTGAAAATTTAGTATGCAGATACTAAAAGTACATCTGATCTGCCTTGAATATTGCTTAATATTATATAAGTTGCCAGGACAAGACATAGTAACATAACATGATGCCTGAATTACATGGAGAAAAATAATTAGATAAAACAAAGAGGGAGGAAAAAAAGCCTAAGATCACATCAACATTCAAATGAACGCCAAAGAAAATGACCAAGATAAAATGTATCACCAGGACTATAATCATACTAAGGAATGAAAGTAATTAATGGCTTCTAAAATTCTGTAAAATAGAATCACAGGTTTAGAAACAAAAGCAGCAATTCTCCTGGTTTACCTGTGAGGAAAGTTGGAGAAAATGTCTCTATTCTAAATCTTCTCATCTATCTCATTCTACTGTCTCTGGAAAGTCTTCTCTTTCTCATGATATTAAACATGTTTAGGCGAATAAATCAATGATTTGCCACATCTCTATTCCATATCTCAGACTCCCTCTTAAATATCTTTGACTGGATTCTCAATACTCCTTCAAGCTCAACAAACTTGATCTTTCTTATCTGCCTTTCCACTTTCTTTATAGATAAT
Organism: Homo sapiens; assembly: GCF_000001405.40. Lineage (NCBI taxonomy): Eukaryota > Metazoa > Chordata > Mammalia > Primates > Hominidae > Homo > Homo sapiens. Next base: position 26,821,706 of record NC_000007.14, read on the forward strand.
ATCACCTCCCTGAGAAAAGAATCTAAGTATCAAGATTCACGTTAAGCATAATCATGAAGTCTACCATTGGTTCTACCCCTGGCTATTTACTCCCCTTTGTCCCACCCATCAAGTTGATCCTACACTCCGGTTCTTCCCAGGCCTGAGTTCCCCAGAAGTATACCAAGCCCTTCCTTTCTTCTACACTTCCAGCTCCCTCCCATAACAAACTAAAATTTATTTGTCATTTGATCCATTCCTTACAACTCTTATCTCTGCCTGCTTAATCTGATACATTAGCATTTGTCAGATAATTAATAATAATTATTAATGTAAGTATTTTATTTGCCAAATCCAATCTTTATTCTTTATTTCTGTGGTGATAGCTTCATCCATTATCACCTCTGTTAAGTATGACAACTGATGAGCCAAAGTAGTAAACGTAACAGATATGTCATTTGGTCTTCAATTACCCATCTGTATTTATACAAACATACCTCATATTACTGTGCTTTGCTTTAATGCACTTTACAGATACTGCATTTTTTACAAATTGCAGGTTTGTGACAACCCTTGTGGAACAAGTCTATCAGCACCATTTTTTCAATTGCACATGCTCACTTTGTATCTCTGTGTCACATTTTGGTAATTCTTACAATATTTCAAATTTTTTCATTATTATTATATCTGTTATGGTGATCTATAATCAGTGATCTTTGATGTTGCCATCTAATTGTTTTGGGGCACTATGATCTGCACTCATATAAGACAGCAAACTTTAATAATAAATGTATGTCCTCTGACTGCTCCACAACTCAACCTTCCCCTATCTCTCTGCCTCTCCTTGGGCTTCCTTATTCCCTGAAACATAACAACACTGAAATTAAGCCAATTAATAACCCTACAATGGGCTGGGCGTGGTGGCTCAAGCCTGTAATCCCAGCACTTTGGGAGGCCAAGGCGGGTGGATCACGAGGTCAGGAGATCGAGACCATCCTGGCTAACACGGTGAAACCCCGTCTCTACTAAAAATACAAAAAAAAAAAAAATTAGCCAGGCGTGGTGGCGGGCGCCTGCAGTCCCAGCTACTAGGGAGGCTGAGGCAGGAGAATGGCGTGAACCCAGGAGGCGGGGCTTGCAGTGAGCCGAGAATGCACCACTGCACTCCAGCCTGGGCGACACAGCGAGACTCCGTCTCAAAAAAAAAAAAAATTACCCAACAAAGGCTCTAAGTGTTCAAGTGAAAGAAAGAGTTCCACATCTCTCACTGTAAATCAAAAGGTACAAAAGGTAGAAATGATTAAGCTTAGGGAGGAAGGCACGTAGAAAGTCGAGATAGGCCAAAAGGAAGGCCTCTTGTGCCAAACAGCCAAGTTGTGAATGCAAATGAAAAGTCCTTGAAGGAAAACAAAAGTGCTACTCCAGTGAACACACAAATGATAAGAAAGCAAAATAGCCTGGCCAGGTGTGGTGGCTCACGCCTGTAATCCCAGCACTTTGGAAGGCCGAGGCAGGAGGATTACCTGCAGTCAGGAGTTTGAGACCAGCCTGTCCAACATGGTGAAACCTCGTCTCTACTGAAAATACAAAAATTAGCTGGGTGTGGTGGTGGGCGCCTGTAATCCTAGCTACTCAGGAGGCTGAGGCACGAGAATTGCTTGAACCTGGGAGGTGGGGGTCGCAGTGAGCCGAGATCATGCCACTGCACTCCAGCCTCGGCAACAGAGTGAGACTTTGTCTCAAAAAAAAAAAAAAAAAAAACAAGCAAAAAGCAAAACAGCCTAATTACTGATATGGAGAAACTTTGAGTGGTCTGGCTAGAAGATTAAACCAGCTACAACACTCCCTTAAGCCAAAGCCTAACCCAGATCAAGGCCCTAACTCTCTTCAATTCTATGAAGGCTAACAGAGATGAGAGCTGCAGAAGAAAAGTTAGAATCTAGCAGAGGTTGGTTCATGAGGTTTAAGGAAAGAAGCCATCTTCATAACAAAAAAGTGCAAGGAGTTTGGAAGAAGTTAATTCCAACCCTCATGGATGACTTTGAGGGGTGCAGGACATCAATGGAAGAAGACACTGCAGATGTGGTGGAAATGGCAAGAGACCTACAATTAGAAGTGGACCCTGCAGATATGACTGAATTGTTGCAATCTCATGATAAAACTTGAAGGGATGAGGAGTTGCTTCTCAGGGTGAGCAAAGAAAGTAGTTTCTTGTGATGGGATCTACTCCTGATGAAGATGCTAACAACACTGTTGAAATGACAACAATTAATTTGGAATATAACATAATCGTAGTTGATAAAGCAGTGGCAGGGTTTGAGAGGATTGACTCCAATTCTTAAAGAAATTCTACCATGGGTAAAATGGTAGCAAACAACATTACATGCCAGAGGGAAATCTTTCATGGAAAGAAGAATCAATCAATGAATCAATCAATTCATTGCTGTCTTTATTTAAGAAACTGCCACAGCCCCCCAACCTTCAGCAGCCATCCACATTGAGACGAGACCCTCGACCAGCAAAAAGGTTATAATTCTCTGAGGGCTAAGATGATTGCTGACATTTATTAACAATAAAGCATTTTAAAATTACAGTATGTGTGGGGTTTTGTAGACATAATGCACACAATAGTGTGCTGGGAGGTAATATAGTAGTAAGGAATACAAATTGGAAAAAGAGGGTGCATCCTTTTTAAAGGATGACAAACACAACGTAAGCTCAGTATTGCCAGACTATCCAATTTTCCCAGAGAAGGCATAAATCTGAATTTTTCTGGGTTGGCAGAAATTTTCAAAAGTCAAATACTGGTTTGGCTAAACAAAATATACCTATAGGCCAAATTTGTAACTTGGCCTATCAGTTTGAGACCCTTGTTCTAGACACTTTGTATACTGTCTCAATTTTAAACCAATCCATCAGTGAGTTGTGTATCTAGACCAAGGATGGACAAACTTTTTTAGTAAAGTGTCAGACTAGAAATATTCCAGGCTTTGTGGGACTATGGTCTGTGTAACAACTACATACTGCTGCTGTTGTAGCATGAACACAGCCATAGACAATATGTAAACAAATACGTATGGCTGTGATGTATAATTATCTATAAAATATAGCAACAAGCCAAATTTGCTCCATGGGCTGTAGATTGCCAACCCCTGATCTAGACTGTTATTTTGGCCCCACACAAAAATGACTTGTCCTAAGCTGTATTTTGGCATTATGCTACATACCTATGTTGGTGGATGTTTTCAGAAAGAACTCCAGAGCATTATTAAATATACTCTTGTGGTTTTTATTTACCACATTATATGACGTTCTTTTTAAAGCCCCCTTGAAAGAAATTTCACCAGGTCCTAGTGCTACAGGTACTAAGAACTGTATTTCTCTTGAGTACTTGATTTATTTTTATAGCAAGAACACTATAAATCTTGCACCTAATCAGTTTTCCTTCTTTGCATTGGCAAAGAAAGCAAGCAAGCCGAGGGTCAAATAAGTAAGTAATCTCCAGCAAAAGCTACAGTACTTATGGTATGCATTTGAGATACAGATATTAATACTAGCCTTACTTTAATTTTCCTATGTATCCTCCTTTTCCCCACCTTTGATTTCCTCTTTTTTTTAACCTTGGTATAATATATGTATCTTCGCTAACTGCCTCAATTGTTTTTTACTAAAGAATAGAAATTAGGAAAAAATAAATAAAAAGCATGTCTATCCAAGACAAATTAAATTCAAACAATCTAAAAATCTAATTTTTGTTTAGTTCTAATCTATACAATTGTACCTTTTCATATAGGTGCTAACAAGTAAAAGTGATTGGTTTATTTTATCTAGTTAATCCTCTCTTCTCATACATTGCTAAAAAGAGAAAGAATATAATGGCCAAACAGCAAACAGTTAAAAAAAAAAAAAAAAAAGGAGAACTTTCACTAACTGGAACATCAGCTCTTATGAAAGGTTTGAAGAATTAATGAAAATAAATAAGTGAAAAATAATAAGAATTTAAAAATTAACCAGTCTAGACAGTTTTAACATTTATTTTTGCCTCCAGCTCTTCTCTCTATAAATCAATTCAAAATTTAGCATGCTAAATAATTATTTTAACCTACTGCATAAACATTATACTCTCCTCTAATGAACTTGAAATATCCACTACTGAATGTATATCTATAACTATTATCTATCCCAGCCTTTTATTCTCTCTATACACATTTTTACAACACCTAAGTTTAGTCATACTTTCACATATCCTACCTTTAGTGGCTGTTTTTGCCTGCTCTTTGCTTTTGAATTGCTTATTTCTTTAAGACTACCTCAGTTTTCCTTTGGAGAATGGTACCTCCCCAAATCTCCATGGGGATCAGGTGAAGCTGGCCTTACCCCTCTCCACAAACTCTTTTTTGGGCACACGATCCAGACCTAGCCAATTCGTGCAATACACACACACACACACACACACACGCCACAGTGATTGATTTAGAATAAGCACATAACCCAAGCCAAGGATTCCTGCTGCAATTCTTGAGAGATCTCTATTTCAATGGGGTTGCTAACCTGGTAGAAATATCTAAGAAGCTGCTGGTGGGTGGTCATCTTTGCCACAGCCATCCTATGGGTACAGTGTCTCTAAGAAGAAGCTACACATAGGAAAGCAGTATGTGAGTGGGAATACTCATTACAGTTTGAACACCTACCTGGATCTAGGTGGGCAAGAGGCAAGATTCCAATTCTATTCATTTTTCACAAGTGAACCAATAAACTTCCCTTTCTGCTTTGTGCTTAAGCCAGTTTGAGTTGGGTTTCTTTTTCTGTCCTGTCCATTCAAAGAGTTCTGACCAATATATCCCTTTACCAGGCTGTTTCACAAATGTGAAAAACTATTACCTCCATGTTCTACATATCAAAAATCTTATTCTCCTAGACCTGGTTCAAATGCCATTAATGTTATCAAGTCTGTCTTTATTCCCACCATAATTACCGTCTTCTTTCTCCTTCTATATTTCTTGTAATAGTGATTAAACCAATCTGCCTTGAATTAGTTGATATTTATATCTCTCCTGTCTCTACTAATCTATAAATAAGGTCCTTAAAGACAGTGACATACCTTATTAATCATTTTATTCTCCCAAGTCTAAAATAGCTAAAAGTAAAATCTATTGAAATAAACTTTTATTCCATCTAGCACTTTGCCTAAAACGTACACTATTACCCTTTCTTACTACTTTTATTTTAAAAATCAATTACATCTTATAAGACATATTTTCTTTTAGAAAAGAAATCCTATTTTAAGCGTATTAGGGGATTATAACATACATAGATCCCAGGACACCAACACCAAAATAAGTCCTATTCAGTGAAAGAAATATATGTGTATTTCTTTTCCCCGTGGTAAGAAATTTTACTATTTTTGATATTAAAATATAATTCTTATTAAACTCCTTTAGTGTTAAAGAAAGACATGAGCATGTTCAAAATAGAAAAGCTCACAGGTGGTATTAAAAAGCAAGGAGGAGCTTCTGGAGGCATTTATACAAAACAACACAAAAGCATCTCTGGCATGAAATTACTTTCTGACATAGTCTTTAAATATGGCATTATATGTTTCCGCTTTTTAGGTATGAAAAAGAATTAGTTGATATTCAAATTCAATTACCCTTTTCTCTAGATATTCCAAATGAAAAACTTTCAGCACGCTCCATTGCTTGACTCTCATACAAAAATATAATTAATATCTGATTATGACATTGGAATCTGAAAGTATATTTGATGAGAAATGTGGGATTAGAAGGCCTAAAGTTTCTCCATAGTGAAAATAAACCTAAACATTTAAATTAAAATACGACTATGGCTATGGAGGAAGATACAGAGAAAGATATAGGAATTCAAAATAAAAAGTCCAGCAATCAAAATAGTTCTGGCACTACTGTAAATAATTCTCTCTGAACCTAGATCAATGGTTCAATCTGTGGTAAAGAACCAGTTTTTCCCAAGACATCACAAACCCCACTATTTTTGTAAAAATAACAACAACAACAAAAACATAAATTACTAGAAAAAAGATCACGTACTTAGATAAGGCAGAAATATCAAATTGCTATAAACATTTCTAAATGCTTATTCTTAATTTTTGTACTTATGTTGTCGTTGACCAGTAACAAATAGATCACAAATCAGGACCAGTCTTTAGGCCACACACTGATAGCAAGTGCTGCTTAGAAAATTCACATGGCCTCTTTGTGTCTCAGTCCCCTATGTGACTGACACAGGGAAAAAATAAATAAATAAATACATTCATACATACATACATATCTTAACAAGAGAGAAGAGATCAATTCAAATAAACAAACTAACTTTCTTTTGTTAAGCTAACAACAGTAACCATTTTTCTAAGACCATGATCACAGCACCCCTTAGATCCCACCGCTATAACTATGTATTGACAAAGCCTGGCCCCGGAGAACCCAGAAAGTCAACAAAATGATCTATTAGACTATGTGTTCTCTGAAATAACTTAAGGAAAACTGATATGAAAGAAGAGTCATGTGATTATAGGTTTGTATTTGCAATGCAACAAACATTTCATTTACATTTCAAATCTGTGTATTATGTTGCTAGAAATGATAGCGGTATATAAACAAAATAAGAATTCTTTTTAACGAACGATGTTAAAGGCTAGAGAATTCAAGAGTTCACTGAGCTTAAAAGGTATAGCAAGGCCGGGCGCGGTGGCTAACACCTGTAATCCCAGCACTTTGGGAGGCCGAGGCAGGCAGATCACCAGGTCAGGAGATCAAGACCATCCTGGCTAACACGGTGAAACCCCGTCTCTACTAAAAATACAAAAAATTAGCCGGGCGTGGTGGTGGGCGCCTGTAGTCCCAGCTACTCGGGAGGCTGAGGCAGGAGAATGGCGTGAACCTGGGAGGCAGAGCTTGCAGTGAGCCAAGATTGAGCCACTGCACTCTAGCCTGGGCGACAGAGTGAGACTCTGTCTCAAAAAAAAAAAAAAATAGAATCTTCAGTTAGGCAGACATCTTAGACACGTCACAAAAGAACAAGTGATGGCCGGGAGCGGTGGCTCACACCTGTAATCCCAGCACTTTAGGAGGCCGGGGTGGGCAGATCACCTGAGATCAGGAGTTCAAGACCAGCCTGGCCAACATGATGAAACCCCGTCTCTACTAAAAATACAAAAATTAGCCAGGTGTGGTGGTGTGCGCTTGTAATCCCAGCTACTTGGGAGGCTGAGGCACGAGAATCACTGGAACCCAGTGGGGGCAGAGGTTGCGGTGAGCTAAGATCGCGCCATTGCACTCCAGCCTGGGCGACAGAGCGAGACTCTGTCTCAAAAAAATAAATAAATAAAGTACAAGTAATAAAAGAAAACACAGATAAATTAAACTTCGTCAAAATGCAAAACTTTTGTGCTTCAAGGATACCATCAAGAAAGTGAAATGAAAACCTGTAGATACTGAGAAAATATTTACCAATCATATATCTGATAAGCAACTAGTATCCAGAATATATAAATAACTCAGAACTTAACAATAAATAGGCCAGGTGCAGTGGCTCATGCCTGTGCTCAACACTTTGGGAGGCTCAACACTTCAGGAAGCCAAGGTGAAAGGATCGCTTGAGCCCAGGAGTTCAAGACTAGCCTGGGCAACAAAAGTGAAACCCTGTCTCTACAAAAAAATTAAATTAATTTATAATTAGTTGGGTGTAGTCGTATGCGCCTGTAATCTCAGCTACTTGAGAGGCTGAGTTGAGAGGATTCGTTGAGCCCAGGAGGTAGAGGCTACAGAGGGCCCTGATCATACCACACTGCACTACAGCTTGGGTGACAAAGCAAGACTCTGGCTCAAAACAAACAAACAAAAAACAATAAAAAGCCAACCCAAATGAAAAATAAGAAAAGAATTTGAAGTGGGCATTCTCTAAAAACATACAAATGGCCAATAAGCACATAAAAAGGTGATTAACATTATTAGTCATTACAGAAGTGCAAATCAAAACTACAGTAAGATACCACTTCACATTCACTAGGATGGCCGAAATAAAAAAGACAGTAAGTGTTGAAGAGAATTGTGGACAAATCAGAACCCCCACATATCGCTGGCTGGAACATAAAATGGTGCAGTCATTTGGAAAAAGTTTGGCAATTCCTCAAAAAATGAAACCAAAATATACCATATGATACAGTAATTTCGTTCCTAGGTATATACTCAAGAAAAATGAAAAAATATATTAACACAAAAAGTTTTACACAAATGTGCATTATTCATAATAGTCAAAAAGAGTAAACAACACAAATGTCCATCAATTGAGGATGGATGAACAAAAGGTGGCACATCCACACAGGAAGCATTATCGGGCCATAAAAGGGAATAAAGAACTGGTAATATGCTGGATGAACCTTGAAAACATTATGCTAAGTAAAAAAAGCCAGACATACAAAGTTCTGATATATGATTCCATTTATATGAAATATCCACATTATATAAATCTGTAGAAACAGAAATTAGATTCATAGTTGCCTAGGCCTTTGAGAGAGATGGAGGAGAAGGGTTAGGAGAAAACTGAGAGTGACTACTCATGGCATGGAGTTTCTTTTTCGTGGAGATGAAAATGTTCTAAAATTGACTGGGATTATACTTACATAATTCTGTGACCATATTAAAAACCACCTGAATTGTATACTTTAAATTAGTATATTCTATGGTTAAATATATCTCAATAAAGTGAGTAAAAAAAAATACTTTAAGAATCCTAGACCCTACCCCTAAACTGTTGGTAAACTATGTAAAATCAAAATGATCTCTTTTAACTCAATAAATGCATGTCTTCTCAAGCCATAATTTTAGAAGGTTTAATTTTAAAATTGCTTAAGTCTTACCCTCAATTCTGTAAATCAATGTGCTATTCATATATAACGAGCTCAAGAAAATAATTTACCTGAGCTAATTCTTATAACTTCCTTGCAGAGATATTTTCTTCAATAGTATTTATGTTATTTTTAAATCTATAGCATACTTAATTTTTCCTCAAGTGTGAAGCAAGGACCCTGATATCGACTCTGAGTTTTGAAAAAGAAATACTTTGATAAGCACATGTGAAAGCTGGAGAATGGTACCTTCTCTGTGTTTAATTTTTGTAAAAATAATATACAGTTTTGCCCTAATCCTCTCTGGGCTTATTTATTAACAGGGCATTTATTTGCTACTAATGACTTTGCAGCCCTGCATTTTAGTTATGTGTACTACTTTTTCTGTTTGGATTTGTTATTGTCTTTAGCATTATACCATTCAGTTCTTGAATGAGAATTATGAGGTTTTGATTGGCAGCCTTGTTTCCTAATAATTTGGGACCATTTTTTCCCCACTTATTTTCATATATAGCTTCATAAGTGATCTTCTAATGCAGTCCAAACTCATTCAAATGTTCTTAAAAGTTTGTAAATTTTTAGTCACTAGCTATCAAGCTCATGTATCAAACACAGTGACTCCTTCCCAAGGCTCATGATGCCTATGTATAAAATTTTTCCAGGTATAAAATTTCTTTATTCTTACATGCTCATTACTCAAAAGAAAGAAGCCAAGGCACAAAGAAGTACAAGGGTTCAAGAAAAAGGCATGATATATTTGCTATAGCAAATTTAACCACTAACAGTTTTCAACACAGAATACCCTGTTGAAAAAATGATTGTGTATATGGAATCCCTAAAACTTCCAACTGCAAATCCTACAAAATTCATCTTAGCCAGTAAAACATATGAGCTATATAGTATAGAAGTTAGACAACACTCACAAACAGTTGTGTCTAACACAAAAAGGAAAATTTATTTAAGATAATCCCTAAAATTGACTGGATAACAATAGTAACTCACATTTAATATGTCTTTACTATGGGTCAGGAAGTATTCTAAACTTTTTATATACCTTATCCTACTCAATCCTAAGAATAACCATAGGTTATAGATACTATTATTATCCTTAATTTGACAGATGAGAAGACTCTGAAAAGTTAAGAAATTTGCTGGAGGTCACAGAGACAGGCAATGAAGTATTTGAACCCAGGCAGTATGTTCTTAACTACTATGTTTCATTTTTAGAGTGACTAAGGTATGTCCTATCCCATACCTTAGTCACTCTAAAATAAATACCTGAAGCCAGAGCCAAAACTTTTCACATGCCACCCTTGTCAATCCTCATCTCCCATTCTCCAACCTTTCTCAGTCATGTTAGTCTTTCCACAGTTCATCAAACTATGGTCATTTCCAGCTCCGTTTCCCCTTGTCCCTCATTCCCTTAACTTATGTAGAAAGTATTCTTCCTTCCATTCTCTACTAATTAAATTTCTATCCACCCTTACTAAATTCTAGTTCAAACTCCAACTTCTTCCATAAAACATCTAACCACTGACACCAGTTGGCAATAGCTTCTTCCTTCTTTAACCTCTTAGAGTATTTATGGTCAATGCCACACATTTCTGCAACTGAATAAAGTTGGTAAGGTTTCCAACTATTAGATATGCATACCTTTTACCCAAAACAACACTGTAGTCCTTTTACAGGAAAGAACAGTTCCTTTCTATTGCTTATAGCATCTTGGTTCTTCTAGAAATCTAGTATTCACTCTAAGTGACTATATCTAAGGCTTGACTGACATACTTATTTGGACTACCTTTGACTGGTAGCCAGGGAGCTACTTCTTCCAATGATTCTAATAGACTAGTTATGAAAAAGTTTTAGGATACAGCAGCCTCTTGGTGTCATTAAAAAGGAAGCATAGACTAAGCATCAACCTTTCCTCCTAAAGTTTCCTTGAAATTCCTTTTGTTTGTTTTTAAAGAATAAAGCCTTGAGCCAGGCATGCTGGTGCATGCCTGTAGTCTCAGCTGAGGCAGGAGGATCACTTGAGCCTAGGAGTTCAAGGCCAGCCTGAGCAACACAGCAAGACCCCATCTCTAAAAAAGAAAAAAAGAAGAAAGCTTTAATAAAACTGGTAATCAAGAAAAGGTAAAGAAAGTGGACCAAAATTTTTGAGTAATTCCTTGCAACTGGAAAGCAGATGAGACTGGAGTAATGAAGACACAGCAGAGGACACCTAAGCCCAGGAGGATACCAAGGAGAATAAGTGCTAGTTTTCACAAAGAGAAGACTCAGAGATGCTACAAGCAAAGATACAGGATGATGAAGAACTCATTAAAGAACTGTAATCAAAGCAGCTAGAACCCTTGGGTCCATCCTCAAAAGCAGCTGGCAGTAAAGGCTTGTGTATTCGGGCTAAATCCCAAACTCCACTCTCTCATTCTCTAAGCAAGCGAACTAGCTCCCAAAGAAGCCTTCTCCATGAGCATTGCAACCAAGAGAGAAGCTGAGCAGTGTGTCAGATAACTCTAGACTCCCTACCACCCCAGCACCAAAAAAGTATGCAGAGGGTCAAAAATCTGTAACTAGGAATTAAAAGACACAAACTGTGAGGCGGGCGGATCACAAGGTCAGGGGATCGAGACCATCCTGGCTAACACGGTGAAACCCATCTCTACTAAAAACACAAAAAAAAATTAGCCAGGAGTGGTGGCAGGCACCTGTAGTCCCAGCTACTCAGGAGGCTGAGGCAGGAGAATGGAGTGAACCCAGGAGGCAGAGCTTGCAGTGAGCTGAGATCGCGCCACTGCACCCCAGCCTGGGTGACAAAGAGCAAGACTCCGTCTCAAAAAAAAAAAAAAAAGACACAGACTGGCAGATTGGATAAAGAGTCAACACCCATAGGTGTGCTGTATTCAGGAGACCCATCTGACGTGCAAAGACATACAAAGGGTCAAAATAAAGGGATGGAGGAATATTTACCAAGCAAATGGAAAGCAATAAAAAGCAGGGGTTGCAATCCTAGTCTCTGATAAAACAGACATTAAAACAACAAAGATCAAAAGAGACAAAGAAGGGCATTACATAATGGTAAAGACATCAATGCAACAAGAAGAGCTAACTATCCTAAATATATATGCACCCAATACAGGAGCACCCAGATTCATAAAGCAGGTTCTCAGAGACCCACAAAGAGACTTAGACTCCCACACAATGATACCGGTCAATATTAGATCAACGAGACAGAAAATTAACAAGGATATTCAGGACTTGAGCTCAGCACTGGACCAAGCAGACCTAACAGACATCTACAGAACTCTCCACCCCAAATCAACAGAATATACATTCTTCTCAGCACCACATTGCACTTATTCTAAAATTGACCACATAATTGGAAGTAAAACACTCCTCAGCAAATGCAAAAGAACAGAAATCATAACAGTATCTCAGACCACAGTGCAAGTAAATTAGAACTCAGGATTAAGAAACTCACTCAACACCGCACAACTACATGGAAACTGAACAACCTGCTCCTGAATCACTACTGGGTAAATAACGAAATTAAGGCAGAAATAAATAAGTTCTTTGAAACCAATGAGAACAAAGACACAATGTACCAGAATCTCTGGGACACAGCTAAAGCAGTGTTTAGAGGAAATTTATAGCACTAAATCACCATAAGAGAAAGCAGAAAAGATCTAAAATTGACAACCTAACATCACATCTAAAAGAACTAGAGAAGCAAGAGCAAACAAATTCAAAAGCTAGCAGAAGACAAGAAATAACTAAGATCAGAGCAGAACTGAAGGAGATAGAGACACAAAAAAACCCTTCAAAAAATCAATGAATTCAGGAGCTGGTGTTTTGAAAAGATCAAGAAAATAGATAGACCACTAACCAGACTAATAAAGAAGAAAAGAGAGAAGAATCAAATAGACTCAATAAAAAATGATGAAGGGGATATCACAACTGATCCCACAGAAATACAAACTACCATCAGAAAATACTATAAACACCTCTATGCAAATAAACTAGAAAATCTAAAAGAAATGGATGAATTCCTGGACGCATACACCCTCCCAAGGCTAAACCAGGAAGAAGTCAAATCTCTGAATAGACCCATAACAAGTTCTGAAATTGAGGCAGTAATTAACAGCCTACCAACCAAAAAAGGCCCAGGACCAGACGGATTCACAGCCGAATTCTACCAGAGGTACAAAGAGGATCTGGTACCATTCCTTCTGAAACTATTCCAAACAACAGAAAAAGAGGGACTCCTCCCTAACACATTTTATGAGGCCAGCATCATCCTGATACCAAAACCTGGCAGGGACACAACAAAAAAAGAAAATTTCAGGCCAATATCCCTGATGAACATTGATGTAAAAATCCTCAATGAAATACTGGCAAACAAAATCCAGCAGCACATCAAAAAGCTTATCCACCACAATCAAGTTGGCTTCGTCCCTAGGATGCAAGGCTGGTTTGACATATGCAAATCAATAAACATAATCCATCACATAAACAGAACTAATGACAAAAACCACATGATTATCTCAAAAGATGCAGAAAAGGCCTTCGATAAAATTCAGCAGCCCTTCATGCAAAAAACTCTCAATAAAGTAGGTATTGATGGAATGTATCTCAAAATAATAAGAGCCTATTTTTGACAAACCCACAGCCAATATCATACTGAATGGGCAAAAGCTGGAAGCATTCCCTTTGAAAAGTGGCACAAGACAAGGATGCCCTCTCTCACCACTCCTACTCAACACAGTATTGGAAGTTCTGGTCAGGGCAATCAGGCAAGAGAAAGAAATAAGGGTATTCAAACAGGAAGAGAGGGAGACAAATTGTCTGTTTGCAGATGACATGATTGTATATTTAGAAAACCCCATCATCTCTGCCCAAAATCTCCTTAAGCTGATAAGCAACCTCAGCAAAGACTCAGGATACAAAATCAATGTGCAAAAATCACAAGCATTCCTATACACCAATAATAGACAAACAGCCAAATCATGAGTGAACTCCCATTCACAATTGCAACAAGAAGAATAAAATACCTAGGAATACAACTTACAGAAGATGTGAAGGACCTCTTCAAGGAGAACTACAAACCACTGCTCAAGGAAATAAGAGAGAACACATACAAATGGAAAAATATTCCATGCTTATGGATAGGAAGAATCAATATCATGAAAAATGGCCATACTACCCAAAGTAATTTATAGACTCAATGCTATCCCCATCAAGCTACCACTGACTTTCTTCACAGAATTAGAAAAAACTACTTTAAATTTCATACGGAACCAAAAAAGAGCCCGTATAGCCAAGACAATCCTAAACAAAAAAGAACAAAGCTGGAGGCATCACGCTATCTGACTTCAAACTATATTACAAGGTTACAGTAATCAAAACAGCATGGCACTGGTACCAAAACAGATACATAGACCAACGGAACAGAAAAGAGGCCACAGAAATAATGCCACACATCTACAACCATCTGATCTTTGACAAACCTGACAAAAACAAGCAATGGGGAAATGATTCCCTATTTAATAAATGCTGTTGGGAAAACTGGCCAGCCATATGCAGAAAACTGAAACTGGACCCCTTCCTTACATCTTATACAAAAATTAACTCAAGTTGGATTAAAGCCTTAAATGCAAGACATAAAACCATAAAAACCCTAGAAGAAAACCTAGGCTATACCATTCAGTACATAGGCATGGGCAAAGACTTCATGACTAAAACACCAAAAGCAATGGCAACAAAAGCCAGAATTGACAAATGCAACCTAATTAAACTAAAGAGCTTCTGCACAGCAAAAGAAACTATCATCAGAGTGAACAGGCAACCTACAGAATGGGAGAAAAATTTTGCAATCTATCCATCTGACAAAGGGCTAATATGCAGAATCTACAAAGAACTTAAATTACAAGAAAAAAACAAACAACCCCACCAAAAAGTGGGCGAAGGATATGAACAGACACTTCTCAAAAGAAGACATTTATGCGGCCAAAAACATAAGAAGAAAAGCTCATCATCACTGGACATGAGAGAAATGAAAATCAAACCACCATGAGATACCATCTTACACCAGTTAGAACAGTGATCATTAAAAAGTCAGGAAACAACAGATGCTGGAGAGGATGTGGAGAAATAGGAATGCTTTTACACTGTTGGTGGGAGTGTAAATTAGTTCAACCATTGTGGAAGACAGTGTGACGATTCCTCAAGGATCTAGAACTAGAAATACCATTTGACCCAGCAATCCCAATACTGGGTGTATACCCAAAGGATTATAAATCATTCTACTATAAAGATACATGAACACGTATGTTTATCACAGCACTGTTCACAATAGCAAAGACTTGGAGCCAACCCAAATGCATCAATGATAGACTGGGTAAAGAAAATGTGGCACATATACACCATGGAATACTATGCAGCCATAAAAAAGGATGAGTTCGTGTCCTTTGCAGGGTCACAGATGAAGCTGGAAACCATCATTCTCAGCAAACTAACACAAGAACAGAAAACCACACATTGCATGTTCTCACTCATAAGTGGGAGTTGAACAATGAGAACACATGGACGCAGGGAGGGGAACATCACACACCATGGCCTGTCAGGGGGTTGGGGGCTAGGGGAGGGATAGCATTAGGAGAAATACCTAATGTAGATGATGGGTTGATGGGTGCAGCAAACCACCATGGCACATGTATACCTATGTAACAAACCTGCACGCTCTGCACATGTACCCCAGAACTTAAAGTATAATAATAAGAAAAAGAAAGAGGTTTAATTGGCTTATGGTTCTGAAGGCTGTACAGGAAGCATGGCACTGGACATCTGCTTGGCTTCTGAGAAAGCCTCAGGAAGCTTACAATCATGGTGGAAGGCAAAGCGGGAGCAGGCACAACACACGGTAAAAGAACAAGAGACAGAGAGTGGGGTTGGGAGGTGCCACATACTTTTAAATGACCAGATTTCACAAGAACTCACTGTCACGAAGATAGCACGAGGCCATGAGGGATTTGCCCCATGATCCAAACACCCCCCAACAGGCCCCACCTCCAGCACTGGGAATTACAATTCAACATGTGATTTGGGCGGAGATAAATATCCAAACTATATTAGGTGGAGACAGATTTAGCGTTTCTAACAAGCTCCCAGATGATGCTGATACTGTTGGTCTACTGACCATACTTTGAGTAGGAAAGGGCTAGAAAATCACTTCCTTTTCAGTACAATATCCACCTCTCTAGCCCAGAGTCTTATCAACACTCCCTTAATCAAAAGCAGCAGAGCAGTATGCTAGCTGGGGAAGAGGGAAAAAGTAACTCTTTTAAGAGCAGAGCATAATCCTTACAGTTGACAGACATGAATTCAAATTCCAGTTCTGCCACTATGTAGCTATATGCCATTGGGCATATCACTTAACCTCTCTATTTTAGGTTTCCTCATTTGTCAAATAGTGATAGTACTCTACTTCATAGAGATACTGTCATGATTAAAAATAAGTAATGTAGCAAAGCATTTAGCTTGCTACCTCCACTAGATGGTCTCTACGCCTTCATTTAACCTACATTTAACTTCCAGGACAATATCCCTCAAATCTGCATCCCTCACTTCAGTATACTCCTTCAGGGATCTCTTAATGACTACCAAATCAAAGGTAAATTCCTTAATTTGGCATTCAGCTCCTACTATAAATCATGCACCTACCTCCAAGACCCCCTCCACTCCTTCCTATTCAATACCACCTCTGGTCGTCACCCATATCTTCCCCATGCAGATCACCTCACCTCACTGCCACCATTCAATTTACTAATTCTGAAATGTGGGGACACAAGCATTTAGTGCTCTAGGGAACGTCTAAGCAATTACCCGGTTCAAACTCTTCATTTCACATACCAGAAAATAAAAATCCAAAAAGGCCTAAGCAACTTGTCCTTGACAAAAAAGTTATCATCAATTATAATGAAAACCTGGTTTCTGAGCTTGAACTCCAAAAGTTCTTTTCAGTTTGTTTTCCCATTCTCTGCAACAAACCTCAAGACCCACATAAAACTCACTTAAATAAAAGGCCCTCCCTCCACAATCTCTTAGAATTTAGGCATAAAGTTTATGCTGTGGTTTTTTTGACAGGATGCTAAAACATATGGCTGATTCAGCCAATACATCAGGAAGTAAAATCAATGAAACCAACTACTTGCCTTGGTATAGACTAAATCAATTGAATATTGTAGCACGTAGTATTTATTATTTTTGGAATCTGGTTTAATATAACCTAGATTGCTAGTTACCTTATTCTAGGTGATTATCTTCTCCTGCCATCTAGATTACATTTTTCTTAAAAATAGGAACTTTATCTTATTCACCCCCAATTGCCCTGTCCAAGTATCTTGTTCTCCTCTTCATGTACTGTGTAAATAACTGCTAATTTGCTGAATTAAAGATGCATTATTTTTCATAATGTTGAGTTTTACTTAACCTTTGCAGTCTTTCGTATCTAGTCCACTTTGTTATAGTATCATCCGTCCACTCTGTTTTATTCTGATGAATTTTCCTGATCAATAGCATAAAAACTTAGAAAGATAATTCTCAATGGCTATGTGTTTTATTTACTAATATATACCTTTGTATCACAAAAATATTTTACATCTGTGTACTTTATATCCCCAATTGCACAATATATACCTTGAGGATTAAAAATATGTCCTCTACTTTCTGTCATTTCCTCAACTATAATCCCTTCTCTTCCACCAAAATACTTGAAACTGTGCTATACACATAGCACAATGACTAAAATAATCATTGTTATTAAACTGCTAAAACATATATAAGCTAGCAATTTGGCATATTAAGACAACCCAAAAATTTTAAAAACAAAAGTGAAATGTTGATACATGTTATATATGCAAAAATATGTGCAAATTGCAAATTAATTGAATTTTTTAGAACAAAATACAAAAGATAATTTTAGGTGTCAAAAATATGATAGTGGGTTAAAAACACCCTAAATGCTAAGTTATTGAAAAATTTTTTTTCTAGTTTTAAACATTGTTTCATAGTTATCCTAAATGCTAAGTTATTGAAAAAAACCTTTTTTTCCAGTTTTAAACATTGTTTCATACTCTACTGATATGAGAGAAAAGTAAAACATCTATTTCGTGGCTTTTGTAAGAACTGATTAGTGCTACACCTAATTTTACACAAAAAAAGTCTTCCTCAAAAATTTGGTACATTAAATTTATGTTGTGCACACGGACAGGTTTATATCTAAGCCTGTTTTAGACACTTTCTAAGAGCTAATTATTTATAGGCATCCTGGAGACAATCTCTCTAAAGAAATCTGTTGGAAAAAATGATTTACATGCTTTATTAATCCAAATTTTTGTACATTGGATTTTTGTAAAGAAAAGTATACCAAAAAAAATTTTTAATATTATAAATTATGATAATAGTTCAGCCTTTTTCTTAATCCCTGAGATTTAAAAAATAGTTCCATTCCTAAAAAAAAATTTCTTCACACAAACCTGTGTCTCGCAATGCCCACAGCCTTTCAGTAACCTAGGTTATTCAGAAATTTTTAGTTAGAAAGACACCAGGACAATAAATGACTGTTCTATATTTTCAGCTTCATTTTAGCCTTCCTGTATTCACACCCTAGAGGTTTCAGATTTTTATCCACAAAGTGATTATGGTCTAGGACTGAATCAGATTTGTAACATACATCTACTGGGATCCTTCGACCTATCGTCGAGGGGCAGAGCCAATATATGTCTTCTAGCTCACTGAATCCTTTCACCTTACCTTAGAGACTTTCCATAGTGCTATATAGTTAGAAGCTTTCTTTCACAAATGACAAAAATGAATGAAAAATGATTTCAGAATAGAAAAATGGAAACCCAAGTAATTATATGGTGTCTAAAGTCTACTCTATATCTACCCACCTTAGTGCCTAAACATTTTAAAGTGTACAGAAAGGGATATTCTTTAAGGTTGTAAATCTCATTATCTCTAACTTTATCTGATTACTGACATGCACCATTTATACTGAAACTCCAATATATCCAGCCACATGATAGCATAAAACTTCTAACAGTGATCTACAATAGTCTAGAAACTATTACGATTTTTTTGTTTTCCAGAAAAAAATCAAGCATAAAGCTAATAAAATGAAACTTCTAATAAGTATACTTTCTTCTAAATAGAATATCAAAATGAAACTCTAACAGCAGTCATGCAATCATTTATAAATAAAATACAGACTCTTATTCTTTTTCCTAAAAAGGTATTTGGCATGTCATTCTCTCTTTTTTTGCTATTGGTCTCAAAATGTAGTTCTTCTCAAAAAATATAAAACATAAGAAGCATTTCCAAAGAGGGAAAAGAAAAATTTACAAAGTACAATATTTTTAAGCTACAAGCTATACAAAAATCTGTCACCATCTATGTTACAATTCTAGTAATCAATAAGGTACTTTTTTCCAATGTACAACTCAAAAATCAATTATATCAACTCTTTTGTATAGAGAAGCAGCACACCTTTCAGGCAACTAGTATTAATGAGTAGACATGACTATAGAATCTCCATCTGTTTCTCTGACAAAGCTGTGGCTACTCTAGTCTCTCATTGAAATTCCATTAATCTGGTGTACCAAGGTCCAATGCGAAAATCAAAACTGCATCTAACCCTTTATCAGCTCACAATAACCTACAAGTGAACTCTGCCTGTTAGCATGCAGCAAGTTATGATTTTGCTATCAATCAGGCAGTTGGCCAATAAAAAAAAAAAGGCAGGCTGAAAACAACGTACCTGGCAGGGTTTGGAAACTTTCTTTTTGTTGTTTTCATCCCCATTCAATTTCTATACGGTGCCTGGACCTTGTAAGATTATGCATTATTCTCCTTGGCTATGATTTAATTGCTACCAGCAATCAAGTCGAAGCATCACTGAAGTGTGCTTGAATTTCATTAGAAGATATAACTTATGCTGCTTTCCTACAGTACCTAATAAACCATAAAGAAACCAAAACACATATGGCTTGGGGGAATAACTGGAAAATTAGGTGGCCATTTGGGAACTGAGTGAACTTTTGAACCAGAGGAATAGAGAAAAATAAATATTAAAGCAAAAGACAGACTTAGAATGCACATAGAGATGTGCAGGTTTGACCTTTTCAGTACCTTGAAAATTACATTAGCATTATGAAAAATACATATCATGTTTAGAGTTTATAACCCATTGAAGTTTAGATACTTTCTTAGTGCCTTCCATAAGGTAAAAGTCAAAAGGACAAAACAACAATCTGATTTGACAAAAGGCCTTTTGGTGACCTGTGCTAATTCGGTTATGCTTATTGTTAAATGCATTATCTTTTTTATAATTAATATATTATTGGACTGAGGTCACATAATGAAGCAAATTTATTCATCAAAGGAAAGAGAACACACACAAAATCTAAGTTGAAGAGAGAAAAACTGATACATTGAGATGATATTTTAGAGTGAATATTAAATGTCCAAGTGGTAGTTTAAAAATTAATTTTAATAATGATATTCTTAGAAGAAAATGTGAAAGTATCAAAAACAGTATTATTTATATATCAAAAATGAGTAATACTACAGGTAAAAGTTTTAATCTGCTCAAGAATTGCTTAAACACTAATGAATAGGCACTATTAACAAAAAAACTTGATGTTACATATAAATGTTATTAAATAATATTTAAAATCAATAAAATAACCTTTTAACAACAATCTTTTAGTGTATTTCCTGAATATTTTGTTATAAAAATATATGATAAATTATTTACTATTAAAAAGAAAACAATAATGTAAATGCACTATAATTTAATAATAATTTACTTTTTCTAACAAGCTACTGGAAGATTTCTGGCTCTCATAGATATTTAATTGTTGAATTTCTTTTTAGGTTGCAAATTTTTCAAGAATACACATAGCACTCCCCTGTATATCAAAATGTTTATGCTATTTTAAGAAACTATGTCTATATAGTCTATGAATATATTCTCCGTATGTCTCTCTTAGTATAAATATTCTGTCTGTGTATGTGTATACACACATACATTCATATATACCAACATTTTACAGAGAAATAAAGCAATTGTAATGTGTCTGAAAAATAGTACCACTTAAATAATAATTCATTGTTTTGCCTGAAAATATTATTTCTTTGATTATAAAACATTTTCTAGTAGAAATGCTTTTGAAGATGAGGTTGGAAAGGGTAATGCTCTGTTTTGGTGAAGAGAAAAGAAATGCTTATCTCTTTAAAAGATAGAAAGTGAATATAACAGCAAAAAAAAACCCTCCCTTTAAAAATAGAAATTAAATGTTTGCCGAAGCATAAAATTCAACATAAAATAGATATGACTATTATTGCTACACTTTGTACAAAGTTCTGGATATAAAAAAAGATTGTTTTGTACTGAATCACTGGTTAGAATGTTTATCACTTATGCATGTACTTGACTTATCCCCGTTCTGCAACAGACATAATTTTATACCTCATAAAAGCAATTTATGTTTCCAAAGGGAATAATCTGGATAACATAAAATGTGGAGTGCTCTGTTGCAGGAAGCATATTTTCATTCAGCAATTGTATTTAGAGATGGAACTGCACAGTTTGATCATCACATAGTGGCAGAAGGTATTATTCATTTCTATGTCTATGTGAAACTTTGAGTGCTACAAATTAATATGCATGACTAATTTATTGATACACATTCTTAATTTATAACTATATATTACCCTTATAAGGTTTCTATAATGCAGATGTACTCAATGGCTATAACAGAGAAAGTACATACTACACTAAAAACAAGTTTCATAACTTTGGCAACATTCAATAGCTTTTAGAAATTACTAAGAGATAAATTTATTACTAATTCAGTTAATACAAACACTGCAATATTACTGCATAATATGGTCCACTTTTAAGTGACAATATAAAAATGAAAATGCGCATTAAAAGAAGCATTTGATAAAAACCTGTCTCAGTGTGAAGAGGCAATGTCGGAAAATTAACTTAATATTTTATTAACTCATTTTGTATAAAGTTTTCAGAAAAAAATAGATCAAAAATCTTTTTTATTATTTATAAAATAAATAATACAGTAAGCCTTCAAGTAGCATAATAAAATTAAGCAAGAATCTGATAATATTAAATTAACTATCAAACTGTTACTAATAATATTCATATGATGATACAGGCACTCTCTCAAAAATTTTAGTAAAGAAAATTTCCAAGAAAAAGAACCAACTACATACTTAGGAAAACCTCACCAGAACCACTAGAGAGAGCTCTTCTGTTCCTTAAAAGGTTTTGGTAAAGGTAAGTTAACCGAAGCCTCTATGTTCATCTGCTTTCTCATAAAACTACCACCCATATATATAGCATTGTTTTGTGTGAGTGTCAGAGTTACGTGGGAAAATGTCACATACCATCAGAGGGGGCTTCATCGTCTTTATCATATCGTTCTGAGGCTAATGAAATAGTGTCTGGAGGCCCAGCAAAAGGGTCATCATATTCTTCCCCATCTTCTGCATCACCTGTTAAAAAAAAAAAAAATCAGAGAACTGCCTTTTATACTTTAGCCATTTAAAGTAATGTTACTTAATGTTAATGTTACTTTGTTAGAAGAGGTAAATTCTACTAGTAAATTGAGTCATTGTCATGGAAAAACAAAGAAAACTTTTAAAACTAGGTAAAAACAGGTCTTATTTTATTTTATAGCCATTGTAACTTAGATATAGTAAGAATTTTTGAAGGTCATTATACAATTGCTTATTTATGACACAAAAGGATATAGTCCAAAATTATGATGATCTCTACAAAGAAGAATCCAAAAAGTAGAAGCAGGGTAAAACAGAGTGTATATCCAAACGAACAAAACCAAGATAACAGTAACAACAACAACAACAAAACCCAGGAAGCACAACAGAAAACATAATACAAGTAATTCCATTTACCTATTCAATAATTTGAAAAATTATGATGAGAAACTAATAATTTGAAGCTGTATGAATATTTTGTATAAAATCATTTTATACATTTTTATACATTTTATACATTTTTAGAGAGGATTAAAAATAATCTGTTGCATTTTCCAGAGCACAAATCTTTTAAAATCTTTTATAGAAAAAACTGCTTTAAAATTTTCATAATCTTTTTAAATTCAAGTAAGGGTAATTTACAAACTAGACACTTTCAGTTTCATTCAATGGTATGTTATTACTTTTTAATGTTCTGGCCAGTTTCCAACTTGATTTTCAAATCCTAGGTTCGTTGGTCGATTTTTTGATTGACTTTTCTATTTTAGGCTAATTAATCTCCACAAGATCTTGTGGTTTCAATTTTTTCCATATAATCATTTAAAATAATTTTTTTAAAAAAACACAAATATTTGCTAGCCCAGTTACACATAAGCATTCATTTGTCACCCGGATTTCACAACAAAGAAAAAAGTATGCTTAATTCTACATTAAGTATTTGACTGTTGAATTCAAGTTACCTGACAGAAAAACAGCCACCTCAGGGATTACCCTTAAAGCACAAGGAAAATCCCCATAGGAACCGCAGAGTGCCTATAGTATTACTTTTGAACCACAGTTCCTGGCAGATTCAGATTAATGCTACTTGTCTCTCCAAAAGGGTATCTTTGTCCTCTGACACCCATTTGATGGGTGTCACCCTATTTGTTACCACATTTTTGGTAGAGAAAATAGCCTCTCTCAAGACAACACTGTCCAAATAATTTTTTAAAAATACATATTCCTATTTCCTTATAATTTTGCCACTTTGTGAGCAACTGTCATCAGAGACATCTCTCATTAAGATGATAAGGGCAGAACATAGAGATGGCTATATTGTCATCCTTAGGGATTCTACTACTAGGTACAGTAAATATGGTGATGTTACTCCCACAGTTAAAATTCTAAGGAACACATAAATACTACTCATTCTTTGGAACTTAATTTCTCTTTCTTTTCAGATGTTCAAAGTCCTTTTCAGAACACTCAATGATCCCTTACAATATTTCTCTTATGAAAAGAAGAGTGCTAGGCTGGTGGCAGTGCTCACGCCTGTAATCTCAGCTACTCAGCATGCTTGAGGCCAGAAGATCGCTTGTGGCCAGGAATTAGACACCAGGCTGGGCAACATAGCAAGACCACATCTCTAAATAAAAATAAAAACAATTAGCCGGGTGTGGTGGCCTGCACCTATAGTCACATCTGTGGGAGGCTGAGGTAAGAGGACCGCTTGAGCCCAGGAGTTTGAGGCTGCAGTGAGCTATAACTGCACCACTGCATTCCAGCCTGGGCAACAGACCAAGACCCCATCTCTAAAAAAAAATTTTTTTAACAAAAGAAGAGTGCTCTGATTTCAAATATAAGGTAGGAAGGAACTTCATAAAGTGCTAGTAAACATATTTTGATCATGTTACAACAGTTCATGGAATATGTACCAGTAGGGATCAAGAAATTCTCAGTTACTCTTAGTTGTTAGAGTATCTTTACATTCTTAATGAAATTAAGAATTTTTGTGGTATGAATTTTCCAAGAATATTTCATATCTCACACAAAAAAAATCTTGCTGCAAAAAAAAGTATTAGGATACTTCAAAAACATTACTAGAACTTAGCATGTGGCATATTTTGCTATTATAACTATTTAAAACCAACAGTGAAACCAAATAATATATAGCAAAGATTTTGAAAAAAATTCAGATATTCAGGCTTAAATTATATTAAATTCTAGGTGGAAGTAAACAGAAAAAATTAAAACTTAGTTTTTAAAATTAGAAGTAGTTTATTATCCTTTGATAACATCCATTATTATGTGTGCATATATATATGTGTATATATGCATTTATATACACATACACACAAATGCAAACACGATTCTATATTCAACGAATATGTATAAATATATACATACATATCAACAGTTCATTACTAAAGCTATAAACTCAAAGTAAAGAGTATTTATTCTACACAAACTGATCACTAACAGGTGAAAGACCTGAGAGGCTTTCATGGTTTGGTTTTTATGAAAGTCATGGTTTTGACTTTTATAGAAAGTCATGGTTTCGGTTTTTATTTTAAAAAATAGACCGGGTGCGGTGGCTCACGCCTGTAATCCCAGCACTGTGGGAGGCCAAGGCAGGTGGATCACCTGAGCTCAGGAGTTTGAGACCAGCCTGGCCAACATGGCAAAACCCCGTCTCCACTAAATATACAAAAGTTAGCCGGGCATGATGGCAGGCACCTGTAATCCCAGCTACTCGGGAGGCTGAGGCAGGGAGAACTGCTTGAACCTGGGAGGCGGTGAGCCAAGATCATGCCACTGCAGTGGGCCAAGATTATGCCACTGCACTCCAGCCTGGGCAACAGAGACTCTGTCTCAAAAAATCAAAATAAAAATAAAACGCTTTTGGGTTATATATTAAAATGAAATTGTCTTCAACTTACCCATTCTAAGAATTGCAGCTCACTGCAAGTATTTTTTTTTTTAAATCAGTGTGATGTTTACATTTACCTAAGACAAAATGAATTAAGTACTGCTACTGGCTTCACTTCTTCCTTATTTTTTTCTCCCCATAATCCTTTGAATTAACTCAGAGAGCAAAGAATCTATATGCTATATATACAGGGATAGCCCCTTTTTAACCTGCATTAAGTGGAAAGGACACATCATTTTTCAAGATGGTCTTCTTCATCTTACCATTGTTCCAGTGATGGTCCATCCCTTTTCCTCCCCCCTAATTTTTTTTTCGACCCAATAAAGAGTAAAAGCTGCTGTCTTATAAGGAGTTTTAACTGAACGCAGGGGTTACTGTTGAGTAGTGCAAAGCATTTTTCCTCCCCAGGGGCTGAGTATTTGTAGTTATACCTGCAAAGACTTCGATAAATTAAAAAAAAAAAAGTTCAACTTGCATTTATGTAATACAAAACTGAACTCCAAATCAACAATAGGCATCAGGTAAACATATCCAATATAATTTACAGACATAAGTGAAAGCATTACAGCTAATCACACATCTAAAGAAAAGCACACTCAAATGAAATGTCTACAGAATCATTAGTTGGCAGCCATTCTATTACAATCACACAAAATGTCAGTGGTGCTGTGAGCCTGTGCCACTGACAATAGCATAAATTTTGCATCTCATTTCTGTGGTCATAAAATTAATGATCAGTTTAAAAATACTTCTTTGTAAAAGTTATTGCACAAAGAAAAGACATGAATGTGTCCCTGTTATGTACTCACAAGGATAATGATGGGGTTGTTGCTCATTAATACTGTTTCTTGTTTCCCTAGAAAAGCATTTGATTTATCCCACAACTTTCAAAAGTTTAATTAACGATACAAAGTTAACAGAATAAAAGACAATGATCCAAGACTTACCTTCCTATAATTTCAGTAGTAACAAACATTGCAACAAACTCAAGGTTTAATCATACTACAGCAGCATATTTTTCTGAAAAACATTTTTAAATTTATACTAGCTGGGATCAAATTACTATTAGCCATTCTTTCTGATATGGTTCATTATCAATTAACATTTTCCCAAATGCCTAGAGATGTAGCCCAACAACAACTGAACAGTCATAATCTCTACAACCACTGAAGCTGATTTACCCAATTTGTTGCTTGTTTTTTCAAAACAGTCCTATTTTAAACACAATCAGGTAAACAGGAAATGAAGTAATATACAGGTTGAACATCCCTAAATCAACAGAACTCCAAAATGTTCCAAAATCCAAAACTTTTTGAGTGTCAGTATGACAACACAAATGGAAAATTCCATGCCTAACATCTTTGCTTTCTGATGGTTCAATGTACGCAAACTTTAGTTCATGCACAAAATTACAAGGTGTATATGAAACATAAATGAATTTAGTGTCACACTTAGGTTCCGTCCCCCAAGATAGCTCATTATATATATGCAAATGTCCCAAAATCCAAAATCTGAAACACTTCTGGTCCCAAGAACTTTGGATAAGGGATACTACTAAACCTGTACCTAAAATCTGAGTGATAACCATTCCTTCTTACTGGAAGACAAATGGGGAAAAATTACTCTAATGAAAATAAATTAATTTCTAATTCTCTACATAGTTCACTTGTCTAATTTTTCAAGTAATAATATATAGCTAAATATACATAATTAAGCATTTAACTTGTCATTTCTTCAGGAAAAGTTTCATTCTTAAGGCTCTGAAGAATCTAGGTCAATGAAAGGAAGATTCTCCTCATAATTCTTCTACAATAGGAGGGCATGCAAATACTAAAGACAACTTCTGGCACAAAACTGGGGCAGAGCTTTAAAATAAGAAAAAACCATTTTTCAAGCACTGCCTGTGAAATATACTTCTACTACTACAGGTCCCATCATTTCAAACATGCTTAAGACATTTTTACAAGGCCAATGGTGGGGGTAGGTGGTCGAAGGAAAAAGCTGTGAATTATTTCCTCAGATTTCACTGTGGAGTTATCGTTCAACAGAAAACACACTATGTTAGGAAGGGTTAAAAAAGGAAATTAAACATCATCCAAACTTCAGACTTTTCTGCTATTCTTATTCTGCTATTCTTAGTCCATTAATAAACTTAAGAAACAGCATGAGTGAGAAGGTCAAAGGAAACTGCTTTCTAAGTAAATCTATGCATATTTAACAATATCAATAAAATATTAAGGCAAAATCTATTTTTTTTTACAATTAGAGCAAAAAGATTTTAAAGGAGAAAATGAGACTTTTATCTATCTCTAGCACCTGAAGCAGTATATTCCCCTTTTTCAAAACTGTAGACACTAGGCCGGGCACAGTGGTCCACACCTGCCCGGCACTTTGGGAGGCCAAGGTGGGCAGATTACCTGAGGTCAGGAGTTCGAGACCAGCCTGACCAACATGGTGAAACCCCGTCTCTCCTAAAAATACAAAAAATTAGCCAGGCGTGGTGGTGGATGCCTGTAATCCCAGCTACTCGGGAGGCTGAGGAAGGAGAATCGCTTGAACCCAGGAGGTAGAGGTTGTAGTGAGCAGAGACCACGCCACTGCACTCCAGCCTGGGTGCGACAGAGTGAGACTCCATCTCAAAAAAAAAAAAAAAAAGCTGTAGACACTAACATTTTACAAATTTGAAAAAAAAATCTCATGAAACATTTGACTAATGCTAATAAATATGCCCTTCTTTTAATAATTGATCATTTTCCCCCAAATTGTTTGAAAACTGAATTTATGAATCAAGATTAACTTAAATCTTCTTGACAAATGAAGTTGAATCTGAGAATATGCATTAATATTTATTAAACACCTACTATGTACTTTCACATTATCTTATTTCAGTACATCATTCTATAAAGAAAGTAATCACACCTAAATCATCTCTGGAGAAAACTGAGACTAATACATGATCAAGACACAACTATAGCCCAAATTTTTTTATCATGTACTTAATATATACAGTATTAGAAAATTCTTATTAGTCAATAACAGTATTTACTAAATAGTAACATATTCTCATTGCAAAAATAATTATTTCAAGTCAACTAAGAGACCTATGACCTTGTTATGTGATAGAGAACAATGCTGAAATAATCACATAGCATAATTCCAGTGCATGAAGCCTAAATTCGGGAGGATACTTTATAATATGAGGCAATATTGCAAGTAAAAATCTACGGTTAGAAACTAGGTTATTCTGTCGGCCGAGCATGGTGACTCATGCCTGTAAGTCCCAGCACTTTGGGAGGCCAAGGCGGGTGGTCTCTTGAGCCCAGGAGTTCAAGACCAGCCTGGGCAACATGGCGAAAACCCATCTCTACAAAAAAATACAATACACAGGCAGCGTACCTATAGTCCCAGCTACTCAGGAGGCTAAATGGAAAAAGGATCACCTTAGCCTCCCAAAGGAGCTGGGGGAGGCTGAGGCTGCAGTGAGTCATGATCACACCACTCCACTCCAGCCTGGATGACAGAGTGAGATCCTATCTCAAAAAAAAAAGAAAAAAAAAGGAAAAA
The DNA here is from genome assembly GCF_000001405.40 of Homo sapiens. Taxonomy (NCBI): domain Eukaryota; kingdom Metazoa; phylum Chordata; class Mammalia; order Primates; family Hominidae; genus Homo; species Homo sapiens. The sequence continues at coordinate 26,850,613 of NC_000007.14, forward strand.
GAAAAGAAAAAAAGAAACTAGGTTATTCTGTCACGTACAATACTTTGAAGGATATAAGAAGGAACTATCTGTTCCAGATAAAACAAGCAATATTTCAAATGAATAACAAGGACTAGACTAAGCAAGAAGTGTTCTAGCTGATTAGATTCAAATCTTTCCTAAGTACAAGTAAAATTAAGGAATTTAGAAAATCAGCTGATAATTATTCTAAAGCGGCAATTTGTCAGATCTCTTCAATAGGGGAATCAAGACTTGCACATGTAAAGATAAAAGAAGAATTTTAATAAATGAAAAAGAAAGTTTTAAAACAATAGCTTTCTATGGAAATGAATATAAACAAGTGAAAAATTAGCCTAATACACAAGCTTCAGTATCTAGAAGCCACTGTAATAAAACGAGTTTCTACCAGTGTAAACTATTCTCACCCAAAAAAATGGAAATACCAAAAAAATCTCCTAAGATCTATGCAGCCTAGTGTTTCAACTACCATATCAACTCAATTAATTTTAAATTTTAGGAATTGACAGCCAGGCAGGGTGGCTCATGCCTGTGATCCATCACTTTGGGAGGCTGAGGCAGCTGATCTCTTTAGCCCAGGAACTCGAGACCAGTCTGTGACACGTGGCGAAACCCCGTTTTTACCAAAAAAAAAAAAAAAAAAAAAATTAGCTGGGCATGGAGGCAAGCACCTATAGTTCCATCTACTATATAGTTCCATCTACTCCAGAGGCTGAGGTGGAAGGATCATTTGAGCATGGAAGGCGGAGGTTGCACTGAGCCAAGATGGTGCCGCTACACTCCAGCCTGAGACGCAGAGTGAGAGACCCTGTCTTCTCAGCAAACTATTGCAAGGACAAAAAACCAAACACCGCGTGTTCTCACTCATAGGTGGGAACTGAACAATGAGAACACTTGGATACAGGAAGGCGGACATCACACACCGGTGCCTGTTGAGGGGTGGTGGGGGTGGGGAGGGATAGCATTAGGAGATATACCTAATGTAAATGACGAGTTAATGGGTGCAGCACACCAACATGGCACATGTATACATATGTAACAAACCTGCATGTTGTGCACATGTACCCTAGAACTTAAAGTATAATAATTAAAAAAAAAAAAAAAAGAAATACCTCAAACTGTAAAATCTGTATTGTTAAATCTCAGGATGGGAGATTATCTAGAGTAGAAGGGAAGGATTTGTGAGGGAAGTAAGGAAGGATGATACACATCTGTGTGCCTTAGAGAAATTAATAACCGACTTATTAGATATGAATAAATCTGAATTAACTCTTTTTATTTAAGAACTCTCTACCTGGTCCTTTTTACCCCCCCAATAGTGACATCAAAATGATACTTAACTGTCATTTAAAATACATATATGCATATATGTAAATAAAATAAGGGTGTAAAGGTAGAAAGGAGGAAAAAGGTTATGTTCACAATGTGACCCTACATTGACTAGAGAGAGAGACAAGAGGGAAGAGAAAGGACGGGAAAGCAGCCAAAAGGACTTCTGCCCAGACCTTCTTGGATAAAGATAATCCAAAACCTCAAAGGGAAAATGTAAGGTGGAGAAAAGGCAGCACCACCAAAACGTACTTAGAATTGAATTTACTCAATGTAGAGACCTGAAAATAAATTCCTATTTTTAAAAAAGATGTACTATATATTGAATAATTACTTTGCAACTATTAGGTCTGTACCCTTTACTATGCCTAACAAAGTACAGGAATAGTCTTTTTAGAACAAAGCTGAATATACTTTGAGTACACAATGGCATAAAAGTACTCAGCTCATATTTCTCCAAGGTATACATCTAATTCATCTACAGGCTTACTTCTGAACAGGCACTCTTTGTGATTAGTTAACTCAATACAGCAGTATTGAACTACAAATGACTTATTCAGAGGAAAATGATTATGAGCAATCTCTAAATTCTATGCTATTTGAACTCCATTTTATGCTCATTTTTCAATTTCTATCAAATACCATATAAATTTCCATTCTCTTTAGAGACAAAGAATGTATCTCAGTAATGTAATTTTAATATCCACACACCTGAACGAATTCTAAAACAAAATACCAAAGGGAAAGCTTCCCAACTATTACTGATCCATATGCAATTACACAATTACTTCATATCATGCTTTTTTAGCTTAAAAATTTTAAATGTACAAATAATTAAGCCACAAAGCACAATGCAAGTTCGATAATCACTGGAAATAATATGCCTTTTAAGAGAGGCAGAATCTGATATCTAATATTCTTCCATAAAGTATACTACATAATAAAAGTTATCGTAATTAAAATGCATAAATTCATTTATACATTCGTCTAAACAAAATGTAGCATAATTAAACCCATAGTTTAGGATTTCTTGTAGAGCACAAAAAAAACTGGGTACTTACAGGGAATAGTTTCCTGCTCATTTCTTTATTTAAGTGTTAAAAATCTTAATATGAAAAAAAAATCTCTTCTCATTCCCTTCAATCATACCAATCTTGATGATCTAATGGGAAAATAAACTGTGACTTCCTTTTAATTGATTTTAGGTTTGTCTGGTTAAGTTCTTTGTTTATTGAAACTGTTACCACCTTCTCACTTACCAGTTGGCACAAATATGATTTACTCTGGGATCTGCTAGCTTCAGTTAGAAGATGCCATACTGTGTGTCTTCCTCAAACCCAGAACCTAGCTCCATGGAGGTTAACTAACCTCATATTGTAACCCTCACACCAGCATCCACAAGCTGTACATCATAACCTATGAATAAGTATCATGGAAGTAAGGGCCACACCCAGTTTCCCCTAAAGAATTGAATATATAAAGTAGTAGGAAGTTCCTATACCTTTCCTGATCTGGTTTTCAGTCTGCTAAGCAGCTGTCTCTCAAATCTAGAGGGAGACAATCAGGTTATCAGCATTCTCACATATTTCAAAAAAAAATGAAACTGAATTCCCTTCTTTAAAAAATGTCTATGGCCCCTATGTATTCATATCAAAATAACCACAAGGAAAATAAAAACTTTCACTTGAAAAAGATTTTATTGTTTGTTCTCAAACAAAAATTTACACTGTTTTCAAAATATCCTTCAAAAACATTACCTGTGAGCACTCAGCCACAGGACCTTCTCCCACCACCACTATAAAATAATCTCTGCAGTGTTAAATGGCAGTGGGTTAGTATCTCACCTCTGCTTCACCAAGTTATTCCACGTGTAATTGCACGTTTTTACCTTTCCTAACAAATTTCTGCCACAATGTACTCTAAGAAACACAAAACCTAAGAATGTTAAATGCCTAAGATTTCCGCATCAGAAGACTGTGCAGAGTAAATTCTGGATATACTTTTTAATTTTCTTCTCAGCAGGGGGAGCTAGCACTCTCATCTTGAAGGTCTAAGTACACATTACGGAAATCTAAATTTTAATTCCAACTATCAAATTTCAGTATGTGTTAGATTATCCTATTGAAAATTTCCACAGAGGAAAAAAATTTTCAAGTTTGCCAAACATGAAAACTTACCTTTGTCTTGAAATTCCTGAAGATAGCTACAAAACAAAGAACATATTTTTAAATGAGGTTGAAAAATCAAAACAAGGTCTAATCAGTAACAATAATTAAAATCCAAAATCTATATTAAAAATACACACCTAGATATACATTAGAAAAAAACTAATTCCTGTCCTGAAATGACAATTCCAAAATGCTTAAAAATTTTAAATAAAATAATTTTTAAGGATCTAAGTACAGTAGTAAAATGAGGATATATCTTTAATACTTATGACATGTAAATATATTACATTTATTCATTTAAAGTAGTAACAAAAGAATTCTCTTTCTTCAGTGTCAGGTATTTTCTGTATATTAAAGTCCTCAATCCACCTTTGTCTTATCATTTAAACCAAATATACCCTCAGATAATCAAAATAAACAGCTGAACTCTGCTAGAATGCTCAGAAAAATACATAATCAAGAAGGGTACTATGATAAGCATATCTGTGTTTAAAAACTATATAGTGGAAATATATTTTTTGCCCTTCAAAAATACTTAACATCAGTTAAACTGGAACATGAAAAATTTAACTCCATAATAATCGATTTCTTATTAAAATGTTAGTTACAAAACTGCTTCTATGTAAGAAATCAGTAAACAAAAGGTAAGTGACTTACATAGACTTTACATCTTTTATCTTCTTAATAAGGGATTCTCTCTTTTCCTTTGCTTTCTTGGATAAATTTTCTCCTTTCAGTATATCTGCTACAAATGTTTCAACATCTAAACCATGCAATATAAGAAACAGGATACAAATTATAAGAAATAAAGGTTTTGTGAAGATAAATAGGACAATGATTGTTTCTACATATAAGTGTTAATACCTGTACAATTTGTTATAGTTATTTATCATTCCAAAGCATAACAGTTGAAGTGTGTTTCAAATACTAAGTTGAACAAATCTGATCACCACTTAGCTAATAAAATTTGTAAGTTCTACTTATGCTTACCACAGCAAATACTATTTGGATGTTTGGCATCATTAAACAAGGAAGAAGCACACACCAAGTTTTAATAAACTATGGTGCCCCATAAAACAAATTCTTTATATGGAAGCAAGCACCAAGCTTTTAAGCATGTGTTAATATCATTTTCTAGTATTTTGTAAGTTCCTGTGTGAAAATGTCATTCATATTATTATGTCAATACAAGCTAATGTCTCTGGCAAGGGTCTGTTTTCCCTAGTATAATCAATTTTCAGGTATATCCAACATGTAATGCTTTAAAGGAAAAAGTAAATCCACTTTTCTAGCCAAGATTCCCAAATCAAGCCCTCCTTCTTCCTACCTACACACTCATTCTGACTACCCTCAAATAAAAAAGATAACCAGCTGTGTAGTTTTGTGAGCTCTTGCTTCTTGCCTTGGTATTACCACCTGAAATATTTCTTAAGGAAGAAGTACAAACATAAGTTCTTCCACTATATAAAAATATAGTCACCAAGAAACAAGATTTCTGTGGCTTCATGTAACATTCCCTCATAGCCTCTTTTTTTAATTTTAGTAAACTTCTAAATTACGGTGCTGTCTGGGTCTCTCTAGTGTAAAATTCCAACAAGTCCTTACAGGTTTAATTTTTATACTAGTTCCATTCTTATTATTCATGAAATACTGTGCAATTTTAATTTTATTTTCAGAATTTCACACCTCATTTTGAAATATCTAATATGGAGGATATCATTAAAGATGTTTAAGTAGGCATGGCTATAAATCATTGATTATTTCATATGGAAGGGATTTGTGTTTTACTTTCTTTTTCCTTAACTACTTTGTATAGCATCAAAACAATATTACGTATAAATAGTTCAAAGTAGTATAATAATCTAATAATCTTTCAACTGTACTTACAATTAACCATTTAAAACCTAGTATATGTGATAGAATGTTTGTAATTCTTGATTACAAAAGTATCTTGATCCAATGAGGAAAGCCAATTAAACTTTTATACATTCATAATAAATGTGTACAGGTAATTTTTCACTAAGTCAATATGACAAGTAAAATAATTAAGAATACTGTAATAATTTAAAAAAAATAGCTTATGGTTTGAAGTCTATTAACGACTAATGTGTTAAAAATTTAAGTATCAAAATGAAATGAAAGCAAATGTCACAGCTTCTCTTTCCTTGAGTTATATTAACAACTGATGTATTAAAAAATAAGTATCAAAATGAAATGAAAGCAAATGTCACAGCTTCCCTTTCCTTGAGTTATATTAACAACTAATGTGTTAAAAAAAAGTATGAAAATGAAATGAAAGCAAATGTCACAGCTTCTCTTTCTTTGAGTTATATTTTGATGTGGGGGACATAGAGACATAATCTAGTACCAGTGCAAATTAGACACAGACTTCTAAAGTGAATTCAAAATAACAAAACTTATGAAGAAGCATGTTGCTCTAAAAGCTTTAAATTTTGTGCCCAGAACAGCAAGCAACCTTTGGATATTTCGATATTAGCTGAAATGGAAAAGATCACTGGCTCCCCTGAGATCATTACAGTAACTTTTGCAAGAAAGTGGAATAAGGGAAGAAGCAACATCCCTACTGCTGATTCGTCTTCCAACCAGACTCAATAGGAAGAATCACTGGCCCAATGACTGGGGAATAGTCTGCTTAATGTTATTTTCACTCAATGTTTGCCTTTGATTTCCTCTTCCATGAGTATTTAATTGCCTATTTTATATTTTCATTATACAATCCAAGTTTAAACAAACAATCTATTTTCTATCACTGGAAGTAATAACAATGAATTGCCCCCAAGAGTTTTTTTCTTTAAAAGGTCATTTCAGTTTTATAAAAATTCAGAAAAAAAAAAAAAAGGCTGCAATAAACACTCTACATAGTGCCCTCTAACGCCCCCAAACATGTTTTTAAAATACTGATCCATGTTACTATTTTATGACAAAGTTTTTTTTGAAAGAGTGTGGGACTGTAGGAAGAATCGGTATTTTTCAAGGATGCCAGAAATTCAGAGATTGGGTATGGTCTTTTTTTTTTTTTTTTTAGAGTAGCCTTTTTTAATATACTTATTCCTAAGCTTTTCCCAGAAAAGGTTTAAAGCAACTAAAATTATTTAATAAACAGTGACTTTTTCGTGATTATTTCTCAAAGGTGATGTGGAGAGAGTAGAAACTGCTTTGCTTAAAAAAAAAAAAAAAAAAAAAAAAACTTTAAACTGGAAGCAGTTCCCGAAATAATTTTAGTTTGTTGACTGTCCACAACCAAACTTGGTTGGTTTTTAAGCTTTTGAAATCTAGGTTATTTCTTAAAATCTACACTTTACCCGTTTCTTTTAGAATCGAATGAAACCAGCCTCTTCCAGGCACAGGAGACTCCTAGACGTGCCGGTGGCGTTCGGCCGGTGTCTGAGCAACACACCGATCCTGATCTCGCAACGCAAAGACAGACCAAGCGCCGCAAAGAAGTTGTAGGGCTGCGAGATGCTCCAGCTCTGCCCTCTGAGAAACGCACTTCAGCGTTAAACCCCAGGGTTCCTCTCAGGCGGAGCAGTGAGCATGGAGAGCCGGGTCTGGGGCAGAGCCCTCACTAGACAAATGGGGCTGGATCTGTGGCTTTGTAGCTCAGAGCCAGGGTAATATTTCAAAAGCAAGCAATAAGAGTCTTGGGCGAATCAAGTGTTCCTCTGGCTGGTTGGAGAAGAGATTTGAAGCTTCTTATTGTGCTCTAAATAGCCCTGCAAACGGTAAACTAGCAAGCACAGTAAACTAGCAAGAGCGTTAGCCTTCTTCTACCTTCCTTTGAGGGTCGTGTTCCTCGGTTAATATGTAGATTTCACCATTCCTGAGTGCCCGTAATTCAGGGAAACGCAGTAATTTGATAACAAGAAAAGGTCAGCCTCCCTCGCTCGACCCTTAGCCCGGTTTTTAGAATTCTTCCTCGGAGGCAGGGGCTCAACTCACACTCTCACGCATACTGGCCACGGGAGAGAAGCGTGGGAGGCCCACTCTGCGCCCGCGGGAAAGGGTTTAACTACCAGGTCTAACTACCCCCACCCACCCCCATCTCCTGCCTCCGGGCCGGCAGCCAAATAGACTGCAGAGTCTACACTGCTTGCATTTAACCCCAGAATTACCCCTATCTCCATCAGCCTCCACCCCAGCCCAAGTCATCAGCAGGAAAAAGTTATCCTGGTGAAAGTAAACGTGATGGGATTTTAGCTCCTAATACACCTTAACACTGTCAAGAGTAAACCTTATCTCACGGTACAGCTGTAAGGATCTGGGGGAGAAGGCCTCTGAAAAGATCAGATTTACAACTGCTCTGTCGATAAATGTTAAGGTCTGAAAACAAAATTAAAAGTTGACGTATACTGGCTCAGCAATCTTGAGCAGTTTAAGTTAGAAATCTCTCAATTGCCATGGAGACCCCTAAGAGGCAAACACACCAAATCACTGAATAGTACTCCAATCTTCCTTTTTCCCCCCTTTTAACATATAGACCTCCTAAAAAACAGCCACCCCACCTTTCCCTGGAGTCGCAAGTGGTTGGGACAAGTATCTAACACACACACACTAACTGCTTTCTGCCAACTTCTACACAGATCACATAGTGAAAAGGTGGAACTACACCAGGTCAGAACAGTTTAAATTTTTTTGCAAATGATAAAGTAACTCTCAGCTTCTGGATGTAGTATCTAGCACAGATTCCCACTCTTGAAAAGCAGTTTGGCCACTTGTCCTCACCACCCCCGACTATCAAACAGCCTAGAATAGGGCTTGCATACTGGAGGTTAAAAACAAGTCACAAAGGTAACACCTCCTCTTCCTGCCTAGTCCTCCAACCACCCAATACCTCCTGGCCCATGCATATACACACACTCAGCCTCTGTGATGGCCTGAATTGTATGGGGGAGGGGGAGGGCGCAAGAATTGGGCTGAATCTACCACCATATGCTTAGCCGCAGATCAATAAAATAAAGGTAAAACCAATCACACAGCACCCCCATGGCCTTTCTAACTTAATTCCACATCTCTCTCTACATTGTGAATTGGGCCAGATTTCTCTCTGCTTTCATTGAGATGTGCTGTCACCAAACTTAATATGATAGGGATCCTACCCTAGAATGTAAGCTACCATCAGGAAAAAAAAAAAAAAAAGACATGCTCTTCTCTGTTAAAGCAGGGTATGGCTCTGACCAAACAGGTACTGATAAACATAAAAATCAATTAAACTGGGCACATGCAAATCAACAGAGCCAAATGCCCAAAGTTGGAAAATGGCTAATTGAAAAGTTATTGATTGTTCTAACTGATGTCTTTCCCTGATTACTTAGCACTTTTACAGGTTACAGATGAACTGTGGACTTTTCAAACATGGAAAAGGTGACATGAACTGGCACAAGAGCTCTCATGGTACAATGGGTAAAAAATACCAGAGTCTTACAATCCAATCATTGGACAAAATTTCCAAAATTGACTTTGGGAAGCTAAATGATGTATTTTGATAGAAAGCTGGGCTGTTTAAAGGTAGGGCTGAACATCTTTCAACCCTAAAAGATGACTCTTGATAAATAGCACCTTACAATAATCAAAATCTTTTTACTACATATTTTCAAAGAAGCCACAGTGAATAACACATTAGTCTGAGATTTACACTATATTCAGTTTTAGGCAGCATCTATTGTAATGTGTTCAGAATGTGATTGAAAAAGAAATGTAAATTCAGTGGAATGAAAAAGAGACTTAGCTTTAATTGAAAAAGACAAACTAAGTGAATCATGAGTATATAAAATCTAGCCTATGCCACTTTTATCACCCATATATGACACTTAATCTGAAATTTATGAGACAACTAAACTGTGTTTCAAATCACCAGCAGCTTTTCCTACTCTGTTGTGTCTACCTTCTTTCTAGTAATACTTTAATGCTGGTAACAGGAGCAATAAGCCCATTTGCAAATTTTTCATATAATGCTAATTTTTTAATATGTTTAGATTCTTCTTTTTGAAGAAAACCAATGATAATTTGGATTGGGTAGCTATAAAAACTGTACGTAGTATCAAGAGCCTTATATAGTAATGAGATGAAAATACTTTCAATGGACAGCCATGCCAAAAGATCTCCTCCCAAGAAAAAGCAGGACATTATATACTTAAAATAGGCAAATAATTTTCCTAACACCACATCTTAATTCATCTATATTATTTAGCCCATACAAAAAACTCTGTAAACCTCTAGTCCCTTAATTTACATATATTCCTATTTCTAGAAAAGAATATCTTGGAGGTACGATAGATTTCATTTTGAGATTAAATGTTCTCATATCAACTTTATGCTCTTTAGTGATTGCTGCCCAAATGGGGCAGGCTTGTTCTTGCTCCATAGGAAAACCCAGGTGCTAAGGAGGTAGGTGACTATTGGTGACTCAGTAGGTGGCACTCTTCCCTTTACATACTCAGCCAATGTCCCAGAAGGAAGTTATGGGACACTAGATACACCATAAATAATTCTCATAGGAAAAATAAAACCAAAATGTTGACCAAATTATAAATGGAACTTTGGAAAGGTGGAAATTAAACCGTAATATACTCAGCATTGAAAAAATTCTGCCTCTATTTCAAATAAATTGCACTCTTCACCTAGTGCCCCTACAGGAATCCCTTTAGGGGACTGATTACATACCCTAAATAATATTGTGTGAAAAAAATATTCACACATTATAATCAATGTGTGGGAAAAAATTTTCTAATGTTCTAAAAATTCCCAGTAGGGAAAATGTGGTATTTCTAATCAAGAGTGCCATGTGAACAAAACCTCAAGATCACTTATTTATTGTTTGTTTGGTTTGGTTTGATTTTTCAGAGCACTAACAATCACTATTTTCTTCTTTTAACAATGGTTTCATTTGCTAATTTAGTAAACAGAAAATAACATCTTCTTAGAGCTTTCCTTTTAAAATTTGTTGTCCTAAAACAAATGAATGAGGATGAATGAGAAGGTCTGATTGCAAGCCACTAACAAACCATTATTTAAAGGGTGATTAAACAAATGAAGGAGGCTGGAGGGAAGTGGTTCTAGTTCCTCTTACTTTCTTGCCTGTCTAGAGAAAAAAAAAAATCACATAAATCAAGATTATTCTTGCTGCTAGTCCTAGTCAAAATATTTGGATGTGAGAGAAGATTAAATGGACAAGATTTGGGATTGTCCTTTGATTTCAATTATCCAGGCTAAACCTGTTTTTCCATTGTTGTAGAAAAGAAAAAAATCAAAGGTTGCCTGTAATGCATATGGCAGCTCAAAATTTGCTTTCAACAACGAAATTCTGTAAGTCCTTTTCTGTTCATATAACCAAAAGAATAATCAACATTTTATAAAAAGCATAGGTCTTCAAGACTGACTCCACAGAAAATATAACTAAAAATCAAACTAGATAGCCACTTTTTCAATGGTATCTTTACACAACACATGTGAGTTAACAATAACAACCTCTTTTTTTTTTTTTTTTTTTTTTTACATTTCTATGGAATGGTTTTTATAGGGGAAGGAAAAAGGGAGAGGGAACAAATGTTGAAAGTATAGCATAGAACTGCCATAATCAGACAGAAAAATAAAGAGAAAGAAAAATAATAAATAAGAATACACTTGAGTACCTATCCCTTTTAAGCAGGTGAAATTTCAAACAGTACATATGACATATAATGATTTAGTTTAATAGGCATATGGAACACAAACAGATACATCTAAGCAACATTATTTTAACAGTCATTATCTTTTGATTATATATTCTTCTTTCTAAAAACAAAGGACTTTAAACCCCTGAAAAGTTTAGTTCCTTATCTTCTCTACCTTGGAATTCTAGCATAGTACCATGCATTCTAAGAGCACTCAACTGTTAACTACAACACCATTACCAATATCTCCTCAGTTTCAAAGAAATAGACTAAATAAGCCAGCAATATCTCTAATATTCAAACCAATATAAATACTTCTATAATGTTACTCTAAATCTAGTCATATACTATTACCCAATACACTTGAATTATGAAAAGAATCATGTACAATGCTAACAATATTTTTAGATGAAATACATGAAACAATTGCTGACAGCATCTATTCTTGAAGCGTTCTCTACCTCAAAAAAGATTTTAATTACAGTCAAACATAAAATGTTAGCAACTTTCCAAATAAGTTTTTTTAAAACCTGAAAAACACTGATTTGTTAAATTTCTTTAAACATAAATACGCCCCAACTCACTTCCATACTTCTTGAAAATATCCTCTGAAAATAAAGTGTAATCCAAATTTCCAATTCCAAAAGTTTTAATTGTAATATTTTTTAATACTTCATGTGTGTTTTAATATGTGATTTGCTTTAATAATATAAAATAGTGAAAATGTCAATAAAATGACTTAAAATAATTTCAGATGCTATGCTAGTATATTACCTGACTAAAGAGAGAAGGCAGAAATATATTGGAAGTTAGCATTGGCAGATAATTTAAATATGTAATTTTGAGTTTTTAGTTAAATTACACAAATAAGGGCCACAGGAAATACTTGTGATCTATGGGGATAAGAGAATAAAGGTTCTCATGACCTACATATCATATTATCTGTGATTTATGATTATGGATCCAAATAACAAACTGTACTATGGGAGGTACCAAGCTTTAAAACATGCACCCAGAGGTCTATATGTTATTTCTTAAATTCAAAAATACAGACATAGAATATCCTGAAAATGGTTTCATCTATTTTTGGAATAATGATAAACATTTTTCTGCGCTGGTTATTACAATAATATTCTGAACAAACAATTCCAGCATTGTAAAAACAAAAAATGTTAAGTGTAGTAAAACAAAATCAGTAGTCATGTGATGCAATAAAGCTGCCTGAAGTCAGTCTTTAGACTTCTTTAACTATTTCCCTTAGTGGTACCCGTTAATGACAACAAGCATTTCTTAGAGTGAAAGACTATCCCACCACAAATGCATTCAACATACTGTACCATAATCATACAAACATAAGTCTACATTCATACACTTAATATTACACTACCATATTAATAATGCCAAGCACCAAAATTGAATGACAGAATATTAGGAGATTTGGACTCACATTGCTATAGGAGTAACATATAAAATGTGTCATCAAATGTCACATTTTAGATGACATTGCTTTTTAAGAGCTAGAATAAGCAATCTGTAATCTAGTTATTCATAAGCAATACTGAGAGATAAATATTTTATAGACATCTAAAACTAAAAATCAAAATTCAGTTTCCAGAATTCTGACGTACACAAGACAAAATAAATGATGGTTGAAATTCCAGAACATTGAGATAGGTAAGATTTGTGCTACCTTAAAAACATATATTTTCTACCTTGTACAGAAATATAAATTATTGGTTCTTAGTGAACATACACACCTCCGTATCCAGTAAATTAATGAACTAGTAGTGGATTCATAATGCTACTGAAGAACCACGTTTTTAGCTCCTAAAATAAGTTCCTATAAATGGTAATGTAAAACTGAAAAAGGGAAGATAAGGGTACAAAGATGAAGTACTTTCATCGTGTCACACAGGAAGTAGAACTTTAACATATCCTTCCTTTTTTGCTTTAATATATTACTGAGGCTGGGGACAAGTGGCCATTTGAGAACCAGACCTTCTTCAAAAGTCTTAAACGTGAGTGAGCTGAATGTTTAAGAAAAACGGGAGTTTTAGAAATGACAAACTCTTTCACCCCATAACCCCTAACACCTGTGGCTCTGACAGCTCTTTGCATCTCTACATCCTCTACCTCCATTGGCCAGACCACCCAAGAACTACTTATTTGACTTCTGCTCCCTTCTGCTTGCTCACGCAGCATTCATTATCATTATCATTCTCTCTCCCTCTTCCACTCTTCCTCCCCCGCCCTTCTGTCACACACACACACACACACACACACACACCGTCTTCACAATGCACATAGAAACGTCCTGATCCCATTTGTGTAGATCACCAAAAAGGGCTTCGCCACCATCCCCGCACCAAATTTCAACACACACGTCCACTCCCTTTCTGAGACAAAACAACCCCTCTCCTCTCCTCCCTGTGCCGACCCCACTGGCTAGAAGACGTGGGAAGCGCGGGGAGGGAGGATAAGGGCTCTGAATGCTTCTGTCCCCACCGGCTCACCGTTCCCTCGCCCCCGCCCCGACAGCATTATCGCCGCCTTCCCGCTCTTTACCTGCCAACAGGTTCCTAATTTCCTCAGGGAGGGGGTAGGGAGAGGAGGTGCTGCTGGGGTTGGGCATGTTAGGGAGCGCAGGGCGTGCGGGGAAAGGACCTGCGCTGAAAAGGTGACCGACGGGGTGGGGCTGCGGCTGCGACCTAGACTCAGGCTAGCGGCCCGGATTAAGAACAGCGGGGCTACGAGTCGGGACACTGCCGGGCCGGGGCTCACAACAAGGAAGTCACTGAATCTCCAGCGAGCTGCAGCTGGACTGTCGGCCCAGCCCCGCCCAGAGGGCCGGGGCGGGGAGATGGGTGGGAAGGGACACGAAGGGCCTGAGGGGTCCAACTGCGCATGTGTATTCCTCGGTTTTCCCGGCCCCAGAAGAAAGAGCCTGTGGGCAAGCCACGCCCACCGCTACGCCGGGAAGCAGGAGGAGGAGCCACTGGTGGGAAGGGGGCGGACTGAGGCTGCGTCACCTGATGCTGCGTCACCTGATCCAGCGTCCGGAGCGCCTTACAGCCATTTTCGGTACTGGTGCCATCACAACTGCTGATCGTTTCTGCAGGATTCCAGAAAATAATGTATCCATGATACAGAGTGTATACAAGTTTTGCGATTACGCCTTCTGCGTAACAGTCAGTCCCACCGCAGTTTAACCCACAAGGAATTTTCTCTTGTCCTAAACTATTATGGCCTTCTTTGTCCGATTGAACGGAGGTAACGAAGTCTCGTCTTCCGCCAGTCGTCCGGGCGAAGCCAGTCTGGAGCCGCTCCGGAGCGCGCGTTGTGATTGGCTCTTACATTACTTTTCTACCTAATTCGTATCCTTGGGGTGACAGATTTTCCCCACTACAAGGAAGACTGGGAAGTTCTAAGCACCGTCCTTTGGCAGGAAAAAACAAACAAAACAAAACAAAAAAACAGAAGGCCGAATAGACATTGGCACCACTGTCCATCTACAAGCATCAAAAATAAAATTGCTGGTGGTGGTTAGTAGAATAAAATTATAAAATCTGCTCACTCCAACTTGACCATTTAGTCAACAAATACTTACTGTCTTCTATCTGTAAAGCTTCTTAAAAGTTTTCTCTTTTAAAAAAAATGGCTTCTTTAAAACCTTTAACAGGCATACATCTTTGTGCTTCCCAGATATTGCATTTTTTAACAAATTGAAGGTTTGTGGCAACCCTGCATCAAGCAAATCTGTGGGCGCCATTTTTCCAAAAGCATGTGCTCAGTTCATGTCTCTGTCACATTTTGGTGATTCTAACAATATTTCAAACTTTTTCATTATTATTGTATATGTTATGGTGATCTTTGAAGTTACTATTATAATTACTTTGGGACATCACAAACAGCACCCATATAAGACAGCGACTGTAATCCATAAATGTGTGTGTTCTGACTGCTCTACCAACCCTATACCTTCCTCCATATCTCTCCCTCTCTTGGGCCTCCCCATTCCTTGAGACACAACAATATTGACATTAAGCCAATTAATAACCCTACGATGGCCTCTGAGTGTTCCAGTAAAAGAATCATTTTACTTTAAATCAAAAGCTTACTTTAAATCAAAAGCTAGAAATGATTAAGCTTAGTGAGGAAGGCATATTGAAAGCCGAGACAGACCAAAAGCTAGGGCTCTTGCACCAAACAGCCAGGTAGTGAATGCAAGGGAAAAGTCCTTGAAGGAAAGTAAAAATGCTACTCCAGTGAACACACGAATGATAAGAAAGCGAAGGAGGCTTATTGCTGGTAAAGAAACGTTTTCATGTTCTGGATAGAAGATCAAACCAGACATAACATTCCCTTAAGCCAACGCCTAATCGAGTGCAAGGCCCTAACTCTCTTCAAGTCTACGAAGGCTGAGAGGTAAAGAAGCTGCAGAAGAAAAGTTGGAAGTTAGCAGAGGTTGGTTCATGATGTTTAAGGAAATAAGCCATCTTCAGAGCATAAAATTGTAAGGTGAAGCAGCAAATGCTGGTGAAGCAGCTGCAGCAAGTTATCAAAAAGATCTAGCTAAGGCCAGGTGCAGTGGCTCATGCCTGTAATCCTAGCACTTTGGGAGGATGAGGCGGGCGGATCATGAGGTCAGGAGATCGGGACCATCCTGGCTAACACAGTGAAACCCCGTCTCTACTAAAAAAAAGATACAAAAAAAAAAGAAAATTAGCCGGGTGTGGTGGCAGGCGCCTGTAGTCCCAGCTACTCGGGAGGCTGAGGCAGGAGAATGGCGTGAACCCAGGAGGCAGAGTTTGCAGTGAGCCAAGATTGCGCCACTATACTCCAGCCTGGGCGACAGAGCGAGACTCCATCTCAAAAAAAAAAAAAAAAAAAAAAAAATCTAGCTAAGATATCTGATGAAGGTGGCTATACTAAACAAAGAGTTTCAGTGTAGATGAAACAACACTTATTGGAAAACAATGCCATCTAGGACTTTCGTAGCTATAGAGTAGAAGTCAATGCCTGGCTTCAAAGCTTCAAAGGACAGGCTGATTCTCTTCTTAGGAACTATTTCAGCTGCTGACTTTAAGTTGAAGCCAATGCTCATTTACCATTCTGAAAATCCTAGGGCCCTTAAGGATTATGATAAATCTACTCTGCCTGTGCTCTATAAGTGGAACAACAAAGCCTGGATGACAGCACATCTGTTTACAGAATGATTTACTGAGTATTTTAAGCACACTGTTGAGATCTACTGCTCAGAAAAAAAGATGCCTTTCAAAATATTGCTGCTTATTGACAATGCACCTGGTCACCCAAGAGCTCTGATGGAGATATACAAGAAGATTAATGTTTTCATGCCTGCTAGTACCACATCCATTCTGCTGCCCATGGATCAAAGAGTAGTTTCAACTTTCAAGTCTTATTTAAAAAATACATTTCATGGCTGGCCATGGTGGGTTACACCTGTAATCCCAGCACTTTGGGAGGCTGAGGCAGGAGGATCACTTGAGGCCAAGAGTTCAAGACCAGCCTGGGCAACATAGTGGCACCCCATCTCTACAAAAAAAAAAAAAAAAAAAAAAAAAAAAAGAATAATTAGCCAGGTGTGGTGGTGTGTGCCTGTAGTCCTAGCTACTCATGAAGGTGAGATGTAAGGATCCCTTGGGCCCAGGAGTTCAAGATTACAGGGAGGTATGACTGTGCCAGTGAACTCCAGCTTGGGCCACAAATGAGACCCTATCTTAAAAAAAAAAAAAAATATATATATATATATATACACACATATATATACATATATATACATATATATATACACACATATATATATACATATATATACATATATATACCTATATATACATATATATATACATATATATATATATTATATGGCTATAGTTGCCATAGATAGTCATTTATCTAATATATCTGGGCAAAGTAAATTGAAAACCTTCTGAAAAAGGTTCACCATTCTAGATGCAATTAAGAATATTCATGATTCATGGGAAGAGGTCAAAATGTCCAACATTAACAGGAGTTTGGAAGAAGTTGATTCCAACCCTCAGGGATGATTTTGAGGGGTTCAAGACCAGTGGAGGATGTGGTGGAAATAGCAAGGGAACTACAGTTAGAAGTGGAGCCTGCAGATGTGACTGAACTGCTGCAATCTCATGGTAAAACTTGGAGGTATGAGGAGTTGCTTCTTATGAATGAGCAAAGAGAGTGGTTTATTGAGATGAAATCTACTCCAGTGAAGATGCTGTGAATACTGATGAAATAATAAGAAAGGATTTAGAATACTACGTCAACTTAGTTGATAAAGCAGTGGTTGGAGAGGATTGACTCCAGTATTGAAAGAAGTTCTACTGTGGGTAAAATGCTAGCAAACAACATCACATGCCACAGAGAAATCGTTCATGAAAGGAAGAGTCTCTCAAGGCAGCAAATTTCATTTTTGTTTTATTTTAAGAAATTGCCACAGCCATCCCAGCCTTCAGCAATCACCACCCTGATCAGTCAGCAGCCATTCACATTGAGGCAAGACCCTCCACCAGAAAAAAGATAACATGCTGAAGACTCAGATGATCATTATCATTTTTTAGCAATAAAGTTTTGGGGGTTTTTTAGAGATGGAGGTCTCTCTATGTTTGCCCAGACTGGCCTGGAACTCCTGGGCTCAAAGGATCCTCCCACCTCAGCCTCCTGAGTGGCTTGGGACTACCGGAATGTACCGACATGCCCAGGTGCAATAAAGTATTTTTAAGTAGGTGTGTTAGTTATTTTTCCAGACATAATGCTACTGCATACTTAATAAACTACAGTAAACATAATGCTTATATGCACTGGGAAACCAAAGTATTTGTGTGACTCACTTTACTGCAATAGTTGCTTTATTGGTTTGGTCTAGAACCTAACCTGGAAAATCTGTGAGGTATGCCTGTTTGTGTGTGTGTGTGTGTATACACTCATGTATTTATTACATATATGTACGTATATACATATTTATTACATTCAAGTGCCTCTTAACCATTAAAATCCCTCAAAACCTGGTGCGGAACCATCAACGAAAATGAAGTCGCTGAAATCCCTGAAGAACACAGAATAGAGGCTGAGGAGGAAGGCTTCAGACAGAAACTTCCTAGGCAAAGCATTTAGTGAGTATACACTGTGTATTTCTCTTAGTGAAAATATCATTGACAACATGAGTCATTGAGATGCCCCCTGCCACACCCTCCATCTCTGCTTGGCAAGGCACGTTTTCAAAACCACGCAAATGTCAGCTTCTATATTAAGCCTTCACTTAGATTTCCCTTGGTAGAGATAGTGGCTCTTTCCTAGAAGTTACTATTATATCTTACATTGTTCCTGGGCTCCAGTCACATTGTAAATTGTTTATTCCTTTACCCTCCAACTTTCACTAGATCAAACTATAGTTTTCATTAGAATCACAGAGAGAACCTATTACATTGTGAATTCTCAAATCCCATCCCCAGAGATTCTGAGTCAGTCTTTTTAGGGTGGGGCCTGAGAATCTGCGTGTTAAACAATCCTCAGCTGTAGCTCATGCCTGTAATCCTAGCACTTTGGGAGGCTGAGGTGGGTGGATTGCCTGAGCTCAGAAGTTTGAGACCAGCCTGAACAACATGGTGAAACCCCATCTCTACTAAAATACAAAAACTTAGCTGGGCGTGGTAGCATGCACCTGTAGTCCCAGCTATTCGGGAGGCTGAAGCAAGAGAATTGCTAGAACCTGGGAGGTGGAGATTGCAGTGAGCCGAGATTGCGCCACTGCACTCCAGCGTGGGGCAACAGAGCAAGACCCTGGCACTGAAAAAAAAAAGTCCTCATAGGTGAATGCAAGACATCATGAAATTTCATTTTAAGAATCACTTTGCTACTTCCCAGCTCCTACAGGGCACAAAATTTGTTGTAACTTATCTTTCATCCTCAGCTGGAACCCTAAACCTAACACAGAATAACAACTTTATTAATAGTTCATCAAAAACACTTCAGACAGTCTAATAAAAAATTAGAAAGTCAAATGCAGTATGACATTTTTGTGTAATTCTCTGAGATAAAAGTAAACTAGTTATAAAAGAAAAAATAGAGCATTTTCGAGTCTGTATCTTGCCTCTCAAAACAAACAAACAAATAAAAGACAAAAACTTTACGGCTGAAGTAAAACATGCAAAAATAACAACAAAAAAAGACACCCCTGCAAACAAACCCATTCCCCAAAATGGAATCTGAAATTCCTACCCAGATTTTAAAATGTGATGAATTATAGAAAGAGCACTGAAAATTTGAATTGTTTTTGGTGGAGGTAAAAGTAAATAAATAGTCATTTTACAATATACGTCTTCCAACTTCAAAGAATTGAGAACTATTTTTCTTAAGCTACAAAATTATCTTCCTTCCTAAAGAAGAAAACAACTATTTCATGGACATTTTATATTAGGGAGGATTCTTCCTCCTTCTACAGTTATCACACATAATTCTTTGTCTTGTCACATTTTTTATTAAACCAGGTTTCCAAATGTCCCAATCCTTTGTTTCCTTCTGATAGAACTGAACCTGTTTTTAAATTCCTGTGTCTCATTTATTTACTTATACTCCACTCATTCCACTAAGGAATTGAGGTGATTTGCTCTTGTATCAAATAGACAGCTTTCTGGAGTGGATCAAATGGACAGTGTCTACACTGCTCATTATGACAAGTCATTCTTGTTAGTGAGAGACAGGAAACTATTAAGATTACCTTAAAATATATAGCATCTCATAGTCCAAATAAAAAAAGGCAATAACAGAAAATGGACTTTTTGTGTGAAACACATTTTCCCTATTTAGGAAGCCATTCTCAGACACAGGTCCATGATAGATTCACTTGGGCAATGCTTTGTATAGTCTATCATTTTTACTGTTTATTGTTAAAGTTATTGAAATTGATTATAAGATGGAAAGTGTAATAAAGAGAAGTTAGGAGAAATACATTCTTATTTCTCTTGTTTCCATAACAAAAACCAAGAAGTAAATCAAATCATACTTTACATTCTTTAAACTAGTCATATTAGGTTGAAAAAAAAGAATAATAAATGTAACTTTAAATCTCAACCTAAGAGAGGTAATGGCCTCCCTACCATTCTACAAAGGAGAGACTAGACTCTGATAAAATCTTATGATTTGTCTTCCCAAAAGTAGATCCTCCAGTTCAAAGATATATGTATATATCCCTATAACTGAAGCTAACTGCCTTTCTTATGTTCTTCAAAATTAGCTTAGGGGCACTGAATAAGTATTTTCCCACAGGCCTAGGTTTAAGAGAAGCTAAAAGAGCACCGAAGAAAAATAGAAAGTAAGCCAAACACAATTTACTTTTCTCAGCCTCTCATCTTCATTTTTATTTGGCTTTCATAGGCATGTGGAAGAAAGATTATATTTATACTTAGGCATTATATTAGCTATCTATTGCTGAATAACAAAATTGAGTAGCTTAAAACAAACAGTATCTCACAGTTTCTGGTGGTTAGGAATACATGAGCAGCTTAGCTAGATGACTCTGGCTCAGAGTCTCTCATAAGAACTGCAGTCACCTGAAGACTTGACCATGGCTAGAGAATCTGATTTGATGATGGCTCATCTACAGGACTGCTGACTAGAGTCCTCCATTCCTCTTTGTCTGTTAGAAAAAAGCCTCACTTGTTCACAACATGGACTTCTCCATAAGGCTGCATGAGTATCCTCATGATATGACAACTGGCTTCCCAAAGCAATTAATCCACAAGACAGAGCAACCAAGACAGAAGCTGCAATATCTTTATGACTTAATTTCAAAAGTGACATGACTTTACTGCTGCCATATTTAATTGGTAACACAGACCAAGCCTGCTGAAAAGGGGGAAGGGACTACATAAGGCTGTGAATACTGGAGGTAGAGATCATTGGGGGCCACATTGGAAGCTGGCTATCATAGTAATCCCTCTGACGCCCAATGGTTCACATCCCTCCCACATGCAAAAATACACCGATCCCCTCCCAAAGCCACTTGCAAAGTCTCATCCCATTGTCGCATAGTCTCAAAGTCCAGAATCTCATCATTTAAATGAAGCTCAGGTGTGGATGGTGCTCCTCTGGTTTAATTCCTTAAATACGGCTCTTTGAGGCCAGTGCAGTGGCTCACGCTTATAATCCCAGCACTTTGGGAAGCCGAGGCAGGCGGATTACCTGAGGTCGGGAGTTCGAGACCAGCCTGACCAACATGGAGAAACCTCGTCTCTATTAAAAATACAAAAAATTAGCCGGGTGTGGTGGCGTGCGCCTGTAATCCTAGCTAATCAGGAGGCTGAGGCAGGAGAATCACCTGAATCTGGGAGCTGGAGGTTGTGGTGAGCCTAGATCGTGCCATTGCGCTCCAACCTGGACAACAAGAGCAAAACTCCGTCTCAAAAAAAAAAAAAAAAACATATATATATATATATATATAGACAGCTCGTTGAGTACAGATATCTCAAACTAAAGATCTATGTAGTACAAAGACAAGTTATCTTGTCCCCACATATTCAACATACGATAGGAGACACTCATAGGATAACCACTACAGACATTCCTGTTCAAAGGGGTGGGGAGAATAGGAAGTATACAAAGATCACTGGTCCAGAGCAATTCTGAAGCCCAACCAGGAAAATGTGGCAAGTTATTTGATTAGGACACAGTTCTCTTCCCACCTGGAAATAACTTATCCTCTGCTCTTCGTTCTTCCCTCTGAGCCACCCATCTTTTTCCATGAACGGTTGTGTAATTTTCTCAACCTGCTTCCTGACAATACAATTGAGGTGGGGGGTGGGGTGGTCAAAAGATCTGTTTTCATTTTGTATTGTCACTGTCCCAATTCTCTATCAGTCAGAGTTCAAGAAGAAAATCAAAACTACTAGAATGAAGCTAGAGATGGAAAGAGATATAATATATGGCAATTTGTTACAAAGATTAAACCCTATCCAATTGTGAAAGCTGGTTAAACTGTCTCTTTATATAAGGCAGTTATCTTTACATCTGATGCTGGAGCTCAAAGTCCACAGAGCGGGGAATCAGAAAGGGAAGATGGAGGAACTTCATGACAAGCTGGTAACCAGAAGTATAAGCCATAGTTTATGAGCACAACCTGAAACCCAAGTTATCTCTCATTTGATGGTATGGATGTTCTTCAGAAGCCAGAGTCCCTCATTAAGGAGCTAAATGCACACACTTTACCAAGAGTCAGAGAAGTAGAAGGAGGATCCAATAGAAAATGAGCAGTTGCAGGCTCAGCTGCTGACTTACACCAATGAAGTGAGCCAACCAGTAAGCAACCATACATGTGAACTACAAAATGACTGCTGCTTCATTTCTGCTCTCCAAGTCTTACAAAAGAATATATTTTGTGGCCTAGCCTAACCAGAAACATGCAGAAAAGGGGATTCTAGTAAATTTAGGTCGACAGCCACCAACCATACACTTGTACTATCATAAATAAAATGTGGACTAAATAAATGAAGCAACTAGGCTGGGCGCAGTGGCTTAAGCCTGTAATCCCAGCACTTTGGGAGGCTAAGATGGGTGGATCACCTGAGGCCGAGTTTGAGACCAGCCTGACCAATATGCTGAAACCCCGTTTCTATTAAAAATACAAAAATTAGCCAGGCATGGTGGCATGCACCCGTAGTCCCAGCTACTTGGGAGGCTGAGACAGGAGAATTGCTTGAACCTGGGAGGCAGAGGTTGCAGTGAGCTGACATCATGCCACTGCACTCCAGCCTGGGTGACAGAGTAAAACTCCATCTCAAAAATAAATAAATAAACTAATAAAATAAATTAAGCAATTGAAATTGCATTTACTTTGCAGCCTAATCCATCTAAACAAAATGCAAAACCTGTTGGCTCTAAAGTTATCTTGTAAGGGCTCTTTTAAGAATTTTTAGAAATAAAGATTTGTTTTCATTTTCTAAGTTATTATCCTTGTTTTCATTTGAAACTTCCATGTTTAGTTGGTATAAGTTTATCATTGTGTGGCAGTCAACAAGAAAAAATATTCTCACTGGAATTCATATGAAGTCATTTACTCTGAAAAGATGTGACATACAACCCAACCAGAACCAAAGGTACTGATAGATGCAGTTCACAATTTGAGTTTTTAGTTCATAATTGTTATTAATCTTATTAGTATAATTTACTAAGTTAGCAAGATTTGCTGTCCATCTCATTCCCATACACACAAACATACACAGTCATGCATCGCTTAACAACAGGGACACATTCTGAGAAATGCGTCATTAGGTGATTTTGTCATTGTGTATGTCTGTGTCATCATAGAGTGTATTTACACAAACCTAGATCTATAGCCTGCTACACATCTAGCTAGATGGTATAGCTTATTGCTCCTAGGCTATAAACCTGCACAGCATATTAATGTACTGAATACTATGGGCATTGTAACACAATGGTATTTGTGTATCTAAACATAGAAAAGGTACAGTCAAAATACAGTATTATAATCTTATGGGACCATTGTCATATACGTGGTCCATCATTGACCAGCGTCATTATGTGGCACATGACTGTACTCAGGCACTTTGCTGCCCTGGTCAATCATTTTAAGAATAAGCAATTTAATATGAACTAGAGTTGAGTAATTAACATAATGCTGTACGTCTTTAGGGTTCTACAAATTAGGAATAAGGTGAGAGAACTATCCATCCCATTCCAGACTTGTCAGAGGCTACCTGGTTCCCTGCCCAGGTAGCAGCCCTCTTCTCCCTTTAACTGAATTGATTTCCTTTATCTAAGATTCTCAGTGCTCAGGGACCTAACCATCAGAAGGGTCAGCTTTCGTGATAATCTGGCTCTGATCTTACATCCTAGCTCTAGTAACTGAGTTTCTCCTGCCTGGTTCGGAGACAAAGTCCTTACTGTACTTATTTTTAATAAAGAGACATATTTGTCTTTATTACATCTAGGCCTCTTGGACTCTGGCTCTGCCTTACTCTTAGTCTTAATTTATAGGCTGCTGTTATATTCCACCTGGATCTCCAGAGAAGAGATGGGCCCAAATCCCATTCTTGCCTTCTATTACTTATCAGGCTTAGTCCCCAAGGTGTATGTGCACTAGGAACATGCCAAGAAAATTCTCATTCTTCATTACTACCTAAAATTTAATGCAGAATCCCTTCTCTTCATGTGAATTGTTTTACTACTCCTCGATGGTTTGATGAAGTTACCTTGAACTGTGAGCAGGTACATTAAAAGATAAAAACTTTTGATTCTCTCCCTTTAATTCTTATCACCAAAATCTCTACTTTCTGCCTCAGAGGCCCAATTGAGTGATCCTAAATATATCATTTTTATTCTTGGTTCATAACAGAGTCAGGGAAAGTTGTCCTTGAGCTTTCCTAAGGGGGAAAATGCAGGGCCACTGATACAAGTTAATTTTCCCCAATCCACCCTATTGCTAAAGATGACTCTTCCTGCACTCCTTGAAATTTTACCAATTAGAGAGAGAGTGGATGGGTAACTATCTTCCTTTGTACTTTGATCTAGGTTGGTTTGAGAAATCATGTTTAATGATTTAGTACCTGGATTTAATGGTTTAATACCTAGGTTAAGCATATTATGGCTTTGGATGAAAGATAATTGAGACAGTATTTTGGAATTTAAAACATTATAAAGGAAAGCAGGCTGCATCAGCCTTCCAAATAATGGTTTCAAGACTAGCAGTGTAAAGCAAGCAAGATGTTCATGGTCATATGTTATGCTGTGTGCCCTGCTCTCTCTTTAGGATAGCACTGATCCCCACAAAATCCTTATCAACATTTAATGAAAAGACAGTCTCCTAGAAGAATGAAACTGAAGAACATAGCTGCCTTACTAATTAAACTTTGGCAGATTCGCACTTGGCCTCTGAATCATAATTTATTCTATATGAACTATTTACTGAATTGTTGTACCATTGCCCATATGAATTATTTTGTTATAGGAATTTTGTTTTTGTTATTGTAGCTATTTAAACAACATTAATTTAGATGAAACATGATTTTCTAAATATACTCCTATAAATCATTTTATAGCTAAACAATAAAAACTACCCCCATTTGCAGTGAGCCAAGCTTGTGCCACTGCACTCCAGCCTGGGCAACAGAGCAAGAATCCGTCTTGGAAAAAAAAAAAAAACTAGGTTGGCAAAGATTCCAGAACATTAAATAATTAAAAACAGGTCTGGATTTCTTTCTATATGTAAAGACAAAATAGTAAATTGTAACCAGAGTCCTTCCTATTATTATAGTACATCTATTCTCACTAGGCAATTTTAAAATACCAAGCTGTCTTCAGCAATAGTAATTCGGCGGGTTTGTGCTTAATATATTCATGAAGGGGTTTGATGGATTTGATAACCATAAGCAGCTGTTAACATTAAATTGCCATTTAATTTTTTTCAGTGACTTTCAAAGTTGTCAATATTAAACAGTAGTGTCTTACAAATGACTAAGACCAATATGAGTATGATTAAATAAGATTTATACTGGTCACGGTGGCTCATGCCTGTAATCCCAGCACTTTGGGAGGCTGAGGCGGGCAGATCACTTGAGGTCAGGAGTTCGAGACCAGTCTAGCCAACATGGCAAAACCCCGTCTCTGCTAAAAATACAAACATTTGCTGGGCATGGTGGCACATGCCTGTAATCGCAGCTACTTGGGAGACTGAGGCATGAGAATTGCTTGAACCTGGGAGGTGGAGGTTGCAATGAACCAAGATTGCGCCACTGCACACCAGCCTGGGCAACAGAGCAAGACTCTGTCTCAAAAAAAAAAAAAAAAAAGATTTAAACGGCACTCAAAATTCTCCCTTTTTCTATAGTGTCCAACTACTAGGCAAAAGAAAAACACACACATGCATATGCACATTTTTATAGGACTTTAAGTACTGTCTTGTATATCTGCTCACAATTTGCATGGCATATTACAATACTTAGAAATTATTCCACCCCTACCCCCATTTCAACCCCATTTAATTTTTATACTTTTTCCCTATATTCATCCATCAAATCCATGTTTAATTTAATTTCATAATACTAAACAATTTTTTACCCTCATCCCTAATAGCATAATTTTAAGATACTTTTATTGAAATAATTCAGATATCAACTCTTCCCCTTTCAGTTCTTCTTTGTTTAATGACTACTTTAGTGTGGTTTTATGTACTGAAATTTGGTAAACAAAGAAAGTCAGCATTGTTGACATCTCCCAGTCTTTACAATTTGTGGGCTGCCACAGACATGTCTATGGGACAAGAGATGACATCAAGAATTATGTAATTTATCATTGATGTGCTTTGCTGTCCTTCAGTCCATTTGTTCAACATTCTAAAGACACATTGCAGTGTAATGAGAAACTAGCTTCCTCCTTGTTTTAGTTCTTTGCTTTGACCCTAAAACCATGTTATCACTTCAAATATGATGCCTCCCCCAGGAACCCATATATATGAGAAAAAAATCACAGACAATTCCAATTCCTCTCCAGCCAGCTTGCTTTATATTTCTATAAGCATTTGCTTTTACTTTTTAAATAGCTACCTTATTTTTTTCAGAGGTAAAAAATTATTTTTATATTTTATGCAATGCTATGAAAACATACAATTTTTAAAATTTAGAAAAATTACCTAACTTGCTAGAGCACAGAGGACTTCCTGAAGTATCCCCAAATTATCTGCTTTCTTTTTATTGTAATTGACTGCTACACATTAGAAGGGGATTTTCTTTCTTTTCCATTTCTCTCGCTTTCTTTCTTTATTTCTTTCTTTCTCTTTCTTTCTTTCTTTTCTTTCTCTCTCTCTCTCTCTTTTGGATCTTGCTCTGTTGCTCAGGCTGGAATACAGTCATAAAATCACGGTTCACTGCAGCCTTTGCCTCCAGGCTCAAGGGAGCCTCCGACCTCAGCCTCCTGAGTAACTGGGACTACAGGCATGCATCACCATGCCCGGCTTTTTTTTTTTTTTTTTTTTTTTTTAAATAGAGACAGGTTTTCCCCATGTTGCCCAGGCTGGTCTCGAACTCCTAAGCTCAAGCAATCCGCCTACCTTAGCCTCCCAAAGTGTTGGGATTACTGGTGTTAACCACCAGTAATCACTTGAGTCCAGGAGTTCAAGACCAGCCTGGGCAACACAATGAGACCAACACAATGAGACCTCTACAAAAAATTTAAAAATTAGTCGAGCATGGTGGCACATGCTTGTTGTCCCTGCTACTCAGGAGGCTCAGGTGGGAGGACTGCTTGAGTCCAGGTGGTTGAGCCTGCAGTGAGCTGTGATTGCGCCACTGCACTGCAGCCTGGGAGACACAGCGAGACTGTTGCCAAAAAAAAAAAAAAGAGAGAGAAGATGGACCTGAATTAATAGAAAGCATTTCCCATTTTCATTTTCATATATCATTTCTTAACTTAAAAAATTAAAAGCTAATATTAAAAAACAATAAATTTGACATATGAAGTACTGATAAGTCTTCAAATTTCATGCATTCAAATATATTCACATTCTTGATTTGTAATAATTAGAATCAGTAGCAGTGTTACCCAAAGTGTAGTCTACTGACAGGTGCCAATCCACAAACTATTTGTTACCAGTACATGAAAAGATGAGTATAGAAAGCCAGAATATTCAGAAATGTTTTATAACAACTTGACACAGTTTCAGCATTTCTTATTGTATTTTATAAATGTATCAGTCAGCATAGATTAGAAACTTAACAAAAAATAAATGGTCCTTCATCAAAGATAGCTTGAGAAGCACTGGTATAAATTACTAAAATCAACAGATACTAACAAAACTTAGTTAAGCTAATAGTTTTAAACTCTTTTCCTACTAAATTATGTTTTTAAAGTCAGAAACACAATGACTCTTATGACTATAAAATCAAATTGAATATAATAGAAAGAATTAATTGTCACTTTTTTTTACGCTATGATTAGTAATATAATTCCTAGATACGAAAACAAAGTCTGCATCTTCTTCTCATATGTATCCCTAACACCAAGCACATTCATAAATTGTCAGTAAAAATGTATTCAATTAATGTCACAGTAATGTAGATTGGTCATGATGACTAAGTAAATCAAATCTTTGCCATTCAGTTCAATCATAGAATGACTTCAAGTTCCATCTCTTCCTTGTGCCCTTTCCTCCCTTTTTTTGGCAATGTCTATGAGTGCTACATGAACAGAGAATGAAAATTAAGCTGCCAACTTTCTGCCTAGATCTTTGCATATACCTGGCATATGGTAGTTGTTAAGTAAGTGTTAAATGTATGATGAAGAAATGTTATCTAGCAGTACAAAAACTATAAGTGAAAGACAGATTATGAAAAAGGAAAATCTAAGATCTCTACTGCATCAGTGATTGCCACAAAAATTAAGCATAACAAACTATCTTAAAATTCACTGATTTAAAAGAACAATAATTAATTTGTAGAGATCCATGGATTGGCCAAGGGTTAACTGATTCAGGCCAGGCTCAGCTAAGGCAACTCAGCTCTATTCCACATGACTCTTGTCTTGGGTATGTTCTTCTCATGGCAATAACAGAAGTACAAGAGAGCAGGCTCAATCATACGAGTACTTTCTAAGCCTTTAATTATATCACAACTACCAACATCTCACAGGCCAAAGCAAGACATAGGGTCAATTCCAGAGCCAAGGGATGGGGATACAACTTAACCATTTTGGGAAGGCACTGCAAAACTGCTGGAAAGGCTATGAGTCTATAATCCTATTTCTTGGTAGGAAGTGAAGAGTTGGAACAATAATCCAGTCTGTCACACTGCAGTAGGCAGGAAAATATGACAAAGATGTCCATATCCAAATTCCCAGAACCTGTGAATATGTGTTCTTACATAGCAAAAGGGACTTTGTAGAGATGATTAAATTAAGGCTTTTGAGAGAGGGAAACTATCCTGTATTATCCAGCTGGGCCCAATGTAATCTCAAGGGTCTTTATAAGATAGAGGAAGGAGGGTCAGAGTCAAAGAAAGAGATGTGATGACAGAGACATAGAGAGTGTTTATGATGCTATGCTGCTGGCTCTGAAGATGGAGGAAGAGGCCACAAGCCAAGGAAGCCAGGTGGGCTTAAGAGCTAGAAAAGGCAAGAAAACAAATTATCCCCTGGAGCCTCCAGAAGGAATGCAGTCCTAATAACAACTTGATTTTAGCCCAGTGAAAAACATTTCGAACTTCTGATTTCCAGAATGATAAGATAATACGTTTGTGCTGTTTCAGTCCACTAGGTTTGTGGTAATTTGTTACAGCAGCAGTAGGAAACTAATGTACATATCTACAAAATCTATAAACTGTATAAGATTTCTAAATAATCAATAGACCCATCATATGTAATTACACTACCAAATAAACACCATTTTAGTTGATAGGACTATTTGTAGAAAATATATTAAGGTTTATGACTTTAGTTTGCTTATTAATGTATGTAACCATTAAGCAGTTTCTTTATTCATCAAACATATATTCCATCAACAAAATTACTGAGACCATCAACCCTAAACTCCGGGCTTGACTAATGAATATAGCTTGACAACCTCATATTTACAAAGGTAGTAACTATGATACTCCAGCCTTGATGAACTTCCCTGAGTTTCTTCATATCTTCAAATTCATGCTGATCTGCCTTCCAATCTGCTTTTCAGAGATTACCATCCACTCACTAAACTTTTTAAAACCTAGTACTCATATTTATCCCCTCACTGAGACTTTGAGGTCAGAGGGCATTATTTCATTTGTGGTTAGTCTAGAAATCTCTAAAGTTCTTCTTGATTGCCAAAATGGTTTCATTTTTTCCTTATCTATGCTTAGAGTAAAATTTCTGTAGATGTAATTCTGAAACATTCCAAGCGAAAAAATATACTTTTTAAAACTGAACTGTACAGTGCTTGCTTGGGAAACTTTAAAAAATTATGTCATAGTTTTATAAAATGCATAACAGCAAGCCA
Organism: Homo sapiens; assembly: GCF_000001405.40. Taxonomy (NCBI): domain Eukaryota; kingdom Metazoa; phylum Chordata; class Mammalia; order Primates; family Hominidae; genus Homo; species Homo sapiens. Next base: position 26,880,813 of record NC_000007.14, read on the forward strand.
AGCTTCAGCCTTTGAGAAGCCTTAGCTTTTTAAAGAATACTCACGTTCATTCTGCCAAGTAGCTTTGAACTTTCATTGCAAATTATTTTCAATTGTTTATTTTTAATAACAAGTGCCTTTGAATGCAGTACCTATATTGTGCTGATTCTCTGGAAAAATTCTACTTAAGAGTTACCATCTGTCCAGTAAATGAAAGTTGTCCGGTTTAATCATAGTAATTCCTATTATTGCATCACACACTTGTGGAACCATCTTTTATTATTTCTACTACTCATGAAGTCTCATCTATAGGAACTTAATACTGGAGTTTTTCAATACTACATTTTCTGATGTTGTGGGGATTTGCTGCCCTTATGTGATTGCTTTAAGTAGCAACAAGTCATAAAGCCATTACAAAACTCAGATTAAGCAGCTGTTCTTACTGACAAGTTCAGTAATTATTTGAAGACATGTAAATGAAGGTCTGCTCCTAAAATACATCTTCTGATCAGCTTGAATCAGCTTGAATACATTTTTTTTTCTTATTGCTTTAACATCTTTTCCATTTGTGGAAACATATTCAATTGCTTCTTTTTACTGACACACATGGTCATAAGACATGCAAAATATGAAGCATTTAATGTTTCTCTACAAATATTCAATCCTGTTTATTAAAACGGTATTGCCAACTTCCATAGCAATGGGCTCCATTTAAGTAGCTAAGTACAGTACTAATTTTCAAAATAGGAAATTTTGGTCAATTCTTGATGTAAATGCAAGTTATTTCAATAAAGTCAGTAAGCCATAACCTCTTTTTTTCCAGTGGAACTACTCAATTAACATTGTACTTCTCATTGAGTTTTATGTATGAAAAATGAAAACTACAGACTAGAGACAAAATTCTGCCAAAGCTGCTATTATCTGGGTGGTGCACACATGTACACTAATTGTAAGAAGTTTTTGTTTGTTTATTTGTTTTGAGATGGAGTCTCGCTCTGTTGCCCAGGCTGGAGTGCAGTGGCACGATCTCAGCTCACTGCAAGCTCTGCCTCCCCGGTTCACGCCATTCTCCCACCTCAGCCTCCCGAGTAGCTGGGACTACAGGTGCCCGCCACCACGCCTGGCTAATTTAGTTTTTGTATTTTTAGTAGAGACAAGGTTTCACCGTGTTAGCCAGGATGGTCTTGATCTCCTGACCTCATGATCCGCCCGCCTCGGCTTCCCAAAGTGCTGGGATTACAGGCATGAGCCACCACGCCTGGCCGTTTTTTTTTTTTTTTTTTAGACAGGGTCTCACTCTGTCACCTGTGCAGTGTACAGTGGTGCCATCATGACTTACTGCAGCCTTGACCTCTTGGGCTCAAGCAATCTTCCCACCTCAGCCTCCCCAGTAGTTGGGACCACAGGTGCCCACCACCATACTTGTTTTTTTTTATTTTTTTATTTTTATTTTTTGTAGAAATGAGATCTCACTATGTTGCCCAGGCTGATCTCAAACTCCTGGATTCAAGTGATCCTCCCACCTGAGCCTCCCAAAGTGCTGGGATTTCAGGCATGAGCCACCACACCTGGCTAAGAAATATTTTTATTTAGAAAAATACTGCAAAAACTAGTGTTGTGTATTTTGAAGCCACACTGAGATCCTCTCTAGAAATAAGTAAATTGGGGGAAAAAAGATTCCTCTCTGGGAATTATAACAAGACATCAACACATTAAAGGGTGACAGTAGATATATGCAGCCACGTAAAAGAAGCAGAATAGGCTGGGCACAGTGGCTCATGCCTGTAATCCCAGCACTTTGGGAGGCCAAGGTGGGTGGATCACCTGAGGTCAGGAGTTCGAGACCAGCCTGGCCAACATGGTGAAACCCCATCTCTACTAAAAATACAAAAATTAGCCGGGCATGGTGGCATGTGCCTGTAATCCCAGCTACTCAGGAGGCTGAGGCAGGAGAATCACTTGAACCCGGGAGGCGGAGGCTGCAGTGAGCCAAGATTGAGCCACTGCACTCCAGCCTGGGCGGCAGAGTGAGACTTTGTCTCAAATAAATAAATAAATAAATAAATGAGGCAGAATACCTGTCTCTTTTGTTTAGAAGACTTAGCTATAACCTTATTAAATATGGAGACCTATAATCTCAGCCATAGGGTCAGCTCTAAAAGTACAGAAAAGAGAGAATTACACAGGCAAGCACTGACATTGTTCATCCAAGCACTATTTAAGAAGGAGTGACTGTTAGCCAGGAGCCTTTCCTTTGATGAAGAAAACAAGCTTGTTTATAAGCAGATGGGAATAACCCCATTGAGAAGAAGACATTTAAAATATTTAAGATATAGGAGAGAGAAGGGATAACCTATAGCACAGATTTCCTGAGAAGACAAGAAGTGCTGGGATCCAAAGCATAGGTGAAGATATTGACCTTGGGTAGGAAGAGAGATATTCCTTCTATTGTAACTTGAGGGAAGGAGACCAGGATAAGTATGGACATAGGTGGGTTTGGAGATTTGGTATTAAAAGTTGAGAGACCTCCCAACAGAAGGTTTCTATGTACTCTGAGAAGTAGGCCATGAGATTATCCACTAAGTGTTAAGGTCAAGGGAAAAAAGAAGGTAGGAAAGAGGGGAAAGTGGAGGTTTGATTTTTTTAAATGTTTAATAAAGATTAGCCTAGCAGTAGTAATGTCTTCCTCTTCAACTAGCTTGTGGCTAACAGTCAATTAATTTGACTCAAGAAATCAGAAATGGGATATTTTTATACCAATATAAATAAAGGCAAAAGTGCTGTTATGATGTCACACAATAAAATGACTATTTATACACTATTTAAATGTCAATTTAGGCCCATTTGATCTAGAGTATAGTTTAACTCTGATGTTCCTTTGTTGATTTCCCAACTGGATAATCTGTTCATTACTGAGAGTGGGTTATTGAAGTCACCACTATAATTGTATAGCAGTCTATTCCTCCCTTTAGGTCTATTAATGTCTGCTTTATATACTTTGGTGTTTCTGTGTTGGGTGTTTCTGTGTTGGTTTATAATTGTTATAAAGTTGTAGTCTATTTTATCTAACTATAGCTACTCCTGCTTTTTTTGGTTCCCATTTGCATGGACTATCTTTTTCCATCCTTTCATTTTTTAGTCTATGCGTGTCTTTATAGATGACGTGGGTCTCTTGTAGGCAGCATATAGTTGAGTCTTATTTCTTTATCCATTCAGCCACTCTGTCTTTTAATCGGATAATTTAGTCCATTTACATAAATGTAATTATTGATAGATAATAGCTTACTAATACATTTTGTTACTTGTTTTCTGGTTGTTTTGTTAATGTCTCTCTTCCTTTCTTACTGTCTTTCTTAGTGGTTAAGTAATTTTCTGTGGTAGCATGTTTTATTTTTATTTACTATTTATTTATTTTTTGGAGACAGGTCTTGATCTGTCACCCAGGCTGGAGTGCAGTGGCACAATCTCAGCTTATTGCAGCCTTCACCTCCCAGGCTCAGGCGATCCTCCTGCCTCAGCCTCCTAAGTAGCTAGGACCACAGGTGTGTGCCACCATGCCTGGCTGATTTTTGTATTTTTAGTAGAGACAGGGTTTCATCATATTGCCCGGGCTGGTCTCAAACTCCTGGGCTCAAGCAATCCACCTGCCTCGGCCTCCCAAAGTGCTGAAATTACAGGTGTGAGCCACCACATCCAGCCTCTGGTAGTATGTTTTAACTCATTGCTTTTTATTTTTAGTATATTTATTATAGGTTTTTTCTTTGTGGTTACCATGAAGCTTACAAAAACATCTTATACGTATAACAAGTTATTTTAAACAAATGATAACTTATCTTTGATCACAGAGAAACCAACAAATAAAGGAAAAACTAATTAACTCCACACTTTAACTTCATTCCCCTGTGGACACATTTTTACTTTTTGTTGTCTCTATTTATGTATTTTATATTGTCTCTCTCTTAACAGGTTACTGTAGCTAGTATTATTTTTGATAGATTTGTTATTTAGTCTTCATACCACATTTACGAGTGGATTGCATACCACAATTATAGTGTTAGAGTATTCTGAGTTTGTCTGTGTACTTTCTTTTACCAGTGGGTTTTATACCTTCAAATGTTTTCTTTTTGCATATTAATTTTTTCTTTCATATTAAAGAACTCCCTTTATTAGCATTTCATGTAAGATGGGTCTGGGATGATAAGTTCCCTCAGCTTTTGTTTGTCTGGGAAAGGCTTTATTTCTCTTTTATGTTTGAAGGATAGCTTTGCTGGGTACAAAATTCTTACATGGCATGTTTTTTTCTTTCAGCACTTTGAATATGTTGTCTCACTCCCTCCTGGCCTGTATAGTTTCTGTTAAGAAGTCTGTTACCAGATGAATTGGAACTACAGTATTAGTCCATTTTCACACTGCTGATAAAGACATACAAGAGACTAAGAAGAAAAAGAGGTTTAATTGGACTTACAGTTCCACATAGCTGGGGAGGCCTCATGGCAGGAGGCGAAAGGCCCTTCTTACATTATGGTGGCAAGAGAAAAATTGAGGAAGATGCAAAAGCGGAAACCCCTGATAAAACCATCAGATCTCATGAGACGTATTCACTACCATGAGAACAGTATGGGGGAAACCACCCCCATGATTCAAATTATCTCCCACCGGGTCCCTCCCATAACATGTGGAAATTATGGGAGTACAATTCAAGATGAGATTTGGGTAGGGCCACAGAGCCAAACCTTATCAGCTACTTTATATGTTATTTGCTTCTTTTCTCTGCTTTTAGGATCCTCTCTTTGTCCATGATCTTTGAGAATTTGATTATTAATTGCCTTGGGGTAATTTTGAGTTTTATCTGGTTGGTGATCTCTGACCTTCCTATACCTGTATATTTATCTTTCCCAAGTTTGGGGAAGTTTCCTGTTATTTCTTTAAATAAGCTTTCTACCCCTTGCTCTTGCACAACTCCCTCCTGAATACCAGTAATTCTTAGATTTGCTCTATTGGGGTAATTTTATATATCTTATAGGCATTCTTCATTCCTTTTCATACTTTTTTCTCCTGTGGCTGTGTATTTTCCAATAGCCTGTCTTTGAGCTTATTAATTCTTTCCTCTGGTTGATCCATTCTGCTGGATGAAGAGATCCAAGAGAGCCTCAAATGAATTTTTCAGTTCAGCAAATATATTTTTTCAGTTCTAGGATTTGTTTCCTTTTTTATCATTTCAATCTCTTTGCTAAATTTCTCTGATAAATTTCTTAGTTGCTTTTCTGTGTTATTTTGGAGATCACTGAGTTTCCTTAAAACTGCTATTTTGAATTCTTGATCAGAGAGCTCACCTATCTCTGTCTTGTTAGGGGTGATCACTGGCTCCTTGTTTTGTCCATTAGGAGAGGTCCTGGTTCTCTGCTTGCTATTGTTTCTTGTGGATGTGCATCCACGTCTTCACACTGAAGAATTAGTTATCTATTCTAGTCTTCTCTGTCTGGCTTGTTTTGGTTTTTATTGAGTATGTTTGCTTAGAGAATTCTTTGTAATATACCTGTTGAATACTTTTTTTGCTGCAACACTTCCTCCTTTTTGGCAGTATATGGCTCTTAAGCCCAGGTTTGCCTTGGCTCAAGCAAACTTTGAAGCAGCGCCCTTCACAGATGGGGGAGTCTCAAAGGGGATATCCTTGCAGTATGGAAAAACTGCCCAGTGGTTAATGCCTAGGTGATCCATGAAACATACCTCTTAGTGCTGCTGAACAGCCACTCTGATTTGATGTCTCTTTTGGCCAAGATACAGAGTAGAGTTCCCCAGTCCGTGGATGCTAGTCCCACCTCCTGCCTTTGTCTCCGACTGTCCTCATGAATTTCACCCGCCCCCATCCCGCCCCGCCACCCCCGGCCCCCAGGCACTTGCAATGCTTTCCATGGATTGAAGCAGGTACAGGGAACCCAAGATGGTGGGAAAGCTGGTTGTCCACCTTGATCTAACGTTTTCCAGTGTAGTAACCATGAGTTGAGGGAAATTTTCCATATGCTTGGTGCCTGGCAAATCGAGGGAAGGGCATCATGGATATAAAAGTCAAATTCTCTTAGTGTCTACATGGAGTTCTTCACTTCTGTGTGGCCCCAGGAACTGTCTCATCTTTATATTTCAGTTCTGGAATATGGATGGTAATAATCTCAGTGCTATATGTTTATTTTTAATTTATTTTATTTAATTTTTTGGAGACAGAGTCTCACTCAGTCACCCAGGTTGGAGTGCAGTGTCATGATCTCGTCTCACTGCAACCTCTGCCTCCTGGGTTCAAGCAATTCTCATGCCTCAGCATTCCAAGTAGCTGGGATTACAAGTATGTGTCACCACTCCCAGCTAATTTTTTTGTATTTTTAGTACAGGGTTTCACCATGTTGGCCAGGCTGGTCTTGAACTCCTGGCCTCAAGTGATCTACCCCCTTGGCCTCCCAAAGTGCTGGGATTACAGGCGTAAGCCACTGTGCTCAGCCTCAGTGTTATATATTTTAGCTTTCAGTAGGAGGAAGTGAAGTCACCTTGCTTCTGCTCACCATTTTAGTGAAGTGACATCACCTACTCACGCTCTCTTGAGGACAACTTGCACTAATTTGTATCTATTACAATACATATATTTATTTTATTTCATTATAGAATGGTAAAAACAAGTAGTACAATTGGGATAAGAACTCAGGCCTCACTTTGCATTTTAACTGTATTGTAAAATATGTTTTTTTACTTACTATGATGTTTATTTTTGTTTTGCTTTTTATCTATGTTGTCCACAAAAAAAGACACAAGGCATTTTAAATCAGATTTTAAATAAGTAGTGGTTCGTTCCCAAAGTGGACTCAATGAGCCTTAAATTTGGTGTATTTAGGCTGGATGCAGTGGCTCACACCTGTAGTCCCAGCAATTTAGGAGGCCGAGGCGGGCAGATCACTTGAGGCCAGGAATTCAAGACCAGCCTGGCCAACATGGTGAAACCCCGTCTCTACTAAAAATACAAAAAAAGTAGCTGGGGTGGTGGTAGGTGCCTGTAATCCCAGCTACTCAGGAGGCTGAGGCAAGAGAATCGCTTGAACCCGGGAGGTGGAGGTTGCAATGAGCCAAGATCACGCCATTACACTCCAGCCTGGGTGACAAAAGCTAAACTCCATCTCAAAAAAAAAAAAAAGAGGGCTCTCAAGCTGCCAGGGCTCTCACCTCCACTTATATCTCTGGCCAGAAGCTAGCTACATGGCAACACTAGCTCAAAGGGGTCTGGGAGGTATTTATCTGTATGGTCCCATGCCCAGCTAAAAATTCTATTTGTCTGGAAGAAGATCTTAGGGAATGACAAGAAGTCTGCCATAGATGTTTAATATGTTTCTTCTTCCTGGATAACAGCAGAACATAAACAGAGCTATGCCAAGACTAAGCTCTAAAATCCTACAATAGTTATTTAAGATAAAAAGAAAACTTTCAGGGAATAGCTCTACCTTCTGTTTGCCACATGCTACTTGCACCTTGTTAATAGCTTGTATGTTACAAAGTCTATTCCTTTGTTTCTCTGTTTAGCTTGATGAAAACTTTCTTCACAGATTTAATTGTGGCATTTTCTGAATTGAGATTAGCAATCTGTTTCAAGCTCCATATAAAGGGAAAAATTAATTTACATCTGTTTTTTCATCTATGCTAAGAGTCTCAGAAGTGAGTTTGCAATATTAGAAAAACCAAAAAGTAATTGTCGTAAGAGAGAAATGTAATAGTTTTTCCTCACTGACTGCAAGGCTCCTGGCTGAGACCCCTACAACAAAAGACAGATTAAAAAGAGAAAAGCATATAAATGTATTTAACTTTTACATCAATTACACAAGAGCCTTCAGAAATGAACACCCAGGCTGGGTGATGTGGCTCAGGCCTGTAATCTCAGCACTTTGGGAAGCTGAGGCGGGTGGATCACTTGAGGCCAGAAGTTCAAGACCAGCCTGGCCAACATGGTGAAACCCCATCTCTACAAAAAATACAAAAAAAAAAATTTAGCCAGGTGTGGTGACATGCATCTGTAGTCCCAGCTACTTGGGAGGCTGAGGCAGAGAACTGCTTAAACCCAGGAGGAAGAGGTTGCAGTAAGCTGAGATTGTGCCACTGCACTCCAGCCTGGGCAAAAGAGTGAGGCTCTGCCTCAAAAAAAAAAAAAAAAAAAAGAAAGAAAAGAAAAAAACACCCAAAGAAATCGGGAAATCTGTGTAATTTTATGGACTGTTGGGCAGAGGTATGATTGGAGGACGAAAGGGACAAAAGGGTATGGTAATAAACTGGGGGGAACTTAGCAAAGCCTGTATATTCAGATTCTTTTCTTCTCTGTATAGCTTTATTCCTTTCCTCTGGATATATGGAAGACCCTTTTGGAATGAGGGTCTTATGGTCTGCTTTAGAGGAAGTTCAGATAATTTATTTTATGGCCTGCTTCAAGGAAGAAAGATGAGAGACAGTCAAAGAGGCCTTCCTGCTTCAGCTGTTTTCTCAAATGCCAAGGTGCCATATTTTGGGGTAGTGTGTTCTGAACCCTGTCATTGTTATTGCATTATCTTAGAAGGCCTTAGGTTTGGGATCCACTCTCTGTTAGCTAAGAGCAGGCCATTATAGGATCAACTAAATTACCAAAGAAAGTATATGAATCTAAATTTAAATGAGATTGAATTGATCCTTTACATATTATTAATCTAACTTTATATTTGAATTTATTGTGCAAAATAATTGGCTGAATTAGCATTTGTTTGTGAAAATACCTTATTTTAAAATAGAAAAAGTTATAAAGTTTTTGTATGAAAAATTAAACCAGTGCTCACTAATGAAGAGTGATTTAGTCTTTCAGTAAACTCAAAGTTAAAGCAGAATCTTCTAGTGTAAAGTATTTTCAGAGGACAAAATCAAAGCAGAGATGTAAAATATTTTATTATTGCAATATTTCAAAGTCTGATCCTTTCTTAGGCTGCTTTTAATTTTTTTTCCTCTTCCCTCAAGTTTTTTCCAGCACTTCCTGTTATAGTAGGAGCTTTAGGAAGGTTTCTTACACCTCATTAATGAAGATTTTGAAGCAGTTTTTGCTCTGGATCTTCTTGTTCATCTCTCTGACATCAGGAGTTAGAGTACAACTTGATAAAAAAAATCTGAGATGGAAAGACACAGGCTTTTGAGGGTTTTTTGAAAGTGCTTCTAGGATGGCTAGAAGCATTTTAATTAGAGCTATTATGTCTTATGCTCAGAATACAAAATATACTTATTTATGTTGAAACTGTTATCATGGCGCACTGAGCCATTAATACATTACTATTCTAAAATAAAAAATTAAATGTGAACTATATAACTGATCAGTCTTCAGTTGCTGTGAGGAATAAAAACAAACATTAATAATTCACTTACTGTTAGAGCATTTCTACTTTTAAAAGGTGCAGTACTCTTTATTTTTAATTATTTAATTTAAAATGCTATATGACATGAGCATTTTAAATGCTCAAAAAATCAGACTGGTATCAAGTGAAAAGTAAAATTGCCTTTCCCCTTCTCTAACATTATTACCCTGAATTTTAATAGGTATTTCCAAAGTGTCTTCTAAAAGGTTTGTACTAATTTACCTTTCAATGTTCTTAAACATAGTTAATAACAAATGTACTTAATAAGTTGTTATTCATTTGCTTAAAGCATTTCCATATTTATTGGTTATTAATCTAATTTAGTTTCACAGCCCTCCTATGAGATCAAGATATTAATCTCCCAGTTTTATAAACTTAAAAACAAAAATAAAGAGACTTTAAGGTGCTCAACAGTAATTTCATGGTGTGCTAGGAATTGAAATTAAACTTCCCATCTTGTGTAACATTATCTGGTTAATGGCCTATACTTCTGGGCTAATTGGTAAAAAAGAAAAAAAAGAAAAGATTTGAATATTGAGAATCTGGTGGGCATCAAATATCAGCTACTATTCAGGTCATCTAATTTGTTCTCTGACTTAGAATAAAAGTCACATTTATGATCAATTTGGTATCCTTTCTGTATATGTGTCAACTGGGACTCATTAGGCAACAGTTAGGAAGACAAATAAAAGGCATAGCACACTGGAAACAATGCAGTTCCTGTATTTTAGAGATTCTGGGAAACGCTTTATCTTGAGTTTCATATCTCATCACAGAATCTTCATGGTACCTGGGTAGCCATTGTGTCCAGTTGTGCATTATTACTTAAGAACCAAAAAGCACCTCTGGTGTAGACAGTTCTGACTCTGGAAAGTTTAGTCCTGACCTCAACAATGACAGTTACTCTACAGAGTATCCAGAAGCTAGATGAAACTTATATGAGGAATTAAAGTTTTAGCTCTGCTATGCCATAAAAGTCTGATGGCCAAAATGTCTCTCCTAATGTCCCTATGGTATCTAATCATGCCCACAGTTCTCACTCAAATGTTTTAAAAGAATCTCCATCCCTGCTACTACTACCTCTTATGTTCGCACTTGGCCTTCATGAGACTGACTTGGCATAGGGATTTATAGTAGAGAGACACCTTCGAGTAAGAAAAATGGATGTCCTCCTCTCTGTTGAACTAAATAATAACTCTATTCTAGTAACAGCTATAGACCCAACTTATCAAATTCCCATTAAAGTTAATTCTCAAGGTCTAAACCTACAGGACCAAAATTGTATTTATTCAACTGAAGTTCATAGTTTCCACAAAGTTGTCTTTGGATGAGAAGTGAAAATGTTAGGTAAACATCCACAAGGCTAAAAACAAACATGGTTATTTAGGGAATATACATATAACAGTCATAAAAATTCACTTTGAAACTGAAAGTTGAGATCATGTAGGCAAAGTCTCTACATCTTATGAATATGTAAAAAGCAAGAAAGAGACTGAATATAGAGGCTGAGCTTTCATACCAATTTTATTTACCCCATAAAATTTCATCTCTTGTCCAAAGCTCTGTATTATCTCATTTTCATGCCTCTCAGTCACTACTATTAAATCCTAATGGTTTCTGCAGGATTGGATTGGGCTGGATTCAAGGTATCTCATGCAGATTTGGCTTTTCTTTGTTTGACTGTAAATTCGGACAGGAAGTGGTTTTGCTGGTAGATCTAGGAATACAGTCAGAATAGACTGATGTGTGAATCAGCAGACGGAAACTTGACCTTGTGTAGATGAGCTAGGAAAAAATTAAAACATCACTAGCCTAATATCTAGACTTCATCTCTATTTTCAGTTTAATTGCAATTTAACCCTGTCTTGTATAGCTCTGGAGTGACACAGAGCAGGTCTGGAATTCCAGCTCTGTCAATTTATGAAGGAACTTGGGCAAGTTATCTACCCTCTCTGAATTCCAGTTTACTCATCTGAAAAATGAGGATGAGATGACTGTTGTGGGGATTATAGATTGAGTTTGTATGTCTGACACATGACAGTAGCTAAAGAACTAGTCAGATAATGGTAAACATTAACAAGCTTCCAGATGAAATGTGAGTGAGACTTTTATTTTATTTTTGAGACGGAGTTTCACACATGTTGTCCAGGCTGGAGTGCAATGGCGCAATCTCGGCTCACTGCAACCTCCGCCTCCTGGGTTCAAGCGATTCTCCTGCCTCAGCCTCCCGAGTAGCTGGGATTACAGGCACCTGCCACCACACCTGGCTAATTTTTTGTATTTTAATAGTGATGGGGTTTCACCATGTTGGCCAGGCTAGTCTCGAACTTCTGACCTCAGGTGATCCAACCGCCTCAGCCTCCAAAAGTGCTGGGATTACAGGCATGAGCCACCGTGCCCGGCTAAAATGTGAGACATTTTAATCAACAGTCCCTCTTATTAAACTCCTCCAACTGTTCTGGAACCATAGGAACATGTAAAACTAGTCTAAAGTTTATAAAGAGAAGAAACTGGAAAGTTCACTAATTCGTTCAACAAATGTAAGCATAGAGAAGGATGCAAAGCTGCCAGACTATGAGGTAAGTCATGTATATACATCACTATATTAGAGGGTAGAACAAGATTTGTGCCACAAGAGAAATTCAGTTAACATCCTATGGAGCTTTGAGAAAGAAAATATTTTTTCAGCTGAATTATAGAAAATATTTTATGGAAAAGGTAAGTTTAAGCAGAGTGTTAATAAGTAAACAGGCAGACTGCATATATGATATACTAATTCAATTTAACCAAAGCATGGAGTGAATGAAGAAGTGAAAAGTGAGATAGACAAAATGTAGATTTGGCCCAGACTATAGAAGCATTGAAAGGCCAAGCTGCAGCATTTGAGACTTTTGAGCAGAGGAATGATATGATCGATGCAATAGTTTTCCTGAGAGAAAATTCATCTGGAAGCTTTGTGAAAGAAAGACTGAAGGGAAGAGATACCAAATCCAATTAGGAGATTGCATAGTGATACATGTGGAAGATTATGAGGTGCTGATCTGAGGTAAGAGCAATAGAATTAGAGGAGAAGGAGTGGATTCAAGAGTTGGGGGAATCAGAGTATGTGAGGATTAGCAAATATGCTGTTAATTACTAACAAAAGGAGAGTAAAGTATAGATATTTCTAGCTTCTTATTTTTGTCTTAACCACAAAAATGTATGTTCTGATTCTGCCTTTATTTTCATTAGAATAATGGACTATTTTTAAGCTTTATGTCAATTTAAGTGTTTAATAAACATGGGATGTTTGATAACCAATTTTATAATCTGCCAATATTACTTCATTAGGAATTAAAAGCTAATTCCATGTTTGACTTCTGTTTTATTCTTCCTAAAAGTTCTGAACTGTTATCATTTCTAGAAGATGGTTCTCAATCCTGTCTACTCATTGGAATCCCGTGGAAAGCACTTTAAAAATTACAATATCTGAACTAATGAATCAGAATCTCTGGGAATTGGACTTGGGCATCAGTATTTTCATTTTAATCTTCCCAGTGATTTCAAGGTACAGCTTCAGTTGAGAATGACTGACCTTGAATAAGATATATTTTAGTCTCTAAACAAGAACTCCTGTTCATGTTGCTCTCTATCCATTCATTCTAAAACTCACCGAGCACACTCCTGGTTGTCATTCTTATGTCTTAACTGAGGGTCAGGTCCCCAGGATTCCTTTATGTTCAGCATTCCTTAATGGTCTTTCCCCACTCCATGCCACTTTATCTTGGAAAAGTGAATAATCAAATTCCTATAAAAATGAGAAAATCAATCTGAACATAAAGTAGACATCACTGATAGCAGAGAGCAAAGACAGAAAAAACATGGGTCCCTTGGTGAAATAAACTGTTACATCAATCAATCCAGAAGACTTGTCTACCACTGGATTTTAGGTTATGAGAGCCAAAAAAATTTCCTTATCATTCAAGCCACTTTGAGTTGGAGTTTCTGTCACAGCCAAAGCATATCATATTATATCATCAGTCTTTTATGCACTTGAAATAAATGGTTTTAGATCTTGTCTGTTGATTCTAGACTTCAGAAATGACAAAGTGAAAATGTGAAATGTGACATCTTTTATAGGGTATCCAGCCACAATATTCTTGTCTTAGTATAGATATGTGGGCTGTACATGCTGCACAGCTGTGAAAACTTCGACTTTGAAATCTGACACATTTTCAGGCTGTACTCTAACCATTTGGCTCTGTTCTTTCATTTCATTGTTAGCAGCACAAACTATACTACGTGGAATTTTCTTATGGTGTTAGTTCAATGAATGTTCAAAGAAGAAAATAATTCCAAGGTCTAGACTCTGAATATGCTCTTGAAATTTAATCACACCTGTAATATTACCAGAAACTACTATCATCTATTAATTTTTATGTGTGTTGAAAATATACAAAAAATCCATTTCTTCAAAAGATGCCTCTTGAAGTACAGAAGAGTGTGAAAAAAAAGGCAATGTAAGAATCTACCTTTCTATTTTATTATATACGTATCAGGAAACTCTATAAGGAAGAAGTTATTAACAATGGTTAGAAGAAGTGGGGGGACTAGGTAAATGAGGATGTTGTGGGGAGACATGTCACTGTGTACCTTTTAACACCTTTCTGGTCTTTGAAATAATGTGATAATATTACCTATACACAATTTTAATTAAAATGGATCCTAAATTAAAATTGATACCTGATCCCTAAATGAGTAAAAACCATTTATGCCTTTTTGTTGTGGTTCACACAATTCCAAGTCTAAAATGCTAAAATACTATCCCCTTCCTTCTTCAACAAGATAAAAATCCTGTTCTTGTGCTCAGTTCAATTGCCACTTCCTTAGTTAATCTTATTCCAATGCCGTCAGGAGGAACTCTTTCCACCTTGCTCCCATGACATCACTTCAATAAAAAGTAAACTCAATCTTAAAATTCTAAAATATACATTTTACCAGAAGTACTCCCAAATTAACTGATTATTCTGACATTGAGAACCCACCAACATAAGAAACCCTATCATCTCTAGTCAATGCCATATTAGACTTTCAGCTAAAACAATACTAAATGAGAAATTTAAAATTTAAAACATAAAACTTCCTTTGTGGACTGCTCTTCTTGTTGATCCCATTCTATTAGGACATCCAAAACATTAAGCAAGCTCACAAATGACCGGTAAGCCCCACAGAGAAAGCATCAAATATCCAATATAGAGTAAAAATAATCAAAGTAAATAAAGGGAGGGAGACATGGTTAAATGTGAGAAACAGAAGAAGGCTGAGTTGGTATTCTAGCCCAGAACATCTGAAGAATAAGCACAACTCACAAACCCTACAACTAACAAGTGGCGTATCAATACTGGTTCGTTATAGCTCAGTAAAGGTTGTTTGCATAATTGTCTATCAACTTGACTCATCTGTCATTTCAAACAAGATCTTGTTCTCAACTTTCCCATCTCTAGGAATAGACAGAGGAATCCAATCCTAATAACAATAATAATTCCAGCTAGCATTTGTTAATTGTTTATTACATGCATCTCCTACCAAGTATATATTCCAGGCTCAAGCTGAGCATTTAAGAAACACTTGCAGACCCAACCAGATTTATCAAAAAGTCAATGAGCAGATCATGTAATAAACCTAATTTTTAAAAATTTATCCTTTGAATAGATTTATAAATCATAATGCAGCAACACACTATAATGGTATACAGCTGCTAAAAATAACTATGACAACTATGCTAAAACATGAAAGAACAGGTAGTACATAAAGTTAAATCTATAAAAGCAGAATGTCAAATGGTATGTAAACTCATTAAAATTATGTAAAAACATGTGTATATGGATGAGGTTCAGAAGATAATATACAAATTTTAACATGGTTGTGTTAGAAGAGTGGGATTACAGATGATCATTTTTTCCTTTTCTCAAAATTTCTTTCAATGTTTTTGCTAGCCCATGTATCATGTTAACCTACATTGGTCAGCAAATAGGTTCAGCTGCATAAGATCTAACATATTGGCAAATTAAAAGATTACAGTGTATTTCTCTCTCATATATATCTCCAAATATATAAGCCATGCAGAGCTGATACAGTGGTTCTACTATGTCAAACCTCAAGTTCCTATCTTTTTATTTTGCCATCCCTTCTTCTGAGTGGTCTCAGATGGCTCATGATCCTGTTTGTATTCCAGCCAGTGAGAAGAGGGAAAGGGCAAGAGGCAAGCACACTCTATTCCTCTAGAAGCACAGTGCCTGATACACAAGAAGACAAAAATATTAAATGAATGAATGAATGATCAACTCTACAGTAACTCTAGTTTTGAAAGACCCAAGCAGGGAAATCCTATAATAAAAGATATTTCACATTACTAGACATGGGCCTCTCATGTCTTCTCATTGACCTTAGAAATATCAGGAGTGTGGAGAGTAAGATGCTTTGCAAGCTAGTGGGAAAATATTCTATTGTTATTTATACCCATTTAATCTTGGAGGACTGACTCAAGCTATAGGCAGATGCCTCACAATAGGCACATGCATTTCACTCAGCTCCACTAAACCACTTCATCCAATCTCCTGGCCAGCTAATCTTCCTATAACCTTCTGAGTTCAAGGTCATAGCTGGTGGTGTTAACAGAAATCATCCCAACTGGGTCTGTAATAATAAATGTCAAAAAGACTTGTAGGCAAATTGTTATTTCCCTTGCTTCTAGCTTGAGGCACGTACAATATCTACTGAATTCAGGGATACATCTTAGGGAGCATCTGTGGGTGAGGAGAATAAAAGTGCTGCTACCCAAAAGGGAGATCTTGTTTTCAATTCAATTTGCTGACTTCTCAACCAAATTTAGCATTATGTGAATACTCAATTACGGCTTTTTATGCATGCCTTATAGATAAGTTGGTAAAAATCCTTCAACTGGAGGTAATTTAAGCAGGTGCAAAGATAAATCAACACATATGTGAAGAGATGTTCTTCCTGCTAAATTATTAGTAATCAATACCTTAGATACTACAATTCCTGCTAAGGTGTGACAGGATGTTGATGGTTTATAGAAAGTATTTGGCATGTTAATATTGCTAATGTTTCCTTATGCTGAAAGCATATAACATTTATTATATATTATATGACTTCCTGGTATGGCACTTAGGAGGCTACTTGTAAGTCAAATTATTCACATGATATTGCCTCTGAAGTGATACAAAACTTTAGTTCTCATATAACCATTGATTTTTTAAAATGTTTTCTCGAGAGAAAAAATTTTTAAGAAACTCAAGGGCTAAAACAGTCACCAAATTCCAAAATAAAAATCATTATTTTCCTTGTAAATCAGACTTCCCTCTTGGGTTCCACATTAGTTGATGCCAAGACAACCCACCTCAGTCACTTGATGGTATCTACTGTGTTTCCTGTATTTCCAGTGTCCAGGGAGGGGCCCACAGTACCATCCTCCTTTCCTCTCGACTAGGTAACAACTAATAACTTCCTAACTCTTCTCTCTACCAACAGCATAAAATTTGAATTCCTTTCCTATAACATTTAAGGTGTATCCTATTTTGGATTCATCTAACTTTCCAGCATTATTTATTTCTACAAACCCCCAGCATACCTGACCCCTAAATGAGTAAAAACCATTCATGCCTTTTTGTTGTTGTTCATACTATTCCAAGTCTAAAACGCTGGACTACTATCCCCTTCCTTCTTCAACAAGATAAAAATCCTGTTCTTGTGCTCAGTTCAATTGCCACTTCCTTAGTTAATCTTATTCCAATACCATCAGGAGGAACTCTTTCCACCTTGCTCCCATGACATTTTATTTGTTCTGTGTGGTATCAATAGTATAACAAATATGACAAAATAAATATAATATGTTATTATTTTTAAGGCTTTACTATGTGCCAGATACTTAGCTGAGTAAGCATTAACTCACTGAATCATCATCATTATTATTCTGTATCATAGGGGCTTCTATAAGATTAAGTAACTTATTTAAAGCCATGCCCCTAGAAACTAGGGAATTTGAATCCAGATCCTCCGACTCCAGAGATCATGCTCTTTTTAGAGCATTCTACCTGATACTGGTAATATTTAGAACTCTAACTCTCTGTCTAAACTATAAGTTCTTTTTTTTTTTATTATACTTTATGTTTTAGGGTACATGTGCACATTGTGCAGGTTAGTTACATATGTATACATGTGCCATGCTGGTGCGCTGCACCCACTAACTCGTCATCTAGCATTAGGTATATCTCCCAGTGCTATCCCTCCCCCCTGCCCCCACCCCACCACAGTCCCCAGAGTGTGATATTTGAGATGTGGGAGTATGTCTTTGTAGCTCTGCATATCCACAGTGTCTAACTGCAAGCTCCGCCTCCCGGGTTCACGCCATTCTCCTGCCTCAGCCTCCCGAGTAGCTGGGACTACAGGCGCCCACCATCACGCCGGCAATTTTTTTTTTTTTTTTTTTGTATTTTTTTAGTAGAGACGGGGTTTCACCGTGTTAGCCAGGATGGTCTCGATCTCGTGACCTCATGATCCGCCCGCCTCGGCCTCCCAAAGCGCTGGGATTACAGGTGTGAGCCACCGCGCCCGGCCCATATTCTTTAATGAATAAATGGAAAACAGGATGTGGAAGTTTGAGAACTCTAATATGGTTTTCTTAAGTCTAATAGTTTTCTTATACTACTCCTTTGTTTCCTAGCATTCAGATCCTTAGCTCATTACTGCAGATTACAAAAACTGCATATAAACCACAAAGAAGAAGCTGCAGCTGAAACAGGGCTCTGAGACCCATGTTAGCTGAACTGTCCTGAGAAGTGAAGCTATGAAAGTATCACATGATGAGCAGCCCAACCCAGGCTCAACACTTGCGAGTCAGCTAGAAATATAATGGCAGTGTGAGCTGATTTCCACACATTGGCAAAAGTTTTGTCTAAGCCACAGCATCCCAGCCCTCCAAGCATTACAACTACGATATTTATTGAGCAATAACAATTGCTAGATGCAATTCAGAATGTTGAATTGGGCATCATCTTTACCCAAGAGACTTGTAATTTAAATTCTACAGGCATACAGAAACTTAAGGAGGAAAGAAAGAAGGCAACGGCTTTCTCTCCTCTATCTCCCACCCGCTATGTGTAAACAATGCAATATTCCTCCGGCAATTCAAGATAGCCCCTGGATACTGTATTAGGCACTCAGTGAAGAAGAGTTAACTCACTGAGGCTGAGGTGATAGCATTTAGTGTGCTGGAGTAGTGACTTGCCATATAGACTCCAGTGTCCCAAACAACTTAGTACAGTTTCTAGATGTGGTTAATACTCTAACGTAGTTTATGATGTGAGATCAAAGATGTAGCTAAGGTTGGACCTAGAAAAAAATTGTAAATGAGCTGGAAATATAAATTGCACCTCTCCTAATAGCATTACCTTCTGTTCTTTGGTATATGCCTCCTCCATTCCACTAGGCATCATCCCATTTATAATTTCAACTAATCTCTACTAAACATTTAACTGGCAATGAGCCAATTAATGCATTACATTTTAAAGTTAATTTTTATTTTTATCAAAGTAATACATGTACATAATTTTAAAAATAAAACATGAGAAAAAAGCAGTCCCCAAGCCAAACTCCCCTTCAGCTCCTATTCCTGATTCCTTATGGTAACCACTTTTAATTTTTTTTTAGCTATTTCTTTTGATGTTTACATCCATTTTCTAATAATGTGGTTATACAGTTATTTCTTGATTTTTGAATTTTAAACATTATTTAATTTACTTCATTCTATGGAATATGGGTTACCTCTTTTAATATAACCCCCCGCCTGACACACACACCCAAAACACATACATATTTCCCCTTCTCCATCTTTCCAACATAATTATGGCATCCATTTGGGCTAAATCCACAATTAAAGCTTATATAACTATGAATCTATTAACATTATTTACATCTCAGTTTTGGAGTATATTGTAATTACATTTCTTACACAACTTTATTTCCCAAGAGTTTATATTTGTGTCTATTATTTTTGGTTGCTTGATTTTCTACATAGCTGTCATAAACTCATTCTCAAATGCTCCATTGGACTGAAAACTCTTCTCAAGATAGTCAAACACTTCATGCAATCTATCAGCTTAATCTGTTTCTTGGAGACATCCATATGGACTTTCCTGTCCTTCTATTAAATTCTGGACTGTTTTCTAGGATGCTGGATATCTGCCATTATGGGGCTTTCCTTTGCCAGCATCCTGGCAAAGATCCAGATCCTTTGCCTCTCTCCTGTATTAGATCCCTTGTCTTTTCTATTCCATGACTTCCTCTTTCTGATTTTACTTCTTCATCTTAATGGAACATATCTTCCCACACTTTCTTGAAAAAATGGTACAAGGGCAGTAACTTTGTTGAGACTTTACATATCTGAAAACACATTTACCCTCATATTTAGATAGGTATAGAGTTTTATTTTGCTAAGTATTTTTTCTCAGAAATTTAATAGCATTTCTCCATGTTTTCTAGTTTTTGTTAATTTGTTTTCTTTTCTTTTATTTTTTGTTTGTTTGTTTTTAGAGATGGGGTCTTGTTCTGTCACCCAGGCTGGAGTGCAGGGGGTGCAATCAGCTCCCGACAGCCTCGAACTCCTGGGATCAAACAATCCTCCTGCCTCAGCCTCCCAAGTAGCTGGGGCTTAGTTTTTTATTATTTGATAATCCAAAAGAGTGAACATCAGTATAGTCAGTGGCAGAGCTAGGCTTCCAGCCTATATCTAATTCCAAGCCCAGGAATATTCTTCTCCTATGATATCCAGCCTTTGTATACTAAAGTATGAAGTTATAAATTTGAAATATTTCCAGCAGTAGCTGCAATTTGATAAGGGACTCATTTGCAGACCTAAAGCTTGAGTCGAAGAAGCAAAGTTATGATGGTAAAACAAGATATGTAGTTAAATTGAGGGTCAGGACCCCTGAAACCACAGGATATAACTGGTCTTCTATTTCTATTAAACGTGTCAAGTTGGTAGCATTCCCCAAAGTTTCTTGGGACTCCAGAAATTGCATGTTGGGAGATAATTCTCCATGGGTCTCTCACATTTCTGCACGTCTTACAAGCAGAAACATTGACTGCCTCTGTTCCAGACTATTGTTTCAAGCCATCATCTATGGGTGGTACAGGTAGTGTTTTGCTCTGAAGCAAAGGGCAAGTTTGCCTTCAGCTCTGGAATATAGAGACAGTGTCTCCTAGGGCAAAAGACAGACATGCTTATGGCCCATTATAAATGATTTGGGTTCTCTGAACTCAGGGTTCTTCATTTATAATACTCCCCGTTGCATGTGCAAATATCACCTGCTCCTCTTTACATTGCCAGGCAGTATTTGAGGTTTAAGGGGCTGGTATAAATGCTGATATTCTGTCTACTGTTAATGCTATAAGTAATAAACTGTCCTTGGTTTATTATATAACCAAGGAGTATATATAACCCAGGAGTATTATATCTTCTGCCAGCACCCATGAAACTGACAGGCTAACTTAGCTTGCAAATAGGATACAATTTCAGGCCCTTTTCAGCTTTTGAGACATATAATCAAAATATATAGAAAAACAATTCAGGGAGTATATAGATTAAAAAGAGTTTCCTATTTAAAAAAAAAATTTTTTTGGCTTGGGAATACAAAATTAAAACCAAACCACAGTCTAGAAGTCCAATATACTTGAAATTTGGCTTCAACAAGTTAAATATTTTTCCAATGCACCTAAAGTGCTTAGGTGTTCCTTATTAGTATTTGATATTTCTATGACCAAACATTCTCTGTTTACTTTTAAAGAGCTTCCACAAAATTTTTATCCTGTAAGATACAACTATTTGGGGCCGGGCGCAGTGGTTCACGCCTGTAATCCTAGCACTTTGGGAGGCCGAGGCAGGCGGACTGCCGGAGCTCAGGAGTTCGAGACCAGCCTGGGCAACACAGTGAAACCCCATCTCTACTAAAAATACAAAAAATTAGCCAGGCGTGGCTGCGTACACCTGTAGTTCCAGCTACTGGGAAGGCTGAAGCAGGAGAATTGCTTGAACCCAGGAGGCGGAGGTTGCCATGAGCCGAGATGGCGCCACTGCACTCCAGCCTGGGCTACAGTGCAAGACTCCATCTCCAAAAAAAGAAAAGAAAAGGAAAGAGAAAAGATACAACTATTTGGGAGGTAGGTGGGAAAAGGCTCCTTTACGATTAACTAAAGACTTCAAGGTCTATTTCAATTATTCTTATAGACCCAAAACCCAGTAGAATATCTCAAATGTCTTAGAAATCCTTAACTTAAAGGATAATATAAGGAATGTCTTTTGAATGCATGGCCTGTATTCATTTCTACTTACAGCATCATTAGCAACATCAGTGAATACGCTGAAGACTGTGAACTCTGACCTCGTAAAGTAGTACATGTGCAGCATTACTGCAGGTTAATCTTCATTATCACTGTCACTCTTTAAATACCCAGACAAGACATAGTGTCAAGAAGAAAGCATCTGTTTGTCATCATGCAACATGTAGTCCTGACCACATGAGAAAGAACAATCCAGAGCCTCCCATATATGAGAGGAAGTCTCTGGAACACAGTAACTCTAAAAAATTCATTCATTGGGCTGTTACCTCCCAAGGTCATCCTGGTGCAAAGGTCACCTAAAAAAACTATGGGAAGGTTCTGGGATGAACGAAAACAGCACAATGTTGAATTTATGCCACAGCTGTGATAAAGGGAAAAGAACATAGATTGTAGATTCAGGAAAATGCTATTCAAATTCTGGTTCCACTCTGAGCAGTCATGAAACTTTGGGTATATTTTTTTACCTTCTCTGAGCTCAAATTCCTTATGTAAAAATTGTGATACTATTATATGAACTGTGATAAAACCTGACAAGACTGTTTTGAGGATTACAATATAATGTTACGTGCAAAATGTCTGACACATAATGAACTCCTAATAGGTATTTGTTGAATCTAAACTGCAGAGAAGGCCCTGAGCAGTGCTAGGCCTTACAGATTGACATGATACAGAATCCTCAGACCCATTAAAAACTTGATGAGCAGGGCACAGTGGCTCACGCCTGTAATCCCAACACTTTGGGAAGCCGAGATGGGTGGATCACCTGAGGTTGGGAGTTCGAGACCATCCTGACCAACATGGAGAAATCCCATCTCTACTAAAAATACAAAATTAGCCAGGTGTGATGGCACATGCCTGTAATCCCAGCTATTTGGGAGGCTGAGGCAGGAGAATCGCTTGAACCTGAGAGGTGGAGGTTGTGGTGAGCCAAGATGGCACCACTGCACTCCAACCTGGGCAACAAGAGCAGAACTCCATCTCAAAAAAACAAAAACAAAACAAAACGAAACAAAACGCCTGATGAAGCCGGGCTCAGTGGCTCACGCCTGTGATCCTAGCACTTTGGGAGGCTGTGGTGGGCGGTCAGGAGTTTGAGACCAGCCTGGCCAACACGGAAAAACCCCATCTCTACTAAAAATACAAAAACTAACCAGGCATGGTGGCAGGTGCCTGTAATCTCAGCTACTCAGGAGGCCGAGGCTGGAGAATCACTCGAACCCAGGAGGTGGAGGTTGCAGTGAGCCTAGATTATGCCACTACACTCCAGTGTGGGCGACAAGAGCAAAACTCCATCTCAAAAACAAAACAAAACAAAATAACACCACATATCTACAACTATCTGATCTTTGACAAACCTGAGAAAAACAAGCAATGGGGAAAGGATTCCCTATTTAATAAATGGTGCTGGGAAAACTGGCTAGCCATATGTAGAAAGCTGAAACTGGATCCCTTCCTTACACCTTATACAAAAATAAATTCAAGATGGATTAAAGACTTAAACATTAGACCTAAAACCATAAAAACCCTAGAAGAAAACCTAGGCAATACCATTCAGGACATACGCATGGGCAAGGACTTCATGTCTAAAACACCAAAAGCAATGGCAACAAAAGACAACATTGACAAATGGGATCTAATTAAACTAAAGAGCTTCTGCACAGCAAAAGAAACTACCATCAGAGTGAACAGGCAACCCACAAAATGGGAGAAAATTTTTGCAACCTACTCATCTGACAAAGGGCTAATATCCAGAATCTACAATGAACTCAAACAAATTTACAAGAAAAAAAAACCCCATCAAAAAGTGGGCGAAGGACATGAACAGACACTTCTCAAAAGAAGACATTTATGCAGCCAAAAAACACATGAAAAAATGCTCACCATCACTGGCCATCAGAGAAATGCAAATCAAAACCAAATGGCAATCATTAAAAAGTCAGGAAACAACAGGTGCTGGAGAGGATGTGGAGAAATAGGAACACTTTTACACTGTTGGTGGGACTGTAAACTAGTTCAACCATTGTGGATGTCAGTGTGGCGATTCCTCAGGGATCTAGAACTAGAAATACCATTTGACCCAGCCATCCCATTATTGGGTATATACCCAAAGGACTATAAATCATGCTGCTATAAAGACACATGCACACATATGTTTATTGCGGCACTATTCACAATAGCAAAGACTTGGAACCAACCCAAATGTCCAACAATGATAGACTGGATTAAGAAAATGTGGCACATATACACCATGGAATACTATGCAGCCATAAAAAATGATGAGATCATGTCCTTTGTAGGGACATGGATGAAATTGGAAATCATCATTCTCAGTAAACTATCGCAAGAACAAAAAACCAAACACCACATATTCTCACTCATAGGTGGGAAGTGAACAATGAGAACACATGGACACAGGAAGGGGAACATCACACTCTGGGTACTGTTGTGGGGTGGGGGGAGGGGGGAGGGATAGCATTGGGAGATATACCTAATGCTAGATGACGAGTTAGTGGGTGCAGTGCACCAGCATGGCACATGTATACATATGTAACTAACCTGCACATTGTGCACATGTGCCCTAAAACTTAAAGTATAATAATAAAAAAAAATTTAAAAAAAACAACAAAAAACCTGATTGCATGACTTTGCCTACTTAAAATGAGTCTATTTTTTCCTTATGTTAGGTAAAGTGCTCAGCACCTTCAGTAAACAAGCATCAGTCAGCTCTAGACAAAACAAAAAAACTTTATAGCTGAGCTAGGGTTAACCTTATTTCTGAAATTATTACATTAAGATAAAGGTGAAAATAGATGGATTTATACCTGCTAATAGAGAGTCTGAACGCCAAATAGGAAATTTGGGCTTTATTCCATAAGCAATAATGACAGCTTAAGAAAAACTATTCTGATAGCAATACATGAAATGGTTTGGTGGTAGTCAAAAAATAAAGTAAGAAAGATCAAGGCCAGACACTGTGACTCGTGCCTGTAATCCCAGAATTTTGGGAGGCTGAGGAGGAAGGATCACTTGAAGCTAGGAGTTCAAGACCAGCCTGGGCAACATAGCAAGACCTGTGTCACTCAAAAAAAAGAAAAAAAAATTAGCCGGGCATGGTGGTGCATGCCTATAGTCCTAGCTACTTTGAGAAGCTGAGGTGGGAGAAATGCTTAAGCCCAGGAGTTCAAGGTTACTGCGAGCTATGATCACACTACTACATTCCAGCCTGAGTGATGGAACAAAACCCTGTCTCTGCCAAAAAAAAAAAAAAAAAAGGGAAACAAAGAAGGAAGGAAGGAAGGGAAGGAAAGAAAGAAAGAAAAAAAGAAACATCAGTAAGAAGGAAATTTAAGTATTCTAGATCAGAGGCATCAGGCATTCAAGGAATGTTGGTAGTATTCACGTATCTGATATGAAGTCAAAAAAACCTCTTACTGGCTGTAAACTGCTCATGGAAAATGAGTAAATAGTTTACCCTTCAGATGATAGTGAGTTTATCATACATCAGTCCTAGTAACTACTTAACAAAATAATTTCTTCAGGTAGTTAGGTTGATTTTTTTACATATCATTCTTAATAATAACATGGATATAAAAATACATCTTGGTTTCAACAGACACTTTTGTATAAAATTTATTTATTCTAACATAAACTCTTCATTTTTGAGGGAGGAACATAGAAAAGTTATCTTGAAATGATAAGATATGAATTTGAGAGTTCAGTGAAACAATGTCAAACTTTTGGTTGAAGCTTTCAGTTTATAAACATGTTAAGTTTTTTTATATGATCAGTATAGGAAATGGGCATTGACACTGAGTACTCTATTACAGGGCTGTATGAATGCAGAAGGCTCACAAGTTGAAGGAAATTGTAGCTAATATTTCAGGTTATTCAGGGCAGAAGAAATCATCTCATTATTTGTGTTCCATTTATGACTGGAAACTCATCCTCTCAAATATTGCCATGATTTTCAGCAAGCAAGATCATTTAGGTTTACCATCTCGGGGGCTATTATGAAATATTGGGTGGACATTACTGGGTTCATGTACTTGTTTACTTCTTTCATTTTTCTCTTTGCTGACCAAAGGAAATTACAAACCATTATGTGCAACTGTGTATCATTACAGATTTATGAGAGAATAAATGGCTCCTCTGACAGATTTAAGAATGCAAAAGCCTTAAGGAGATACTTTCCTCAAAATATAATTCCATTTCCCACTCCCAAAATTGATCTCTCTCAAACTCCCTTCTCCTCTGGAACTGCTACTCCCAGTGCAGAGAAAACAGAACATATATATGTATATATGTGTGTGTGTGTGTGTGTGTGTGTACATATACATATATATATGTACACACACACATTATATATATATATAATTTGAAATTTCATTCACTCTACTATAGTCAATTCTTCAAGTTCATAGTTGTATTCAGTATTCATCTTAATGGCAAGATCAATCTTATGGAAAATATCAGTTCTGTAATAATAAAGAAAGGAGTATAAAAGCTTGTGAGTGGTAAACCATGCCCCTCAAAGTATAACAGTTTTAACTCAACTAGAACTCAAATAATGAAGGCTAAGAACTAAGACTAAGACTTAATTCCAAGACTAATAATTCTATACTCAATGATTTTGAGTATGGAATTCTCAAATAAAAGGAAGAGTTAAACTCACCATAAAGATCCAAAGAAACATAGTTTGATGAAGTCATGAACAACTATTATGCCAAATGCACAGTATTAGTAAATCTTCACACAGTCTTGATTAGGTAGCATAATAAGAAAGTCAATGATTGGTAAGGTAACCAATCAAGCTGTTAATAAAGTGAATTCCCCTCAGTACTAGAATAAAGAAGATAAGCAAAACTGAAGTGAAAAGAAAAGAATTGTGGTAGACTGTGAAAGGTGGCCCACAAATTTGCATATGTGACTTTGTACCACGATGACTTTGTGCACTATGAGTTTGTACCATATGGATGAGCCTGAACTAGCCCTACTAATGATGATAGATACATGGCTATCACTTCACCAGACATAGAACAATCACCAGACATGTGTGGAACCATCCTAGACAATCTAGCTATCTTTTTTGATGGAAGAAATACACAGTCAACCCACAAAACTGTGAGAAATAATAGATATTATTATAATTCACAAAGCTTTGGATAGTTTATTATGGTGCAAAAGCTAACTGATAAAGAAAATGGTACTAGGACTGAAGTGCTGCTGTTACAGCAACCTGAAATATGTAGCATTAGCTTTGGGACAAGGTGATGGATAGAGGCTGGACAAGTGACAGGAAAACTGTTAGCCAAAATTGAGAAAATAGAGAATAAATTGTTAGGAGCAAGAAAAGTGGTAAGAAACTGCTATAGCACTCAGGAAAAATGGCAATCTGTATTATATAGTAGTGCAACAATAGCAAAACTGTTGCCTATGATAATATGGAAGATAGAAAATTTACCCGATGGGCCAGGTATGGTGGTTCACACCTGTCATCCCAGCACTTTGGGAGGCCGAGGCAGGCAGATCAGCTGAGGTCAGGAGTTGGAGACCAACCTAGCCAACATGGTGAAACCCCATCTCTACTGAAAAAATACAAAAATTAGCCAGGCGTGATGGCGGGTGCCTGTAATCCCAGCTCCTCAGGAGGCTGAGGCAGGAGAATCGCTTGAACCCGAGAGGTGGAGTTTGCAGTGAGCCGAGATCGTGCCACTGCACCCCAGCCTGGGCAACAGAATGAGACTCTAAAGGAAAAAAAAATAAAAAGAGAGAAAGAGAGAAAGAAAGAAGAAAGAGAAAGAAAGAAAGAAAAAGAAAGAAAGAAAGAAAGAAAGAAAGAAAGAAAGAAAGAAAGAAAGAAAGAAAGAAAGAAAGAAAGAAAGAAAAGAAAGGGGAGGGGAAGGGAGGGGAACGGAGGGGAAGGGGAGGGGAGGGGAAGGGGAAGGGGAAGGGGAAGGGGAAGGGGAAGGGAATTTACCCAGTGGATTAGAGAATCAGCTAAGGAGATTCCCAGGCAAAATATTGAAGGAATAGATGTTTTTTAATTGTATAAGATAACATACAAAAACAAGAGAGAGCTAAAGAAAGAACTGTGCAGTTTTCCTGCAGAGTTCATAAGCAATATAAAGGAGCCAGGACTTGAGAGCTGGGGGAAAGACCCTTCATATTTCTGGTCTCTCTAGCCATTAAAAGATTCTCAAAGTAATAAATGACTGGCTGGGTGTAGTGGCTCATGCCTGTAATCCCAGCACTTTGGGAAGCCAAGGTGAGATGATCATTTGAGGCCAGGAATTTGAGGTTACAGTGAGCTATGATCATGGCACTGCACTCCTGTCTTGGCAACAGAGCAAGACCCTGTCTCAAAAAAAAAAAAAAAAAAAAAAAAAAGAAAGGAAATGACTTCACAGTGAAAATCCAGATCAAGGGTGTGGCTGAAAGGCCCCTTGTTAAACAACTGAATGGTGTAAGGTGGTGCCTAGAATCTTTTTTTTTTTTTTTTTGAGATGGGGTCTTGCTCTGTAGCCAGGCTGGAGTGCAGTGGTGCGATCTCGGCTCATTGCAACCTCCACCTCTCGGGATCAAGCGATTCTCCTGCCTCAGCTTCCCAAGTAGCTGGGACTACTTGGGAGGCCACCACGCCCAGCTAATTTTTGTATTTTTAGTAGAGATGGGGTTTCACCATGTTGGCCAGAATGGTCTCGATCTCTTGATTTCGTGATCTGCCCACTTCAGCCTCCCAGAGTGCTGGGATTACAGGCGTGAGCCACCACGCCCAGTCGGTGGTGCCTACAATCTTAAGGATGTATCACAGCAGCCTGGTATACGGCCCAAAGATGAGAGTGACTTTCTCAAAAATAATTAGTGATGTGGTCTTTAGGGCATGGAATAGGCCCAAACCATATTCATAGGAGGTCCACAAAGTTCCAAAAAGTTTTTAAAAGAGTTAGACTGATAAAAATCCCTGCAAGCTTGGACAAAAAAAAAAGTTCAAAATGAGAAGATTTCTCTGGGCCTCCAAATTTTCACATACAGAGAGCAGGCTAAGAAAGCCACCCACCTGCAAATATGAGCTATTTTTTATTGAAAACTAAGAGTGTCTCAGAGGGTAGAGAAAAGAGCCCATAGTACAACAAACCTCCTTCCTCTGAGAAGAACATCAGAGGACAGTAAGTTATAGAATTGAGCCTTGGAAGAACTGAAGCCTAATCAAAAAACGTTCTCTGCTTCTTGAATAGAGGGACCCCAGCAACATCTGACAAGCTAGACTTCAGAATTTTTATGGACTACTAACTGTTACATATCTCTCATTTCTTCCCTTCTTTAAATGAGAGTATTTGTCGCTCTATTTTAAGTAGGGTATGGGGGCAGATAGCTTCAAGAGGAGCTGCACCTGAAATGCTGCACCTTATCCACTTCTAAACTAACTGCAGATCACAAGATCATAAACTTCAATACTGATACCTTGGAACAAAATAATGGGGGGGATTTTCATGAAAGCAAGGATTTTTCTCTGTTTTTCTCCTTGTTGTATTCCAAACACCTAGGACAGTGATAGGTTCATGATAGGCCCTCAATAAATATTTATTGAATTAATGAATAAACTCTTTAAAAAGTTTAAACTCACGTATCATTTCATTGCTCTTTTTGTATCGTATTAGCAGACATTTGTGGTTTTCATTGCCAAAAAACAAAAAACACAGGCCAGGCATAGTGGCTCATGCCTGTAATCCCAGCACTTCAGGAGGCTGAAGCAGGAAGATCACTTCAGCCTAGGAGGTCAAGGCTGCAGTGAGTCATGATCGCCCCACCGCATTCCAGCCTGGGTGACAGAGCAAGATGCTGTTGCACAAACAACAACAACAAAACCCCAATGTGACCTAAATGTGGTATCCTGTTCCCAATAGTAGTTACTTTCAAAAAGAGGTAAAACCTCAATGTGAATCCAGCCACTTGCTCAGAGGAGCATCATAAGGAAATAAGAGAAGTCCTTCAAAGCTCCTAGTGAGCGGAGATCAGCTTGTACCCTGAAGCATGAGATTCTATTAGTACCTTTTGTTAGTATTCATAACTAACAGTATTATGACTGGTCATACAATTATCTAGCTTTTCTAATTCATCTCTTGACTGAATCTATGACCTCCCAGGCTAATAAATTCCACAGGTTGGCCATACATTGGGCAAAGAAATATTTTCCTTATGCTTTTTAAATTCTAAATTTATTTCAGCCATTAATTTTACAGAATGAGTGACCCTTGTCTTAACAGTTGGAAGACATAAAATTAAGTAAATTGGACCTCCAATAAGAATGTCATTTTAGCAGTTTTGTGTGGTAATGTTTCATTTATCACGTGAACATGTGGCTGTGTTAGAAGAGTATCAATAGGTAATTATTTTCCTTTCAGATTTTTACTTTCACAGTAGAACAGAAAGGAAATTTCAGGATAAAGATAAAGAGAAAAGAAAGAAAACAAACAAGGGATATATGACACTGTCTGGATCATGGACTGCTATCATTCTACCTGTGTTCTTTAAAATTGCTATGTTCTAAGATAATAAGATAAAAAAAAATGGATTCAATCAGTTTTAAAGCTGAAATTTTCCTGGGTAACAATAACAGCATTTGACTATGTTTATCCCTTAGATTAGAAGCAAATGAAAGAAAAAGGATTTGCTGTTGACGGAATTTTATTCTTAAGGCTAATGGTGCCTGTAAAACAATTAACAAAGTATTTTTTAATATAATTACTGCCTGGGATCTGTGTGTATGTGTCATTTTTCACAGTCTGTTTCATTGAAATGTATAAGGTCAGCTAATAAGAAGCAGTTTGCTGGCCAGGCATGGTGGTTCATGCCTGTAATCCCAGCACTTGGGGAGGCAGAGGTGGGTGGATCATGAGGTCAGGAGTTGGAGACCAGCTTGGCCAACATGGTGAAACCCCATCTCTACTGAAAGTACAAAAATTAGCCGGGCATGGTGGAGCATGCCTGTATTCCCAGCTACTCGGGAGGCTGAAGCAGAAGAATCACTTGAACCCGGGAGGCGGAGGTTGCAGTGAGCAGAGATCGCGCCACTGCACTCCAGCCTGGGTGACACAGCAAGACAGCAAGACTCCGTCTCCAAAAAAAAAAAAAAAGAAGAAGAAGAAGAAGCTGCTGTCTGCTGCGTGATTAATCAGGAATCAGGTTGGGGGCCTCAGTAGGATTAAGCCTTGGAATAAACAAGGATTATTTATTTATTTAGCTTTGGTAATTTGGAAAAGCTTTACTCACTGAACTAATCACAAATTTTTTTGTAAGAACACAAGATTCCCCATTATTTAAGTTTACACTCCTGATAACCTCTTTTTTTTTTTTTTTAGACAGGGTCTTGTTCTGTCACCCATGCTGGAGTGCAATGGCTCGATCACAGCTCACTGCAGCCTTGACCTCCTGGGCTCAAGCAATCCTCCCACCTCAGCTGGGATAACAGGCATGCATTACCATGCCTGGCTAATTTTTGTATTTTTTGTAGAGATGGAGTTTTGCCATGTTGCCTAGGCTGGCCTCAAACTCCTGGGCTCAAGGAATCCTCCTGCCTTGACCTCCCAAATTACGGAGATTACAGGCATGAGCCACCACATCTGGTCCCAATGATTATTAGGAATAATACACAATCTTAATACAGAGCAAGAAATGGTGGACATTGGGGAGTAAAACAGTGAAGCATTTTGCCACTGATGGGTTTCAGAGAATGAAAATGTGCACACTGATAAAATAACTAATATTGAAGATTATAATGTATTGTTAATCAATATCTGCATATGTTGGCACACATGCATTAGAAAAAAAAATTACAGCTGGAAAGAATTTTGCAATCATATGGCACAACTTCAACATTTCAGTGAAGAGGAACTATGAACCTGAGAAGTGATGTGTACAAGGTAACAGAGCTACTTAATGGAAGGCAGAAAGGTTGGGCAACAGTGCTAACTTTCTTCAACAGCAACAATTCTGCCTAGGTCATAATAACATCTTGAAAAAGGAGAACCCTCTGACATGTGACCAAAGTCTGGTCACCTTTAAGATTTCACCCCAGGCTGTTTTTTGCTCAAGCCCAGATAAATCTGCTCTCTTTCTCCAGAGCCTGGAATGCTAGAAAGACTCTTTTACTTTGGGCACAATCAGTGGAAAAGCAACTTAGAAACTTACAAGGAAAGAGTTGCAGTGGTGCTTCTTCCTCCATAATCTCCCTGCCAAAAGATTAGAGTAACTAAATTCTTTTCAGTAGTGTAGCCTTCAATACATATGACAACACTCATGAGTGTGTTGATCTAATATATACTAAGATATTATTTCTAAAAACGTATGATTCAAATTTTCTTTATATTATGACAAATAATTATAATATTAGGTCACATATTATGGGTCTGGCCAGAGGCATGGAATCATGCTACTGTTGCTTCTACTACCACTAGTTCTCTACTCTATAGAGATATTTTTATGCTTTGTATGTCATTCTGTCACATGAAGTGTGTTGTAATGAGTATATTTATGAGTCTAGCCATTGGGAGTGGAAACTGATGTATTATGTAGCCTTGCACCTCATGTGCAGCTGAATTATAATGTAGATCTTAACAGCCAAGAAGTCTGTAATCAGAGAAAAAAAGAATTTCAAAACATAAACTATGTTCTTGGCACTAGCCTTGAATACTGGACATTCATAACCCACAAGTGCCCAGACTATAAATTTGCAAGTTGCATTAATACGGCAGTAAAAGTCACTCTTCTGAAAGCTGCACTTGTAAAATATTTATAAATTCACATGGTTGTTCCTGGCAAATATCTACATCTGTCAGCTCTGTCTTTTTGCTCCCAAAGCAGCAGAGTTGGTGTCCTGTGTAATTCACAATATGTTCATAAAAAATTATTTTGAAAAATCAAGATAGAAGATATTTTATTCTAAGGGGCAATATATCTGCTCCTCCAATGGTATGGTGTTACTATTTGATCTCCTGAGATCCTTTCTCATCAAGTCTTTTTCTCTGAACAAGATTCCAAATTAGCAAGGCAAGTCCTGTGGAGTTGTCTTTAAAATCTCACATTAATATGTACAACACAGGCCAGGCACGGTGGCTCACACCTGTAATACCAGCACTTTGGGAGGCTGAGGCAGGCAGATCACCTGAAGTCAAGAGTTCGAGATCAGCCTGGTCAACATGCTGAAACCCAGACTCTACTAAAAATTCAAAAAATCACCAAGGGTGGTGGTGGGCACCTGTAACCCCAGCTACTTGAGAGACTGAAGTGGGGGAATCACTTGAACTCGGGAGGCGGAGGTTGCAGTAAGCGGAGATGGCGCTACCGCAGTCCAGCCTGGGCAACACAGTGAGACTCAGCCTCAAAAAAAAAAAAAGAAAAAAGTACAACACAGTGGAGTTTTTCCTTCCCAAGTCAATATGTATATCAATGTCACATGGTAAAGGAATTTTCTATGTACATAATCTCCCTATAGTATTTAGGAGATGCTTCATATAGGAGACCTTCTAGATAGACCTGTCTAGATAATTTTTTTTTTCTTAAGCCAGGAAAAAAAATTAAAAGACATCAGATTACATTTTCATATAGATGTATACCATACCGATGTAGTCCATTATTTCTAGTGGGGAGAAAGCCCCCCAAAATCATACCTACTAACAGACTGAGTACTTGACAATAAAATATGCTGTTGTATTTGTATTTGTTTAATTTTTACTGCCATCTAGCTTTTCCTTCCCTCTCTCCCCATGAAAAAGGATTTAGGGGCCGGGCACGGTGGCTCACGCCTGTAATCCCAGCACTTTGGGAGGCCAAGGCAGGTGGAGCACAAGGTCAGGAGATCGACACCATCCTGGCTAACACAGTGAAAGCCTGTCTCTACTAAAAATACAAAAAATTAGCCAGGAGTGGTGGCGGGTGCCTGTAGTCCCAGCTACTAGGGAGGCTGAGGCAGGAGAATGGCATGAACCTGGGAGGCCAAGCTTGCAGTAAGCTGAGATCATGCCACTGCACTCCAGCCTGGGCGACAGAGCAAGACTCTGTCTCAAAAAAAGAAAAAAAAGAAAAAAAAAGAAAAAGGATTTAGGTTGTTTATAATGCAAACATAATTGTTATAAAGACAGAACAGTTAAAGGTGAGATCAGAAATATAAAACACCAGATAGTATTATAGTCCTTAAATTTGGGGAGATAATGCATCCCTTTGAGAATCTGATGAAAACTTTGTGCTCTTTCCCCAGAAAATGCAAATAAGTATATACAAACAAACAAAACACATAACACACACTTTTGTATACTAACTCAGGCATTCAGAGACCACCAACACCATTCCACAGACCACCACAGAGGAAGGAGAAAGAAAATGTATATCAGGAAACTAGAATAAAATTATTAGTACCATTAAGCATGAAGTTTAGCTCTAACTTTTAGTCAATACAGAAGGGAGAATTCAAAGGGTTTCACAGATCTCAATGTTTAACAGAGAAATACACATCAGGTTTTCAGGAGACATATTTTGAGAGGAATTTGTCGGGCGGATGAGTCTCGGATTTATTTTATTTTTTATTTTTTTTGAGACAGAGTCTTGCTCTGTCACCCAGGCTGGAGTGCAGTGGCGCGATCTCTGCTCACTGCAACCTCTGCCACTTGGGTTCAAGCGATTCTCCTGCCTCAGCCTCTGGAGTAACTGGGATTACAGGCGCCCGCCACCACACCTGGCTAATTTTTGTATTTTTAGTAGAGATGGGGGTTTCACCATCTTGGCCAGGCTGGTCTTGAACTCCTGACCTTGTGATCTACCTGCCTCGGCCTCCCAAAGTGCTGGGATTACAGGTGTGAGCCACTGCGCCTGGCCTCAGATTTATTATTAAATACACGATGCGCAATGCCTTTAACAGGAATTTTGCAAAAACGCAAAACTATTTTCACATGGCCATTTTTACATTGTTCCCTTAATAAATCTTGAGGATATTCTTAATAAGTAGTAATTCTTATGAGTAGTTATACCAACTGAGCCTAGATAATCTGGCTTCTGTATCTGACCTGACATAGCAACAAATGGTTTCTCTCTAGAGAAAGCTCCAGTATTCATAAGGCGCAATGTGCTTGCAGCAGCCTTCCTGGAACTACAACTAAGAAGCTGCAGCATCACCAAGGCCTCCTGAGAAATTGTACAGACTCACTAACCCACATACCTGGCAGGACTCATGTGTCAAAAAGGTGACTCTAAGCAAGACGCCAAGAAATACATGAATTTAAGAGGCAAAACTAAAAACTATAAATAGGTTAGAGTGTGAATGAAGGTGTACCCGCCTCGATTTCTGCTCACTGTGGAGAAGCCTATGGTTAAAGCACTGATCTTATTTTGTCCGTTAAAGCCCCTCCAATCAAGTATATGACCTGGGGATGGGAACACTGATTCCATACCAACTGAGGAGTAGAAGAATTCAAAGCTAAAGAACGAAGAATATTATTGCAGATTAAGAATATCATTAGACAGAAATTGACTGTCTGATTATGTTGATTCATCACATGCTATGCTGGTGATCAGCAGCCCAAATGATATACATATACCTTTTTTTTTTCCAAAGAAATTGTCATGTAATCTTTTTATAAGCAGTATGGACTGATACCTTACCAAGCCAGAAGAACAAAATTTCTTTTTCAGATGCTTATGACAAAAGGACTTGGAATTATCTGTCTAAATAATGTCAAAATAGCCATTATTTCCTTCCACAAATGAAGGAACAGGATTGGGGATTAACTTTGTGGAATTCAATTAATTTTGCACTTGGCATAGTATATGGAAACAGTTTACAACATTTGGGCTTGGAGACTCTGGGTTGAATATTTAAACCATTGCTTGAGACATAATCAGTGGATAGAAAATTCTAAGAACAGCAGCCCTACTCCAGAACTTCTAGTGGGTGACATCTGGGGTGAATTAAGTTTCTGTTCTGTCCCAGCTTTAGCTACAGATGTGGAGGTGTAAATGTGCTTTCCAGGAACTGTAGATTATATGAACATGATGTAGACTACTTTTATTAGGAGTTCAAGTACCACATTTCCAGAAATATAAAGAATGACAGCAAGGAAAAAGGCCTTTAGAGCTTAAATTACAACCACATCTAATGAACTCAGAGGTGTTTTTCACTTACTAGGGTATTGCTTTTCAACTCCTGTAGCTTAAATGAATCTAGTGATCATAACAGTAAATATGGTTTCCAAAGGTATCCCAAGAGGTATCATTAGTCACATATTACATCCTTTTCTAATTTGTACACTTTCCATGTTTCAGGGTTTCACAGGACTGCTGAAACCTCCAGAATTTCATGTTTCCCTCAGCAGTCTACAATAACCCTTAATCTGAATGACATGTATTATTTCCTCAGCAAACATGTGATGTGGGAAGCTTAGTAAAAGATTTATTATAAGAAAAGGCTCGATGTTTTATTTCCTCCCCTAATTGAATTCATTATTGCTCTCTGTTTAGAAATGCTATGTTGATGTATTACACCTCAGAACAACTATGAACGTGCCATCTGCAGCAGGAAGGTTTATTAGACTACAAATCAGGATACAGATGTTGGAGGGAAAGCTACGTATGCTAAGTCATAATACATTAAAGCACATTTTAAATCTATATATCATGGTGGTCCAGCAGATTTTTATTTTTTTAAATTAGGTATTGGTACTTATGAAAATTCAGGAACTAGAAGCCCTCTCTTCATATGCATGATAGATAAAGTGATAAGCTGCTGAGGTGATAAGTATAACCCTGTAGATGGGGAAAAGGACTAAGTAACTTCAAAAGAAAAAGCTCACATTCTTATTCCGTAATACTAGTGAAAAGATCCACATTTAAAGTCGGCATTCTAAACCAAATGAGCAGATAAGTCTTTTGGGAGTGTAAATGATCACAGTTTTATTGATCTTTTTCACAAATTTAGATTTTCATCCATTTACTAGAAGAGCATTTATTGAGTACCTGTTACTTGCTAGGTGACTCTAGGATGTGCTCTAGGATTTTATTAAAACGAGACTCAGTTATATTATTTTGATGTAAGAGGAGTTGTTTAATTTTTCTTTCTTTCTCCAACTGTTCAAGTTCAGGCCCAATAATGGACAAATTGCCCGCAGAAAGTTTACAAGAATATATCAACTACTTCATTGGTTGAAAGAATTAGAGGAACCTTGGTCAGCACAGCTGAGAGGATTGCTTTCCTGAGAGATGACATGATTCTCTTCCATTAGGCTCACAAAAATATAACTCAATTGTATCAATCTTAAACAAATAAAATCTAGGATGCTCACATTTTCTAGAAGGATTAATGTTCTGTAGATCTATTGATCTTCTACATTCTTCTTAAAGTATCCAGGGTAATCATTAACAATACTTTGTTTTGATTTACTTGCCTGGTGTCTGAGGCTCTTCCAGCTCTCTACAATACATTTGCGCTTTATTCATGATGCTTATTCTGTAGATAAAGACAGCACATTACTGGCATTTGTAACTGGGAGGCTTAAAATTTTTAAACATAAAATTAGAGATAATCTAATGTTTAGATTAGGGTTAGATTTTTAAATAGGGTATAGAACTTCAAAAGAAGGTGGTTTTCTCTTTCCCTGGAAATATTCAGAAAACAGTCTACCTTTGGTCTTCCAGGAAGCACAGACAAGGGCAATGATTCAAGAAACCACTGTAAAAATGCAGATCTCACCCAGTAAAGGAGA
Source organism: Homo sapiens (assembly GCF_000001405.40). NCBI lineage: Eukaryota > Metazoa > Chordata > Mammalia > Primates > Hominidae > Homo > Homo sapiens. Next base: position 26,918,329 of record NC_000007.14, read on the forward strand.
GTATCTTACTTCCTATTAAGCATAGTTAGATGGGTGATTATTATTAATCATATATAGCATTTGCATAACAATGAAGTTTGGATGGCACTATCACACACTGTCTCATTTACCATATTAAGGAAGCATGTATTCATTCCTCAAATATTTTATAAATGCCTACTAGGTGCCAGACTGCATACTTTGTACTTGGAATGCAAAGGTGAGTAAGACAAATTCTCAGTGAGCTTACTTTCTAGTTGAGGAATACAATGTTATTAAATATAATGTGTTATAATACAGACATGATGAAGTACTGAGGCAACATGAGGTTACTAGTATTTTAGCCTCACTTTACAGAAAAAAAAACTGACCAAAAATATTGATATTAATATTATAGGGCAGTTTTAACAATTAAATGAGAGATTGTATTAAGTTACTTAGTACAATGACAGCCCATAGTAGGGAGTCCATAAATGTTATTTCAAAGAGGTAGCATAGAATAACAGGTTGGAGAATGGATTCTGTATCAAACCTTTTGGCTTGGATCCTGGCTACGTCTTAGTTTGTGTGGCCTCGGGAAAGTTATATGATATATCTAGATCTCAGTTTCCCCAGGGCTAAGATGGGAATAACAATCATAACCACTTCTCAGGGTTGTTGTTTTGAGAATCAAGTTGTCACACGTGTTCAAAAGAAGTTATTCATGGCAAAGATCAAAGCTGGGAGCAGGTCCAGAAACTATATCCCACCAAACTTATAGTTATCCTCTCATAAAATAGAGATACTGTGGCCCTGAAGAGTGAGATGTCCTTATTTTTACCATAGGGAGGAGAACTCCCTAGCAAATAGTTCAAGCTAGGAGAAGGCAGCAAAGAATATTTGGCATCTTGAAGGTTAGAGGGAAAACTGGCCTGAAGAGAGATGGCCAAAAAGAGAGGGAAAGCATGGTATGACAGCAATAGGGGTTAGGGGAATGTGACTTGGGCAGAGGTCGGACTGAACAAAGCAGAGGGAAATGGCTTCAAGAAGAGAGGAGGAATATGCCATCCACACATCTCCTAGCACTAAATACGGGATAATCTTTCCAATATGTCCAATCTGTATTTTGCTAAGTGGGGGGTATTTATTTTTATTGGATAATTCCTAAAATGTTATAAACAGAGCTTAACTAAGTAAGAGTATCCAAAATAGCCCAATAATTATCTTTCAAGGTGTCTGGTACCAACATGCTCTTTTCTCTCATTTGGATTCCCACAAAGAAACTGTTGGACATGAAAAAAAGAGGCAGATATTGGTTCACAATATGTCTCATGATACTGAGAGAATTTTCCTGATTGCAATTTTTCATTTCATTTTTTGAATGAATGATTTAAATGTTCTTTCTGTACATAATGGGACAGGAATTGTATAATTATTACCACAATCCAATTTTAGAACATTTTCAGAGAATGAAGGAGTTTTAACCTGTGATTTAAATGCTACCAGTTTATGGATCTCTGTTCTTGTACCAGAGACAATCTGAAGATTCTCTCCAGAAGTAAACATCCTAACCAGCAATCACCAACATTAAAACATGAGCCTGTTTTACTCTTTGAGTGGCTAGCTTCCTGTGAAAGAATATACATTGCCTCTCTTCTTTTGTTACCTTTCTGATAATACTGGCTATGCTGTAGGCCAATGTATTACATTAGAGAGCATTTCGAGGAAAAAGTCCCTTAAAGCTCCTTATATATATTACAATTTTCTGCTATACATCATTATTACTAAAATGATTCACAGCTAGTGTAGCATGTTTAGGCAAGCTCAGATACTTGGCAGTAGAACACAATTCTTTTAATAGCCTAGCTCCAATGGGTAACCCTTTGAAAAAGGCATTTATTGTTAGTTCTGTTAGCTATTGAACCAGTCTTTGCATACTTCGATGCATAAGCATACAAATGGAAATTTTTATTTTAAGTTCTGTGCTATACTTTGCATATGAAACAGAAGTTCTTTAACTATACTGTGGGAAATTCAAATGTATTTCCTCCTCTAGAAAGAAAATTAATCTGAGAACAAGAGTCTACTTTGAGATTGTATAGAAAAGGCAAATATACCCTCTGATATGCTGCTTAGTCCTGATCCCCACCCCACCTCATTCCAGTACCCTCATTAACAAGAAGCTGTCAAAATACTTGAACATCATGAAATAAGAATGGTATTTCAACAAAAGATCAAATGCTTAGAAATCCACACCCCAAACCAGGTTATTCTTTCATTCCTAAATCAATAAGCCGGCAAAAACAAGACCATATTTGAGGTGGCAAAACCTCCTATGCCCTTACATTCTGTGAAAACATAAAAGGAAAAAAGAATTCTTCCACATTCTTCACGCGATTTTCCATGAAAGCACTCATTAAATGATGTTTACATATAATGATGACAGAGTGTAGATGGGTGTACTGCTTGGCATTGGAAGGGCAGTGCCCTGGAGTCTTCCTCCAGTTCAATCTTGAAAAAAATAACAGTCCTTTTAGTTTTTTTTATTATTATACTTTAAGTTTTAGGGTACTTGTGCACAATGTGCAGGTTTGTTACATATATATACACATGTGCCATGTTGGTGTGCTGCACCCATTAACTGTCCTTTTAGTTTTTAGTGTACAAACTTGGCTCAAACCATACTATAAAGTACTTTTGTATGAAGACTGCCATAAAAAAAATCACTGCAGAATGCTCCACTGTCAGTTAGAGTCCGCACAAGCTAATGCAAGCAAGTTATGCACATTAAAATAAACAGTAGAGAATTGGGTGTGAAAACAGTATCAATCAGGCGTGTCCATCTGACCATTATAACTTTAAAATATCTGTAGAGCAAAGCCAGTTTTCGTCAAGGTCACTTACTGCTCAGAAAAAGCTTTTCAGCTTCAATAAAAACATCGAAGAAACAAAATAAGGTTTTAAAAAAATGATGTTCAAATAGGTGTGTTTCATTTTATGTCACCTGTAAGAAGCAGGGTTTCCATCTAACATGAGATTCCCATTCCTATTCCTCTGTAAAGGTACAGTTCTGATAAGTTCAAGGACATGTTTGAAAAATGAATAATCACCTATATTATTATTTCTTTGAGAGCTAATGTGGCTTTTATTGAAGGAAGTCGCCTGAAAGGCTTTTATTGGACAAGCTGTATGCTTGTCCCCCAGAGAGCTGCCCCACAAAAATTCCTCAGAATATGAAAACTCTCCTATTAGCATTAAATTTCAGGCATTATATCTTCAGAAAGGCCTTGTTAAATTTACATTTGCTGTCTATTGCAGTCTGTAAGGTTTAACGCCAAGCGCTGGATATTTAGATTAGCCCTCTCAATCTCCATTTTACTATCCTTCTCTTTGGAGGGATTAGATAGCTAAACACAGTTTTTCAGAGCACAGACTCTGAAAGTCAAGAATTGGCCTTGCCACTTAATAGTATGACTGGTCAGCTTATACTTACATGGTAGCCTTTCCAGAATACTCTGAGAAACACTATAAAGTGATAGGGATGAAGAAACTGAGCTTATTGAAAATGGAAGAACCAAATAGTAGACTGGTAGCTCCTAACCAGGGAAACAAAGCAGTCCACAGTTCCTGAGAGATTGTGGCCCCAGGCTAAGAAGGTTAACTTACAGTTTCTCAAGTATAAAATAAGGATGAAACTAATAGTATCCAAGTGCTCGGCACAGTGCCCAGCACACAGTAAGAGCCCAAAAGATGTTAGCTATTTTTTTCCTTAGGTCCTTAAGAGGCTCTGGCAGCTGAGAAAGAATGAAAAAGGGCAGGAGCGAAAAGAAAGAAGGCCAAGGGGAATAAGGTGGCTCCAGCCCCTGCTGTCGTGATGAAGCAGGAGGTTAAGAAAGTGGTGAATCCCCTGCTTGAGAAAAGGCCTAAGAATTTTGGCATTGGACAGGACATCCAGCCCAAAAGAGACCTCACTTGCTTCAAGAAATGGTCCCACTATATCAGGTTGCAGTGGCAGAGAGTCATCCTCTGTAAGTGGCTGAAAGTGCATCCTGAAATTAACCAGTTCACCCAGGCCCTGCACCACCAAACAGCTACTCAGTTGCTTCAGCTGGCCCACAACTACAGACCAAACAAGAGAAAGACAAAGCAAGAGAAGAAGCAGAGGCTGTTGGTCCGGGCTGAGAAGAAAGCTTGCAGCAAAGGGGACATCTCCACTAGGAGACCACTTGTCCTTCAAGCAGGAGTTAACACCGTCACCACCTTGGTGGAGAACAAGAAGGCTCAGCTGGTGGTGACTGTACATGATGTGGATCCCATCAAGCTTGTCTTCCTACCTGCCTTGTGTCATAAAATGGGGGTCTCTTCCCCTGCATTATCAAGAGGAAGGCAAGACTGGGACATATAGTCCACAGGAAGACCTGGATCACTGTCACCTTCACACAGGTGAACTTGGAAGACAAAGAAGCTTTGGCTAAGCTAGTGGAAGCTATCAGGACCAACTACAACAACAGATACGATGAGATCTGCCGTCACTGGGGAGGCAATGTCCTGGGTCCCAAATCTGTGGCTCGCATTGCCAAGCTTGAAAAGGCAAAGGCTAAAGAACTTGCCACCAAACTGGGTTAAATGCACACTGTTGAGATTTCTGTACATAAAAATAATTAAAATAATACAAATTTTAAGAAAAAGAAAAAGGGCAGGAGACCACCCATTGCAGTGGGCTATGCACTGGCTGAAGAATCCTTTTTTTTTTTTTTTTTTTTGAGACGGAGTCTTGCTCTGTCACCCAGGCTGGAGTGCAGTGGCATGATCCCAGCTCACTGCAAACTCTACCCCCCGGGTTCAAGTGATTCTTCTGCCTCAGCTGGGATTACAGTGATTCTTCTGCCTCAGCTGGGATTACAGGCACCTGCCACCATGCCCGGCTAATTTTTATATTTTTAGTAGTGACGGAGTTTCACCATGTTGGTCAGGCTGGTCTCGAACTCCTGGCCTCAAGTGATCTGCCCACTTCAGCCTCCCAAAAGAATCCTTCATCTTTAGTTTGCAGTGAGAAAGAAAGAACCACATAAGACTCTGCAATGGAGATACTGGAGTACAAGATTAGCCAGGGACAACTTTCTAGTTTAATGTGCAGAGTTCTGTGAATCTTTTTGTACTAAGTTTTCAGGAGTCTCCCCACCCTGAATTGGGTGTGCAGCCACTTTTTGATCCACTGGCACATAAGGCAGACACTGTGCCTAGTCTAAACAAGAAATGTTTCTCTCTTCTTCCCTGGTAACAAAACTCCAATTTGTATTCAGGTTTTTGAAAGAGATCCCTTGATTTCAGGAAGGGTAGACCCCTACCTCAACAACAAGGAATGAGCTGAAATTGGTCTAAATCAGTCATAGTAATTTTCTTTTCTTTCCTCAGGGATTGGCCAATAAGTGGGCACATGACTGAATCCTGGCCAAGGAGACAAAGGGAAAGTCCACTAGGGAAGGCTCTCTTGCTAATAAAAAGACAAGACTCCACAAGTAGAATGTCTCTACCAGTCTTCCTTCTTGTCCTGAACATGGACATGGTGACTGGAGCCATGGTAGCTATATTCTGGCCAGGAAAATGATGAAGAAGCTGGCCCTGAAATCATTGGATTACTGAACTGACTCAGGCAACTGCCTACCTCCAGACTTCTTGTTATGTTAGAAATACAAAGCTCATTTGTTTAGGCCTGTACAGATGACTTTTCTATTTCTTGCAGTCAAATGCATTCTGATACTGTGCTTTGTCTACTTATTTCTTACCTCTGCCCTCTGACAGATGAGGCCCAACCCATTTTTCTTACTTGGCTTTATTTGAACAAAGATTCTAATAAGCACAAGAAACCACTCTGTTGATAACTCCTCTAATATAAAAGGAAAGAGTCATGTTCTGTAATAAGTATTTTGTATCCAATTGGTTTATAAATTGAAAACACAGTTTAAGCAGAAAGATAAAATCAAATACAGTCTCTTGCCTACTTACTTCTCATCTCTCTCTCTCATTTAGTTCAAAGAGACATAAAGTGACACCACTCCATCATTTTTGACAGAGCCACATGTGTAATGCAAAACATATGCTGAAGTTTTGTAATTACTTGGGTTCCTTGAGCAGAAGAGAAATGAGCTCATTGTATGTTCATGGTCTCTTCTCCTTCTGTGTCACCTGCTACCATACCAGGTTGATGCCCTCTCAGACATCAGTTACTACAAGCAATAATTATCATTATTATTCTAATGCCTTACATATGAATGCCGTTTGGCAATATTTCAGAGTGCTTTTAAGTTAGTTCTCTCCCTGAAGGCTCACAACTCTACCACTTACCTGTCATATCACTCCCATAAAAGATTACTGTAGAGACTCTGAGGGAAGGAATCCGCATTTTAGAGGAGAGATGTCATTTTCCTTCTCCCCTAAGTCTAGATCTGCTGCAGGCACAAATGGCCTCCTACTATCTGTTCAACCCCACTCCTCTCCTAAACTAATCATGACCAGCACCAAGAGGGGTGTGGAGTTAGTCTTGCTGTCTATAGCAAAGTAAAAATTCACAAGCCTGCCTATGGCCCTCTGGTCCTTCATCCTAGTGTAGGTATTTTTCCCACTCTGATCAGACCTCTGCTAGGATTTTCTAAGGTGATATTGGAATCTCTTACTGGAAGAAGAGTTCTATTCGAATCTTGGGCCTGATTCACTGCCAAGCCTTTGCTGATCACTTAGGCCCACAGACTAGATTTCTGTTCTAAACTGGATTGATCTTCTACTAAAATGTAAGTAATATGAAGCCAGAGAATGTGCTGTTATTTTACTGCACTATCCCTAGCACATAAAATAGATTCTCATTGGTTCACAGCAAGTGATTGGTAAATATCTGTTGAATGAATGAATGACTCTGATAACCATTCCTCACTAGAGGTTTCTGCTACTGTGTCCTAAACACCAGATTAAACCCCTTGGATACTGACATTAACCTAAGCCCATTCATAGCTGCCTTACCTCTTCAAATGACAAATATGAGCTGTTAGACACCTCTTCACTACAGACCTCCTGTTTCCACTTTCTTTCCTTTTTCCTACTGACCCAGGCAAATGAGGCCTCAGGATGCCAAGCTCTCAGCTGGATCTGCCTAAAATACACCTTGATAAAACAAGACTTTAGAGAGATTATAATACCCTAACAGGGTAGTCCCTAAAAGTTGAAGAACACTGAAAATAAACCTTGTCTCTTTTATTTCTCCAGATGGCCAATACATAGATGAAAAGACAATCAACTGTTATATATTAGCTATCAGGGAAATGCAAATCAAGACCAAATAAGATACCTCTTTACACCCTCTAGGATGGCTATAATCTAAAAAGACCAATAACAAGCGTTGATGAGGAGGTAGAGATATTGGAACCCTCATACATTGTTGGAGGGAATGTAAAATAGTGAAGCCACTTTAGACAATGGCTGGGCAGTTCCTCAACATGTTAAACATAGAGTTACCACATGACCCAGCAAATGCACTCCTAGGTATTTACTCAAGAGAAATGAAAACATATGTCCACGCAAAACTTGTCTGCAAATGCACACAGCAGCATTATTCATTATGACCAAAAAGTGAAAAAAAAAGTAAATGACCATCCACTGATGAGAAACAAAATGTGATATATCTGTAGATGAAATGATATTGTGCAATAAAAAGGAATAAAGTACTGTTATAAATAACACAACATGGATGAACCTTGGAAACGTTATGCCAAGTAAAAAAAGCCAGACACAAAAGACCACAGCTTATATGAGTCCATTCACATGAAATGTCCAGAATAGGCAAAGCCATAGAGACAGGAAGTAAATTAATGGGTGTCAGGGGCTGAGGGAAAGAAAAATGAGGAATGAGTGCTAGTGAGTACAAGATTTCTATTTGGGGGTGACAAAAATGTTCTAAAACCAGAAAAGAGTAACAGTTGTACAACTTTTTGAGTATAATAAAAACCAGCAATTGTACTTTGTTTTCTTTTTTTGAGACAGAGTCTCACTCTGCCACCCAGGCTGGAGTGCAGTGGCACAATCTTGGTTTACTGCAAGCTCTGCCTCCCAGGTTCATGCCATTCTCCTGCCTCAGCCTCCAGAGTAGCTGGGACTACAGGCGCCCGTCACCACGACTGGCTAATTTTTTGTATTTTTTAGTAGAGACGGGGTTTTACTGTGTTAGCCAGGATGGTCTCGATTTCCTGACCTCGTGATCTGCCTGCCTCGGCCTCCCAAAGTGCTGGGATTACAGGCGTGAGCCACCGCACCCGGCCAATTGTACATTTTAAAAAGATTAATTTTATAGTATGTGAATTATATCTCAACAAAGCTGTTACAAAACAACAACAAACCTCCTCCTTTTACAATGTTTTTGGGGCCGGAAGACTAATATGAGATGAGGCTGAGATGAAAACTGGGTCTTCTGCTTCTTCCCTCTTCTTCCTTCCTTCCCACTGCTCCTCCCAATCACTCTATCACTGTTGCCCTGAGGCACTCACCTGCTCCATCAGTCCCCAGAAACAGTAACAGGTATAGAGGCAACAGAAAAATCACTTTACCATGCTCCCATTACTGCAGCCCATTAAAGCCAGGGACAAACTACCCTGGCTGTCCAAAAGCAAAAAATGCCTTTGTCTAGGACAGCATTCTTCTCATAAATTACAATAATGCAAATGTAAAATATAAATTTTTTCATCCTATTTGTGAACTAAAACAAAATACTTAAAACATTTTCATTTTACCTTTAATATATTCTTAAAGTAAAGATAATGGAAATCTGAATTATAAATTTTTTACTTACTCACCATTTAAACCACATTGTTTCTATTTTCTTTTCCTCTTATTGCTGAGCAATGAAAATTCCTTTGTTACAAAATATAGAAAAATATGTTCCTTGGATAGTCTAACTTCCAGAACCACTATATATTCCATCTTTGCTTTCAACAATTAATCCTCAGTCTAAAAGGGGAAAACAAGATAATCCCTCATTTAAATGATCAATGGAAGGAATTCATACAGAATAGCAGACAACTCTCACAACTCTATCATTCAGAACTTAACAAAATTTTTAAAATAATATTTCAGAAACACAAATATATCAATATTTTAACAGCAAAATTTTCTGTCTCTCCTAGGCTTCTAGCACATATATATCTCCATTCTTGAGCCTTACTACATGCCAGGCACTGTGCTGGTACTTCACATATGTTATCTAATTTTATTCTCATTACAATTCTTTCTGTCAACCCAGGAGACTTCCAGTTTGAGACAAGAGAAAAAAGGGTGGTAGTCAACTCGGGAATTGAGTTGGGGTACCTGCATCAAAATATCTCTTTTGATTTGTTATTTTAACTGAAATCCCACCATTAAATCCCACCCCTGGATTTGACGATTTTTCTCTCTGGCTTAAGCTATAATCAAACAGGACTGAAGTCTCATAGATTCTGGAAGCTCAGATTTAAAGCAAGTGTGGTAAGGATAGGCAATGGAGACCAGAGAACCCAAAGCCTAACTCAGCAGTTTGGCCCAAGGAGCTGTCCCCATATGAAGATCATTGGTCACAACTCTTATTTCTTAGAAGGCCCTGACAGATGTGATTCTACAAGGACAGAGTTGTTTTCAGAGTCCCTATTTTCTTGGTTTGTTCATCTCCTACCTGCTATTTCACTGGCTTCTGATAAAAGATTGTTTTTTAAAAACTCTGTCTACCCACTACTAAGGCTGAGAAAGTTTGAGTGATTTGCCCAGTATCACAGAGTAAGTGATAGAACTAAGTAAGTGATTGAACCCTCACAAAGTTGGTGTTCTCAATTACTTCTCGGCATTTTTTTCCCACTATACTAGTATAATTCATGCATTGTTAAGAAGTAACCCAAAAAATGTTTGTTTTGGGTCCCTCCAACTACTTACTTTACTTCCCAAATATCATTTCCCTGATGCCTTCTCAAAACTGACTTTCAAATTGTTTTATTTATGCTTGGATGAAAAATGGCTAAATGGCTGGCTTTCCCAGAATATCTTCATTTTGATAAAAACCAAAATTTAAACTAAAACAATGAAGATTTAACTTTAGAATTTCAAACATTATGAAGAATGGAGGTTAGCTCAAAGTATGACTAAGTGGATTTAGCAGAAATATCTTAAACTTGGAAAATATGAAAGACCCTTCAGCAAACTGAAACTTGTTTTCAGCATTATACTACTATAAATAGAACTATAGTTCAAAGAGGGTTTTTTCCAAGCTCCTAATTTAAATCAGCAAAAGAGTGGTTTCAGGTTCCCACAACACAAGCCATTTGATGGGATATTTTATCAAAAAATATGAAAAACAATATTGCTGTGATGCTTTTAAAGGGGAGATAAGAAGAATGGCTGTTAGCCGAAAAGTCCTCTATTCTTGATTTAAAGAAAAAAGACAAGAGGGAAAGCCATGCTTTTTAAATTCTTCTCAGTCTGGTTTCTCTGACAAACCTGTTTGATAGGCATCAGGGACCTGAAGCAGTGCTTCCAGGGAAAAAGTAGCCATCACTCATGGTTCATCGGATTTCTGTGACAGAATGATCACATTCTGTAGAACTTGGCATAAGCACATCATTATTAAGCCTTGCTTTAGCATTTCTTAACTGATCACGGATGCCGCAGTCCTCGGTGGCTCCTCTCTGTTGGCACTGTTTGTAGTTATTTGACCTTTTCTCAGTGGATAATCCACACAGAAAGCCCTAATTACTTCCCCAGCTTTGACCAGCCAGCAGTGTGAATAATCAATGACACTCATTTAGGTATTGCACAGTCAGATGCTTATGGTGTTTAAAGAACATTTTTCCTTTGACCTGCCACAGCTGTAAGACAATTACAAGCAGTAAAGCTGCTGTTGTAATCACAAGATGACCAGGTGACCTTGTAGGTTTAAAGTTGATGACTGGGGCCTTGACTGGGACGTAGTCAAGATACAGAACATATTTTGGGAGAGAAAGGAAGCTTCATTGTATACTAATGTGACATGCTCAGCCCCAAGAGCAGTGTTCTGAAATATTGACAAATCACAAGACTCATATTGGCAGGTAAAATTCAGCATTTATATCCATGGCCTCAGCTACTTCTTTCCATTGTACATAAAATAGTAAATAAATAAGAATAGAAAAAATACTGAAGTCTATCCATACCTCTCTCTAAACTTTTTAAGGTAGAAATGAAGATAAAAATGGAAGTAAGTTGTCCTATCTAAACAGATATTTACAGGTTTCTAGAATGTTAAATTTTTTTTAATGTATTCAAATTGCAATGAATCCTTATGAACTCTCAGGCCAACTTCCCCCACAAAGATCACTATTAAAAAGATGTGAGGTCTGGGGTTCTTTGAAATAATGACTAATTACCAAATTACATATAAAGCTATAACATAAGTTGTAGGAAAATGGAATATGATATTTCTAATAGAGTATTGTTCCTGGAAACACTAATGTATTGAAAATCCTTTGGAAACAAGGATTGATCATGTAAAGTTTGGGAAACATAGGATACGATACCCTTTTCATGGAGATTTACAATGTACAATTAGCATATTAAAGGTTCTGGAATGTGTTTCTCAAAACAATTTTGGGAATGCTAGTTTATAGGTCTTTTTTTCCTTGTTATTACCATCTTATATAAAAATTGAATTTATAAATATGAGTTTTTGCCTCAGAATGTGAATGAGTAGACTTTCTACTTCACTTTTCAGAAAGTTTTGTACTTATTTATTAAAAGGAACACAAAATAAGATCAGTAAAAACAATCAAGAAAACAAGTTGGTAGAACAATGAAACAGTTATGTTCCTGGCAGAAAAGATGAAGAAAAGGACATGTCCTAAATTAGGGACACAGCAGAGGAGAGTTTTGGAATGGAAAAGGCCTCAGATAAAGGAAAGGAAGGGAAGGTGTGAGGTTAACACACAGACCATCTTCTCCTTTTTCAAACTGAAGGCTGTCCTGATTTAATCTGGCAAAAGAAGGCAAACCAGCTCATCAGCATGCAATTGATGATTTATCCAGCTTGCTGTCAGACAGAGCACTGTGTAAAGACGCAGGAGAGAATGAGGAAAAACAGGCAAACCTTAGTGAGTAAGCCAAGAAGGCAAATCACTAAAAAAACACACACACAGTAAAAAGACTGCACATTTGCTGGTATGATCTTGATTAATCCCAAAACAGCTGAAGCTTTCATGTTTGGGGCGACTAGGATGTGTAATGCAAGTTTTTACTCATACTAGCAGAATCCAATTCATAGTATTTGTAGTAAACGAGCTGGTTTTTAAAACATCACTTTTAGGTTCAGCAGGCATCACTGTGTTTTCCTGTAGTGTATGCCATGTTTGAGTGATATTTATAATTATTTCCTTATATATGTTTATTGCTTTGTTGGAAGGTGAGGCCTATATTTTTCTGCATTATACAGCACCCCAGGATTAGGGTGGATTTACCTCTTATTCTGCAATACTGTCTTTCAAGGACCCAGTAACTCTGTATAACTAGTTCCAGCTTGTAATGTGTCTGGGAATTTTTTGACTTTTGGAATCCATTGATGTCCTCCAGAAACAATCATTCTTAAATGTTGCCAAACCATCAAGAATATGAGGTTATTATAAGGTCAGTAGTAACAGGCAGTTAGAAACATAAGGGGAAATGGGTTGAGAGGCAGAGGCAGCAGCAGCATCAGGAACATTTACCCATGCATATTGCTGACCAAGTAATTTTTTCTGCAATTCTGTAAAACTCAGTCTTTTAATTAAAGGCCTCCCAGTGAATGGGGCAAGACAATGTGTGGAATGTATTCAGGATTGCTACCTCTAGTCATACATTTTACCTCCTCAACCCTTTAATGTCAGTTTACAGCCTCTATATAACTGGTAGCACCATAGATCCCATTCTAAATCTGAGCAAGAAAAGAATAAAAAAAATGAACAAAGCCTCCAAGAAGGCTGGGCGCAGTGGCTCATGCCTGTAATCCCAGAACTTTGGGAGGCCGAGGCGGGTGGATCACGAGGTCAGGAGATCGAGACCATCCTGGCTAACACGGTGAAACCTCATCTCTACTAAAAATACAAAAATATTAGCCAGTTGCGGTGGCGGGTGCCTGTAGTCCCAGCTACTCGGGAGGCTGAGGGAGGGGAATGGCGTGAACCCGGGAGGCGGAGTTTGTAGTGAGCCGAGATTGCGCTACTGCACTCCAGCCTGGGTGATAGTGCGAGACTCCGTCTCAAAAAAAAAAAAAAAAAAAAAGCCTCCAAGAAATATGGGACTATGTGAAAAGACCAAATCTACGTCTGATTGGTGTACCTGAAAGTGACAGGGAGAATGGAACCAAGATGGAAAACACTCTGCAGGATATTATCCAGGAGAACTTCCCCAACCTAGCAAGGCAGGCCAACATTCAAATTCAGGAAATACAGAGAACGCCACAAAGATACTCCTCAAGAAGAGCAACTCCAAGACACGTAATTGTCAGATTCACCAAAGCTGAAATGAAGGAAAAAATGTTAAGGGCAGCCAGAGAGAAAGGTCAGGTTACCCACAAAGGGAAGTCCATCAGACTAACAGCTGATCTCTCGGCAGAAACTCTACAAGCCAGAAGAGAGTGGGGGCCAATATTCAACATTCTTAAAGAAAGAATTTTCAACCCAGAATTTCATATGCAGCCAAACTAAGCTTCATAAGTGAAGGAGAAATAAAATCCTTTACAGACAAGCAAATGCTGAGAGATTTTGTCACCACCAGGCCTGCCCTACAAAAACTCCTGAAGGAAGCACTAAACATGGAAAGGAACAGCCGGTACCAGCCACTGCAAAAACATGCCAAATTGTAAAGACCATTGAGGCTAGGAAGAAACTGCATCAACTAACGAGCAAAATAACTAGCTAACATTATAATGACAGGGTCAAATTCATACATAACAATATTAACCTTAAATATAAATGGGCTAAATGCTCCAATTAAAAGACACAGACTGGCAAATTGGATAGAGTCAAGACCCATCAGTGTGCTGTATTCAGGAAACCCATCTCATGTGCAGAGACACACATAGGCTCAAAATAAAGGGATGGAGGAAGATCTACCAAGCAAATGGAAAACAAAAAAAGGCAAGGGTTGCAATCCTAGTCTCTGATAAAACAAACTTTAAACCAACAAAGATCAAAAGAGACAAAGAAGGTCATTACATAATGGTAAAGGGATCAATTCAACAAGAAGAGCTAACTATCCTAAATATATATGCACCCAATACAGGAGCACCCAGATTCATAAAGCAAGTCCTTAGAGACCTACAAAGAGACTTAGACTCCCACACAATAATAATGGGAGACTTTAACACCCCACTGTCAACATTAGACAGATCAACGAGACAGAAAGTTAACAAGGATATCCAGGAATTGAATTCAGCTCTGCACCAAGCTAACTTAATAGACATCTACAGAACTCTCCACCCCAAATCAACAGAATATACATTCTTTTCAGCACCACACACACCTATTCCAAAATTGACCACATAGTTGGAAGTAAAGCAATCCTCAGCAAACATAAAAGAACAGAAATTATAACAAACTGTCTCTCAGACCACAGTGCAATCAAACTAGAACTCAGGATTAACAAACTCACTCAAAACCGCTCAACTACATGGAAATTGAACAACCTGCTCCTGAATGACTACTGGGTACATAACGAAATGAAGGCAGCAATGAAGATGTTCTTTGAAACCAACGAGAACAAAGACACAACATACCAGAATCTCTGGGACACATTCAAAGCAGTGTGTAGAGGGAAATTTATAGCACTAAATACCCACAAGAGAAAGCAGGAAAGATCTAAAATTGACACCCTAACATCACAATTAAAAGAACTAGAGAAGCAAGAGCAAACAAATTCAAAAGCTAGCAGAAGGCAAGAAATAACTAAGATCAGAGCAGAACTGAAGGAGATAGAGACACAAAAAAACCCTTCAAAAAATCAATGAATCCAGGAGCTGCTTATTTGAAAAGATCAACAAAATTGATAGACTGCAAGCAAGACTAATAAAGAAGAAAAGAGAGAAGAATCAAATAGATGCAATAAAAACTGACAAAGGGGATATCACCACTGATCCCACAGAAATACAAACTACCATCAGAGAATACTATAAACACCTCTATGCAAATAAACTAGAAAATCTAGAAGAAACGGATAAATTCCTTGACACACACACCCTCCCAAGACTAAACCAGGAAGAAATTGAATCTCTGAATAGATCAATAACAGGCTCTGAAATTGAGGCAATAATTAATAGCTTACCAACCAAAAAAAAGTCCAGGACCAGATGGATTCACAGCCGAATTCTATCAGAGGTACAAGGAGGAGCTGGTATCATTCCTTCTGAAACTATTCCAATCAATAGAAAAAGAGAGAATCCTCCCTAACTCATTTTATGAGGCCAGCATCATCCTGATACCAAAGCCTGGCAGAGACGCAACAAAAAAAGAGAATTTTAGACCAATATCCCTGATGAACATCGATGCAAAAATCCTCAATAAAATACTGGCAAAACGAATCCAGCAGCACATCAAAAAGCTTATCCACCATGATCAAGTGGGTTTCATCCCTGGGATGCAAGGCTGGTTCAACATATGCAAATCAATAAACATAATCCAGCATATAAACAGAACTAAAGACAAAAACCACATGATTATCTCAATGGATGCAGAAAAAGCCTTTGACAAAATTCAACAACCTTCATGCTAAAAACTCTCAATAAATTAGGTATTGATGGGACGTATCTCAAAATAATAAGAGCTGTCTATGACAAACCCACAGCCAATATCATACTGAATGGGCAAAAACTGAAAGCATTCCCTTTGAAAACTGGCACAAGACAGGGATGCCCTCTCTCACCACTCCTATTCAACATAGTGTTGGAAGTTCTGGCCAGGGCAATCAGGCAGGAGAAGGAAATAAAGTATTCAATTAGGAAAAGAGGAAGTCAAATTGTCCCTGTTTGCAGATGACATGATTGTATATCTAGAAAGCCCCATCATCTCAGCCCAATATCTCCTTAAGCTGATAGGCAACTTCAGCAAAGTCACAGGATACAAAATCAATGTGCAAAAATCACAAGCATTCTTATACACTGATAACAGACAAACAGAGAGTCAAATCATGAGTGAACTCCCATTCACAATTGCTTCAAAGAGAATAAAATACCTAGGAATCCAACTTACAAGGGATGTGAAGGACCTCTTCAAGGAGAACTACAAACCACTGCTCAATGAAATAAAAGACGATACAAACAAATGGAAGAACATTCCATGCTCATGGGTAAGAAGAACCAATATCATGAAAATGGCCATACTGTCCAAGGTAATTTATAGATTCAATGCCATCCCCATCAAGCTACCAATGACTTTCTTCACACAACTGGAAAAAACTACTTTAAAGTTCATATGGAACCAAAAAAGAGCCCGCATTGCCAAGTCAATCCTAAGCCAAAAGAACAAAGCTGGAGGCATCACGCTACCTGACTTGAAACTATACTACGAGGCTACAGTAACCAAAACAGCATGGTACTGGTACCAAAACAGAGATATAGACCAATGGAACAGAACAGAGCCCTCAGAAATAATGCTGCATATCTACAACCATCTGATCTTTGACAAACCTGACAAAAACAAGAAATGGGGTAAGGATTCCCTATTTAATAAATGGTGCTGGGAAAACTGGCTAGCCATATGTAGAAAGCTGAAACTGGATCCCTTCCTTACACCTTATACAAAAATAAATTCAAGATGGAGTAAAGACTTAAATGTTAGACCTAAAACCATAAAAACCCTAGAAGAAAACCTAGGCAATACCATTCAGGACATAGGCATGGGCAAGGACTTCATGTCTAAAACATCAAAAGCAATGGCAACAGAAGACAAAATTGACAAATGGGATCTAATTAAACTAAAGAGCTTCTTCACAGCAAAAGAAACTACCATCAGAATGGTAGTTCTGTAGGCACCCTACAGAATGGGAGAAAGTTTTTGCAATCTACTCATCTGACAAAGGGCTAATATCCAGAATCTACAAAGAACTGAAACAAATTTACAAGAAAAAAAACAAACAACCCCATCAAAAAGTGGGCGAAGGGTATGAACAGACACTTCTCAAAAGAAGATATTTATGCAGCCAACACACACACGAAAAAATGCTCATCATCACTGGCCATCAGAGAAATACAAATCAAAACCACAGTGAGATACCATCTCACACCAGTTAGGATGGCAATCATTAAAAAGTCAGGAAACAACAGGTGCTGGAGAGGATGTGGAGAAATAGGAACACTTTTACACTGTTGGTGGGACTGTAAACTAATTCAACCATTGTGGAAGTCAGTGTGGTGATTCTTCAGGGATCTAGAACTAGAAATACCATTTGACCCAGCCATCCCATTACTGGGTATATACCCAAAGGATTATAAAACATGCTGCTATAAAGACACATGCACACGTATGCTTATTGCGGCACTATTCACAATAGCAAAGACTTGGAACCAACCCAAATGTCCAACAATGATAGACTGGATTTAGAAAATGTGGCACATATACACCATGGAACACCATGCAGCCATAAAAAATGATGAGTTCATGTCCTTTGTAGGGACATGGATAAAGCTAGAAACCATCATTCTCAGCAAACTATCGCAAGGACAAAAAACAAACACTGCATGTTCTCACTCATAGGTGGGAATTGAACAATGAGAACACATGGACACAGGAAGGGGAACATCACACACCGGGGCCTGTTGTGGGGTGGGGGGAGGGGGAAGGGATAGCATTAGGAGATATACCTAATGTTAAATGACCAGTTAATGGGTGCAGCACACCAACATGGCACATGTATACATATGTAACAAACCTGCACGTTGTGCACATGTACCCTAAAACTTAAAGTATAATTAAAAAAAAAAAAAAGAAACTTGGAAGAAAAGAGTTGAGGAGGCAAACACCCAGCAAGCAAAATATATAAATATCTGGCTTCATACTGAACCCCTGAATACTAAATGTGAAATTTTAAGAACCAGTATAGGGGATATGTACTACATACAGCCAAATGTTTTTTTTTTTTTTTGAGATGGAGTCTTGCTCTGTTGCCCAAGCGGGAATGCGGTGGTGCCATCTCGGCTCACTGCAACCTCCCTGGTTCAAGCAATTCTGCTGCCTAAGCCTTCCGAGTAGGTGGGATTACAGGCGCCTGCCACCATGCCCAGCTAATTTTTGTATTTTTAGTAGTGATGGGGTTTCTCCATGTTGGCCAGGCTGGTCTCAAACTCCTGGCCTCAAGTGATGCGCCTGCCTCAGCCTCCCAAAGTGCTGGAATTACAGGCGTGCGCCATTGTGGCCAGCCTCAAAATCACTTTTAGTGCTTTATGGATAAGGAAACAGGCACAGAAAAGTTAAATTACTTGACAAAGATCATAGCTAGTATGTAACAGAATAGACTACAAACAGGTGATCCTCCAAATTTAGTGCTTTTTATTTTGACTGCAACACAATGTTTCTCTTAAAAAAATGTTGATTCAATATAGGGTATATAAATATATTACACATGTAATAAGATATTTATAGATATGTCAGTTAAACTTTCATATCTTTCTCTTTAGCATAAGAAAGTACCAGGTTTACTGTAAGTATAAGAAAAACAGGCTGGGCGTGGTGGCTCACGTCTGTAATCCCAGCATTTTGGGAGGCCGAGGTGGGCAGATCACAAGGTCAAGAGATCGAGACCATCCTGGCCAACATGGAGAAACCCCATCTCTACTAAAAAGACAAAAATTAGCTGGGGGTGGTGGTGCGCACCTGTAGTCCCAGCTACTCGGGAGGCCGAGGCAGGAGAATCACTTGAACCCAGGAGGCGGAGGTTGCAGTGAGCCAAGATCACGCCACTGATCACGCCTGGCAACAGAGCGAGACTTCATCTCAAATAATAATGATAATAATAATAATAATAAAATGGAAAAATATACATCTCAGGAAAAAATTTAAATAATTTTAAATGAGAAACCTAGGATTTATCATATGAACCCTATTTATGTTTATTCTTAGTCACATTGATTCAGTTGAAAAAAGATGCTTCATTTATGACATCTAAAATTCCAACCCATAATCAGAAGCAGCAGAATGGTCATGGTGAAAATATTTGCCCTACATCTGTGTCTACTTAGGGTTGCACATCCAAATCTGCTTGGCATTATTTGTTTAATTTGGAGAAAGGACACCTAATTTTCTTGTTTCCTCATTGACTAAACTGCTGTATACAAGAGAATGGTTTCTGCATTCAGAATGAGTTCCTACATGATTAAGAAACCAATTCAAAGGAATGCTTCTTAAACCTGCAGCAACTTAGCAACTCATTATTATTAATATTTTCATTAAACCATTCAAAGCTTTCTTGATATAAACACAATTTTCTTTTTCTAATCAGTCAGCATATCTGAACATTATAGTTTGTTTGGTTTTTCCAGAGTTCTGGTTGGTTGTTTGCTCTGGGGAATTTGGCCTCTTTTATAAAGTTAATAGTTTGGAAAAGGTACTGTAAGAAAGCTTCTAATGGTGCAATGAGTGTGTTTAACAAGCATTTCCAGGAAAAGATTTTGGTAAGTCACTTGTATGTTTCATCCATAGAAAGCCAAAAATCTAAATGTCATAAACATATTCCTGAACATTTGATAAATGCTATAAATTGGACTGATTGAACTATATAAAATATTCGTAACATTGTTCTACATGTAAATGTATTCCAAGTTCCAGTTTAACTTGCCAGGAACAACCCCTTGGCTGAGAATCTATCTTGTGACCCAGTAGGGAAGCTCTCTCAGCAAGAGGGAGATATTCTTAATAGTTAGTAACCTAACTCTAAATTTGAAAATAGGAAGGAAAATCTTTGGGGCACATACTCCCCTAAAATGATACATATTGTGACCAAAGAGTGATCTAGAAAGAGACTTTCCACTCACTCCCATGAAAAAGTTGTCAGAACTAGACTGTCCTTACCCTTAGGTGTGCACTGCAGCCCAGACTACTCCTCTGAGTCACATTCTAGCTTTCTCTTTCCTGTAACATCTTAACAAGCATTAGCCTGTTAATCATTTTCTAGGGATAGTTCTGGGGCTGGAAGCTGCTGTAAAATAAAGCAATTTGGGGAAAATCTTAAAGATTATCTAGACCAGAGGTACCCAAACTTTCCCAGGTCATAGCACTATAAATGTCTTAAGTAATTTTTCATAGTGCCCCTAGGCCAAAAGAAATAACTAACAGTCTCATTAATTAAGTAGTTAGGTCCAAATACTTAGTAAGTATTTGGGTTCTGATAACTTAGGAGGTGGTCTTACACACACACACACATAGCCACACAAACAAATTAAAACCAAATCATATTTTTACTTAACTTCTAAACAGCCACAATTACTTCCTAATGAGATATGTACCCCTCTTCAGCACTCACATCTCAAACGCTGGAATTAAACTGCACTCCCTTCTTTCTCGTTCTACACTGATTTCTACATAGTACTTGTTTTTATCATAGCAATGACCAAAAATCCAGCTTTACAAAGAGATGGCATTGAAAGACATGTAGTGTGAGCTAATGTTGTGAACTATTGCAAGCTGTTGTTTTGCCTGGTGTCTGAAAAACATCAAGTATCATTCTATTTCCCTTGAAATTTTAAAATGTCCTGCAACACCCTTGTGAGTTAACTGTAGCACCCCAAGGCACCTTGGTCACAGTTTGGGAATTGGGAATCTAATATCCTATTTCATGGACAAGAAAAGTAAGACCAAGAATAGTTAAGAAAATTTTCCAAGATTATCCAGCTAATTAGGTTAAGTAAAAAACAAGAAGTCCTGTTTAAAATACTGAGAATTTAGCCCATGTTCTTAAATTTAACTGGATCCCACAGATCTTGATTCTGCAGAGCAAACCTATGGACATGAAACTAACCCCACCTCCCAGGGCATTCCTGTCTTTGCATTCACTACTAGATGGTCCTCAACACAGTGATTTTTTTTAAGGTGAAAGGAGTTAAGAGAGCTGCATAATAGCACAGAATTAATTATAAGAACCAAGAGTAGCACCTGTCTTCAGACCCTTCATTATGGCTTTTTTTTCTTTCTTTCTTTAGGTGAAGTTTCACTCTTGTCGCCCAGGCTGGAGTGCAGTGGCGTGATCTCGGCTCACTGCAACCTCCACCTCCTGGGTTCAAGCAATTCTCCTGCCTCAGCCTCCCGAGTAGCTGGGATTACAGGCGCCTGCCACCATGCCCAGCTAATTTTTGTATTTTTAGTAGAGATGAGTTTTCTCCATGTTAGCCAGGCTGGTCTCGAACTCCTGATCTCAGGTGATCCGCCCGCCTCAGCCTCCCAAAGTGCTGGGATTACAGGTGTGAGCCATCGTGCCCGGCCAATTAAGAGCTTTCTTTATCACAACACAGTTTCCTTTCCTCCCTTATCTAGAGGCCCTCTTTACGTCCTCTACTCATCAAACTCTCTTCCTCTTTGCCTCTTCTTTTTGTTCTTCAGTGCATTCTACTTCCAGGAACCATATGTCCTTATGGGATCCTATTCCTACATACCAAATCTTAGATACTGTGGTAGAAGCTACTGTTTACCTCCCAGTATTCATTCCCTCCTTCTTCCTTGTAAAAGGACACCCAGTTTTTTTGCTGGGCTAACTACAATAAAGATCACATTTCCAGACTACTTTACAATTAGATATAGCCATATGATGAATTTCTGGCCAGTAGGATATAAACAGAAGTAATGCATGCAATTTCTGAAAAAAAAAAAAAAAAAAAAAGTGTTCTTAAAAAGACGGGATGTGACCTTTCTCCCTTCCTTCTACCTGCTGGCTGAAATTAGAATATAATGACTGGAGTACAAGTAGCCATTCTGGACCATGAGGAGGAACTGACAGCTTAAGGATAACAGCAACAATGTAGAAGGAGCCTAGTTCCTGTTGATCTTGGGTGTCTTTACAAACCCTGGTCTACTCCCCTCTGGAATTCATTTATATAAGAAAGAAATACATCTGTATATTATTTAAGCCATTGCTATTTGAAGATTTTTGTCAATGCCAGCTAAACCTACTACTGTACTAATAAATACAGACTATCTTCATGATAATACAATAACACATAATGTACTTTAAAACAACTCCTATAGATTTCCACTATTATATATTTAATATATGTAAAACTTAGGACACGTAACTCCAGATACCTATCAGAAGTATATGAAACCAAACTCACTACTACCCCTTGAGGATTTAGTGAAATTTTCATAGCCTATGCCTCACATGGAAACATATTTTATAAACCAAGTGACATCTGACTAAAACATATAAAGTTAAGTTTTCTTAAGGGGATAAATTCTCACATAAAATTGGTCTAGTTTAAGGCAAAAAATTAAACACTTTGATTTATCTCCATTATCTCCCTCAACCCCACTAATGAAGGAAGAGAGTCCTTAAAACATAAGCCCACTGACGAACAACAATGAGAGAAGGAATGAAGTCACAAAATTTTGGAAACTGGAAAGCAGATGAATAAGCAATAAGACTGCAAAAAGCTGAATCTTAAATGGGCAGTGGGAATAGCTAAGAAGCAACCTAATTTGCTTCAGAAAAACACTCCTAAAAGGCCCAGAAAGTGACATCATAAAGCACTCTGGAAGTGAAGAGGTGAACATAAAGCTATTCTTTCCTCAATTTCATGCAGCTAGACAACTGCCTCTCCCCAATTTCAGGAGAAGACAAGATGTTTATTCTCTGGAGAGGGTAAAATATGGGGAATTATGACTGCAGGAACCCAGGCACAATTGAGATAGAAGTTATCATACTAAAAATAGGGAAATTAAATGAAAGTTTGCACAATGAACTTTAAAATCCCCAGCCCTCTTGTTGTATTCCACTCTTAGAATGCTGGCAGCTGGATTTTATCATACCCCAGAAAGATATGAGAATTTATTATAACCATGAAAGAAGAACAGGATGCTTAAGAAAAAAATCAGAGAACAAGGAAGAAGTCTTGAAAATTCTCTTAGAATTTCCAAGAGATCTTGGAAAATTAATAAAGGAATTGAAGTTTCCTTGAAGAAAAGAGAAAAAGAAAATGGATTTTCAGAAGGATGGAAGGAAGGAAGGAAGGAAGGAAGGAAGGAAGGAAGGAAGGAAGGAGAAGGGGAGGGGAGGGGAGGGGAGACTGGGTTCAGTGGCTCATGCCTGTAAGGCTGAGGCGGGTGGATCACCTGAGGTCAGAAGTTTGAGACCAGCCTGACTAACATGGTGAAACCCCGTCTCTACTAAAAATACAAAATTAGCCAAGCGTGGTGGTGCATGCCTGTAATCCCAGCTACTCAGGAGGCTGAGGCAGGAGAATTACTTGAACCAGGGAGGCGGAGGCTGCAGTGAACCAAGATCATGCCACTGCACTCCAGCCTGGGCAACAAGAGTGAAACTCCATCTCAAAAAAAAAAAAAGGGAGAAAGAAAAAATTCAAGAAAACTTCTTACCACTGAAGAGCTTGAGTTTCCAGAAATGAAAAGACCCATGGAGTACCAAGCACAATGGATAAAAATAAATAGACCTACATCTCTATAAAAGAAGATCAATATGAAATTTCAGAGCCCTAGGCCAGAAATAAAAAGGGTTTTAACAGATCTTAGATTTAAAAAAAAATACAAGATTGACAATGAGAATGTCATCAGACTTCTCAGTAATAACATTGGAAGCTAGCAGGTAATGGAGAAATGCCTTAAAAATAATAAATTTTATTAATTAAATGTGAAGATAGAATAATGGATTTCAGTCATTTAAGATCTCAAAAATTTCTAGGAAGCTGTTAGAAGATATGATCAATCAAAATAAGAATGTGAAGTAGGAAAAAAAAAGACATAATATCCAGAAAACCAGGGGATCCAACACAAAAGAGACAAAGTGAATTCCTTGAAGCAGGGGTCAGCAAACTATATAGCCTGTGGGCCTAATTCAGCATGACACCTGTTTTTATATGGCCCAAGAATTAAGAATGGTTCTTACACTTTTAAGTGATTTCTAAAAATAAAAATAAGAATATTCCATAACACCTAAAAACTATATGAAATTAAAATTTCAGTGTTCATAAAGTTCTACTGGATCACAGCCACACTTATTGATTTATGTATCATCTATGGCTGCTTTTGTGCTGTAACAGCAAAGTTAAGCAGATGCACCTAAGGCTATATGGTCTAAAAAGCCTACTTTACAGAAAGTTGCCTTACCCTAGAGGATGGTAAAGGAGGAAGATCCCAGAATAACAGCTATGCAGCAAGCCTAAAGAACAACTGGCCCAAACTAGAACAAATCAGAAAGCCATAGGAGAGAGATCCCAAAAAATAAAACTGATGGAATTTCTGAAATGTTTCAATGTACTAAAAGAAGATTTGAATAACTTGGGAAGGATTTGTAAATAAACTGGTTATCAGTGCATAGAAAATTAAATTTAAAACAAGAGCATTATTAAATTATTTTTAAAAAGTGATACAGGAAGAAAAATTATTGTAGTATACTACATGGTTCAGCTGTGAATAGAATTTATGTAGTCATAATGTAAGTACTAAATATTAAACAAAACAAAATTATAATAAAGTAATTATGTAAGGAAAATGGGGAACTAGAAATGTACCAGGCAGTATTGAGAATACTGGTGGCAACAAGATTAAAAGACAGATAAATTCTTACTTTTGCAGTCAAGAGATGCATCTAAAAACAAAAAGTCAAGAAGCAGCAGCTTAAGATTTAGTGGTATTTAGCCAAATATCAAGAGAAACAGCTTAAACAGTTAAAAGTGCTTTCTTTAGTGATTGGGAAATGGGGTAAGGGTAGAAGAAAGGGAGAAACAGGACAGACCTGCTATTTATCAAAGTAAGGCTTGTAGACAATTTAATTTTTTAAACTATGTGTATATGTAACTTTGAAGCAAATAAAAACTAAATTTGATATTAGCCCCCCAAATGAAGAATTCTCATATAGATTTCTGATTGTTTGGCATGCTTTACAGGGTAAGTTTTTCAAGTAATGTTTATAAACACACTTGATTTGAGAATTTTGAACTGTTTACGAAATAAAGGTCTTATTTTACATACCAACATGCAATTAGTAAGTAAAAGTGAAGGGATTTTTTAAAACATTATTTTTTAAGTACATAAAATTCCTTTATTTTGTTCTACTCTGTTTAGATCATTACTACAGAAAATAACATCTAAATACTAACCACTTCAACTTCACTAGATCAGCTAAAACAACTAAAAGATTTAATGGAAGGGTGTTTATATTATGGAAGACAATTAGGTAAGACAGTTAATGTAAGAATAAGCTATCTTGTTAAGTAGGTCATCCAAAGAAAGGCATGTACTAAGTACTTCTATGTTTTAGCTAAAAAATATAAATAAATATGAAATGAACATATTAATATTACAGTTACAAATAAATAACAATAAAAACATTGTTTTAATTGGACATCCAGTACATCCCCAAATTTGTTTTTCAGTATTATCTTTCAAAGTCACTCAACCATAGCACACATTTTGTAAATGTCCTATATTTTACATGAATTGTATACAGGGCTTTTATTTAATTTTTCACATTTATTTTACACTGATATTTGACAACCAATTTTAAATTGGCATAATTAGCAATTACCTTAGTATTCCTGTTTTTCAGTCTGAATACTCTTCATTCAAATGATGATTAGTTTGTTTGTAGTAATTAGCATTTTAGCCAGGGAAATGGTTTACAAACTATGTTGCTTTACATCCATTTTGCTAAAGAGAAAAGAAAAGTGCTATTTACTTTAATACTAACTGTATTTTTTAAATTGTGCCTTAAATTCATTTATGAAATAAATTTGAAAAATCAGAAGGGCTTGGTGTATTTACCTACATCACTAATTAGACTATAATAGCTTCTTCTAAGAAGACTGCAGGTACTCTCCCTGCTCTTAATGGAATGTAGCAACTGTTTCTCAAATCACCCTCATGACAGCATTATGCAATTTTATCTGTCTATATTCTATTTCTACTTTATATTGTGGATACATTGGAGCCATATAGGAGTGTTTTCTATCATTGCAAAAGCCAGATAAAATAGTTTAACTACTACATCAAGTGGGAAATTATATATATAAATTGTCTGCTGCTGTCTATAGATTATGTCTGTAAAAGTTAAAAGCATTTTTCCCCTTTTAGAGAGAACACTCCCAATGCCTTCCTTTGCCTCATATATAAATTATCTTTTAAGGGACCAGGTGCAATAGGCAAAGAGTTGGCTGTCTTCCCAACCCAGCTTTGCATACTCGTAGAGCTAGGGGTCACAGAAATGCAGAATTTAGAGTACAAAGCCAAGTCAAGAATTATTTTCCTGCATCTTTTCCCTTAGGGGAGAGAAAGGGTGGTGGAATGGCAATTTGGGAGAAGTCATCTGAATTGAGATGAATTTAATTGCTTTTCCTGTTAATCTCCCTGCCTACACAGGTGGCTATGAGAGTCCTCTCTCCACAGATCCATGTCAGTGTCAACATTAAGAGGAACCGAGAATTTGGAAATCTGGTCCAGGCAGTTCTCCAGCTTTGTTCCAGATGCAGGATGAACACAATTCTATTGGAAGCATTTGTGTGCGTGACATGATTAGACAATTAATATCCAGCAGAACACCAGACCCTACTCCTCCCAAACAAGTTTGGAGTTAATCCTAGAAAGCGTAGGTCCTCAGTGGCATGGGACTTTTTGTAGAGTTGTTTGATACTCCATAGTATTTATTTATTTATTTATTTATTTATTTATTTATTTATTTATTTATTTATATGATTTTGAACTCTGTGAGACCTGCTCCAGAGTACTCTTGGGAGGACAAGAAATTTCTAACTAACTAGGAAATGACTAGCAGGGAGGCTGCCTTGGGATATTGTTCAGACAGAGAAAGTAAAATTACCCTTCACCTTGGTTTCTGCATTTGCTACCATTATCCCTCGATATTCCTATGCCCAGTATGCTATGGTCAAATGAGAAGATTCTTTTTACATTTTGCTCTATTTAAGAAAGGCAGTGCAATCCCATGCATTTCTAATGGACTAAGATCAAGTCTAACTTCTGAAGTGATTTTCAGGAAATGTCTTAGAACATAATTATCTTTTAGACACCAGTCAAGTTGGAAGCTGAGGAGACACACAGAGACTCTGCATTTTCTGTTCCTTGACCTAGAATGCTCTTCATATAGCCAGCTTCTCATACTTCAGGTCTTGGTCTAAATGTCACTTTCTCAAGGAGATCTTTCATTACCACCCTTTCTAGATTCCCTAAACCTCCATCCCCAGCACTTTATTTCTCTCCTTCATGAAATTATTACACAATTATTTTAATTGTGCACTTCCTTTCTTCTCTCTCTGCCCCACAAGAATGGAAGCTTCCTGTACTTCGAACACAGTATACCTATAGTGTATATACAGTATAACCAAGAAAGATTTATCAATGAAAGAGTACTGAAGGTAACTGAGGAACTTTACTGAAACATTTAAAACATTTTATTTTTGATAAGTATATCAGTCAGCTTCTACTATATTATTCAGCAATAATAACTCCAAAAATCTCAATACTTAAAAAAGATTGTTTCTTGCTCACTTTTTTTTTTTTTTAATGAGACGGAGTTTCGCTCTTGTTGCCCAGGCTGGAGTGCAAAGGTGTGATCGTGGCTCACTGCAACCTCCACCTCCTGGGTTCAGGTGATTCTCCTGCTTCAGTCTCCCAAGTAGCTGGGATTACAGGCATCTGACACCACGCCCAGCTAATTTTTTGCATTTTTAGTAAAGCCAAGTTTTCATCATGTTGGCCAGGATGGTCTCAAACTACTGACCTCAGGTGATCCACCCACCTCAGCCTCCCGAAGTGCTGGGATTACAGGCGTGAGCCACCATGCCCGGCCCTCTTGCTTACTTTTTATGTGAGCTGCAGCTTTGCCCCTGTGGTCTTCATTCCTTGGCCCAGGTTGATGCAGTGGACCCTATCTGGGACATTCCCTGAATCATCTCATTCTCATGGGCAGAGGGAAAAGAACAACGACTGTAGGAAATATACAGTGTGTCTTAAACTAGGATCTGAAGTACAGCACTTCTGTTCATAAGATGTTCTCTTACAATAGAAATTTCTAGAAAAATAATACAATCAGCCACAAGGATATTGTTCAGAAACTGTTACTAAAAATTTGTAGTCTGTTTATATTTATGTATATTGTATGTTAATGTTTATATTTGCAGTTTAACTGTGTTTATATTTGTGTATATTGGTCTTTATTCACTGGGTTTCTTGAATTGCAGAGTCATATCAGAAATTCTGCATATCCTAAAACTTAAGACACGTAGATGAGTGGTACTTTTTTTCTGTTTCCCTACTTAAGTATGTCTTTGCAATTCCTTGGCCTGAATATTTTGTTGGTATTTACATGTCTTCATCTGTACAATAGAAAGCTAAGAGCCTGAAACTTCTGAGTGGCTTTAGTTCTGCCAGTATCGAAGGAAGCTGGCACTGATAAAAGTTCTTCCACGGTCAGAGTAAATGACTGGAATAGATAAAGAGAGGCTATATTTGGCCTAAATCCTTACGGTGACTTTTTTTTTTCTTTTTCTTTTTTTTTTTTTTGAGACAGATTTTCACTCTTGTTGCCCACGCTGGAGTACAACGGCGTGATCTGGGCTCACTGCAACCTCCACCTTCCAGGTTCACGCAATTCTCCTGCCTCAGCCTCCCAGGTAGCTGGGATTACAGGCACCCACCACCACGCCCAGCTAATTTTTTGTATTTTTAGTAGATACAGGGTTTCATTACATTGGCCAGGCTGGTTGCGAACTCCTGACCTCAAGTGATCCACCTGCCTCAGCCTCCCAAAGTGCTGGGATTACAGGTGACATTTAAGTAATAAACTTTATCCTATGAACAATGCCTTAACACAAAGTTAGTCAGTCATAAACTACCTATGTGTTCAATTTTGACTGCCAACTTTGGTATCTGTGTACGTTTAATTTCCATATTTATAATAGCTTCCTCTAACAGTTTTCAGCACTACATTGGTAATATTGTTGGGAATACCTACTTGAGATGAAAGTTTTGAACTATGATCTTAGCCACAGTAAAAAAAGAAAATTAAACCACCTGGCACTGTGGCTTATGCCTGTGATCCCAGCACTTTGGGAGGCCGAGGCGGTCTGAGGTTGGGAGTTCAAGACCAGCCTGACCAACACAGAGAAACCCCGTCTCTACTAAAATACAAAATTAGCCAGGCGTGGTGGCGCATGCCTGTAATCCCAGCTACTCAGGAGGCTGAGGCAGGAGAATTGCTTGAAACCGGTAGGCAGAGGTTGTGGTGAGCCGAGATCGTGCCATTGCACTCCAAGAGTGAAAGTCCGTCTCAAAAAAAAAAAAAAAAAAAAAAAGAAAGAAAAAGAAAATTACCAAAAACAACTCTCAACTGAGAACTTGTATGTTGAAAGTTTTTTTTTGTCTTGTGACCTTTCTCCAATCTTGTATCATGTAAAATTATACTCTATAGAATACTGTGGATGGCACTTTTTACAAGGAATTATCTTTTAGAAACTATTTACAATATAAACCAACATTGCAAGACTTTATATGTACATTTTAGAAAACTAAGGATATATGTGTGCATGGATAAATAAAATAATATGTGAGCTCTATCTATTTTGCCCTGTGAGATGTATCAATCATAGCATCCAGAGTAAGTGGGTACAGAATTTAAGATCAAAATCTCTCCAGTTCCATGGACAGCTCCTATGAACAAAAGCCAAAGAGTGTGATTACCATCTCACTGAGAATTTCCCTCTGTTTACTCTGTCCTCTTCCCAGATATTATTCTTAGCTGCCTTACCATTTCCTTTTAAATCTCATTTTCCAAATGTCCACCACTGAGCCTGGGCAGTCTTCAGTTTAGACATAAAGGCTTATAGAAGACAACAAAAGTATGTATCCAGCATGTAAACAAAAATATGCTCCTTGTCACAAGGAGTTTACATTAAAGGTAAAGAAATTTCTCAAGTTTCATATATACAAATTTGTGTAAACCCTATGGAGAACTCCAAAGAGGAGCCATTTTCTTATTAAGTACCATTTTTCTCAGTATTTAAAACATACAAGGGAAGAAAGCAACAATTTAGCCCTTTGTATAAAAGAAACAGGATCAGGTTCGTTTCCTGTTCCTCTTCCTTAGAGACAACTACATCCATTTCTGATCATTTTCGTACCTGCTGTGGTTCAGTCAACTTCTCTAATAGTTGTGGAATGTGAAACATCTACATAAGATTGTGGGAGACCTTTTTTTTTTCCTACAGTCACTACCAGATGCAAACAAGGTGATATGTCCCTGCATGCTACTATTGCTAAACTGTGAGCAAAGAAAGGAAAAAGACTGATTTAGAGCATACATTTAAGATGCTTGTTAAGTGAAATGTCAAGTAGATTCATGTCTTGCCTTGTTGATCACCAGCCAATCAATGACTCTTAAACCTGAAATGACCAGGTCAACTTGCTACCACTGCTACCAAGTGAGAGAGAGACTGCATAGATCATCACTCAGAATGACAATTACTATGTAGAGCTATAGTAATTCCATAAGCCCTGGCCATTGTCTTGCTTAGCAAGAGGCTTCCTATGCTCTCACAGCTAAATACCAGCTCACTCAGATCCTGACACAAGGGAAACAAAAAGGCCTTTGGGATATCAACTCCCTGGTGACCCAGGTCTGATCAGAATTGAATTTTACTCCGCTTAGAACAAGTTTTTGTGTTTTTTTTTTTTAAGGATTATGGTAAATGAAGCCTTTGAGTGAGCTGTGTTCTTTCTTTTGCATATAAATGAATATAAATATGAATATGAATACAATCAATAGATAGACATCTGCCATCTTCTTACCACTGCCACCCATCCCAGTGACTTTTTGTTGTTTACTCAGACTAAAATGTCATCATAAGATAAAAATCCATCTATATTTCTATTTGGGATCAATACTACATATTTACTGTTACTTGTCATCCTTTGATATGTGTACTTGTTGTAGCATGTAATCCTTAAATTTGGTCTGGAGATGTGAAGATTTCATCAAATCCCCCAAGATCAAAAGCCTTAAAATTTTTGTTTGCATTTACATGCAAAGCTTACAAAGTTCTCAAGGGGGAAACAGTGATAAGAGCATTCTTCAAACGCTTGTTAATTGTTAACTGTCAAATCCTGATGGTGAAATCTCAGAGGTTTGTTTTAACAGGGGTAAAAACATGATGTTAATTTTAAGTTTTCTTAAACTCAGTGGTGAACACTAACAATATTTTTTCTCACCAGCTCACTTAAAATATAAGTGTAATTGTTAGTCAAAGCTAAAAGTCATACAAAAACATCAACTTGTTTTCACTCTTTGAAAGACAGATGTAGAGTCTGCCTGGAGGATCATAATTAAGGCAAACTAAGTGGGGAAACTGGTATTTTAGGCACATTATTTTAAATCACTCAAGTCCCTAAAGAAATTTTCAGTAACAGCTGTTACTTTGATCATCCTAATACCGTTGAAAAATAATATGTAAGATTAGACTACTATATATCCCTAAAATTAGCAATGAGCTGAAAGATAGAGATATACATCACATTTTTTAATCTGCCTGTCTTACTTCAGGATGACTTAATTAACAATGAAACCATCTGAAAAGACGATGCTAAATCAACTCAATAAAGAGACCTACTATTCAGCACCTAAGATCACAAGTTCAAGTATATTATAAAGTGTATATGTGTATTAATATATTACTTTATATATAATTGTATTTCTATAAAATAAAACTGAATTAATCATTTACAAAATAATAAAAATCACTTTGGCTAATTTTATAAATAATAATTTTTTAAAACCTCATTTTTATGATGAAATATGCAAATTATTATATGAACACTTCTCAAACCCATACTTCTTAATGGTCTAGTATTACAGTTCACATATAATCTATATCCTAATGAGCCTAGTTGTCGATGACATTCTCTGTACACATAGTCTTCAGAACTGGCAGGATTTTCACAGTAACTGACCATCTTCCACCTTAAAATATTCAGTGATAATGATGGCTCTCCCATTTTTTAAATCTCTAGATCAAGCTATTTAATATATTAATACTATCAAAACAGAAAATCGTATAGATAATTTTTTTTTAAAAAAGCAAAAATTTTTTTGTTCGTTTTTGTTTAGAATAGTGTACCCAGAAATATTTACTTCTATTCAGGAGGTAATAAAAAGTGATAAAGAATTTTGCCTAGTTTACTTTCTAATATTTCCTATATATAATACGTACTGCATATTCTAACATTTCCCATTTTACATTTCTTGAAGAGATTGAATCAGTGCAATTTCATGCCTACAGATTTTCAGTTTCTAACGTTCAATGACTAAATGGTGGGTGACTGAGCAATTCTAAATTGTGCTTTTAAGAGGAATAACTGTCCAAAAGGAACTCATTTAGTAGCTCACTTTCTGTGTGAACATTTGTCATTTACTTTTCTTATTTTTTTAACTGTTTATTGTAATTAGTAGAAATATTTTTATCATTTCCATTTGTTTTTCTCTGATCGGCCTGAGTGGTAACATTATTCCTGGAAATGCAAGTCAGGGGAAGGAGAGCACTTCCAGGAATATAACCACAATGAAGTGATTTGGCCTAAATATAGGCATTTTAATTGAGTGCATGTAGACACAGAACATTTCCTAAGAATAGTGTAAAATCTCCAACTGTGATTTCAAATTAAGATGCTATTGAAAACTCTCAAGCCTATTTCCTTAGCTCAACTTTACTATTTTAATCCTCAGCATGAAGAGGTACGGAAAAGTCATACACAGACTCTGAAAAGGCTAATCATTTTACTCTAATAACTTTTGTTTTTTATTTTAGAATTTGCTGTAACCCACATATACTCTTCTCTGAGAAAAGGTAACTATTGTGATTTACATTTTAACAGTGATCATAAGAAAATATTTTTCAGCATTTTGGATACTTGAGGGCTAATCAGGCACTAAATTAGGTACTGGTGGTCACTAGGGGCAGACATGCAAAGACCCTCTTCCCTGTATTTCAGTTGTTCAGTGATACTTTAGGTGCACAACATAATCCTGTATAAGATCTGAATCCCTGAAGTTAGAATAAATTATGTGCAAGTTAGTTTCAGCATTAACTGAATTTTAATGTTATAGTCTTTGAAAATCAATTGTTGATACAGAGCTACTCCCAATCATATGAATACTTTAATTACCAGAACACTCTATGTCATAACTGCCTTTTTAAGTTGATGTTAGTAATAAAATGCTCCTTAGAAGTTTTGTGGCTGGGCGCCATGGCTCACGTCTTTAATTCTAGCACTTTGGGAGGCTGAAGCAGCAGGATTGCTTGAGTCCAAGAGTTTGAGACTAGTCTGGGCAACAACACAGGGAGACCTCTATATCTAAAAAAGTTAAAAAATTATCCAGGCATGGTGGCGCATGCACCTGTGGTCCCAGCTTCTCGGGAGGCTGAGGTGGGAAGATCACTTGAGCTCAGGAGATGGGGGCTGCAGTGAGCCGTGATCGTGCCACTGCACTCCAGCCTGGGAAACAGAACAAGATTCTGCCTCAAAAAAAAAAAAAAAAAAAAAAAGTTTAGTAGTTGATACTCTACTAAAATTTCTCTTTTTCCACCATCATTTTAGTGTATTTCTTGAGATACTGCTTCTAATTGAGATTATCACTCTCCTTATACTACAGTGCCTGGGATTCTTCTTTGTTTAGCCATAGAAGTTACCAAAGCCTTTTATGCAGCTCCTGATTGCAAAGATTCCACTAGTATTAAATATCAAGCACACCAAAGTTTGGTTCACAGACATGCACAAAAGAGTAAGCAAATTAATTACTTTTACTATCCTAAGATAACAAAGAACAAAACAAATAAATTTTCCTTTGGTTTACCTTTGGTATCCTAGCACTCTATTTTGCATGAATCCTTCAGCACATCACGAGTGAAGACAAAGTTTGGAGCTAAGAGCTGATAAGACTAAATCAAAGATGTTTTTTCTCCCTAAGACCTTCTGTGAAAACAATGTTAAATTATTCTCGTTCTGAGAATGAAGACCATCACCCGGAGAAAAGCTATTTTGTTCCTGTGTGTGCATCTATGAGGTTTGGAAGTGCTAGTAGTGGTAAGATAGGACAAAGACAAGAGGTCTTATGGTGGGGTGGTACCCAGCAACATATAATCATAAGAACTCAGAATTATCATGTCCTGCATTTTGCATTGTGTGCATATCAATTTTGACAGTTGCTCTGCATAATTGTCTCACAAGACTTAAATTTTACACTAACTGCAGGTGTATTAATTTCCTACTACTGCTGTAACAAGTTACCACAAACTTAGTGGCTTAAAATAACTGTTATGAACTGAATGTATCTCTCCAAAATTCATATTTTAAAACCCTAATCCTCAGTGTGATAGTATTTGGAGATGGTGCCTTTGGGAGGCAATTAGGTCATGAGGGTAGAGCACTCCTGGGGGAATTAGTACCCGTGTAAAAAGAGATAGTGAGACTTCTTCCTCTCTTTCTACCATGTGAAGATACAAAGAGAAAACAGCCGTCTGCAAACCAGAAAGTGGGCCCTTATCAGACACTGGACCCTCATGAGGCACCTTGATCTTATACTTCTCAGGCTCCAGAACTATGAAAAATAAACATTATACCCAACTTATGGTATTCGTGTTATAGCAGCCCAAACTAAGACAATAACACTCACTTACTCTCTTATAGTTCTGGAGGTTACATGTTTTAAACCAGTTTCACTGGGTTAAAGTCAAGGTGTCAGCAGGACTTGTTCCTTCTGGAGGCTCTGAGGAAGAATCTACTTCCTTACCTTTTTTCAGCTTCTAGTGGGTTCCTATATTATTTGGCTTCTGACCCCTTCCCCCATCTTCAAAGTGCATCATTCCCAACTCTGCTTCTGTTAGCATCACATGGCCTTCTCCCTCTCTCTTTCTACCTCCTGCATTCCTCTTAAGGACTATTGTGATTACACTGGGTCCACAGTGATAATCCAGGATAATGTCCCCCATCTTAAGTTCCTTAATTTAATCACATCTACAAAGTCCTTTTTGTCATATAAGGTAACAGTCATAGGTTCGAGGGGTTAGGGTATGGACATACTTAGGGACCATTATTAAGCCTATGACACTAGGCTACGGGTGTCTAGCCTAATGATGAGGCTCTACGGAAGTGAGCAGGACTTTCCCATATGCTTAGCTCTCAAGTCCCACCAACTACACCTACATAGCTCTGAGTGTGCAAGGGGCAGAGTCTGGAACAGGCATTTTCTATCTTTATATTTCTTTTCTTTTTTTTTTTTTTTGAGACGGAGTTTCGCTCTTGTTGCCCAGGCTGGAGTGCAATGGCGTGATCTTGGCTCACCGCAACCTCCATCCCCCAGGTTCAAGCAATTCTCCTGCCTCAGCCTCCCGAGTAGCTGGGATTACAGGCATACGCCACCACCCTGGCTAATTTTGTATTTTTAGTAGAGATGGGGTTTCTCCATGTTGGTCAGGCTGGTCTTGAACTCCCGACCTCAGGTGATCCACCCGCCTCGGCCTCCCAAAGTGCTGGGATTACACGCGTAAGCCACCGCGTCTGGCCTCTATCTTTATATTTCATTGCAATAAATGATGGCATAAGAGGAACTGTGCAGAAAAACAAGGCATATTTGAGCCCACATGAAACTCGGGTCAGACAGAATATTTTATAATGTAGTAAAATAACGGTAAAGTATAGGTCAGAGACAGGATGTAATTTTACAGGTGTTTTAATCACAACATCTACTAAAGAAAGAACCAAATCTTAGGAGAAAAATGAGGTGTAGCTCTGATTACTATTACTAATTTTTTTTTTTGAGATGGAGTCTCGTTCTGTCACCTAGGCTAGAGTTCAGTGGCGTGATCTCTGCTCACCACAACCTCCACCTCCCAGGTTCCAGCAATTCTCCTGCCTCAGCCTACCGAATAGCTGGGATTACAGGTGTGCATCACCATGCCCGACTAATTTTTGTATTTTTTTTTTTTTTTTTGAGACGGAGTCTCGCTCTGTCACCCAGGCTGGAGTGCAGTGGCGGGATCTCGGCTCACTGCAAGCTCCGCCTCCCAGGTTCACGCCATTCTCCTGCCTCAGCCTCCCAAGTAGCTGGGACTACAGGCGCCCGCCACTACGCCCGGCTAATTTTTTTGTATTTGTAGTAGAGACAGGGTTTCACTATGTTGGCCAGGCTGGTCTCGAACTCCTGACCTCAGGTGATCCACCTGTTTTGGCCTCCTAAAGTGCTGAGATTACAGGCGTGAGCCACCATGCCTGGTCAGGTCTGATTATTTCAAGGATTAAATGAAACCAATTATGTAAGCACTAAGTATAGTGCCTAATTAACACTTGGTAAATGCTAAAAAAAGTTAATTATTATGATTTCTTCCAACACTCTGACATTTAAAAAAATTTTCTTTCTCTTCGATTGCAATGATGAATCTACATATAGTTCATTCCTTGTCAGAAAAGCACTTGCATTTCTATCCCCAAAGAGGGTGCTGACACTGAGCTAAAGGAAATCTCAGAAGACAACCTCTCCCAGCAGACCACCAGCACGATCTTTGACATGCTTTTCTTTCCAAAGATGACCTCTTTTTCCTGGGTTAAAGTTGAGTATCCGGGCATTAACTGCTACTTGGAAAAGTGCTGAGTGGCTGATGTATGCTGTCAGCATTATTCGAGGCCAGCCGGGGAATGTCTACATGGCCCATTCCTTTCCATTTGCATTTGGCAAAGACTTAAATTGTGACACTTAGGAAGGTGGAAAGTAATGAAAATGCATGGTTCTTTCCAGTCATATCATACACACTCTTAATATTCCATCTTCCCAATAGTGTGTTGAACTAGTAGAAACAACAATGAAAATGACAGAAACCAGGCATGGTAAGCTCAAGCCTGTAATCCCAGCACTTCGGGAAGTTGAGGTAGAAGAATAGCATACCCCAGGACCCTGTCTCTAAAAAAAAAAAAAAAAAAAAAAAAAAAAAAAAATTAAAATTCAGCTGGGTGTGGTAGCGTGTGCCTGTAGTCCCAGCTACTTGGGAGGCTAAGGTGGAAGGATCATTTGAGGTGGAGACTGCAAACTGTGATTGTGCCATTGTACTCCAACCTGTGTGACAGAGTGAGACCCCACCTAAGACAGACAGACAGAAAAAGCAATGGAAAGGAAAGGAAAGGAAAGGAAAGGAAAGGAAAGGAAAGGAAAGGAAAGGAAAGGAAAGGAAAGGGTGAAACCATCATCTGAAGGAAAGTCTAGTCATTGCAGACAAATTTAAGAATTAGTCTGTCTGTTCCCTATTCTCCCACTAAACGATCTGTAGAAAGTTAAATAGCACCTTTTCCCCATCTGTAAAAAAAAGAGTAGTCACAATTATTAAATAAAAATGGCATAAAATATGCATCTATATCAACAAACAGGTAAATAATAAACGATTTACTTTAAGGAGTCTTTGGTCTGACCTGACACAATTTATGTTCATCACTGGGCTTGATAGACTTGACTTTCTCCTTCTTCCCTCCCCATTATGAACCCCAAAAAGTCTCTTGTCCTTTTTTTTTTTTTTTTTAGACAGGGTCTCGCTTTGTTACCTAGGCTGGAATGTAGTGGTGCAATTATGGCTCACCGAAGCCCTGAACTCCTGGGCTCACATGATCCTCCCACCTCAGCCTCCTGAGTAGCTAGGACTATAGACACATGCCACCATGCCCAGCTAATTTTTTTTTCTTTTGGTACAGACAAAGTCTTACTGTGTTGCACAGACTGGTCTTGAACACCTGGCTTTAAGTCTTTTGTCCTTATTAACAACAGTCATTTGTTAAAATCTTGTGAAAGGTCTGTGCAGTGGCTCGTGCCTGTAATCCCAGCACTCGGGGAAGTCAAGGGAGAAGGATAGCTTGAGAACAGGAGTTTGAAACCAGCCTCAGCAACATAGTGAGACCCTGTCTCTACAGAAACTTAAAAAAATCAGCCTGGCATGGCAGTGTGCATCTGTAGTCCCAGCTACTCAAAAGGCTGAGGGTAGCTTGATCCCAAGAGTTCACGGTTGCAGCGAGCCATGATCATTCCAGCCTGGGTGACAGAGCAAGACCAGTCTTTGGAAAAAAACAAAAACGTTGTGACATTTTCCAGCAAAGGCAGGAAGAGGCAACCACCTCTCAAGTTAGAATCATCTATTGCACTTGTTCTTCTAAAATCCTTTTCTCTTCTCTCAGAAGTCATTTTTATTTCCTTATCACTCTGGCAGCCAAGTCCTTTTGGTAACTCTGGTTAGTCTCCGGGGCATTACTTCTCTCTCTTGCTTTCTATGCTATTTGTTTCTTATCTGAGATACAATATAGGCAGAATGAGGTGTTTGGGTTTTTTAAAAACCCCAAAGTAACATGCTTCTAAAGTATTTGACAAATAAGACTAGCCTTGTTAAAATGTTTTTCTCCTCTGACTAGTATTGAGGAAAACATATAAGTACACACATCTTAACAAGCAGTAATTATAGAGTAGATCAAAAATCTAAAACTTGGTCTTCTTAGTGAAAATAATGATTCC
Source organism: Homo sapiens (assembly GCF_000001405.40). Taxonomy (NCBI): domain Eukaryota; kingdom Metazoa; phylum Chordata; class Mammalia; order Primates; family Hominidae; genus Homo; species Homo sapiens. The sequence goes on from NC_000007.14 coordinate 26,957,047, forward strand.
CTATTATCTGAACAACTACCACTTGCAGATGATCGATACAAATATTCTAATTAAGGGTTAGATGAATGAAGATAGCTACAGAGCTAAGAAAAAGATGGGGACATCAGGTCATAAAAATACTAAAGAATTTTCAAGGTGAGGATTAGTGTTCCCTCTTCAAGATTGTCAATCAGTGGAGGTTTGGGGCAAGGTAAACCACCTCTGCATAAATTATCCTTTCAGAGACTGATTATCTTATTAAATAGATAAACCCAAACTCAGACAGAAAAGGATTAATCATAAGCAGGGGAGATTCATACATGCATACATATTATATATGCATACACACATACATATTATATATGCATACACACATGCATATTATATATGCATACACATACATCTATTACATGCATACACACATACATCTATTACATACATACACACATACATCTATATTACATGCATACACACACATCTATTACATATGTGTACACACATATGTTATATGTGCACGCACACATATGTTATATGTGTGTACACATACATATATGTATGTGTGTACACATACATATATGTCATATGTGTGTACACATACATATATGTCATATGTGTGGACACATACATATATGTCATATGTGTGGACACATACATATATGTTATATGTGTCGACACATACATATATGCTATATATGTGGACACATACATATTTCATATATATGAAAATGTCAAAGTTCAGAGTATAAGGAGGGAAAATTAATAAATAACAAATTTAGAAGGAAAAGGTAAGCAGGACAATATTTATTATGCCAGTTTAAAGACTAAAACCTATTAATAAATTTCCTGCCCAAGTCTTCAAAATTGTTCTCACTCTCCTTCAATCTTCCAGCCTCAGACAATGAGATTATATATACACATACAATCATCCACTGAGACAATTGGGTTACATATACCAGTTTTATACTTCCTCTAGGGCTTTCTAGCATTGCTTGAAATCTAATAGGAACGGAATATTATGAAGGAAAATGAGTCTGTACAGTCCACTTCAGACTTAATTTCATGCAATGTATTTAAAATACTCCTATAATTTACTTGAATACCTATGCCCACTATATAATAAAGAGAATGAGTAGTATGTATCAATAAAGAAACAGAAAAGGAATTGGTGCCCCCAGCCCTGACCCCTAGTGGAGTCAACAAACTGCATGGCAAATTATTACTATTTCTCCACCCCTGCATGGTCAATCTCACATTGAATAAATTTTCTCTAATATATATTACAAAACATCAGGCATATCAACCTGGTTTCTTAAATAAAATTGGCACCATAGCCTATAGAATGTAGCCTGATATTCAAGGTCAGCTCCACACACCCCCATACATAGTCCCAATCTTTTCCTACCATATCTCTCAGCACTTGCTTATAAAAACTCTCCACTCCAGCCAGCCTAGTATACTCCCCATTCCCCTGCATATTCTCATTTCTCTTATATCAGGCCATCTGGAAAGTAAATGGAATGTCATCCCCAATAAAACAATTTGAACAACAAAGTAAAATACTATTGGCTTATAACCAAAAAAAAAAAAAAATCTGAGTCCATACTGATATAAATAAATGATTAAATAAACAAATAAAAGAACAGACTAATCTCCCAATTAGAATAATTCCCAATAATTTATGTAAATACTCCATCCTCAAAGAAGTAAACATAATTACCCATTCTTTAAGTGTGAGCTGCACACAGTGACTTACTTTGAAAGAGTACAGTATTAAAAAGGGGGAAAAGACAGTAACTTCACAGTAGAGAAACCTAATGAACACTACCTCAACTGGATGATGACTATCATCTACAGTGATTAGTCATTTTGATATTATGTACTCGATATAATATGATAAAAATAGTACTTAACCTGTGTTAAGTCAATAATACTATTGACCCTCTGACAATATGTCAGAAGGAGGATCATCTGCTTTGGGCGATCCTGATTCATCAAGCCATGATGATGCTGATGGCTGGATGTCAAGGAGCAAAGGACATCAATGACTAACAGGCGAGTAGCTTCTACAGCGTGGATACACTGGACAAAGGGATGATTCACATCCTGGGCAAGATGGAGCTGGAAGGAATGAGATTTCACCCTGCTACTCAGATCAGCGTGAGATTTAAAACTTAACAAATTGTTTATTTCTGGTATTTTCTATTCAATATCTTAGAACTGTGATTGACTGTGGGTAACGGAAACTGCAGAAAGCAAAAGTGTGACTAAGGCGACTACTGTATTTGAAATAGAGGAAACTGGTTATATGAGTGATTAAAAGGATAAAACGCAAATTGAGGCAGCCTGCGATAAGCAAAAGCAGAAAGCCAGTGCAATGCCACCCCCTAATCTGGAAGGCCAAGAGAAGAGGCAGTGTTACTGGAGCCTGGAGAGTGGCATCACTTCATAGAAGCCAGAACCACAGGCAGAGTCTAGAGGAGCCACAGACTTCTTAAGAGTTGTTGCCTAAGGCAGAGAGGGATTGAGAGAAATACAAGGGCTTCTTCCTTCCTCTTGACTTTTAGCCTACCACTTCCATTCAAAAACCAAGAGTATCTACTGTCCTGTAACACAGGCCAAGCAGAGAAAAGGTGGGGAATGAATCTATTCAGTCAGGTCTACACAATAAGCTACCACTTTAGGACTATTTCTAGCTTGATGTACAGTTAGGTCTGGGCAGAGCCAGCAGATTGATTAGTTCTTTTTATTTGGAATTTTCAAAATGTTTTTTATAAGCACTTTCTGTGGTGAACATGAATGCTCATTCCCATCTTATAAATGGAAGGTTGAAATAGGGAGAGCTGTTTGTATGAAATCTCAAAGGTCAGTGACAGAGCTGGGGAAAGGATGAGTATTTGTTTAAGTTGCAGCATTATTTTCTGTTGTTTCATTTTTTTTCTCCATTTTAATTATGCACAGGGTCACTGAAAGAGTTGAAACTAAAACTGGAAGCATAGTACCTTGTCCAATTAAACTACCAAACTTAGCTTTGGAATAGAGTGGTTTGATTGTTTCCTATAAGGCCAAGATTTGCTCTGAACAAAGCTATAGGTCCACACATTCTAACAAAGAAAACAAATAAAAAATACAAACAGAGTAGTTAACATTTTATAGTTTCTGCTAATGTTATGTTACTTTGGAGGCAGGCAGCCCAGACTCAAATGAAAACATACCAGAGTAGGAAAGTAGAAAAAAGAAACAAACATTTAACAATTTTAAGAATATGCCTTATCTTTTTGAGAGTCTTATGCCATCTTAAAGGGTATTTATATTACCAAAAGGCCCCTAGAAATTGAGTAGACCCAAGGAAACACCACAGCCTCTCACTCTATGTCTTGTGTTCTGGGTCAATTAGATTCTGCTTGTTTCTGTGATACTCTGAGAATCCAGAGTATCTTTAATTTGGGTTGAAACAGCAGATATCAGACTACTATTCTTATCTGCAGCCACCCTGCTTTCTGATCTCCTTGAGACCCAGGGCAGCGAGACCCAGAGCAGCAAACACAGGGGAATGTGATTGTCTTCAAGGACATTGGGACATTGTAAATTCATGGTAGAGCTTTGAAAAGCTATTAAATTCCTAGGGTGCTAAACCAGGAGGTAGGGAGTAACAGTGGTGGTAACAAGAATAACTCTTAGGAAGATAGGGAGCATGTTTTACGCTTCCAAAATGCTCTTCTTGAGGCAATATGTATCTATGTCTGAAAGAATTTTAAATGAAATTAACAATGATTATAGCTTGTTATAGTCAAGGTTGTAGGACGCAAGATTAATATGCAAAAGCCAACTGCTTTCCTGTATACTAGCAATTAACAAATGGAATTTGAAATTAAGAAATTAAAAACACAATACCATTTATATTAGCGTTCAAAAAATGGAATACTTAAATATAAATCTAATGAAATATATATTATACAAGACCTATATGAAGAAAACTATAAAACTCTGATGAAGTAAATCAGAGAAGAAGTGAATGGAGAAATATTTTATGTTCATGGATAGCAAAACTCTACATTGTGAGGATGTCAGTTTTTCCAAACTTGATCTATAGATTCAAAGCAATCTCAGTCAAAATCCTGGCAAGTTATTTTGTGGATATTGACAAACTAATTCTAAAGTTTAACGGGAGAGGGAAAAGACCCAGAATAACAAAAATAATATTGAAGGAAAAGAACAAAGTTGAATGACTGACACTGCTTGACTTCAAAGACTTACTATAAAGCTACAGTAATCAAGACAGTGTGGTATTGGTGAATGAAGAAACAATAGAGTAGAAAATCCAGAAAGAGACCTACATAAATACAGTCAAAAGATCTTTCACAAAGAAGCAAGTGCAATACACTGGAGAAAAGATAGTCTTTTCAAGAAGTAGTGCTGGAACAACTGAACATCCATATCCAAAAAAATGAATATAGATACAGAACTTACATCCTTCATTAAAATTAACTCAAAATGGATTGCAGACCTAACTGTAAAATGCAAAACTATAAAACTCTTAGAAGATAATGTAGGAGAAAATCTAGATAACCTTGGGCTTGGCAATGGCTTTTAAGATATGACACCAAAGGCACAATCCATGAAAGAATGAATTGATAAGCTGGACTTTATAAAAATTAAAATTTTCTGCTCTATGAAAGACACATCAAGGGAATGAGAAAATATTTGCAAAAGGCATATCTGATAAGGGATTATTATCCAAAATGTATAAATAACTCTTAAGATTTAACAAGGCCAGCCATGGTGGCTCACACCTGTAATGCCAGCACTTTGGGAGGCTGAGGTGGGAGAACCGCTTGCGACCAGGAGTTTGAGTCCAGCCTGGGAAACATAGTGAGACCCAATCTCTACAAAAAATTTTAAAATTATCTGGGCATGATGGTGCATGCCTGTAGTACTGGCTACTTGAGAGGCTGAGGCAGAGGAGATTGCTTGAGCCCAGGAGTCCAAGGGTTCAGTGAACATCACCCTGAGTGACAGAGCGAGACGGTCTCAAAAAAAAAAAAAAAAAAGATTCAACAGTAAGAAAACAAACAAGCCAATTTAAAAATGGGCCGGCCAGGCACAGTGGCTCACATCTGTAATCCCAGCACTTTAGGAGGCCGAGGCAGGCAAATCACGAGGTCAAGAGATCGAGACCATCCTGACCCCATCCTGGCCAAAATGGTGAAACCCCGTCTCTACTAAAAGTACAAAAATTAGCCGGGCATGGTGGTGCGCGCCTGTAGTCCCACCTACTCAGGAGGCTGAGGCGGCAGAATTGCTTGAACCCGGGAGGTGGAGGTTGCAGTGAGCCGAGATTGCGCCACTGCACTCCAGCCTGGCGACAGAGCAAGACTCCGTCTTAAAAAAAAAAAAAAAAAAAAATGGGCCAAAGACCTTAACAAAAACCTCACCAATGAAGATATACAGATAGCAAATAAGCATTTAAAGAGATGCTGCACATCGCAGATCATCAGGGAAATGTAAATTAAAGCAACAATGAGATACCACTATGCACCTATTAGAATTGCCAAAAATCCATTCTAATGACAACAAATACTGACAAGGATGTGGAGCAATAGGAATTCTCATTCATTGCTGATGAGAATGCAAAATGATATAGCCACTTTGTGATACAGTTTGGCAGCTTCTTATAAAACCAAACATAGGCCGGGCATGGTGGCTCATGCCTGCAATCCCAGCACTTTGGAAGGCCGAGGCAGGCGGATCACAAGGTCAGGAGTTCGAGACCAGCCTGACTAACATGGTGAAACCCCGTCTCTACTAAAAATATAAAAATTAGCCAGGTGTGGCGGCGCATGCCTGTAATCCCAGCTACTCAGGAGGCTGAGGCAGGAGAATCTCTTGAACCCGGGAGGCGGAGTTTGCAGTGAGCTGAGATCGTGTCACTGCACTCCATCCTGGGCGACATAGTGAGACTCCAGCTAAAAAAAAAAAAAAAAAAAAAAAAAAAAAAAAAAAAAAAAACCATAATCTATGATCCAGCAATCATACTCCTTGGTATTTACCCAAATGAGTTAAAAACTTATGGTACACACACAACACAAATCTGCACATGAATGTTTATAGCAGCTTTATTCATAATTGCCAAAACCTGGAAGCAACCACAACATCCTTCAGTAGGTGAATGGATAAATAAACGAAGGTATATCCAGACAATGGAATATTATTCAGTACTAAAAAGAAATAAACTACCAGGGGATAAAAAGACATGGAAGAAGCTTAAATTCATATTACTGAGAGAAGCCAATCTAAAAAGGCTAACTACTGTATGATTCCAACTATATGATAGTCTGGAAAAAGCAAAACAATAGAGACAGATAAAACATTAATGGTTGTCAGGAGTTAGGGGAGAGGGAGGAATGAAGAGCACTGAAGATTTTTAGGGCAGTGAGAATACTCTATGGTACTATAATGGTGGATACATGTCATTATACATTTACCCAAACCTATGGAATGCCCAACACGAAGAGAGAACCCTAATGTAAACTACAGACTTTGAGTGATAATAATGTGTCAATGTAGGTTCATCAGTTGGAACAAATGTATCACTCTGGTCAGGAAGGTTGATAATGGGGGAAGCTATGGATGGATGGAGGCAGCGGCTATATGGTTTTATGGGAAATCTCTGTATCTTCCTCTCAATTTTGCTTTGAACCTAATACTGCTCTTTAAAAAAAAAAGTATTTTTAAAATAAAATTAACAGTAGTATTGCAACCCCAAACCATAAGGCTGATCTGGTATAACTACAGCTGTTACTCCAAATTTAGTCTTCTCAAAATACTGTATTCTGAACATAAAATTAGCAGAGAAAAATGATGATGATACTTAACAAGGAGATATGAACAAGGTTTATGCCTTTCGACATATTTTTCAGTTTAACTTCAGAACCAATAAACAATGCAAATTCTATAGGACTTCAGCTACATAGATTGAAGTACCAATCCTGCTGGATGCAAGCATTCTTTCAAATTAAATTAGAGTGAAGCATACAGGTTTTCCATCTTGTTATGTAGAGATGTGGATTAATTTTATTTCACCTAGCCAAATGTAATTTTTTTATCAATGTCATTATTTCTGTTTTTATACAATTAATCCAACTGCAAATCAATCACTTTAACAAGCAGTTTATTTCCTGAATTAAACTTAAACCCAAAGTGAAACTGCCTTTGAACTTAAAAGCCTTATTAATAGAAGTCCTCTGAAATGATATAAAATCACCAACACTTCATAATCTATTTTTTCCCCTGAGGAACTTCCTAAAATGAATAACAGCCACATCTGCATTTGCAAACAGGAAACTCTGCAAGCCATACTAAGACCAAAGCTTAGTTATTAGGTCACTTGCTTAAAAATATTTTAGGACATGCATTATTTCACTATTACAATATTGGCTAAAAGAGCTTTAATATGCAAGACAGGATGTAAGAGGCTTAGCTGATCCAAATGCCAGTCTATGGATTTGAAAGACGAAAGATCACATCACTAGAAGGTTGACAGAAGTGACACTTTGCAAAGTGCCAATGATTTATGCCAATGTCTTGCTTGATGATACTGTTATAGACAGCACTGTCATTAGGAAGTCCCTGCTGACTTCCTTCTACATTTATGGTGCACAAATTATAGGTGAGCCCAAAGATCGAACCCTCCCTGCCTTTTAGATTTCAATTACCATGTTATTTCACTTAGGTTCATTATTGCATGTGCCCTCTTTCTTTCTACCTGCTTCTTACCTTGTCTATAACACAGCAATGAGAAGTTAAGGAATAAAATTTATCCTGCCAAAAAATTAAAAGTTATAAACACATTCCCTGGAAACTCCCACAATCAAAAACTGGAAGGGATGTTTCCAAGTCTCAAAAGTCTTTCACAATATGCTCTTATTAGGAAAAAATAAAATAAAAAGTAAAAAATAAAAAAATAAAAAAAAAACACTAAGTGCAGTTTTTTTTTTTTTTTTTTTTGAGATGGAGTTTTGCTCTTGTTGCCCAGGTTGGAATGCAATGGTGCGATCTCGGCTCACCGCAACCTCTGCCTCCTGGGTGCAAGTGATTCTGCTGCCTCCTGAGCAGCTGGGATTACAGGCATATGCCACCATGGCCGGATAATTTTGTATTTTTAGTAGAGACGGGGTTTCTCCATGTTGGTCAGGCTGGTCTCAAACTCACGACCTCAGGTGATACGCCCGCCTCGGCCTCGCAAAGTGCTGGGATTACAGGCGTGAGCCACCGCACCCAGCCAAGTGCAGTTTTTAAAGAGCATATTTGAAAACAAAGCTCTGGAGTAAACTGTCGGGATTACTATGGATTGACTTTCCATCACTATGTGGTGACCTGAGCATTTACAAAACAACTCCTAAGACAGCAAAGAGAAGATGAAGCACTTAGTTTTAAATTTTTCTGCTAAACTCCTGCCTTATATATAAATATTTGTTGTGGTCGAGTTTTTAAAAATAAAGTAGTTCCCTTATCCAAAGGGGATATTTTCCAAGACCCCCAGTGGATGCCTGAAACTGCAGATAGTACCGAACCCTTTATGTATACTATATTTTTTCCTATACATACTTACGTACATACATACCTATGACAAAGTTTAATTTATAAATTAGTCACAGTAAGAGATTAACAATAACTAATAATAAAAATAGACCCATTATAACAATATACCAGCACTACCACTCTTGCACTTTAGGGCCATTATTAAGTAAAATAAGGGTTAGCTGAACACAAGTACTACAATACACGACAGCCTATCTGACAGCCCAGATGGCTACTAAGTGACTAACAGGCAGGTAGTGGATACAGTATGGATATGCTGGACAAAGGGCAGAAAGGCATCAGAGTTCGTCACACTACTCAGAACGGTACACAATTTAAAACATGAATTGTTTGGGATTTCTCTAGTTAATATTTTCTGACCATGGTTGACCTTGGGTAACTGAAACCACAGAAAGTGAAACTGTAGATAAGGGGGACTACTATATTCTGAAGGGAATTTTAAAATTTTATTATTCCAATATTGTATTTATAGAAACCAATAATTTTATCTTGTACTTGGAAAAAAATTTCAGCTTTTGTGAACTATCTTCAACTTACTGAAGTGGAGATGAAATGAACTAGCTGTTATTTCTTTTTAACAAAAATTACAATAGCCTTTAACTTTTTTCCTGAAAGAAATCTCAGACAAGCCCAGAAACATTTATGGGTGCTTAATTTGTTTGAAATAACTACTTTTAGTTTCTTCATATCTTTACTTAATAGCAAAATAAATGACTTTGAAAGTCCAGTGTGAAAAGAGATTGGCCCAAAAGATTTAATTGCAACTCTATTACTATTTAGATTTTATAATGTTGGTTGTGTTCTTTCCTTAGTGTGTTATTAAATATAGAATGATACCAATTAAAGTTCATACAATAAAATAAAAACGTACAGGCCAAATTATTCTAAATGAAAACCATCCAAGATGAAATTTGTTTTGAAAACTAAAATGTATAAAACAACAGCTACTTTAATTTTTTTGAATCAAAAAGATTAAATGGAAAGGCCAAGCTAAGATAACCACATGACAGCATTAAACCAAAAGTTACTGTTTAGAAAACTAAGCAACCACATCGACAATTAAAATACACAGTACCTTCTATTTACTGGAGGCAACAGAAGCTAACAGAAAGGAACCAAAGGAAATAAAGCTTCAGTCAAACAGACTGGGATTTAAGGAAAGCTCCATTCCCAGTGGATAATAGCCCAGTGGAAAACTAAGACACCTACCCAAGCTGACTGATTGGCTGTACATATCAGGGGTAGACTAGTATGCTGTAAGGATGGTGGGAGTGGGGGCAAATGTTAAATGGTTGCCCCAAAATAAGTGTTATTAAAATATTGAAGTTTTATTTTATTTTATTTTATTTTTGAGTTGGAGTCTCACTCTGTCTCCCAGGTTGGAGTGCGGTGGCATGATCTCGGCTCACTGCAACCTCCATCTCCTGTGTTCAATTGATTCTCCTGCCTCAGCCTCCCCAGCAGCTGGGATTAGAGGCACGTGTCACCATGCCCAGCTATTTTTTTTTTATTTTTAGTAGAGACGGGGTTTCACCATGATGGCCAGGGTGACCTTGTACTCCTGACCTCAAATGATCCGCCCACCTCAACCTCCCAAAGTGCTGGGATTACAGGCGTGAGCCACCACACCAAAATATTTAAGTTTTAATTACACAAATAGTATATTAATATATCCTCCTTATTTTAAAAAAGTTAAACATAATAAAGTTAAAGTTCACTTCAACCCTTTGGATGCTCCAGACCTTTTAAAAACCATTTACTTATTAAAAACTACATAAATGTCAACCAACACAGAAGAACAGCTAAATAGACTATGGTATATACATACCAAAAAGTAGTATGAAACTTTAGAATGACATAGATTTTTTTATGCGCTAATATGGAAAGATCTCTTCAAAAAAAATTACAGAATGACATATACCTTATAATATCATTTACATAAAATATATCAGTTATATAAAACAATATTAATACCCATCCTTGGGAATTCTCTTGTAGATCCCAGCACCTATGTTTGACCCCATCATTGGTACATAATCATGGACACTTTTGACATGTTTTCTAGTATCTTGTACTATTAGTTAATTTTTCTTTTGAGTGTACTTTACAGAACCCTCAATAGCATTAAGTATGCACAGAATAAGCACTCAGTCAATATAATTTAGACAAATACTTTTATACCTACTAAGATTGATGGTAAAGGATGACAGCTATAATTCTTGCAAGTTTACTTCAACAGGTTTAGAGTAATGTGAGGTTCAGTATGAATATTTATTCACCTTTTTTTTTTTTTTTTTTTTTTTGAGATGGAGTCTCACTCTGTTGCCCAAGCTGGAGTGCAGTGGTGGGATCTCTGCTCACTCTCTGCTCACTGCAACCTCCACCTCCTGGGTTCAAGTGATTCTCCTGCCTCAGCCTCCCGTGTAGCTGGGACTACAGGCATGCGCCACCATGTCTGACTAATTTTTGTATTTTTAGTAGAGACAGGGTTTCACCATGTTGGCCAGGATGGTATTCACCTTCTTTTAATAAGAGAAAAGCAATGACATTTTCTTTTTAAAAAAATTTTAAAAACTTTTAAGTTCAGGGGTACCTGTGCAGGTTTGTTACATAGGAAAACATGTGTCATGGGGGTTTGTTGTTTAGATTATTTTATCACCCAGATATTAAGCCTATTACCCTAAGTTATTTTTCCTGATCCTCTCCTTCCTCTCACTCTCCACCCTCAAGTAGGCCCCAGTGTGTGTTGTACCCCTCTATGTGTCCATGTGTTCTCATCCTTTAGCGCCAACTTATAAGTGAGAACATACGGTATTTGGTTTTCTGTTCCTGCTTTAGTTTGCTAAGGATAATGGCCTCCAACTCCATCAATGTCCCTGCAGAGGACATGATCTTGTTCTTTTTAATGGCTTCATAGTATTTTATGGTGTATATGTACCACATTTTCTTTATTCAGTCTACCATTGATGAGCATTTAGGTTGATTCCATGTCTTTGCTATTGTGAATAGTGCTGCAATGAACATACACATGCATTTGCCTTTATAATAGAACAATTTATATTCCTTTGAGTATTTACCCAGTAATGGGATTCCTGGGTCAAATGGTATTTCTGTCTTTAGGTCTTTGAGGAATTGCCACGCTGTCTTCCACAATGGTTGAACTAATTTACAGTCCCAACAACAGTATATAAGCATTCCTTTTTCTCAACAACCTCACCAGCATCTGTTATTTTTTACTTTTTAATAATAGTCATTATGACTCGTGTGAGGTACTATCTCACTGTAGTTTTGATTTGCCTTTCTCTAATGATCATTGATGCTGAGCTTTTTTTCTTATGACTGTTGGCTGCATGTGTGTCTTCTTTTGAGAAGTGTCTGTTTATGTCCTTTGTTCACTTTTTAATGGGGCTGTTTGGTTTTTTTTCTTGTAAATTTAAGTTCCTTATAGATGCTGGATATTAGACCTTTGTCAGATGCATAGTTTGCAAAAATTTTCTCCCATTCTGCAGGTTGTCTGTTTACTCTGTTGATAGTTTCTTTTGCTGTGCAGAAACTCTTTAATTAGATTGTATTTGTCCATTTTTGCTTTTGTTGCAATTGCTTTGATGTCTCCATCAAGAAATATTTGCCCATGCCTATGTCCTGAATGATATTGCCCGGGTTGTCCTCCAGAGTTTTTATAGTTTTGGGTTTTACATTTAAGTCTTCAATCCATCTTCAGTTAATTTTTGTATAAAAGAAGGGGTCTAGTTTCAATCTTCCGCATATGACTTAGCCAGTTATCCCAGCACCGTTTTCTGAATAGAGAATCTTTTCTTTATAGCTTGTTTTTGTCAGGTTTGTCAAAGATCAGATAGTTGTTGGTGTGTGGTCTTATTTCTGGGTTCTCTATTCTGTTCCACTGGTCTGTGTGTCTGTTCTTGTACCAGTACCATAATGTTTTGGTTACTGTAGCCTTGTATAGTTTGAAGTTGGGTAGCATGATGCCTCCAGCTTTGTTCTTTTTATTTAGGATTGCCTTGGCTATTCTGGCTCTTTTTGGTTTCATATGAATTTTAAAATAGTTTTTTTATAGTTCTGTGAAGAATGTCAGTGATAGTTTAATGGGAATAGCACTGAATCTATAAATTGCTTTGGGCAGTATGGTCATTTTAATAATATTGATTCTTCCTATGTATGAGCATGAAATTTTTTTTATTTGTGTCATCTCTGATTTCTTTGAGCAGTGGTTTGTAGTTCTCCTTGTAGAGATCTTTCACCTCCCTAGTTAGCTGTATTTTCAGGTATTTTATTCTTTTCGTGGCAATTGTGAATGGGAGTTTGTTTGTGATTTGGCTGTCAGTTTGCCTGTTGTTGGTGTATAGGAATGCTAGCGATTTTTGCACATTGATTTTGCATCCTGAGACTTTGCTGAAATCGCTTATCAGCTTAAGAAGCTTTTGGGCTGAGACAATGGGGTTTTCTAGATATAGGATCATTTCATCTGCTAATAGGGATAGTCTGACTTCCTCTTTTCCTATTTGTATGCCCTTTATTTCTCTCTCTTACCTGATTGCTCTGGCCAGAAGTTCCAATACTATGTTGAATAGCAGTGGTGAGAAAGGGCATCCTTGTCTTGTGCCAGTTTTCAAGAGGAATGTTTCCAATGTTTGCCCATTCAGTATGATGTTGGCTGTGGGCTTGTCATATATGGCTCTTATTATTTTGAGGTATGTTTCTTCAACACCTAGTTTATTGAGAGTTTTTAACATGAATGAATGTTGAATTCGATTGAAACCCTTTTCTCCATCTATTGAGATAATCGTGGTTTTTGTCTTTAGTTCTGTTTAGGTGATGAATCACATTTATTGATTTGCATATGTTGAGCCAAACTTGCATCCTGGGGATGAAGCCTATTTGATTGTGGTGGATAAGCTTTTTGATATGCTGCTAGATTCAGTTTGCCAGTATTTTGTTGAGGAATTTTGCATTGAGGTTCATCAAGGATATTAGCCTGAAGTTTTCTTTTTTTGTTATATCTCTGCCAGGTTTTGGTATCAGGATGATGCTGGCCTCATAGAATGAGTTAGGGAGGGGTACCTCCTTTTCAATTTTTTGGAATAGTTTCAGTAGTAATGGTACTAGCTCTTCTTTGTACATCTGGTAGAATTCAGCTATGAATCCATCTAGTCCTGGGCTTTTTTTGGCTGGTAGGACATTTATTACTGCCTCAATTTTAGAACTTGTTATTGGTCTGTTCAGGGATTCAGTTTCTTCCTGGCTCAGTCTTGGAAGGGTGTATGTGTCCAGGAATTTATCCGTTTCTTCTAGATTTTCTAGTTTATGTGCATAGGGGTGTTTCTAATATTCTCTGATGGTTGTTTGTATTTCTGTGGGGTCAGTGGTAATATCCACTTTATCATTTCTGATTGTGTTTATTTGAATCTTCTCTCTTTTCTTCTTTATTAGTCTAGCTAGTGGTCTATTTTACAATTTTTTCAGAAAATCAGCTCCTGGATTCATTGGTCTCTTGAATGTTTTTTTTTTTTTTGTATCTCTATCTCCTTCAGTTTATCTCTATTTTTGGTTATTTTTTCTCTCCTGCTAGCTTTGGGATTTGTTTGCTCTGAGTTCTCTCACTCTTTTATTTGTGATGTTAGGTTGTTATTATAATTAGAGATCTTTCTAATTTCTAATTTGGGTATTTAGTGCAATAAATTTCCCTCTTAACACTGCCTTATCTGTGTCCCAGAGATTGTGATACATTGTATCTCTGTTCTCACTAGTTTCAAAGAACTTCTTGATTGCTGCCTTAATTTCATTATTTACCCAAAAGTCATTCAGGAGCAGGTTATTCAATTTCCATGTAATTGTATGCTTTTGAGTAAATTTCTTAGTCTTGAGTTCTAATTTGATTGCACTGTGGTCCGAGAGACTGTTTGTTATGATTTCAGTTCTTCTGCATTTGCTGAGAGTGTTTTACTTCTGATTATGTGATTGATTTTAGAGTAAGTGCCATGTGGCAATGAGAAGAATGTATATTCTGTTGTTTTAGGGTGGAGATATTTGTAGATATATATCAGGTCCATTTGTTCTAGGGCTGAGCTCAGGTCCTGAATATCTTTGTTAATTTTCTGTCTTGATAATCTGTCTAATATCATCAGTGGGGTGTTAAGGTCTCCCACTATTATTGTGTGGGAGTCTAAGTCTCTTTGAAGGTCTCTAAGAACTTTCTTCAAGAATCTGGGTGCTCCTGTGTTGAATGCATATATATTTAGGATAGTTAGTTCTTGTTGAATTGAATCCTTTACCACTATATAATGCCTTTCTTTGTCTTCTTCGATCTTTGTTGGTTTAGAGTCTCTTTGTCAGAAGTTAGGATTGCAATGTCTGCTTTTTTCTGTTTTCCATTTGCTTGGTAGATTTTTATCCATCCCTTTATTTTGAGCTTATGTGTGTCACTGCATGTGAGATGGGTCTCTTGAAGACAGCATACCAAAGGGTCTTGGTTCTTTATCCAGCTTGCCACTCTGTGTCCTTAATTGGGACACTGAGCCCATTTACATTTAAAGTTAGTGTTGATATGTTTGGATTTGATCCTGTCATCATGATGTTAGCTGGTTGTTTTGCAGAATTTTTATGTGGTTGCTTTATAGCATCACCGGTCTGTGTGTTTTGTAGTAGCTAGTAACAATCTTTCCTTTCCATATTTAGTGCTTCCTTCAGTAGCTCTTGTAAGGCAGGTCTGGTGGTAATGAATTCCCTCAGCATTTGCTTGTCTAAAAAGGATCTTATTTCTCCTTTGCTTATGAAGGTTAGTTTAGCCACATATGAAATTCTGGGTTGGAATTTCTTTTCTTTAAGAATATAGAATATTGGGCCCCAATCTCTTCTGGTTTGTTGAGTTTCTGCTGAGAGGTCTGCTGTTTGGCTTTCCGCTGAAAGTCTGATGGGCTTCCCTTTGTAGGTGACCTGGCCTTTCTCTCTAGTTGCCCTTGATACTTTTTCTTTCATTTTGACCTTGGAGAAGATGATTATGTGTCTCAAGGATGATATTCTCATGGAGTATCTTACTTGGGTTCTCTGCATTTTCTGAATTTGAATGTTGGCCCATCTAGCAAGGTTAGGGAAGTTCTCATGGATGATATCCTAGAATATATTTTCCAAATTGATTCTATTTTCCCCATATCTTCCAGGCACACCAATCAGTAGTAGATTTGGTCTCTTTATATAATCCCATATTTCTCAGAGGTTTTGTTCATTCCTCTTCATTCTTTTTTATCTATTCTTGTCGGCCTGTCTTATTTCAGAAAGACACTCTTCAAGCTCTGAGATTCTTTCCTACGCTTGATCTATTTTGCTATTATAACTTGTGATTGCATTATGAAGTTCTTGTACTGTATTTTTCAGCTCTATCAGTTTGGTTGTGTTCTTCTCTATACTAGCTATTTTGTCTGTCAGCTCCTGCAATGTTTTACCATGGCCTTTAGCTTCCTTGCATTGGGTTACAACATGCTCCTTTAGCTCAAGGAAATTTACTTTTATCCACATTCTGAATTCCACTTCTGCCATTTCAGCCATCTCAGCCTCAGTCCAGTTCCAGACTCTTGCTGGAGATGTGATGTTGTCATCTGGAGGAAAGACAGCACTCTGGCTTTTTGAGTTTTCAGTATTCTTGCACTGATTTTTTTTCTCATCTTTGTGGACTTATCTACCTTCAATCTTTGAGGCTGCTGACCTTTGGATTAGGTGTTTGTTTTTTCTTTTACCAGTCTAGCCCCTTTTCTGTAGGAATGCTGCAGTTTTCTGGGGGTCTGCTCCAGGCCCTGCTTGCCTCAGATTTTCTAGTACCTGGAAGTATCACCAGTGAAGGCTGCAAAACAGCAAAGATGGCAGCCTGCCCCTTCTCCTGGAAGCTCCCTCCCAGGGAGGTATGGACTTGTTGCTGGCCCAAACGCACCTGTAGTGGGTGACTAGAGACCCCAGTTGGGAGGTCTCACCCAGTCAGGAGAAATGGGATTAGAGACCTGCTTTTAGAAGCAGTCTGGCCACATTGTTGTAGAGCAGCTGTGCCATGCTAGGGTATCACTTCCACCTGGTCAGCTTGGGCTCTCCAAAGCCCACAGGCTGGAACAGCTGAATTGCACAAATTCCCCAAAGAGCAACAATGGTGGCCCATTTCATCCCAGGTAGGTGTGACACTGTTTCTGGTGGTTGGCTGGAATTCCAAGCCATTGTGTCTTATCCTGTGAGATGCCACAGAAATGGGGCCCACAGACCATTGCTGCTCAGCCCTCTGGATTCAGCCCCCCTTCCTAGGAGTGTGGATAAAGGTCTAACCTCCTGCCTTGCCAGGAAGCCTGGAGCCAGAGTATGTAAAGCTCCTGGGCTTCCATGCATGCCTGAGCAGCTGCTCTGTCAAGACTCCATGCAGCCCTGTGTATCAGACTGAAGGCCCTGGTGGAGTGTGGTCACGAGGGAGTCTCCTGACCCAAGGGTTGCAAGGGTCCATGGGAGAAACATGGTTTCCTGGGGTTGCACCTTCACTCACTGCTTTCCTGGGTGGGGGACATTCCCGTGGCTCCATGTTGCTCTTGGGTGGGTCATCATCCTATCATGCTTTTCTTCATTCTCCATAGCTTATTTCCTTGATTAGTCCCAACATGCGTACCTGGATGCTTCAGTTGAAGATGCTATATTAACTCACCTTTTTCAATGCTTCAGTTGAAGGTGCTGTATTAACCACCTGTCCATGAGAGCCACAGACCGTAGCTGCTTCTAGTCAGCCATCTTGGCCCCACCTCTACAATGACATTTTCATTTTATAACCTTTGGAGGTTTCATAACTAGGGAAAGCGTGCTGGTACTGATAATTAGTAACCTTTTACAGTACTTAGTAAAAACATTTTAATGTCTTTTATTTATTTTCTTTTTTTTTTTTTTAACGGAGTCTCGCTCTGTCACCCAGGCTGGAAGTGCAGTGGTGCGATCTTGGCTCACTGCAGCTCCACCTCCCAGGTTCACACCATTCTCCTGCCTCAGCCTCCCGAGTAGCTGGGACTACAGGCGCCCACCACCACGCCCAGCTAATATTTGGTATTTTTGGTAGAGATGGGGTTTCACCATATTAGCCAGGATAGCCTTGATCTCCTGACCTCGTGATCCACCCGCTTCAGCCTCCCAAAGTGCTGGGATTACAGGCGTGAGCCACTGCGCCCGGTCCTTTTATTTATTTTCTACGTTGCATATTCACTGTATGGCCTGGGAGAAAAGACGGCTGGTTTTTAAAATTCTCAGATTGGTAATTTGTTCCTCCTTCTAAGTCTTTGCCTTTGGTTTAAAAGAAAACATACCCTTTACTTTGTCTAAGTTAAGGTATAATTTCACTGTATCCATCAGTAAGTAGTACTTAATCTAATATAGAACTTGAATTAAGTCATAGAGTGAGGCTTTTTTGCTTTAAGAAAAAAATCTTACTGCTTTTTCAAAACAACCCAGCTTGTTTCTTGTTACTATAATAATCCATACTTATAATTACTCATCTAACCTAAAGGAAGACAAGAGAATCTGGTGTTTTGTATGTAAGATCTATAAAACCTACAGTCAATTAATTTCACCCTGTAATAATTGTAGATAATCTGAAAACATGAAGTAATTTATTTATAATCCAAAAGGATCATGTAGGTTACCATGTTTATGTGATCAAATTTTAGTTGTTATAAATAGATCATCTACAAATAAATCTTTAAAAATAATTATCAAGTTTTTTTCTCTGCCTTTCACTTTGTGTTACTTCATACAGAATAAAATCTGTATAGCTATAATCTGGCATTGATTGAATTGCCTCATTGTGTCTACAGGCATTCCCCCAAATATACCACAAATATACCACATGCTCTTCCATATCATATTCCCCCAAATATACCACATGCTCTTCCATATCATATTCCCCACTTTCTGGGCACTTTCCCTAAAAGACAGATCTTGGAACATGTTAGTTTTTCTGCCTAGAATGCCTTCCCTATTGTTTTTTAGCAAAGTCCCATGGATACCTTAAGTCTTACCTTTAATGCTACCACTACAGTAAAGCTTTCCCTATCTCCACCAAGCAAAGTGACCACACGTTTTGCACTTTGCTCAGTAGGATTTATCTGAGTTTATCTGTGTTTATCTGAGTTTATTGTGTTAATTCATCTGAGTTTACTGTTTATCTGTTTATTAGATCCTGAGTTTCTTGATGGCAGATACTGTGTTTTCTTCATATTCATGTTTCCAGAAACTAATTATAGCACTTACCTCAAACAAGTGCTCACTAAATATTTATGGAATTAATGGATTTATTTTCATGGTTCCCTCTCGTCATCCAAAACAGGACGCCATATAACTGTCCCAGATCACTCATGTCTACACAGGAAGCATAAACCAATTGATGGCTACAGACAGAGGGTATAAAATGACCCAGAAGGCCAAACAGACCCAAACAGACTCTATTGGGAAGTCTGTCTCGGCCAGTGAACAGGAAGTTCACAAAAATAACTGTTTCTTTCAAAACGCAACATTTCTCCGTCACACAAAGGGTCTCAGTTAGTTGACAGCCTTTAAAACATAAGTTCTTTATTCCAAATTATATAATTGGCATGGAAAGAAAAATGACCTTGGAATATTAATCTTAAAAATGTAAGTTTTCTTTTGTTTAAAAAGAAAATAGGCTGGGGGTGGTGGCTCACGTCTGTAATCCCAGCATTTTGGGAGGCTGAGGTGGGCAAATCACCTGAGCTCAGGAGTTCGAGACCAACCTGGGCAATAGGGGCAAAAACCCATCTCTACTAAAAATACAAAAAATTAGCCAGGCATGGTGGTATATGCCTGTAATCCTAGCTACTCAGGAGGCTGAGGGAGGAGAATCGCTTGAACCTGGGAGGCAGAGGTTGCAGTGAGCCCAGATAGTGTCACTGCACTCCAGCCTGGGCAACAGAGCTAGATTCCTTCTAAAAAAAAAATAATAAAATAAATAAAAATTTAAAGAATAAAAATAAATAAAAGGAAAATAACGAGAAAACTAAAGTAAGGAAAGGAGCCAAGAAAAAGTATCCCAAGTTATCTTGAAATTGAATAAGTGATTTCAACTTTTCAGACTGCCTAAGAACAAAATGCAATAGAAGTAACAAAAACAACCCCTTTTTTCTCTTATGTGATCCACTCTTACTAAGAATATAAATAAATAAACCAGACAGGGTAGCATGTGCCTGTAGTCCCACATACTTGGGAGGCTGAGGATAGCATGAGCCCAGGAGTTCAAAGTTGCAGTGAGCTAAGATCATACTACTGCAATCCAGCCTAGGTGACAGAGAGAGATAACTTCTCAAAAAAACAAACAAAAACAGAGAGCTAGAAGTTGGCTGCCTGCTTTGCTGCTTTGAAAACTGATTGTATAAATTGGAGTTATCTTGTCATACTCAAATATAAGTTGAGAGACCAAGGGGAGGAAAAGAAAAACACTTGGTGGGTACAAGCACCTACCCAGGAATTATCTCACAAGCCAGTTACTACAAGACCTGCTAAAACTGTAAGACCAGTTTTACCTAGTAGCTGCTGAAATGAACTGTCATAATGTTAAGACTAGTTTTACCTACCACTGTCACTCACCAATCAGCTTGCCCACTCCTGGCAATTTCCACAGGGCCAGTGAGTTTTCTTTCAAAACAATACATAATATTTCTTTTTCTAATAAAACCCCCAATGTTTTCTTTGTTTTTCGGACATATCCCTGGTCTGTGTATATGCTCTGAATTGCAAATCTGTTTTCCCAAATAAAACATTTTGTTTTGAGATACTTCTCTACATTTTATTTGACTTTGACACTGCCTATCACCTATAGCTCAGATGCTGTTGTTTACTACAAGTATGCTCTAAGATCTTCAGAAAGATGTGGGAATTCCGCTCTAATCTATTAACAAATGCTTAAGGAGCACCTCTAGAAAAAGCACGTCATGAATTTACAGAAAGGAAGTTAACATCAGGGTCATGAGCAGGCTGATTTACCATAAAACAAAGGAAGCTTAAGTTTCTTTTTTTGTTGTTTTGTTTTTGAGACGTAGTTTCGCTCTTGTTGCCCCGGCTGGAGTGCAATGGCATGATCTCGGCTCACTGCAACCTCCGGCTCCTGGATTCAAGCGATTCTCCTTCCTCAGCCTGCCGAGTAGCTGGTATTACAGGCGCCCACCAGCATATCCAGCTAGTTTTTGTAGTTTTAGTAGAGATGGGGGTTTCACCATGTTGGCCAGGCTGGTCTTGAACTCTTGACCTCAGGTGATCCACCCACCTCAGCCTCCCAAAGTGCTGGGCTTACAGGTGTGAGCCACCACACCCAGCTCAGGAAGTTTAAGTTTCTATCAATGTGTTTACATGGTCATACAATTTTGTAAAATTTGCAAAAATAAGATACTTTACTTCAATCAAGTAAGGCTACTGACTCCTTCCACTCTGACTTTCTTTCTATCATACTTCCTCTCATGTGGATGAGTGCTGGAGTGGCCACAAACATTTTGAGATTCGAGGGGAAGCTAAGTTGGTGGTATATTTAGTTTTAGTTTAGTACAGTGTATATGTGGTTTGCAATTACTTCCACATATAAGTAAGTTATTACCAGCTGTTCCCAACCTAAGAATGACTTTCAGGGATATATCTACCACTGTGCTAACTAAGCCAATGCCATAATATGACAGTGCTGGCTAGAGCTTGTTTCACCATATGTTTGATACTATGATGAAAGATATTTCTCACTGTTCCTCAATTATGCTTGCACTGCGTCCTTGGCCTCTGCTCTTCTCTTTCTTTCTTTGTTTCTTTCTTTCTTCCTTTCTTTCTTTTTTCTTTCTCTCTCTCTCTCTTTCTGTCTCTTTTCTTTTTTCTTTCTCTCTCTCTCTCTTTCTCTCTCTTTTCTTTTTTCTTTTCTGACAAGGTCTCACTCTGTTGCTCAAGCTGGAGTGCGGTGGCTTAATTATAGCTTACTACAGTCCTGAACTCCAGGGCTCAAGCAATCCTCCCACCTCAGCCTCCCAAATATCTGGGACTATAGGCGTGCACCACCATGCCTAGCTAATTTTTATTTTGATTTTATTTATTTATTTATATATTTTTTTGAGATGGAGTCTGTCTCTGTCACCCAGGAAGGATTGCAGTGGCATGATCTCAGCTCACTGCAACCTCTGCCTCCCAGGTTCCAGCGATTCTCCTGCCTCAGCCTTCTGAGTAGCTGGGATTACAGGTGCTTGCCATCACACCAGGCGAATTTTTGTATTAGAGATGGGGTTTCACCGTGTTGGCCAGGTTGGTCTCAAACTCCTGACCTCAGTGATCTGCCCGCCTCAGCCTCCCAAAGTGCTGAGATTACAGGCGTGAGCCACTGTGCCTGGCCACTATTTTTTTTTTATTTTTTGTAGAGATGGGGTCGCGCTTTGTTGTAGAGGCTGTCTCAAACTCCAGGCTTCAGGCGATCCTCCTGCCTTGGCCTCCCAAAGTGCTAGGATTACAAGTATGAGCCACCACGCCCAGCCTGCTTTTGTTATTTCTTCCACCTAGCCTTGCATTCCCACTTCCTCAAACAAAAATCCTACATGTTTTTCAAGATCAGATCAAATGCCACCTCTTCAACAAAGCCTTCCCAAGTATGGAATAAATCTCTCCATCTGTTTTCCATCAAATTGCTTTTTGTTTGTGTCTCTATTTTAAAACAAGTAAACCCTATGTTGTATTTTAGTTATTTGTTAACATGACTATCTCTTCCACTAGACTGTAAACTTTTTAAGTATTACCTAACTTTATATTTCTCACAGCATCAAACATGATATCTAAATCATGATGCCTAGACAATGTTGATTTGAACTTAATTTTTTAACTTGGTCTGCTCTTTTGTTAACATGAAACTGAAAATATCTATTTGTCTAATCCATTATTTTTGATATTAGAACAGAGCTTCCCCCACAAAGTTATAGAGATTATAGAATGTATATATAAATATATATATATACACACATATACATATCATTCATATGTAAACAATTAACAATCTAATAATCTTAAGTCTTAGTGGCTTCACAAAATGAAGTTCTAGGTAGTAAGTTAATCTTTGTAAGACTAAGGGCTTAAAAGAAAAGACCACGGCCGGGCGCGGTGGCTCACGCCTGTAATCCCAGCACTTTGGGAGGCCGAGGCGGGCGGATCACGAGGTCAGGAGATCGAGACCATCCCGGCTAAAACGGTGAAACCCCGTCTCTACTAAAAATACAAAAAATTAGCCGGGCGTAGTGGCGGGCGCCTGTAGTCCCAGCTACTTGGGAGGCTGAGGCAGGAGAATGGCGTGAACCCGGGAGGCGGAGCTTGCAGTGAGCCGAGATCCCGCCACTGCACTCCAGCCTGGGCGACAGAGCGAGACTCCGTCTCAAAAAAAAAAAAAAAAAAAAAAAAGAAAAGAAAAGACCATTGAAGGTCACAATTTGCATATTGATCTAACTGTATGCTTATTCTCTTACAAACATGTAATTGACTTTGCTTTCATCGGATTTTGGTTCTAAACCAATTTTATCAGTTGTAGTCTCACTGGTAATTTCAGTGAAGTATGAGAAACAGATGTTAGTTAAGAAGATAGCATGTATACACTAATCTGGATAACAGATTTAATACATACTGGATATACTGCTTTGTAGGCATTGGATTTGATCAATAGCTGTGCTCCATTCTTACTACATTTCTTGGGGTATGAAGTATTTCACAGTTAAGATCTGATTTAGTCTAAAGTTTATCATACAGAGAAAATACACAACTGAACAATGATTGGAAGCATCATCAAGTCCTTATCTGGTATAACAGTAGGATAATTAATTGCAATAATAAATCTTCTCTCACTGAGTACTAGAGTTTTAAAAATTGTCTTTCCTATAATGACTGATAGTAGTAGAAAATGCACTGATTTGGGAATCAGAAGACTTAAGTTGAAACCTGGCTGTGCCATTTATCAGTTGTAGAAGTCTGAGCAAGATGTTTTAACTCAGTATCTCTGTTTTAACATCTGTGAAATGGGAATAATGATATTCCATAATAATACTTGTTCTGCCTATCTTTTTTCTAAGAGACAGTGTCTCACTCTGCCATCCATGGTGGAGGGCAGTGATGTGATCATAGCTCACTGTAACCTCCAACTCCTAGGCTC
The DNA here is from genome assembly GCF_000001405.40 of Homo sapiens. NCBI lineage: Eukaryota > Metazoa > Chordata > Mammalia > Primates > Hominidae > Homo > Homo sapiens. The sequence continues at coordinate 26,980,811 of NC_000007.14, forward strand.
AAAATGTCCTCCCACCTCAGCCTCCTGAGTAGCTAGGACTACAGGCATGCATCACCACGCCTAGCTAATTTATTTATTTATTTTATTTTATTTTTTTGTAGAGATGGGATCTTGTAATGTTGCACAGGCTGGTCGCAAACTCCTGGACTCAAGTGATCCTCCCACCTCGGCCTCGCAAAGGGCTAGGATTACAGGCATGAGCAACTGCACCCAGCCTTGTTCTGTCTATCTTATAGGTCTGTTTTGAGTAGTAGATGGAACTTATTCATTGATTCATTAGTACGTCTTTAGTGCCTATTAGATTCTATGACAGATAATGCATATTGAAGAGGTGTATAAATTTCAAAGCCCTATAGAAATAAAGAAATTATTTAATTTAGAAAATATTTGATTTGGAATATTTAATATTGGAGTAAGTGGAACCTTTGGGATATCTTACTAAACAGAAAAGACTATCCTTTTAATTTTTTAATGTAATACTGTTTATTTAACTTCAAAAACATTTCGGCTTTCTAAACATACAAAAAAAATAACAGAACATTGCAAATCGTGTTTAAGTACAGGAGGTTCTTGAACTTACAACATTTTATTTTTATTTTTATTTTTTTTGAGATGGCGTTTCGCTCTCGTTGCCCAGGCTGGAGTGCAATGGCTCAATCTCAGCTCACCGCAACCCCCACCTCCCGGGTTCAAGCGATTCTCCTGCCTCAGCCTCCCAAGTAGCTGGGATTACAGGCATGAGCCATCACACCCAGCTAATTTTGTGTTTTTAGTAGAGACGGGGTTTCTCAATGTTGGTCAGGCTGGTCTCAAACTCCTGACCTCAGGTGATCCACCCACCTTGACGTCCCAAAGTGCTGGTATTACAGGCATGAGCCACCACATCCAGATGAAGTTCTTGAACTTTCACTGATGCAGTGGCTCTTCGCTTTGCTGACAATGAACTGTTTAAACTGTTGTTTAAAAACAAACAGTTTAGGCCAGGCGTGGTGGTTCACGCCTGTAATCCCAGCACTTTGGGAGGCCGAGGTGGGTGAATCACAAGATCAGGAGTTCGAGACCAGCCTGGCCAACATGGTGAAACCCTCTCTCTACTAAAAATAAAAAAATTAGCTGGGCATGGTGGTTTGTGCCTGTAATCCCAGCTACTCAGGAGGCTGACACAGGAGAATTGCTTGAACCCAGGAGGCGGAGGTTGCAGTGAGTTGAGATCGCACCATGGCACTCCAGCCTGGGCAACAGAGAAAGACTCTGTCTCAGAAAAAAAAAGAGAGAAAAAAAACATTTAAAAACTACCACACTTAACAAAAATAAAAACCTTCTCATGCCAGCTGACCCCCCTTTGTCCACAGCTAAGATGGCAGCAGAATGCTATGTCACTATATACAGAAACAAGACAACCTGAAGCTAAATGGATGCCCACTGCAGAGTCAACAGGTCCAGCCTCACAGTGCATATCCTGAGCTACAGCCCCTTCAAAAGGCATCTTCCCCATAGCCTCAACGCCGAGCAAGGAGCATTAAGAGTTTGTCTCGGTTGTTTTGTTCTTTTTACAAACTATAGACATATACAGTTGATAACTCAGGATTTCTAGCCAATAACCATATAGTTAAAACCACCTTACAAATAAAAAAAAGCCAGAAACATCTTTTAAATGCCTTGTCACACCAACAGCAAAGTGCACAGAGTGAGGAGAACACGAGAATGCCTTATCATTTTTAAAATGTTTGGAAATATGTACAACTTTGATAAAGTTTCAGGGTGCTCCAGACACCCATGGCCACTTCATGTAAACCACTGACAATTTCTAGAGCACTTTGAGAGACTACAATATGATTGTGATCAAATTTTGTAATTAAACCTAATGAAGGCAACAGACACTTCTCAAATAAGAGATGTGTCAATTATGGCGCTCCTCTACTCTAAGTATTCACATGGAGACAGATAAACAGTTTCTTTATTCATCCTCCTCCTCCTCCTCCTCTTCTTCTTCTTCGCCTTCTTCATCTTCCTCTTCCACCTTTTTCCAGGCAACATTAGCAGGACCCTCTGCGCCATCAAACTTTCCTTTCGACTTATAGTCAGGAACATCCTTCTCCTACTTCTCCTTCAGCTTTGCCGCCTTAGTGATGTAGGGCTGCTTTTCACTGTCATTTAAGTTATTCCACATCTCACCCAGCTTTTTCGCCATGTCTCTAATAGAGATGGTGGGGTTTGTAGATTTGATCTTGGGGCCTAATTCTGAACAGAACAGGAAGAATCCAGACAGTGGCCTTTTGGAGGCATTAGGATCCTTCTTCTTCTTGGCTCCCTTAGCTGGTCCATAATCCTTCATTTCCTGATCATAGCGCATTTTATCCGCCTTTGTTATTTCATCAAATTTAGATTTATCTTTCCCAGACATTGTCTTCCACCTCTCAGAGCACTTCTTGGAAAATTCTGCAAAATTGACAGGGACCTCTGGGTTTTTCTTCCTATGTTCTTCTCTGCACGTCTGCACATAGAAGGCATAAGCAGACATCTTGCCCTTTGGTTTCTTGGGGTCACCGTTAGCCAATCTGACTGTATTGTTCGCTAGTCTGGGCAGCGCAGGGCACAATGCATGGCTCAGTGCTCCCCAGCCTTGTGCTAGCTGCCTCCATGAGAGCCCGACTATCCTTTTAATTGATACAAAGCCCTGCCTCCATGGCTTAGACAAAAGACAAACATTTCCGCATTTTCTCCCTAATCTAACAGCAATGGTGAACTCACATATGTAGGAAATTCTAAGTATGTGTGTATGTATGGATATATATAATATGTATGTATTTATGTATGTGTATATACATATATATACCTATGCGTGTACTGATGTATAAACACACAAACATATCCAATTGTCATTCTCAAGGCCCCAGGACTTGCACATAGTTGAATTCTAAGGCAGCTGCTGCCATGGGATTAGGTCCAGATCAGGACTGTTCGAGCAAGACAGCAAAGGTCAGAATCACACCCAGGATGCCCTAGGAAGTCCAGGACACTAGCTAGTCAAAAATATTTATGTGATCACTTCTCAGGCTTTTGGCTAAGATTGAATGCAAACTTATTTATTTGCCTTATCCATTTGTGCAGTCAGTCCTAAATGCCACAGGGAGAGAGGGAAACAAACTGAAGAAAACATAGTCCCTAACCTTGAACTGCTCACACACTCCACTGAAAAGCAGAAAAGGCACAAGAAAATGTCTTCAGAGAACACTTACAGAACAGCCCAAGTGCAAATGAATACCATGTCATATAGCTTTTCTCTTTCTTCATCCTTCACTTAGATCCCAACAAAATAATCAAGAAAGCCACTTCTCCCCCAAGAGAGAGAAAAAGTATTCACAATATGCCAGTCACTAAACTGAATTCTTTACTTGAAGAAACAGAGACTCAGAGAGTTTAAATAAGTTTCCCAAACGAAGTCACAGACATACTAAATAGCATGGACAGTTTCAAACTGAAATCTTTATGATTCCAATGCTCTTAACCACTACACCATATGGTAACTTGTAAATAGCACTGAAAACTGTAATAATGTTATTGGGCATTTTTTTGAGAATTGTATGAGAATTAAGAATTGTTTTAAAAATGGTTAAGAAAATTCTATTTAGATCACTTCTATGTCCCACTCATAACACATGAAAACCACTGCTGCAGATTGAGTACAAAGGTACTACACAGTGAAGATGGATCTGAATTGAATCCAACGGTGAACTGAAAGGATGTGAGAGACTAAGTTAGTAAGAGTTGCCAAGATCACTCTTCTTCTTCAGAGAACTGAGTTAGTAGAGGAAAGAAAGCTGGGCAGGCAAATCTGATTAGGATGAGGCGTTTTCATGATAGCCACACCCTACTCCACCTAGAGCAGACCCAAACTCCAGGAGTGACCCAAACACAAACTGAGGTTCTCGGGGTCAAAGGATTCCCTCTTTTATGAACAAAATATGTCTCCACGCCTCTCTGCACATGCTGTTGCCACTCCCTGGAACACTCTTTCCCACATATCCCTAGTAAGATATTTCTCTCAAAAAGCTCAAATTGGCCAGGCATGGTGGTTCACACCTGTAATCCCAGCACTTTGGGAGGCCAAACTGGAAGGATTGTTAGAGGCCAGGAGTTCAAGACCAGTCTGGGCAACAAAGTGAAACCTCATCTCTACAAAAAAAAATTAAAATTAGTCAGGTGGGGTGGTCCCAGCTATTCAGGAGGCTGAGGTAGGAGGATCACTGGAGTCTAGGAGGTTGAAGCTGAGGTAAGCCATGATCTCGCCACTGTACCACTGTACTCCACCCCATCTAAAATTTAAAAAAATAAAAAGCTCAAATATCAGGATTATAGCACTGCCTTCTCTGACTCTCCCAAGCAAACAGAATTACTAGTAGTTAACACCACTATTATAGAATTTGGAGTGTAAGTGTGTGTATCCCCTCACCATTCTGATTAGCTGAATTCACTTATAAATTGCTTAATCCACGCAACAGTGTTGCACAAGACTGCAGGTTGTTCAAACCATTCTTTTTTTTGAGATGGAGTCTGGCTCTGTCACCCAGGCTGGAGTGCAGTGGCACAATCTCGGCTCACTGCAAGCTCTGCCTCCTGGGTTCACGCCATTCTCCTGCCTCAGCCTCCCGAGTAGCTGGGACTACAGGCGTCCGCCACTACGCCCAGCTAATTTTTTGTATTTTTAGTAGAGACAGGGTTTCATCGTCACTGAGTTCACGAGGTCTCGATCGCCTGACCTCGTGATCCTCCTACCTCGGCCTCCCAAAGTGCTGGGATTACAGGCGTGAGCCACCACGCCTGGCCTCAAACCATTCTTAAAGTCAAACTGTCTCTCTAAAATATTTAGAAACGTATTCACATTAATAAAGATATCATTACTGCAAGTGAACTACATCTTTATTTGAAATGAAGGCATGTTCTGTCCCTAAAGTTGGGCCAGGAAGAATGTTTATTCTACTCATTTTGCAGTAGGAAACCTTTACATATCTGAGGGCCCAGAGAGTTACTTCATATGCCTGAAGCTTGAACTATGGAGAGGCTACATAGTGAAGTAGGAAGACCACCAGGTTAACAATCAGGAAACATGGATTACAGTCCTAACAGGCTTGCAAGTCACTGAAACTTGGGCCTCAGGTTTCTTTCTCTAAAATAAGAGAGTTGGTTGGATCAGATGTTTTCTCATGCCCTTTTCTGCTTGATACTATAGTATTAATATATGATTTTACTATAAAATAAGAATACTAGAATTCAAGAAGCAATGCAAAATCAGAAATAGGCTTTGAATGAAAGTATGACAGCACAGGAACCCAAGAAAACAGTTCATGAGCCTGTCCCAGAACACAACAGAAGCACAAACAAAGCCCTCCTCATACAATCCTCTTCTACCTTCACCCTTAAAGGTTGAACCTTGCTTGAACCTCTGCTTCTCCATCTTTTCCTCATTGCCTCCAATTAAACCATTCTTTATTTTTCTTCTGGATTACAAATCCATCATAAAGTGATGAAGTTTCATAAGAATTCTGCATAATTATTGCTCCTAGACTTTGCAGAAAGCAGTGTGTGATTGAAAGGCATACAGACCATGTTTCCCATTGCATATATATATGTAGGTATACATATAATTTAATGATGTTATCTTCACACACACACATGCATACACACACAAATACCCTCACAAAAACCATATCCTACATTATTCAAATCAATATTGATTAGAATTTTGTAATTCAAGTTCTATGAAAATACTTATTAACATTTCATCATTTTATACCTCAGATAAGCACACAATGCTTTTCCAAACTATTCAGTTTTGCTGTGGAACAAATATCTTTATTAAATGAATATTCATCAATAATGAAACACTAACTATAGTGTTTGAATATTTTAAGGTTACTAATGTACTGCTAGTCAAAAATGTTTTAGAAATCCAAACTTTTGCAAATATGCCTCTATTCACAACAAAGTATTTATATGTGAATGTCATGATATCTGGGATTTTCTTTAAAATACTCCTCCAGCACCTCTCCCAAATAGTGGGGAGGATAGATGAAACAAGATCCCCAAAATGTTATAATTTATCAAAGCCAAATGATGGATACATAGGAATCCATTATACTATTCTCTCTACTTTTGTGTATGTTTTCATTTTTCCATAATAAAAACAGATTTTAAAAAAAATAATGCCTTGAGCTGGGTGCAGTAGCTCACACCTGTAACCCTAGCTACTTGGGAGGCTGAGGGTAAAGGACTGCTTGAGCCTGAGAATTTGAGGCTGCAGTGAGCTGATTGTGCTGCCACTGCACTCCAGCCTGGGTAACAGAATAAGATGCTGTCTTCAATAAATAAATAAATAAAATGACTCTACGCTAGTGGCCTGAAACATATAAACGCATAACAAATGTGTGTTGAATTAAAGTGCATAAGAAGAAACAATAAACAAATAATAAAGAAATAAAGCTAATAAGTAGAAACATTTTTAAATTTCAATGAAGACTACTGTAACCATTGAGAAATTAAATTATATTCCTGGGTCCCTTTAGTGTTTGTTTCCCTTATACATTATATAATTTTTCAATCCTATTGCCTTATTTTGTGATCTTAAGATCACATCAAAGGGTGAAAGGTGGCTTGTATATCATCAATGATTAACATTTACAAAGTCCCCACTATGTAAACACACAGCACTCTGCTGGACTCCTTTTAATATATAAGACAATAGCATGGAGTGCTAGCCAATGAGAACCGTCTTTATGAGACCGCAGGAAGATATAAAAAACAAAAGTCATTCTCATATAGAAAATGCATTTCATTACGTTTGTGTTTATCACCATGTGCTCTAATTCTCCTATACTTGTTATCACTTGCTAACTGTATTAATCCAAATGAGCTGCTGCCACTATATGCAACATCAAACCACAGTGACTTAACCCACTATGTATCAACTTTTAGAACTAAATACTACTTTTGAGATGATCTGTCATTCACAACTATGACTTCTCATAATGTTCATAATGTATTCATTGTTCCAATGTAACCATTCAATTTTTCCTAACTACTCACTAATATGTAAATATCTATCTAAGGCAGTCTTTTAAGAGTTTCACTTCTCATTACCATGCAAAGATTGAAAAAGAGGGATATCCCAAAAAGAAAAATCATTCTCTCCTGAAAAAGTAGCCACAAGGGCCTTACTCCAACATTTAAACTTGGCAAGATTTTCATCAGCTAGAATCTAAATTGCTTTAGAATTTCGGTGGGGTGGAACATGTGTGTGAACAAAACACTTTAATTAGGCTGGGCATGGTGGCTCATGCCTATAATCCCAACACTTTGGGAGGCCGAGGCAGGAGAATCCTTTGAGGCCAGGAGTTTGAGACCAGCCTGGTCAATATAGTGAGACCCTAACTCTACAAAAAAATGTTTTAAATACTTTAATTATCTATTTCTACCTATAATAGAGCCTTAGGTCAGTATTTTTCTCTTCATTTTTGCCATGCTTTTTTAAGATTAAAAAAGGAGGTCTTTTGACTTAAGAGACATAACAATCAGATGTAAAACATTAACCATGAATGGATCCCAGTTTGGAAAAAAAGTATAAGCATTTGGGGAACAAATGGAGAAATTTGAATATAGATAGGTTATTGGATGATATTTGGGAATTATGTTAATTTTCTTAGTTGTAATAATGGCATTGTGGGTAGATAGAAAAATGGCCTTATTTTTAGAAAGTCTTTGCTGAAGTATTTAAGGGTGAACTGTCGGTCATATCTGCAACTTTATCTGAAATGGTTCACAGATACATAGATAGACAAAGGCAAAATAGTAACAACTGGTGAATCTAGGTAGTGTACATAACTTCCTGTATGCTTGAAATTTTTCAAAATAAATACTTTTTAAAAAGCTGTTTTTCTGGGGGTGGGGAAGGAAACTTTACTTAGACATGCTAAATGGTGACCTAGGAGAATAATGTATGAGGACTGATGTCCCCTTTTGACCTAGAAGTGTACTTTTTAAACCAGGTTACTTACTGCCCAAGGGTTCCATAGCTGGGGAAGATACAATGAGAAATTAAGTACATAACAAAGGTATCAGTGATGGTTATCATCACCTCAGCAAACCGCCGTACCCTCAGTACACAGTGCCCTCAGCCACCATCTCCAGATCAATATGGCTATCAATGACAGATGGCCAAAGCATCCCTATTCACTCAGGTCATTCTTAGTTCACACGGTCCGACAGGATTTAGGAGTCTTGTGTCATTAGACTGTCTTTAGAAAACAACCTAGCCATTAACGGCGGAAGCAGAGTAAAGTTGTATGTCAGACAGCTCACTGTTGACAGTTTAAATACACTCAGAAAGCTTAAAACATGTTGATTTTCTGTGTACTACGATTACATTTTTACTGGCAGAGAACGTATCATTAAAACGTAAATGCATGTTGAAAGCAAAGCTATAAAAAGACTTTTCTGTCACAAACCATTTCTAGACCCACCATAGCTAGGAAGAAAAAGTAATATTGTTCAGCACTGATTTGATCAAAATTGTAATTGCTGTGGAAAGGAGAAGGGACTTTGGCTCAAATATAATTTTTAATATAGTTTATACTTCACAGAATCTGATTTGGGATCCATTTAGTTAAGAGACAGTCACAGTAAAACAGGTACCTACCTTTACAGTAATATTTCATGAGGATATTAACAATTTCCTAATTATTGCAATATTAACCCTTTATTACATGGTCCAATATTTTCACTCTTAATCATTCAGTTTGTCCCTTGAGTTATCTAAGGTAAGGTATCACCACTTTTGCCCAAAACGTATAAATGCTCAAGCAACACAAAGCAATACTGATGAGGCCCTATATTTACTACGAATAAATATTCTTCTGTATTTCAGTTATTAAATAAATCCTACTCACTAGGAATTAGGATCTAAGCAAACATAGTTTTATGAATAGCCAATAAATTAGTTACGGATGCATAGGGAAATCCATTTAATTTCAAGCAAGACCTTGAAATACATTTAGCCATTTATGTCTATGACATACAAATAACAGACTTATTACTATCACAGGGTAAATTCCTTCTTGCTCAAGTACTACTGACTTCATTATCTGAGGATTGGACATGGCCCAAAGTTTATTAACTCACAATATTTTCCTTCACAGCAGTATTTCCATGAACAGTTGCTTTAAATTGAAAAAACAGATCCATAGTTGTTAGGGGAGGCAGAAGAGGATGGTTTAGCATTGGTGAGCGATGTGGTCACTGAGTACAAGGCCCTGTTCTAGTCAAAGAAAAGTCACAAATACTCCATTTAGAAAGAGGCCTTAAATATTTTCTAGGAAGAATGAAAAATAATTTCTTTAGGGAGGAACATCCCTCAGTCAAATTTCAAAAATAAATGGTAGCATTTATATAATAGTTGCCATAATGCTTCCTCACTAACAAGAGAGAGAACTCAAAAATAAAAGAATCTTGGCCTCTAGAAAAAGCAGTGGGAAACCTCTGGCCCTTAGTTTAATTTCTTCCAGCTACACCACGAAAAGTTTTCTAAAACTAAGTGTGCTTTGTGCCTCCCTTCTCTACCATTAAGAGCAACAAATACAGCTGTGCAAACAGCAGGAATGTGTGTTCCTGTGGTAAGACGCATGTCCTGGCTCTTCCTAGAGGAATTCTTTTTCAGACATGTCCACAATCTTCTGAGTCAGTAGGCTCAAAGAAGGATGAGGGGATTGTGGGCAAGGGTAAACTCCAGCCTGAATCCATAAGAGAAGATATAAGGCAAATTGTTTGGGATTCTTGGGCAACAGAAAGAAAACTTTCTGACAGCTGGCAAGAAAGAAGCTGAGAAAGCAAGAAATATTGCTATTCCTCCTGTCCATTTTTATCTTTTTCTCCTCTGCCACCTTCTTTTTTTGATTATAAGAACATAGGCCTTGGAGCCACTGTCAGGGTTTGAATCTCAGTCCATTATGTATTCATTGTTTGATTTGGATAATTTATCTAATATATTATTTGGTCTCTTTTTATATTTTGTGTATCCATTGTATGTTTTTTGGTTTGAGGTTAAAATGAGGTTTACAAATACCATCTTATAACCCATTTATTATAGCTTGATAAAAATTTAACAGTGTTTGCATAAACAAGCAGACAAGCAAAAAGAAAACTAATAGGCTGGGTGTAGTGGCTCAAGCCCATAATCCCAGCACTTTGGGAGGCCGAGGCAGGTGGATCATTTGAGGTCAGGAGTTTGAGACCAGCCTGGCCAACATGGCAAAACCCCCGCTCTACTAAAAATACAAAAATTAGCCAGGCCTGGTGGTGTGCAGCTGTAATCCCAGCTACTCAGGAGGCTGAGGCAGGAGAATCTCTTGAACCCAGGAGGTAGAGTTTGCAGTGAGCCGAGATCACACCACTGCACTCCAGCCTGGGTGACAGAGCGAGACTCCATCTCAAAAAAAAAGAAAAGAAAAGAAAAGAAAACTAATAAAAACTATATAGCTTAACTTCATCTCCCCACTTTTTAACTTTTTTTGTTTCTATTTATTTATTTTTTGAGACAGGATCTTGCTCTGTTGCCCAGGCTGGAGTGCAGTGGCAAAATGGGTGGAATGGTATCTCATGGAGTTTAAGGATTGAATAAAATAATATTAAATACATAGCAGGTGTCTGGTTCATGGTAGGTGCCTGAAAAATATGTTAGCACTTTTCTTCTTCTTTTATTTTGAGTCTTGATTTCTTCTTTGCAACTTTTTTCACATCTGATAGAACTTTGGATCCTGAAGCCAGGCATGGTGGCTCATGCCTGTAATCCCATCCCTTTAGGAGTCCAACACTGCAGGACTGCTTGAGGCCAGGAGTTCAAGACCAGCCTGGGCAACACAACAAGACCCCATCTCTACAAAAAGTTTTTTAAAATTAGCAGGGTGTGGTGGCGTGTGCCTGTAGTCCTAGGTACTTGGGAGGCTGAGGCAGGAGGATTGCTTGAGCTCAGGAGGTCGAGGCTGCAGTGAGCTATGATCATGCCACTGCACTCCAGCCTGGGTGACACCACAAACCAACAAACAAAGAAGTTTGGATCATTTTCTTTGTTACTTATTTTCTATGGATCAGTGACATTGGATAGAAAAATTTCTCAATACTCGGTGTGTGGGATGTTCAACCACAAAGGCTGATGGCTTCATGTTTGTGTGAAACCCAAAAGACTGAGTTTCCTTTTGATCTGATGAAGAACTATTTTCGTAACAAGAAGTTTCAGGGAACCTGGGAATTAGAAAAGAACGCCTGGCTCTTCTCCTTTTGTTTTTTGTTTGTTTGTTTTTGAGGCGGAGTTTCGCTCTTGTTGCCCAGGCTGGAGTACAGTGGCACGATCTCGGCTCACTGCAACCTCTACCTCCTGGGTTCAAGCGATTCTCCTGCTTCAGCGTCCTGAGTAGCTGGGATTATAGGCATGCACCACCATGTCCAGCTAATTTTCTTTTATTTTTAGTAGAAACGGGGTTTCATCATGTTGGCCAGGCTGGTCTCGAACTCCTGATCCCAGGTGATCCACCCGCCTCGGCCTCCCAAAGTGCAGGGATTACAGGCGTGAGCCACCGAGATCTCGGCTCACTGCAAGCTCCGCCTCCCGGGTTCACGCCATTCTCCTGCCTCAGCCTCCCGAGTAGCTGGGACTACAGGCGCCTGCCACAATGCCCGGCTAATTTTATTTATATATTTGTATTTTTAGTAGAGACGACGGAGTTTCACCGTACAGGCCAGAATGGTCTCCATCTCCTGACCTCGTGATCCGCCCGCCTCGGCCTCCCAAAGTGCTGGGATTATAGGCGTGAGCCACCGCCCCCCGGCCCTGTCCTTAATCAACGATTGTTACACTTGCGTTGCCTCTGAAACAATGATACAGAATTTAGGTAGAGACTCCAAGTGGCTGAACAGACTTCAGTGCAGCCTGAGCCCTGGTATAGGTCGTGTATCCTCTCCTCACAGTGAGATTTGGGCTCTGGAGGACTGTCTTATTAAAAGCAAGTTTCAACAGCAGAGAAGTGAGTCTGAACTAGATCTGTAGAGAAAAATTCTGTGTTGAAAGCGAAATGAATCTTAGCTCAAGTTTCAGCATGTTACTTTTGAACTAGCAATGCAAGTACTGTGTTTTTTAAGGATATGGAAGGAACCCAAAAGTCACTGCAGAAAGGAATCGTGATTAAAAAAAAAAAAAAAGAATCAAAGGGTAGGAGAAAGAGAGTAAGAGAAAGAGAGAGAAGGAAACATTTACTCAAGTGGAAGTGTTCTCTTCCTAGCCTCCAAGAGAGCACCCCTTTTGGGTGGGCAGCCTGGGGAAAAGCACTTCAGGAGCAGTTTGCTACAGCAAGCAATGCTGCTGACTGTTCCCTCCTTGGAACTCCTTGGCCCTTTGGGTTTCTGGACACCTCTATTCTAGTCCTCCTTCTCCTGTGCCCTCCCTGATTATTTCCCAGGGCTGACTCCTTAGAGCTTTCTCTTCTCATTCCAGAAGCTCTAGATGAACAAGTTTGTTTATTTCTATGGCTTCTCCTACCCCTTAAATGATAGCAACTCCCAAATGTACCTTTTTAAACCATTCTCTCTTCTAAAACCCACAAGCCAAATTGGCCATCAGTAACTGATTGGTGATCACATCTAAAATCAAAGTTATCTCCATTCCTCCTAAACCTCTTCCCACCATACTTTACCAGTTCCCAGTCAAAGCAGTTCTGAAGTCATTCTTCATTATTTCCTCTAATACAACTACCAAATCTGATCTATCACCAACTGCTATTGAATGTACTTCTAGAATCTCTCTCTAATCTGTACCTATCTTCCAATCCTACTGCCACTGTTTTTTGGGATTTTTTGGTTTGTGTTTCTTTGTTTTGTTTTTTTTTTTTTTGAGACTGGGTCTCACTTTGTTACCAAGGCCGGAATGCAGTGGCGATCATAGCTCACTGTCACCTCAAATTCCTGGGCTCCAGGGATCCTCTCACCTCAGCCTTTAAAGTAGCTGGGACTACAGGCATGAGCCACCATGCCCAGCTAATTTTTTAAAAAATTTTTTGTAGAGATGGAGTCCCGCTATGTCTAGGCTGGTCTCAAACTCCTGGGCTCAAATGATCTTCCCATCTTGGACTCCAAAAGTGCTGGAATTACAGGCATGAGCCATCATGTCTGGCCTACTGCCACTGTCTTATACAAAGCTTTCATCATCTCCTCCCTGGATTCCTAACTTTCATTTCTGATCTTTTTTTCTGGCCAATCTTTGTACCAAAGTGAACTTTCTAAAGCATAAATCTAATATTTTCTTTTTTACTAACTTTAATAACCTTTAATGGGTTCCCTCTGATTCTCAAAATAAAAATCCAAATCCAAACAAGGTTTTTTATAACATTGATGAAGTGTTCCTTGACATCCTCATCTCTTACAATTTCCCCCTCTGCACTCACAAACCTTATTTCAAACCCTGCAGTTTGGCCACAACCGGTTATGTGCCACTCCCCAAGCACAGCATGTTTCTTCATGATTCCTTGCACGTTTTGTTTCCTCTATATGAAATGTTGTTCCCTGCCTGGTGAGCTCCTTCATACTCTAAGATTAAGCTCCAATGTCACTCCTCTGTAAAGCTTTCCCTCACTGCCCAATAGATTACTTATACCTACCTGTGGGATTATTAGTCCTTACCTCTATTGGGGAACCTTTAAAGATACACTGCAAGTACTGGTTTATGTATTTTTCTCCCTGAACAAATGAGACTGACATTGTGAGCTTGTAAAAGATAGGCATTGGCTCTTATTCCTTTTGATGTTCCCAGCTGTTTACCAAATACTCAAGAAATGTTAATGATGTCAAGAGAATTCAGCTTTCCACACAAAGAAAGAACCCCAGGACCCTCCAGAAAGTGCCACCCTTTCCCAGAGAGAACTCTTTAGGCCCATGTAGTCTTGCCCTGTGACTTAGCCCATAGCTAGAATAAGGGCAGAATATATTCCTTCAGCTTAAAAGAGAGACCGATGGGAACAGGGCAGAGAGACAGAAAGACAGAAGGAAGGAGGAAGAGATAGACGACCACTCCTTTGATAATTCAGTGCACTTTTCCCCCCTAGAAAAAGGAACCTTGTTCCTTGATCACAAAATTGGAAAAGAAATAGAACCTTCCCACAATGCTCTGTATTTAGAGGATACTTAAAGAGCACTTGAATTTATTTATTTATTTATTTATTTATTCAAGTGTTCTTTAAGTATACAGGTGAATGCTCTCCAGTTGGTGGGAAATTTGTACTAGAAATAAGGAACTCAGCATCTCACTCACCTTAGTTTGTCCTTCACCAGCCCGTCTTTCTCTTTCTGAGAGCCTTTGTCTCCCTCTCTTCATGTCCAACAAGCAGAGAAAAATTAAAGTGGCACCAGGAAATTTTTCTAGCCTCTATATCCAAATAACCTCTTAAAAACACACTTGATTTACAACTACAACATATGCAACTGAGTATCTAAACTGTAAATCGAATGTAACCATTGTTCCTTTGGACATTTCCTTAATTTAATGAGTGATAAATACACCCTTTAAGGACTATCAGTTCTAATCATTTCCAAATGACTGATTTCCAGTGTGCTGCTACCATACATTTCCTTTATGTAAATAAATAAATATTTCTAAATTGCTTCCATTAATGTATAGAAAAACATTTGTTATTTATTTGTAAATGGTCATGGGAGGATTATAAGCATATTGCCAAATAAAATTCTATAACAATTCTCTTAGTATATTATGTTTGAAAATGCAATATTTATATAGTAGAAACCATAATATTAAAACCCAACAAGCTTCTATAAGTTTGTCCTTTTTAAATTTAAGCTATTAAAATATTTTTGAATATGAGGAGAAATCTTTTAATGCCAATTCCATATCAAAGGTTAGGATTTTGCATTTATACAGAGCAGAGTTCATGAACTCCTGCTAATCATGTTAACAATCTACCAGGTTTCTAAAGGCTCAGCAGGGGTTAGAATTAGAAGGCTCTGCCATCAACATCAATAACAGGAACAGTGACACTCAGAAGAGTTTACCACCGTGCTCTCCTAAGAGGGTTCAGCACATTCAGGCACTGTAGCCCATAACTGAAGGAAATCTATAGTTAGTGATTCCAAAAGGGATCTAGAGGGACACATTATTTCAGATTTTGTTTTAAATAGTGAGTCTTAAAAATTATATATGTGTGTAGGTATACATATTGTGTGCGTGCTAGTATATATACAATATTATGATAGTCATACTTTTTATTTGAAAGAGCCTTACCACTCAAAAGGATTTTGAGTTCAAATTTTTGTTTTGGTAACAAGAAAGACGTGAATGAAATCTCAAATGTTTCTCTGGGAGGCAAGAAAATGGTTTGAATCCCTAATTCAGAATGCAGCCTGTTGGACAAATGATGACTCAAACAATCTCATGTATCCTGGGCCCAAGGCAGGTGGCAAATCAATTCAGAAACACATAAAAACAAAGTGAATACCTTTGAGTTTACAGATATACATTAAAAGCTAATTTCAAAGTATTTTTAAAAATAAACTTTCCACAATATGAATTTGTTATCTATGGATTTCCACAGGCAGGAAAACATGTCCTCTTCCACCCCTTTTTCAAATTCTCACCCAATTCCCTTTCTTCACTCCCTTCTCCATAAAAAACACAATATTCAAATCTTAAGGCCAAGATGGCTAAGGTTTTTGTTGTTGTTGTTGTTTGAGACAGTGTGATGATTAATACTGAGTGTCAACTTGATTGGATTGAAGGATGCAAAGTATTGATCCTGGGTTTGTCTGTGAGGGTGTTGCCAAAGGAGATTAACATCTGAGTCAGTGGGCTGGGAAATGCTTAACCCTTAAGCATTAACATTTGAGTCAGTGGGCTGGAAAATGCTTAAATCCTTAATCTGGGTGGGCACCATCTAATCAGCTGCCAGCACAGCCAGAATATAAAGCAGGCAGAAAAATGTGAAAAGGCTAGACTGGCCTAGCCCCCAGCCTACATCTTCCTCCTGTGCAGGATGCTTCCTGCCCTTGAACATCAGACTCCAAGTTCTTCAGCTTTGGGACTCAGGCTGGCTTCCTTGCTCCTCAGCTTGCAGCCTATTGTGGGACCTTGTGACCATGTGGGTTAATACTACTTGATAAACTCTCCTTTTTATACATATATATCCTATTAGTTCTGTCCCTCTAGAGAACCCTAATACAGATTTTGGTATCAGGAGTGGTCCTAGAGAAACAGAATATTAAGGATGGAGTTCTTTTGTTGGTTTTGGGGTTTCTGCAGTTGACTGCTTAATATGGTTAGACCCAAAAATGCTAAGGACTGTACTTCTAATAGTATGGAAAACACTGATAGTCTTTGGTGTGAACTGTTTAGAGAGTTATACAAAATAAATGCATTTGACACTCCTGATTTGCCACTCATGAGAGACAAGGAGTTTAGTGACTCTGTACATAATACCTTTGACTATATATGGAGAACCAGTGAACATAATGAAGTTGGTTGGTTGCTCCTAAGATCACTGGACAGTGATGAAAGAAAATGATGAACTCAAAGATTCTAACTCGTGGCTTCAGAAGCAGATACTGAGCCTCAAATCCGCTAAGATTGCCCTGAGTGGGAGTTTTATCTCCTGTAGAGAAAGAGCAGAAATTGTGGAAAAACAGATAGCTCTTATCAAGCAAGTGGCTGACTTGCAAAGAAAGGTGCAGGCATAACCTCACCAGGTGTCTACTGTTAAAGTGAGGGCATTAACTGGAAAAGAGTGGGACCCTGCAACTTGGAATGGGGACGTGTGGCCCTGATGAAGGTGGGGACACTGCGCTTGTAAATTCTGATGAACCTTTTTTGCTAGAAGAAACAGCTTCCCCATCCCCAGTAGTGACAATATCCCCTCCCTGACCCACACTGCCATCATCCTTTCCACCTTTGTCTGAGGAGATAAACCCTGCAGTGCCTGAGGCAACTGCGATGGCCTCCCCTGAGGCAGTTGCCAGGCAAGATAATGTTGATTCTCTTCAGGAGCCACCCCCAACACCCCTGTTTATTTCTGGACCCATAATTAAAGTCCTAGAGGTGAGGTTCAGAGTGTGACCCATGAGGAGGTGCACTACACTCGAAAAGAACTGCTTGAGTTTTCTAATTTATATACGCAGAAATCTGGAGAACAGACATGGGAATGGATATTAAGGGTGTGGGATAATGGTCAAAGGAACATAGAGTTAGATCAGGCTGAATTTATTGATTTGGGCCCACTAAGTAGGGATTCTGCATTTAATGTTGCAGCTCATGGAGTTAAAAAAGGCTAAAATAGTTTATTTGCTTGGTTACCTAAAATATGGATTAAAAGATGGCCCACTGTGAGTGAGGTGGAAAAGCCTGATCTCCCTTGGTTTAATATAGAGGAAGGGATCCAAAGGTTTAGGGAGATTGAGTTTAGGTAGAGTGGATTAGTCACTTTAGACCTACTCATCCCGGCTGGGAGGGTCTAGAAGATATACCCTTGAACAATGCTTTGTGAAACAGATTTTTCAGGGCAGCAGTTGCAACTTTGAAGAGCCCTGTAATTGCTCTTCTCTGTATGTCAGATCTAACAGTAGGAACCACAGTCACTCAACTACAAAATTTAAATACTATGGGAATAATTAAATCCCGAGGTGGCAAGGGCCAAGTGGCAGCACTCAACCATCAAAGGCAAGCTACTGTAATGGACAGCAGAGGCAAAGCAGCAATCAGAATAGCCTGACTTCTGTAGAGGTCTGGCATCGGCTAATTAATCACAGTGTTCCTAGAAGTAAAATTGATAGGAAGCCTACTGCATTCCTACTTAATTTATATAAGCAGAAAACTTCTACATTGAATGGACAAAAGACTAATTTGAATTATAAAAACAGAGAATCACAGCCCCTCAATCAATTTCCAGACTTGGCCCAGTTTACAGATCCAGAACCCCTTGAATGAAGGGGAGGCTGGGTCCTCTTGAGGAAGGATCCCACTACACTACCGACAATTTATGCTGTTAATCTTTCTCCCATCCTTCCCCATGGAGGCCTCCAGACTTTTACCAGAGTACCTGTGCATTCTGGAAAGGAAAATAATTAGGCTTTTTGGGGACTACTGGACACTGGCTCTGAGCTGACGTTGATTCCAAGGGACCCAAAATGTCATTGTAGTCCTCTGGTTAAAGTAGGGGCTTATGGAGGTCAGGTAATTAATGGAGTTTTAGCTCAGGTCTGACTTACAGTGGGTCCAGTGGGTCCCCGGACTCATCCTGTGGTCATTTCACCAGTGCCAGAATGCATAATTGGCATAGACATACTTAGCAGCTGGCAGAACCCCCACATTGGCTCCTTGACTGGTAGAGTGAGGGCTATTATGGTGGGAAAGGCCAAATGGAAGCCATTAGAGCTGCCTGTACCTAGAAAAATAGTAAATCAGAAACAACATCACATCCTGGAGGGATTGTGGAGATTAGTGTCACCATAAAGGACTTGAAAGATGCAGGGGGGTGATTCTCACCACATCCCCTTTCAACTCTCCCATTTGGCCTGTGCAGAAGACAGATGGATCTTGGAGAATGACAGTGGATTATCGTAAGCTTAACCAAGTGGTGACTCCAACTGCAGCTGCTGTACCAGATGTGGTTTCATTGCTTGAGCAAATTAACACATCTCCTGGTACCTGATATGCAGCCACTAACTTGGCAAATGCCTTTTTCTCCATTCCTGTCCATAAGGCCCACCAGAAGCAATTTGCCTTCAGCTGGCAAGGCCAGCAATATACCTTTACTGTCTTGCCTCAGGGGTATATCAACTCTCCAGCTTTGTGTCATAATCTTATTCAGAGAGACCTTGATCGCTTTTTGCTTCCACAAGATATCACACTGGTCCATTACATTGAAGACATGATGACATTATGCTGATTGGATCCAGTGAGCAAGAAGTAGTAAACACACTGGACTTATTGGTGAGACATTTGTGTGCCCAGAGGATGGGAAATAAATCCAACTAAAATGCAGGATCTTCTACCTCAGTAAAATTTCTAGGGGTCCAGTGGTGTGGGGCCTGTTGAGATATTCTTTCTAGGGTGAAGGATAAATTGCTGCATTTGGCCCCTCCTACAACCAAGAAAGAGGCACAAAGCCTAGCGGGCCTATTTGGATTTTGGAAGCAACACATTCCTCTTTTGGGAATGTTACTCCAACTCATTTATCGAGTGACCCGAAATGCTGCCAGTTTTGAGTGGCGTCCAGAAAAGGAGAAGGCTCTGCAACAGGTCCAAGCTGCTGTGCAAGCTGCTCTGCCACTTAGGCCATATAACTCAGAAGATCCAATGGTGCTTGAGGTGTCAGTGGCAGATAGGGATGCTGTTTGGAGCATTTGGCAGGCCCCACAAGTGAATCACAGCAGAGGCCTCTAGGATTTTGGAGCAAGGCCCTGCTGTCTTCTGCAGATACTCTCTTTTTGAGACACAGCTATTGGCCTGTTACTGGGCTTTGGTGGAAACTAAATGTTTGACTACGAATGATCAAGTCACCATGTGACCTGAACTGCTCATCATGAACTGGGTGCTTTCTGACCCATCTAGCCATAAAGTAGGTCATGCACAGCAGGATTCCATCATCAAATGGAAGTGGTATATATGGGATCAGGCTCAAGCAGGTCCTGAAGGCACAAGTGAGTTACATGAGGAAGTGGCTCAAATGCCCATGGTCTCCACTCCTGCCACTCTGCCTTCTCTCCCCGAGCCTGCACCGATGGCTTCATGGGGAGTTCCCTACGATCAGTTGACAGCGGAAGAGAAGACTAGGGCCTGGTTCACAGATGGTTCTGCAAGATATGCAGGCACCACCCTAAAGGGGACAGCTGCAGCATTACAGCCCCTTTCTAGCACACCCCTGAAGGACAGCAGTGAAGGGAAATCTTCCCAGTGGCTAGAACTTTGAGCAGTGCACCTGACTGTGCACTTTGCATGGAAGAAAAAATGACCAGATGTGCGATTATACGCTGATTCATGGGCTGTAGCCAATGGTTTGGCTGGATCACCAGGGACTTGGAAGAAGCATGATTGGAAAACTGGTGACAAAGAAATTTGGGGAAGAGGTATGTGTATGGACCTCTCTGAGTGGTCAAAAACTGTGAAGATATTTCTATCCCATGTGAGTGCTCACCAATGGGTGACCTCAGCAGAGAAGGATTTTAATAATTAAGTGGATAGGACGACCCGTTCTGTGAACACCACTCAGCCACTTTCCCCAGCCACCCTGTCATCGTCCAGTGGGCCCATGAACAAAGTGGCCATGGTGGCAGGGATGGAGGTTAAGCATGGGCTCAGCAACATGGACTTCCACTCACCAAGGCTGACCTGGCTATGGCGACTGCTGAGTGCCCAATTTGCCAGCAGCGGAGACCAACACTGAGCCCTCGATATGACACCATTCCTCAGGGTGATCAGCCAGCTACCTGGTGGCAGGTTGATTACATTGGACCTCTTCCACCATGGAAATGGCAGAAGTTTGTCCTCACTGGAATAGAGACACTTACTCTGGATATGGGTTTGCCTATCCTGCATGCAATGCTTCTGCCAAGACTACCATCCATGGACTCATGGAATGTTTTATCCACCATCATGGTGTTCTATACAGCATTGCCTCTGACCAAGGCACTCACTTTACAGCTAAAGAAGTGTGGCAGTGGGCTCACGCTCCTGTAATTCACTGGTCTTACCAAGCTCCCCATCATCCTGAAGCAGCTGGATTGATAGAACAGTGGAATAGCCTTTTGAAGTCACAATTACAACATCAACTAGGTGACAATACCTGGAAGGGCTGGGGTAAAGTTCTCCAGAAGGCTGTATATGCTCTGAGTCAGTGTCCAACATATGGTACTGTTTCTCCCATAGCCAGGATTCACAGGTCCAGGAATCAAGGGGTGGAAGTGGAAGTGGCACCACTCACTACCACCCCTAGTGATCCACTAGCAAAATTTTTGCTTCCTGTTCCCACAGCATTACATCCTGCTGGCCTAGAGGTCTTAGTTCCAGAGGGAGGAACACTACCACCAGGAAACACCATAACAATTCTATTAAACTGGAAAGTTACAATTGCATCTGGACACTTTGGGCTCCTCCTGCCTTTAAGTCAACAGGCTAAGATGGGAGTTAGAGTGTTGGCTGGGGAGATTGACCCCGACTATCAAGATGAAATCAGTCTACTACTCCACAGCAGAGATAAAGAAGAGTATGCATGGAATACAGGAGATGCATTAGGGCGTCTCTTGGTATTACCATGCCCTGTGATTAAGATCAATGGGAAACTACAACAGCCCAGTCCAGGCAGGACTACAACAAATGGCCCCAAACCCTTCCGGAATGAAGGCATGGGTCACCCCACCATGGAAAATACCACAACCTGCTGAGGTACTTGCTGAAGGCAAAGCAGATACACAGAATGGGTAGTAGAAGAAGGCAGTCATCAATACCAGCTACTACCATATGACCAGTTGCAGAAACAAGTACTGTAATTGTCATGAGTATTTCCTCCTTCTTTTATTAAAAACATGTTTGTGCATGTACACACTTTTTAATATTTTTTATTATACTTTAAGTTCTAGGGTACATGTGCACAACATGCAGGTTTGTTACATATGTATACGTGTGCCATGTTGGTGTGCTGCACCCATTAACTCGTCATTTACATTAGGTATATCTCCTAATGCTATCCCTCCCCACTCCCCCCACCCCACAACAGGCCCTGGTGTGTGATGTTCCCCTTCCTGTGTCCATGTGTTCTCACTGTTCAATTCCCACCTATGAGTGAGAACATGCAGTGTTTGGTTTTTTGTCCTTGTGATAGTTTGCTGAGAATGATGGTTTCCATCTTCATCCATGTCCCTACAAAGGACATGAACTCATCATTTTTTATGGCTGCATAGTATTCCATGGTGTATATGTACCACATTTTCTTAATCCAGTCTATCATTGTTGGACATTCGGGTTAGTTCCAAGTCTTTGCTATTGTGAGTCGTGCTGCAATAAGCATACGTGTGCATGTGTCTTTATAGCAGCATGATTTATATTCCTCTGGGGATATACCCAGTAATGGGATGGCTGGGTCAAATGGTATTTCTAGTTCTAGATCCCTGAGGAATCACCACACTGACTTCCACAATGGTTGAACTAGTTTACGGTCCCACCAACAGTGTAAAAGTGTTCCTATTTCTCCACATCCTCTCCAGCACCGGTTGTTTCCTGACTTTTTAATGATTGCCATTTTAACTAGTGTGAGATGGTATCTCATTGTGGTTTTGATTTGCATTTCTCTGATGGCCAGTGGTGATGAGCACTTTTTCATGTGACTGTTGGCTGCATAAATGTCTTCTTTTGAGAAGTGTCTGTTCATATCCTTCGCCCACTTTTTGATGGGGTTGTTTGTTTTTTTCTTGTAAATTTGTTTCAGTTCTTTGTAGATTCTGGATATTAGCCCTTTGTCAGATGAGTAGATTGCAAATTTTTTCTCCCATTCTGTAGGTTGCCTGCTCACTCTGATGGTAGTTTCTTTTGCTGTGCAGAAGCTCTTTAGTTTAATTAGATCCCATTTGTCAATTTTGGCTTTTGTTGCCATTGCTTTTGGTGTTTTAGACATGAAGTCCTGGCCCATGCCTATGTCCTGAATGGTATTGCCTAGGTTTTCTTCTAGGGTTTTTATGGTTTTAGGTCTAATATTTAAGTCTTTAATCTATCTCGAATTAATTTTTGTATAAGGTGTAAGGAAGGGATCCAGTTTCAGCTTTCTACATATGGCTAGCCAGTTTTCCCAGCACCATTTATTAAATAGGGAATCCTTTCCCCATTTCTCGTTTTTGTCAGGTTTGTCAGAGATCAGATAGTGGTAGATGTGTGGTATTATTTCTGAGGGCTCTGTTCTGTTCCATTGGTCTATATCTCTGTTTTGGTACCAGTACCATGCTGTTTTGGTTACTGTAGCCTTGTAGTATAGTTTCAAGTCAGGTAGTGTGATGCCTCCAGCTTTGTTCTTTTGGCTTAGGATTGACTTGGCAATGTGGACTCTTTTTTGGTTCCATATGAACTTTAAAGTAGTTTTTTCCAATTGTGTGAAGAAAGTCATTGGTAGCTTGATGGGGATGGCATTGAATCTATAAATTACCTTGGGCAATATGGCCATTTTCACAATATTGATTCTTCTTATCCATGATCATGGAATGTTCTTCCATTTGTTTGTGTCCTCTTTTATTTCGTTGAGCAGTGGTTTGTAGTTCTCCTTGAAGAGGTCCTTCACATCCCTTGTAAGTTGGATTCCTAGGTATTTTATTCTCTTTGAAGCAATTGTGAATGGGAGTTCACTCATGATTTGACTCTCTGTCTGTTATCAGTGTATACGAATGTTTGTGATTTTTGCACATTGATTTTGTATCCTGAGACTTTGCTGAAGTTGCTTATCAGCTTAAGGAGATATTGGGCTGAGATGATGGGGTTTTCTAGATATACAATCATGTCATCTGCAAACAGGGACAATTTGACTTCCTCTTTTCCTAATTGAATACCCTGTATTTCCTTCTCCTGCCTGATTGCCCTGGCCAGAACTTCCAACACTATGTTGAATAGGAGTGATGAGAGAGGGCATCCATGTCTTGTGCCAGTTTTCAAAGTGAATGCTTCCAGTTTTTGCCCATTCAGTATGATATTGGCTGTGGGTTTGTCATAGACAGCTCTTATTATTTTTAGATACGTCCCATCAATACCTAATTTATTGAGAGTTTTTAGCATGAAGGCTGTTGAATTTTGCCAAAGGCCTTTTCTGCATCTATTGAGATAATCATGTGGTTTTTGTCTTTGGTTCTGTTTATATGCTGGATTACATTTATTGATTTGCATATGTTGAACCAGCCTTGCATCCCAGGGATGAAGCCCACTTGATCATGGTGGATAAGCTTTTTGATGTGCTGCTAGATTCGGTTTGCCAGTATTTTATTGAGGATTTTTGTATCGATGTTCAGGGATATTGGTCTAAAATTCTCTCTTTTTGTTGTGTCTCTGCCAGGCTTTGGTATCAGGATGATGCTGGCCTCATAAAATGAGTTAGGGAGGATTCCCTCTTTTTTTATTGATTGGAACAGTTTCAGAAGGAATGGTACCAGCTCTTCCTTGTACCTCTGGTAGAATTCAGCTGTGAATCCGTCTGGTCCTGGACTTTTTTTGGTTGATAAGCTATTAATTATTGCCTCAATTTCAGAGCCTGTTATTGGTCTATTCAGAGATTCAACTTCTTCCTGGTTTAGCCTTGGGAGGTTGTATGTGTCAAGGAATTTATCCATTTCTTCTAGATTTTCTGGTTTATTTGCGTAGAGGTGTTTATAGTATTCTCTGATGGTAGTTTGTATTTCTGTGGGATTGGTGGTGATATCCCCTTTGTCAGTTTTTATTGCATCTATTTGATTCTTCTCTCTTTTCTTCTTTATTAGTCTTGCTAGCGGTCTATCAATTTTGTTGATCTTTTCAAATAAGCAGCTCCTGGATTCATTGATTTTTTGAAGGGGTTTTTTGTGTCTCTACCTCCTTCAGTTCTGCTCTGATCTTAGTTATTTCTTGCCTTCTGCTAGCTTTTCAATGTGTTTGCTCTTGCTTCTCTAGTTCTTTTAATTGTGATGTTAGGGTGTCAATTTTAGATCTTTCCTGCTTTCTCTTGTGGGCATTTAGTGCTATAAATTTCACTCTACACACTGCTTTGAATGTGTCCCAGAGATTCTGGTATGTTGTGTCTTTGTTCTCATTGGTTTCAAAGAACATCTTTATTTCTACCTTCATTTTGTTATGTACCCAGTAGTCATTCAGGAGCAGGTTGTTCAATTTCCATGTAATTGAGAGGTTTTGAGTGAGTTTGTTAATCCTGAGTTCTAGTTTGATTGCACTGTGGTCTGAGAGACAGTTTGTTATAATTTCTGTTCTTTTATATTTGCTGAGGATTGCGTTATTCCAACTATGTGGTCAATTTTGGAATAGGTGTGTGTAGTGCTGAAAAGAATGTATATTCTGTTGATTTGGGGTGGAGAGTTCTGTAGATGTCTATTAAGTTAGCTTGGTGCAGAGCTGAATTCAATTCCTGGATATCCTTGTTAACTTTCTGTCTCGTTGATCTGTCTAATGTTGACGGTGGGGTGTTAAAGTCTCCCATTATTATTGTGTGGGAGTCTAAGTCTCTTTGTAGGTCTCTAAGGACTTGCTTTATGAATCTGGGTGCTCCTGTATTGGGTGCATATATATTTAGGATAGTTAGCTCTTCTTGTTGAATTGATCCCTTTACCATTATGTAATGACCTTCTTTGTCTCTTTTGATCTTTGTTGGTTTAAAGTCTGTTTTATCAGAGACTAGGATTGCAACCCTTGCCTTTTTTTGTTTTCCATTTGCTTGGTAGATCTTCCTCCATCCCTTTATTTTGAGCCTATGTGTGTCTCTGCACATGAGATGGGTTTCCTGAATACAGCACACTGATGGGTCTTGACTCTATCCAATTTGCCAGTCTGTGTCTTTTAATTGGAGCATTTAGCCCATTTATATTTAAGGTTAATATTGTTATGTATGAATTTGACCCTGTCATTATGATGTTAGCTGGTTATTTTGCTCGTTAGTTGATGCAGTTTCTTCCTAGCCTCAATGGTCTTTACAATTTGGCATGTTTTTGCAGTGGCTGGTACCGGCTGTTCCTTTCCATGTTTAGTGCTTCCTTCAGGAGTTCTTGTCGGGCAGGCCTGGTGGTGACAAAATCTCTCAGCATTTGCTTGTCTGTAAAGGATTTTATTTCTCCTTCACTTATGAAGCTTAGTTTGGCTGCATATGAAATTCTGGGTTGAAAATTCTTTCTTTAAGAATGTTGAATATTGGCCCCCACTCTCTTCTGGCTTGTAGAGTTTCTGCTGAGAGATCAGCTGTTAGTCTGATGGACTTCCCTTTGTGGGTAACCCAACCTTTCTCCCTGGCTGCCCTTAACATTTTTTCCTTCATTTCGACTTCGGTGAATCTGACAATTATGTGTTTTGGAGTTGCTCTTCTCGAGGGGTATCTTCGTGGCGTTCTCTGTATTTCCTGAATTTGAATGTTGGCCTGCCTTGCTAGGTTGGGGAAGTTCTCCTGGATAATATCCTGCAGAGTGTTTTCCAACTTGGTTCCATTCTCCCCGTCACTTTCAGGTACACCAAACAGACGTAGATTTGGTCTTTTCACATAGTCCCATATTTCTCGGAGGCTTTGTTCATTTCTTTTCATTCTTTTTTCTCTAAACTTCTCTTCTCACTTCATTTCATTCATTTCATCTTCCATCCCTGATACCTTTTCTTCCAGTTGATCAAATCGGCTACTGAAGCTTGTGCATTTGTCATGTAGTTCTCGTGCCCTGGTTTTCAGCTCCATCAGGTCATTTAAGGACTCCTCTGCATTGGTTATTCTAGTTAGCCATTCGTCTAATCTTTTTTCAAGGTTTTTAACTTCTTTGCAATGGGTTCAAACTTTCTCCTTTAGCTCGGAGAAGTTTGATTGTCTGAAGCCTTCTTCTCTCAACTCGTCTCGTCAAAGTCGTTCTCTGTCCAGCTTTGTTCCATTGCTGGTGAGGAGCTGTGTTCCTTTGGAGGAGGAGAGGTACTCTGATTTTTAGAATTTTCAGTTTTTCTGTTCTGTTTTTCCCCCATCTTTGTGGTTTTATCTACCTTTGGTCTTTGTTGATGGTGACGTACAGATGGGGTTTTGGTGTGGATGTCCTTTCTGTTTGTTAGTTTTACTTTTAACAGTCAGGACCCTCAGCTGCAGGTCTGTTGGAGTTTGCTGGAGGTCCACTCCAGACCCTGTTTGCCTGGGTATCAGCAGCAGCAGAGGCTGCAGAACAGCGAATATTGCTGAACAGCAAATGTTGCTGTCTGATCATTCCTCTGGAGGTTTCATCTCAGAGGGGTATCCAGCCGTGTGAGGTGTCAGTCTGCCCCTACTGGGTGGTGCCTCCCAGATACGCCACTTGGGGTTCAGGGACCCACTTGAGGAGGCAGTCTGTCCATTCTCAGATCTCAAACTCCATGCTGGGAAAACCACTACTCTCTTGAAAGCTGTCAGACAGGGACATTTAAGTGTACAGAGGTTTCTGCTGCCTTTTGTTTGGCTATGCCCTGCTCCCAGAGGTGGAGTCTACAGAGGCAAGCAGGCCTTCTTGAGCTGTGGTGGGCTCCACCCAGTTCAAGCTTCCTGGCTGCTTTATTTACCTACTCAAGCCTCAGCAATGGCGGGCACCCTTCCCCCAGCCTTGCTGCCACCTTGCAGTTCGATCTCAGGCTGCTGTGCTAGCAATGAGCAAGGCTCTGTGGGCATGGGACCCTCTGAGCTAGGCACGGGATATAATCTCCTGGTGTGCCATTTGCTAAGACCATTGGAAAAGCACAGTATTAGGGTAGGAGTGACCTGATTTTTCAGGTGCCATCTGCCACAGCTTTGCTTGGCTATGAAGGGGAATTCCCTGACCCCTTGCACTTCCTGGATGAGGTGATGCCTGGCCCTGCTTCGGCTCACGCTCAGTGTGCTGCACCCACTGTCCTGAACCCACTGTCCAACAAGCCCCAGTGAGATGAACCCAGTACCTCAGTTGGAAATGCAGAAATCACCTGTCTTCTGTGTTGCTCACGCTGGGAGCTGTAGACTGGAGCTATTCCTATTCGGCCATCTTGGAACCACCCCGATTTTACCTCCATGTACACACTTATACCAAGAAAATATCTCCAATTTATTTCCTTTTCCCTTTGTCATGTGACATAAGATTTATTGACTTAATATCAGCATCTAAGTATTGTTAACTTTATGTAATAGCATTTGGGTTGGGGATTGATATATTTCCGGTTGTATGAAGAATAGTTGTATTATGTTAGGCATAATTATGACCTTACTATTATCTTTATTTGAAGATTATGTATGATCTCAGGAGATGTGTATGGGTTCAAGTTGACAAGAGGTAGACTTGTGATGGTTAATACTGAGTGTCAACTTGATTGGATTGAAGGATGCAAAGTATTGATCCTGGGTTTGTCTGTGAGGGTATTACCAAAGGAGGTTAACATTTGAGTCAGTGGGCTGGGAAAAGAAGACCCACCCTTAATCTGGCTGGGCACCATCTATTCAGCTGCCAGCAGAGCCAGAATATATAGCAGGCAGAAAAATGTGAAAACACAGGACTGGCCTAGCCTCCCAGCCTACATCTTTCTCCTGTGCTGGATGCTTCCTGCCCTCGAACATCGGACTCCAAGTTGTTCAGCTTTGGGACTTGGACTGGTTTCCTTGCTCCTCAGCTTGCGGACAGCCTACTGGGGGACCTTGTGATCGTGTGAGTTAATACTACTTAATAAACTCCCCTTTATATATATACATATATATCATTAGTTCTGTCCCTCTAGAGAATCCTAACTAATACAGACAGGGTCTCACTCTGTTGCCCAGGCTGGAGAGCAGTGGCATGATTTTGGCTCACTGCAACCTCCAGCTCCGGAGTTCAAGTGATTCTCATGCCTCAGCCTCCCAAGTAGCTAGGATTACAGGTGCATGCCACCACACCCAGCTAATTTTTGTATTTTTATTAGATATGGGGTTTCACCATGTTGGCCAGGCTGGTCTCGAACTCCTGATCTCAAGTGATCTGCCTGCCTCAGCCTCCCAAAGTGCTAGGATTACAGGTGAGATGGCTGTTAATCTTCTGGTATCTTCTCATTTTGTCTTTGGGAAGCCCTACAAGTATAAAATATCTGCATTTCCTATTGCTGCCTGTAGAAGGAAGACAGCATAACACATCATATCAATTTGTTCTGAAGCTGAAGGAAACATGATAGTGATCTCTAAGGCAGTGTTTATTTCATGGTAGAGTCGTCAAGACTATCTATATACATAATTTGCATTTTAGTCTTCTGGATCTTTAATTTTTATAAAGGTTGAACATTATATATCCATATGTTTATAATGCCCAAATTTGTTTTCCTTTAAGCTCAGCATCACTGTAGCAGTTACTGCACACTACATAAAGACTTTTGTGAGATTTTAAATAATAAGCTCAATTTGAAATCTTTTCAGAAAAAACTAACTCAATAAGGCCAAAACAGTGATTTCATAATTATCTCAATCTTATTTGCCCCCAACTCTAAGAAGTATAACCATGGTAGTCATGGCAATTTACACTAGGAAGCTAAATTGTCTCTTTTCTAAATTACCATATGTACAAATTCTGCCTTTGGTGAAAGTGCTATGTTACTTGCAATCCATGGAATAGCTATTCATGTCTGAAGACATTCAAACTGACAAAAAAGAAATAAAAAAGAGAGACGGGTAAATTAATTGGAATATATAGAAAGAATTTACCAGAGTCAGCAATTATTCTCCATTACTTTCTTTCCATATGCACTTTACCACAGCAAACGGTCACGAACTAAACTAAACTGTTGTCTGACTCAGTTGTTTGACAATTCCCTATCTTCTTTAAGAGGAACCAATGGGTATATTTCCCTTGTAATTTTTGAGGGTTTTCCTCTTTTTCAATATTAATATTATAACAGAAAAATTTGCTTTACTGTATTATTAAAATTTTGCTCAACATTTCAAAAACAGCATTTTTTAGTTGTAGTAAAATCTATACATAAAATTTACTTATAACCATTTATAGATATACAGTTCAGTGGTTTTAAATAAATTCATATTAGTGTGCAACCATCACCACCATCAATCTACAGAACTTTTTCATCTTCCCAAACTTAAATCCCATATCCATTAAACAATAACTCCCCAGGACCCCTTCCTCCAGCCCCTGGTAACCATTCTACTTTCTATCACTATGAATTTGACTACTCTAGGTATCTTGTATAAGTGAAATAATTCAGTATTTGTCCTTTTGTGTGGCTTATTTCACTTAGCATAATATCTTCAAGGTTCATTCATATTGTAATATGCACCAGAATTTCCATTTTAAGGCTGAGCAATATTCCATTGTATGTATATGCCACCTCTTGTTTATCCATTTATCTGTCTATAGACAGTTCAGGTGCTTCCACAGGTTAGCTCTTACAAATAATGCTGCTATAAACATGAGTGTACAAATATCTATTTGAGTCCCTGCTTTTGTTTCTTTTGAGTATATATCCAGAAGTAGAATTGCTGGACCATATGGTCATTTTATCTCTAATTTTTTGAAGAACCACCATACTGGTTTCCATAGTGGCTGTACCATTTTATGTTCCCATCAGCAATGCACAAGGGTTCCAAGGTATCTCCACAAATTTGCCAACACTTGTTATTTTCTATTTTGTTATTATTATTATTATTATAGCCATCTTAATAGGTATGAAGTAGTATCTCGTTGTAGTTTTGATTTGCATTTCCCTAATGATTAAAGATTTTGAGCATCATTTCATATGCTTATTGGTCATTTGTATATTTTCTTTGGAAAAATGTTTATTGAAGTTCTTTGTCCGTTTTTTAATCTGGTTGTTTGGTTTTTTAATTGTTGAACTGTAGGAGTTATTTATGTAGTCTGGCTATTTAACCCCTTATCAGATACAAGGTTTGAAAATATTTTCTTCCATTCCGTGGGTTGCCTTTTCACTCTGTTGATAGTATCCTAACTATAGTTTTCAGCTTTAATAATTTCAGAAATATAAATGATACAAGCTTCTTAAAAATCATTTGAAAGTTTATTTAAATGTTTAGCTTGTTTAGTTTTGTAAATTTTGACTAGTAAATTGTTAATTTTATTTTTTTCTTTCAGCCTTCTGAAGATGCCAAAACAAAAAACTAAAATTAAAATATTATAACTCAAAATTCACAAAATTAGGGAGGAAGTAGAGCAAGATGGTGGAATAAAAGGCTCCACAGATCATCTCCTCCACAAGAACACCAACTGAACAACTATCTACACAGAAAAAAAAAAAAAACACCTTCATAAAAGCCAAAAATCAGGTAAGCACTCATAGTACCTGGTTTTAACTTCATATCATTGAAAGAGGCACTGAAGAGACAGAAAAAACAGTCTTGAATCCCTGATGCCACCTCTCCAGTCCTGGCAATGGAGGTGTGGTACAGAGAGCACTTCTGGGCACTGGGGGAGGGAGAACACAGCAATTGTGACACACTGAACTCAAGTGCTGTCCTGGTAGAGCAGAAAGGAAAACCAGACCAAACTGACACTCACCCACAAAGGAAGCATTTAAACCAGCCCTAGCCAGAAGAGAATCACTGATCCCAGTGGTCAGAGCTTGAGTTCCCACAAACCTTAGCACTGCCGACCAGTACTCTGTGTCTCCAAATAAACCTGAAAGGCAGTCTAGGCCTTTCTGCAACTTTTAGATGAGTCCTAATGCTGAACTAGGCCCAGAGATAGTAAAGTGGAGGGGCATGCATCATAGTGAGACACCAATTGGGGCAGCCAAGGGAGTGTCTAACTGGTATCATCCATCCCCTAACCCCAGGCTGCACAGCTCACAGCTTCAAAAGAGACCCTCCTCTTTCTCCCGCTTGAGGAGAGGAGAGGGAAGAGTGGGGAGGACTTTGTCTTGCATCTTGGATACCAGCTCAGCCACAGTAGGAAAGAGCGCTGGTCAGTCATGAGGTCCCCATTCCAGGCCCTAGCTCCCAGATGACATTTCTACATACACCCTGGGCCAGAAGGGAACATGCTTCCTTGAAGGAAAGGACCCAGTCCTGGCAGCATTCATCCCCTGCTAACTGAAGAACCCTTGGGCCCTGAATAACCAGTAGTGATACTCAGGTACTACATCAAGGGCCTTGGATGAGCCTCTGAGACTTGCTGGCTTCAGGTAACAGCATGAACATGAGGGGTAGAGCACCAAAGAAGCTCCTGGGGTCCCCGATTCCAGGACTTGATTATTGGATGGCTTTTCTGGATCTGCCCTGGGCCAGCGGAGAGTCCATTGCCCTGAAGGGTGAGTCCCACACCAGGCAGCATTCACCACAAGCTGACTTAAGAGCCTTTGGTCCTTAAGGGAACATCAGCAGTAGTCTGACAGTATTCCTGGTGGCCTGTGGTGGTGGTGGCTATGGGGTGAGGCTCCTCCTTTGGAAAGGGGAAGGAAGAGTGGGAAGGACTGCATCTTGTGGTTTAAGTGCCAGCTCAGCCACAGTACAATAAAACACTAGATAGACTTCTAAGGTTTTTTACTCTGGTCCCTAACTCCCAGATGGCATCACTGGACCCACAGGAACTTGGGGGACCTTGCTGCCCTGAAGGAGAGGAGACAGGCGTGGCTGGCTTTGCCACTGGCTGATTGTAGAGCCCCAGGGCCTTGAGCAAACACAGGCAGTTTCCAGAAAGTAGTTACAGTGGTGGGCCTTGGGCAAGACCCAGTGCTGTGCTGGCTTCAAGCCTGACCCAGCCCAGTCATAATGGTGGTGGCCACAGAGGTGCTTGTGTCCCTCCACCCATAGCTTTAGGGGGCTCAGAACAGAGAGAGAGAAAGAGAGAGAGAGGGAGAGAGAGACTCTGTATGTTTGGGAGAAAGTAAGAGAAGAGATCAAGAGTCTCTGCCTGGTAATCCAGAGAATTCTCCTGATCTTGTCCAAGACCATCAAGGCGGTACCTCTACAAGTCTGCAAGAACCACAGTGTTACTGGGCTTGGGGTGCCCCCTAAAGCAGATACAGCTTAGATCACAACACTCAAGTCCTTTAAAATATCTGGAAAGCCTTCCCAAGAAGGATTGGTACAAATAACCCCAGACAGTGAAGACTACAATAAATACTTAAACTCTTCAATGCCCAAACACCAAAGAACATCTACTAGCATCAATACCATCCAGGAAAACATGACCTCACCAAATGAACTAAATAAGGCACCAGAGGCCAATCCTGGAGAAACAGAGATATGAGACCTTTTAGACAGAGAATTCAAAATAGCTGTGTTGAGGAAACGGAAAGAAATTCAAGTTAACACAGAGAAGACATTTAAAATTCTATCAGATAAATTTAATAAAGAGATTGAAATAACAAAAAAGAACCAAGCAGAAATTCTGGAGCTGAAAAATGCAATTGGCATACTGAAGAATGCACTAGAGTCCTTTAATAGCAGAACTGATCAAGCAGAAGAAAGAATTAGTGAGCTTGAAGACAGCCTATTTGAAAATGCACAGAGGAGACGAAAGAAAAAAAGAATAAAAAACAATGAAGCATGCCTACAGGACCTAGAAAATAGCTTCAATAGGGAAAATCTATGAGTTATTGGCCTTAAAGAGGAGGTAGAGAAAGGGATAGGGGTAGAAAGTTTATTCAAGGAGATAATAACAGAGAATTTCCCAAACCTAGAGAAAAATATCAGTATCTACATATAAGAAGCTTATACAACACCAAGCAGATTTAACCCAAGACTACCTCAAGGCATTTAATAGTCAAACTCCCAAAGGTCAAGGATAAAGAAAGAATTGTAAAAGAAGTAAGAGAAGAGAAACAAATAGAATAAAATGGAGCTCTAATATGTCTGGCATCAGACTTTTCAGTGGAAACCTCACAACCCAGGACAGAGTGGCATGACATATTTAAAGTGCTGAAGAAAAAAAAAAAACTTTTGCCCTAGAATAGTATATTTGATTAAAATATCCTTCAAACACAAAGGAGAAATAAGACTTACCCAGACAAACAAAAGCTGAGGAATTTCATCAACACCAGACCTGTCCTACAAGAAATGTTAAAGGGAGTACTTAAATCAGAAAGAAAAGGACATTAATGAACAATAAGCAACCACCAGAAGGTACAAAACTCAGTGGTAATAGTAAGTACACAAAAAAACACAGAATATTATAACATTGTAACTGTTATACTCTTATGCTAAGTAGAGAGACTACACGATGAACCAATCAAAAATAGTAACTACAACAACTTTTCAAGACATAGTGCTATTATATATATGTAAATATATATGTATATAAATATATATATATATTTATATATATATATATATATATATATATAGAGAGAGAGAGAGAGAGAGAGAGAGAGAGAGAGAAACAACTGGCTCAGCACAATGGCTCATGCCTGTAATCCCAGTACTTTGGGAGGTCAAGGAGGGTGGATCACTTGAGGCCAGGAGTTCAAGGCCAGCTTGGGCAACATGGAAAACCCTGTCTCTCCAAATAATTTTAAGAAATAAGCTGAGTGTGGTGGTGTGCACCTGTGTGGTCTCAGCTACTAGGGAGGATGAGGTGGGAGGATTGCTTGAGCCTTGGAGGCAGAGGTTGCAGTGAGTCAAGATCACGCCATTGCACTCTAGCCTGGGCAACAAAGCAAGACCCTGTCTCAAAAAAATAAATAAATAGAAACAACAAAAAGTTAAAAAGTGGGGAGATGAAGTTAAGCCACAGAGTTTTTCTTTTCTTTTTTTTTTTTTTTTGAAATGGAGTCTCACTCTGTCACCCAGGCTGGAATGCAGTGGCACGATCTCAGCTCACTGCAACCTCCGCCTCCCAGGTTCAAGAGATTCTCCTGCCTCAGCCTCCCGAGTAGCTGGGATTACAGCTGCACACCACCAGGCCTGGCTAATTTTTGTATTTTTAGTAGAGCCGGGGTTTCGCCATGTTGGCCAGGCTGGTCTCAAACTCCTGACCTCAAGTGATCCGCCCACCTCAGCCTCCCAAAGTGCTGGGATTATAGGCATGAGCCACCACACCCAGCCTATTAGTTTTCTTTTTGCTTGTCTGCTTATTTATGCAAACACTGTTAAATTTTTATCAAGCTAAAATAAATGGGTTATAAGATAGTATTTGTAAACCTCATTTTAACCTCAAACCAAAAAACATACAATGGATACACAAAATATAAAAAGTAAGAGTCCAAATCATATCACCAGAGAAAATCACCTTCACTAAAAGAGGAAGGAAAGAAAGAAGGAAGAGAAGACCACAAAACAACCAGACTACAAATAGCAAAATGATAGCAGTAAGTCCTTACTTATTATAATAACATTGAATGTAAATGGACTAAACTGTCTTATGAAAATACGTACACTGGCTAGATGAAAAAACAAGACCCATCGATCTGTTGCCTACAAAAAAACAAAACAACAGCAACAAAAAACACTTCACCTGTAAAAACACACATAGACTGAAAATAAAGGGATGGAAAAAGATATTCCATGACAATGGAAACTAAAAAAGAACAGGAGTTGCTACACTTATATCAGACAAAATAGATTTTAAGACCAAAACTCTAAGAAGAGACAAAGAAAGCCACTATACAATGAGAAAGGAGTCAACTCAGCAAAATAATATAACAATTTTAAATATATATGCACCCAACAGTGAAGCACCCAGATATATAAAGAAAATATTACTAGTGGTAAAGAGAGAGATACACCCCAACACAATAATAGCTAGAGACTTCAACGCCCCACTTTCAGCATTGATAGATCTTCCAGACAAAAAATCAACAGACACCATTAGTCTTACTCTGCACTAGAGACCAAGTGGATCTAATAGATATTTACAGAACACTTCATCCAACAGCTGTAGAATATGCATTCGTTTCCTCAGCACATGGATCATTCTCAAGGATAGAGTATATGTTAGGTCACAAAACAAGTCTGAAAACATTCAAAAATTGAAATAATATCAAGCATCTTCTCTGACCACAGTGGAATATAACTAGAAATTAATAACAAGAGGAATTTTGGAAACTATACAAATACATGGAAATTAAACAAAGTGCTCCTGAATGACCAGTGGGTCAATGAAGACATTTTAAAAAATTGAAAAATTTCTTCAAACAAATGATAATGGAAAAACAAAATACTAAAACCTCTGGGATACAGCAAAAGCAGTACTGAGAGGGAAGTTTATAGCTGTAAGTGCCCACATCAAAAAAGGGTAAAAACCTCAAATAAACAATCTAGTGATGCATCTTAAAGGAATAGAAAAGCAAGAGCAAGCCAAACCCAAAATTAGTAGAAGAAAAGAAATACTAAGGACCAGAACAGAAATAAATGAAATTGAGATGAAGAAAAAAATACAAAAGATCAATAAAACAAAAAGTTGGTTTTTTAAAAAGTTAAACAAAATTGACAAACCTCTAGCCAAACTAAAAGACAGAAAATCCAAATAAATAAAATCAGAAATGAAAAAGGAGACATTTACAACTGATACTGCAGAAATTCAAAGTATCATCAGTGGTTACTACAAGCAACTATATGACAATAAATTGGAAAATCTAGAAGAAATGGACAAATGTCTATATACATAAAACCAACCAAGACTGAATCAGAAAGAAATTCAAAACCTAAACAGACCAAGAACAAGTAATGAGATCGAAGCCATAATAAAAAGTCTTCCAGTAAAGAAAAGCCCAGGACCTGATGGCTTTACTGCTGAATTCTACCAAACATTTAAAGAAGAACTAATACCAATCCTTCTCGAATTATTCCAAAAAATAGAAGAAAAAGTAATACTTCCAAATTCATTCTACAAGGCCAATATTACCCTGATACCAAAACCAGACAAAGACACATCAAAAAAAGAAAAACCACTGATGAATATTGATGCAAAAATCCTCAAGAAAATACTAGCAAACCGAATTCAACAATACGTTAGAAAGATCATTCATCATGGCTAAGTGGAATTTATCCCTGGATGCAAGAATGGTTCAACACATGCAAATCAATCAATGTGATACATCTTATCAACAGAATGAAGGATAAAAACCACAGGATTATTTCAATTGATCCTGAAAAAGCATTTGATAAAGTTCAACGTCCTGTTATGATAAAATCCCTCAAAAACCTGGGGATAGAAGGAACATATCTCAACATAATAAAAGCTACATATGACAGACCCACGGTATCATACTGAATGGGGAAAAACTGAAAGCCTTTCCTCTAAGATCTGGAATATGGCAAGGATGCCCACTGTCACCACTGTTATTTAACATAGTACTGGAAATCCTAACTAGAGCAATCAGACAAGAGAAAGCTATAAAGGGCACCCAAATTAGAAAGGAAGAAGTCAAATTATCCTTGTTTGCAGATGATATAATCTTATAATTGGAAAAACCTACTAAAGACTCCACAAGAAAACTATTAGAACTGAGAAACAAATTCAGTAAATTTGCAGGATACAAAATCAACACACAAAAATCAGTAGCATTTCTATATGCCATAGGTGAACAATATGAAAAAGAAATTTAAAAAGTAATCCCACTTATACACATAAAATTAAATACCCGGAAATTTACTTGCCAAAGAAGTGAAAGATCTCTATAATGAAAACTACAAAATACTGAAAGAAATTGAAGGGGACACCAAAAAATGGAAAAATATTCCATGTTCATGGATTGGAAGAACCAATATTGTTACAATGTCCATACCACCCAAAGCAATCTACAGATTCAATGCAATCCCTATCAAAATACTAATGATATCCTTCCCCAGAATACAAAAAAATTCTAAAATTTATATGGAACCACAAAAGTCCCAGAATAACCAAAGCTATCCTAAGCAAAAGGAACAAAACTGGAGGAATTACATTACCTGACTTTGAATTATACTACAGAGCTATAGTAACCAAAACAGCATGGTACTGGCACAAAAAAAGACAATAGCTCTATGGAACAGAATAGAGAACCCAGAAACAGATCCACACGCCTAGAGTGAAGTCATGTTTGACAAAAGTACCAAGAGCATACACTGGGGAAAAGACAGTCTCTTCAATAGATGGCACTGGGAAAACTGGATATCCATATGCAGAAGAGTGAAACTAGACCCCTATCTCTCACCATATAAAAAAATCAAATAAAAAGAGTGGATTAAAAGACTTAAATCTGGCTGGGCAAGGTGGCTCACACCTATAATCCCAGCACTTTGGGAGGCCAAGGCAGGTGGGTCACTGGAGGTCAGGAGTTCAAGACCAGCCTGACCAACATGATGAAACTCTGTCTCTACTAAAAATCCAAAAAAATTAGCTAGGCATGGTGGTGGGCACCTGTAGTCCCAGCTACTTGGGAGGCTGAGGCAGGAGAATTGCTTGAACCCAGGAGGCAGAGGTTGCGGTGAGCCAAGATTGTGCCACTGCACTCCAGCCTGGGTGACAGAGTGAGTCTCTGTCTCAAAAAAAAAAAAAAAAAAAAAAAAAAAAAACTTAAATCTAAGACCTGAAACTATGAAACTGCTTCAAGTCAAAATTGGAGAAAATCTCTAGGGCATTGGTCTGGGCAAAAATTTCTTGAGTCCCACAAGTACAGGCAACCAAAACAAACATGGACAAATGAGATAACATCAAGTTAAAAAGCTTCTGCACAGCAAAGAATACAATCAACAAAATGAAGAGACAACCCACAGAATGGGAGAAAATCTTTGCAAAATACTCCTCTGATAGGGGATTAACAACCAGAATATATAAGGAACTCATACAACTCTATAGGAAAAAAAATCTAACAACCCAATCAAAAAATGGGCAAAACATTTGAACAGACATATCTCAAAAGAAGACATACAAATGGCAAAGAAGCATATGAAATGGTGCTCAACATTACTGATCATCAGAGAAATGCAAATCAAAACTACAATGAGATACCATCTCACCCCTGTTAAAATGGCTTATATACAAAAGACAGGCAATAACAAATGTTTGTGAGGATGTGGATAAAAGGGAACCCTTGTATTCTGTTGGTAGGAATGTAAATTAGTACAATCACTAGGGAGAATTTGGAGGTTCCTCAAAAAACTGATCATTGAGCTACCATAGGATCCAGCAATTCCACTGCTGGGTATATCCCCCAAAGAAAGGAAATCATTATATCAAAGAGATATTTCCACTCCTATGTTTGCTGCAGCACTGTTTACAATAGCTAGGATTTGGAAGCAACCTAAGTGTCCATCAACAGATGAATGGATAAAGAAAATGTGGTACTTGGCCGGGAACAGTGGCTCACACCTGTAATCCCAGCACTTTGGGAGGCTGAGGCGGGTGGATCACGAGGTCAGGAATTCGAGACCAGCCTGGTCAACATGGTGAAACCCCATCTCTACTAAAAATACAAAAATTAGTAGCCGGGCATGGTGGCTCATGCTTGTAATCCCAGCTACTCGGGAGGCTGAGACAGGAGAATCGCTTGAACCCAGGAGGGAGAGGTTGTGGTGAGCTGAGATCACACCATTGCACTGCAGCCTGGGCAACAAATGTGAAACTCTGTCTCAAAAAAAAAGAAAGAAAAAAGAAAATGTGATACTTATACACAATGAAGTACTATTCAGCCATAAAGAAGGATGATAACCAGTCATTTGCAACATGGATGGAACTGGAGATCATTATGTTAAGGAAAACAAGCCAGGCACAGAAAGACAAACATCGTATGTTCTCACTTACTTGTGGGATCTAAACATCAAAACAATTGAACTCATGGACACAGAGAGTAGAAAAATAGTTGCCAGAGGCTGGGAAAGATAGTGGGGGAATCGGGGGAGATGAGGATGGTTAATGAGTGCCAAAAAAATGGAACAAATGAATAAGACCTACTATTTGATAGGACAACAGGGTGACTATAGTCTATAATAACTTAAATGTATATTTTAAAATAACGTATGAAGTGTATCGTATTGTTTGTAACTCAAATAACAAATGCTTGAAGGGATGGATTTTTTAAAAAAGAATCTCATCCACTGGGGAAAAAATTTCACTAAATTAAGTAAGTATGAAATACATTTAAATAAGTATTTAAAGGGTGTTTTTATAAGTCTGTAGCATTTATGCTTCTGAAATTATTAAAACTTAAAACTACACTAAGACTTTTGGGACACTGTGTTTTAACTGTACAATCCCCGTCATGGATGTATGGGTACACTACATAACTACACAGTTTTGTTTTTTTTTTTTGAGATGGAGTGTTGCTCAGTTGCCCAGGCTGAAGTGCAGTGGCGCAATCTTGGCTCACTGCAACTTCTGCCTTCAGGGTTCAAGCGATTCTTGTGCCTCAGTCTCCCGAGTAGCTGGGATTACAGGTATGAGCCACCAGGCCTGGCTACTTTTTTGTATTTTTAGTAGAGATGGGTTTTCGCTATTGATATGGTTTGGCTGGGTCTCCACCCAAATCTCATCTTGAATTGTAGCTCCCATAATTCTCTCGTATAGTGGGACAGACCCAGTGGGAGATAACTGAATCATGGGGGTGGTTTCCCCCATACTGTTCTCGTGGTAGTAAATAAGTCTCACAAGAGCTGATGGTTTTATAAGAGGAAACCCCTTTCACTTGGCTGTCATTCTCTTCTCTTGTCTGCTGCCATGTGAGACGTGCCTTTCACCTTCTGCCATGATTGTGAGGCCTCCCCAGCCACATGGAACTGTGAGTCCATTACACCTCTTTCTTTTGTAAACTGCCCAGTCCCAGGTATGTCTTTATCAGCAGTGTTAAAGCAGACTAATACAGCTATGTTGGCCAGGCTGGTTTCAAACTCTTGGCCTCAAGTGATCTGCCTGCCTCAGCCTCCCAAAGTGCTGAGATTACAAATGTGAACCACTGTGCCCAGTCTACACAATTCTTTGGACTCTTTTGGACATTTGAAATTTTTCACAATAAAATATTCGAAAAAAGTCGGGTCAAGAGATATAATTTAATTATGAGAAATTAATAAAGATATATGAAAAAGGCTAAGCATAGAAGCAAAGTGATTATCAACATTATTATACCCAAGACAAATTCTTGCTACAGTTTAGTCCTCCTTTCAGGAACTTTTTTCCAAGATCTATATTTATGACCAAGAAGTGTGTCTTATATCCAGGAAGCTTTTTTTTCTTTCTTTCTTTCTTTTTTGCCGTAAAGAATGACTGCAACACTTCCTAAGATGCTTGGGCATGTTAGATAGCTACTTTGTGAACTCATTCAGCTGTTCGTCATGTATTCAGTAAGTATTTCCTATGTGCCAGGCACAGTACACAGCAGTGGAGATACGATCATAAAACACACAATCTTTAACCAACTGACTTTATAGTCTAGCTGAAGAGAGAGAGGAGGGCAGAAAAATAGAGTCTTATGACAAAGTGTAAAGTGCTATATAGCATGTTCAGCATTATAGCACTATTGTATTACAGCATATTATGGAACCACAAAAGAATAGAATGCAATCCAACCTTGCAAATACAATAATGGCCTCCCTGAATAAGTGAGAGGTGTTAGCGGTGGGGAGAAGGTATAGAAATTAACCAGGTAAAGAGGGGATTGATGAATGTCTCAATTAGAGGGAATCCCATAAGCAAAGTCTCAGAGGTGCCTGGTAATATGGTACATCTGAGAAAGAACAAGGAACTACTGGTGAAAGCAAGTAGATGTCTGGAATAGGATGCTGATGCCCTGGTAAGAGAAGAAATTTAAGACATTCACAAAAGTAATCCATTCCCAGCTGAAAGTGGAAAAAAAAGCCAACGTATTTATTTGATTATTTCAGTTAAAAATAAAGGTTTTTTAAATTTTATTTGGCTTCACTTTATGAATGCTTTGAAACAAAATTTTAAAGTTTGAATTATCCAAATTCAGTATAATTGCTTTAACTTGCTATTGCAT
The DNA here is from genome assembly GCF_000001405.40 of Homo sapiens. Taxonomy (NCBI): domain Eukaryota; kingdom Metazoa; phylum Chordata; class Mammalia; order Primates; family Hominidae; genus Homo; species Homo sapiens. Next base: position 27,022,434 of record NC_000007.14, read on the forward strand.
TCCGCAAATGGGAAAATAGGGTGAATGATGAAAAACACTAAATACACACGGATGACATGGATACACAATGAGTGAGGTACATAAGGAAACTTTTTACCAGTGATCCTCAAACTTCAGTGAGCACAAGTGGACTACTTTAAAAGCCATTTTCTATCTTTCATCCTTGAGACTCTGACTTAAAAGATCTGTGGTGGAGTCCAGGAATCTGAATTTTTAACAAGACCACAAATGATTCTTTTAACTATTTGCAATAGAAATTTTAAACCTAAACTAAATTAGAGAGAATACTATAACATCACCCGCATACTCCTCACTCACCTTCCATAAATAAACATATGGCCAGTCTTGTTTCATCTACATTGCCACTCATTTACCCTTCATCCTAATTTCTTTTTAAAATAATCCCAAATATCTTGACATTTTATCCACTAACACTTCAGTTTGTATCTCTAAAAAGAATGAATATTTTTAGCATTATCACAATACAATAATCACACCTAAAGACCCAAGGTGATCCTAATGTAACTGGTCCAGTCTCAGAAAAACTGGACTTGAGAAAGAGGGTAACAAGTCAGTGTCTAAGTGGACTACTTGGGAAGACATAACTTAATTTAGTTCATCATAGATTCAAACTCTTTGTTCAAGAACAAGCAAGCTATTCAGTTATGTTTCTGAAACTGTTACCTTAAATATTCAAAAAATGTATTTATGGAAAGCATAAAATTAACATACTGAATTGAATTAAAAAAAACTTTTTCAGGGTTATTGATCAAAATTTTTAAGGAAAAAGAAGTTGTTTTGTTAAATACATTTTTACACCTTATCAAACCTCAAAGAGGAAAGAACAAATTGCTCAATTTGCTTTTCCTCCAGAGTTACTTGGATTTCACAGAGTTTAAAAATATTTTTCTCAATGAACCTCAGAAAAGTTTCTCAGAGTAATGAAGAACACAAAATGTGCCCTGATAACTTCCTCACAATTTAATTAACTCCAAATGCTAAAGAATCTTGCTATTTATAATCATATCTATAGAATACAATTTGAATATCAAGGTTAGAGAAATCTGATTCCTTCAGTCATACTTCAGCTCCTTTCTTTTACCTGCTTTATCATCCCCAATCAGAACCAATATTTATAAAGTTCAAGTCAGTATTTCCTTGACATTTTTATCTCCTTTCATCTGTTGCTTTAAAAACAAAAGGGAACAAAACTTAATACAGAAAAATAAAAGAAAGGAGAAGCAGCTGCAATGCTGAGCAGAAGAGGCAGGAACCAGAACTGGAGCAGTAGCTGGGTCGGCACCATGGCTGGGATCGCCACCATGGAGGAAGTGAAGTGCAAGATCCAGGTTCTGCAGCAGCAGGCAGATGATGCAGAGGAGAGAGCTGAGCGCCTCCAGTGAGAAGTTGAGGAAGAAAAGTGGGCCGGGAACAAGGAGGCTGAGGTGGCCTCCTTGAATCGTAGGATCCAGCAGGTTTGAAGAGGAGCTGGACCATGCTCAGGAGCGCCTGACCACTGCCCTGCAAAAGCTGGAAGAAGAGGAGAAAGCTGCTGATGAGAGTGAAAGAGATATGAAGGTTATTGAAAACCAGGCCTTGCCGAGGCCCGGGAATGGCGTGACCCCCGGGAGGCGGAGCTTGCAGTGAGCCGAGATCGTGCCACTGCACTCCAGCCTGGGCAACAAAGTGAGACTCCGTCTCAAAACAAACAAATAAAACCAGGCCTTAAAAGATGAAGAAAAGGGCCCAGCGCAGTGGTTCAAACCTGTAATCCCAGCACTTTGGGAGGCCAAGCCAGGCGAATCACGAGGTCAAGAGTTTGAGACTATCCTGGCCAACACGGTGAATCCCTGTCTCTACTAAAAATACAAAAAATTAGCTGGGCGTGATGGCACACGCCTGTAGTTCCAGCTACTCGGGAGGCTGAGGCAGGAGAATCGCTTGAACCCAGGAGGCGGAGGTTGCAGTGAGCTGAGATCGCGCCACCGCACTCCAGCCTGGCGAGACAGTGAGACTCTGTCTTAAACAAACAAACAAAAAGATGGAACTCCAGGAAATCCAACTCAAAGAAGCTAAGCATATTGCAGAAGAGGCAGATAGGAAATATGAAGAGGTGCCTCGTAAGTTGGTGATCATTGAAGGAGACTTGGAATGCACAGAGGAACGAGCTGAGCTGGCAGAGTCCCGCTGCCAAGAGACAGATGAGCAGATCAGACTGATGGACCAGAACCTGAAGTGTCTAAGTGATGCTGAAGAAAAATACTCTCAAAAAGAAGACATATATGAGGAAGAGATCAAGATTCTCACTGACAAACTCAAGGAGGCAGAGACCCGTGCTGAGTTTACTGAGAGATTGGTAGCCAAGCTGGAAAAGACAACTGATGACTTGGAATATAAACTGAAATGCAACAAAGAGGAGAACCTCTGTACACAAAGGATGCTGTACCAGACTCTGCTTGACCTGAATGAGATGTAGAACACCCCAGTCCTACCCTGCTGCTGCTCCTCCCTTTGTCCCTGACTCCACCTGAGGCCGGCCTGCCTGAAGCTGATCTTTAACTGAGGGCTGATCTTTAATTTGGGGGCTGCTTTCTACTTTCGCAGCCCCCTCCTTCCCTGTTTCTTTTTTGCCAAACTGTCTCTGCCTCTTCCTGGAGATTCCAGCTGGGCTAAAGGCTGAGCACCTTTGGAAACAACATTTAAGGGAATGTGAGCACAATGCATAGTGTCTTTAAAAGCATGTTATGATGTGCAAGTGTCTTTAAAAGCATGTTACGATGCGCACATTTTGTAATTACCTTTTTTGTTGTTTTGTAGCAACCATTTGCAAAACATTCCAAATAATTCCACAGCTCTGAAGCAGCAATCTAATCCCTTTCTCACTTTCGGAAGGTGACTTTTCAGCTAAATGCATATTGCCCTCTCCATAGAGGAGAGGAAAAAGTATAGGCCTGCCTTACTGAGAGCCAAACAGAGCCCAGGAAAAGACTCCACTATGAGAAACCTCGTTGCTCTGTACAAAATACCAGCCAAACCAGAAAGGTGATTCCAGGAGGAGTTAGCCAAACAACAACAAAAAAAAAACAAAAAAGATATTTTAAAGCTGAAAACCTGGCTGGGTGCCGTGGCTCACGCCTGTATTCCCACCAGTTTGGGAGGCCAAGGCAGGTGGATCACGAGGTCAGGAGTTTGAGACCAGCCGGACCAACGTGGTAAAACCTCGTCTCTACTAAAAATACAAAAATTAGCCAGGCGTGGTGGCGTGTGCCTGTAATCCCAGCTACTCAGGAGGCTGAGGCAGGAGAATCACTTGAACCCAGGAGGCGGAAGTTTCAGTGAGCCTAGATCATGTACTGTACTCCAGCCTGGGCGACAGAGTGAGACTCTGTCTCAAAAAAAACAAAGAAAGATATCTTTGGACAACGTTATTTCAAATTTTTTTCATTAGAAGTGACCAAATTAAGATGGTAAGACCTCTGAGACCAAATTTTTGTCCTCCCAACTGCTTACAGAATGGATCACGTGCCCCTTAGGTTGAGGTGACTACTTAATTGCTTTCCTACCTTCTTGAAAGAAAGAAAGATTATGTTTTCGCCACTGATTTAGCCATGTGAAACTCATCTCATTAGCCTTTTCTGGGTTTGAAGTTGCTATCTCTAAAAGTGCCATCTCATTGTGCTTTGTATCAGTCAGTGCTGGAGAAACCTTGAATACCTTATATACAAAATTTTTTTAAATTTTGTATTATTTTGAAACTTTGCTTCCTTGGGTTTGTGGCACCCTGGCCACCCCCATCTGGCTGTGACAGCCTCTGCAGTCCGTGGGCTGGCAGTTTGCTGATCTTTTAAAGTTTCTTTCCCTACCCAGTCCCCATTTTCTGGTAAGGTTTCTATGAGGTCTGTTAGGTGTACATCCTGCAGCTTATTGGCTTGAAATGTACTCTCCTTTGATGTGGTCTCTTTGGGGCCGATTGGGAGAAAGAGAAATCAATAGTGCAACTGTTTTGATACTGAATATTGATAACTGTCTTTCTGATATAAAAAACCAGTCCCTCCAAAACAACACCTGAGTTTATAGCTGAATATCAGAAGCAATATTAAGTTTTCTTTCTTAACCACGCAGATCAGAAAATCTTTTGCAACATTAACATTTTAAAATATCAGGCTGAGCACAGAGGCTCTTGCCTGTAATCCCAGCACTTTGGGAGGCCAAGATGAGAGCATCACTTAAGCCCAGGAGCTCAAGACCAGCCTGGGCAACATAGGGAGACCCCATTTCTACAAAAAATAAAAAATTAGCTAGGTGTGGTGGCATGCAACTATGGTCCTAGCTACTTAGCACGCTGAGATGGGAGGATCGCTTGAGACAAGGAAATTGAGGCTACAGTGAGCCATAATGATGCCACTGCACTCCAGCCTTGGCAACAGAGTGTGACTCTACTCATCTCAAAAAACAAAACAAAACAAAAAAAACTTACATTTCACTGTCAATCCCTAAAATCACATTTGTGTAACACTGGTGTAAATTATATATTTGCGTTTTTCAGCTATATTCCATTTTTTAAAGTACAGTGATGATCTGTGATAGCTTACAAGCTATTTCTTATTTATCAACAGTATGAAACCATGAATCCATATCAAAACTATGACATAAAATCCTACATATGTGATTATTAACCTTAGAATGCCTAAGATGAAACTGTTCCTTGATACTGTCATTAAAAGAAGCATTTAATAAAGTACTAAACATCACATGTTTAAGGTATTTAATTTCTTTTTTAAACTCTTTACCCTTTGCTGAGGTTTTTTATTTGACATGTGTCCAAGGTAAAAAGACAAATCTACTCTTTTGCTCTTTGATAAGGTGTCAGAGCTTACTTAAAGGTTTAGGAATAGAGTTGTTGAACTAATTTTTTTGTACTGCAAGTTATATATGAGAATTGGTAGCAGTCTGTTGAAAGAAGTTTACCTGTGGTTAATAGCACTTATCTCACTTCTATCTATCATGCCATCAATTTCTTTATTACAAGAGTTTACCTTTGGGCAGCTCATACACCAGCTGTCAATCTGTCCTCACCCCGAGACTTTGCAGTAAACCAAGCTCAGGTGTGTTGAGGTTTCACCATGCTAGTTGTTTTCCTTCTTTCTCCAACTAGAACAGGTGTAGTCAAAATGCAAGCCTCTGGCACTCCAGATGTGCCCCATCACAAGACAGAGCCAGAACTTCTTCATTCCTGCCTCCTAGATCACAACTTCGTATCTGGAGATTTTCTAGATGTTGCTTCTTGTCTTAATTTTACCTTTCCTGCCCCTTCACTGAAGCATTTTAAGTGGTAGCTTTAAAAAGACTAAAAAACTCCAATGTCCATCAATAAAGGACTGGTCCAATAAAGTATACTCCACGAAACGAATTACTATACCTTGTAAAAAATGAGAAAGGAAAAAATGAAAATGCTCTCTAAGTAGTAATATGGAAAGATTTCCAAGATACAATAAGTTAAAAAAGTAAGATGCAGAATAGTATTACCTTTTGTATTTTAAAAAAAATCATAATTGCTTCTATATTCATAAAGAAACTTGCCAGGAGCAGTGGCTCATGCCTGTAATCCCAGCACTTTGGGAGGCCGAGGCGGACAGATCACGAGGTTAGCAGATCGAGACCATCCTGGCTAACACGGTGAAATCCCGTCTCTACTAAAAATACAAAAAATTAGACAGTTGTGGTGGCGGGCGCCTATAGTCCCAGCTACTCGAGAGGTTGTGGCAGGAGAATCGCTTGAACCCGAGAGGCGGAGCTTGCAGTGAGCCGAGATCGCGCCACTGCACTCCAGCCTGAGCGACAGAGCAAGACTCAGTCTTGAAAAAAAAAAAGAAACTCTGAAAAGATAGAATACAAACTAAGAATACTGATTATTGGGGTTGGGGTGTTTAGGAACTAAGCATGATGAAAGGAGTGGAAAGGAGAATTTTCATGACATGCCTTCTTATTCTTTTTATTTTTGAACTATATTGCCTATTCAAAATATTCAATTTAAAAAGAAAGAGATAATAGCTTCATTCAGTGCAAGGAGGCTAAAAGAAAGAAGAACTACACTAAGTAAGAAAGTCTCATTCTTACTCAGGCTATTGGCACTATAGTTTGGGGGAAAGAATAAATTATCAGGAAACTGAAAAATAAAATTTAGAAAATCACCAGTAAAAGCAGCTAGGACTGGTTCTGGTTGAAGGACAGGCTAAAAGACAAAAACATTAGCTACCAATCTTATGGCTTTGCTGATTCATCTGTGTTTTAACAGTGAGCAAAAAGTATTTTGAAGACAAATAACATTACAGCAGGATCAAATGCTCTCTCCTTAAGCATTTTCTTCAGTTTTCTAAAAGATATCCCATGTGCTGCTTCTCTCACATCCCAGATTACAAAGGCAGCATGGTGAAGAGGCAAGCACTGGAGCCCTGGTGCAATGCTGACTAGCCTCAGTTCCAGCTTTAACACTTAGGTGCTGTATGGCCTGTACACATTATTTAACCACATCGTGCTTTGTTTCTTCACCTGTACAGTGGCGATAAGAAGAGTATCTACCTCATAAAGTCACTGTGAGGATTAATCAAGTTAATACACCAAAACATGTAGAACAGCGCCTGGCTCACAGTAAGAACTCTGTAAATGTTTGCTCTTTTACTTGCTCTTCAACTGTTTTGCTGTTTGTCTTTCTTTAAAAGTGCAGCCTCCAAGGCCTAAAACTTACCCTTTCCACTTCCCATTAACCCTTGTTCTTTTTTTTTCTCCATTTTCCTTCTACTTTTCTTTTTTAAAGAGGGATACAATCGGTCACTAAAATACTCCCACAGCATTTTTGAGACAAGATCATCTCAAAGAAAAATATTCATAAAGGAAATAGAAAGTGTGGTGTTTGCCAGAAAAATTCAGAATTTAAAGCATTGGCATAAAGATAATTCCTTACATTTCTATATCACTCTATATAGTGATATAGGTTATCTCATTTGATCCTTACAACAACCTTTTGAGACCATTAGGGCAGTAAAAGAATACAAGGCAAATGAGATTAAAAGGGTTGCCTGAGGCTAAATTGGTGACAATATCTGACCAGCTCAGTTCGACAACAATTTATTGAACACCTGCCACAGCTTGGCCACTTGTGCTGACCTCCAAATTCTAAATGCTCTCTGCTACAAAGAGTCTACATGGTATAAAACACCTCTCAAGAGCTTCACTCAACTTGATAATCATGCTACCTAAAAGCCACTATAGGCCGGGCACAGTGGCTCATGCCTGTAATCCCAGCATTTTGGGAGGCCGAGGCAGGCAGATCATGAGGTCAGGAGTTTGAGACAGCCTGACTAATACAAGTAAAACCCCGTCTCTACTAAAAATACAAAATTTAGCCGGGTGTGGTGGCACAGGCCTGTAATCCCAGCTACTCAGGAGGCTGAGACAGGAGAATTGCTAGAACCAGGGAGGAGGAGGTTGCAGTGAGCCGAGATAGTGCCACTGCACTCCAGCCTGGGTGACAGGGTGAGACTCCGTCTCAAAAAACAAGAAAAGAAAAGAGAAGAGAAGAGAAAAGAAAAGAAAAGAAAAGAAAAAAAAGAGAAAAAGCTGCTATAGTATCAGATAGCAGAAAGGAACAGGGATTCCCTGGCAAAAGTATATTGGGCTGCATGATCTTGGGCAAATTACTTAACTACTCTATGCCAGTTTTCTCTTCTTTTTTGTTAAATTCTTTTTCTTTTATAGAGATAGGATCTCCTATGTTGCCCAGGCTGTTTTCAAACTCCTGGGCTCAAGTGATCCCTCTGCCTCAGCCTCCCAAAATGCTGGGATTACAAGCATGAGCCACCTCAACCACCAGCTAAGCCAGTTTTCTCATACCTAAATATATGTATTATACTTACCACCAGGTGGTTGTAAGGGTTAAATGAGAGAATGAATATAAAATCTGTTGTAAACTGTAACATCCCATCGGGTATTAGTTTTTTTGGTGTTAATCTGATTTAGCAGTGGAATGCAAGATGGAACCTAGGCGGGGGGCGGAGGGAAAAAAAGTCTGATAGAAAAACATCTTTAGGTACTCAGCCCTTAAAAGACCTCCCAGGGAGAGTAGCAACATTACAAAAACTCACACTGTTTCCCCTGTGGAGGGTACCCACTGAGCTAACAGAGGTAGGCCTCATGGGTCAGCCCCATTCTACCAAATGTATTCTTTCCCATTTGCTCCAGCTGGTGGTAACAGGTACAGAGGGAGCAAACCAGACAGCTGGTGCCACATGAAACAGAAAGATCTGTGCTTCGCCGTAAGGAAAAAAAAAAACTGTGGGAAACAGTGCAAGAACAAAAATAAGCAGGCAAGTGTTTGGGGCATTTCAGCTGGTAAGTGAGAGAGAGAAGCAGCCCCAAGACAGATGCAGTCCACGCCCTCCATCTGTAACCAGAGAGTGGCTCACATGTCAGAAAAAAGTTTGTCCTCCCTTAGGGGAATCTTGAAGGCTGTCAATGTTCTAACCATGAGGAATCACAAAATCTATACGGAACATTCCAACATGTGCAGGCCTGATAGGTCTCAGAGCAATGTTCTATGGGAGTCTGAGTTTTGCAGGCTTCTCACTTGGTGGACTGGGAATGTCAGTGAGAGGCGTGCTTTACAAGGGAGGGGAAGTGGTGTCTGAATCTGCTCAGAGACAGGCCCACTACTTAATTTAAGAAGGCAGTAGAAGGCCGGGCGCAGTGGCTCACGCCTGTAACCCTAGCACTTTGGGAGGCCAAGGAGGGCGGATCACCTGAGGTCAGGAGTTCAAAACCAGCCTAGCCAACATGGTGAAACCCCGCCTCTACTAAAAATACACAAAAATTAGCTGGGTATGGTGGTGGGCGCCTGTAATCCCATCTACTCGGCAGCTGAGGCAGGAGAATCGCTTGAACCCAGAAGGTGGAGGTTGCAGTGAGCTGAGGTCGCGCCACTGCACTCCAGCCCAGGCGACAGAGTGAGACTCCATCTCAAAAAAAAAAAAAAAAAGGGCAGTAGAACAGGGTGGTTAAGTAAGCCAACTGTCAGTCAAACAACCTGAGTTCAAATCCCAAATCCACTACTTACTTACTTAACCTATGTGATTTAGGGTTGCTTAATTTTGCTAAATTGCTTAACTTTAGTAGCAACATTTCCTAACTTTGGTAGCAAAGTTGCTTAACCTGACTAAGCTTCATTTTTTGATCTGTAAAATAGGGGCGAATAGTAGAAGAATGTTGTAATGAATAAGATGCTTGTAAAACAATTAGGAAGTGCCTGGTACAAAGTGAGCAGCCAATAAATGCTGGCTATTTCAGTATTGTTTCAAAAGGCAAGTTTATTAGGTTACCTAGTTCCTAAGGCCTAGAGAACAGGAAGTTAAAAGTGAAAGAAAGTGAAAATGTTTCTGTAGCATCAAACAGTAGCACATTCACTGGCAAGTGAGATAAGTTTCAAATGAAACCTTATGAACTATTTTAGATAAGTTAAACATACACGTAGAAAGACAATGACTAAATACTCAGTCACTAAATACTAGAATCAGAGCTCTATTTGGATTCCAGCTCCATCTATTAATAGCTCTGTGCCCTTGGCTTTATGCCTCTGTTCCACATTTGTAAAATGAGGATGATAATAGTATATACCTCATAATGTTGGAGTAAGGATAAAAATAAATGAGGCAATGCCTGTCTCAGTACAGGCCTTAGTACAGTCACTACCAATGAAAAGTACTTAATAATTAGTAGGTACTGTTTCCTTTATTACAAAAAAAAAATCAGAGGGCTATTTGTTAACCAAATTGAAAGCCTAACTCTCTGAACAGAGAAAGTAAAATATAGTGTTTTTTGAGAATCAGTTCTTGCTCTTACCAGAAGTAACTTTTCTATTTGAAGAAAATGTGTCAGTCTTTCCTAGGAAGAACTAATTTACCCAGGGTATCATAACACTTTTAGATTGGTCCACCCTACAATCTTGCTCTTACTATTGTGCTCTAACTAAACTAAGCAGAAAATTTATCTGAGGTAATTGAAAAATCTGAATTGTCTGACAGCTATGATTAATATTCTGCCCATATTTATAATTAAGTCATAGCCATAAAATAAGGCAAATGTCTCAAAAAATTCTAGCAAAAATTAAACTACATTTGCTTAAAGATTTATCAGTCTTACAATTCATTCCACATATTTAAAAAGTTTGCCAGTTCAGTAAAATTTAGTAGTAACAAAATAAAATGTATATTAAGTACATCAGAAATTAAAAATACACCCACTCACTTATTCATTCAAAAAACATTTCTGAATGCCTACTATGTGCCAAACACTGCCCTATGTTTTAAATCAAATATACTGTATTTGTTGCCTTTTACAAACTTCTTTCATTTATCATTTTCCATATTTCATTCAAACTTTCACATAACCTGATAACACTGCAAACTGATTAAAAGAGTTAACTATAAAAGCCCTGTCACTTTAAGAATTTGTAATTTTTTCCATTAACATTCCTCTCTGGTTTTATGTACTTGGTCTGTGCTGTGGGATGTAGCATAAATTATCTGCCTTCAGCAAAACGAGCAGCTGAAATGTGAGGCTGCCTGACAGTGCTTGTTAAGCCATTAGCTATTGTGAGCACACACTACTAGGGATGTCTGGCTCTCATGAGAAGTGTTTAAGTGGTTCAAAATATAGGAGTTTGGTCATGCAGTACAAAAAAAACAAGCCCAGTATTTTAGCACCATGCTTAGGGGTTAATTAATAAAAAGGATGAAAACAATCCTGGGATGTTTATTTTTAAAGAAAAGTATTACAAGTGAACACTTTGTGATTTACTGAAAGCCAGTAACAGGATAGGATGAAACAATATTTTTAGCAAAATCCTTCTACCACAGTCCAAGAAAATAAGTGTATTTCTTTTTTTCTTTTTTTTTTCTGGAGACGGAATCTCACTCTCTCGCCCAGGCTGGAGTGCAATGGCATGATTTTGGCTTACTGCAACCTCCGCCTCCCGGGTTCAAGCAAGTCTCTGCCTCAGCCTCCAGAGTAGCTGGGATTACAGGCACCTGCCAGCACACCCAGCTAATTTTTGTATTTTTAGTAGAGTCGGGGTTTCACCATTTTGGCCAGGCTGGTCTTGAACTCCTGACCTCATGATCCACCCGTCTCGGCCTCCCAAAGTGCTGGGATTACATGGGTGAGCCACCGCGCCCAGCCAAAAATAAGTGTATTTCTAAAACACAAAAGTGGTTGTTTGTTTAACTAAAAATTATTTTTAAAATATTACCTCTTTGGCCGGGTTTGGTGGCTCACGCCTGTAATCCCAGCATTTTGGGAGGCCGAGGGAGGTGGATCACAAGGTCAGGAGTTCAAGACCAGCCTGGCCAAGATGATGAAACCCCATCTCTACTAAAAATACAAAAATTAGCCAGATGTGGTGTCAGGCGCCTGTAATCTTAGCTACTCGGGAAGCTGAGGCAGGAGAATCTCTTGAACATGGGAGGCAGAGGTTGCAGTGATCCGAGATGGCACCACTGCACTCTAGCCTAGGCGACAGAGCAAGACTCCGTCTCAAAAATAAAAATAAAATAAAAATAAAAAAATATATATATCCTCTTTTATTCTCCCCACATCCATTTGCTTGCACTATCTGCAATAACCTGCTATACCCCTCCACTGCTCCCTTATCTCTATACCAGGCCTTATGGAAATCCTTTTCAGTTTTGTACAGCCCAACTCAGAAGCACCCCCTCTTCCATATGCCTCCTTACCCTCATCTGCCACCCCAGAGTGTTTTCACATGGCCCTGGCTGAAAGAGATCTCAGCACCCAGAGAAATCTGGGCACTAATTCATTGTCCTTCTTACCTCTTCTGTACCTTCTCTTAGGCCATCTTGTTTTATACTTACTGGTGTCTATATCTATCTCGTCAACTCGACTTTGAGTTTATTCATTTTGCATTTCACACAATGCCTAGTTCAAATTCTGTTAAGCGTCAGGTGAATAAGCCTGCTTAATACATTCATACTTTATGTACCTCAATTTCCTCATCTAGCAAGTGAGCCTAATAATATCTGCCCTGCCTAAGTAGAGTTTGTTATGCCATCAAATCAGATAACATATGTAAAAGCGTTTTTGAAAACTACTGCACATTTGTCTTAGTCCATTCAGTCTATTATTTTTAAAAATACCTTAGACTGGGTAATATACAAAGAAATTTATTTCTCATAGTTCTAGAAGCTGGGAAGTCCAAGATCAAAATGCCGACAGATTCAGTGTCTGGTGATGGCTTTTTGCTTCACAGATGTGTCTTCTTGCTAAGTCCTCACATAGTGGAAGAGCAAAAAGGCTCCCTCAAGCCTCTTTTATAAAAGCACCAATCCTATTCATGAGGGCAGAGTCCTCATGACCTAATCACCTCCCCAAAGCCCCACTATTTAATATTATTGCATTGGAGATTAGGTTTCAACATACGAATTTGGTGAGGGAACAAAAACATTCAGACCATAGCACATTCTTTGGCAAGCAATTTGGCAATGTTTATCAAAAGCCTTAAATCTTTTTCTTTTTTCTTTTTTTCTAAGAGACATGGTCAGCCGGACACAGTGGCTCACGCCTATAATCCTAGCACTTTGGGAGGCCGAGGCAGGTGGATCTCCTGAGGTCAGGAGTTTGAGACCAGCCTGACCAACATGGCAAAACCCTGTCTCTACTAAAAATACAAAAATCACCCAGGCGTGGTGGTGCATGCCTGTAATCCCAGCTACTCAGGAGGCTGAGACAGGAGAACTGCTTGAACCCAGGAGGCCGAGGTTGCAGTGAACTGAGATCGTGCCACTGCACTCCAGGCTGGCAACAGAGCAAGACTCTGTCTCAAAAAAAAAAAAAAAAAAAAAGACAGGGTCTCACTCTATCACCCAGGCTGGAGTACAGTGGTATGATAATAGCTCACTGCAGCTTCAAACTCCCGGGTTCAAGCAATCCTCCCACCTCAGCCTCCTGAGTAGCTAGGCGTATAAGCATGCACCATCATGCCTGGCTTTTTTTTAATTTTTTTGTAGAGATGGGGTCTCACTATGTTTCCCAGGCTGGTCTTGAACTCCTGGGCTCAAGTGATCCTCCTGCCTAGGCCTCCCAAAGTGCTGGGATTAAAGGCATGAGCCACACTGCACCTGGTCTTATTTTTTCTTATTCACTAATTATACTTCCAGTTTTTAATCCTAAGGAAAAAAATGTAAACATGGAAAAATTTTAAGCACAACAATGTTCAGATATTACATCTAATAATAATGAATGTGAAATAATTTAAACATCCAACAAAGGGGAATGGCTAAGTAAATTACTGCATATTGACTTGATGAAACATTATACAATAATTTTTAAATTATAAACATTATTTTAAGAGATGATATAATTACAGAAATGAGGAATGTTTAAGATGAAGTGTTAAAAGAAAAAATGTAGCATCGAAATTGTACATCTATCTTGACAATATATAAAAAAGAAACATCAATTCACCAAAAAAAAAATGATTGCAAGTACACTAAAATGCTAATAAAAGTTATTCCAAGGTAAGAGAATGAGTAGTTTCTTTTCTATATTATTTTATGTTTTCCAAATGTTGTTAAGTACACATTACCTTGAAAATAAAAAGACTCCAGGCATAGTGGCTCACACCTGTAATCCCAACACTTTGGGAGGCCAAGGCAGGAGGATTGCTTGAGGTCAGGTGTTCAAGACTAGCCTGGGCAACACAGCAAGACCCTGTCTCTACAAAATTTTTTTTTAATTAGCTGGGTATGGTGGTGTGTGCCTATAGTCCCAGCTACTCCGGAGGCTTGAGTCAAGAGGATTGCCTGAACCCAGGAGTTTGAGACTGCAGCAAGCTATGATTATGCCACTGCACTGAGGCCTGGGTGACAGAGTGAGACCTTGTCTCTTAAAAAAATTTAAAATAGGACCAGGGGGCAGGCATGGTGACTCACGCTTGTAATCCCAGCACTTTGAGAGGGCAAGGAGGGCGGATCATGAGGTCAGGAGTTCCAGACCAGCCTGGCCAACACAGTGAAAACCCGTCTCTACTAAAAATACAAAAATTAGCTGGGCATGGTGGCGGGCACCTGTAATCCCAGCTACTTGGGAGGCTGAGGCAGGAGAATTACTTGAATCCGGGAGGCGGAGGTTGCAGTGAGCCAAATCACGCCACTGCACTCCAGCCTGGGTGACAGAGCTAGACTCAATCTCAAGAAAAAAAAAAAAAATAGGGCTGGGTGCGGTGACACATACCTGTAATCCCAGCCCTTTGGGAGGCCGAGGCAGGTGGATTCGAGACCAGCCTGGCTTACATGGTGAAACCCCATTTCTACTAAAAAAAATACAAAAAAATTAGCCAGGCATGATGGCAGGCACCTGTAATCCCAGCTACTAGGGAGGCTGAGGCAGGAGAATCACTTGAACCCGGGAGGGAGGCAGAGGTCGCAGTGAACCAAGATCGCGCCATTGCACTCCTGCTTGGACAACAAGAGTGAAACTCCATCTCAAAATAATAATAATAATAATAATAATAATAATAATAATAATAATAATAAGGTTGGGCATGGTGGCTCACGCCTGTAATCCCAACAGTTTGGGAGGCCGAGGCAGATGGATCATCTGAGGTCAGGAGTTCGAGACCAGACTGGCCAACATGGTAAAACCCCATCTCTACTAAAAATACAAAAATTAGCCAGGTGTGGCAGCGCACCTGTATTCCCAGCTACTCAGGAGGCTGAGGCAGGAGAATATCTTGAACTCGGGAGATGGAGGCTGCAGTGAGCTGAGATTGTGCCACTGCACTCCAGCCTGGGCGACAGAGTGAGACTCCACCTCAAAAAAAGACAAAATAAATAAACAAATAATAAAAAGAAAGATAAACTTTCAACAGTAATTAAAAAGCTATATAAATACATGAATTTAAGAGCTATGAATATTGTATCTTTGGATTGCATCACTTCACTATTATATAGGCTCTAGGATAGCTCATTTTCTTAAATAAAAATAAACTAACTAAATCAGACTATGTTGTACTTCAGGCAGTACTTGTTAGACAACAAAAATAAAATTTAGGCCAGGCACGGTGGCTCACACCTGTAATCCCAGCACTTTGGGAGGCTGAGGTGGGTGGATCACTTGAGGTCAGGAGTTTGAGACCAGCCTGGCCAACATGGTGAAACCCCGTCTCTACTAAAATACAAAAATTAGCTGGGTGTGGTGGTGCACGCCTGTAATCCCAGTTACTTGGGAAGCTGAGGCACGAGAATCACTTGAACCCAGGAGGCAGAGGTTGCAGTGAGCAGAGATGGTGCCTCTGCACTCCAGCCTGGGCGATAGAGTGAGACTCTGTATCAAAAATAAATAATTTAATGTAATTTAATTTAAACCAGATTTCTTTGGTCCTAACTTAAAAATAATTTCAATAATTTTAACCAGTGAGTAAAAATGTCACTCCTTTCCTTTTTATTACTCAAATATATTCTCACTCACTGTAAGAACCTGTCTTCTGTCTCTATAGGTGTGTCATAAATGCTAATGTTATCTTTAAGAGTATTTCAGAATCCAAAGCTACCTTTTCTTTCACTCACTTCTGAACATTAACCTTCTTAAGTAAACTTGCTCTGTTTGAAAGAATCATATTTGCCCATGTGTTCAACAAGCCTAAGCATTTTTCTAGATCATCATCAAATGTCAAGGTTCACAAGTTTTTCAAATGTACTTAATGGTACTTAACGTTTCCATACTGGGGGAAATTTTTTTTACAAAAAGAAGAGGGGTGGGGCATGGTGACTCACCCCTGTAATCCCAGCACTTTGGGACGCCAAGACAGGTGGATCGCTTGAGCCCAGGAGTTTGAGACCAGCCTGGGCAATATAGTGAGACTTCATCTCTACAAGAAACAATTTAAAAAGTAGCAAAGCATAGTGGCAGGTGACTGTAGTCTCAGTTACTGAAGAGGCTGAGGTGGAAGGACTGTTTGAGCCCAAAAGGTAGAGGCTGCAGTGAGCTGAGATCGTGCCACTGCACTCCAGCCTGGGTAACAGAGCAAGACCCTGTCAAAAAAAAAAAAGAAGAGGAAGAAAAGAAAATGTCTACTACTTGTCAGAAAATCTCATTCCATAAAGTCATGTTTCTAAATGTGAATGATTTTGTGTTACCTTAAATATAAAATTAAAATACTTGTTTTTCATTTTCTGGTAATTTTCATGCACTTTTTAAAACACATCTCTTACCGGAGTTTGCAATTCCCATTCTCTTTCTAGTAATATCTATATTGATTTAATTTACATAGCAAATAGTCTTTACCAAGGAGAAAAAAATCTAACTTTTAAATTTTTTCCAAACCCAAATCTTCCTTTTAGAGAACTTGAATAAAAAAACTGCCTTATTTGACTATGTCATTGCTCTTTCCCAAGTTAATTTTATGACTATGTCTTTGTATTGAATTTGTTCACTCACATCTAACTGACCCAAATGCCTTATCAAGTGCCCAAATCAGGTCAAGGATAAGAGCTGCTAGTGATGCTATTTTGAGAAGAAACAAAATGTACTGTAATATACCAGTTCCCATTATGCCAAAATGCACCATTTCTTTGGCACATACATGTTATGTTTTACCAATAAGAGAAACAGTGATGAGCTGAGAAGGTAGTTCATCTGTACAGAATGGTTTGACTATTTTGTCTATGGATATTCACTGAAACCTTTCTAAAGTGTGGTTAGTATATGAAAGCATATATTTTGATTTACAAATGCAGAATTTTACTTGCTACATATAGGTGATCATTAGTCCTTTCAAGGACGGGAAATGTCCCTTTTTTAATTGAGATGGAGTTTTGCTCTTTTGGTCCAGGCTGGAATGCAATGGTGTGATCTCGGCTCACTGTAACGTCTGCCTCCCGGATTCAAGCGATTCTCCTACCTCAGCCTCCCAAGTAGCTGGGATTACAGGCATGCACCACCACGCCCAGCTAGTTTTGTATTTTTAGTAGAGGCAGGGTTTCTCCATGTTGGTCAGGCTGGTCTCGAACTCCTGACTTCAGGTGATCCGCCTGCCTCAGCCTCCCAAAGTGCTGCGATTACAGGCGTAAGCCACCGTGCCGGACCAAGAAATGTATTTCTTTTACCTTTGTACACTGAGTATCTAGCCCATTGCCTGCACATTGTAAGTGCTTAAGAAGTGTTTGTTAAACCAGTGATACCACAACACAGTTGACTTATTGAAAAGCAACTGCCAAGTTGTACCATACTGCAACAGGCACTGTGGCTAATTAGCTCAGTTTATTAGTGCAAGGAAGTGAGGTCAAGGACTCAATTCCCAAAAGGATCTTTTGGCCTTATTCTAGTCACAATTTCATACCTTGTTCCATCCAACAAGCCATCTCTCCTATGACTGCAAGGAGAATCAGACAAGCAGAGGCAGAAAGAAATAGTTTAACACAATTCATCACCATTCTAATACAGATAATTTAGAAATTAAACAGGTAATAAATGAACTGTGCATCCTTTTGATATGAAAAATTCCAATATTTCAGTATGTGAGATTTGGTTATAAGGGTAAAATAAAAAGTTCTGGAGATAATGGTTACAAAACAATGTGTATGACACTAAATTGTACATTTTAAATAGTTAAATGGTAAATTTAATGTTATGCATATTTTGCCACAATAAAAAATAAAGTTAAATTATTAAAATGTGAAAAAAAATTATAAGTTAACACAGCTTAAATTAACATCCAGCAACCTCACATGTAAAATAAACAGGTAAAAAATGAAAAAAAAAGAGTAAAATAATAACATTAACTGCTGATCCTTAAAGTAATACAAACTAATATAGAAACCCTGTATCATTTTATTATAACTGTAAAGTTTGTCACAGAGTTCTTATGAGGATAATGTCTTGTGATTGCTATAAAAAGTCATTTAATTCAAAACATTTGGCTAATAAAGGATTTCTTTTTTTTGGACAAGGGAATTTCAATAAAATGCTTTGCAAAATAAAGAAAATGAATGGATACAAGACATATAGTCTTAAAAATAAAGCTTTTCTCCAAGGACTCTCAAATAAACTTCTATTATGAACAGAGCCTATTTCAGTAGTTTGAACACAGGAGAATTTTAATTTGTTTTCAAGATTTCACTGGCTCTAATGTCTCAGGAAAGTAAGCCAGCTTCTATATACACATTTTCTATATAAGTGGAAATAATACTACTTACTGCTTCATATGGGGTGCTATGTGAATTAATTGGTTAATGGTCTTAAAGCACTGCCTAAGTACTAAACGTTATCATTAGTGTGCATTGTATATCTCTTTGCAATTATCTGCCACCTTAAAATGCTGTGGCTTGTAAGGCTGCCTCTCTCTTGGAATATTTACAAAAGGTTAAAGAAAGTTCAAGAGGAAAAAAAGCATGTAGGCTAAGGTAAGGCAGAAGAAAGGGAAATTCAAAATCTGACATGTTTTATTACATGCTTTTTGTTACATCGTATTACATGTTTCTTGAAATTACAGATCATTATGCTAGAAGAAAAAATTTAGTCACACACATTTTGAATTCAAAATATGCTACATAGTTTTAAGAAATCAATCTATAATAGAACTAAGCAAATAAAGTATACATTGCATTAAGATAAAGTTATAATTTATTTTATTATAATTTAATTGTTAATCATAATAGTTACATGTTTAATCTTATTAGTTGAAAGAGCCTATCTGACATCTGTGAGACCAGATCCAATAATGCCTGTGTTTTTTTTTTTTCTGCTGTTAAAGTCTTCAAATATTTTTTGGAAGATAAATTCTTAAATGCACAGAATAAAATTTCTACTGAATTAATAAGAAAAACAATAGTAGTAGTAGTAATACCTTACACTTACACAGTGATTTATAATTATACCAGGTAGCAAGAACTGTGAAGGTCTGAGACTTTACCTTACCAGTCTGCAAACTAGTCTGCTAGTTTCATGGGTGCTGACAGAAGACACAAGACTCCTGGATCAAAGACAAGTGACAGTTTATTACTAATAGCAATGGCAGTAGCCAGAGCATCTTCATTTTCTTGTGGCAGTAGCCCAAGCCCCAGTTCCCACAGGGTGACACAAGGGCTACGAGACATGTGCACACACACTGGGTTGTATTACAGAAGAGTAACCCTGAGCTTAGAAAACCTCAGTCTTTTCCCTTTGCTCCAGAGAAAGACATTCTCTCTTCCAAGGCTGTTTGCTATACCAAAATTCATGAAAAAAAGTCCAGAATAAGAGGCTAGCAGTGCCTCTGCTCACAAGACATGCATAAATATTTGAGAACCAAGGAGAGTTATGTCCCAATACTAGGGTGACCATATATCCTAGTTTGCTTGTGACAGTCTTGACCAATACTAGTTGTCTCAGCTTAATTATTAATAGCACCCCTTTCCACTCTCGCAAGTGTACCAGTTTGGACAAGAAATTATATAGTTACCACAGTTATAATTCTTTAAAAAATTACCTGCCTGGTCAGAGTACTGCTGATATCTACAGTTAGGGTTGGGTCAATCAAATAGCACAAGAGAGTAAAAGTCAAAAGGGGGAAAAGCAAATCATGCATATCATTTTAATAATATGCATTATTATATGCATAGAATAATATGCATTATTCTAAATGAAGAAGACTTCAAGCACTTATTTAGAAGAAAAGAGACTATTCCAGGAAAAATAAAAGCTGGTTTGATTGTGTCTTAACCACTTAAGACAAACCACTTAAAAATGGCAACTGAAGCTTTGCATAACTGGTACAGTAATTACACTATTTTGCCTGAATACTTGTCCTTCTTTACTGAAAGATCTCAGGTAATTTTTACCCTAAGTATCCCTGAAACTAAGAAATTTTCTGACTTCCATTTTGAGTTGTAAAGAATATTAAAACTTTACAGAATATTAAAAATTACCAGGATATTTCAGCCACATCCAGACAATTTACTCCTGGCAGGTTCCCCATTCTTCTCACCCCTCCGCACAGTTCAAGCTATTTGATTTTGACAGCATTCCACACCCGTCCTCATTCTCTTCCCCTACTTCCCCACCCTTGAGCTCAACTCTGACCCCTGTGTCTACCATCAATTCTGACCTTAGACAATAGTGATTTAATGAGTTTTCACTCAATACTATGGAACCAAGCTCAATTTATCCCTGGCTCAAATAGCCCAGTTCTATCTAGAGCACTTTGGTCTTATTCCATAGATCATCAGTGTCCATCCAAATTTCCAATTACAGTAAGTAAATCCTTGATGGTCTCATTCCCTGAACTTAAATTGGTACTTCAGTCCTTGGGGATTGGGACCCTCCCATACACTTGTCAGGCCCCTCGCAGGGAAGAGAATCCTGCAGCAGATCATAAGTCCTGAACCAAGGGTTTGCCAACCTGACCATGCTGGTTTTCAAATATCACAAGCTTCTGGGTTCTCTGTACCTATGTTTTGCATGCCTGTTGAGGACCATTATCGCCACATGGGACTTTCGAGATACACGACATTTTACTGGAATATCTTCCACCCCATATACCTACCATGGAGTGCCCATGAGCATGGACTTTCTCTCTTAATTTACCCAGAGTCTCTCATGATAATGATCATTTCAAAGACCTCAGGTCAATTACAGTCTTATTCCTTCCCATTCTGCCAGTTCTGCACCAAGTGGCCTGTTCATACTTGACTCTATTCTGAAATGTCACTGAGAATTTTTGTATTGCTGTTCTCCTTTCACAACTATATCTAATGAATTAATTTCATTATTCCAGCAGGTTCTCTGTATGAAAACAACAAAGTTTAACAAAGTGTCTGTGTTGCAAAATGGTCTCAGTATGTGATAGATTATGAGAATGCCTAGACTTTGTTTATGAGTTTGCAAATTTTCAATTCATATGGGTCCTTAGGAAATTACTTAAATCTCAATGTAAAATAAAATAACAAAATTCCATAGAAAAAGTTGTATGTACATTATAATTGCAATTGTGTAAAGAAAAAATCATGGGTGTGAGCAAAGTCTAAAAAGCAATCCACAAACAGCAATATATTTCATAAACAAGTGAATAGTTAAGTTAGAGTAATGTAATTTTGGAGTTGTTTTCTTTTTTAAAAAATATCCATGTTGTGAGATCTAATTAAAATAAAGAGCTTATGCACAGCAAAAGAAACTATCAACAGAGTAAACAGACAACTTACAGAATGGGAGAAAATTTTTGCAAACTATGCATCTGAGAAAGGTCTAATATCTAGCATCTACAAGGAACTTAAACAAATTTACAAGAAAAAAAACCCATAAAAAAGTGGGCAAAGGACATCAACAGACACTTTTCAAAAGAAGACATACATGTGGCCAACAATCATATGAAAAAAGCTCAACATCACTGATCATTAGAGAAATGCAAATCAAAACCACAATGAGATACCCCTCATACCAGTCAGTGGCTATTATTAAAAAGTCAAAAAATAACTGATGCTGGTGAGGTTGTGGAGAAAAAGAAATGTTTACACACTGTTAGTGGGAGTGTAAATTAGTTCAACTATTGTGGAAGACAGTGTTCCTCAAAGACTTAAAGACAGAAATACCGCTGTAAGAAACATAGAAAACCCTCTCCCTCTCCCTCTCCCTCTCCCTCTCCCTCTCCCGATGCCGAGCCGAAGCTGGACTGTACTGCTGCCATCTCGGCTCACTGCAACCTCCCTGCCTGATTCTCCTGCCTCAGCCTGCCCAGTGCCTGCAATTGCAGGCACGCGACGCCACGCCTCACTGGTTTTCGTATTTTTTTGGTGGAGACGGGGTTTCGCTGTGTTGGCCGGGCTGGTCTCCAGCTCCTAGCCGCGAGTGATCCGCCAGCCTCGGCCTCCCGGGGTGCCGGGATTGCAGACGGAGTCTGGTTCACTCAATGCTCAATGGTGCCCAGGCTGGAGTGCAGTGGCGTGATCTCGGCTCGCTACAACCTCCACCTCCCAGCCGCCTGCCTTGGCCTCCCAAAGTGCCGAGATTGCAGCCTCTGCCCGGCCGCCACCCCGTCTGGGAAGGGAGGAGCGTCTCTGCCTGGCCGCCCATCACCTGGGACGTGAGGAGCCCCTCTGCCTGGCTGCCCAGTCTGGAAAGTGAGGAGCGTCTCTGCCCGGCCGCCATCCCATCTAGGAAGTGACGAGCGCCTCTTCCCGGTCGCCATCCCATCTAGGAAGTGAGGAGCGTCTCTGCCCGGCCGCCCATCGTCTGAGATGTGGGGAGAGCCTCTGCCCCGCCGCCCCGCCTGGGATGTGAGGAGCGCCTCTACCCGGCCGCGACCCCGTCTGGGAGGTGAGGAGCGTCTCTGCCCGGCCGCCCCGTCTGAGAAGTGAGGAGACCCTCCGCCTGGCAACCGCCCATCTGAGAAGTGAGGAGCCCCTCCGCCCGGCAGTCACCCCGTCTGGGAAGTGAGGAGCGTCTCCGCCCAGCAGCCACCCCGTCCGGGAGGGAGGTGGGGGTCAGCCCCCGCCAGACCAGCCGCCCCGTCCAGGAGGGAGGTGGGGGGGTCAGCCCCCCGCCCGGCCAGCCGCCCCATCCGGGAGGTGAGGGGCGCCTCTGCCCTGCCGCCTCTACTGGGAAGTGAGGAGCCCCTCTGCCCGGCCAGCCGCCCCGTCAGGGAGGGAGGTGGGGGGGTCAGCCCCCTGCCCGGCCAGCCACCCCGTCTGGGAGGGAGGTGGGGGGGTCAGCCCCCCCGCCCGGCCAGCTGCCCCTTCTGGGAGGCGAGGGGCGCCTCTGCCCGGCCGCCCCTACTGGGAAGTGAGGAACCCCTCTGCCTGGCCAGCCGCCCCGTCCGGGAGGGAGGTGGGGGGGTCAGCCCCCCACCCGGCCAGCCACCCCGTCCGGGAGGGAGGTGGGGGGATCAGCCCCCTGCCCGGCCAGCCGCTCCGTCCGGGAGGGAGGTGGGGGGGGTCAGCCCGCCGCCCGGCCAGCTGCCCCGTCCGGGAGGTGAGGGGTGCCTCTGCCCGGCCGCCCCTACTGGGAAGTGAGGAGCCCCTCTGCCCGGCCAGCCGCCCGTCCGGGAGGGAGGTGGGGGGGTCAGCCCCCTGCCCGGCCAGCCGCCCCATCCGGGAGGTGAGGGGCGCCTCTGCCCAGCCGCCCCTACTGGGAAGTGAGGAGCCCCTCTGCCCGGCCACCACCCCGTCTGGGAGGTGTACCCAACAGCTCATTGAGAACGGGCCATGATGACAATGGCGGTTTTGTGGAATAGAAAGGGGGAAAGGTGGGGAAAAGATTGAGGAATCGGATGGTTGCTGTGTCTGTGTAGAAAGAGGTAGACATGGGAGACTTTTCATTTTGTTCTGTACTAAGAAAAATTCTTATCCTGTTGATCTGTGACCTTACCCCCAACCCTGTGCTCTCTGAATCATGTGCTGTGTCCACTCAGGGTTAAATGGATTAAGGGCGGTGCAAGATGTGCTTTGTTAAACAGATGCTTGAAGGCAGCATGCTCATTAAGAGTCATCACCACTCCCTAATCTCAAGTACCCAGGGACACAAACACGGCGGAAGGCCGCAGGGTCCTCTGCCTAGGAAAACCAGAGACCTTTGTTCACTTGTTTATCTGCTGACCTTCCCTCCACTATTGTCCTATGACCCTGCCAAATCCCCCTCTGCGAGAAACACCCAAGAATAATCAATAAAAATAAATAAATAAATAAATAAATAAATAAATAAATAAAAAGAAACATTTAAAAAAAAAAAGACAGAAATACCATTTGACCCAGCAATCCCATTACTGGGAATATACCCAAAGTAATACAAGTCATTCTATTACAAAGACACATGTGTGTGTATGTTTATTGCAACACTATTCACAATAGCAAAGACATGGAATCAACCTAAATGCTCATCAGTGATAGACTGGATAAAGAAAATGTGGTATATATACACCATGGAATACTATGCAGCCATAAAAAAAAGATCATGTCCTTTGCAGGGACATGGATGAAGCTGGAGGCCATTATCCTTAGCAAACTAACACAGGAACAGAAAACCAAATACTGCATGTTCTCGCTTATAAGTTGGAGCTAAATGATGAAAACACATGGACACATTGTGGGGAACAACACACACTGGGGCCTATCAGAGGGTAGAGGGTGGGAGGAGGGAGAGGATCAGGAAAAATAACTTAGGGTAATAGGCTTAATCACCTGGGTGATGAAATAATCTGCACAACAAACCCACATGACACACATTTACCTATATAACAAACCTGCACATGTACCCCTGAACTTAAAATAAAAGGAAAAAAAATCCATTTTGCATTTTGAAAAGGAAAAGAAAATTATGATATGTATTTATCATAAGGTAATACTTTGTAAGCACACTGGGATAACAATGAAAAATACTGTAGTTATCAATGCTTCCTTTTTAATGAGCTCTTCCTTAATCAAATCTTGGTTTAGCTTTGTATTGATTTTAGAACATGCTCCCTTTCCTATGCACATGTGTGTTTTTCAAAGGCTGCAAAAGGTTAACAATTGTTATATATCATTATATACTAACAGTTGGTCTAATGACTAAGGATTGAATCAGCAATCTTGGTAACTTCCTCTTAGCTCTATGACCCTAGCAAGGCACTTAACCTCTGTTTCTCTTTCAAAAGGAATAACAACAATTGCTGAATTCGGAAAATATCTATAGACTATATTTATATTAAGACCTTTCAGTGAAAATGAGAAATGAATGTAAACTCATAAAGACCCAGTTCAGATAATGTACTTCTGTAGTCTAACACATGAATTTTTTTTCTTTTTTTTTTTTTTTGTTTCTTTTGTTTTTTGGGTTTTTTTTTTTTGAGACAGAGTCTCACTTTGTCACACAAGCTGAAGTGCAGTGGTGCAATCTCGGCTCATTCCAACCTCTGCCTCCCGGGTTCAAGCCATTCTCCTGAGTCAGCCTCCTGAGTAGCTGGGACTACAAGCGCCCGCCACCATACCCGGCTAATTTTTTTGTATTTTTAGTAGAGACAGGGTTTCACCCTGTTAGCCAGGCTGGTTTCGAACTCAAGTCCTCAGGTGATCCACCTGCCTCAGCCTCTCAAAGTGCTTGGATTACAGGCATGAACCACCGTGCCTGGTCTAATACATGAAATTTTTATTTGATAAAAATGTGTTCTTAGATTGTAACTGAGATTACTGACTATGGAATTTAAGTTAGATTGTTATTATATTAAAACACTTTGGGCCGGGCGTGGTGGCTCACGCCTGTAATCCCAGCAGTTTGGGAAGCTGAGGCGGGTGGATCACCTGAGATCAGGAGTTCGAGACCAGCCTGGCCAACATGGTGAAACCCTGACTCTACCAAATACAAAAAATTAGCCGGCCTTGGTGGCGCATGCCTGTAATCCCAGCTACTCGGGAGGCTGAGGCAGGAAAATCGCTTCACCCTGCGAGGCAGAGGTTGCAGTAAGCTGAGATGGCGCCATCGCACTCCATCCAGCCTGGGCAACAAGAGCGAAACTCCATCTCAAAATAAATAAATAAATAAAACTTTGCTAAATATCAGAACAACATTTTGACAAATTTTCAATGAAAGGCATAGTATGACATGTAGAAAACATATAATTTCCATGGGCCAAAGTTAGAATTTACCATTATAGAGAAAATAATTTCTTTATAGAAATGTTAAAGTTCTTCGGCCTCCTTGGGACTAGGTTTCCGCGGCTGCTGCGATGACCAAAATAAAGGTAGATTCGATGGGCCCGAGGCTCAGGAGGAGGCGTGCTCCGGGGAGCGCACCTACCAGGAGCTGCTGGTTAACCAGAACCCCATCGTGCAGCCCCTGGCTTCTCGCCGCCTCACGCGGAACCTCTACAAATGCATCAAGAAAGCCATGAAGCAGAAGCAGCTTCGGCGCGGGGTGAAAGAGGTTCAGAAATTTGTCAACAAAGGAGAAAAAGGGATCATGGTTTTGGCAGAAGACACACTGCCCATTGAGGTATACTGCCATCTTCCAGTCATGTGTGAGGACCGAAATCTGGCCTATGTCTCTATCCCTCTAAGATGAACCTGGGTGCAGCCGCAGGCTCCAAGTGCCCCACCTGTGTGATAATGGTCAAGCCCCACAAGGAGTACCAGGAGGCCTACGACAAGTGCCTGGAGGAGGTGCAGTCCCTACCCCTACCCCTATGAGGGGCTCCAGTAGCACCTGGGCACCTGCCTCTGGAAGCTACTGGGCTGACGGCGGGACGACCGGCTGTCCTCTTGCCCACCCACACTGACGGCATCTTCCTAGTTCCCCAAGGCACGCCTTCTTCCCAGGCAGCTCTTACAGCCCTTTCATGAAGGTAATGCCCGCCTTCTCTCCATCAGTGCCATTTCCCATAGAACTAAAGGGTATTCCAAGAATGGGGGGTGGGGAAAGTAAATGCTAAGACTAAAAAGAATAAAAAATAAAAATAAAATAAAATAAAATTAATGTTAAAGTTCTTCTAGGCCAGACATGGTGGTATGTGCCTGCATTCTCAGCTACTCAGGATGCTGAGGCAGGAAGATCACTTGAGTCCAACCTGAGCAACATAGTGAAACCCCATCTCTAAAAAAATAAGTAAATCAGCCAGGCACAGTGCCTCACACCTGTAATCCCAGCACTTTGGGAGGCCAGGGTAGAAGGATAGCTTGAAGCCAGGAGTTTGAGACCAACCTGGGCAACATGGCAAGACCCCATTTCTAAAATAAATTAATTAAATTAAATTAACTTATTCTAAATAGTTTAACATATTCACCAGCTGTAATGGTAAATTAATAAAAATCCTGCTTTCACTGGGTGCGGTGGCTCACGCCTGTAATCGCAGCACTTTGGGAAGCTGAGGCGGGTGAATCACCTGAGGTCGGGAGTTCGAGACCAGCCTGACCAACAGGGAGAAACCCCGTCTCTACTAAAAATACAAAATTAGCCGGGGTGGTGGTGCATGCCTGTAATCCTAGCTACGCGGGAGGCTGAGGCAGGAGAATCGCTTGAACCCGGGAGGTGGAGGTCGCGGTGAGCCGAGATCACGCCATTGCACTCCAGCCTGGGCAAAAAGAGTGAAACTCCGTCTCAAAAAAAAAATCCAGGCTGGGCACGGTGGCTCACACCTGTAATCCCAGCACTTTGGGAGGCCGAGGCGGGCAGATCATGAGGTCAGGAGATCGAGACCATCCTGGCTAACACGGTGAAACCCCGTCTCTACTAAAAATACAAAAAAAAAAAAAAAATCAGCTAGGCATGGTGGCACGTGCCTTTAGTCCCAGCTACTCGGGAGTCTAAGGCAGGAGAATCGCTTGAACCCGGGAGACGGAGGTTGCAGTGATCCGCAATTGCGCCACTGCACTCCAGCCTGAGCGACAGAGTGAGACTCCGTGTCAAAAAAAAAAAAAATCCTGCTTTCTCGGAAGTTATTGAAGAAATATTGCTGCAAAGATTAATTACCATTCTACTGTCTGAAAAGTGTACCTTCAAGCTGTTAAATTAGTGAATGGAGATCTATTATGACTTTAACAAGAATATTACTCACCAGGGGGATTACTGCTATTAACAGTAGGATGTATCATTTAAGACATT
This sequence comes from Homo sapiens, assembly GCF_000001405.40. Lineage (NCBI taxonomy): Eukaryota > Metazoa > Chordata > Mammalia > Primates > Hominidae > Homo > Homo sapiens. The sequence continues at coordinate 27,050,040 of NC_000007.14, forward strand.
AAAATTGAATGGAAATGTTTTTCAACCATTTAAATAAAACTCCTTGTTCTTTACTTCACAATGAAGCTTTCTTTTGCTAGCTTCTGTATTGTAGGAGTTTATGCAAGATTTTCCTGGTAGTACCATTTCAGATTACTTTTACATTTGTAAACCCCTATATTCCCATTTCTGTTTCATAGAGACAGAACTAGAGAGATACTAAATTGATATAATTTAGCAATGTTTGCAATCTCATAGGTGAGAACTCTATTCTAGCTACAAAATTACCACCATTACTATAAGCCAACTACATATCTCACGGTTAGACAAACTATTTGCATTCAAAGACCTCAGATGCTAAATCTGTTAGCTTTCTTCCTATATGTGCTAGATTCTATGTAGGGAACTTAATCAAATATAAAGTATATGGGTCACTACAGAAAGAGGAAGAGAATGATCTCTGTGTGTGTGTGTGTGTGTGTGTGTGTGTGTATCTATCTATCTATCTATATATATTTTTTTTTTTTTTTTGGACACAGAGTTTCGTTTTGTTGCCCAGGCTGGAGTACAGTGGTGCCATCTTGGTTCACTGCAGCCTCCACCTCCTGGGTTCAAGCGATTCTCCTGCCTCAGCCTCCCAAGTAGCTGAGACTACAGGCATGCGCCACCACACCCAGCTAATTTTGTAGTTTTAGTAGAGACAGGGTTTCACCATGTTGGTAAGGCTGGTCTCGAACTCCTGACCTCAAGTGATCCACCTGCCTCAGCCTCCCAAAGTGCTGGGATTACAGGCATGAGCCACCGCACCTGGCCCTAAAATATTTTAAAATGATAAAATACTATCTCCAAAATTCAAATTAGTACAGATTTAAATTTATTTTAATTCTTAATGCTGGCCATGGTGCAAAAAGTTGGACACTTATATTCACTTCATTTTGCAAAGTAAATTAGTACTTTTTGGAGAGCAATTTGTTTGTTTTGAGACAGGGTTTTGCTCTGTCACCAAGGCAGGAGTGCAGTGGCATGATCACAGCTCACGGCAGTCTCGACCTCCAGGGTACAAGTGATCCTCCTGCTTCAGCCTCCCAAGTGGCTGGGACTACAGGGGTGTGCCACCATGCCTGGCTAATTTTTTTCTTTTTTTTTTGAGACAGAGTCTCACACTGTCACCCAGGCTGGAGTGCAATGGCACAAGCTTGGCTCACTGCAACCTCCGCCTCCCGGGTTCAAGCCATTCTCCTGCCTCAGCATCCTGAGTAGCTGGGGTTACAGGCATGGATCACCATGCCCAGCTAATTTTGTATTTTCAGTAGAGATGGGGTTTCACCATGTTAGCCAGGCTAGTCTTGAACTCCCGACCCCAGATGATCCACCCACCTCAGCCTCCCAAAGTGCTGGGATGACAGGCGTGAATCACCGCAGCCGGCCAATATATATATATTTTTTTCTTAAGTAGAGATGAGGTCTTGCTATGTTACCCAGGCTGGTCTCGAACTCCTGAGTTCGAGCAACTCACCTCCCTCGGCCTCCCAAAGTGCTAGGATTACAGATGTGAGCCACTATGCCCAGCCAAAAGCAATATGGTTAATATGAATCAAGAGCCTTGTGAACAATCTCACCCTTTGACCCAGTACTACCACTTCTGGGAGTCTATCCTTAGAAAGTGACGCAAAATGCTGACTACCCCCAAAAATGTGCCAAAGATGTTAATAATAGCAAAATGCCAGAAATGATCTAAGTCCAACAAAAGGAATGTTAAAGCAAATTATGGTAATGCAAAGAATGAAGTATTTTGCAGCTATTAAAAATTATGCATGCATTGGCCAGGTGTGGTGGGTCACGCCTGTAATCTCAGCACTTTGGATGGCCGAGGTGGGTGGGTCACTTGAGGCCAGGAGTTCGAGAACAGCCTGGCCAACATGGTAAGACTCCAGCCTGGGCAACAGAGCAAGACTCCGTTTCAAAAAAAAAAAAAAATTATGCATGCATTTATATATATATATATATATAAAACATATATTTGTGTATATATATATAAATGCATGCATAATTATATATATATATGTTATAGATATATAATTTTTTAAGAGACAGGGTCTCGCTCTGTCATTCATGCTGGAGTGCAGTGACATGATCACAGCTCACTGCAGCCTGTAACTCCTGGGCTCAAAGGATCCTCCTGCCTCAGCCTCCCAAGTAGCTAGGTCTATAGCTACATGCCACCATGCAGGGCAAATTTTTTTGTTTTTAATTTTTTTGTAGAGACAAGGTCTTGCTATGTTGCCCAGGCTGGTCTTGAACTCCTGGATTCAAGCAATCCTTCCACCTCTGCCTCCCAAAGTACTGGGATTATAGGCACAAGCCACCATACCTGGCTTGTACAAATATTTTTTAATGACAAGCCAAAATGCTTCTAATGAAATGTTAAGTGAAAAAGGCAAGATACAAAATTATATGTGCTCTATGATGTAAACAGGAATGGAGGGCAGGAAATTGGATTTAAAAATAAAAAGACCAAATAGAAATGATGACAACAATAGTAGCTTCTAGTTTGAGGAGACCGTGGGTGAATTTTTTCTAGTTCTTCACACTTACTTTTCAGTACTTTCCAAACATTTTCCAAACATTTTATATTTACATTTAATGAGAATGTAGTATTTTTATAATGACAGAAAATGGGTTGGGAACTGAAAGCAAATAAATTTTACTTTTTTTAGAAAATGGAAGGCATGAAGGTATTCAGATATAAGCAAATTTTTTAAAAAGCAAATACCTAAAAGTGAACGTAGATTGATCTTATTTTTGTTTTTGTTTTTTTGAGACAGGGTCTCACTCTGTCACTCAGGCTGAAGTGCAGTGGCACAATCTTTGCTCATTGCAACTGCCACCTCCCAGGCTCAAGCAATCCTCCCACCTCAGCCTCTTGAGTAGCTGGGGCTACAGACACCCTGCCATCACGCCTGGCTAATTTTTTGTATTTTTTGTAGAGATGAGTTTCACCATATTGCACAGACTGTTTTGTTTTGTTTTTTAAGTATGGGCACAGTGACTGGTGCCTATAATCCCAGCTACTCAGGAGGCTGAGTTGGGATGATCCTTTGAGCCCTGGAGTTCAAGTTGCAGTTGTCATAGGACTTTCTCCTTAGGGTTCTTGTCACACAACCAGGAAAGATTAGGTTCTCAGACACTTTGAAGGGTGAGAAAGGCAGGATTTATTGGGTGAAAAGGAAAAAAAAAGGAAACAGGGACTCTCAGAAAAGCAAGAGTCCTGCTGGCTGGCTTCCTGCCTCACAGACTGAATCCCAGGTTACCACACAGGAATAGCAGAGGCCAGACTCCTCCCCCATGCAAAGGGCACGAACATCCCAGGGCTCTACCCCATTCTCTGGGTGCACAGGCCAGTCAAAAGTTCTCCGTGGACCACTTTATACTTGGCTGTCTCACAGTGAGCTATGATCATGTCACTGCACTCTGGCCTGAGCGGCAAAGCAAGACCCTGTCTCCAAACAAACAAACAAAAATATTCTCAGTAAGCTGGTACTACTGTTACAATTTTTTTTTAATTGGACTGAGACCTAGGTCCATTTGCAATTTCTTGCTTTTAATTGCTATAGCTTTCAATAAAAGAATAATGAGCTAAGTCACTTGTGTCCAATGTAACAATCAATAGAAACATGCAGCCTGTAAATCAAAGCACAACCGGGAAACATTTAAACACATGGATCATTTCCCTAAGAAGTTACCTTTTTAAATCAACTTTTTAATGGCAAAGTGTTGGAAAAAGAAAAGATTATTGTACTTAGGGGAAAGAATGGAATAGATGAAAAATATCAAAACTGCTTACAAATTTACCAGTCAGTTCACATTCAAGTACAAGAATAAAAATTTAATTGGAAAATCTCTGTACTTACTAAAAATTATCTATATAAAATGAGCTAATAGCAGAAACACAACCATTTGTAATCAAAATTCGTATTTCCATTGAATGTGGCTGTTTTATTTACAGCAACACAGAGACAGATATAGAGAAGAATCCAATCTTCATGCTTTGGTAATGGTATCTACCTGGTCAAAGTGCTGGGAATCAGTGTCCAAGCTCTCTGGATATACTTACAATGAACATTCATTCATTTATTCACTGACCATTTCTATAAACCTTTATTGAATAGCTACTGCTACCTATCCAATATCATGTGAGTCTAAAACAACTAGAATATCAGTTTCAAAATATTTTGTGGGCACTACCTATGTATTTAGCACTCTGCTAAATATGGTAGCAATTACTATAGAGGAATGTGGAGAGGCAACTATCACTTCTATACAATCAGCATTTAAAATAGAATTTTAGAACTGAAGAAATATTAAAGCAGTGAGTCCTTACTTTTTTGAGTTAACACTGTTTAAGTGGAATGATAATTCTGTTAGATGGTATCTGTTTTCGTTAGTGGCCTTACTTAGGAAAATAAAATATTTGCAAACATATATGAGTTTCCTAACTTTATTTTACAATATTACAAGTACATGAAATCCAAAAGTTTAGAAACTATTGTCCTAAAGGCCATAGAGAGAAAAGTATACATTTAATTCTATAGGCAGTTGAAATGGTCTCTGAGTATGGAATAAGACTGGAGTAGTACAATGTAATAATAGATTAGATGGTCTTATTTGTTGACATCTTCTTAATTGACTTTAGAAAAGGTAATTTAGTAAAATATTTTTTTAAAAGTTTTAATATAAAAAGAAGAAACTTGGCTGGGCGTGGTGTCTCATGCCTGTAATCCCAGCACTTTGGGAAGCTGAGATGAGCGGATCAATTGAGCTCAGGAGTTCAAGACCAACCTGGGCAACATGGCAAAAACAAAAAAATTAGCCTGATGTGGTGGTGCAAGCCTATAGTCCCAGCTACTCAGGAGGCTGAGGTGGGAGAACCCATTGAGCCCAGGAGGTGTGGTCGCACCACTGCTCTCCAGCCTGGGTGACAGAACGAGACCCTGTCTTGGAAAAAGCAAAAAATAAAAATAAGTAGGATAAACTATTGCATAGGAGAAACTATTGAATAGAGTGATTTAATAGAGAAAATATGAAATACAAACAGAATGAGCAGGATATAAGTTTAAATGGTCCAAACTATTCCCAAACACATACACATACCTATATAACACAGAGATTGTAAAACTAATAAGGTTAGTGTGTTTGTACTGAACTGAGATATCAGAATCAACTCAATACATTAAGTATATTCTGTTAAATTCTATTGTCAAAATCTAAGGTTAAAAAGTCATTCTCTTTTTTTTTTTTTTTTTTTTTTTGAGACAGTCTCACTCTGTCCTCCAGGCTGGAGTACAGTGGTGCTATCTCGACTTACTGCAACCTCTGCTTTCTGGGTTCAAGTAATTCTTGTGCCTCAGCCTCCTGCAACAGCTGGGACTACAGGCACCCTCCACCAAGCCGGGCTAATTTTTGTATTTTTAGTAAAGATGGGGTTTCACCATGTTGGCCAGGCTGGTCTCGAACTCCTGGACTCAAGCATCTGCCTCAGCCTCACAAAGTGCTGGGATTACAGCCATGAGCCACCGCACCCAGCCTAAAGAGTCATTCTTGAAGTGTTGCCTCTAAATTTTCATTAATATAGTTATTTAATATTTTATTGATTTATTTTTAGAGACAGGATCTCACTCTGTCACCCAGGCTGGAATGCAGTGGTGTGATCATAGCTCACTGCAGCCTGGAACTCCTGGGTTTAAGAGATCTTCTTGTCCCAGTCTCCACAGTAGCTGAGACTACAGGTACACACCACCATGCCCGGCTAATTTTTTTTTTTTGAAAGACAGGGTCTCACTTTGCTGTCCAGGCTGGTCTTGAGCTCCTGGCATCAAACAATCCTCCCACCCCGGGCCTCCCAAAAAGTGTTGGGATTATAGGCATGAGCCACCACAACCATCCCCACCTCTGTGATTATCTTTTGAATACTTTTTTTTTTGAGACGGAGTTTCACTCTTGTTGCCCAGGCTAGAGTGCAATGGCGCAATCTCGGCTCACCGCAACCTCTGCCTCCCGGGTTCAAGCGATTCTCCTAACTCAGCCTCCTGAGTAGCTGGGATTACAGGGATGCACCACCACGCCCGGCTAATTTTGTATTTTTAGTAGAGGCGGGGTTTCTCCAAGTGGGTCAGGCTGGTCTCAAACTCCTGACCTCAGGTGATCCACCCGCCTCAGCCTCCCAAAGTGCTGGGATTACAGGCATGAGCCACCGCGCCTGGACTTGAATACATTTTTATAAACATTAACTTGTAGACGTTGCATGTGCTGTCTGGTTCCAGCCTTGATCTTCAAATAAACTTTTCAGGGTGCTGCATTTGTGGTTCCTTGAGTGAACCTGTCTGGAAACTACCATCTGCCCCTGGAATCAAGCTTTTGTCCTCAGCAGTTAGCAACTTCGATGGCATTACCATCCCCATGCAGCTTCTTAAACATACGGAGGCCTGACCCCAGCCCGACTCAATTAAAATCAGAAATTTTGGTGATGGCACCCAGAAATGTATAGTTCCTAACTTTCTCTACTTTGCAGCCAAAACTGAGAACTACTGATAATAGGTAGAAATCAGTTATTTCCAAATTTATCACATTGACTTGACATTATTTCTCTGTATTATTTCTCTGTATTTCTGGTAAACCATAGCAGGTACCCAATAATTTCATTAAAAATAAAAACCCAGGCCAAGCAAGTTGGCTCACACCTGTAATCCCAGCACTTTGGGAGGATTGCTTGAGCCTGGGAAGTCGAGGGTGCAATGAGCTGTAATCGCGCCACCGCACTTCAGCCTGGGTGACAGAGCAAGATCCTGTCTCAAAAAAATAAAACAATAAAAGCCGGGTGAGGTGGCTCACGCCTGTAATCCCAGCACTTTGGGAGGCTGAGGCAGGCGGATCACCTGATGTCAGGAGTTCAAGACCAGCCGGGCCAACATGACAAAACTCCATCTCTACTAAAAATACAAAAATTAGCCAGGCATGGTAGCAGGAGCCTGTAATCCCAGCTACTTGGGAGGCTGAGGCAGAAGAATCACTTGAACCTGGGAAGCAGAGGATGCAGTGAGCTGAGATCGCGCCATTGCACTCCAGCCTGGGCAACAAGAGTGAATCTCCAACTCAAAAAACATAAATAAATAAATAAAATAACAAAATAAAATAAAAATCCAAACTCCATACCATGGCCTAATGGCCCACTGTGATCTTTCCCCAGCCTGTCCACCTTATACCTCCCCACTGCCCCCTGAGTGTCTTGCAAACATGCCAAATTTATTCCTACCTCTAGGCCTTTGCATTTATCATCCCCTCTACAAGAAACACTTCTCCCAGTCCTTTATTTCTCTGGCTCTTTTTTTTTTTTTTTTTTGAGACAGAGTCTGGCTCTGTCACCCAGGCTGGGGTGCAGTGGCATGATCTCAGCTCACTGCAACCTCCACCTCCCGGGTTCAAGCTATTTTCCTGCCTCAGCATCCTGAGTAGCTGGGATTACAGGTGCCTGCCACCATGCCCAGCTAATTTTTGTATTTTAGTAGAGACAGGGTTTCACTGTGTTGGCCAGGCTGGTCTTGAACTCCTGACCTCATGATCCGCCTGCCTCGGCCTCCCAAAGTGCTGGGATTACAAGCATGAGCCACTGTGCCCGCCCTCTCTGGCTCATTTTCATCACAGAAGTCTTTACTCTGTACTTAGAAAAGTCCTTTCCTGACCAGCCTATGTAAAAATAACCACTCCCTTTATGGTCTCTCTCACCTCCTACTGTCTTATTTCCTTCATGGAACTTACCTCTACCAGATATTAACTTTCTTATTTATTATCTACTTATTTATTGTCTGTTCCCAACCACCTCCACACTAGATTGCAAATTCTAAGAGAGTCAGAACGGAGAATCATTGATAAAATGTGGAAATCACTTTTTTTTTTTTTCTGAGACAGGGCTTGCTCTGTCACACAGGCCCGAGTACAGTGGTGCAATCATGGCTCACTGCAGCCTTGATCTCCAGGTCTCAAGTAATCCTCTCACCTCAGCCTCCCAGGTAGCTGAGACTACAGGCACGTGCCACCATGTCCAGTTAATTTTTAAATTTTTTGTATCAATGTTGCCCAGGCTGGTCTTGAACTCCTGGGCTCCAGCAATCCTCTCATCTCAGCCTCCCAAGTAGCTGGGACCACAGGCATGCACCACCACACCTGGCTAATTTTTGTTGTTGTTGTTGTTATTGTTGTTGTTTTGGTAGAGATGAGTTTTTGCCATGTTGCCCAAGATGTTCTCAAACTCCTGAGCTCAAGTGATCCTCCCTCCTGGCCCTTCCAAAGTGCTAGGATTGCAGATGTGAATGACCACACAGGGCCTCAGTAATTATTTCTGAATTAATGTGAATAAGCATTTAAATGAATGAATGATAGACTACTGAAAAGTTCAAGAACACCCTGACCTTTTAGTAACATATGTATGATATTACTCTCTGATCACCCTATTTCTCTTTGAATATGTGCCAATAAATGTTCTGTGCCATTTGTTAAAGTCAATGTCGATTTTACATCATCTACCAAGATCAACTTATGTTTCCCAAAGTCAACAATTTCTTTTTTTTGAGATGGAGTCTCATTCTGTCACCCAGGCTGGAGTGCAGTGGCGTGTTCTCGGCTCACTGCAAGCTTCGCCTCCTGGGTTCACGTCATTCTCCTGTCTCAGCCTCCCGAGTAGGTGGGACTACAGCTGCCTGCCACCATGCCCAGCTAATATATATATATATATTTGTATTTTTAGTAGAGACAGGGTTTCCCTGTGTTAGCCGGGATGGTCTCGATCTCCTGACCTTATGATCCACCTGCCTTGGCCTCCCAAAGTGCTGGGATTACAAGTGTGAACCACTGTGCCCAGCCAAGGTCAACAATTTCTAAAGGTACTAAAGAACAAGTCTCAATAATTTTCAGCAAGATATGAAAATCACATGCTATCCTGCTGAAAATTATTGGGACTTGGATGTTGATAAAGTATGAAGATTATTCATTCTGCTGTATTATATTTAATAAAGTTACTGACATCTTTTTAGTTTAACCTTTATTTCATTAGATTAGAAATAGAAATAATCTTTATTTAAATTCATATATTAAATATATGTTTATATATTAAAACGAGTTAAATTAGTATATCATATTTTCATTTCCTTTCAATATATGCTAGAAAGTTTCAATTTTTTTATCTTAAAAGGTCAACAGTCCTTACAGAAGGATCAATTTCTAATTCTATATATAATGAAATTTAGTGTGGAAAAGACTTAAAATACAGAAATTCACTTTATAGAGAATATTTAAAGAATCCATCTATTCCGTAAAGTAAGCTTCAGCTAACGGCTCATGTAAGAAACAGGATAAGAAAAGTATCAAACAAGATGGAGTAAATGTATTATCATGTGGTATCTATTACTGCCTACTACTCATACCATAACATTTAACTGACTTTTTTGAGTGGCTTGCATTATATTTAGATACTCTTCGATCACACACATCAACCCTGATAAAATGATTATAGAGAACTTTGCAAATCATGTAATAGAATTCAAATCTTAAGAGCAATGCAATGCCATTGAACAAGCATTCTAAAACGAGAAACTATTAGATTTGGTATTTTAGAAATTTCACTCTGCAGGATGGAGAATGGAGTGAAAGATATCAGGGCTCAAGACAGGGAGTCGCAAATGAGAGCTAGCTACCCACCTAAAGTAGAATAGTGGCAATGAACGTGAGAAAAAGCAAGCAGATTCTAGAAAGACTTAAGAGGTAAAACAGAAATTAATTAGCACTGTTTATTATATCTTGTCCCCTTCTACTTATACTTTTTGTGCATTTTACATATAGGGAGGGGATTCAAAGTTTACAAACTAAAGCTAGTTCACATTAAATACTGGTGGAAATAATATCTTGTTTCTATTCATTTCAAAATCTTAGGGGATTTATGGAAGCAAAGCTTTCAACAGATTCACAGAATACTGATTAGATGTAGCATCAAACTATTTACCATGTATGCCAAGAACAATCACCGAGGAAAGGACAGTGTCTTCAATAAATGGTGCTGGGAAAACTGGATGTTCACACGCAAAAGAATGAAACTAGACTTTCACGTCTCACCTTATACAAAACTCAACTCAAAATGGCTTAAAGACCCAAAGCATAAAATTGCTAGAAGAAAACATAAGGGACACACTTCAGGACATTGGTCTGGGAAAAGATTTTATGAATATGACTTTAAAAACACAGGCAACAAAAGCAAAAATAAACAGATGAGATTATATCAAACTAAAAAGCTCCTGTACAGCAAAAGAAACAACCAAGAGAGTGAAAAGACAACCTACAGAATGGGGGAAAATATTTGCCAACTATTCATCCTGCAGGGAGATTAATAGCCAGAATATGCAGGAAAATCAAACATCTCAACAGAAAAACAAAATAAAACAAAGAATCCAATTTAAAGATGGGCAAACAATCTGAATAGACATTTCTCAAAAGAAGATATACAAATGGTTAACAAATACATGAAAAAAATGCCCAACGTCACTAATCATCAATGAAATGAAGATCAAAACTACAATGAAATATTATCTCACCCCAGTTAGGATGGCTGTTATCAAAAAGACAAAAAATAACAAATGCAGGTGAGAATGCAGAGAAAAAGGAACTCATACATTGTTGGTGGAAATGTAAACTAGTACAGCTACTATGGAGAACAGTATGGAGGTTCCTCAAAAAATTACCAGTAGAACGACCAAGTGATCCAGCAATTCCACTACTGGGCGTTTATCCAAAGGAAAGGAAATCAGTATATTGAAGAGATATCTACACTCCATGTTTACTGCAGCACTATTCAAAATTGCCAAGATATAGAATCAACCTAAATGTCCAACAACAGATGAATGGATAAGGAAAATATGGAATCCCGTCATTCACAGCAACATGAATGGAACTGAAGGAAAATTACGTTAAGTGAAATCAGCCAGAAACAGAAAGTTAAACACCACATTTTCTCACTCATATGTAGAAAAGCTTTAAAAAAAAAAAAAAAAGATCTCCTAGAAATAATAAGTAGAACAGAGGTTACTGGAGACTGGAAAGAGCATGGGGAAGAAAAGGATAAGGAGAGACTCCTTAAAGGCTACAAAATTACAGCTAGATAGGAGGATAAGTTCTAGTGTTCTATAGCACCTTAAGATGACTATAATTCGCAATCGTATGTATTTTCAAATAGCTAGAAGAGAAGATGTGAAATGTCCCAACAAGAAGAAATAATAAATGTTTGATATGATGGAATGCTAATTGCCCTGATCTGATCACTATACATTGTATGTACTGAAACATCACATACACCCCATAAATATGTACAATTACCATGTGTAAATTTAAATAAATAAAAGAATATTCACCATGTAATTTCTTTTTATTACTTTTTTTGTCTTTTTGTTTCTTTGTTGGTTTTTTTTTTTTTTTTTTGGTTTTGTTTACTTTTGTTTGAGATGGAGTCTCCTCTATCGCCCAGGCTGGAGTGCAGCAGCATGATCTTGGCTCACTGCAGAACTCCACCTCCCAGGTTCAAGTAGTTCTCCTGCCTCAGCCTCCTGAGTAGCTGGGGTTACAAGCGTGCACCACCATGCCTGGCTAATTTTTATATTTTTACTAGAGATGGGGTTTCACCAGTTTGGTCAGGCTGGTCTCGAACTCCTGACCTCAAGTGATCCACCCACCTCAGCCTCCCAAAGTGCTGGTAGGCGTGAGCCACTAAGCCCAGCCCATTTTTTAACATTTAGGGACAGGGTCTCGCTCTGTCACCCAGTGCAGTGGCATAATCATAGCACACTGCAGCCTCAAACTCAAGGGATGCTCCCACCTCAGCCTCCCAAGTGGCTCTGACTACAGGCATGTGCTACCATGCCTGGCTATTGTCATGTCATTTCTTTTGTCCCTTTTACAACTAGTAAGACATAACTTAGAGATAACTTATACATGATACATATGTATTATATAAGACATAAGTTGACAGCCAGGTGCAGTAGCTCACACCTGTAATCCCAGCACTTTGGGAGGCTGAGGCAGGAAGACTGCTGGAGCCCAGGAGTTTGAGACCAGCCTGGGCAACATGGCAAAATCCTGTCTCTACAAAGAAAAATACAAAAAATACTAGCCAGGAGTGGCACACGTTTATAGCCCCAGCTACTCAGGAGGCTGAGGTGGGAGGATCACTTGAGCCTAGGAGGTAGAGGCTGAAGTAACCATGATCATGCCACTATACTCCAGCCTGGGTGACAGAATGAGACCCTGTCTCAAAAAAAAAAAAAAAAAAAAAAAAAAAAAGGAGAAGAAGAAGACATAGGCAAGCTGACAAACAACAATATCACTTGTTCAGGCACCAGCCTCCCTATGGCTCTTCCCTAAAAAATGCAATGCAGGCCAGGTGTGGTGGCTCACACCTGTAATCCCAGCACTTTGGGAGGCTGAGGCAGGCAGATCACTTGAGGTCAGGGGTTCGAGACCAGCTTGGCCAACATGGTGAAACCTTGTCTCTACTAAAAATACAAAAATTACCTGGGCATGGTGGCACACGCCTGTAGTCCCAGCTACTCAGGAGGCTGAGGTAGGAGAATCGCTTGAACCTGGGAGGCAGAGGTTTCAGTGAGCTGGAATCGAGCCACTGCACTCCAGCCTGCGTGACAGAGCGAGACTCTGTCTTTAAAAACAACAACAACAACAACAAAAAAAAAACAATGCAATGCTTCATAATAATTGCAAGGCCTTTATGTTCTTTCCTGCATATTTCTGCATATCCAAATCCAGTATATATTCCTCAGCTTATTTCAACCCCATGCAGCCTCCCAGATCCCAGAATCTGGGAGTAACAAATTTTCTCCTTTTCAGAATTCCCATTTTCCTCTTATGGCACTTCATATTCTACTTAGTGTAAGGGCTTATCTCCAGTAGATGGTAAGCATCTTGTAACCAGGGTTCTTGTCATTTCCACTTTAAGTTACCCACAGAACTTGGCAGCACTTGGCATGTAACAAAAGCTCCAAAAATATTTATCAAATGAATACATCAATAGCTATTTCCAGCTGCTCTTTCCACCCTGCCTTGTTTCAACATCAGTGGACATGCTGATCACGATAGACATGCTGCTAGAGATCAAAACCTCAATGGGACCTTTTGAATTATAGGCTGCGGGGGAGTGGAAGGCTCACTGACAACTTGGTAGAAACTATGCCAGATATTTTACTTAAAAAGATACTGTTGGGCAGGTGCAGCGGCTCCCGCCTGTAATCCCAGCACTTTGGGAGGCCAAGGCAGGCGGATAACCTGAAGTCAGGAGTTCGAGGCCAGCCTGGCCAACGTAGTGAAATCTCATCTCTACTAAAAATACAAAAAATTTGTCGGGCATGGTGGCAGCCACCTGTAATCCCAGCTACTCGGGAGGCTGAGGCAGGAGAATCACTTGAACCCTGGAAGTGGAAGTTGCAGTGAGCCGAAATCGCACCATTGCACTCCAGCTTGGGCAACAAGAGTGAAACTCCTTCTAAAAAAAAAAAAAAGATACTGTTAAGCCACAGGTCTAAACTTTGATTTATAATCTGTCTAACAACCGTCCTAATTGAAATTTTTAGTGTAAAAATTCCAATCACCAGTTTATCTTGGAACCTGGTTATCCCAGCATATCAATCCGTACATAAGAAATTGATGCAGGCTGGGCTGGGCATGGTGGCTCATGCCTATAATCCCAGCACTTTGGGAGGCTGAGGCGGGCGGATCACGAGCTCAGGAGTTCGAGACCAGCCTGACCAACATAGTGAAACCCCGTCTCCACTAAAAGTACAAAAATTAGCCCAGCGTGGTGGCACGGACCTGTAATCCCAGCTACTTGGGAGGCTGAGACAGGAGACTCGCTTGAACCCGGGAGGCGGAGGTTGCGGTGAGCCAAGATCGCACCATTGCACTACAGCCTGGGGGACAGAGTGAGACTCCGTTTCAAAAAAAAAAAAAAAAGAAAGAAAGAAAGAAAGAAATTAGCTCAAGCTAACCAGACTGACTGGGTTGCCTGTATTGAAACTCAAGATAGCATTTTAAAACATTAAAATAAATTTTGAGCTTCACATGCAATTTATAAGTAGTTTTCTAAGGAATTCCGTTTCCAGAAAACAATCATGTTGAAATCCCAAGAGAGAAAACATTAATTTCAAAAAAAAAAAAGACAACCGTTAAAGACAATCAGATCCACAAAACTGGCAGCTGCAGCAGTTTTCAAAATGTCTAAACTGCTTCAACAGGAAGCCAGCCAAAGTTCTGTCCATTCAGGCATAGAACAAACTTACCCTTTTAATTCCTTTCTTACTGTGTGGAATACTGTAATACTGCTGTATTGTGAATGCTCTCTAGGCCTGATACTGGGTCAAAGGTGTATTTGGCTTCTAGGGTTTTAGGAAAAATGAGTTTAAGCTTCTGATACCCCAGCATATTTGGATTTGTAGCTGAATCCTTTCTAGCTGTATTAAATAACTAACAAAACAAGGCCATTTTTTCTTTAAAAAAAAAGTTGATACTGTGGTATGTAGGGGTAAAATGGCATGGTATCTGGGACTTGCTTTAAAATACTTCAGCAAAGGGGGAAAAGGAGATGACAGATGAAGAAAATGACAAAGTCTAGACAGTAATTTCATTTGTGTGGTGAGTAGATGGCAGTTCATTGTACTACTTCTCTAACATTTGTGTATGTTTGGATTTTTTCTTTTTGAGTGTTACTTTATTGCAATAACAATTTTAAATTAAAAACAGAAATCTGGACAAACAGTGCCTAGAGTCCTGAATCATTCTTGAGAACTGCAGGGTGTATTCCATCTTAGTGTATCTTAGTTTAATTCTAGACTCATGTCCTTAAAGCTTGCATGTTGGCTCTCAGCTTTGCTGTTTCCTTTAAAAAAAAAAAAGGGTTCACTGGGTGTCGTGGCTCACGCCTGTAATCCCAGCACTTTGGGAGACTGAGGCAGGCGGATCACCTGAGGTCAGGGTTCGAAACCAGCCTGCCCTACATGGTGAAACCCTGTATCTATTAAAAATACAAAAATTAGCCAGGCGTGGTGGCGTGCACCTGTAATCCCAGCTTACTCAGGAGGCTGAGGCAGGAGAATCACTTGAACCTAGGAGGTGGAGGTTGCAGTGAGCCGAGATCACGCCACTGCACTCCAGCCTGGGCAACAGAGCAAGACTCCATCTCAGGGAAGAAAAAAAAGGTGTCTTTTTTAGCAAGGCATGATGGCACATGCCTATAGTCCCAGCTACTAGGGAGGCTGAGGTGCAAGGATCTCCTGACCCAGGACAGAGGCTACAGTGAGCTATGATTGTGCCACTGCACTCTAGCCTGGGTGACAGAGCAAGATTCTATCTCTAATAATAATAATAATAATAAATTTTTAAAATGTTTTCTCCGAAAGTCTAACTCAACCAAGTGAGATGTGCCTGTGGTCCAGGGCACCAAAACACAGTCAGAAATTTCAGGATGGTTCATGACTTCATATCTCATTTCTAAGTTTCTGCGGACACAGTATCTTCTTGGTAGAGGTAGCTTGCTTTCTATTTGTGGTGGACATGTGTTGCTTTTGCTGTCCAGGATTTACACTGCTTCCCGTAATTTAAAAAAATCCCTAGATTTCCATTTGGGGATTCACCCTAGCCCCATTCTCAGTCCATGATGAGGCCGATTCTACCTTTGGATGTGGGGGTGGAGTTTAAGATCAAGAGTAAGTCAGAGCATCCCATTCCCCCAGACACTGACTTTTTCATAGATGGGCACCTGACCTAAGTCAGGCCAATCAGAATTAAGGGAGGTTCAGGTCTTAGACTTAAACCTATGTTTGTGCTGCCAGGAAGTGAACTCTCTTTCTCATGTGATTTGGTATTGGGTTAATGTGTTCTTGTAGGGCTTGAAGCCACCATGGATGGCCTGCCAATTAATTAAATACAGCAGAAAGTAGCAATATAGCCAATGGATGTGAAAAGACGATAGGTTCTAAAGACAACATGTGAGCTCTGACCAGCTGCCCTTGAAGACTGTTCCTGTCCTTTCTGTTATGTGAGCCAATAAATTACCTGAGTGCTGGCTAATCCATAGTTTAATCACTTCCTCTTATAATTAAGCCACACTGTATAGTCAGATAGCTTGATAATATAGCACTTTCTAAGGTTTGCATGCCAAAACAAGATGCATAAACTTAAAGCATAATTCTTACTTATCAAAATACATGAATGAGTTCTGGAACTGTGGCGTCATGGTCATTAAATTCTGTGATTAATTCAACCAATATTGCATGCCTATTGTGTGACTGTGCTAAGTGCTGATTCTAGCAAGATAAGGGCAGCTCAGCAACGGAAGATAAATGCAGTCCCTAAATGTTTTAATTTGCTCAACTGACATATCTAGTTATTTTTGAAATTTTTGTAATGAAACTTTTTTTTTTTGAGACGGAGTCTCGCTCTGCCGCCCAGGCTAGAGTGCAGTGGCGTAATCTAGGCTCACTGCAAGCTCTGCCTCCCAGGTTCACGCCATTCTCCTGCCTCAGCCTCCCAAGTAGCTGGGACTAAAGGCACCCGCCACCACGCCTGGCTAACTTTTTGTATTTTTAGTAGAGACGGGGTTTCACCGTGTTAGCCAGGATGGTCTCGATCTCCTGACCTTGTGATCCACCTTCCTTGGCCTCTGAAAATGCTGGGATTACAGGTGTGAGCTGCCGCGTCCAGCCTATAATGAAACATTTTAAGAGCATTTCAGTAACATAACTGTTACTAGTCAGACATCCTCCTAGATATTTGGGGGTCCAGGTGACATACTCAGTCTAGGTTTTTAAGAACAGGGGTGGGAATTTGAGTAAGAAACTCTACGGCTGCTAAGTCTAGAAACTATGAAGATCCCAAAGATAGCTTCTGGAAAGAAAGCTGAGAACAAGCAACACAATCCCACCAAAGCAATAATATGAGGGGACTATACATAGGGTAAGAGAGAAATAAATGGGAGTCAGTGGAGAAATTGGGAGCAACTGGTTGGAAGAGAAGATGGAAGAAGACGGAGAACCTCTGAGACCCTGGTTATCACATCTTCAATCAATACTTGGGAAAGGGCTATGGAGGTGCTAAGCTGTTTCAGATAATAGTAGAAAAATATTGGAGAGCCATTTTTAAACTTTTACTACTTTAGTGAAAAAATGTACTCATCTAAATGAAAATCAAAGGTCATAGGAAGAGGAAGAGAACCCACAGATTTCCTTTTTTTTTTTTTTGAAGACAGAGTTTCACTCTGGTTGCCCAGGCTAGAGTGCAATGGTGCAATCTTGGCTCATGGCAACCTCCGCCTCCCAGGTTCAAGCGATTCTCCTGCCTCAGCCTCCCAAGTAGCTGGGATTATAGGCATACGCTACCATGCCTGGCTAATTTTGTATTTTTAGTAGAGACGGGGTCTCTCCATGTTGGTCAGGCTGGTCTCAAACTCCCGACCTCAGGTGATCTGCCCGCTTCAGCCTCCCAAAGTGCTGGGATTACAGGCGTGAGCCACTGCACTGGCTACAGATTTTACTGTTACATACTTCTTCTTTCGATGGAAATGACAAATTAGCCACACCATTCCAACAACCTTCCAAAATGCCTTTCAGTACTGCAGAAGCTGGAACGCTAAATTCATATTTTCCCTATACTCCCCCGCAGCAAGAGTTCTAGAATTAGGACCTACCAATAAGATGCAATCACGTGAGATCTGAAAGGTGGAAGAGACATGATGGCAATCACCCTGCTGCCCTCTCTGTATGGTTAGGGAGGAGAGATGCTGGGTTTTTCTGCAGCAGAGTTCCAGCATACTGTCACTAGCTTTGTGAAGCTACTGTGGTGAGTTCTTATATTCTACAGTTCCATGGCAGCCTCCTGATTCCTCACCTTCATGATCAAGTAGCAGCTAAAATGTCAGGCCAGTTTATCAGTATTATTCTGGGAGTCACTCCTGCAAGCCCAACCTTGAGCTCACTACTCCAATTTTATGAGGACCTAATTCCCTATATTTAAATCTCTTTCTTCATAGAAGATCTAGAATGATTTCTGTTTCCTGAAACTAAATGCTGAAGCATTCTACTTTCTAAAGCATTATAGATATGTGATGATAAACAAGTCAAACCAAAGATGCATCTCATTTACAGGGAGGTGTCAGTTGGACACAAAAAAAAATTACTTGGAAAAAGCATTGGGGTATATGCAAGTGAGCAAAGCGGCAGAGCATATAAATCTCTGAAGCAGCCAATAGTAAGACTGTGTACTGTCCTCAGGTAGACAGGTTTCTATGGGGCAAATTTCCATAATGCCAAGCCATTTGTTTAGCAGTGTTACCCAAGTTAATGAGGTCACTGGTACTCACTTGTTGTCATTTCCCCATTGTAGGCACTTAGGCCCAATGTGAAACATTAATGAATTGAATAGGTCACCAAATACAGTGGTCTGGTCAAGATGTAGCTGTTTGTAAAAGGTTATGAATCAGATTAAAATCCTCATTTGTCACAGAGCAAGGGAGGCAATGCTCTTCCCTTAGCCACAGATCCCTCCACACTTTTCAGAGAAGAACTATTATAGAACTGTTATAATAATTACAATATTATTAGAAAGCATTACCAATTAGAATACGCAGATCACTACCTGTTTCTCTCATAAAAAGCACAGCAAGGAATAAAAAACCACAAAATGCTATGCTGGGAAAAGGATGGGCTTGAAGGTAAATATGAAAGTTGAACTTAGCATTCTCTAATGACCCTGGAAGAAAGGTGATTCAGCTAATACTGGTATTTGTTAGGATTTAATTAAAAACCTCTAATCACTTTTCAGTGCTACAAGTATGAGGTAAGGGCTTTTTCTTCCCCTAGTGGAGTCAGGCTGGGAGCTCCAGCTCTATCCTGTGTTTAGCACTAATTTAGGGTCATATACCCCCAAAAGACCTGGGAGTCCAGTTCCCATGGAACTGCCCATGGAACTCCCAAAGTGACTCCAGCAAATTCCCAATGCAGGATCTACCTGCAAGCTGCAGTAGCCTTTGAAAAACTGAAAGAGAAACTTGAGGAGCAGAGGGTTATTAGTTTTTTTTTCTTTCTTTTTTCTTTTTTAAGATAGGGTTCTCTTCTGTCATGCAGGCTGGAGTGCAGTGGCATAATCATAGCTCACTGCAGCCTTGATCTCCTGGGCTCAAGTGATTCTCCAGCCTCAGTCTCCCAAGTAGCTGGGACCACAGGCGCACACCACCATGCCTGGCTAATATTTAAATTTTTTGTAGAGATGGGATCTCACTATGTTTCCCAGGGTTGAATGCTTTTTTTTTTTTTTTTTTTTTTGAGACAGAGTCTCGCTCTATCGCCCAGGCTGGAATGCAGTGGCGCCATCTCGGCTCGCTGCAAACTCCGCCTCCCGGGTTCATGCCATTCTCCTGCCACAGCTTCCCAAGTAGCTGGGACTACAGGCACCTGCCACCACGCCTGGCTAACTTTTTTTTTTCTTTTGTATTTTTAGTAGAGACGGGGTTTCACTGCGTTAGCCAGGATAGTCTCGATCTCCTGACCTCGTGATCCGCCCGCCTCGGCCTCCCTAAGTGCTGGGATTACAAGCGTGAGCCACCACGCCAGGCCAGGGTTGAATAATTTTTAAATGCATTTTACACTTGGAGAAGATTGTACCAAAATCATCCATTTGCATTTTCAGTGAATGACATATAAACATTTTAGTCATTATATATAAGCTGAAAGTATAAAAAGATTGTTTATATATTTTTTTAGTATATCTACTTTTCATTTGTGAGAACCCTAGAGGAAAAAGTGTTACAAAAAAGAAAACACCCCCCAAAATCTCTACTTTAACGAATAAAAGCTAATGAAGTAGGCTGCATTCCTATTACTTAGTTCCTCTAAATGTCTATTCCCTTATTAATAACTCTGCTTTATTAAAATAACTGTCTCGGCCGGGCATGGTGGCTGACACCTGTAATCCCAGCACTTTGGGAGGCTGAGGTGGGTGGATCACCTGAGGTCGGGAGTTCAAGAGCAGCCTGGCTAACATGGTGAAACCCTGCCACTACTAAAAACACAAAAATTAGCTGGGCATGGTGGTGGGCACCTGTAATTCCAGCTACTCGGGAGGCTGAGGCAGGAGAATTGCTTGAACCCAGGAGGTGGAGGTTGCAGTGAGCCAAGATTGCGCCACTGCACTCCAGCCTAGGCAACAGACCGAGACTCCGTCTAAAAAAAAAAAAAAACAAAAAAAAACTTTTTTTTGAGGGGGTATATGACCCTAAATTAGTGCTAAATATATATCTAAATATATATATATGTATGTCTTTTGGGGGTATATGACCCTAAATTCGTGCTATCGTGCTAAATATATATCTAAATATATATATATATGTTTGTGCGCTTCCGCTACTAAACTATCATCATTAATCCAGTTGGAAAGATGTGAGAAAGTTTAAATGTAAGCACATCTTATGGTTAAAGAGCTACCAAAACAAAGCAAAGGTATATTTTATCATAAAATGCCACATGTGACTTTAAGCACTTTAGAGTATATCATTCCACTGACATAAAATTAATTATTGATATGTATGTGTAGGTGTACAAAATGTATTTACAGGCCAAGCATGGTGGCTCACACCTGTAATCCCAGCACTTTGGGAGGCCAAGGCAGGTGGATCACTTGAGGTCAGAAGGTCGAGACTAGCCTGACCAACATGGTGAAACCCCATCTCTACTAAAAATATGAAAATTAGCCAGGCATGGTGGTGCACGTCTGTAATCCCAGCTACTCTGGAGGCTGAGGCACAAGAATCACTTGAACTTGGGAGGTGGAGGTTGCAGTGAGCCGAGATTGCAGAGTACGACTCTTTCTCAAAAAGAAAGAAAGAAAAGAAAACAAAAGAAAGAAAGGAAGAAAGAAGAAAGAAAAGAAAGATATATATATATACGTATATACATACACATATATATACATATATATGTGTATATATATGTATATATATATGTGTATATATATACGTATATATATATATGTATATATATATATACGTATATATATATATATTTACATATATTGGCTGGGTGCGGTGGCTCACGCCTGTAATCCCAGCACTTTGGGAGGCAGAGGTGGGCAGATCACAAGGTCAGGAGTTCGAGACCAGCCTGACCAACATGGTGAAACCCCATCTGTACTAAAAATACAAAAATTATCTGGGCGTGGTGGTACGTGCCTGTAATCCCAGCTACTCAGAAGGCTGAGGCAGGAGAATCGCTTGAACCTGGGAGGCAGAGGTTGCAGTGAGCCGAGATTGCACCACTGCACTCCAGCCTGGGCGACAGACCGAGACTCCATCTCAAATAAATATATATATATATATTTACATATAGTACCAATATTTGAAAACATGGTTAAATTAGAAAATTTCAAATAATACTTTAAAACTTATTAATTGTTCTTTTATAATGTTAGCTTTATGAAGCAAGAAGCAAATAAAATATTAACCACTCACAACTCTGCTTATTTCAAAATATATACTAAAAGAGCATGGCGTTTGTATCGCTGTTTATCACTTATGTGTCTATCAGACTTTGCAAGTGATTCCGCAGTTGTTGCACAATGGGAGTTTCTAGGCCTCTAAGATATCTGATTCCTGTGCTCTGCAACAGATCTATCTCCTGCACCCAGCAGAGCTCAGGGTCATTCTTAGGTCATAGTGGTTAAAGACGGCTGTCAATTCACTGCTTGGGCTAGGTTTCAAGTCTCCTTTATCTCTGTTATATTGATGATTCCCAGTGGTTAAGAAATTAACCATACTATCAGTATGCATCTTAATGTTTTGTTGTGTAGCACCAAAGTGACTGTGTTAAAAGCTCAGTGTGCTGTTATGTGAAAGTCGGCTACCCTTTAAAAACTAAGAACTGGAACAAATATATTTGAATAAATAGTTATGGTTCTATGCTGTGCTACACATTTTTAAAAGGGAGGTTATAATAAAAGGTTGAAACTAGCTGATCCTGCCTCTTCTCAGTGCAAAGGTAATTATTATTCAGTGAAAAAATATGCAGTGAAAATAAGTAATTGCATAAGAAGAGATTATAGTCCTGAGCGTATACACCTGGTGTTTTGATTTTTATGAATACCCTTTTGGATCCCCATGCCTGTGCAACTTAATGTTCATCACAATTCTCCATGGCAAAGGAAAAAGACAAGGCTTAATTGTAAATATGTGCATGCTTTATTGCCAATGCAATGGCATGAACACATTTAACAGGATTGTCATTCCATTTAATTACTCTGATTTTGACAGGGACCTATTACAGATAAAATTGATAGCATGAGTAATAAGGACCATAAAAAAAAAAAATCACTGCTTTCTGGCCAGGCACAGTGGCTCACGCCTGTAATCCCAGCACTTTGGGAGGCCAAGGTGGGTGGATCACCTGAGGTCAGGAGTTTGAAACCAGCCTGGCCAACATGGTGAAACCCCATCTCTACAAAAAATACAAAAATTAGCCAGGTGTGGTGGTGCCTGCCTGTAATCCCAGCTATTTGGGAGGCTGAGGCAGGAGAATCACTTGAACTCAGGAGGTGGAGGTTGCAGTGAGCTGAGATCACGCCACTGCACTCCAGGCTAGGCAACAGAGTAAGACTCTGTCTCGAAAAAAAAAGAAAAAGAAAAAAAAATCACTGCTTTCTCTTCAAAGAGTGAGTATTAAGATCTTCCATATTCTCTATGGCTACATGCATTAGGTGAAGAAAAAAATAAAGCATAGTAATAGGATAGCCACCCTCAAATTGCTTCCTTCCAAGTTGAGTTATGTTTATGATATGACAGTGATGCATGGTCATTTGTTTAGACTAACTGGGTTAGATCTGTGACATCTAAAGAAAAGCAACAAATGAATAAGTAGGCAAGTGGAAAAAATTAGAGAAAAGCACTCTCCCAAATTAATTATTCATGTGTTAATTACATGTTCTGTTTCTCAGTTTTTTCTCAGTGATATTTAAAGATATTCATTACACTTTTGCCTGAGACAGGTAATAAAAGTTCAGGAGCTGAACACTAAGCTTAAGATATGTACAGATGAACAGGAGGGATGAGAGGACTATGGTAACAGTCAGTCATTGCCAGAAATTTGAAACTGGCATTAAGAGGAAGTCAGCAGCTCTATTCAAGTGACAAAGCAGTGGTGTGGTTCTTGGCATCCTGGCATGTATAGCCAAATGGAAAGGTGCCAGGTATTGGCTGGAAGAGCATAAACTACTGATTTTCTCTTCCATAAATTAAGGGAAGGAAGAGTTTTAGCAGCACAGCATCAATGTTTTATGTAGTCACATTAAACTATCTGCTACTTGAGTTCATTTTCCACATTCTAGTTTATGACTTACTTTTCAAAAAGCTAGTGTCTTCTTAAAATGTCTCCATAAGCCTCACACCCCTGCTCATGAAGAAAAAAATCTAAATTTCTAAATACACCTATAAATCTATCACCCAAATAGGTGATGAATCAAAGCATCTCCTTTTTGGTCTTTTTTTTTTTTTTTTTTTTTTTGAGACAGAGTCTTGCTCTTTTGCCCAGTCTGGAGTGCAGTGGTGCAATCTCAGCTCACTGCAACCTCCGCCTCCTGGGTTCAAGCGATTCTCCTGTCTCAGCCTCCCGAGTAGCTGGAACTACAGGCATGTGCCATCACGCCCGGATAATTTTTTGCATTTTTAGTAGAGACAGGGTTTCACTGTGTTAGCCAGGATGGTCTCCACCTCCTGACATCGTGATCCGCCCACCTCGGCCTCCCAAAGTGCTAGGATTACAGGCGTGAGCCACCATGCCCAGCCTCCTTTTTAGTCTTTTAAACTTGAAACTGTCATTCAAATAAGCTCATATTTATTTGACTATTGATCAAATGGATATCTTCAATAAAAATATTTTTCCAAGCTACTTTTGTCTTTCAATTAAGAAATGGTTTATGCTATGCCAATAGGATGAGATATTCAGAGGATTAAATCAATAGGCTATAAATTATATGCAAAAAAAAAAAAATCAGGTCACTACCCTGACACAACAGATTTATTATTAAAGTAGGTAACTCCATCGCAATTCACATTAGTTTTTATAAAGTAAGAGACAGGGAGAGATCAATGAGAACTTTGGCTTACTGCTGCTTTTAATGGTTCATTTATAATAGCTACTTATCTCCTATTACTTTAGCTTGCTATAATAATGCCAAGCCAAGAAAAAAGATAATCACCATTATGGGAATATATATTTAATTCAAGTCTGATTGACTGTTCTTTAATCTGATTCATGTATTTGTAGAGTGGCCAGAAGTACTCTAAAAGCATAGTGATTCTTAGGTACACATAAAAACCCCATTATACAGTCCACATCAGGTTTAGAGTAAAAAACATCTGGCAGTTTTGGCTTTATTTTCATAGGCATATTATTATTAGATAAACAACCACATTGCAGTGCACACCCAAAACCCACCAGCTCAAACCCAACTGCTACTATCAACATCAAGGATAACAGCCAAACCTTAAATGGACCTTTCAGCCCCACTATGTTTCCTGGAGACTACTATCTTTGCAAATAAAAAGCAGATTTTTGCTCTACACATGCACATGGATCCACAGTCCATTCCTGGATTCTCTACAATCACCTTGCCATTCTTGATGATTAATTACCCTGATTGCAGTGGAGATTTGATACAGGCTTCCAAAGGCCATCTCAAATGAAGGAGCAATAAGCTCACTGATTTCATTTAAGAAGGTTGAACAAGGGCAGTCCTCACCAACCAATCCCCCATATTTTTTCTTCCAGGGAAACTGCTATTAAATAAATATTAAAGGAGAGGATTAGGGTTACAGAATTAGGGAGGGAAGGCTCCCCAGTACTATCACTATGGTGGAATGGTAATTAAGGACTCAGGTCTTCTTGGCAATATAAGGTGGCTCTACCACTGTTCATCCTTACTGGTTGCCTTGTTAAGTCTCTGCCCAGAAACATAAGGAACCTGACTGATCACTCCTGATTCTCTACATCTCTAAATGACACTATTGGTGGTGTACATGCAATTTCACTCCAAAAGCAGTGGTTACAGTACACTCTCCAAAAAGCTAAAATTAGTAAGACTGGCAATACCAAGTGTTGGCAAGGATGTGGAGTAACTGGAACTCTCATACATTGATGGTGAGAGTATTAAATTGATACAACCGGCTGGGTACAGTGGCTCACGCCTGTAATCCCAGCACTTTGGGATGCCAAGGCAGACGGATCACCTGAGGTCAGGAGTTCAAGACTAGCCTGATTAATATGGTGAAACCCCGTCTCTACTAAAAAAAATACAAAAATTGGCTGGGCGTGGTGGGGGGCGCCTATAGTCCCAGCTACTCAGCAGGCTGAGACAGGAGAATTGCTTGAACCTGGGAGGTGGAGCTTGCAGTGAGCTGAGATCATGCCACGGCACTCTTGCCTGGGTGACAGAGCAAGACTCCATCTCAAAAAAATAATAATAAATAAGTAAATAAATAAATAAACAAATTGGTGCAACCACTTTAGAAAAGTGTTTGGCAGCCTCTATGAAAGCTAAACACATACCTAGCCTATGATCTAACAATTCCACTCTTAGGAACATAGCCAAGAGATATGGATACATATTCTCACCAAAAGACATTAAGAAGAGTGTTCTTATAAGTTTTTTATAAGACTTACTCAAAGCCAGGTGTGGTGGCATGTGTCTGCAGTCCCAGCTACTCAGGAGGCTGAAGTGGAATGATTACTTGAGCCCAGGAGATCAAGGCCACCCTGGGCAACATAGTGAGACTCCATGTCTAAAAAGGAAAAGATTTACTCAAAATAGCCAAAAATACAAAACAACCAAAATGTCACCACAGTAGAAGAGATAAATGAAACATGGTATATTCATACAATGGAATATTACACAGTTATTTTTTTAAAGGACAACTATTATTACTAGCTATAACATGAATAAATCCTACGGATATTACATTAAGAAAATAGACACACAGTATCTACCGTATGAATCCATTTATATGAAATACAAAAATAGGAAAACTAATCCAGCAGTAGAAGTCAGAATAGTGGGGGTGAGGCATGAGGGGTGGGAATTGACTGGAAAAGGACACAAAAGAATCTTCTGGGATGCTAGAAAAGTTCTATATCTTGATCTAAGTAATCAAGATACACATCAGATACACATCACATCAAGTATGATCGAGATACACATCAAATACAGGTATGTGATCAATCTTAAAAGCGTTATAGAAAAAAGACACAAAAGTCTATATGTAGTATGATTTCATTTTGGAAAGGACAAAACTGGAGGGATAGACAATAGGTCAGTGGTTACCAGAAGATTTGGGTAAAAGGAGGGAACTGCAAAGGGTTACAAGCAAACTTTTGGGGATGATAGAAACAGTCTATATTTTGACTGTGGTTGTGGTAATCTGACTCTACATAGTTATCAACATTCATCAAATTATACATTTAAAAGGATGAATCTTATAGCTCAATTATAATTTGTTGCCTAGTTTGAAAATATTCAACAATCTAAACACTTAAGATTAGTATACTTTGGCTGGGCACGGTGGCTCACACCTGTAATCCCAGCACTTTGGGAAGCAGAGGCAGGCGGATCACCTGAGGTCGGGAGTTCGAGACCAGCCTGACCAACATGGAGAAACCCCATCTCTACTAAAAATACAAAAATTAGCCGGGCGTGGTGGCACATGCCTGTAATCCCAGCTACTCGGGAGGCTGAGGCAGGAGAATCACTTGAACCCGGGAGGTGGATGTTGCAGTGAGCCAAGATGGCACCACTGCACTCCAGCCTGGGCAACATGAGTAAAATTCTGTCTCAAAACAAAGATTAGTATACTGTGTGTACTTCCTATACTATGTGTATATTATATTTTAATTTTAAAAAGTTTGAAAAGTAAAGAAAAAAAAAGGAGGTTAAGTGGGTTGTAAGGCATGCATTCCAGTCCAGACTTTGCTACTGGTGTGTTATGTGAAATGCTTTAATTGTTGCTACTGAATAAAAATACAGAAAGTGTTAGGCCTGGAATGGGCCCTGAAACTCACATAATCTCACTTTGATCTACCGAGGAGTAATGATCTCTGAAATATCACACAGCTAGTCAGTTGTGGAGGCAGAAATGAAAACCTAGGACAACTGACTCTCAGACTCTGGTTCAATTCCAGTTCAAGCGAGATTTTTAAAAAGTCAAACTGATCATTTGATAATAAAGAAGTAGCAAATTTTCAACTAATTGTGTAATACTGGGCCCCTGTTTGCACATACAGTCATGTGCCACATAAGATGTTTTGGTCAACAATGGTCGGGCACGGTGGCTCATGCCTGTAATCCCAGCACTTTGGGAGGCCAGGGCGGGTGGATCACCTGAGGTCAGGAGGTCGAGACCAGCCTGGCCAACATGGTGAAACCCCATCTCTACTAAAAATACAAAAATTAGCCAGGCGTGGTGGCAGGCGCCTGTAATCCCTGCTACTCGGGGGGCCGAGGCAGGAGAATCACTTGAACCCGGGAGGAGGAGGTTGCAGTGAGCCGAGATGGCGCCATCGCACTCCAGCCTGGGGGACAAGAGCGAAATTTTGTCTCAAAAAAAAAAAAAGATATTTTGGTCAACAATAGACCACATATACAATGGTGGTCCTATAAGATTATAATGGAGCTGAAAAATTACTATCACCTAGTGATGTCATAGCTGTCAGGATATAATGAAACTAATTTTTAAAAGATAAATTTAGTGGGCTGGGCGCGGTGGCTTGGGCCTGTAATCTCAGAACTTTGGGAGGCTGAGCGGGGCGGATCGCCTGAGCTCAGGAGTTCGAAACCACCCTGGGCAACATGGTGAAACCCCATCTCTACTAAAACACAAAAAATGAGCTGGACATAACGGCACATGCCTGTAGTCCCAGCTACTCAGGAGGCTGAGGCACAAGGAACGCTTGAGCCCGGGAGGTAGAGGTTGCAGACAGCCAAGATCACGTCACTGCACTCCAGCTTGGGCTACAGAGTGAGACTCTATCTCAAAAACATGGCGAAACTCCGTCTCTACTAAAAATACAAAAATTAGCCAGGCGTGGTGGCACACACCTATAATCCCAGCTACTCAGGAGGCTGAGGCAGGAGAATCATTTGAACCCGGGAGGTGGAGGTTGCAGTGAGCCCAGATTGCACCATTGCACTCCAGCCCGGGCAACGAGAGTGAATCTCCGTCTCAAAAAAAAAAAAAACTTTAAAAATAAATAAATTTAGTGTAGACTAAGTGTACAATGGCTTTTGTTTTGTTTTGTTTTGTTTTTTGTTTTTTTTGAGATGGAGTTTTGCCTGTCACCCAGGCTGGAGTGCAGCGGCATGATCTCGGCTCACCGCAACCTCCGCCTCCCGGGTTCAAGTGATTCTCCTGCCTCAGCCTCCTGAGTAGCTGGGATTACAGGTGCCTGCCACCATGACTGGCTAATTTTTGTATTTTTAGTAGAGATGGGGTTTCACCATGTTGGCTAGGCTGGTCTTAAACTCCTGACCTCAGGTGATCCACCCGCCCTGGCCTCCCAAAGTGCTGGGATTACAGCCCTGAGCCACTGCGCCTGGCCAGTGTACAGTGTTTATTAAGTTTACAACAGTGGATAATAATGACCTGGGCCTTCTCATTCACCCACCACTCACTCCTGACTCATCCAGAGCAACTTCCAGTCCTACAAGCTCCATTCATGGTAAGTGTCCTATACAGGCATACCATTTTTATCTTTTATACGTATTTTTATTGTATCTTTTCAACATTTAGATACACAAATACTTACCACTGTATTACAATTGCCTACGGTATTCAGCATAGTAATAAGTTGTACAAGTTTGTAGCCTAGGAACATCTATACCATATAGCCTATGTGTGTACTAGGTTATATACCATCTATATTACTGTAAATACACTCTATGATGTTTGCACAAAGATGAAATAATCTAACGACACATTTATCAGAACATAGTCCTGTCATTAAGCAACATATGACTACATTTGCTTTTCACTTCCCAAATGCCACTGTACTCCAGCCTAGGTGAGAGAGTAAAATCCTGTCTCTAAGAAAAAAAAAATTATTGTTATATATATGAGTTATCCGTGATCATTTGATAATAGCAATTTACCCAAAAATGCAGATTATGACAGCCTCTATTTAGGAAGCTCCAGCTAAATCTTGGCATACCATCTACCCCTTCCTGTCTGGGGCCATCTCCAATGTCACTTAGTCATACAAAGTACCCAAACTGCTCTACCACTGGGAGAGGTATTTTAGGTACAATCCAGATTATATGACTCCTTTATTAACTCCTCTGAAAATTCAGTTCCTCTGAAACAAAGTCAACATTTTTAAGTCCACACATTCACAAACACCCCAGATCTTATCAAATTCTATAATATAAGATGGTGTTCATTGTGCTACATAGTTCCTAACAATATTCTCATAAAATTGCAAACAAGAGCAGTTATGCCATACTTCTCTTGAAAATTGAAACATTAAGGAAGTGCTAAATCAGTGATCTCTAGTTTCTCTTTCTATGCTCTGTAGCTATCTAAATGACCTTTTGACCCCCTTCCCCTCCCATCCCTCACTAAAACCCAAACACTAACTTCTCTCTGACCTCCACCCCCTGCAAAACAGAAAAGAAACTAGTATGTTATTTACACTTTTTGATTGACTGACTAGTTACACTTAAGTTCCTGTTGTTGTTGTTGTTGTTGAGACAGAGTTTCATTCTGTCACCTAGCCTGGAGTGCAGTGGTTCAGTCACTGCTCACTGCAGCCTTGACTTCCCAGCCTCAAGCAATCCTCTTGCCTCAGCCTCCCAAGTAGCTGGGACAATGGGTGTGTACCACTACACTCTGCTAATTTTTTTTTTTTTTTAATTTTTAGTAGAGATGAGGTAACATTCTGCTGCCCAGGCTGGTCTCCAACTTCTGTGCTCAACTAATCCATCCCCCTCAACCTCCCAAAGTGCTAGGATTACAGGCATGAGCCACCGCACCTGGCCCACTTTAGTTCTAGTAAGTTTTAGCAGTATGTTAATTCAAGCAATATTTACATTTTAAGCCATTTTATCCCTTATTGCATAATGAAAGGCCAATTGCTTCTCCATTAAAGAATTCTGACCTTCAATTTAACTTCAGTAAGCAAGTGAGAAATATTTTGGAAACAAGGAAGAACTTGCAACTACACTTTGTATTCCTAGTCTTGGGGAGTCATGAACCACATTAGAATAGCTGAGAGGAGCTGGGCGCGGTAGCTCACGCCTGTAATCCCAGCACTTTGGGAGGCCGAGGCAGGCGGATCATGAGGTCAGGAGATCAAGACCGTCCTGGCTAACATGGTGAAACCCCATCTCTACTAAAAACACAAAAAATTAGCTCGGCGTGGTGGCATGTGCCAGTAGTCCCAGCTACTCAGGAGGCTGAGGCAGGAGAATCTCTTGAACCCGGGAGGCGGAGGTTGCGATGAGCCAAGATCTCGCCACTGGATTCCAGCCTGGGCGACAGAGCAAGACTCTGTCTCAAAAAAACAACAACAACAAAAAGAATAGCTGAGAGGCTATAAAGAAAGAACCCAAAGGATCATTTGCTCATTTACTCACTCATTCGTGCATTCAGTAAACATTTACCAAGGGTCTACCACGTGCCAGGTATTGTACAAGGCAGACAGAATTATAAGATATGGTCTCTATCCTGAAGTAGTTTGCAAGGAGGAGTCGCAAACAGATTAAAAATATTTAAAGCCCAAAAGTGAGAAGCGCTCTGACAAGTAGAAAACACTGAAAAAGAACAGGAGAGATGGGATTCACTTGCCCTGGGGAGAGTCAGAGCAGGTTTCATACGGACAGACCTGTGAGCTCAGCTTGAAGGAATGTGACATGTTGAAAGGCAAAGAAAGGGTTGAAATGGGTTTCCCAAACTTTCAGCCAAATATGAAAGGAGACAGGAGGAGGGGAATGGGTTACCTTTCTTTGCACAGAGGGAATTTAAGGCCAGAGAAGCTAATGACAAGCCCAGTGTCCACCGCAGCCACAAAGAAAAAGGGCTGTGGCAGCAGCTGGGCCCCTTCCTCTTATCTGTAGTCACACAGAGAACACAGTTGATGACAAGCCTTGCCAACATGCCCTTAGCCACTTTAGGGGAGGACAGGTGCAAACATTTTCATATAACTCCATACTCAGCCTACACTCTTTAAAAAGTTATGTTTGTATCAGGATATATCATTGGAACATAAATTTTATCCACATCCTTTAAAATAGTTACAATTTGGTTTTGCCCTGTTTTTGGCCTAAGAATTTCAAAGCCTTTGTTGGTGTTGAATTTAGGATCACAAAGGTTTGTAATCAAACAACGTCCTTGCCTCAAAATAGCTTCCTTCTAGCCAGGGAAGTATTAGAGGGGGTCTTGCCTAGCTATAGCAGATAAAGGCTTATTCCTGGAAGCTTGCTGAAGGCAGAGAAGCTCCTATTCCCTCCTCCCCAAATTCTAGCAAAGCCAGGTGTGTCTCTACAATATCCAGTGCTGACCTCTTTTGCACAATTTCTTGGCCTAAGCAACTTTCTTAGGTCTTTAACCCTCCCTTGCCCCAAAATGTGCAGATGAATAGGTTGTCATAAAGCATATTTGATGTTATTTTAGTCAGTGTCTAATATTTTTGTATCACAACCGTATTTCTTAGAGTTCTAAAATATAGCCCTCAAGGCTGGGCACTGTGGCTCACGCCTGTAATCCTAGCACTTTGGGACACCAAGGTGGATGGATCACCTGAGGTCAGGAGTTCAAGACCAGCCTGGCCAACATGGCAAAACCCTCTCTCTACTAAAAATACAAAAATTAGCCAGGCGTGGTGGCACACGCCTATAATCCCAGCTACTTGGGAGGCTGAGGCAGGAGAATCACTTGAACCTGGGAGGCAGAGGTTGCAGTGAGCCAAGATCACACCACTGCATTCCAGCCTAGGCAACAAGAGTGAAACTCTGTCACAAAAAACAAAAACAAAAACAAAAACAAAATAGCCCTCAAACCCCTACATTATTCCAAACTCTGACAATGTTAACAATGAATATCCATTCTTTATTCTTTTTAAAAATATATTCATTCTTTCAACAGCATTTATCCAACAGTGAGGCAACGGGTTAGTTATCCCCTCAATGCCCATTGTCTCCTTCTTCCACTTTAGCTGGGCTCATGGCCACCCACCCACAGATGGTATTTCCTAGTATCCTAGGTGTGGCCACATGACTACATTTATCAGAATGGAATGTCAGTGAAATCTCCAACTATATTGTAAATTCCTGATGATCAGAAACCCTGTCTAACATATATTTTATTTCCAACAGTACCCATCCAGTATTATGTTAATAAATGTTTGTTGATCTAGCTTTTTATCTTGACTAATGTTTCATCTATACTATATATTTTGCATCAGAAATAAATTTTATGATTCTAGAAACATGAAAAAGAATAGAATGTAAATGGAAGTAATGTGTACAACTTACAAATCATTTACTTCACAGGAAATTGCTTGCTCTCCATTTTTGCTCTACTCCTCTTCCTAAAAACTGAAATAGGGATGTGGAGCTGACACAGCTTCAACCATGTAGAAAAGACTAGGGAATGTCAGAGCAGCACAGTGAAAGAAACAGATTCTGAATGACTTCACATGCTGAGGTACCCCACCAGTGTAGATGCTTACATTCCTCTAACATGTTACATACAAGAGAATTAAACTTCAGCCATATTTAAGCCACTTAATTTTTTGGTTTCTTTGTCACAGTAGCTTAGCTGGACCCTAGTTAATATAAACATTTATTCAATGTCTTTTGAGCGTTTACTATGTGACAAGAACTGTCTTCTGGGTAAACATAAAGTGGCGAATAAGCGGAAAAGCTCCCAGAACACAGGTTGCTTATAGTCTAGAACAGGGGTGTCCAATCTTTTGGCTTCCTGGGGTCACATTGGAAGAAGAAGAATTGTCTTGGGCCACACATAAAATACACTAACACTAATGATACCTGATGAGCTAAAAATATATATCACAAAAAAAACTCATAATGTTTTAAGAAAGTTTACAAATTTGTATTGGGCCACATTCAAAGCCATCCTGTGCTACATGCAGCCCATAGGCCATGGGTTAGACAAGCTTGCTCTAGAAAGTGATATTAACAAAAAATGTAAAACTAAATTTTTAAACTGCGCTAAGTATGAAAAGGAAACAAAGAGAATGCTGAAGTAGAATATAACAGAGAAGGATACATTCTGAGTAGAATAGTCCACTAAGGCCTCCCTGAGGAAGCATCATTTAGCTAAGGCCTCAAGGTCATAGAAAGAAATGGAGAGAGGGAGTCCATTCTAGCATGCAAAGAAAGACCCAAGGCAAGAAAGAGCTTGGCTCTTTGAATCAAGCTCAACCACTCACCTAACACAATTATAGATGCTCAATCAGGGTCTCCACAGATGCCTTCATGACATTCTCAAATAAAGAAAGAAAGTAGAGAGAGAGAAGAGAAGAAAGAGGAAAGGTAAGAAAAAAAAAGAAATTTCTAGTCAATCAAACCAGTTAGGGAAAAGAGTAGAGAGTGTTATTAAGAATGAGCGCTTGGGAGTCAGGCAGCTGAGTTTAAAAGTGGACTTTGACATTTCACAGCTGGGTGACCTCTCATCTTTGGTTTCCTCTTCTGTAAAATGTGGGTTATAATGGCACCTACACCTCATAAGGTTGTGAAGAGGATTTAAATGAGTCAATCCATGTGAAGTACTTAGCACAGTGCCCAGCACAATGTAAGTGATCAACAAGTGTCAACTACTGCTATACATATAGGAGCTTCAGAAGAATAAATACTCAAGCTGATACGATGGGAAGGCTTTAAAATAAAATAGAAAATAAATTATGCTCTCCAACTCAGCTGGATAAATTTGTGTTTTCTTGGTGGGTAAAGAAAAGGGCCATCATTCACTCTTTTTATATATTTGTATAGGTTTAACAAGGCAAGAGAGTATGCATCAAAATAAACCAAAGCTAGGCAAAGAGAAAAAATGGAATATGAAGAAGCTGGCTTCTGGTCCACCTTCTATAGATACTTACTAAATCATATAGTCCAATTTTCCTCCCATAATTCCAGACCACAGTCCACAGGCCCCAAAACATTTCAAAGCTCAAATTTGGTATATTATATGGTACACATATCAGGTTTCTTAGTTGTAAGCAACAGCAACTGACTATGGGTGTTTTAATTGGAACAGGAACAGATGGGTAGCTCAGAACATTGCTACAAAGACTGGGAATCAAGCTTGAAAAATGAAAAGCGTGGCAGTCAGATCTAGGGCTAACTGTTACCACAAAGCCAGGCTGGTGAGTAGACAACTGCTTCTGCCCCAAACCTCATGCTGTCACCTGCACTGTCAAGCCACTAGACCTGGTCACTACTGGATGCCATCTTTAGCTCCTTTATCATGGCTGTGCTAGAAATAGGTGACTCTGCTGAGAAAGAGAGGATATGGACTTCTCAGACTTATAATGAAAAATTATCTAAACATAAAAGGTTCAGACAGTAGCAAACCTCATCAAAAAAGAAAAAAGAAGCCGGGGGCAGTGGCTCATGCCTGTAATCCCAGCACTTTGGGAGGCTGAGGTGGGTGGGTTGCCTGAGATCAGGAGTTCAAGACCATCCTGGCCAACATGGTGAAACCCCATCTCTACCAAAAATACAAAAATTAGCCAGGCGTGGTGGTGGACTTCTGTAATCCCAGCTACTCAGGAGGCTGAGACAGGAGAATCACTTGAACCCAGGGAGCGAGGTTGCAGTGAGCCAAGATCAGGCCATTGCACTCCAGCCTGGGTGACGAGAAACTCCATCTCAAAAAAATAAAAATGAACTTTATTCTATGTGTGTATATAGTCATATATGTTTTATTGTACAAAACTAAGATCATATTGTATACACAGGTTGAGTATTACATATCTGAGATGCTTGGGACAAAAGTGTTTCAGATTTCAGATTTTTTTAGATTTTGGAACATTTGCATATGCCTAACGAGATATCTTGAGGATGGAACCCACATCTAAACACGAAATTCATTTATGTTTCATGTACATATTATACACATAAGCCTAAAGGTAATTTTGTGCAATATTTTAAATAACTTTTGTGTGAAACAAAGTTTTTGTTAAGTACTTACATATGGAATTTTCCACTTGTGGTGCCATGTTGACACAAAAAGTTCAAGATTTGGCAGTATTTCAGATTTTGGATTTTTGGATTAGGGATGCTCCATCTGTATAGATTTTAACAACCTAACACCAGGCTTCTAAAATATAAATGTATTTTAAATATGAAGTTAAATTTAGGATTAGTTTTAATTACATTTCTACTTTTGCAGTCCTAAAATATGAGATTTCAACATGTGATAACTGAATGAAATGCATGGGCTGCAAATTCCAACTTTGCTAATCACTCACTGTGTAATGGTGAGAAACTTACAGAACTTCCCTAAGTCTCAGTTTCTCCATGTGTAAATGGGAATAATAAAACCCATATAATAAGGTTGCTGTGAGGAAAAACAAGATAATTCATATAAAACCCTTAGCTCAGCATCTAGTGCCAAAAAAAAGTCTTCAGTAAATGTTAACATAAAAATATAAGTTGTCATAATTTTCTGAAGTCTAGATTTTTCTCATAGAAAGAGTACTTTTTTTTTTTTTGAGACAGGGTCTCACTCTGTTGCCCAGGCTGGAGTGCAGTGGCACAATCACAGCTCACTGCAGCCTTGATCACCAGGCTCAGGTGATTCTCCCACCTAAGCCTCCTGGGTAGCTGGGACTACAGGCATGTGCCACCACATCCAGCTAATTTTCTGTATTTTTTGTAGAGACAGGGTTTCTCCATGTTGCCCAAACTGGTCTTGAACTCCTGAGGTCAAGTGATCCTCCTGCCTTGGCCTCCCAAAGTGCTGTGATTATAGGCATGAGCCACCGTGCCCCCAACAGGGAAGAGTATATTTTATGTAAGATAATGAACTGCAAGTAAAGTCTTTATGGTTCATCCACGTAGCCAGAATGCCCTCAATTTCCAAGATTCTTGAATCAAACAGTTGACTAGGGAGCTAACATGCCATCTGAGCAGCTTGGGCAGGGCAATTATAAAGCTTGCTCTCTTGATTTTTTTGTCTGTCTCGTCTGGCAAATCATGTAAGGAATTTGTGAAATGGAAGACATAAAATAGATCAACCAGTTTCTCTTTACCCATTGGGCAGGAGAGATCTAAGCTGTTACCCTTCCTATAGGGTTCATGAAAGTAAACAGGAAGGAAAAAACCCTCTGGCCAAATATCTGCTTATTCAAACTTGCTTATTTTTAATAACTTTAAGTTCTTCAATATTTAATGATAACTATAATTAGCATGCTTAATATAGTAATTAATTATTAATGTTATTAATATATCTAGCCTGGAATTAATTTTTGCCTGTTTTATTAAATACGTACTTAAAGTACATATTAAAGATATAACTAAATTTTTTTTCTCACCATTATTGCTGCTAACACCCTTCTGGGCCTCAGTTTCTTCACCTGTACCATGGAGAAGCCAGATTAGATTATTTTAAAAGTCTCTTATTTGATTCTGTGATTGTAGATATAATTAATTAATGTCAGTAATTTTTTTTTTTTTTTTTTTGAGTGGGAGTTTTGCTCTTGTTTCCCAGGCGGGAGTGCAATGGCATGGTCTCAGCTCACTGCAACCTCTGCCTCTCAGGTTCAAGCGATTCTCCTGCCTCACCCTCCCGAGGAGCTGGAATTACAGGCGCCTGCCACCACGTACAGCTAATTTTTGTATTTTTAGTAGAGACAAGGATTCACCATGTTGGCCAAGCTGGTCTTGAACTTCTGACCTCAGGAAATCTGCCCGCCTCGGCCTCCCAAAGTGCTGGGATTAGAAGTGTGAACCACCGCGCCCGGCCAATGTCAGTAATTTCTAATGTCGATAATTATCCCAAGTCCTTGTTCACTTATGCAAGTTTAAAAAAAAAGCTGGCGGGGGGCGGGAGGCTGGGTGCAGTGGCTCATGCCTGTAATCCCAGCACTTTGGGAGGCCAAGGCAGGCGGATCACTTGAGGTCAGGAGTTTGAGACCAGCCTGGCCAATATGGTGGAACCCCGTCTCTACTAAAAATACAAAAATTAGCCAGGCGTGGTGGCAGGTGCATGTAATCCCAGCTACTCGGGAGGCTGAGGCAGGAGAATCGCTAGAACCCGGGAGGCAGAGGTTGCAGTGAGCCGAGAACGCGCCACTGCACTCCAGCCTGGGCGACAGACCTAGACTCCGTCTCAAAAGAAAAAAAAAAGTGCTATTGTTAGGAGGGGGAAGCCGAAAGAGTAGGAAGCAGTACTTGGAAACTTTCTAGAAAGAAGTGAGACGAGGCAAGGTGTTAAGGCATTCGACTCAGCAATTGGAGTAGCAGAAGGCATCTGATCTGAGAGGAAAGGCAAGGATGCGTCCCTGAACATCCAATATTCAGAAACCCGCACCGCTACTGTTGAAAACAACTCAATTGAACTAGGAGGAGAATGAATATGTTACTTAATTAAGTACATTCTGAAGATATCTGGGGCATGGGGCGGACAGGGAATCAAATCTCCTTTCCCCTTTCAAATCTTAGAGACAGACGAGGGGCGAGGCCTCTGACCTGGGTTTCCTTCTCTGAGGAAGTGTTGGGTCCCGAAGCCCTCTTCGGGAGAGTCAGGTGGCGGCCCGGGGCAGCTCAGACCGCGCCTCAGGAGCCCTCGAAGCTGGGCGACGCTGGCAGAAAGAAACGCGAGGCCTCATTGTCCCCCGAGACAAAGCGGAGCTCTTCGCAGCCTCGGGGACCTGTCCGGACTCACTTTCCCTTCCCTCCGAAACCACCCACCGACGCGGGCCGGGAAACGCTCAGGCCCAAGATGGGCTCTGAGCGCGAACCAGGGAAGAGCCCGGATGCTGCTCCTTTCCCGCCCCGGACCGGCGCAGGTCCATCCAGAGGCGCGAAGCCTGCAGGCCAGGGAAGAGCCCGGATGCTGCTCCCTTCGTGCTCTGCCTGGGGCCCAGGAAGCAGGAGAAACGGAACGGCGACGTTGGGTCAAGAACTCAGAGGGTGAAGGCTGGGAAGCCAAGGAAGGAAAGCCGTCCTGACCTCGGCGTCGGGGCTCCTCTACAACCCCGCAGGGTCGCGAAGGTCCTGCGGCATCTCCTCTCGCAGTTGCCGCAGCCTAGCCGGCCGGGGGCAGGCGCTGGTGCCCCCCGCCCGCTCCCCGCAGCCCCAGCAGAGCCGGAGTTCCCGCGGCCGCCGCTGCCCGAGCGACTCGATCGCCCGAGCCGACCTCTTCCCAAGCCTTGGACAGCTGACCCCTGCGCATCCTAAAGGAAAGACCCCATCTGTTCCTCAGAATGGGAAAATTCCCGTGCATACTTTGCCAGAACCGTGTTGCTGATATTTCGGGGGTTGGGGTTACCATTTTAAATCGTGGCTTTCTGCATTCTTGTTACGGTTCTGTGGCGACTTAGAACGAAGTGGGTCGTAAATCGTAAAATTGTCCAACGCGGCTAAAACGTGTCCCAGTTTGAAAAGAAAAGTCGCTCAATAATTTTTCTTTTATTTTCTGTTGCAAGCATTTGTGTATTTTTTCCCAACCGATTAACCACACAAGCCTAAATGAAAATATAAAAAATCTGATTTCTATAGATTAACCTTGTGATTAGACGTTTTACCAACAGGTTTTTAATACAAGAGTAAAATGTAATGGGCTGATTAAAAATAGAGACACGTGTTTTAGTTGTGTTTGAACATGTTGCAAAAAGAGACATTGGTCTTTTCATTTTTTCCAGTAAACTCAAAATGCAGTCATTTAAGGATGTTTTGCAGGATATGATGAGGGTTTAGAGTTGCCTAAGGAAAAAAAAAAAAGGTGTTTAGAGGCTAGCGCCTACTGAACATACTTGTTTAATTGATATTTTGTTTGTAGTTCTGCTATCAAAGGTCAGCTAGCTGTATTTGATGGCTGGTGCTATTAAAAATAAGGCACTAAAACGCTGAGGATTCCAGCTCACCTCTTCAAACACTGACAACCATTGATGTCCCTTTGGGCATCAGGTTCTGCTGAGATCAGTAGGACCCCATGGGGATGAGATGGAGGAGAATGTGGAAAGTTGTATTGCAAGGAGACTTTATGTTAATAGTTTGGGCTTGGGTGTGTGTGTGTGTGTTAGGTACATGAGTGAGTCTTGGAAAAAATTAAGATATGTGAGTCAGAACAATTTAGAAGGTATGCTGCGCCACAAACTAGCCAGAAAAAGCAAACACATTTTTAAAAGGTTCAGAGTTAGAACCCCTCCTGGAATGTCCCTTGCATCTTGAAGCCCCTTCTAGATGATACTTCTTGACAATTTAATGGAGGTCGAATTTGTGTGTAGGCAACTCCTCTTTCATTTATTCTTTCCCATCCAAGTTTAAAAACAAAACAGAAATATATGTGTGTGTGTTGAATTTTACTTGCCCTCCAGATTTTTATTTTTATATTTTAAGAACATATGTATTTAAAGGTAAGTAGCACATTTTATTATTCAAACAAGATGGCAGAAGCATTCAACTCAGAGGTTGTTTCAAAGATTCGGTATTCCTAATGGCCTCAAAGTCAAGGACTTGACTGAGTGGGTGGCCAGTAAAGCAGAAATGGAAAAATAAATCATATCTAGTCTGAAACAAATTACATGGAATAAATCAGGGAGGGACAAAATTGAATCAGGACTTTAGAATTTAAAAGTGCACTGGACTCAGGTTCTAAGCTGCCCTGTTTTTTTATTTAGGAAGTAAGAGTATGGATACTGACTGTGCTCTCAGTCAAACCAATCCACCTCTGGGTGCCTTTTTCTGATCCATAGAGTGAGAGATTAGGGATGTGGGTCCCATTCAATTCTGGTCATTTAGGCACAAGGAGTCCTAAGGCAGAATTTTTGTGTGTTCTCACAAATGCAGGCACAAAGGGGACTTATCTAAGGCAGAGGGTCACCAAAGTTGACCAGTGACTAGCTTATCCCAATAGTGGCATGCTAACTAAAGGGTGTTCTTGTATGTACTGAAAAAGCCATAGCGTTTCTTTTACAGCCCCATCCAATATAAAGAAAGATGTTGTTCATGCACTAATTTCAGTATTTTTAAGCACAGGAGTTGCCTGTCTCTCAAAATAAATTAAAGCCTGAAATGCCTAGAGCTTCTGCTTTAAGAATGATTATTCTTAAGGAGGAAACACAAACAGCAGTGACCATTTTTCACAGACGTGCTCAGCCATCAGGAAAGCTTAATAAATCCCTATTTAGTATGCATTTATGCAGTGATTACATGAACTTTGACCTCTGAAGAGCTGTAGCAATTAGCTTCAGTGTCTAGCATCTTCTACTCACCATTCCCCACTGGCTTCCTTGTGTCTTCCTTTTTCATCTCTCAATACTTCATGCATTAAGAAGGCGTAAAATTTAAAAGTTGACTTTCCACCTGAGGTATTTGCTTCTGCGCAAGCCAATTCTCCCTCCCCCCTTTCCCACTCAACAGCCATCTCAGATGGATATTGGGGCTCTGATTGTCAATATTACTCAAACACAAATGGATTTCAATTCAATCTTGCCCTGTACTTTCACAAAGATAAACTCTAATGGCCCAAAGAGCTTCATTTCATAGCTTGTGGCATCTGAAATAAATCAGATATCTTCTGTCAGACTAATTTAACATTTTAACAATATTTGATGTGATTTATTTAAAGTCAAATGAAACTGAATGGATTGGCAGAAAACTAGAGGAGGGGGCAGGAGAAGGGCAGCTGGAAGCTTCCAAAAAACAAAAAACAAAAAAGAAAAAAAGGAAGAAAAGAAAAGAACCAAGAGGGGAGAGGAAAGTGTTTTAAGTTTCTAGTAAACATTGTTTAGCAAAAGAATAATAGGAAAGTTGCCCCTTTTCCAAAGAGGGATGGAACTATAATTGTTGCCTTTAGTTGAGAGCTCAGATAAACTGCTGGGACTCATTCTAAAGTGACCCATCACTGCATTCATCTCTTCTTGAACTTTCGGTGAACCTGAGATTAAACAGGGGTGAGCAGCTAAGCAGTTTGTTGTTAGCAGCCTTTTCAACAACCCTTTCAGACTGAGTAAATATTGATCGGTTTGAATCTGATTGCCCCAGAGGAAAACACCACCGCATTTGAATAGCCTCCAAAAGTAAACTTTAAAAGGTGAAACCCAGAGCAGACTTCAGAGCCAAAGCAAGACCTCAACTCAGCCTAGTTTGGGAACACTCTGTATTTGGGGAGTACTGTGGATAAATGTAGAGGAAGTGAGGAAAAAAACATTGGAAAACTAGAATTTTGTATCGCAGTTATCCCAGGTGCCTAACTGAGACCCTTGTTTCCTTTGTAAATGTATCAATAAAATGTTATTTTCAGTTTTCCCACTCTGTGTTGTTTCAGTTACCATTGCTGTCATTTTTCAAGTAGCTAACTGTGCTCCTTAGAGACCAAAGCAGAGAGACCTTGAAATAGGATGTGTTAAGCGCCTTTGATTTAATCGATTGAGACAGCTAAAAAGATACAAATGTTTTCCTTGTTGAAAGGTGTATTAATGTTTCCTAAATGCATTGCTTGTTAACTGATTTATTCCATGACCTAGAGAAAGCTAGAGATGGTTAGCCATAATTTATTGTTCTCTCTTGCTGCTACATTAAAACCAGCATCTTAAAGACTGGAATCTCTGGGATTCCAGTGGATCTCGCCCTGCTTTTAGATATTGAAATGGAGTCAATGGCATGCAAATGACACTTTAACACATTAAAGTATTTGGAAGCCAGCCATCTGTTTTGCTGTGTGGCCCTACACTAATAAACAAAAGATACAGTATAAGGCCAGGCAGGAAATGAAAGAAAGGGTTGACCGTCTTTGAAGTTCTTCTCCATCCACTTGAGTCTTTTACAGGCAACCTCAGAACCCAGCAGCTGAGGGGAGGGCACCCGGTGCCCTTGATATGGCCGCAGCAACTGCACCGCAAAGTTCAGCCTTCTCTTCTTTGACAGGGAAGTGCAGGAATTCTCACAAGTGCCCTAGACGGCCTGCAAATTCCAAATTTTTGTAGGGTTTTTCTCCTCCAGCCCGTCCTTTGTAAAACACCCTTTGGGGAGGAAGGAAGTCATCTGTCTGTGTTTGTTTTCAATGCTGTAAATTTTCTGCTGTACTGTTGGGCTAAATAAAATGCCTCCAAAAATGTGTGAAAGTAAAGGAAAGCAATAAAGAGGCCTGGGAGGAGAGCCACTTTGAACTCTATCATTTGCTGGCTTCCTCTTTTGAGAGCAGATACATACCTTGGTCAGAAACAACTTGGATATTGAAAGACTTCAGGGTAGCTTCCACAAGTTCACCTGGAAGTACCTGTGGAGCCCAGAGAAGAAAATGACTTTTTTTTTCTGGGTTATGTGGCATGGAATTAGAACTGTGGATCCTTTACAGCCATGACGGCTATGAAATCAAAGCTGAGTCTGAAGGGAATAAGATGTGCAACCCAGAGATGGGGAAGAAGGGGTGAAGAGCCGCAGGAAGGGATGGATGTTGACAGGAAGAATGGGGGAAGGGATGCAAGGGTTTACTAAAAACACTCCATTTCAAGGGTGGAATATATCAGAACTCTGCCTGACAATCCAAAAAGAAGGAAGAGGAGTGGAATAAGGGCCCCATCCTCACAACAACTTTATACTGGAGCTAATTAAATGTGAATCTCTTAGCTCTTGGTTCACTGATGTGAGGAAAGACTGACTGAAGACAGTTTTGGCTTTTGAAGGGAGTTCTGTTTATATATACGTCAACATCCAGTTGGAGGTGAAAAGGTTAGCACTTGACCCAGGAAGTATCCATGTTTGTTTCAAAAATAAATCTGCTTCATAAATTTCTTCATCAGTCTTTTTTTCCATTATGAGCTTTGATTATAATAAAGGAGCTGTTATTAACTTTTATTCAAGAAAAGGCCCATCTCTTTGAAAATATTTACCACCCTTCTCCCTTTCCCCTCATGAAATGTGCCAACTTCATAGG
This sequence comes from Homo sapiens, assembly GCF_000001405.40. Taxonomy (NCBI): domain Eukaryota; kingdom Metazoa; phylum Chordata; class Mammalia; order Primates; family Hominidae; genus Homo; species Homo sapiens. The sequence continues at coordinate 27,093,259 of NC_000007.14, forward strand.
AATTAACAAATTGTAGCCCAGCCAAATACACGGATGCTTAAGCATACCTGAAACTTGAGTATATTTATTTATTACAGACATCCTAAGACCCGTAAACTCTGCTCTGGATCATATCACTCCAGGATCTCAGAGCTGTTCATGATTGTACAGGAAATGGGGAATATCATAGGCTCACAAAGGATAACTGATAGAACTCAGTGTGGTACTTTGGGGACATCAAACATTGTGCGACATGCAAAAGACTATTCACGAATAACACAAAATATACATTCATTGTGCCATCCATCACATTAACAATTGAGCTGAAAATACATTATATCCAGCTAAGATAACTGTGGAAGGAAGAAATTGGTTTGAATAATACTTTTAGGTTCTGAATAACCCAGCACAAATTTTAAACAGAGGGTGGCCCGAGAAGAAAGGGGTAGAGATTGGGAAAGACTTAGCACAGGAAGCCGGGTTTCTGAAGTTTGTGCTCTGCAGGGCTTCTTAACTGTAAGAACAAATCAAGGCTACCCTCTGAGGCATCTGATTGGGTTTAAATGAGGGAATTTTTTCTTTCACCTATAAAATTGTACCAGTTTAGAGAGTTTGCCCACCCTGTTTTAGTAACCTAAACATTTCTAGAAAATCTGTATAAAGATAAATCTCTTAGGACAAAGTATTTACAACCAGCAAACTCACACACATGAAAATGACTTAAATTAAGGGATGAATTAATTGTGTAAACATATAGTGCATCTCTTCTTCCTGAGCTCCTGGACTCGCCTTTCGCTATATCCTACTTTCAAGGACAAGGGAGGGGAGAGCTGTACATATAGTTAGATAAAAGATGAGAAGATTCCTTCTGGCATGTTTCTGTTGGCAAAGGGAACTATTTTCCAAAAGGTCATCTGAAAGGAACAGTAGGTTCTGTGAATTCTCCTAAAAGCAGGAGGGATGTTAAGGCCCACCAGAAAATGTATGCTGGCACCCAATCTGGATGAAGGTGTTAACCCCGCACCAAGTCTCTGGTCCAGAATTATCTGCAAATATATTATCCTGGCCAGGAGCTCCCCAGATAGGATTAGAAAGGAAGAAAGAGACTGTAAATGGAAAGAAAGATAAGCTAAGCATGTGCTTTGGGTAAGAAGTCCCAGCCCAAGGAGATGCCTGGGCTGTTGTCTGGGGCTGGAGCCGCCTCAGTGGGAGGTAGTCAGAGTGTCTGAGGTAGAAGACCCCGGGGAAGGAACGCAGGGCGAAGAGCTGGACTTCTCTGAGGATTCCTCGGCCTTCTCGTCGTTTCCTGGCGGGGTGGCCGGAGAGATGGGCAAGAGACCCTCCTTCTCACGTTTCTTTTGCTTCATTCGGCGGTTCTGGAACCAGATCTTCACTTGGGTCTCGTTGAGCTGCAGGGATGCAGCGATCTCCACCCTGCGGGCGCGCGTCAGGTACTTGTTGAAGTGGAACTCCTTCTCCAGTTCCGTGAGCTGCTTGGTAGTGAAGTTGGTGCGCACCGCGTTGGGTTGACCCAGGTAGCCGTACTCTCCAACTTTCCCTGGGGCAAAGTGGGAAGCCATGAGACGGAAATGTAAAAATTTTTAAATCGACTTGAGATTCCCCACACGCTTCATGGCAACACTCAGGTAAAGAAAAGATCAAGAACTCAGCACAAATCGGGCTGTGGAGGGTGAGTGATGAGGTGTAAAGTGTTAACCTGATGTAAACCATTAGCATGGTCAGACCGGTGATTAATGGAGCCTCAAGATATTAACAGAACACTACCGTCACAATAACCACCCCCACATACTTCCTATTTCCCAAATGTATAAAATCCTTGAAAACACACCAATCCCTGAGACTTCTTTGCCCCAACACCTCTGGGCACCCTCTCCATGCACTACAACACTAGTCTGATACAAAAGCCTTTTAAAAAAAAGATCATTATTAATTTCCTTGGAAATTAAGCATACCAGCTCCTTCCAGAATAATCAAGGAGCATCCACCAACCAGCAGGACTGACCTGTTTTGGGAGGGTTTCTTTTGACTTTCATCCAGTCAAAAGTCTGCGCTGGAGAAGATGTCTCCGATGCGGGGGAGCGACAGGCTTCTTGGTGGCTGGCGTGGAGAGGGGACAAGGAGTTATTATACGTAGCCAGGGCCAGGCTCTGGTGCTCCTGTCCATATGAGTGGTGAATGTATTGAGGCGAGCCCACCGCGCCCCCAGCATAACCCTGGTGGTGGTGGTGATGCTGGACCATGGGAGATGAGAGATTTCCAGAGTAAACAGCGGGAGCGCACTGGGGGTACCCACCACTTACGTCTGCTTCCTGATTTAACGCGTAGGGGCTGTAAGGCGCACTGAAGTTCTGTGAGCCATAGCTTGGACCACAACTTGAGTGGGAGTAGGACACCCCCAGGTTCCCGGAAGTCTGGTAGGTAGCCGGCTGGGGGTGGCGATGGTGGTGGTGGTGGTGGTGGTGGGGCGAACCGATCTGCACCCCCCTGCCCACTAGGAAGCGGTCGTCGCCGCCGCAACTGTTGGCGCTGACCGCGCACGACTGGAAAGTTGTAATCCTATGGTCCGAGGGGTAGGCTCGGGCTGAGCAGGTCCCCGAGTCGCCACTGCTAAGTATGGGGTATTCCAGGAAGGAGTTCATTCTTGCATTGTCCATCTGTCACTGAGTGACCTGGTCCTGCGAAGCCCGGCGTGACTGTGCCAACTTTCTCACTTCCTCCATGGGGCCGGAGAAGAAAAATGATATGAATGTACAGTGCGCAAGAGGGGGGGCGGGAGGGCGGAGGACGCTGGAGGAGGGGCACGTGACGGTGTCAGCCAATGGCTGAGCCTCCTGCAAAAGTTTGCCGGCTTCCGCAGTGATGGATCACCGTTTTAGTGGCATTTAAATCCCCGGCGCTCCGCCGTCTAGGTGACGCGCAGTCGCCCCCCCAGGCAGCCTAGGCGGCGGCAGCTGCTGCGGCGACTGCAAAGGCCGATTTGGAGTGCTGGAGCGAAGAAGAGCAAAAGCTGCGTTCTGCGCGCGCCCGACTCCGCTGCCCGCCCCGCCAGGCCTCCGGGAGGTGGGGGCTGGGAGGCGTCCCCCGCTCCCGCCCCCTCCCCACCGTTCAATGAAAGATGAACTGGCGAGAGGTGAGAAGGGAAGAGGGCTCCCGGCTCTCTCGGGGCGGGAATCAGTGGGCCAGAGCTCGCCGGGTGGCCGCAAGTACGCCGGCCCAGCCCGCAGCGCGCCCAGCCGGAAGGCGGGGAATCCGGCTGACACCGCGCCCCGGGTTCCCAGGCCACCTCCTCTGTTCTGAGGCTGGGCTGGGAGACCGTGGGGCTGTGAGGAGCGCATAGAACCGTGGTGGAGGGCGAGGCTGGGCCACCGGCTCTTCAAGCTCGGAATGGAGGGGGAAGAGCGCAGAGGGCTGGCTGGGAGGAACTCGGGTGGGCGTGAAGGAGACGAGGGCAAGAAAAGAAACTTCCCTTCTTCCAGGAGGGTCTTCGAAACCCTCTCCCCACAGCCCCTCTCGTCATTAGCATGGCAATGAGGAGTTTCTGTAATTCGACTTGGAGGGGCGGATGAGCCCTGGAAACTCAGAGCTCGCCGGAAAAGGCCGGGGGCGGCCGGGCTCTTCTTCCCCACCTTCCCTCTCTCGTCGCTCTCCGCCCCTTTCTCTTTCCCACTCAGTTTTGCACCGGGAGCCCTCCGGGATGCGGAGCTACTCGACCGCCGGATTTTTAGGGGTAGGAGGCGGGGGAGAGAGATGACGCTGGCGGACGTGGCCAGCGCGGGGGCCGGGCGGTGCGCTGCAGGCCATCTGCCGGCGCCCTGAGACCCAGGAGCCTCCGCGCTCCCGCGTGGGCCTCACAGGGCCGGTCCACAGCTCCAACATAGTAGCTGAACTCCCTTCGTTGCGTTCCTCTTTTTCTGGAGGGGAATGTTAGAAGAGAGAGAGAGCTTCCTTTTATAACCTTCCTCATTCTGCTGCACGTCTAGAGTGGGTGTGGGGGCTGGCAGGTGGGAGGGGCGGTGGACAAATGGCTGATGGTGGACGGGACACTTTACCCCAACGACACCTCCTCCCCTTTCCAACTGGCTGTGTAGTTGCTTATGAGAACCTTCAAGTCCTTCCCTAGAGAGACACATGCAAATCTGAGCCTCATCCCAGGCCAGGGGTCCTGTTCCTCATCACCCTACTTCCCTGAGGCTGCTGAGGTCGTTAAATTGTTGTTTACTATTAGGTTTCACGTCAACCCTGGGCTTGTAGAGAGAAAAAGCCAAACGGAGACCAAGAATTGATGCAGTCTTGGGTAGGAGAAATCGAGAGCTTGTCCAGGAAGCTTTGCTGTATAAATTATAAGCAATGCTGTATAAATTTTACTCCAACCATGTGTACAATGTTGGAATCAGATGAAATTTATAGTGAATGAATGTATGTGGGTTTGGGGTTTCCACTCCTCTTCAGCCTTTCCTCCCGTTAGAACAAGGAAGGTTTTTTTTTTTTCAAGGAAGGTACATTTCAAATATGTTAGTCACCCTTTCAGTCTTCTGTATTCTGTTCTCCACGTACCGAAGTTCCCCCAAACCTGTCCTCTCAAGAGAAAAAACCCATGCTGACTCTGGACTCCCTCAGTAACAATGAAACATTCTCCCCAAACATTTCCTTTCAGAATAGTATTTGTGACTTTGATCCATCCCAAGCATGGTTAAGAGGGAGCACGGGCAGGAAAGGCCCACTTTCTGGGGTTGGGCAGCCACCCCTGCCCCAGTTTCGGCTCCTGGGAATCCTCCGACTGGAGAAGGGGAAAGGCAAGGCAGTCCTCCTGGAGGCGGCTTCCTTGGGAGCACCAGCTTCCAGCGGCGGGGAGAGAAGGAGCTCCTGTGGGAGAGGGGGCAGGATGTGAGTAGGTCGGTGCTGGCTATGCGAGCAATCCTCCCTCCAAGCCTGAGCAAGTCGGTACATTTTCCCCCGCTGCCTCATTCCTGTACCTTGGTTGCCCTCCTCAGCCTGGGTTTGCAGGACCCCCTCGGCTGCAGGGCGCCTGCCACAAAGCCGACCCCGGCAGGAGCCACTCTCTCTGCTAGTTCGCTGCCTCGGCCCTGCTCTCCCTCAGCCTCTCTTCTTCTCTCCTGGCCTCTTTTCTGGGGCATCCTGGGTGGAGTGTTTTTCTTGGGATCACGAGCTTGCACTCGCACACAGGCCCGCAGACACACAGGCCCGGCGGCCGCCCTTCTCCGCTTACTGTTCCCGGCTCCCCGCAGGCCGGGTGCTCGCAGCCGGGCTGGCTATGCCTCGCCTGGCAGCCCAGAGCGCCGCTCCCCGGGAACAGCACACAAAGGCAGCCTCCCCTGGCCTCTAGCCCTTAGGCTTCTGTAGCTCAGTTCTTTCCCCACACCCCTCCCCCAAGAAATTCTGGGGGCCGTTCCACCGAGTAGGAGATCCTTGGCCCTCTAGGCAAGTAGGTCAGCGCCCCAAGACTGGAGCTGGTCTCTTTCAACGCCTTGGGAGACTGGGTGAAAGGCGAGCTTGGTTACGCTTAAAATGATCGCCTACAAGCGGTTCTCTTGGCTCAAAACGCCTCTTTCAGGGCTCTTATGCTAGAAAGGAAAGGAATAAGGAGGAGATAAAATGACGCCGAGGCCCTGAACTGTTCATGGCATCCGCGGCTCAGCCAAGCTGTTGTTTTAAAAGAGCAATAAAAATGAATTATGACTAAACGCCTTCTAACTTAATGCTTTCGGACGGGGATCCCCGGCAAATAACGTAAGAGGATTTTTATTTGTGCATGTGTTCCTGCAATTGATCTCTTTGATGACATTCTCATTCATAGAAAGCGTTTGATTTATGAGCGTAGGACGAATCGCATCCAGGAGCTGCGCAGCCCTGGCCGCTGCCGGGACGCCCTGCTCCGCGCTGAGCTTGGGGCCAGAAACCAGCCATAGTCCCCACACTCCGCCGCCGCAGCTGAGATTTAGCGGAGGAAGGGGCGAGGGAAGGTAGGGAGCAAACCTATGAAGAAACATCGCGTTGTCATTGGAACTTCCAAGCCTTTGCTGTTAAGAGCCAGGTTCTTAAATCAACCCGCCCCACACACATGTTGCTTACATGCTGCGTTTTCTCACGGTAAGTAAGTAGGCATCAGAAGAGAGCTCAGAAAGGGAAAAATAAACATGGGGAGACCTAACAAGGGAGGGGGGAAAAGCAACAACCCAGTGACACACCCTAGATCACATTTTATTGATATTTCATTTAAAGTGCTTTTCTCTCTCTCTAGAACCTGCGTTAATTTATAACCTAGGGTGTAGAAACACACCATTTTAAATCTCAACTTGCTAACCTGACTTCGAAGCATTAACGATCTATTATTAGCAATGTAAACAGGTTTAAGAATGAAATATTGATTTTTCTGACCCTGAAAAAAAAAAAAAAATCCTAGAGTGACTGAACCAGAGGATTGGAAAGAACATTTTCTAGGGTGCATTTTCCAGATAGTAATCACTGTTTTGTTTTATTTTTGTTTTTCTCTATCTTTTAGGTCTGTTTTGCCTGAACCCATCAACAGCTGGGAGATTAATCAACCACACTGAAAATGTGGAGGGATTTATGGGGGAGGGGGTTGAAATGTGGGTGTTTGAAACAAAAGTGTATAAACAAATGAATTGTTGATAACTTAGTTATTGACCTGGAGACTGGTAGCTTATTAAAGAAACTCCGTGTTACTCATTCCTGGAGTTGGGGGTTTCTGTAGGCACTTTATTTCTCCACTTTCAAGAGCTTGGGCTTGGCCCAAATCTTAGACTGTCCAATTCTGCCTCTATTACCAATTTAAATCTATGGCTTGAACCTGTGCACTGAAAATCAAATCCTTTAAAAAGAAAGAGGAGAAGAAGAAGCAAAAAAGAAAGAAAAAACACTTATTAGAAGCCCTAGTCATTTTTTGGCTTTCTGTTTTGTTGCTGTCCATTGAAGACTTTGAACATGCCGCCTTAATAAATGTATTAAAATTGAAAAAAGAGGATAAATTGTGACGAATTTTATTTACGAAGTTAGACTAAAAGAAGAAAAAGAACCCGTTATGAGCCTTGAAAAAAGAGGGGGAGAAAAATAAGCTACTTATAGCAAAGGAGAATTTATTCTACAAAAAATATGCATGACAATGCATCCCAATGTAATACAAAAATAAAAAGAAAGTGAAGATACAATTATATGATCACTTTCTTGCAGGCCTCATACTGCTCTCAGGAATCACATAAAGGGTTGTTGAGTTAGGTTTAAAACAACTAAAACTCCAAAATAATCTGTAAAAGATGGCTCTGTTTGAAACTGGGTCAGGGAATCACTAAACAGAAAATCCTCAACACTTAAAGGAGGGAAGGGGTAGGTCAAGAAGAAAATAAAAAATAAACTCCCAAATAAAAGAAGGCAAAACCACCTGGTCAAAGGAGTTTTTGTTTGGTGATGCTTTGTTTTGCTTTAATGTTTTTAGTAATTCAGATGCTGCAAGTCGATTGTGGTGAGTGTGTCTGTAAAAAAGTCTAAGCTGTCAGCTGAAATATCTACGGGACTGTCGAGGGAACCTGGCAAACTGGGTGAAACTGCATCTGAAAGCTGCAGGCAGGAATCTGTGGAGAAAACGCTAAAGTCCTGCAAAGAGGGGACCTCAAGGGCCTCAGGACTGTCATTGTTTAGGCCAGCTCCACAGTTCTGGCCCATTGTTGACAAGCAGTTGGGAACAGTGGGTGACTGGTGCTGAAAATGTTTCAGATTTTTCTCATTGCTGGTTAAAGGCGAGACTGGGAAACTTTGGGAGTCGCCATTGTGTCCATTGGGAGCCTGCTGCTGAGAGAGGGCATTTTGCTGAAAAGTGTAGCCTTCCCTCTCCAGAAGGGCCCCAGAGACGCTAAGGGCTTGCTCAAAGAGCGTCTTCTCTTCCTCGTCCTCCTCTACTTTCTCGGAGTCCTCAAGGCTTTTACATTTCCCTTCGCTGTTTTGGTTTTCCTTGCACTGGGTCTGCCTCTTGTGCTTCATCCTCCGGTTCTGAAACCACACTTTCACTTGTCTCTCAGTCAAATCCAGCAGCGCTGCAATCTCCACCCTTCGGGGTCTGCAAAGGTACTTGTTGAAATGAAATTCTTTTTCCAGCTCTAGAAGCTGTGTGTTGGTGTAAGCAGTTCTCAGGCGCCGCGATCCCCCGCCGCTGCCATCGGCGATTTCCAGGGATTCTGCGGAAAGGGAAACCAACAAGAGACACACGCACAGTTGGAGGTGGAGGGGTCCGAGCGGGGTTATTCCACTGGAGAATAAATATAGCAGAAAAGATCAACTGCAACAAAATGGCCGCCCCTGGATGCAGTAGAGCTATTGTGCTGCCTTTCCTGGGAGCCCAGCCTGGGCAGACCCCGTCTCCTCCATCTCTATCGAATTCATGCCTGTGGCTCCCCCCAACCTCTTCATCCGGGAGCAAACTTTATATTAGCCACAACACAATTTATAATTAATGCGTCAGCTGCTTAGCTGAGCAAGAGCGATCTATCACTCTTCATTACTGTCAAAAAGCCAAACTCTAGGACAACTAGACAGGAGGAGGTCAGTTCCAACTCAAATAAATCATCCCACATTACACAAGTTCGGGAAAGTTTCCCCCCACTTCCTAAAAATATATATGTCTCATTGTAGAGCGCAGGATCCCCTTTCCTCTCCATCAAACCCACTCCTGAACCCACAGGGGCAGGGACAAGGCAACCAAGCATCTCTCCCTCTCCTCCTTCTCTCCCAGCCCACTCTCCCCTCCCCCCACAGCCACTCTCGGGGCAGCCCGGAGAAGGAAGAGGGTCCCAGAGACCTGGGGCCAAGTCTTTGGACTGACCTTTGTGGCTGAGGCAAGCAGGGCCGGTGGCTGCGGCGGTGGCGGCGGCGGCGGCGGCCGGCAGAAGTGCGGTTTTCTTGGCCGCCTTCTTCTCCTTCATCCAGGGGTACTCGGGCGGCTGCAGGGCGCCGGCGGGCACCGGGCTGCCGCGGCTGCCCGCGGGGCTCGGCTTGGGGCGGCCGCCAGCGCCGTGGCGAGGGTGACTGCCGGGGTTCAGGCTGGGAATGGTCTGCTCAAAAGGAGGAGGAATCAGTGTCGAGTGTGAAAGCGTCGAGGTCTTGATTGATGAACTTTGAAATGTATCAGCGACAGGGGGAAAAGATGTCAGGCACTCAGCGAGCGACGGCTGGCTATTGATAAAACCAATCTCTCGCTCAAATTCGTAATTCATGGCCTTCTCCTTGGAGCCCCCTCAGAGAAAAAGTTCCCTCTTTTGGAGGGGCTTTGGGGGGGCAAGGCCTAGGAAAAAGGCGAGCGCAGAGGAAAAAAAATCTATCATAGAATATCGCTGCTAGGGTGTTTTTTTTCTAATTCACTGATTACAGCCGTATGGGGACCGCGCTACTATTAAACTATTGAATTCATGGAGACAAGGTTGAAATTGGACCGAATTGGCTGTCACATGATTGCTTCTGCCCAATGACAATTTGGGCTTTAATCAAAAGAAGCCACTGTCTGTTTGATTGATCCAAAAAAGTCGGGAAGGAACGCCTCATTGGGGGCCAGCGAGGCTTTATTTACACTTTTTTCAGAGCAAAAATACATATATGTTGGTGTGGGTGGGGATGTCCCGGAGTACGTGGGGGCGAGGGTGCCTGCGTGCCTCCTGATCTGCAAGGATCTATCTAGTGTGTGTGCCTGGGAGTGTGTGTGTGTGTGTGTGAATGTGCGCGAGTGTAAGCCCTGCTGTCGGTCCCGCCGGTGGCTGCCCTCTGCCTCCCCCGCACACTCCGCGCATTGTTTGGGACTGTCGGGAAGACGCCTCGCACCTCACAAATCATTTAAGCACCTCAGTCTGACGCCTGCAGTCATTAACAAAGTAATCCATTAATCTTCAAAGTTTTGACACCCGAGGGCCCTGCGTCCCAGCCACATAAGTTCTGTTAAAGCAGGAGAAAGGAGCAGAGGAAGAGAGGAGATGAGAGAGGGAGAATAAAGAGAGAGGGAAGAAGAGAGAGTTTGAGAGATGGAGAAAGAGAAGACAGAAAAGAGAGAAGAAAGGAAAGATTTTGGTTGGGAAGGGGTCTTCCTTTTCTTTCCCTTTTCCTCCTTCACTTTTCCTAAAAGCAGTTCCTGGATCTCAAAACTGATCTCTCTCGGTCTGTTTTCCTTCCTGTCTGTCCCTTTCCCTCTTTTTCCTCTTCTCCCCCTTTCTCCCTCCCTCTCTCTTCTGTCCGCCTCCCCTTCTCCCCTCAGCCTCTCGCCCCCCTCCCAGTGTCCAGCCCAGAGTCTGCGCCCCGGGCCCATTGTTAGCAGGCTATTCCACGGCAGCTTTGCATCTGGCTCCGGCGGGAAGCGGAAAACGGGAGGCGGCTCTCGAAGCTTCCCGACCTTCCTGCGCCATCAACTTCTCAGGAGTGGCTGGAGAAAGATGCATGTGCCAAGCGAGACAACAACCCCAGGTCCATGTGTCCAAATCCCCGTAGCCAGGGCGGCGGCCAGCCAAAGAAATGCCGCCCCGAGCAGGCGCGTGCGGCTCCTGGCATTCTGGGTTTCATACCCGTAGGGCTCGGGTGCGGTGAGTATTTCCGATTTCCAGGAAGTCTGTTGGAAGTTACCAGCAGGGAAAGAGAAGATGCTTGCTCCTCTCTTTCCCTCCCTCTCTCTTTTTTTTCTACCCTTCTTCTTGTCCTTGTCGCTCTGGTTGGGGGCTGGTTGGTTTAGATACAGCGAGTGCTCCCTGGCAGCCTGAACTGCCTCCCACACCTTCCTGATCCTTGGGCACCGGGGATGTTTGCTTCCGGGTTCTGTTGTGGGAAACAGCACTGCGGGGGAGAGGAGGCGACCCAAGGAGGAATTATAAAGGTTTTCGTTCTCCTTCATTATCTTTTTTCCAATTCGGAGACTTGAGACTGAGCGCATCTTGGACAGTGCTAGAGGGTTCAAAAGATAACACCTTTAGGTACCAAAAAATAATTTTTAAAAAATCCACCAAGCCAGAAAGAGGTGAGGAGGCTGAGAGGTAGATCTGGAGGTACCTCTTTCCCCCCCAAACCCTGAGGATGGTGATTCGCTTTTGCTTCCTTTGAAATAGACTAACTGATCAGACTCCCCCAGGCCGGCAGGCATCAATGGCAGGAAAATAAATCATTCTGATGGTCAGGGAGAGAGAGGTTGGAGGGGGAGAAAAATCTACGTAGAAAACAAGAAAGGCCAACCAAGGAGCAAAGGCAGGACCCCATCTCTGAGGCCAGCGTCAAAGAGGGTTTGGGGTGGAAATTAGACATAAGTGGCCTATATCATTGACCAGCCCAGAGCATTGCCTTGCAGATAGAGATGCTATTTTGGAAAATGTGAGGTTTTTTAGTTTTCTTGCTTTTATTCCAAACAAAGCTCCAAAGGAAGTCTGGGCGCGATCAATCTTGCTCACCAAAAGCCTTGACAGCTTCTAGCCCTTAAGAACACATTTCAGCTTCCAGCTCCTTCCAAGATAAAATGTGGCCGAGCAAAGAGGAGAGCAGGAAATGCAAGTAAATAAGGAAAACTAGTCTTTTAAAAAATATATTTTGGCAGTGAAAAGGGTTATAGGGCTCCTTTTAGGAAGGGTGCTTTGCGAACCCTGGGATGGCAGCTTTTGGCATCTGCTTTTACCAGAAAATATTACAGGCTTAAGGGAACGTGGGCGGGGGGTGCAGAGAGGGAGCAGCGCTGCCCCCATATCTCTGAGGCTTTGTCAGGGGCTGCGTGGGTGAGAGCTTTCTGCTGCCTCAGCCGCCTTAATTCAAATACCATCTGGAAGAAAACCCTTTTCTTTGACCACTCAACACTGAAATCTTCCCCAAATCTATTACTTTAACTTATGAGATATTTTAATAAGGATTTCTTTTTAATATCTAGGAAACTGGGGGGTGAAGTCAATACTTTTTTCTTTGAAAGCCAAAATGAATGTCTTGACTGGTAAGATGCGGGAAATCACATTAGAATCTCATTTTAAAATCTTAGCCCTGGGGGAAGGAGGAAGCCTCCAAACCACCCCTCCCTCAGCTAAAGAGTAGATTTCAGAAACGTGTTCAAATAGTGATATCCCTGAAGGATCTTCATCCTTAGGTGAATCTCTCCCCTAGCTGTTCCTTATTTTTCCAGGTAATTTTACACGTGTCTCTAAGCTGATTACTTAAAAGAAGACTCCTGTATCTGCTTAGCGTGACGAAGAGGTGGAAGCTCTAGTCTTCACAAAGCCTGGTTTTGCAGCCTCTGCATTTCTGAGGTGCGCCATATTTTGGCGCAGAGGTTGAGGTGCGGAGAGGAAATCTATTTCTCCCATAGCCCAAACCCTTTAAAAAGGATATATATATCAGCAGCCTTAGGACAGATATGGGGAAAGCACCTCTGGGTGTGAGAGAAACACTGAGCTCTCCACAGCAGCCTGGCTTGGCATCCTCCGAGCCTTTTCCTTAAACCATGAGGAGTTTCTCTAAAAGCAGCTCGTTGGGACCCAGCAGGTACCCAGAAATGGCTCCAGTGCCTGCTTCTAAGGATAATCTGAGGGAGCTTCACAGGGGGAAGATAAAGGCCATGATGATGGATATTTTGGATTGCAAACAAAATGGCGACATTTTCCACTTCTGTCTCTGAAAGATACAATCCAGGGAGAATAGGGATTTATTTCTCACATCCGATGCTCCTGATCCCCAGACGAAAGCAGTTCCTCGCTTCTAGCTCTGAAGGGGGTGATGATGGGGATGCAGGTCTGAGGTCTGCATTTTCTGAATTTGATTCCTTTCTCGAGGAATCCTTAAATCTGAAGATGAAAATATTTCCCTTTACTGTGCCTTCTTTTGCCTCTTCTAGCCAGTCAGTAAGCAGCCCTATCTTAAATCCAGGAGTGGAAATGTAATATTTAGCTCCTACAACATCAAATGAAAAATTTATAAAATTGCAGTTTTATTACAAAGATACCGATCTCCTTGCTCTCTCCCCCTCCCCCTGGGGCCATAAAAAGAAAGCTGGGTGGGGGAAGGAGAGGAAATAAATTCAGAGAATGCCAAATACTACATTCAGCAGGAAGCTAATGCTGGGATTCCGGCAGTCCAGGGAAGGGCTGGCTCAGGGTGACTCTCCCCAGTTCAGTCCTCCGTTTGCTGGAGACCTGGGTGAGCCTCAGTCCCTTTCAAACTGTTTCGCTCCGCGTGCAGATTTTTGGAGCAATTCTTTCCTCCTGACGCGATAACAGACCGCGAAGCATCCCCGGAGGAGACCAGGAGTCCGATTGCTCCCGGAAAGTGCTCGGCATCCTCTGCGCGGCTGGCTAATACCGAGGTTTAGGCGTTAGTTGGTCCGCTTTGACCCGAGGAAGAGCATGGAGCAGAAGACCGCCCTGCGTTATCCCCCGGCTGGGCCGCGGGGCACCTGTGCGCTCCCGCTGCGCCTTGGGCCGGGATGTCTTTGTTTCTTCCGTGCACAGCACTCGGCAGCCCCTGCGCCCTCAGCCTGCCTCCGCAGCAGCTGGGAACCGGGCAGCCCAGCTGGCCCGCCGCACGGCGTTACCAGAGCTGCCGCAGCCGCCTGGAGCCCCAGCCGCCATCCTGAGAATTCGCCGAGCTTCCAGGCGAATAGCCTGGCCAGGCCCCATGCTGGAGCCAGAGGGCTGCTGCGTCCGGCCTGCTCTGCCGGCTCGCCTCGGCCTGAATTCCACGCAGACCCACGTCTTCGGCCAAAGAACCCCTTCTTAACACGGATATTATTCAGAATAAAAACTTTATTTCTTTTTGTTTCTCAGAATGTGAGCAGCAAGGAATGAAGAACTCTCAAAACAAATCTAGTATTTTTCGCGTTTACAGATTTTTTTTTTCAGTTTTGCCGGATGTTACAAACCTAAATCACTGTTTTCAAAAGCTGGATCTTCTCTGGTTTTATTGTATCGTTACCGTTTAAAGGAATTATATTTCTCTTTCAAATAAAAAAAATTCTAAGTACGCCAATACACAATTGAACAAAAGGCCCAAGAACCCTTCTGAACCATCAGGGTACAGAATTCTTTAATATAAATACGAACGGATGGGGATAAATAATATTTAAAACTTAGATTATTCAATGCTTGCAAAAAAATATAAATAAATCTGACTGTTCACCAGCATACACACACGGAAAGACGTACACTTAGTCATCCTTGCACAGAGAGCCCCTGTTTCAAAGCGCCTTTGATTTTTTTTCTCACTCTTTACAAGAAGTGCAATTAAAAAAAAAATTTAAAATTAAAAAAAGTAATCGCTTCCCCTCGGGAGCCATAATGTAAGAACAAATTCACATTGAAAACTCGACTAGAAAATTTGTTCATATACCCTGTTTCTGATCAAAGAGTGGAGAAGGTAAAGGGTGCAGGGCCAGTGGCCTATCGAGGAGCAGGAAGAGATAAATATCGCTATGATACAGCCATTCCAGCAACCAAGATTGCTACGTCACATAAACTATAAAAACGCCTTACCAACGAGGGGGGAAACCGGGAAACGGAGTGCGGGGCGGAGAAGAGAGAAAAGGAAGGAAGGAAAGGGCAGGAAGAACCTAAAAAAAAAAAAAAAAAAAAGCAACCAAAGAAAAAAGGTGGGTGGGGGGAGACTCTCCTGGCGCGTAGCCCCAAGCCCACTATCACAGGTGGGTGAGCTTGGGTGCTTCCTGAATTCTTCCCTGAGAAGGATGGTGGCCGGTAAGGTCCGTGTAGGTGGGGTGCGGCTCCCCAGGCCCCGGCCCGTGGTGGTGGCCGCTGCCCAGCGGCCCGGCACCCCCATAGTCCATGGCGCCCGAGGCAGCGTGGGGGAGGTGAGTTAGACCAAAGAGGGCTGGCCCGGAGTTGCTCATGGGCTCCACATAGCTGCCCCCCACGAAGACGGGGCTTCCCTGTATGTGTGGGGTCCCATAGCTGCCGTTGCCCTGCAGGCCATGAGCGTGCGGGTCATAGTCGGGGGTGCCCCCTGCGCCCGCCCCTGCCGCCGTGTAGCGCTTCTGTGGGGGTGGCGGGGGTGCGCAGCTGGGCAGGGACGCAGGGTAGGAGGCGGGGGGCAGCCCGTAGGTACCCTGGGGGGGCTTGGAGAAGGGCGGGGGCGACTGGGGCTCATACGGGACGCTGTTGACCAGCGAATGCATAGAGTTCAGATAGCCACCGGCTCCGGGGGGCACGGGGCTGCGACTTGGAGACTGGCCCCCCGATGACGTTAGCATGCCCTTGCCCTTCTGATCCTTTTTGTACTTCATGCGGCGATTCTGGAACCAGATCTTGATCTGGCGCTCAGTGAGGTTCAGCAGATTGGCCATCTCCACCCGGCGCGGCCGGCACAGGTAGCGGTTGAAGTGGAACTCTTTCTCCAGCTCCACCAGCTGCGCGCTCGTGTAGGCCGTGCGCGCGCGCTTGGACGAAGCCTGCCCCGGCGGGCTCTTGTCGCCAGCGCAGCTTTCGCCTGCGAGGACAGAGAGAGGAAGAGCGGCGTCAGGGGCTGCCGCGGCCCCGCCCAGCCCCTGACCCAGCCCGGCCCCTCCTTCCACCAGGCCCCAAAGGTTCCTGCATCCGTCAGGTCCCAGAGAGAAGTAGGAACTAGGTGCTATCCTCTCTCCTGGTGGGTAAAACAGTGATACTCCCTCATTTAGCCAAGGAGCAAATCACAGCCTTCTCGGGGGAAAGGACAGAGAAGTAGAACCCCCGGTTTGCCTTCCTGGTCTGGATTTTCTGTTTAGAGCTATTAACTTTCTGACTCATTTACTGGTCCCTTTGGCCTATCGGACAACAGCCTCCCTGTGGGCCGGTCTCAGCATCTCCATTCTCTTCACAGTAACTGAAATGTGGGAAACCTAATGTACACACTCATTTCCCTCCCACACTGTCTGACAATAATTAGGCAGTAGCTTCAACTGGCCACTTTTTTCTCTCTACCCAGAGGAGATGGGCAGACTGGAAACCTCAAACTGGAAGGCCTTCTCTGCCCAAAGAAGAGATCCCATTGAAGGTATTTCTGGTGGGGAGGCCTAGGCCCTTCATGCTAGGTCCTATTCTTTAGGGTTCCCTATGTCATCAAGCAGCCAGCCCCAGCTTTTGTCCACTAATCTTGTACCCTTCTGTCTTCCCTGGCCCCCCAGATCCTAGCTCTGGAAGTCCCAGATGCTCAGGCTCAGAGCAGGGCACTGGCAACTGGAGAAGGCAGGGGCAAAGGTAACCAAAATGCTAGGAAGCCTAAAGCCTGGGGCCTTTCCTCTACTGGAGCCCGCTTTCAGGAGGCCCATGTGGTTCCCATTAGGATGATAAGTCTGCATCCCCCTCCCCCAGGAGATCTTTGGCTGCTTTCATTGTACTAAGTCTGAGTAGGGTCTTCCCAGAGGTAAGGCAGCCACTCCATCTGCTGGAGCAAAAATTGGCTCTGATTATAGGCAAAGCATTGATTCTGTCTTGGAGGGTGATTAGGCCTGTTTTTATTCTGCCACATTTCAGTAAGGGGAGGATGTCACTGTTTCATTAGAAGAGCTGTGCTAAAAAGATAGACAGTGGAGCTCAGGTTGTTTCTGCACAGAGGTCCTAACTCCAAGAGTGGAGCAAGAAGAGATTCCAACTGCACTAGACCCTACTTGCCCTTGGAGAAGTCCAGAGGGACTCCCAGCAGGTCTCTGGTGTTTTCCAGCCTACAGAGGCCTATCACCTCCCTAAGTTGCAAAGACTATGAAAACCTTTTTGGTGGGCAGTGGTGTGGGAGCAGTGAATTCCAGACATGCTCCATCGCTCCTAGGCTGTGCTGGATGTCGTGGGCAGTAGCTTGGGGACCAGGAGCCAGGCCAGAGGACCCTCTTCCAGAAGGCACTCCTTTACCTGAGCTGGAGCTGCTGGTTTTCTGCTTTGTGTTTTGTCGAGACTCTTTCATCCAGGGGAAGATTTGTTTGGCCACTGTGGGTGAGTTGAGCAGGGGGCTCTTGGCCGCGTTGGCAGGGGTAGGGTTGTTGCTGGCATTCTGAGGAGGGGAGGCAGAAGAGGGAGGCGGGGGCGCGGCAGGGGTAGGTGCAGGGGGCTGAGGTGCGGGCTGAGGCGGCTGTGGGGCAGGGGGCGCGGCCTGGGGCGGCGGCGGGTGCAGGGGCGGCTCTCCCAGGCTTGGAGGCTGGCTAGGTGGGGCGCTCAGGGTGCGCAGGCACGCCTCACTCAGTTCGTGTGCCTTGGGGTGGCCCCCGGCGCTGGAGGGAGACTGGAGGGAGCAGGCGGGTCGGTGGTACTCGCCGTCGGCGCCCAAAGCGGCGGACGCCGGGTACGGCTGCTGATTGGCATTATAAGCGAACCCGTTGGCTGCCTGGTAGGGGTAGCCACCGTAGATCGCCGAGCTGTCGTAGTAGGTCGCTTTTTGCATCGCGTTGTTTCACGATCTTGATCGCACACTCTGACAGGGGTTTGACACCCGTGAGGGCGCACATTGGCACGCCCCCGCGGTCACGTGACACTCCGCCGCCAATGGCCGCCCCGCGCAGACCTGGTGGGGCGAGAAGCGCAGCGCGGTGAGGGCTCCGCGCAAATCCATCTTACTCTCAATAGCTAAGTGACATGAAAGCCATAAAAGAAAAAGTGGTCAGCAATATTTAGCAGCACGACTTGGCCCCGGGCGCAGGGAGCCGTGCTATAAAAAACCGCTGGAATTTACTGGCAGCTACAAATATTTGCTTAACTTGCGTCTGGAGTTGGGGGATTTTCCGGGGAGAAGGAGAATGAGTGAGGGCTGCAAGCTGATTCTCAGGAGCCGGGATCCAAAAGGAGAAAGGCTTGATAGGCTAGAAAGGAAAAAGGCTGGGATCTTTCTTTTCCAGGGAAGAAGAAACTTGGGGTGTCGCTTAGTTTCTGCTCCTTGGCCTCCTCCAGAGGGCCCAAGACTCCTCCACTCTGGGAATGTTGGGAAGGGAACGAGGAGGCAAAGGGGAGCTTGGGTCGCCAATGTTTTCTCCGCTTTAGGACTGATGTTTGCCAAAAGAGCCCTGAGATGGGGTAACTTCCCACCCAGCTCCTTCTTGGACCTTCCTGCTCCCAAGAGAGGTTTGCACAAAAAATTTCAGGCAATTTGCCCCATCCAACCATGCTGGATTTCAGAAGCTGAGCTTGTTAGGAAGTTAATCCACCTTGTTGGGGATATGACTCACCTCCTCCAAATGAACCCCTTGTGGCCAAGCCAAGGGGGGAGGGAAAACTTTGTGTGGAACACATTGCGTGTGTGTGTGTGTGTGTGTGTGTGTGTTTAGGGTGAGGGACCAACAGTAACACCCCACCCAGCAAGTCACAACTAAAATCCTGGAGAGTTCTTTACTCCTTTCCTCTCCCTGTTTCTCAGGCACTTCCCAGCAAGCCACCCCCACTTCTTTACTTCTTTCCCCCAGTTACAGAAGGTTCCCAGAACCTCCTGTCTTGGACTTTCTAAGGTGCTGTTATTCGGGGCAACTATCAAATTCTACCTGTTAAAACATGATGGATTAGAGGGGGAAAAAAAACCCCTCCAGGAACCTGAAAAACCAGCGTTCATCTCCATGACCACAGTTTGAACTCTCCTTCCAACTTAACGATAATAGGTTCTGTCTTAGAAACTGCTATGTAATTTGATGTATGGGGGTCATTTGGCTCCCGACGAGGGATGGAAGCACAAGCCATAAAATCCTGCCAGAGTTTCCTGATCTTTGTGTGCTGTTGTTGTTGTTGATATTTTGTTACTTGGCCTATTTACCTGCTTCAGAAATACCAAGTAAAGGATAACCCTGAAAATCTAAAAAGCAGTTGAAAACCTCCTCAACCCTCTTTCATTTAGAAAGCAGTTTGCAAAAGTTAAATCTGTTTTCTTTTTGTTTTCAACCACTGCATGGTCAACCTCTAGTTCTCAGCACAGAAAAGTTCCATGTGAGTTTCAAATATTCACCCACACACACACTCAGAATCTTAGTCCCTCTGACCACTCAAGAAAATTATAACAAATTCAAAAGAAAATGGTTAACATGCAATCCAACTATGTATATTGAGTCCCAGAGTTATTCAAGTTTTCCAGGAATATTAGATGCTTTGTTAACTAGAAAAAAAAAGATAATGTATTGCATCTACCAGTAGATGATTATAATTCCATTGTTGATAATGGACTCCTTTAGATTTCATTATTAAGCCAACAATCTTACCAACATCTGCAAAACAGGCACAATTAATTTTCCAGAACCTCGATTAAAAATTACAGCATCGCTTATCCAGAGTTATTGTCAGTGATCATGAGCCCTGGAGCATTGTTTCTCTTTTGGAAATAGGAAGCTACACATACCATGGTTGAAAGTAAATAAAGGATAAAGTAAAACTTAAAACTGAATAGCAATTTAGTGTATCCGTTTCCTTTTCTTTTACTGAAAACAGTTCCTATTACATTTGGCAGTGTCAATGTCTGCCATTACAAATTTTTTAGATACCAGGCTTGTGTAAAATAAAATGTCAGGTTAAGAAAATTAGACACTCGAACAGCAAGATATTAGATAAAACAAAATTAAGCTGATTTTGCACATGCAATATTTCTAGTGACTTGCTAATCCATTATCACGTTATACCAGCCTGCTACTTAGTTAAGCCTTTTTATCAAGTTGTGCATTGTCTTACAAAATAACAAAAATATCTTTGAAAATCAAAGAGCATACAACAGCCCTCGTAAACTTAAAATATAAATTCGATTCTGGGATCCCACCAAAATCCTTCCTATTGTTCGAGGTCAGCAGACCACCACCTTGGAGCTCATACATCCCCCCACCCCAACCCAGCCCCCAAAGTTTGCAACCTAGTAAAGAAGTTGGAGATTTGCCAGCCAGGAAACTTTGCTCTGTACCGCCAAGCAAGGGCTGGGGATGAGGGGAGATTCCTCCACAAAGATCTGTTTCTGGACAATAATCCCCAGGTGCAAGAGCCGAAAGAGAGTTGAAGAGGCTAAATTGAGTGCAAGAAGCAAGCCCTATTGTCTCTCTGGAAGATGTGCCCAAATTCAACCTCCGTCCTTCAGACATCGCTCCCTCTTCCCATTCCCTCCTCTTTCTTAGCCTTCCCTCACCCCAAATCTGAGCGGGTTCGTCGGATAGGAGCCCCGAGTCCCCTGCCCACCTCTCCTTCCCTCTGCAACCCAGAAAAGTTAAGGCTGGGCTAGGGGAGAGGCAAGAGGTGGGGGCGGGGATGGGAAAGCGGCCTGAACTCGAAGTGTAAGGGTATCAGTCACTGCCGGGAAGGAAGCTCCGGCTTGTGAACTCTTCTTGAACCGAGATTTAAGTCTGCAGCCATAAATCACCGAGACGTAAACTCCGCCATTCAGCGCCGGGAGCGGCCGGTTGCGGCCCTGCTTACCTTAACTTCTGACGAGCGCAGGCTCGGGCTCAGGCTCCGACACGGGCTCTGGCCCCCGGCCTGGCTTGGCGGCCCGGCCGGGTCCCCTCGGCGCGGGATGGGCACGGACCCTCAGCATCAGCCGAGATGGCAGGCGGGCTGGAGACCCCGAGGCCCGGTCACCGCCGCGCAGAGCGTGGCCGCCTCGCTGCTCCAGCACGGCTCGCCCAGGGCCGACTGGGGCGGCTTGGACCCCCCTCCCACCCACCCCACCCACCCACCCCTCCCCCACACCCCCGCCCCCTGCCCTTCCCGAGGGCAGCAGCCGCGGCCCGGAGATAAGCGCTAGTGCGGCGCCGGGCTCTGCCTGGGCTAGTGGCACCGACTTGGGTATGTTTCTTATGAATATTACACGCGGAGCAGCGTCTGGTCCGGGGGTGCGGTGGGGGGTGTTGGGGCGGGCGGGAGGGGAGACCAAGGCGGCTGGGGAAGCGCGGGCTGGTGTGGGGGATGGGGCTGAGGCGAGGGGAGGGACCGGAGGGAGAAGGGGAGCTCGGCGGTGGCGGGAGGAGGGCAGCCTCCCCCCACCCCCCAACGCCCTCCCTCTCCTGCTCCCAGGCGTCACGAAAGTCCAGGAAAATTATGCTAATGAGGACAAACGGCTCTCACAAAGGGGCTCTCTTGCTGGGCTCTATTTCTTAGGAATTCGTTTGAGAAACTTCGTATTCCTCTGCCCTGGACACTTCCAATTGTGGGGTGAGGGGAAAGAGAACCAAGAAAAGTGAGTTTCCCAGACTTTGCCCAGTTTACTTCACCTGCAACTCCCAAACAGATCTTTGGGTGGGGGTGTGGGGAGCTGGGATAAGGCTTTTCTCTAGAGACCCTCAAGAGCCAACTGGGCTCTCTTTGGTTAAATTTTCAGGCAGAAACTGCTGACATCCTAGCAGCCAGGAGAAAAATGTCCTGGGAGAGACAGGTACTTGTTCCAGCAGTGAAATGGGATGCTCTGGGCTCAGGTACAAACAAGGGTGTTTAGAAACGCGGATCTCCAGGGCTCATGTGCCCATTTCAGAGTGCAGACACGCAGCTCACCCACAGGGAAGACAGAGAAAGCTCTGACCCCAAGAGAAACCGACATCATACACACACACACACACACACACACGCAGGGCAGAGGAATATGTGGTTTCTCAAACGGATTCCTAAAACATACATATATATATAATATATATTATATATATAATATATATTATATATATAATATATATTATATATATGTATATACATATTTTCCTCATTAGTGGGATGGAGTAACGCTGAGCTGGGCAAAAGAAAGGTCCGAATTTGCCTGGTAATATTGCCACAACTTGAAAGTGGATGATTTTCCTCCTAAAGCCTCCTTTGCTCCCAGCTTCAGAAGCAAACTCTGCAAGGGTACGAGTGTGGCAAAAAGAGAAATGGAGATTTCTCTCTTTTGCTGCAATCCCAAGGCGTCAACGGCGGGTCCTTCTCAAAGGAAGGTGTTAAAAATATAAGTAGTATGTTTAAACTGTCAAGGAGCCAAAGTGTCACCTTAGAGCAAAAACAAAGCCAGGGGAAAAGGGAGAAATCAAAAAGCACTCCGGGCCAGGGTGGCCTCATGCATACCAATGGTTTTTGTCATTTATGGCTGGGCAAGATTTATGACTCGGCGCCCCAAAGCTGTAAACAGAGCACAAAACAGCAAACACTTGCTCCTTATGGCATATTGCAGAGCAACTTGAAAGGGGGAGCTGGCCGCGTAGGAGGTGAGAGCCAGCCGCAAAAATCCGTTCGGCGGCATTTTCTCTTCAAACCCGCCCGGTCGGATGTGGCATTTGAAGAAAGAAGGCGTGGGTCAATAATCAACCCGCACTTTCTCCTCCAAACTGCTGACGCGACTCTCACCGCCTTCTCAGCTAAGCCAGCTGCCGGGAAGGCCAGCTCTCCGTAAGAACCTGCCAGGGGAAGGGATTCTCTGGGCCAAGGGGACCGAGGGCTCCCGAGCAAGGGCTGGGGCGCCCTGAAAGCATACCTTTCCACTGGCGCCAAGACCCTGCCGGGCAAAACGCGGGGACCAGACCTGAGGAGCCGTGGGAGCCCAGGGAGATCTGGGGCGGGAGCTTCGTTCCGGCCAGGGCCTCTATCCGCCCCGATACGTGGCTCCTGGGCCGCGGGCCTCAGCGGGCAGAAGTGGGGCTCCGACCTCAAGATGAAGGTCCAGCGTCCTGGCATGCAGATGGTCGGTGCCCCAGCCTCAAGCCGCTCTGCTTAAATCCAAAGGACTGGCTTTGGAGCAAGCGTAGGCGAGATTATTTTAAAATAATAATTTATGCTGGCGGAAGGTTTTTATTTGTTGGTTTGCTATTGGTGTTTTGTTTTTTAAGCGAAAATGCCGATTGTTGATTTCCACCTCCAGAAATTACCAGCCGCCGCCGCTGCGCCCTTTCTAGACAAATCCCACAGCAGTTCACCCGGCTCCCCCAAAACCGCAGAGCTTTTCTTTACTGAGAGGACCCCTTGGTTCCACCAATTCCCCCAAATCCCCGTGGCTCCCGATCTCTCATCCAGGGGGACTAGAAGAAAAGATTTTCTCAGCACTAGAAGAATACTTGGAGCAGCAAAGGTGCCCGTGGTGTCTTTCTACCATTCAAGGGGTGTCCTCCTGAAGGCGTCTGAGAGGGCCTCTGGCGGTTCCAAGGCTGTGCAGCCGGGGAGGAAGGTGAGGAATATCGTGGGTAAGAAGAGGCACCAAAATCACAGAATAGAGAGGAAAATTATTGAGGAAATGTACTTGCCTGTGAGGGTGAAGCTGGCATTTCGAGGTAGAAGGGGACTAGCCTTTTTTGATATCTAATAGTTTAGCATTATACGTAATGGACTCACTTTAGCACTTTCATGGGAGGAAAAACCAATCTGAGCTCTATAAATGTGGCTCTTGGCTTCTCACTGTGCATGCTTTTATGTAGAACCAGAGTCCATCCTTAGATATTTATTCAGCTTGCTGGCACTGAAGCAACAATAAAAAGATGCCTCTAACAAACCTCTATTCCCTCTCTCATTCTTTCTAGCAAAACTATATTATTTATGAGTCTTTAACTGGGTCAAAAATGCGCCAGAACTAGGTCATAAATCATATGAAATGCTGACAAGTAATTGAACAGCAATTAAAGCTTACATTTTATTTCCAAGGGGTGTTTTAGAGCACTTGAAAGGGCCTCAGTTAAACACTTGGTTACTGCCGAGGCCGGCACTGGGGAGGGCAGAAGGGCCCTTTCGTTCTGGGGTAGTAAATCCCACTCAAGTAGGGGATGCCTGATTTGATTTTTTTTTCACGTACAGAAAGAAATAATCTATATTTTAAGAAGTGAAAGGGGCACATCCGACCTCTGACTCCTTATAAGCATCCCTTTCCCTACTGCAAGGAGCATAATAGAGTTTCCTGCACCTTTCCAGGGAGTTCCCACCCTTCCCAGGAGTGTGGGGTCCCCAAAGCCCAATTAGCTGGGGCTTTCCCAATAATCTGGAAACATGCAGTTTAACTTTCATCTGCCTCCACCCTGGCTACAGCTCTGTTTTGGAGGCTCTGAAGCTGGAGAGATGTCTGCCTCTGCTTCCTGAGGACTCTTGTCTCTGGACTTCCCTCCAACCCAGGGCCCACTGGCCAGTTCTGGAACTCTCCAAGCCAGCTGGGGGTACACAAGGAATGCCCAGACCAGGCGCACTGATGAAGTCCAAACCTAATCCTGGCTCCCTCCTTCCTCTGTCTCCCGAATGTTAGAATAAGGAGCCCCTGGGCATCCAGCATGCTCACCCCACCCCAAGGCTCTCCTAGGTCTGAGCTGTCTTTCTTCAACCCTCTGGGGCAGAGGGTGCTCAGGGAAACAATGGCGGGCCCTCCGGTTCAGATCCTTGGGTCTGGCTTCTTGGGTCCGGCTTGTGGGGAAGCATGCTCTGCAATCTGGCACTAAACAAAGTGCCTGGAAGCATCATCAATAAAATGGCAGCGCATCTGCACATTTCCCTCATCGATTTCCCTCTTCCAGCTGCTCCGGCTGCTCAGGTCAGCCCCTAATCCTCCATCCCCTGCCTGAAAACACCGCCATCCTGGGAGAGATTCCCCTTCTCACCCACCCATCCCCCACCCCTCCCAGGCAATCTAGCCCTGCAAGCCGGTCCACCTCTGCCTGCACCTGGCTTCTGGACCCTCTTTCCGCCTGGGGATCAGCTCCTGAGACTCCAGCCCTGCCCTGCTGCAGTGGACAAAGCCACCCTTGCACTGGGGGCCACTGGGCCCACCTAGGAGCCCCCCTAGTGCCCCCTCCTTTACACCCCCAACACTTTCCAGGGAATTAAATTCAGAGTCTGAGGCGCTACTGGGAATCTTTCAAATGGTTTCGGTTCTAAAAGAGAAACAAAGGAAGAGAGAGGCTGAGGGTCCTGTCCATGAGCCAGGGTCTCCTCGCCTGACCTTTGTCTCTCACAGCCATAACTCACTCTAGATATGAACAATCGGCGGAAATACCTTAAAATAAATTCCATCCTCCTGGTATAGCCTCGACTTCCATCGGCTAGCTCGCCCAGAACCGCTCCATGAGTGCTGAAAACTGCAATCGGCTCAGAGAGCGCTCTCCGGAGAAGGGGAAGGAGAAGGAGGAGGTGGGTGCGTGGGGGTTGGGGGAAAGCTCTGGCTCTGTAGAGAATCTAGAAAACGTAATCACAGGCGAAGCCTGTCTGGGTCTCCGCTCCAAATGCCACAATAATGCGCTGTATTATGTGCTCACGTGGTCATACGTCAACTTAAATCCTTTTATTTGAAATAGGGAACCACTGAAGGAACTAGGTTTCCAAACAGAATATTTAGCTTTGGGGGAGGGTAGGTGGGGAACCTTGACCAGCAGTTTTGAGTTTAAGAGTTCTGTCTAAGCAATAGGATGCTTGGAGCCATCCTCCCATGAATGCCATATAAGACATACAAGCTTATCTCCACTTATATTTCTTTACACACCCTCCAAACACAAGGGTTACAGCAATGCTATTCACATTTTTAGAATCCATTTAACTTTCCTTACAGCCTCCCACCCACGGACAAGCTGGATCCTGCACACCCATGCACCCCAGTCTCCTCTGGCCCACAGGCCAGTATATCAAAAGGCAAGGGGCAGGCCCAGAAATAACTGGCCTGGACAGCGGACTTCCTCACAGCCTGCCATTGTATGGAGTTTGCTAACACCCACACCATACACTACAGACGCAAGAAACACCAAAAAGGCACATAATTACCTGACAAAAGGTTAAAGCATCTCCTCCAAGTCCAGTTGGTTTTGTTCAGTGGGAGCCCACTAGGAAAGATGTGCTTGGCTATAGAGTGGTGGGTCCGGGTTTTGCAAAATCTAGAGAAACCTAGTGCCCTGACTAAACTTGCACTTAAGCATTTCCTCAGTGCACAACTGAGTGATACATGGAATTATAAGTTTCTAAACATAAAAAATATCAGAGGAAATGATCTAATTGCTCTGCAAGAGACCCCCCCCCCCAAAAAAAATAAGAAAAAAAAGAAAAAGAATCAACCTTCACTGGAGTGCCTTAAGTTAACAAGGCAATCTGGGACCCTCTCCACAGGCAGGTCTGTCCACCCACTTTTCCAAGACAATTCTGTGTCCACCAGCAAATTCTCTCCCCACCCCCACACAAGTTCCTATAGAGATATCAACTCAAAGATGAGAAAGAGCCCCCTTCAGAACTCTCAAAATAATCTTGAGCAGAAAACCAGTAGAGAACCAACTGTGCTCAGGAAGAACCTAACTGAAACAAATAAGCTGCTCCCACCCTTGGTTCCACCCCTACTCCTGCCTTCTGCCTGATGACATTGCCCACTAATTTCAACATTGTACCGTTTCATGAGCTGTCTAAAAATCTTCTCTTTTCTGGTCTTAGTTTCTGAACTTCTGAGAGTGCTCTGAGGCTAGTGAGATCCTCAGGCCATATTCTTTTTTTCCTGGAGAATGGGTCTTCAGCTGGCTATGCCTGAGTGTGAGGACTCACTTATAGCAGCTGCAGGAGGCTGTGCATGATTCCTCCCCTTCACTCCTCCCCTGCAGAGGAACAGAAGGGGTCTGATGAAAATGTAAGGCCTTTCATAAGAGAACTTGTTCATGGGTTGTCCAAATCAGAAAGGCAATAAAAGAAGAGACCTAATCCCCTGGAAGCAAGTCCTGGCCTAAGCTGGTGACAATATTTCAGTAAGGTTCAATCTGTGGTGTAGCTGGAAGAGAACCTCCATGTGAACTTTTCCAGCTCCTATCTAAGTTACAAGCTGGAAAGTAAGAACTCCAAGTGAAAACCTGCCTCTCTCAGGTTTGGGGGATAGAGGACAGGAGTAGAAGCTGGTTTCCAAAAAGCGTTCTCCTGACCCCCAAGAACTCACTCCTCTCATTCTTACTGCTGCCTGCCTCATACCCCTCACCAATCATTCACACTGAGCTCTCCAGATACCCTAGAAAGGGACCTGGAGGTATTGCTGGCAAATTCCTCCCTACCCCCAAGTTTCTGAAGAGGCATCAACTCAAAGATGAGAAGGGGCCCCCTTCAAAGCTCTTGGAACAGTCGAGCAAATGAAAACTCTTAAAGCCATAAATTGTCCGGGTGCGGTGGCTCATGCCTGTAATCCCAGCACTTTGGGAGGCCGAGGTGGGTGGATCATGAGGTCAGCAGTTCGAGACCAGCCTGAACAACATGGTGCAACCCCGTCTGTACTAAAAATACAAAAATTAGCCAGGCATGGTGGTGCATGCCTGTAATCCCAGCTAGTCGGGAGGCTGAGGTGGGAAAATCACTTGAAACCAGAAGGCAGAGGTTGCAGTGAGCTGAGATCGTACCACTGCACTCCAGCCTGGGACAGAGCGCGACTCTGTCAAAAAAAAAAAAAAAAAAAAGCCATAAATCAATGAAATAAGTCATTGGTACTGCTTCAGAGAAATGCCTTAACGCCAGCAAAGCTCAGAGGCATCTCAGCTCCAGCCTGGGGCCTCCAAACGGCTGCTAACATCCAGTTAATGCTCCAACTGCTGTTTAACAATTAACATTAATGACTTGGGGTGGGATGGGTGATTTGGTGGGATGAGAAGGGAAAAATCTGAAAAGTCAAAAGACATTTAACTTTTGAGGTTAAAAAACAGCTTCTCTATGAGAGATCTTGGCCTGGGCAGCCTATCTGGGGAACCAGCAGCTGACAGTCCTCCTTTGCCACTCTGCAATCCAGTTTCCTGGAGCAAAGCTACGGGCCTTTTAAAAACCCAGCTGCCAGTCCCTCTTCACTCACTTCACCGGCCTCCAACTTGGCCTGCGCTGGGACTGATACTGTGGTCCTGGTCACCAGAGCCAAAATAGGGGGAAAGCTGGCTTGGAAAAAGCAGGCAACCAAGGGTACACACCGTTAGCCAATATTTGCAAGGCTGTTGGCAGATTAGATATATCTGTACTCAAACACTGCAATCTGATTTCTCTGTCAAAAGTACACTTAACATTTTTGTCCCATTACTTAAATCTAGTGGATTTTCTACTCAGCATCAGGTAAGGCTCTCTTAGCCCACTGTGTGCGTGTGTGTGTGTGTGTGTGTGTGTGTGTGTGTGTGTGTGTGTATGATAGATTCTTATTTAACATGAGATATTTCCTGTGGGTGCAAGTGCAGTAGAGAAATGGGCCAAGTTCTCTGGACACGTGTGGATGTGTATATTGTGTTATACACAAGGCCCCAAATTCCTGCAACTATTTATACATGCAATTGTTCTGTTGTTTGCTGAGATGGAAATCATATACACAGAGTTACAAATTCCTGAAATGTTCCATCTATATTTGATATAAACAGACATACAGTAGCTGAGAAAGTAACACAGCTTGACTATTGCTCTGTTTACCTTCTATTGGAAAAAATAATTGTATCCAGAACACCATATCAGCCTTATAGCACGACTGAATATCATGTTGCAATTAATTAACAACCTGATATCTATTTGGGAGCAAATTTAAGGGAAGACTGGAGGCCTAGGAAATAGAATACAAAATCTCAAAACTTTTTAAAAAGAAGTAATTCCTGAAAGAACAAAGCAAACTCATTCCTTCATACCATGCTTCTGAAAGCTATTCCAGCAGCCCCTCCCCCAAACAGGCATGTAATTTATGGATCTTTTACAAGGTAATAAACCACAGTAATTACCTCCCTGCATCCCAAACTAAGAGGACAAATTAAGTCAGAACTTGAAAATAATTTAAAAGAGTTTTCCCTTGTTTCAAATAGGAAAAGGAAACGCCAAGACATAGAAAACCACGCTTTTCCCGTAGGAAGAACCGATGATGAGCCCTGATGAAAGAAGGAAGAAGACCCGCTGTCTGCGAAGGCCTAAAGGTTAGAAATACAGCAATTTTTCTCATGCCGAAGGAAAGGCAAAATGGTCTAAGAAACTGCAAGAGTGTGATACAAGTTTTCCTCAACAGCGAGCTGGGACTGGCGACAATTTCTTAACTCACAGCCTCCGCAGTCGCCTTAGTCGACAAAGAGAGCAGCCCACGCAGCGGCCGCCGCGCCCGTGCCCGTGGCCTTTACTTGCTTTTGCCCTGAAGTTCAGTGTAGTGGTTTGTTTGGGGCTTGCAGGAAGAAACAAACACACTCCCTCTGACTCTCCACAACCCATCTTTGCCTTCTGCAACCGCTTCTCCTGCCCATCGCTGGTTTTGGGGTAGGCTCTTTGTCTGCCTGAGGCCCCGCACTCGCAGGGCAAGAAGCTTAAAGGAATCCAACTCCAAACTCCTCCGAAGTTAAATATTGACCAGAACCTCTTTCAACAGGCCGCGGTTGCCAGGAACCGTGGAGGGCCAACTCCTCCCAACCGCCCTGGTGCAAAGTCCCACGCGGCGAAGAGTTTTGGAGCAGCGCTTACCTAGAAAGA
The DNA here is from genome assembly GCF_000001405.40 of Homo sapiens. Lineage (NCBI taxonomy): Eukaryota > Metazoa > Chordata > Mammalia > Primates > Hominidae > Homo > Homo sapiens. The sequence goes on from NC_000007.14 coordinate 27,122,568, forward strand.
TGTTTAAATTCTGAACCAGGAATTGTCTCCAACTCCAGGCGCTCAGGGAATCGCCTTTTCCGGTGTCCAGGCGCTCTGCAGACAAATAAACAGCAGAAGGTGAATGGCGGCTGCGAGGGAAGGGAGTTGGAGGCCGGGAGTGGGAAGCGAGGCTCATGCGGGCGCCAAGGTGGCCCTGGGGGTGACGCGAACATCAGGGAGTCACCAGGGCACTCGTCCGTGTGGCGCACTCATTGCTCGAAATGTTCCAGTCTACAAATGGTCCGAAGATGGTGATTTATTTTTGTAAAATAAATACATACTCCATCTCCACACCCATACTTTCTCCTTTTTCTTTCTTTTTTTTGGCGGGGGAGTGGGGAAGGAAAGGACATGAAGCAAACAGAGGAAGCTGAGAAGGTGGAAGTGGCTTTGCTGGTGGTGTGGGCTGCTTTCAGAGAGCTCTCTCCTCAGGCACCACAACTTGGAGAATGTGAATGCTTGCTTTATTTTCCTTTCCTAACAAAAGGAAGCCTTGTCTGGGAGCATTCAATCACGGACTCTCCTGAAACCTCACTAATATGTGTTCATTTCTGTAGGCGCGAAATCAGACCCGGGTTCATTCCACTGGCCAGAGGCAGTCTTGGGAGGATTTGTGTTCTGGTTTATTCAACTCTGGGTGCGTTCCTTTTAGGTCCTAGTGGGCTGGCGGGGCTACCGCAGCACCTAGTCCCTCAGAGCAGGCCAGCTAAGGCTGCTGGAAACTGAGAGGGACGCCGGCTGGTACAATACCTGCTCAGGGGCCCTGCTCCTGCCTGGCCTTGCGCAACGGCCACAAGCCGATCTGATGCCTTGATTCTGCTCAAATCTCGTCCCTCACAGTATTTGCAACCCTCTCTTGCCCTCTAACCAGCAAATGGTCACCGAGCCGGCAGTCAGCTTTCTGGGAGTGGGAGATGATGGGGAAAGAGGAAAGAATCGTCCGCTCGCCGGACCCTGGCTTGGAGAAGTTCTGCGCTCCGCTGGGACTCTGCGGGCCCTTTGCGTCTACAGACCTATCCCTGCCCCGACTACCCCTTCACTCAGACCCAGGTAACCTCTTACCCCAGCCTGCCCCAAACCAGCCCTCCGCTGTCTGTCTGCCTTCACGCAATTCTGTAGATAGCGCTAAGAGGGGATATCAAATAGCTGAGGAGTCCCCTGACCCCTGGCTTCGGAGCCCCCTAGCACGTGGAACAAGTGGCCGCACACCGGTAGCTGCGCTCTGCCACAGTTCGACCCGTAGCCCCCACAAACCAAAGGAAAAGGACCCAGGATCCACGCTGCGCGCTGCGCCCCCTTTCTCTTGTTCAAACTTGCTTTCTGTGTCCCCAAAGGGAGTGCCCCCTGGTCTTGGGGCTCCTGGCATGACCATGAGCAAGGTGGACTCAGCCATCCTGCACTTTGCCTCTCAATTTCATTCCAGAAAGATCCGCTATGCCGCCACCCACCACTCCCCTGCGTGACACTTAGGAGTATGTAATTATTATGGTTATTATTTTTGCTGTTTCCTTATCTCCAAGTCTAATATTCATGGCTGCTGTACCCCATAAATCGTTCAGACTAATGAGTCACAGAGAGATGCTGCCCAGGTCTCTCACTTTACAATGGCTGCCGCCGCCGCCGTGGCCTCTCTCTCCGCGTTTTTGGCGCTCGCTTGCTCCCTCGCTCGCCCGGCGCGGGTGATTTATGAACGCCGGGAAAATTGAACAAAGCCGCGCGCCCGTCCTGTGGTATCTCTGCAGCCTTCCCCAGCGTGAATCAGAACATTACCAACTGTCTGCGCATCCGTCCCACTTCATCACCAAAGCCAGGATGTGACCGCAGAAAACCCAAGCCCGAACTCACGTTTCCCCGGACGCGGCGCGCTCCCTGGACTCGCAGAAACCCTGCGGAAAAGGCCCCAAGATCTGGTGAGGGCCTGCCAGCTCCGTCCTCCCTGCCGAGGGCTCTCTCCTGCCTTCCTGAAGGAGTTAAAAGCCTTTGGAGATAAATCTGAGGGTGTGTGTTTTTAAAAATCAAATGGTAAGTTGGAATCTCACTTCTGAGAGATTCATTCCTAGTGAGGCCCTGACGACTCCGATCCATTCCTGACGATCTGCATTAATTATTTAATGAGTCACGTGACCTCAAAGATTACAATTTCAATATCTCCCTTGCACAGGCGCTACACCTTTATCAGCTGCAACCAGGGTCCTTTTTTTGGCTCTGCCGGCCTCCGGGGCACATTCATCCTTGCCCTGGTCTGAGGCAAGCCACCACCATGGAAATAGCAGGGCAAGCATGACAGAATTAGTCATCCTGGGATTATGACCGTTGTGGATAGTGGGGAGTCCACTGCTCTCCGAGATGCCCTGACATCTGTCCCCTCCTGAGCCCAGTGGCCAGTCCACCTGTCTGAGCTCTATGACTAGGGTGGCTTGGTTACAAAATCTCCCCAAGCAGCTTTGATGGCCCATGAGGCAAGAACCCATCCTTCTTCTCTGGCTGTACACACCTGTGACCGTCCAGGTCAAGTGTAAGCTTAGATGCATACCTCCATTCCTGGCAGAATATCTTCCTAAGAGGAAAGATGTCTGTGCTCTTATTGCTCTCTAGAGTGAGACTAAAGGTTGCATTCCACCCTCGTACTCATTAACTTAAGGAACGGTGGAGGGAGGATCATTCGGCTGCCTCAGTTTTCTCATCTGTAAATTAAGAAGATTGAACCAAAATGGCCTCCAGGTCTCCTTCACTTTGGACAGTCTTTCAATCTGGGAATCTCTTTCAGCCCCAGGAAACAATCCCAGAGAAAGTAGGGCTGGCTTGAAAGGGAAGGGGTTGCCCCGTGATTTTGGAGTCTTCAGAAGAGGTGCCAGAGTTCTGTAAGTTGCAGCCTAGAGGGTTTCAAGACAGCCACAGCAGCCTCCCTCATACCATCAAGGGAACAGAACACACGTCTCTTCCTCCTATTGTTTCCAGCCCATGTGTTTCTTTGGAACACGAAGCAGAATTATTCTTGGGACAGTGTATAATATAGGGAAGGGGCAACACAGCAGCAGTTGAGAAAGGTGAGCCTGTGTTCTGCTATACAAGACTGTGTTTAGGGATGCAGAGACCAGGGGAGTGCCAAGGGCAGCCTACTGCCTGCACAGAACCCACTCATTCAGAGGGGAAGCCCCAGGCTTTTTTGCTACATTGATTCTTTGGGTTTTTCTTCTCTTTCATTCTAAAGAGTCATTGATCTGTTTCTATGTGGGAACTGCTAGAGGGAAGGCAACAGTGAGGAGAGCAGAGTTTGGAAGCTTAGGGGAACAGGGGGACAGAGGAAAGATGGTGATATCCACCCCACCCCACCCCATAGGGAGGAGGCTGAGATATAGGGGAATGGGGCCCGCTGGGACAACTGGGTATGAAGTCAGAGATGCTATGCGAAGGGACTTCCCTCCTCCCCCATCTATCTAGGTAATCTTCCCATGGCTCCATCCTGGGTATTAAGTACTCTACTATGCCTGTCACAGTTGAATTCCTGCTGTAATAAAACACCGGGTATATCATAGATTTCAGCAAAACTAGGGAAGGAAGCCTGCAAAGTGCCATTTTTCTTCAAGGGGGAGAGTGTTAAGTACTTAATTCAAACTGTGACCATTAAAGTGTCTCCTATCCGATTTAGGTCGATTTCAGATGTTGACAAAACTTTTGTCTCCGGAGTCATGCACAACTTGGCTCTGTGACTAAAGCAGATGAGTGTGTATTGGAGGGAGGGAGAAAGAGAGAAAAGGAGAGTATGTGTAAGGCTCATTTTGGTAAAATTATAGAGCTTACACAAAATACTGTCTTTAAAGGTCAAGGATTTGAGGGGCCAGTAGGGTTTGCTTAAAAAAAAAAAACAATTAATGAGATAGAAAATTTGTCCTCTCGGTGAACTCTTATGGTTGCCCTAGCAAAGGGCAGACAATGCATGATTTTGAAGCACAAAGTGGGATTTTCTAATCTCTTATAACAAGCTCCCTTAAAGGCCAATTTGAAGCAGGCAAAACAACACTTAAGAAATGGCAATCATTTGGATCATTTTCTATAATCTGGGTTTTGTAAAACTCACCAATACCTTAATAATCAATACAGTTGGGACAAAAATGCCATCTTGTCCTGGAATATCAGAAAAATGATCTCAATCCTCTCTCTTCCCTTTCTGGATGGACTTATAAGTGCAAGTGAAAGAAAGTCACCCCTTTCATCCTCATACAACTGCCTGCAGCATGAAGCTAATGAATATTCCCATACCCCTCTTTTCCCACAAAGGAGAAATATAAGAATTTACCTTAAATGATGATAGTCTGCCATTTGAGATTTTGCAGCTTGACACTCAATTTCCACTGAGAGTCTAGGCATTTTTTTTTTTTAGCAGACAGCCAAGATGCTGTGTCCTTGCCTGAGACCACATTATTTGCAAGAAGATCCCTCTCTCCTCCACAGACTTTTCCCAGAGAATGCCTTTCAGAATTGCTGTTGAATTACAAAGAAGTATTTATTGTTTGAGGTGATTAATGATTCCTGGGAAAATTGCTATTTTCAGCGTGATTTAATTTTGTTTTACAAGTGTGTGTAGTAGGGGGAGGGTTAATAAGTTTCAGCAGCAGTTGCATTGCCTCCAGAAATCCCTGGCACCCGTTCACACCTTATAAAATGCACTTTATGCCAGGTTTATCCTGATTTGGGAAGGTAAGTGTGTATTTGATTGCTCCCGAATTTTCTTGGCTCTTCAGAGACTGGTATCTATCACTTTCCTCTCAAATCTGATTTGTAGGTATAGAACGGATCACCCTTGTTTGTATCACACACAGGGCAGCAGGGGTGAAAGGGGTACCAGCTCTGACACTGGCTAAAGGGTTTTGCCACTAATGAGAGAAATGTGTTTAAAAATTCTCTGATATTGCAGAGGCAGGTGAGCACTTACTCCCATCTATGCTAAAATTACTACATTACTTAAAAGTTGCACTTTTTCAAGGCCAGGTGACAGTTCTAATATTCTGGGGCTAGTGTGCACAGGTTTTTGTGGTCTTATTGTAGGGAACTCCCTGCAGTAAGCATCAAATCTAAATCAGTAAACAAATACTAGGGTTATAGAGATCGAGAAGTGGGTTTTGATTTTCAGCCTTTTGGATCTAGATCTCTGGAATCGAGCAGAAAATTCACAAAGCATTTGAGGAAAGTGACCCAGTTTGGCTATTTTCCAGCAGTAAACTCTCCCAGGTCTACTTTGCATGGGGTGAACTTTAGGGGTATATTATGCTTTTTCCTCAGAAGAGACATTGGAGAGTGTACTTGTAAAATTCAGTTTATTTGAAAGCTCTTTCTTCAAAAAAGAGAAACAAACAAGCAAACAAACAAAAATTCCCAGTCTGTAGTTAGTGAAGAGGACCTTAAGAACAGCCAGGAAACAAAAACTAATCTCAACCCTTTGCACAAACTATTTTTTATCTCCTGGGAAACAGGCAGATTAAGTGTGAAGGTGCAACAAATACCAAATACCAAAGAGACCACTTCTTTCCAAGTGTGCTCAGAGTTCAGTGTGTAGAACAGCTGCAGAAACTCCTGGGCCCACAGCACTGCATGGTTTCAACTTTCATTGCAGGGAAGGACACGTTTCTATGCCTTACAGAGACTTGAAGCCTGAAAGCCTGGCCAAGTTTGGGAAGAAGAGGAGCCCTCTCAGAGCTCAAGAGCCTTCCTACTCTTTGGAACTTTTCCACAGTAGGCCAAGCTTGACAAGAGTTCAGCTCAAGTTGAACATACATACACACACTCTCACACACAAATTATGTGAGCCGTCAGAATCCAAGTGAATCCAGCTCAAGCTATCTACAAGGTTTTTACATGCAAGGTCAAGTATCTCAATCCAGAGGACTTTTGTTTTCTTAATGAAAAGCTTAGAAAACACATGAATCTTAGATTTTTAATGTTTTTTAAATGGAGTTTATTCTTAGCACATGGCTTTCTATGTAGCCACATCACAATTTGTACAGTTCCACATAAGTCTAAATGCACTCCCCTCTCCCCAAAGACCGTGCCCCAGAAGGGGACAACAGTATCTCTGTAACAGTGTCTTAAATAAATGCAAGTAAGAAAAACTAACATGTCACACCTACCATCAAGGTCTACACATCTTAAGAATTAAATAATCTTGTGAGGTCCACAATGTCTACTCATTTATTCAGTTAAATACAAGCTTGGATGAGCTGCCTTAATGGGGGAAGAGGAGGTAAGGAAGGTGGGGAAAGGGTCTGTCTTCTTCTGCTTTCAACAAAGATGCAAGTGTATGTCCCCACTCAGCATGGGCTGTCCAGCTAGCTGACTGTAGCCATCTCAAAAGTATTTGATACCAAGTAGTCCTTCTCAGGTATCCACACCTGGCAGCCTTGTTTCGGGCCAGCAGGTTGTTCCACCAGCCAGCATCCTGGACAACTGTTCTCTCTTGGGTGGCAACCAGCACAGACTCTTAACCGGATAATGTCTTCTTTTTGATTATTCTTTTCACCAATTTGGGTTTGTTTTGGTGTCTATTATGGTCCAGATGGGGAGGGGTGGATGAGGAACGGAGCAGGAGAAGAGAAGAGAAAAGCAGGTAAGGGATAGAAACTGGTTAAGATCTCTAGAAGATTATATGGAGGAGGGAACGGGTGTGGAGGTGCTCGGGTGGGGGTGGGGATGGAGGTGTGGGCTCTGAGTTTGTGCTTTCCCTGGTGGGCCGGCAGAGGCCGAGGCCGAATTGGAGGATCGCATCTTGGTGTTGGGCAGTTTGTGGTCTTTCTTCCACTTCATCCTCCGGTTCTGAAACCAGATCTTGACCTGGCGCTCAGACAAACAGAGCGTGTGGGCGATCTCGATGCGGCGCCGCCGGGTCAGGTATCGATTGAAGTGGAACTCCTTCTCCAGCTCCAAGACCTGCTGCCGGGTGTAGGCGGTTCGAGAGCGCTTAGGCTCCCCTCCGTTATAACTGGGGTTAACTGAAAACCCAGAACCCCGAAATAGAAGGCCAAGGAGGAGGGAGCGGAAGAGAGGGAAAGGAGGAGGAGAGAGAAGGTGGGGTGGGGAAGAGCAATTGGACATCATCATTATATAATAACCTGACACCAAGTTCACGCAAGATACATAAAACGGCAAAGAAAATGTTTCACAGGCTATTGACAACGGGAAACACCCGAGAGCCATAAAGAATGGTGCTGGGCATTGGGGCTGAAGAAAAGCTTCAAAGACACATGGCCTGAAGCCTCTGCCAGGGCAATTAAATTTATGGGGGCTATAATTACTGCCCTAACAGTTTGGCGTCTCGTAAATCTCCTGATAAAGGGACCCTGGGTACAAAAGGGTTCTCATGTTGGGATCAGGCGGCTGGCTGGCGCGCACATACCCACATCTCACCGCAGCCCGGGTCAGATGGGGGCTCCCCTCCCGAGGCCCCCTTCCCCTGAGCCTCTCCCTCCTGACCCCGACCCTCGAACCCAGGCCCAGCCCCGGCCCACCTCCCGCGCCTCCCAAGCGGCGCCACGTACCGGCGCTGACATGGATCTTCTTCATCCAGGGGTACACCACGGGCTCCTTGCCCTTCAGGCCCAGCGGGCTCTTGTCGGCCAAGAGCAGCGGGCACGCGGGGGCGCTGCCCCCTGCCGGGACGCCTGGGGTGGCGGGGGCCGCCTCGCAGCGCCGCGGGGCCGCTGGGGGCACGGCGCGAGGCTGCAGGGGCGGCGGCAGCTGGGGCTGCAGGACGTGGCTCGCATGCAGGCCGTGCGCTGGGCCCTTGGCTTGCGCCGGGGGCTGCTCGGGCTGGGGCGGCCGCCCGGGGCTGGCGCCGCCGCGGTAGCCATAGGGGTAGGCGGTGTCCGCGGCCCCATGCGCGGGGTACAGCGCGGCAGCAGGGTAGGCGGGCTCGCGGGCGGTCCGCGGCGCGTAGTAGGAGGCAGTGGGCTCTCGGCCGCCGCCCGCGTGAGGGAGCTGGGGCTGCTGCAGCGGCAGGTGCTGGGTCGGGGGCGCTGGGGGCTGCTGGTAGCCGGGGCCCCCGCCCGGGCCGCCGTCTGCGCCGCCCGAGCCGCTGTGCTGCGCGTACTCCTCGAAGGGAGGGAACTTGGGCTCGATGTAGTTGGAGTTTATCAAAAACGAGCTCATGGTCATTAATTTGTGAAGTGCAAAAATACTAATTTTTCTCGCGTTGTCGTTTTTTCTGGGCTTGCCGAGGCCCCTCCCCCTCCTGCCTCGCTTCCCATCCCCCTTTCCTCTGCGCCCTTCCCCTCCCCCCGCTGTCAAGTGCCCACTCCTCCCCCTCCCGCAGACGCCGCCACCAAAGTTCGAGCCGCTCCTCCCCAGCCCAGCGCGCGCCCCGCCCCGTGCCCCACGTGCAGCGCCCCCACCAATGGGCGCACCGCGCGCGCGGACCCGGATCAGGAAACGCGCGGGTGCGTGATGGATGCTGCTGTCCGGCCCCTGGGCTGGGGGAGGGAGCAGGAGCTTTGGACCCCAGCCCCCCAGCTTTGGTTCCCGCTGGGAATTCAGGCCCTGTCAGGCTGTAGGTCCTCTCGGGAGCCCTCTGCCTGCCCTACTGCTGGCCTAGGCCTCGGGCTGTCTGGCGGCCGCGACTCAGCGCTGACCTCGGGCGCAACCCAGTCAGGCTTCGTGTCCTTCAGGGGTTCTAGGCTAACAGGCGAAAGGAAGGGCGTTGGGACCGAGGGGCATCCTGGTTTTTATGTACGCCACTGAGAGGCCACCAGACACATTTTCTCAACCGCAGATCCCCCTTCCCCACACCCTGCTCCTTGCGTGTCAGCCTGAGAGCCCTTGCTTTGAGAAGCTTGGCAGAAGCTGCAAAGGGTGGGCGGGCAGCTAAGAGAAATCGACCCAAGGATGTAAATCGAGGCCATTCCATTATAACTGGATGGACACTTTTCATTTTTTCCTTCTTTCAGAGACAATCTGTTTCGTGTTTTCCTAAGAAAAATTGGAACCTTCGTAATAGCATCTAATTTGACGGGGGTTGTCGATGTGAGAGCTAAATATGCCCGCATTTACTAGGTGCGATTGTGAGAGAGAAGGTGGCCCAAGGATGGGAATGGATAGAAGCAACACCTCCACAGAACCGAGCTTTGAAAACAATAACTTCCTATTTCAGAACTATCCCCAAACAAAAACAAGCTAAGGGTAGAATAAACACCTTGCCGGGTCTGATCGCTGATGGGTCTTTTCCAGCTAAGAATTTCATGTTTTCTCTTTTAGATCCTGCTTTCTCAGGCAGTATCTGAGGCTAGAGTTATATTTGCAGGACAGTCTATAATTTCTGAATTGCTGAAAATTAGCGTATTAACGATATCAGAAGCTCCGGAAAGGAGGGAGAGGAGACTGTTGCCTGCTATTTGGTAATTGAAATTTGATGGGTACACTAATTACGCCATTATTAACAAATAAATTACTTATTAATTCCACCTAATGTTGATCTTTGAAGTAAATACTGATGCCTTATTTGTGCTGTGTGCTTTCTCCCTTTCTTTTCTGAGTAGTAGACATATCTAGATCCTCTACTTTTCAGCCTAAATTAAAGCAGTGTAAACTAGCATAGTCACCATTCTAAAAATATTTTCATATTGGCATGCAAAAGCAAGGATTTTTCAGCTGGTGCACCTTAGTTGATTTTTCAAAGAGCAGTATAAACAGCCTTCTCACAACTGAGTCTGGAACGCAGACAAGGAAAATTATTTCCTAAGCCTGGAGACACTTGAAAAGGAATGTCAATTCTATCTTCATTCATACTGGTTACTCATATGAGTTACTAAATGCTGGAATATATCCATTTGATGGATAGTCACTTAATGCTTAGCCACATAAAGCCTATTATATGGGACTAATCTTTAAACTAATTTAGGAAAAGAGGTTAAAAAGGGGATCATATTAGCTTTCTAACTGGAATCACCCTGAAGAGGTACAAAGAGATTTTCCACGTTAGGTGTATATGAGTGTGAAGAGTGCTGTCCATTCACATGAGGCACCCTGAAAATTTGTTTTTAAAGAAATTTGAGCCACAGACAGAAATCAACACTGAGTGTAATCTTTAGCCATCCTCTCTAGACTGGAGGAAAAATTTAGAATGTGATACATCTACCTGAACCAATATCTCTCCCTAGCAAGAAAAAATAATATACACATAGGTTATATAAAATGTAATATAAATAATATATAGACATACGTATTACAAATCTGAACCCTATAAGTTTCAGGGGGACAAAAAGCATGACAAGGAAATCTTCCCTCCTTCTCATGTCATCAGCCTTGAGTACTAGGGTCTTAACCATATCTGTTTAATATTTACAGACACTAAAACACAAAATTCTGTTGTTTAGCCTCAGAACCTTGTACCAAGTTTCTATTTTTAAGTATTAACGAGACATAAACACTGTTTTGTATACGGTTAACCCAAACGAGTTAGCTGTGCCTGTGTTTTGTGTGATTCTATTACTTTAGGAAGATGGCCTTACACAGAATCCCCCAAGGCCTGTAACTTGTCTTTGTGGTTCGTATCATAAACACAAACGGAGCCAGGACCACCAAGTGTTATCTCAACACCGACATTTTGACATTTTACTGCAAGATTTATGGCTGTAATAAACAATCTCAGTACCTTTTCTGAACCTTCCTCAATCTCCCTTTGCAAACCATAGCATCATTCCATTGAATCAAATAATCTTTTGAAAAACATTTAAAAAAAATACCTCTTGCCTTTACACAATATCCAAGACACCAAAGTAAAGCCAGGAAGAAACTAACTCAATTAATAAACAAACTGAAGTTTACCAGCAGCATCTCGCCTGAGAAAAGATGGGATGCCCTGAAATGTAGCAGAGAGGGAGCATGCTAATCCTCACACACCAACTGGCTCCAGTCCCAAGCGGGGTGAAAGCGTTATCCTTTCCTTAGGAAACTGGTGAGCACGTTTGCTCATTTCCACGTGCAGGGATAACATATATTCCCAACAAAAGCTTTCTTAAAATCCCATTAGGTGAAATAACTTTTCATCATGTCCTCGAATCCCAGATGGAGAAGAGTGAAGGGAGTCGGAGGGAGAGGGAGGGTGCAAGGGAGGCAATGTTTTGCAGCTTGGTTTGAATCTGATTTGAATCATTTTGAATATATTTGTAACAGCATTCCCTCTTGAATGCAACCCTGTCCCAAGTTTCAAAGTGACCGAACAGTGACACCGTGTGCATTTTGTTTCTTATTAATCTTACACATTGACAGTCTTTGTTAAATCACAAGGCGCGCCCTTCACTAGCCGACATTTTCATATTTGTTAGACGCACTGACCTGAAGTTCACCTCGGCCTTGGACTTTGCGCTTCTAAAAGGTCTATACAGTGTCTTTTAGAGAGCAGGGTGCTTTGCCCAGGTCACTCCTTCTCAGGAAAAACCAAGGGGAAAAGCCAAAGGAAATGTAAACGTTATGGAATGTATTGACTGTATTTGTCCTTTGTTCTTTAGAGCGAGAGTCCCCCAGACTGTTCTCTATCTGATGCATGTCTCTAGAGCTGAACAGTGGAATGGCAGAATTTCAAAACGCCTGATGGTGGCATTTGAAGGCTTCCCCACCACCTACACTAGACACAAGATTTGAGAGGAACAACACTTTACCAGCCATTTGACCAATTAATTCTTTGGGGATAATTTTCTTGTAGTAGTTTAAAATAATGCACACAACGCAGGGATGAGGACTGATATTCATATTGGGATTACACATGAATTTTAACTGGGATTGTTTGAGAGGCCTGAGGTTCAAAATCCTCCAGATAAAGCAAGCACACTAAAAGCAATAAATTCTGCAAGTACTCTTTTCTTTTACTTTGAAGACTAGCTAAGAGGTATCTATGGTTTTTGAAGCTGACATGTCTATAAGGTGTGTCACATGTTTTTAACCAAAAAGCACAATAAAAAGGTTTTTCCCAAAGAGACACGTAATTGTCTTGTTGACTCATCGAGGGGTTTCAGTTTTCCTCATTTCACTAGCCCAAATGTGGTGAAATGTTCACTGCTGCAACAGCAATCACCACAGTTGTTTCCTTTCTTCTGTTTCATCTGGCAAACCCCCATTTGGCTTCAAGCTCTTGGCCAGAGTGAAAACTTTACACATTGCACAGAAGCACCCTGATTACTTCCATGAAGGCAGTGTTTGGAAAATATTTACTTTACCACTGAACATACCTGGCACCATTAAATCCAATCAACCAAAATATTGGGATGATCTTAAACATTCCTGCAAGAGTCCACATTCTGAGTAGATGAATTATTTCCAAAGTTAAAAAAGAAAAACCTAGGGAAAATATTTCACTTTTCTCTTCTCTGTTTTCCTATACTGATCCCTTGAAGGTCAATTCATAGAAAAGGGAAATATGTCCTCTGGAAAATAGATTCTTACAGCACCAACACTTAAAGCCATTCTAGATGCATGAAAAATAAAATATTGTTTAGCTCTTCAGTTGCAACTCACACATGAGGCATGGTTCTAGTCGGCTTCCTTAATACACTATTCTCTTTCTTTTCTGCTCTCCCACCCTTCTTCTTAGGTTGCTTTATCTTCTCCTTGGCTTTTTTTTTTAATTCCACGTGTATCATTAAAAAGTACATTCTGAAGAATAGAAAATATTCTATTCTGTCCTGGTGGTCTTACAGAGTAGCCTGTTATTTGTGGATTTCACCTTTCTGCATTCCCTACAGTCTAGTTATTCACTTATAGCTTGTAGCATTTCTCTTACATTCAATTGTGGTTTAATAATAAACATTAAAAAAATTTCCAAACAGGAACATTTTCATGGCACCAGTAAGCATTTTGTCACTGGCAGTGGTGGTGGAAGGGGTGAAGGGAGAATTCTGTGTCTTTCAGGAGGGTTTCCACTTCCTTCCTTCCCCTTCTCAGATCTCAGAACGCTTTGCATTCAGCGGACTGTAGTTTCAGAAAAAGCATATTCTGTGTTTGAAAACTGCAAAGATTATATTTTGCAAGAAGTGTCTGTGTTTGCATTTATTCTTACACACTTTAGGGGTCATCATGTGTACTAAAAAGACAAAAAACCGGCCAATCAGAATCCCTCTTTTCAAATAAAGGAGGTTTCCTGCACCATTCTGTTGCCTTTGAAGGCATAATGAAATATTGGAAACTTGTGACATTAGTTTTTAAAGCTCCACAGATGAGTTTTTAGCATTTTTATTTTGTGACAAACCCACAGACTCCTGGTTCTCCAACACCTAAGGTGTTGATGTTTCAGTAATCTATGCCTATTTACCTGCTGCTATTCCCTCAGAATGGGAGCGATAATTCAAGATGAGATACAGCATGTATTACTCTTGAAAAGAGGAATTTTCTATCCTTTCCTCCGTAATTGAGGTCATTCAACCACTAGGGTTCACCTGGAGTCCATACCGTGATACACGCGTCACTCTGAGCCATTTTATCTTTTGTGCTGATAGTCAAGATCACAGCTCTAACATTGACATCAAACTCTGTCTGGGCAGATGACTAAGAGCACTGCACAATGTAAACTTTTGACCCTCAACTTTTTGACCTGCAGTTGTAACGCACTAACCGCAAAGATACACAAAGCCGAGCCTCTTCTTTCAGGGGGAAGGGGCCCCCCAGCATCTCAGGATGCCCTGCTTCTGCCACTGCCATTTGAAATTAGAGGGTGAAATGGATATTTTTGTGTGTTTGTGACTGTACTTTTTGTTAAATCAGCCTATGACCTCTTCGTTAGCACCTAGGAACTAGATTAACTTGAAATCACTCGTGATTCTATTTTACAAGGAAAATTTGGAGCAGAATGGGAGAACCTTGCAAAAAGTGAAAGAAAAGAGAAGATGGGGGAAAGCAGGCAATGGGAGGTGGAGACACTTTTTCCCTTTATTTAAAACTAAAGACGCAGCCCTAATTGTTGGGAGAGCTGGCCCAAGCGGGTGAATTGACTGTGAACTTGTACTAAAGCGTGCTCTGCTGGCGATTCCTAGGGTGTGCAGATTTATCTTCTCTGCATTTACTTAACCCGGCAGTGAACTGCGCGGGCGTCATTTGTTAGGCGATGACAGACTTCACCTCCAGCAAGGGCTGCTTCACAAAATCGCAATAATTATCTAATAACCTTCATAACAAATATTATTATTGAAAAGACTGGTTTGTGGGGAGGGGACCTGGTGGGAGAACAAATTTATTTGTGAACAACAACAAACAAAACAAACCTGGGCAGACCTTCAAGTTCTGGGGCTTAGAATGGCTGGGGCTGTGGATCCCCTCCCCTACTTGGGTGGGAGCTTAGGCTGACCCCCTCAGCCCTGCCTGGGAGCCCCGTTTATAGTTTTGCCATTGACTAGAAGGAAACTCCTCCTCAGAAACCAAAGGGAGGGAGCCCACAATGCTCTGCACTCTCCATGGTGGGCAAGCCATGGACAGACCCCCAGCCAAGGCAGGGGGGAGGCTGAGAAGGGCATCTTTTAAGCTAAAAGGATTGTTTTCCTCTTTAATTGCCTATCTTTTAAGATGTGATTTGCTTTCCACTCACTAATTATTTCGATATAATACTCTCAGAATCTCAACAAATGAACAGGACTCTGTTTTTTGGTGGGAAATTCTGTCTTGCTCTCTCAGAGCCGCCAACAATGAAGCAGGGGAAAGAGCAGGAGAAAGGGAATCTTGGCATAATGTTGTGAAATTAGACCATGGAAACCCTAACAAACCACTAAGTAAGTGTGACCAGAAGCTTCCTGTTGTATTTATAGTTCAGAAATATTGTCTCTTCAGCTTGTGGGAACAAACGAGCCCCCGCACATTGCCGCTGAGGAGGAGCACAGACACGCACTTCTGCCACCGGCTGAGGCTGGATGTCTTCATAAAGCCCTCAGTGACAGACATATTTTTTCTTAGTAAGTTCCTCTGCAAGAACAACCCAAAAGAATCCACAAAAGAAATAACTTATCTACAGAATGAGCAGAAAACCAGCCATCCTCTTTATTATGCTTCCTATGAAAATAGGAAGAAAGAAAAAAATCTTCCAGTAACACATAGGTCTGACTGCATGATGTATTTTTAAAGTCATTTTAATTCCATGTGGCCATGTGGGTTTGCCTGCTCTCTTAAATTCTACTTAAGTTTTGTGAAGATTAAAACAGACAGAAATAAGCAAGCTGACAATATTTACAGCCTGTAATTTTTCTCATTCCTTGGAAAGATTCTCTATGTTCTGTGGTACTGGATATGACTTCAACAGGCTTTCTGCTCATTCCCACACCCCAGGGTGGAATATGGCCATGAAGTAGTGTGGATATTTTCTGTGTAAGTAACTCAAATTAAACTGGCAGAATCCCCGTCACTCTTTTTTTTTTCTAATTTCAATCACCAAGAAATCACTCAAGCAAGATCACCAAATCAGTAACTAAAATGGAACCATAACGCAATATTTTCCAATAAGGAGCCCAAAATTCAGAGCAGCAAAACAAGGAATCCAGTATTCTCACAGACACATAACATTATAAAAGAGAACCCATACCCATGTAGAGTTTATATCCTTGTTCCCACTAAGATGTGGACACATCTTCTTGAATGCTGAAATACCAATGTTTACTTTAATAGGTTACACACAATGACTTCAGGATTCTTCACCTTGCCACTATTCATGAGAAGTAGCACTTGTGGGAGGGTTTTGATTTTTCAAAAAAACTTTCTAGGTTTTGCTTTCTGGACCTCTGACTTTAGGGACATCTGTTGGACTTATGTTGAGTGTAGGTGGCCTCTGCACAATAAGTTTATTGAAATTCCAAATCTATACTTTCAATTTTTTCACTTTAAGCACTTAATAGGTATCTTTACCAATTAATACTTGCTGAAAACTGCCCAGCTCCTAAGGAGAAAAGCAGATCCTATTTTTTGTTTCATTTCTGAATGCAGTAGGAGAATTTGGCTTAATTCCTAAAATAGGATTGGAGGAAATCTACTGGGTCCCTTGTGGGTACCCATCCAGAAAAAGATCCCAGGACAGGCCACAGTCCCCAGTCACTGGGCTTGGGTTTTGCCATTGAAGAATATGGGGGGTTGGGGCCAGAAGGGGTGACTGGGGCCAATATGGAATTGTGCCCAGGATAAACTTATTTCACCTTACTTCACCCATTGGTGCAATTTTGGAGACTGTTCTGGAAATCATAGATTATGTAAATTTCCTGGGATCAAACAGAAAGAGCAACTAACAAAAGAAAGGCGGAAATCTCCTACTGACAAAGGACCAATTTCTTCCCTAAACTACCGTTTATGATGTGTCAGGAAAAACAACCTAATGGCTCTGGGGACTTTTAAGTTGGGCACTGAAGACACCTCAATTTCCCCCAAAACTTTAGAGCACAGTTTGGAACAGAGAATTCGCCTGTATGTTGAGGGGGAGTGAATTTCTCCAATCTTAATGTTATCCAGGGGGCCGCCTAAGTTGCCTTCTGAGGGTCCTGTGCGTAGATGTTTTTAATTCTACAAAGAAGGAGAGGAACAGGAAAGAAGAGAGGGAGAAGAAAGGCAAAGCGGAAGAAAAGAAAGCGCTTTAACCCCTTTCAATTAGCCTGGGGATTCAAAGACTAAAGTTAAATCCGGCCATAAAGTTTATTGCTTCAGACTCACAAGCGGCTGAGAACAGTCCCGCCGAAATAAAAAGAACATGCAGGCAAACAGGGTTCAGGGCCTGGTCCCGGGTGCGGGGGAGGGGGTCCTGAACACCCCCCCACACCAGGGTGGGGATCCTTGGTCCTCAGGGTCCAGTGGGCGCTAGCAGCCCAGGATCCACCTTGCAACCCGGGGGCCCAGCCTGGAGGTGCAGCCCCAGCCTCGCCGGCCTCTGCCACCCTCCCGCTCTCGCGAGCTAGCCTGAAACCCGGCCCCGAAGGCCGCCGCCTCAATTCAGCCCTGCCAAATGACCCCGGCCCGCGAAGACATATTGCCACAGCCCCGTAAGGAATCCCGCCAGAGTCCGCCTCGGCCCTGCCCCGGCCTTTCTTTCAAACTCCTGAGCGCAGCGCGGCCCTCGGCGCCCGCGGCCGGCGCCCCACTGTCTCCCAGCCCCGACCCCAGGGCTCCGCGACCCCCAGGAGCTGGCCCCGGCCGGCCCAGCAATTGCGCGGGGGACTGGGGGTGCGGCCCTGCCAGGTCCCCACACACAGGCCCATTCGCACACAAAAATCATCTTTTTGCACGCCGGCGGGAGCAGCGGAAGTCATTAACATCCGCGGTTGTGCTGCAATTAAAGTTAGGCCTGGGGATGCGGCGCGGCCACAGGCGCTGCTCACTCTGCTGCCTCCGCAGAGTTGGCTCCTGGCGCTGCTCTTTTGGGCAGAGGGAAAGTTTGCTCTGCCTTTTCGAATTCAGAGGCAGCCTGAGTTATTGAACCAGAGAGAGAGAGAGAGAGAGAGAGAGAGAGAAAGTTTCCAAAGTACAAATAAACTTGAAAGCGCTCAGGAGGCGAGCTTACCTTAACTCGGAGGGAGCCATTTTTCAGAGAGTTTTGAGAACTTGTGGTTTGGACACTTCTGGACCTAAAATTGACAGTTTGAATGGCCAGGCGGCACACGTAGCCTGCAAAAGAGTCAAATGGAGTCCAGCGTTAGTGAGATTATATGTTATGTGGTATATAATGTTGGATGTCAACTCCCCAAAACCATAAAACTTACTTTAATGGCCCCACGTGACGTTTTATAGCCAGTGAGCCGATCTGTCTGTGCTATGGATGATTTTACGATCTAATTCATAGACAAAACCCTATTCATTTGGCACCCAAATGTCATATAGCCGGAACTGGGGCTTATAAAGTTTACTGTTTTATAACTTTTAAAAGGAAAGACGGCATCAGTGTAAGCAGTCGGTAAATGTGCAAATCTCTAGTTGCGCTTTAGCTGCTCTGAGGAGTTTCCCAATCGAGCTAGGATGGGGTAAGTACCTTCAATTTGTAGCAAATTAATTGTAGCAAAAGAAGCCAACTGGGTCCCGGGTGAAGAGTGGGGAAGGGGTGCTGGGATGGGTTAAGGGCAGAGGGTTTGGGGTCCACAGACAGACATAGCAGCGTCTTCAGCAAGTGGAGGCCTAGGACAGCCTTAGGAAAGAGGCAGGATCTGTGTGGCCTGAGGGCGGCTAACAAAGCCCTGGGTTTTTTCTCCTTTTTTCTTGCTCTTTCTCTCTTTTTTGTACCCAGCAAGTTAACTTGGTTTCCTCAGAGATGGACAGGGTGTTCTGGGGCTTTGGAACAGCCTACAGCTTT
Organism: Homo sapiens; assembly: GCF_000001405.40. NCBI lineage: Eukaryota > Metazoa > Chordata > Mammalia > Primates > Hominidae > Homo > Homo sapiens. Next base: position 27,140,866 of record NC_000007.14, read on the forward strand.
TTCCACCTTCTGCCCTGAACTTTGCAATGGGTCAGAGGTAGGGAAGCGATGGGACAGTGTTGGTATGAGGTCTCCCTGCACAGGTCATCTGCTCAGGTAGCCTCAGACCCAACAGCTTCCAAGACTGCACAGACAGACAGAAAAGCAGACAGAGCCGCTCACTATTTGGCACAAACCAGACCAAGAGAACTTACAATAGAAAGTTTATTTTTTGTTCCAGTCAGTATTTTTTCCTTAAAAACAAATACAAAAAAAAAAAAAAAAAAAAAAAAGCTGATCACAGTTTGCTTAAAACAGCCAGACTTGGACAATATTTGTAACTTTGTTCACAAAAACATACATCACTGAAGCTGCGCTTATAAGAGCCACTTCCAGAGTTCGTGCAAAGGGTCCTATAAAGGCACGCAGGGACACACCGCTTGGAGTCACAGTTTTCATCACAGAGTCACTAGTCACTACACGTCGAACAAGTTGTGTCTCATCAAGTCACCTCTACAACAGCATTAATTACACAAGGAATATAGGTAGTTTGAATAAAAATATCTTTAACAGCTTGGAGCTATTGAGACAGGAACACTTCCACGCACATGCACAGTTAAACAACTTGAGTGCAACACACAACATTGGCACTAAACGAGATTGAAGGGGGACTTTTTGTGTGTTTTTTTTTCTCTTTTCTTTTTTTGTTATAGTTACTTCAAGTAACACAGCTTGCTTCATATAAATAAGTTAAAACATCTATTTTTTTTCAAGACAAAGCCATTCAGGACAAAGAGATGAACAGAAAGCAGATCTACTTATACAGGCGCTATAATGGCAATAAACAGGCTCATGATTAAAAGATGAATTAGGGCAACGAGAACAGGGCTTCTTCACAGAAGGAACACAAGGGAGTTTCAGAAAGTCACCTTAGTACTGACACTACGCGGGATCCGCTAATACTGCTCAGTACTTTAAACGCTCAGATACTCAGGGACGGAAGGCCCCTCCTGCCGCGGCCATGCTCATGCTTTTCAGCTTATTATCTTTTTTCCACTTCATTCTCCGGTTTTGGAACCAGATTTTAATTTGTCTCTCGGAGAGGCAAAGAGCATGTGCTATTTCAATCCTCCTTCTGCGGGTCAGGTAACGGTTGAAGTGGAACTCCTTCTCCAGCTCCAGGGTCTGGTAGCGCGTGTAGGCCGTCCGGGCCCTTTTGCCTTCCGGGCCGCCTATGTTGTCTGCAATAGAAAAGTCAGCGGTTTAGCCACCAACTCCTGTCTTCCAAAGTCCGCCAGGGGGACAAGCTTGGGTCATGAGCAGGGAACCCAGGCGAAAAGCTCAACAAGTTCTGCCTACCAGCCCGCACACCCCTCCCGAATTTCCTTCTCTCTTCCTTTCTAGAAAGAAAACAATACGATTTGGACCCTGGGAACAATCTGCCCATCTGAGGCTGGGGCCGTGTCCCGGCGGACTCCGGCTTTCCCTGGCCCCTCTCCTGCCCCCTCCGCCCTGCCCCGGGCGCCCCGATCGGGAGGCACAGCCCTCCCAGGCTGCCCACCGCACAGAAACCCAGGAAGCAAGGCCCTTTCCTGAGCGCCCAAGTGGCCTTCGGGTCACCCTCCCTCAAAGTTCCAGCCCCGAGAGCCGCCTCCCGTTTCCAGCCTGCAGGGTTGGGGAGCCTGTTTTCTTTTTCTTCCCTTTCCTTCTCTCTCCCTCCTGCCCCCAAAATTCAGAATCCTGCAGGCTCTCGCCTCGATTCTTTCCCCCAAGCCCCTTTTCGGGGGCTGTAATTAGTAACGCTGTTTCCCCAGCGTAGCCCTCCTCATAAATTATCCGCCGTGACAAGCCCGATTCACGGCTGCTACAGCCATCCTCTACCTCTCTGCGCCTTGCTCGGCTGGCCTGACCCGGGAGCGCGTCCCAAGGCGTGGGGTTCCAGAGGGGTTTTTTGCTTCCTCCCCCTTCCAACGTCTAAACTGTCCCAGAGAACGCCCATTTCCCCCACTATTTGTGAGCGCAGGGTGCTCGCAAAGAAGAGGAGGAAGGAGGAAGGCAGGGGAGGGAGAACGGCAAGGAGAGCTCCGCAGGGCTGGGAGAAATGAGACCAAGAGAGACTGGGAGAGGGCGGCAGAGAAGAGAGGGGGGACCGAGAGCCGCGTCCCCGCGGTCGCGTGGATTTAGAAAAAGGCTGGCTTTACCATGACTTATGTGCAGCTTGCGCATCCAGGGGTAGATCTGGGGTTGGGCGGGCGGCGCCGGGCTCGGCTCGCTCTGCGCACTCGCCTGCTCGCTGCTGGCAGGGGCGTCCTCCTCGGCTCCGGACGCCGTGCCAACCCCCTCTCTGCTGCTGATGTGGGTGCTGCCGGCGTCGGCCGAGGCGCCGCTGGAGTTGCTTAGGGAGTTTTTCCCGCCGTGGTGGCTGTCGCTGCCGGGCGAGGGGGCCACGGCGGAGCAGGGCAGCGGATCGGGCTGAGGAGAGTGCGTGGACGTGGCCGGCTGGCTGTACCTGGGCTCGGCGGGCGCCGCGCTGGCGCTGGCAGCGTAGCTGCGGGCGCGCTCTCCGGAGCCAAAGTGGCCGGAGCCCGAGCGGCCGACGCTGAGATCCATGCCATTGTAGCCGTAGCCGTACCTGCCGGAGTGCATGCTCGCCGAGTCCCTGAATTGCTCGCTCACGGAACTATGATCTCCATAATTATGCAACTGGTAGTCCGGGCCATTTGGATAGCGACCGCAAAATGAGTTTACAAAATAAGAGCTCATTTGTTTTTTGATATGTGTGCTTGATTTGTGGCTCGCGGTCGTTTGTGCGTCTATAGCACCCTTGCACAATTTATGATGAATTATGGAAATGACTGGGACATGTACTTGGTTCCCTCCTACGTAGGCACCCAAATATGGGGTACGACTTCGAATCACGTGCTTTTGTTGTCCAGTCGTAAATCCTGCCTGATGACCTCTAGAGGTAAACTCGTGCACTAATAGGGGAGTTGGGTGGAGGCGAGGGGGGTGGCGCGCGCGCCCCGGGCGCGTGCCCGCCGCCAGTTGCCGCCGTTCAGCCGGACTCGAGCGCCACCCGCTGGAGGCAGGGCTCATCGCCCAGCTTCCGACCGGGGGCTGCAAGGGCCGGGGTCGAATTGAGGTTACAGCCCATTATGGCAAAATTATTGCATTTCCCTCGCAGTTCCATTAGGATGTACCAATTGTTAGGCCGTCAGCTGCCGATCGCGCGCCCGGCGAGGATGCAGAGGATTGGGGGGAGGTGGTGACTTGCATTTTATTTACAACAACTTTATTTCCCCCGTTTTGCAGCCCCTCTTATTTTTGTGTCGAGGTTGGGGTCGGTACTGACCGTCCTGCCAGCAGCTCTGAATTTTGAAAATACAGATATCACCTTCGGGGAAGGGGGAAAGCCATTTAGCCAATTGGAGAAATAAATCCTGCCCGCAGCAGCAGCAGCTACAATTACGGCTCTGTTTTTGCGAGCGCATGAGGGACAGTGTCCCTGCCGCTCTTAAATGACAGGCGTCTATTAAAGATAGCTTTTGTGTAGTGTTTCTCCAAGGCGAGGTCAAATTCCATACACTTTTATAACCGTAGTCGATTTTTCTTTCGTGTGAATATGGTTTTCGTGTCATTAGTTTGCGATTTGATTTGCTTACGTATCCAGCCTGGAAAATCTTCATCACAGGGTCCGGTTCCTCGAGCCAGCCGGGCCCCAAGTCGGAGGGTTCTCCTTGAACCCAGCGAGTGGGCCCAGGCTCCCTGCAGCCACAGAGGCTGCCTGGGGTCTGGGGATCCGTGGGGCGGGTTACTGGGGTCTTGCTTAGACCTCCAGGAGTAAAATGAGGGCGATAATGGAAGCATTCCTTGGCAGTGCCTAGTATCTCTGTAGTTATTTTCCACGGCTCCGAAAGACTCAAGTAAATCACAAATATAGCTGAGAGGCAAGTGGAGTCTCCCCGCTGGAGGCCCGGCGTTGCAGGCGCCCCTGGCACGTCTGGAAGCCAGGACTCTGGCGGCTCCCATGGCCCTGGGCCCCTCGTTGGGTCCTGAACGCTGCTGTGGCGGCGACGCGGGCGCTATCGGAGGCTGGGAGCGGGAATCCGGAGCCGGGAGCCTACCCCGGGCTGTAATGTTCCACCCGCGCCCAGGTTAACTCGCCTCGGCTGAGGCTGCTTCTCTTCCACTGACGGTTGCACACGCGGGACCGAGAGACTGGGCTCTGTTGGGGCCCCCTTTGTTCCTCGAGCTTCCTTCCTGTTCTGGGAGGCGGCTTGGGAGGCCGCGACAAGGCCGGGCTCCAGCTCTTAGACCCCCTCTTTCCACTGGCCAGAGATGATTTGATGATGCCCTTCGGGACTTACTGGCGAGGGACTTAGGCAGAGACGCCCAGACACGAAACGGGGCTCGGCCCAGGGCTCTTTCCTCCCCAGCAGCCCCGCGTCCCGAGGTCGGGGAGCTCAGAGACACTAGCACAGGAGCCCCAGACGCATTCAGGGCGCACCCCAGAACTCCGGAGCCGGTTTGGGCATCCTTGTGGAGCGGGACTGGGTGTGTGCAGTGCGCCCCGCTCCACCGCTGGTATTGGCTGTGTGTGAGGTTTTGTTTTGTTTTGTTTTGTTTTGTTTTGTTTTGTTTTGTTTTGTTTTGTAAGAAATAAATGCACAGACGCTTGCAAAGCTCCGGGCTCCCCTGAAGCTGCGGAAGCCCCCAGATGGGAGCAGGCGGGGAGAAAAGTTGGGGAACAGGCGAGGGCAAGGGGGCAAAGCCGAAGGAGGTTGCAGCGCTGGCCTGGTCCCTGCCCAGGCATCTACTCGCCCGCCTTTGCCTCTGAGTCCTCCCCGCTGGGCTGCGTGGAATTGATGAGCTTGTTTTCCTTTTTCCACTTCATGCGGCGGTTCTGGAACCAGATCTTGATCTGGCGCTCGGTGAGGCAGAGCGCGTTGGCGATCTCGATGCGGCGGCGCCGTGTCAGGTAGCGGTTGAAGTGGAACTCCTTCTCCAGCTCCAGTGTCTGGTAGCGCGTGTAGGTCTGGCGGCCTCGGCGCCCATGGCTCCCATACACAGCACCTACGAGCAGAAACGGCCGGGCGCCGGTAAGCCAGGGCCTGGAGGGTTGACCCAGTCAGCCCAGTGCCTCCCACAAGAGGCACCCAGACTAGAAACCACCCCGCCTCCACTCCAGCCTCTCCCACTATGTCTGGGGCCCAAAGCATACTGAATGGGAGATTATTTCATACCAAGCGAGATGTTTTCCACCTATAACGACTTGGGGTGGACATTATCGTTTTTGAAAAATCTGCCTCATAGGAAAACCATTACAAGCAAAATAACAGAATGAGCATTCTTAATTTGGGATGCCCAGGTCGTGTTTTTGTGGGGATGCAGGGTGTGTGTGTGTGTTTGTGTGTGTGTGTGTGTGTGTGTCTGGGGTGGGTGGTGTGGAACCATGTAAGTAGTGTACACACTCTGAATTCATAGTGGTCTCTCTGAGGATGCTACTGTGACCAGCCATGTCGGAACTCAACACATTTTTTGAAGAGTTAAAAATGGTCAGCCCTCTTGAATCTTTACACATTCTCCCAAATTATATGACCCTTCTGAGAAATGCAGAACTCCCCCAAGGATAAAGTGGATGTTAATGGAAAACATTATAATTTTAACAATCCGCATTAGGCTCTGTCCTAGGGAATTCCTAGGAGTCTTTGGGATTCCCTGTGGAGTCCTTGGAAACCAGAGGCTAAGAGATGGAGCTATAGGTAGTCTAGGATTTCTGGCAATGTAGGATTGTGTTGGGCTGTCTGATCTGGTGCCAAAGTTCCCCAAGGGTGGTGGGGGGTCCCTCCAAGACAGGTGTATGAAGCTCAGGCATGGGCTCAGAAGAGGGCAGAAGTTGGCTAAGAGTGGGCAGTTGAGTAGAAGCCGGGGGAGATGAGGGAGGAGAGAGAAAAAAATCCTGAGTCTGGGGCTGTGGCCCTCCAAGGCTTTGGGGAGACACTGGAAGAGGCCAAATGGCCACCTCTCTGTACGGGTTTCTGAAGGGCAGAAAGGAGAGGGGGTTGGGAAGCAAAGGGTATTTATCAGTGACGCAGTGCAAAAGGCCCTCTGGCTTGGGAAGCTGAGCAGGGTACTCAGGGTGCATGGACAGGCTGTCCCTCCCCACCAGCCTCTCTCTCTCTTCAGGCTGTCCCTGTCACAGGTCTCATATACGTGCCAGTGCCCCCATCCTCCCCTAAGGTGTCAGCTTACATGGACACTGGGGCCTTGCCCTTCCTCTGCCATGGCCTGATAGCCCCATTGGGAACTGATTTTTTCTTCTCTTTTAAGAAGCCAAAGAAACTTTGCTGGTTCTTTCATCCTTTCTTTCTCTCTATTCCTCTTTCTACTCTGTTTCCTCCTTCTTTCTTTCTTTTCCTGCCTCCTTTCCCCTCTCCCTCCACTGTCTTGGGATATGTCTTACCCGCGCAGGAGTTCATCCGCTGCATCCAAGGGTAAACCGGGCTCGTGTACTTCCGGTCGGCGCCTTCGTCATGGAGTGCTTTGCCCTGCCCGCTGCTGCTGTCGGGTTTGTACTGCTGCTCGGGAGAAAAGTGCAGGTAGTCCCCGGGGCCCCTCTGCTTGCCACTGCCCGAGGGCGAGGCGCCACTGAGGTCCTTATCAGAATAGAAACACGAGGCCCCGTACTCGTAGGACGCCCGGTTGCAGGCCAGGACCGAGTTGGACTGTTGGTAGAAACAAGGTGAGGTGTACGTCTTGTCCGGGAGACTCGACGCCCCGTACGAGGCCGGGAAGGGCCTCAGCGCGTCATAGCCAGCCTGGTAGAGGGGCAGCTGGCCCAAGAAGGAGTCCTGGCCGCTGGGAAGGCTCCCGGGGAAAGTGGGATTCACAAAATAGGAACTCATTTGCGCGCCCCTCTGCAGGACTGTGATTTGTTGTGTATTAGTACATCTGGCTATAACTATTAGTAGTCATCGAACTGGTTTGTTTCTGGATGGCCGAACGCCAAAAGCGACAGCAGCAAATCGCACCAGCTGACGCGGCGGCGGCCAATGGGAGCGAACGCCGGAGCCCGCTCCCCGGGGACCGCGGCGACCGAGGCAGCAAAGTTACAAACAGCCCCCAGCCCGCCCGCCCGCCGCCCGCCCGGCAGATTAATGGGCGCGCACAGCTAGCCGGCCCGGCTCTCTTCCCGAACGCCAGCGGCGGGCACGGCCCTTTCAGTGGCGAGCAGATCAGGCCAGAGTAGGGACACTAATGCTTGGGCCGCCTCAAAGGCCCCGCCAGGTCCCCTCCTTCCTCCTCCCCTTTTTGCTTTATTGAATTTTGCGGGTTCCCCGCCCCTCCTCCTCCAAACAGGAAACCTGAAGGTCCTGCTCCAGGAGGGGCAGTGACAAAGGTGGCTTTGCTCCCTGCCGGCCTGCACTCCAGGCACGGCCCAGAGTTGCCCCTCCCCTAGCGCTCCCCTATTCGTGGGTGCGAGTTCTTGAGCTGGAGCAAGGGCCATGAGAAACCAGGCCTTCACTCTATGCTCTTCACTCGTGCGCCTTAGGAATCGGTGAACTCCCTCATTCTCTCCTTCTCCGCTAGCACCAGGGGCCTGGGCCTTGCAGCCCAGAGCTGAAGGATCACCTCGAGCTGACCAGGACTCAGCCAAACGTAGGTTCTTCCCACCCATTCCCTCCTCCCACATACACATCCTGTTTGAGTCCCAAGGGGCTCAATGGCCCGCGCCTGCCTGGTGTCAAAGCACTCCTTCCAGCTGGGCGTCCCCATCCCACCTTTGAACCCAGGGAATTGAAAGGCCAGAAACCACTGGTTTCAACAAGAAAGGACCGACAGAGCAGTGGCCGTGAGACTGGGCTCCTAAGACAGCCGAGGGACCTGCTCCCCTGCCTAGCGCCTGGGGACTCAGCATCCACTGCGAGAACCGCTCAGAGCTGAGGCAGATAAAAATCCAGATGTGGAATCTCTCTGTCCACATTCCAGAGGCACAGAAGACGCAGAGGCCCTGGCCAAGCTGGGCACAGAGGGCAGCTCTGCAGGGCCCAAGGCCGCGGGATAATTGATGGGCTCGGTTTCCGGGGCGCCCGACAACCGGCACTGTCCTGGGGCCGCCCTCTTTACTGCCCTTCCTGGGACCGCAGGGAGGGCTGCCGCCCCTCAGTCGCTCCGGAACCGGGAATAGTCTCACCGGCTCCAGAAATCCTGAATTGCTTTCACTGCTGTCCCAGGCCTGGCGGTCCCCAGACAGGACATTAAAAGCCTGTCCTGAGCTGCTCACTCTTGCCTGAGAGGTGTGCCTTCGAGATAGTTGACTTTTACAACACATGGATCAATCTCGTTTTGTAAAATGTGATAGCAGCCCAATGGCATTTTTACAACTGTGTTTGTTGGGCTTGTAAAACCCCTTGAATTAGCTTTAAAATCCTCAATTCTGTGGAGGTTGAAGAAAGACTATTTACGTGATTTGGATGGATTTCTGGAGACTGTTTACAAGATCTGTAAAACCCTGGCCAATGCAGGCTCACCCGGTTCAGGACTTAGTGGGGAGGTGGCAATTGGCAGTGTTCCAGTAGGAATCTAGTAATGACTTAGTCTCTTCCTTGCTTTTCAATTTTTTTCCTGAACTCTCCTCCCACAAAGGGAAAAAATTGGGAAAGGACTGGCCTAAGGTCGACCTCCGAAGAGCCCAAGAGGCACTCCTGGAAGGCGGCTGCTAGCCCGGCAACGGGGGCTACCCCTGGAAGCCGGATGCCTGTTCCCCAGTCGATCCGTCCTGGAAAGGGTTTACTTTGCATATAAAGCAGGGCCTCGAATGAGAGGATAGAATTGGGCATTTCCCACACATTACTTCAGGGAAAGAATTCAATAGGTGAAAATGAAAACTCGAGTCAAAAAATTAAAAGGGACTTTTAAAAATAGCTGTTTGAAGAAAAACATGTTTGTGTTATTTTTTTCTTAAACAAAATTATCAGACAACAGTGATTTTAAGCAAGTTATTATTTAAAATGAAAACAACCGTTTGGAGATGACAATCAATGTTTACATTTATGATTTCCTTTTCATTCCGCCATGTCCCACATAGTGGTGGGTCAGTGTCAATTTACTATTATTATTATTTGTCATGCCTTGACCAGGATTCTCGATCTAATTATTGTTCCAGCTAACAAGAGAATTTGATTTCTCAGCTAAGAACCAGAAAACATTATATTTCTAGCTTCTATAGGCACTAAGATGGAAAAACATATATTACATTGGAATCTTTACATGTTAGCCAAGGCTAGTGCATATCATTTCTCCAACCAGATATTCTCTCTCTCTCTCTCTCTCTAGAGAGAGAGGGCTATTCCGGCAAGAATAGGCACCCCAGACCCTCCAAAGGGCCTCTCCTGCGATGGTGAGAATGGCCACCCCAGGGCTCTCTCTCCTCCCTGCCAAAGCCACGCAGAAAGCGACTTACCTTTCAGTTTCTCTCCAAGGGGGGCAGGACGGCGAGCTGGGCCCCACTGTCTGCCCTTGCCCTGGGCTGCCCATTGAACAGCTCCACCTCTGCCAGCCTGGAGGGTGGTCTGGGAGTATGTAGGTGTGGGACCTTGAAGGCCACCTCGGTCCAGCCAGCTCGCTAGCCCAGACCAGAGCCCAAAGCACACAGGTGCGGCCTCTGCCCTTCACAGCCCTCTCCTGGAGCCAAAGCCGTCCTTCTTTGCCATAGCCAATCCTCCTCAGAGCAGCCAGGCCTACAGGCCTCAGGACTACAGGTAGTCTCTCCGATTGCAGAATCCCAAAGCCAGAGTGTTCCCTGAACCAGCGTGCGCCCCCAGAACGCCTTGGGACGCGCAGTTTGGACAGAAGCAGCCATGACGTGCCAGGCGGCCTGTGCAACCAGTCTCCATGGTGCTGGAGTGGGGGTGGGGGAGGACCCGAGTCTATAACGGCGTCCAGCTCCGGTCAGGGGTAGCCGAGGCGGGGAGATTTCCCGGCCATATAGGCTCTGGGTGATCGCCCCCCAGGTCCCCTTGCGTCCCCCTCTACCCTGCTTGCTGGGAAATCTCTGAGGGGCCAGTACAGCAGTCGCGCCAGGCTGCAAGAGGCGGGCTGCAGCTGGCGCCGGTCCCGGCGACGGCCACGGCGTGGCAGCAGCGAGCGCCAGCACGGTCGCAATAAATAATCGGCCCGCGGCAGCCGCAGTCAGGAAGGCGGCGGACCTAGGATGCAAATGCGCCGCTTTATCCGCCCCGAGCGCACGCAGAGCACGGGCTAACGTCCTAAACATCCACAGCCCCTTCCTATTTATCGAATCCATACCAAGATATTGTCTCAAGTTGGGGAAACAACAACCCAAACAAAAAACAAACAAAAAGAACCTCGGACTCTTTTCTTGTCGCTGTCCGAGGAGTTCTCGGGGCAAATCTGGTCTGATGTGCACTTAGGCCGAGCTACAGTTCGAGCCACCGCGCTACGCAAAGCCACCGCCAGCAGCACGCTCTGCGCTTCCTCCCGGGCAGCTCCACCATCCTCTCCCCGCTCGCGGAAGGTGGGGAGTGCGGTCGCCAGTCCGTTGCGCCAAGGTGGATTGGGGGGTCCCCCTATCGCCCAGACTCGGTTTGCGTCCTTCCTTCAACCTTAGCTGCGGGACCCTGCCACGCGCGCTAACAGCATTATGTCCTCTGCACCGAAACTTCCCACCAAGTAACACCCAATTAATCCCATCCTCTCCTCCAACACAGAATTCCACCCACGCACCTATTCCCCCTCCCAGCGCTTCAGACACCTCTCTCATCGAAAAACCGGGCGAAGGGAAGCCGGCAACGAGCGGAGAACTCTGGCTGAATTAGTAAGTTTTTCTGTTTCCCCCTTCTACCTTTCTCTCTGAAACCAATTCCCACGGAGTAGAAAGTGCTGTGCTGATGCTAATAAAATGCCTGTGGATTAATGCACTTTGCCCTCACCTCTTCCCACCTTCCCAGGTCAAGGATGGTCTCCTCTTGTTGGGGAATCCAACAAAACCAAATAGGGCCATGAATGAAAACACAAAAATCCAAACCCAAAGGGCTGGCGGGGAACACAGTGTGCCGGGCCACTTCCTTTTGGGCTTCACGGGGTCGCTAGGGAAGGGGAGAGAGACGACCCAAGGGATGCTGCCCTGTGCCTTGGCGCTGTGCCACGGAGGGCCGAAGGAAGGCGGGCACTTACTGCCAAGGCGAGCCAGGGAGGGGAGAGAAAGGGAGTGGTGTGTGTGTGTGTGTGCGTGCGCGCGTGTGTGCCTGTGTGTGTGACGTGTGTGGGCTGTAGTGTGTGATGGGGGCAAGTGTGAATGGGTGAGTATGGGTAAGGGGGAGTATGCCCCTCTTAAAGCCTCCCTGGGTGCCCTCTCCCACCGCTACCGCCGCCGGCTGTCGCCTCACCACCTTTGCTCCTATCTCCTCCCCACATGTCTCACCTTCAGACGGTGGCTCCCAGAAGCTCCTGCCCCTCTGACAGCTGTCGCTTGGGCAGCCCGAGAGAAGAATTGTCCTCTTTCCTGGTGCCAGAGGACGCAGGAAATTAGCCAGGTTGCGAGTTGCAAAGCTGCTGCCGCGGCGCCGGGAACGGAGCGCGCCCAATCTCCAGCGGGAGCCGCCAGGCCTGGCCTGGCCGGGGCTTCCCTTCGCTCGCCATCTCCGGACAAAGCACAGCCGAGCCCGGCTGGAAGGCAGAGCTCCGAAGCAGGCAGGACGGAGCGGAGCAAAAGAATGCGGCTCTATTCTCGCAAGGGAAATTATAAAAAAGTTCATGTTCACGGTTCTCATCCACATGACCGACAGCGGCCAATGGAAGGGCCGAACAACTCATAAAGTTGTATTGCAAAGTTGTAAATTTTCATAAACAACAACGGATTTATGACCCTTTCCCCATCACTGAGAGGAGGCAGCTCTTACACCGGCGCCATCTTACCACCGAGGCCGCCCCGACTTGGGGCCTCAGGTTTTACAGACCCTTTTGGGCCAGGTTTTACTAAAAGAGCCATAAGAAGCGGGCCCAGCCCAGGCAGGAGACTGGAGACGAGGTCTTGCAGGCGGAACTCAGGATGCTCTGAGCTGCCCGCACAACCCCTGGACCTTCACCCCTCGCCCCTTCCCCGCATCCAGCTGCCCCAGCCCCTGCCCAGGCTGCGTAGCCTAGCGGGGGTCTGCGGTCCTAGCCCCTCCCCGCGCCACCTACTGCAGTGCCGGACCCTGGGGCCCCCTCGCCTGGTCTGCAGGCGGGGTGGGGACCTTAAATCCCATTTCCTAGCCTGGGGCTGGGTTCAGGGCGCATGCGAATCCGGAATCAGCTCTGGGTAATGCCCCTTTCCAAGCCCACTGCTCAGCCTTAGAGGAAAGTGTGGATTTGAAATTTCCTCATGGAATTGATGGAGGTTTTTAGGTAGATTCATAGAATATAACGTATCTACCAAAGATTCCGTTTTCAAGGGATCTAGAAGATGTTAGTGCACACGCAAAAACCAGACAAACGTCTCTACACGGATAAAGGCACATATACAATTATGCACACAGGGAAGGGCATACACTCTATTGTGGGCACAGAATGACATGCAATTATGGACACACAAAAACACATGCACCCAATTATGGACACCAAAATATATACAATTGTGGAATTAGGTAAAAACACACACACAGAAATACATACACAGAAAAATAAGCACATACTCATACAAATACACACATAAAAATACATTAAAAAGATACATGACACCAATACATGGGTACCCAACACTTGGACCATCACAAGGACAGCCACCCCACTTTTGCTTCCCCACTGCCCCCTGCCCTCCAGCCATACTCACCTCCCCTTTCCCAGTCCCCTCTGGATAAGGCAGTCCACATTTTTCTTTGTCACCACGCATCTTTATTTTCGGTTACATAAAACACAGCTGGGCTGGGAAGTGTGCCTTCCCTGAACCCCAGGATGGAGCTGAGCAGGGTACAGGACAACACAGGAGATGAAGGGCATTGCGGAGGGCATTGGACCTCCCCACCCACTACAGTTAACTCAAGACAACATACCATGCTACAAAGTCACCCCATTAACACATCCTTTCCAAGTCAAGACACTGCCTTACAAATGAACTCCAAGACTATAGAAATGATAAAAAAAAATCTTGTTCAAATATACAGTATCTGCTATTATAGGAAACATCAGGGCGTACATATTTAACACAGCTGAACAGTAAGATACAGGAGCCAGAGGAAAGGACAGCGAAGCTGGAAGCATCTCCACAGTCCTGCTAAGCAGAAGCTAACCCACAGATCTGCAGCCAGCTCAGGAACATTCCCCTCCAGAAGTGGGGGTTGATGGGCCTGAGCTGTGGGTGCCAAGCCAGAGAAGGAGGGATTGATTCTAGGGTGCAAGCACTTAGGATGCTTTTTGGAATAAATATATTATTTTTCGATTTAAATAGATGCCAATACCCTGATCCTGGACCTCAGCACATTCTCAGGGCAGCCTCAGGGACCCCAAAAGCTGCGGGCTGTAAGCAGCAGGGGACTTGCCTGGGAGCAGTCGGCACTAGGTAGCAGGCAAGCCAGCCAGCACAAAATAGGTAGTTTTAGGGGAGTAGGTAGTAGTGAGATTCACTTTCTTGCGGGTCTGGGAGGGTGGTGCTGGGTGTCTGCCAGTGTTGGGATACATAGGGACTTCCTGGGAATGGAGGCCCTCTGGGGCTGGATACATAGGTAGTTTGGGGGTGCCTCGAGCAGAGGCCTGTGCTAGGTAGTATTTTGGACGCGCCAGAGCAGGGCCGGCTGGCCTGGGGTTGGGGGTGTCTTTTGGGGTCCTCGGAGGCAGAGGGAATCCAAGGCGACCCAGTCTCTGCGGCCGCTCAGTCCACAAAAGTTGGGAGCTGGAGTAGGTGATGGGGGTGGGTAGAGTGCAGGTTGGGGACTGGGTTGCTTTTTTGTTTTTGTTTTTGTTTTTTACATTTTCTTTTATTTTTCCCATTTTTGTAAGTAAAACCAGTGAGTCTCTTAAAGACGCTTTTCCGACTGTCCGGTGCAGAGAGGGCCCCGGATCGGCCCCTCATTCCTCCTCGTCTTCCTCTTCTTCATCATCGTCCTCCTCGTCGGCCTTGTCCGCGGCAGCAGTGGCGGCGGCAGAGGGCACGGCGCCCTCGGGAGCTGCGGCGGCAGTCGGACCTTCGTCCTTATGCTCTTTCTTCCACTTCATGCGGCGGTTCTGGAACCAGATCTTAATCTGGCGCTCGGTGAGGCAGAGCGCGTGGGCGATTTCAATGCGGCGGCGCCGCGTCAGGTAGCGGTTGAAGTGGAACTCCTTCTCCAGCTCCAGCGTCTGGTAGCGCGTGTAGGTCTGGCGGCCCCGCTTCCTGTCAGGTCCTGAGAACAGACATGCAGACACATGAACACAAGGACAGACAAGTAGACAGGGCACTCGTTAGGCTGCTGTCCCAGAGCCCGCACCTTCCTCCTGGCCTAGTCCCCAGCGAGCATCCCCCTCTGCCCCAGGCCCCGAACTGAGCTAGGGGAGGAGGGGGAGTGTTAGGGAAAGACCCCAACTGCAGTGCCAGACGCGCAGGCAGCTCTGTAATGAGCAAAGGCACAGAATCTCAACTTTACAACCGACCTTTCCAGCCGGCTAAGCTTCCACAATGTCCTGCTTCCTCTGACAAAGGAAAACTGTAAATATAGAGTGTGAGCAAGTGGGAAACGCTGCACTTTTGCCATTCAAAGATGAGCCCGGCCATTCCCCTGCCTTGCTAGGCAAGTGGGCGACTCTTCCCAGCAGCCTGAGCCCTCATCCCCAGGACCTTCCTAGGGCACCCCGACCCTCTGTCCTCATTCCCTCGCCCCCATCTTGAAATGGACCCTGGCACAGGGTCGGGTGAGAGGCCCTGGAGGGCTTGGCTCTCCTAGCTTTTGAGAAAGAAATGTCAGGCAGCAAGGAAAATGAGGAGAGAGAGAAGAAGAAAGGGAGGGAGGGTGACAGAGGAGGGAGAAAGAGAGACAGAATAGCGAACAAACTTAATGTTAAAATTCCAAGACAAATGGAGTTAAATAAATTTACGAGGATCGAACCCATTAATTGGGCCATAAAAAGTTTTATGAGCCTCATTTACATACAATGCTATGGGCTCCACGCAATGGCGCCTCCGCTCCAATTAAAACCAGAAAGGCTGCGCCGGGAGTCACGGGGCTACCGGCTCGCAACAGCCTGGCTCCGCTCTTCCGGCCCCGCGCCCCGCGCTCCGCGCTCCCCAGCGCTGCGCTCCCCGCTCCCGGTCCCGCTCCGCCAGCCTGGCCCGCCTAGCGACTGCGCCTACCTGAAGACCGCATCCAGGGGTAGATGCGGAAATTGGCCTCAGCCGCGCCATGCAGCGCGCCCTCGTCCGTCTTGTCGCAGGCGCCTTTGGCGAGGTCACTGCAGAGCCCGGGGATGTTTTGGTCGTAGGAGGCGCAGGGCAGGTTGCCGTAGGCGTCGGCGCCCAGGCCGTAGCCGGACGCAAAGGGGCTCTGATAAAGGGGGCTGTTGACATTGTATAAGCCCGGAACGGTCGAGGCGAAGGCGCCGGCGCCCGCCCCGTAGCCGCTTCTCTGTGAGTTGGGAGCAAAGGAGCAAGAAGTCGGCTCGGCATTTTGGAACAGAGAAGCCCCCGCCGTATATTTGCTAAAAAGCGCGTTCACATAATACGAAGAACTCATAATTTTGACCTGTGATTTGTTGTCCGGCAGCTTTCAGTGTCGGTTTTACGAGGTAGAGTGATATATGATAACATTACACCCCCAGATTTACACCAAACCCCATTTTCTTTTGGACGGAGCTCGCCGCAGCACGTGACCGCCCACATGACCGCCTCCGCCAATCTCAGCAGTCCTCACAGGTGGTCTCGCTCCGCAGGGCCCGCAGCCGCCTAGAATGGAAGGGCAAGAGGCTCAAATATGCGGCCAAAGAATCCGCCCGCGCCCGGCGGGCCTGGCGCGTCCCGCGGAAAAAGACCTGGAGGCTCCGCGGGAGCGCCCAGCTGGCGGCCAACCTCCGCACTGGGGTCTGCGGACGCCAGGCGGCCCGGCCCCACGCAGCACCCCCCACCCCGCCCCCCCGCCGACTCCTGCTAGTGAGCCCTGGACCAAGCTTGGGATCCTCCCCATCCCTCTCCTGTCCGCCTGCCCAGACCCTGGAAGGGTCTCTGTCCCCCGCAACAGCCTGCCCCGCGGTGGCCTTGTGGGCAGGACTCAGCTATGAGCAGATCGACTCTGCCCAAGTCTTCTCTCACCCAGGTCCAGTGGGCGACAGGCCGGACTTAGACTCGGATCCAGACGGGGAAGGCGCAGCATCTCTTGCAGCTGCAGAGAGATTGCCACCGCAAACTGGAGCCATGTGGTTCGAATAAAGTCAACGTCTCCCAGCTTCCTTTCCTTAATCGGAGGCACACTGTTTATCCGCCCTAAAGGAAGCAGTGAAATATTTATCTATTAATGAGACTCATTTGCCAACAGATTTATTAACGTGGGGTTCCCCTCCCTCCTCCCGGACGCTGTAGTGCTGCAGGCTCTGTGCCTTCGCTCCTGGGCACCTGGCTGGCTCCAGCAGTCCGATAAATTGCTAAAGATTCCTTTGTCCTTTCCACAACTTCTGGTTCCCCTCTGGCGCATGGGGAGCCAGGGCTGTTTCCCCCAGCTTGGAAAAATCTCGGGCCTGCACCCTTCCAGGCACTCCCAATACTGGAAGGTTTCTGGGGTAGGCCGGGGTGCCTGGGAACAATACATGCTTTAGAGCGGATTTGGAGAGGGGGCTCTGGCGTCTAGGGACTGCAACCCACTGTGGACTTCCTTTTCTTTTGAAGACACCGAAAACAAATAGGGGAAACCACCCCCTAAAGGCCACCCAGCTGTGGAGGCTTCACCTATCCAAGTACCAGCTCACATGGAGCTGAGCGCACAGTGGTCTCACTTCCTCCCATCCAGGCCTCCAATTCCTACCTTCCAGGCCTCCGACCCCTGCACCATGTTGCACCAGCTGAAGCCCCTGCCGCCCACCGCTCGGTGGAGGATGGTGGGGAGAACCCTTCCCCTAAACGCCTCATAAACTGCCCGGCTGCGCTGGAAGCCCGGCCACCTTTTACTGCTCAGCTCGATTACACACCATAAACCCGACCTCACAATGGAATTGCCCCGGAAATTCTCCTGTAAATTGTAGAGTTTAGTTCCTTGTGTACTGAGCACTTCCCATCACTTTCAGAGGGTCCAGGCCGTCCCCGTTTACCGCACCCTCTCAGGGGGCCCCAGGAATACAAAAGGTGGAGGGAGGGTTCAGATCGGGACGCCACGGAGCCCCAGTTCCTGCGCAGTGAACCACCGGGGCTTGGGTAGGAAGGCGGGGGCTGGTGGGGCAGGTGGGCGCTGGGCTGTCTCCTCCCGGGCCACGGAAGCCTGGGGGTAGGGGTGTGGAGTGAGGGACAACATCCGGGGACGCCTTTATGGCGGATCAGATGATACCTTGTCTCCGATGGAGAATAGAGGGAGTAAGACAAAAAGAAAAGACCTAAATAATCCCAGTCGCATCGCCTTCTGGAAGGAAATAAAAACCCAAGAAAGTTAAAGGAAGATGAAGCAAACAAGAAGGCTAGGAGATCAAAGAGGCAGAATTAGACCGTTTTAGACCAATAAATTTTTCCTGGGGTGACACACAGCAAGACGCAAAGAGAAAAGACCAAGGCCCCCGCCGCCGCCGTCTGTCTAGACTCAAGCGACTGAAGGGGCCAACAGAGCTGGTGTTTAAAGTAGAACCTGCCCAGTCCAACAGCCCGAGCAGGGAGCGATTTCGGGGATCGCGGGAAGGAACGCACTTCGCCAAGGGAGGGCCGGGTGCCCTCGCCACCGGCTCATTCCTGCTCCGGTTTTGCCCGATGCGCGTCCAGGAGGTTCTGGCAGGACGCACTGCCCCTCTGCCCCGGCCAAGGAGGATGCGGATACTGCCCGCAAGGCTTCGGCCTTTATGGACCCAAGTCAGCCAACTGGGCCGAGTCCTGCGGACACCGAAACCTCCCTTTCGTTTCCAGGCTTCCTTCTCCCCTCTTGCCCTCTGTGGTCTGATTTAAAACGAAAAGGTCGGATAAAATCAGGCTTTCAATAAGGCTTCTTTAACTGTGTGTTCTCTATTCATTGGTTCTCTACTTATTTGACTGAAAAGACACAAATGCACTAGGTTATGTGAGATAATTTTCACAGAAATACTCATTGACCCTCAGCCTGAAGCAGGCACATGTAGGCGGGTTTCTAATCAGTAGAGCTATGTTTAGATAGACATTTTCCACTGCCGTCCCTGAGCTTCCTTCCTACCTACTGGCAGAGCGTGTTCACTCTGCTTCTTGTTACCAAATACCAATATTTAAATTCAATTATGAAGGTAAAGCCAGCTCTAGGCAGGGAACAGCGCCTTCCAGAGATTTGGGTGGCAGGCAAATTGCTTCCTAAAGGTTTCCACCCTTGCCTCTCTCACCAGCTGCATCTGTTCCCCATCCAGTGAGTGAGTGATCCCTAGCCTGGGTGCAAAGACAAACTCGTACCTGTCGTGTACAAATGAGATTGGGTTGGTGCGGGGTCTTGCCTGGGTGAAGGTCCGCAGCGGGGAAGCCACTCCCAGGCTTCCCAGAGGAAAAGCAGACTCCCAGCCACCAGCCTGCCAAGGGCAAGGGAGGAGCCTTTGGACAGTCCACCCAGGCCTGGGAGACCCTGGGCGGCCTGCACCTACCTGAGGCCTCCGTGATCAGTGGAGAGACGCAGTCGCCACCGATCTGTGACTTCATTTATTTGTAGTTACACAAATCGAGCTTTCTCTCTGCATCCACGGATCTGCGACTTCACTATTTATTTGCAGTTAACATAAATTGAGCTCTCTATCTGCGGCTTGAATACAAAGCCACGGTTGACTCCCAGGGAAGCTATAAAACCCTTCTTACAATCAGACGTTGTGAAATTATATACGGAAATGTAATGAAGGTGTGTGTCTGTAATATCTGTATCTATCTATCTATCTATCCATATATATATGTATATGTATATATGAGATGAGAGACAGAGAGGGAGAGAGAGAAAGGAGAGATATTGTGTGTGTGTGAAAGGAAAGAGAGAACAAACACCCGGGAGAGACATCAACCAAAATCCAGTCCCCAGTTTTACAGCGTGAAAGCACTGGGATGCGGGTCGTAAACATTTTGTGGGCTTGGCGGAGACTATTACGACCCAAATAAATGCACTGTGTAGCGTGTTCACAGGGCTCCGGGGCCTTTCGAAAGGTTCTCTGTTTGCTTTTGCGTTTTGCCTCTGGAACCATTCGACATCCGTGGCTGATGCGCGCACCCGAGAGGAGGCCGAAGCGTGTTCCCCGCCTAGGGTCTGGGAGAGGCTGGGCCTGGATTGGGGTCCCCTCCCTTCTGGCCTCCTGATGGGTGAACGCCAGAGCAGCCTCGGTTCCTGTACAGCGGAGGGCATGCCGCGGCCAGAGACAGCCCGGGCGGCTTCCACACTGTGTGCGACACTTTTGGTGCTACGGTGTGATTGTTATATTAAACATCACATTAAAAAAATAACCAAAGCAGTCCCTGGTTTGTCCCCCAGGATTCTCCTCCCAGCCAACTCGGCCCGGCCCCTATACCTACAGTGGTCAGACACCGAGATTGCCTTTACGCCCAATTTTCACCGCCTAATTTTATTGTCTCGATTCAAGCCAGCCGAGTCCCGGGGTCCTGGCTCTGTCTTGGGTTCTGGCTCGCCGGGCCCTGACCCAGGTCGCAGGTTTCGGGGGCCTCCTGGGCGGCCGCGGACCCCGCGGTCACGGTGTGAGCCCTCGGCACGCACCGTGCACACCCTCTGGGCGGTCATCAAGTTCTGGGGCTGCAGGCGTTCCTCCTGTGTCCGCCAGTCAGCCGGGGCTCTCTGGCGCCTGGCTGTGTCAGGCCTGTCCCAGCTGAGGACGGTGACCCTGGAGCCGCGCCCGCGCCTGGAGCTGCAGCCCCGCGGCCGCCCGGACAGCTGCAGCCCGGCAGCACTGGGCCCCCGGGATGGGGTCAGGGAGGCGCGAGCGGTGAGGGTCGGGCAAGCCCCCGCCGATTCCTTGTTTCCCAGCGAGGCTTCTAGCCAGGCTTGAGCAGCCCAGAAAATATAGGGCGGCTGTTCACTAAAATCTGGGGCTCCCATTCCAGAAAGGCTCGTGTCAAGTCGACATCTTAGGAACTTCACAAGGGTCGCGGAGGCGGGAGATGGCGGCGCGGAAGCCTCTTGCATGGAGCCACACTGCCATCTGCTGGCCGCCGTTTGGTACTGCAGCCTCAGCTACCTCCGCCGGCCTGAGCTTTGGGAGCCGCCGGCTAGCCCACCGCACCCCACTCCCAAACGAGGGGCGTGGGCCTAGGTCCCGGGGAGTCTGCGTGGAGCCCGGAATCTACTGCAGAGGAGGCAATGCCAATAAAAGAGGTGTTTCCGCAGCCGCTTTATCGGCGGCAGACAGAACAAATGAACAAATGAAAGGGCTTTGGTGGAATATCCTAATTGGGGCTGGACAGTTGTAAACTCATTAAGGGACGAATTCCAGACAGTTCGCAGACCCGGCCTTTATGGCACACTCTTACTGCCTATTCTTTGAAGTTCCTTCTGTCTGCAACAACAGAGGGCGTCCCAACCTGGCGGCGGGGTGGGGGTGGGGGTTAGGGGACGCCTCATCCACCCGCGCCCTGGTTCCCCTTTTAAGCTTAGAACACATCCAACTTTGCAGAAGTCGTGGAGTGGGGGAAGGGGGTCGGGCGAGGGAAGCAAGGGGGTGGAAGCGAGGCCGAACCCTCCGGCCACATCTGGAAAGCGCTCAGGCCTCCGAAGTTGTGGCCGTTCCCCCCCCCCCGCCCCTCGTAGCCCTTTACACCCCATAAACGGTAACAGCCCTCATTTTCTTTTATGGCGCTTAGGGGCTCGTCAATTGCCTCAGCCCTGCCTCTGTTAGGCCTTGTGCTCGAGAGGTGCTTGCAGTGCAGGACCCAGATTCTCTTGGGCCAGGCTGGCAGGACTCCGCGGGGGTGGCGGGCGGTGCGAGGATGCAGGGCTTTGTTCCTTTGCAAGCCCCCAAAATGTTTGCCTGCATGGCCACGTTGGGCCGGTGGGGCTCCTATTTCCCTCTTCAGAGCCTGCTTAGAAGGCGGCTCCCAGCTCTCTATCCTGTCACCCTCTCCCCCTTTTCCTCACCAAGCTAACGAAGGCCCAGGTTTGGGAATTTTCTCGGGGGCACCAAGGTGAGAGTGGTCTTTCCACTGCTACTGGCCAGACCAGACCAGCTCCTCAGGGGCTTCTCCGCCGTCCCGCACATAGACACAAGGCCGGGAGCCTGGCTCCTCCGCCGGGTTTCCCAGCTTTTTCTCGCCGCCAGGCAGCTGGCCTGTTTGGGAGAGCTTAGCTCGGCGGACTGGTTGTGGCAGGTCCCGCTCCTGAAAGCCAGCCAGAGGCAAAATTGGGGCTCTTTCTCACCACCCCAACCCGCCCCTACCCAGAGACTCTACATAGGCTCCCCTGACCCAGAGAAGAAGGTGCAAAGAGCAGACCCGCAAAAAATAGAAAAGAATCAATATATTTTATTTGGCAAAAAGTTAAATATCATCTCAACACAACAATTTGGTCAGTAGGCCTTGAGGTAACTATTGCAAAATATACAGTGTAAGTTCAGTCTGATGGAAACCCCAGATTCATCAAGGATACAAATCTACAGTAGCCCAATGGCGGTTTCATAGTGTATAATTTATTATCAATAAAATTAACTCCGTTACAATCAGCATTCATTTCCTCCAATTAAAATTAAGCATAAACCCTAGGTAGTAACCTTCTGCACATATGTATAGCTCCGAATTTCCTCACTGTTCGTCTGGTGCAAAAACAATATTCAAGCTTGTCTGATTATGCATATTTTCTTTAATCATATAGATTATATATACAATAGACAAGACAGGACTATATAGATAATGGACAGACTTAAATGCCCGCATTTTTAAGGTGGAGAAAATGATGAATCTATGCATCCCCGAGAACACTTAAAATTTTTTTTTATTTCACTGGGAAATTCTTACAGCTACTTTACAATCATAGGTTAACAGCCTAGTTATACAGAAGACATATTCCACTACAGAGCTATACTCTATGCAACTGTTTTTTTCCCCTCATAAACAACCTGAGTTCAAATTGAATTCTATCTTCCACAATCACAATGGGTGCATCACCCAGTACACAGAAGTTTGAATCACAAAACATAATTACCACAATAAAACACAGTGTTCAAGTATCTTGGCAGAGCAATCTGCCGCACAAACTGCAAATTAAATTAACTACACAGACTAAAAACTATACAGCCTACCATCAACAGTTGTGCATTATAAAAAGGTAGTTTCTTTCCTTTTGTTTTAAGTCAGGAACAGGTAGATTTTTAAAAATATATATACAAGCTAACACACACAGCTATCAGCACTAATGCCCCCCCCTCAACTTTTCCTTTTTCTTATAGAAAATGGAAAGCTTACAATACCTCCTCCATCAAAGCGGCAGGCCTACGAGCCAGCCTGAACAGGGTTTGCCTTGGAAAAGATGTGGCCTGAGGTTTAGAGCCGCTTTGTGCGGGGATGGTGGAGGCTAGGGTGGGGGTGAGAGAAGGGAGAAGGCGGAAGGGGGACGGACAGTTCTTTCTTTTTCTCTCTAGCTTACCCTTTTTTCTAAATAAGCCCAAATGGCATCACTCGTCTTTTGCTCGGTCTTTGTTGATTTTCTTCATTTTCATCCTGCGGTTCTGGAACCAGATCTTGACCTGCCTCTCGGTGAGGTTGAGCAGTCGAGCCACCTCGTACCTGCGGTCCCTGGTGAGGTACATGTTGAACAGAAACTCTTTCTCCAGTTCCAGGGTCTGGTGTTTTGTATAGGGGCACCGCTTTTTCCGAGTGGAGCGCGCATGAAGCCAGTTGGCTGCTGGGTTATCTGCGGGGAAGAGAAACACTGGGTTTAGGAGCAGAAGACGCACATCCCGCTGGGGCAAATGAGCCTCCTGCATGGGGTCTCTGGCCGAAGTGCAGAACTCTGCTGAACTGGTTAGGAAAGGCAGTCAGGCCTCGGACACAATGGAACCCTGGCAGACAGACGCACAGACAGTCACTTAAAATTGCACGCAGTAAAACTTTGGCTCGCCCTCCCCTCCGAGACCTTCCTTTCTCCTACTCTGTCCTCTTGTCCCCCTTCTCCTTCCTCCCACTCTCAAAACGCTGTATAGAATGAAATTTGGAAACAGGTCTCCTTGCCACGCAGAGGGAAAGCATGCTGCCTTGTGTTCTGTAGCAAGATTAGGATTCCTCTGTCCCGTTCACTGACTTCGTCTTTCTTTCCCAACCTGTCCCTCTACGCCCCCCACTCCTTATTTAACCTTCCTGGAAGGCCTTCGGAGCTGGGCAAGCCGTCAGGGCGCCCTAAGGCCGCTGATCACGTCTGTGGCTTATTTGAATAATCTGTCATGGGGACCCTTGTGGCCCGGGTCGCCCGCAGCCTCATCTTGGCAGGATTTACGCCGCCACTGGCCGAAGGCAAGAAGTGGAAGGAATCGGCCGTCTCCCCCAGCGTCCCAGCTCCGGCTGCCCTGGCTGCCGCCGCTCACGGACAATCTAGTTGTACAAAAGGCTCTCTGGGCTGCACTGCTTTCGAAGAACGGCCCAAAGTATCTCGGTCCTGGGCCTGGGCAGCCAAGGAGAGGGGCGGCCAGTCTTGGCTCGTCCCGAAGTGCCCGCCCCGCCCCCTCTCGCTGCAGCAGCCGCCTCCTCTCCCGTAGCCCTGCGGGCCGCTCTTCACTGCTCTCCAGACTTGGGGCCCTATCTGAGGCGTCCCAAACACCAACTTCTGGCTCCTGGCCCCAACTCGAGAGGCTTCCAGCGAGGACGAAGGCAGGCTCGAGAGAAACCTGGCGGGCCAGCAGATCCGGGAGGCCGGCGTGGAGGCGGCGGCGGATTTGAAGGGAGGAGACACTTACTGGGATCGATGGGGGGCTTGTCTCCGCCGCTCTCATTCTCAGCATTGTTTTCAGAGAAGGCGCCTTCGCTGGGTTGTTTTTCTCTATCAACTGGAGGAGAACCACAAGCATAGTCAGTCAGGGACAAAGTGTGAGTGTCAAGCGTGGGACAGTCACCCCTTCTGGCCGACAGCGGTTCAGGTTTAATGCCATAAGGCCGGCTGGAGGGCAAGCCCGCGAAGGAGAGCGCACCGGGCGTGGGCTCCAGCCAGGAGCGCATGTACCTGCCGTCCGGCGCCGCCGCCGCCACGGGCGCCTGGGGGTGCACGTAGGGGTGGTGGTGATGGTGGTGGTACACCGCAGCGGGTACAGCGTTGGCGCCCGCCGCGTGCACTGGGTTCCACGAGGCGCCAAACACCGTCGCCTTGGACTGGAAGCTGCACGGGCTGAAGTCGGGGTGCTCGGCCAGCGTCGCCGCCTGCCGGGGAGGCTGGCCCAGGGTCCCCGGCGCATAGCGGCCAACGCTCAGCTCATCCGCGGCGTCGGCGCCCAGCAGGAACGAGTCCACGTAGTAGTTGCCCAGGGCCCCAGTGGTGGCCATCACCGTGCCCAGCGCCTGGCCCGCCCGGCCCGACCCACGGAAATTATGAAACTGCAGATTTCATGTAACAACTTGGTGGCACCGGGGGGGAAGTACAGTCACCTAATAAGTTGCCGGCGCCCGCGCCCCCATTGGCCGTGCGCGTCACGTGCCCGTCCAGCAGAACAATAACGCGTAAATCACTCCGCACGCTATTAATGGTCCGATGTTTTGCAGTCATAATTTTTATAGCAAAAGCCATATGTTTTTATGTAAAGGGATCGTGCCGCTCTACGATGGGGTTTGTTTTAATTGTGGCCAACGACGATTAAAAGATCAAATCTAGCCTTGTCTCTGTACTCTCCCGTCTCCCCCCCCATACACACACTTCTTAAGCGGACTATTTTATATCACAATTAATCACGCCATCAAGAAGGCGCGGGTCCCGCGTGCGAGTGCGGCCAGCGGAGCCCCTCACATAAAATTAGACAATAATTGAAGCCATAAAAAAGCAGCCAAATCGCATTGTCGCTCTACTGTATTTAAATCTATATTTATGATATTTCATAAGGAGTTATTGTTTCAGAAGCCACACAGGCTGGCGGGAAGTCGGAAACGACCAACAGATTCGTTTGCCTCGCCGTGGCTCCCAGCTGTAAAAATTTACGAGGACTTGGAAAGGTTAGACTGTTGTGTTTGGTTGGCGAGCTCCCTGTAAATAATCCCTGCGGTCCCCGGGAGAGGCGAGTTTACCCGCGGCCGCCCTCGAAAAGTCAAATTCAACGCAGGATCCGTCCCAAACGGAGCCGCCGCCGGCCCTACCAGGGCACTCCAGGCAGGGACCGGCCGCTCAGGGAGTACCGCGGGTGTAGGTCCCCACAGCTACCCGCCTGGAGCGAGGGGCGCCCGGGCAACCCTTAAATTCGCCTTTGCTACGAGGACCCCACGGAGGAGCTGGCCAGGAGGGAGCGGCCAGCCGCCACCAGGGCGAAGGTTTTGAGGGCCTGGTTGGTTGTGCGGCGCGCTCGGTCCCCGGCCCTCGACCCCACGCACACGCGCGCCCAGCCCGCCTTTCTCATCAGCTGGCAATCAGGATTCCCAGGCGCAGGCGGCTGGCGACCCAGCCCTGTGCTCCAGCCTCAGAGGCTCTAACCATGAGCGCTGCAAGCCTGGTTGCGCTCCGTGAATCCCAGCTGGGGAAAAAACTACAAGTGGCATGAATGGAAGGCAAGTTCGGTTTGGGAAAAGGCAGCCTCGCCTAAGAGACCCCGCAGCTCCGGAACCTGGGAGGCCCGCACCGATGTGGCCTGTCCCGGGGCCGCGTGAGCCTTTCAGGGCTCCTTCCTCCCTTTCCAGCTGCTACTCCGGGCCTCGCCTTGGTTACCTACGGGGCCCGGAGACTCGGCGGAGAGGTACAAGGCCCAAAGAGAGGCAGCCACAGCTCAAGGCCAGGGCTGGAAATTAGAACGGGGAGGGGTAAAAGGGCATCGACTCCAGTCCCATTCCTGGGCCTGGCCACGTTGGGGAAGTTTATTTCTCACCCGTTGGGGGTAAATTAAAAGGTCGCCGCCACTCCGTTAATTGGAAGGAAACTCCCCCTGCCCCCAATTCCTAACAGAAAGCAGCGACTCCTAGAACAGGGGTAATCAAATTCACGTGTGGATACTGTGCCTGCAACAGTGTGTTTTTCATTAGCCCACTTCCCTGGCGGCGAGGCTGGCGGCCTCGGGCGCTTCCATCTCTCTCTCTCTCTTTTGCCTTCATCCTCACCAGCAGTTCCAGTAATCCCCCCCTCAAACACCCTGACACACTTCCGGCTGGGACTCCCAAATACCAGCGAGGCTGCCAAGCCGCGCGGATACCGACTGGGTGCCCCTTCCTGCACCCGCGCCTGGAAGAGGGAAGTGGCCGACACAATGAACTCCGAAATGGCCCCGTCCTGTCCGCCTCATCTCCCTCCCCCTAATATTTTCCTTGCCCCATAAATTCCTCTAGGTCATGCCCACCCCCACCACAGTCCACCGTGTCCTAAATACCCCGCAGTCCGCCAGGCCTCTGAGATTTTCATTTAAAAAATTAACCCTGGAGGAAACCCTGGCTCCCAATTTTAAGTGTCTGCAAATGGGCTGGGCATGTCTGGATGCCTTTTCCACGTTTTATGCCTGAGAAGACACTGATTATTTCAGTATTTTTTAAGTAAAAAAGCTGTTCCTTTAAACAGCCTTAGCCCCAAAATAAGAGAGTTACTGAACAATTAGCAGGCGTTGAGTGTTAAGCAGATGTTACTGGTGCCTAGAAAGCGGAGAAAAATCAGAAAACCAAATATTGTCTTCCTTCAGCCCAAAGGTTTGGAGCCAGAATAGTCTGACTTTTTTGTCTGCTTTTATTTTCGAAGTGAAAGAGATTGCGTATGCATAAAGAAATAATAAATGAGTATAATTTAAAGCGGCCCCTTCTCGACTGAGATTTCTGAAACTGTGATCTCTGAAATAAATCCAATGCCCTGGTCCAGAAAATGGCAGGGAGGAGTTGAAGGGAATGGGGTGTGTGGTCCTTTCAGACAGCAGGTCGGTGGCTGTGCAACGAAAGAGTTCCTGGGCCTCCAGTCCAGGCAGGGAAAGGAAACAGCTTTGTGGGCACGAATCTGTAACTGTGTGTGTTGGGAGTAGGGAGAGATAGTTTGTTTTCTGTTTTCTGTAGGGAAAATGGTCAGACTGGCTCCCATCTGTAGACTACAATTTGGAACGATGACTCAAGTTTATATCAATGGCTCTGGAATTTGGGATTCTTTTTGCCCATTTAAAACATACTGGCTCTTGGAAGGGTCCCCTTCTCCAGCACCCAGCTGCACAAAGGTGCTGTATGGAACATATTTTGTACCTAATGGAAGCCACTAGTAAGCAAGCAGTCAAGCTTTGCCCTAGCCAGTCTCCCTCAATGCGGTCAAACCCCAAGCTGTGACCGGCAGGCCGGGAAGAGCCAGCTAAGAGCTTCCCAGCGAATGGCCAGGCTCCAGCGAGGCTGGTTGGGCCTCAGCTCCAGTCCCCAGTGAGGCTGGCGAAGGCCTCCCTGCCCTCGATATGGGCACACAAAGCTGCAGCGAATGTCCCCTAATCAGATCTCCTAGTCAGCCGTTAGCGACAGGCGAAGAAACGCAAGGCTGCCGCCATCCGGTCGTGATCATAACCGAGGCCTTGTCTGCAGAGTAACACACCAGGCCCAAACCCACCGCCCTCGGCAGCCGCCCCACGCGGGCCCTTCCTCGGCAGACTTCCCAACCTCTACTTGAGCCGCAGAGGAAAGTGAGACCCCCTAGGCTCTCCTGAAGCCAGCTCTGGGCCCCTCCCCAAGGATGCTTTGGGAAGGAGATAAGGAGGTGAGATAGAATCTGGCAGAGACGGAAGATGAAAAAAAGACCAACGGAAGAAAAGAAAGCAGGAAGGAGCAAAGGAAAGAAGAAAAAAAGAAAGAAGAGATAAAAGAGGAAGGGAAGACAGGGAAAAGAAGGAAGAAAAGAGAGGCGACTCCTAGCAGCGGCCGAGCTTACAGAGAGAAGGGTAAGTGACAAGGCCAGGATCCCAGCCTGCCCTATCCTTCCTAGTCCAGCCTGAGTCTCCACTGGAAGGAGGTTCTTTCCTGAGCTCACACCCGGGACTGGTGTGTGTGTGTGTGTGTGTGTGTGTGTGTGTGTGTGTGTTCCAGCCTTACAAGAGAATGGCAGGAGGTCCCTGGGCAGGCGCAGGCCTCCAGTGGGAGGCTCAGGATGGAAGCGGGCGCCCCTGACCTTGAATGGCCCAAAGCCCAGAATTCCTACCACGCCCCCGGCGTCCGCGAAGGAGCAGCCAACCTAACCCTACCTGCTGTGACCAGGTGGAGGTGTGTGGTGGAAGGGGAAAGCCGGCCGGCTGGCAAAGCGCTGCGGAGAAAGACACGAGGCTCCTGAGCAGGGAAAGCCGAGGTTGCCACCGCAGGCCTGGCACGACCAGGGCCGTGATGCCCCGCCCGGCCCGACCCCCGCGCGCAGAGGTACCTGGAGACGATTTCAACTGAAGTAATGAAGGCAGTGTCGTGCTGTCGAGAGAAAGGTGGATCCCAACAACAGGAAACTACCTAAATCACCGACCAGTTCTGGTGCTGCCCGCGAAGGGCTGCCTCGCCCGCCGCCGCCGCCGCCTCCGCCGCTGCCGCCGCCGCCAAGGAGAGAACCCTGCCATCGCGCCTGGCCCGGCCCAGCCCAGCCCCTAGGCAACCTGCGCCCGCCAGTGCAACAGAGTGCCCCAGGCGGCCGCAAATGCGTCAAGGAAGGGGAAGCCACAGGCCCCAGTAAGGTATTCCTGGGAGGGAGAGGGAGGAAAAGAGAGGGAGGAAAGGCAGGGAGAGAGGAATAAAGGCGGGGAGCAGGCGAGACGAGAGCAGCTCCGAGAAGCAGTGTGCGCGCCGCTTTCCCAAATCTTGCAGCCCAGCGAGCCGGCGCCAAGAGGCGGTAGCCGTGGAAGGCTCGAAAGCGCCAGGGACGGTACAGATCCCGGCTCCCTGTCTGGCCCCGGCCTCCCGCCTCTCGCTCTCCCCCTCTCCCTCCTAGCTGCCCGCCCGCCGGGGCGCGCGCTCCTGCGCCCCCTCCCCTTAGCCCCCGCCCCCCCCACTCTGGCAAGCAGGAAACGCGTGGCCCTAAGGAGTGCCGCCAGGTGGGGGAGGCCGTACTGGGGGAGGGGGAGGCCCCCATGCAGTCCAGCCCGGGTCCACCTAACCGCTGCCTCCAGCGGCTAGAGATGCGCTGTGGGCCAGGCCTGCTCCCCGATTCAGATTGAGGGTCATCTGTGACCCAGACACCCGCAAAATAACCGGCCTCTGCAAGCCTCCCTGGGGCTCCCGAAAGAAATCCTGTTTGGCTTCCTCTGTCTATGTAGCTCCCCTCTCAACTGAAATCACTGGTCCAAGACAGCCACAATCCAGATATACTAGCAAGCCATAAAACTGAACAAAAGCCGACAAACCTTACGGCACCAGGGCTATAGGGCCCAGACAAATTACGACCGTCTAGGTAATATTTAAATAGATGCCTAAAGTAATTGCAGGGGCTCGGGTTAGTCCTCCTGTTGTAAAAGTGGTGAACGGGATAAAGTGGAAGGTGAAGATAAGAAGTCAAAAAAGAGGTAAAATTAAAAAGCTTCATTCCACAGCTTTTATTCTATAAGAACATAAACATCGTCTTTTTCCACGCACAGCAGCAATACAATATTAATTTATTCTGATTTAAGATTAGAAGTAAATAGAGCTAGAACTAACATTTATAATAACGATAGAATGCATTTGCTTAAAACAAGATTGGCAATTCTTCATAATAATAGACATTTATACAGATTTGTATTTATAGTTTTTTTCTTTTTCTGCATCTACAGGTTTGACCCTTTTATGCATGTAACTTCACAGTATAAAGGAAATCCAAACAATGTCTCCCTTCTCTAGTTTATTCCGCTTACCCCAGTCCTCCTAGGCTTCTGTGAATTTCAGAAAGCAAAAACAAACAAAAAAAAAACTTTTTGTTCAAGGCGATTTAAAAAAACAACTTCACAAGATAGGGAGAATTGTGGTGTGCTTGTCACATGTTACCAGTGGTAACAATTTTAATGACAAAAAAATCCACTAATTCCAAATGCATAAACAAAACTACATTATTTATCTACAGCCAGAAGGATATGGAAATTTAGAGGTAAATGAAACATTTTAGTCAGGCAATGTAAGACCTTACAGAAACTGGAAGAGAAGTCCCCTTCTCTTGGTAATTCTTTTTTTTTCTTTTTAAAGCTGGGATATCTTACAGAGGAAGGAAAAATTAACCTTTTTTACTTTCTTTCTCACTTTTTAAATCAGCCAAAGTCAAGCCCGTTTGCCAACCTGCATGTCCATGCCTGTAAGCCCTTCTCTTGGCCAAGGAAGAAAGGAAGAAAGAAAAAAGAAACCCAGGGGCCTGTATCCCCTGATTAAACACAGCACAGCACTCCAGGCAGACATGCCCGGTGGCGGCTCCTTTGCACCATTGACCTCAGGCCAGACACCTCAGCGCCAACAATGGGACCTCGGCCTTCCGGCTAGGTTTGCCCCAGGCTGGGCAGGAAACCAGCTCGGCCGAAGACAGGGGCCATTTCGAGCAGTGGGACCCCAAGACAGCAAACCCAGCCCAGTCAGGACTTGACACTTAGGACAATATCTATCTCTATAGAATTTTAGCATGATATGGCTTTTTCCCCCAGAAAACAACAAATAAACCAGCACCAAGCAAACACAAAGAAACAAAAAGTCAGAACAAACCAGCCCTGCACAGATGTAACGGCCCAGGAGATGGCGAGTGTGGGAGGGAGGAACAGGGCTCCAGCACAGGTGCGAGTTCCTGGGCAGAGCCTGAAGACAGAGGGAGGGGACCAGCGCTCGGGAAGTGAAAAAACCGCGTCGCCTGGAGATTCATCAGGAAAAATTAAAGTTGGCTGTGAGCTCCCGGATCCGGTTTTCTCGATTCATTTTCTTCAGTTTCATCCTGCGGTTCTGAAACCAGATTTTCACTTGTCTGTCCGTGAGGTGGACGCTGCGGCT
This sequence comes from Homo sapiens, assembly GCF_000001405.40. Classification (NCBI taxonomy): domain Eukaryota; kingdom Metazoa; phylum Chordata; class Mammalia; order Primates; family Hominidae; genus Homo; species Homo sapiens. The sequence continues at coordinate 27,172,025 of NC_000007.14, forward strand.
AATCTCTAGGCGCCGCTCTCGAGTAAGGTACATATTGAACAGAAACTCCTTCTCCAGCTCCAGTGTCTGGTGCTTCGTGTAGGGGCAGCGCTTCTTCCGACCACTCTTTGCCGTGAGCCAGTTGGCTGCGTTTTCACCTTTGGAATTGCCTGGCATGTAAGAGAATAAAGAGGGGATGATTAAGTCGAGGCCACACGGGCTGCCCGCGGGGGTGAATTGCCTCCGTTTCTCCCATAAGAGAGATGTCCCAAGTCACAGAGAAGAGAGTCGTGCCCCCGTTTTTGGCTTGCTGAGAGCAAGCAGTTCCTCCAAAAGTCATGACAAAAATTGAGTGGGCCTTCAATCTACATGACCCTTCCAATTTACATTTCCCCCACTTTTCCAAACACCTGTTTTAGCGCTAAGCCGTAGATGCTTGCAGAAGGAAAGGCCTGGGAGGGCAGGCTGTACATCTTGAACTTAACGCTTTTCTTTGCCTCTTGCCATATGGCAGACAAGCATTTCCTGTAGCCCCCAGGCTAGGAGCGCGGGGTGCTTACTTGGAAGATGGGCCAGGCAGCTTGGCTGTCTCACCCCAGGGCCCTGATTGCCCAAGACTCGATAAGGGGAGAAAGAAGGGCATCATTGGTCCAATGGGGAAGGCAGGAAAAACCGATTCGGGGGTCAAGGGCCCTCCCTCAAGTTTCTCCAGGAGCCAGGGATAGATAGCTGGGCGATTCCGAGGTCCAGGGGAAGGGAAATGGCCCTTCTCTGGCTCTCAGCTCAGGGCCCCCCGCTTCCAGGCCGGATTTGCCTTTTCTTCTTCCCGCAACGAAGATTCCCGCCCCTCAGCAACTTTGAAAAAAGCATGGGGGATCGTAAACTCGAACTTCGCCGGTTAATGGGCTTATTTATTGGCGCTGGCGGCTGCTTATTTTGGATGCCTTACAAACATCCGCGCTATCTGCGGGCGAGCTACTTTCCCTCCCTCCCCCTCCCCCCGCGTGGGCCGCGCCGCGCAGGCTGGGCAGGGACCAGGGCTCTGGGTCCTCCCGGCCACAGGAAAGAGCGCACAGGAGGGGGCCTGCTCGCTGGTGTCCTCGTCCCTAGTCAGGGGGAGCTGAGGCCAGCGCCGAGGACGTCTTGCTGTGGGGCGCTAAGCCGGACATGAATTTTACTGCGTCCCCACGCCCAAATATTAAAAAGCAAGTTCACAAGGTCAGCCTGCCTGCAGCTTGGGCCAAGGCCGGCCGGCTGCTGCGCGGGCTCCTAGTTTTCTGATCCTTCTCCTCCTTGTGTCTGCCTGTCTGCCCGCCTGACTGCAGCCCTCTGCAGCCCTGCTTACCCAGGGAATCCTTCTCCGGCGAGGCTTTGCTGCTCTCGGAAGGGGCCGGGGAGAGCTCCTCCGCGGCCGAGGACGACGCGTGCGCCTCCTCGTCGCCCTGCGAGCCCCCGCCGCTGCCGCAAGCCAGCGTGGGGGGCGGCGGCGAATCGAGGGCTCGCTCCTTCCGGGCCGCATCGGCCGAGCCGGAGGCTAGCGCGGGCGGGAGATCGAAACCGCGCCCCGGGGGCTGCGCGGGGAACGGGCCAGCCCCGAGTTGCTGCGCGCCGCCGCCGCCGCTGCCATAGCCCTTGGCGGTGCCGTAGGCCTGAGAAAGGCGGAAGTAGCCAGGCACTGGCACCCCGCTGGAGGTGCCCAGGGCGCAGCCGTCGGGCGGCGGGCCCCGCGGGAAGGGAGCCAGTTCGGCGGCGGTGGCCGAGACTTTGGGGCATTTGTCCGCCGAGTCGTAGAGGCAGTAGGAGCTCTCTTCTTTGATGTTCTGCGCGAAAGAGCACGAGGTGGCCTGCGGCGCTGGCTGGGGTGGTTGCGGCGGGGGCGGCGGCTGCTGCTGGGGCGGCGGCGGCGGCCCGTCAGGCGGCTCCATCCGGCAAGACCGGGGCGCGTCTAGCCACAGGTCTATGGGCGAGGGCCCGTAGCCGTGCGCCCCGGGACCTAGACCCCCGCCACCGCCACCGCTGCCCGGCGACGCTGCCTCATTGCGCTTGCCGCCCAGCGTGGGGAAGAGCCCGCAGCTCTGCAGCCCGTAGGGCAGGTCGGCGGCGGGCGGCAGGTAGACCCCGCCGTGGGCGTAGTAACCGCCACCGCCGCCGCCCCCCGCGCCACCACCACCGCCGCCTGCCTCGCCTCTGCCCGAGCTGATGAGCGAGTCGACCAAAAAAGAGTTCGCGGCGGGGCTCTCCGAGCATGACATTGTTGTGGGATAATTTGGCGAAGGGAGCAGATAGCCCTTTCTGGCTGACATTTCTTGTGCAAAACATGCTGAATACGATTAGCAATCCCCCCGCACCGCGGCGGGCGCCCGCAGCCAATCCCGAGCCAGAGTTTCCGCGCGACCACTCCCAGTTTGGTTTCGTAGGCGCGGGGCCGCTCTCCGAGGGCGCCCTCAGAGCCCGCGATTGATATAAATATGTAATCTGTATTGATGGGCCAGGAGACGCACCCCGACACCTTGGCCCGAAGGCCGGGAGCTGTGGGGGCTGCCCCAACGTGGCTGGTGGGGGGCCTGGCCATTGGGCTCGCCCCGCCCCTACCCGGACGTGAGCCCCATACCGGGGTCCCTTAGAAGGGCCCTTGGGCCCCGCGCAGTTAACAAGTGGGGTGTTTATGGTGCGCGCCCAGTCTGCCTTGGGTGCTCACCATCCCTGTCGCAGAAGCTGCCACTAGTCCCCGGTGTACTCTAACCACTGAAGCGGCCGTGTCGGGGACTCACGCGCTTCCCATTCAGCTCTGGATCTGGAACTGGCCCCTTGTCTGAATTCTGCCTCCTCAAAAGTGGCGAACCTGGCCCTATGGCCGTCAGGATCCTCAGAGTGTCAGGAGCCCAGAGTGAACTAGAAGCTGACTTGCCTCTACTTCCAGTATCCACAGATTTTTCCCCAAAATGCAGTGGTTGTTCCCTAGCCCCTAACCCCCAACACTTTTCTCCCCTAGTCCGTTGATCCAGTTAGGATCTTCTCCTCTGGTGTTGTGCTCACCCGGCTTGCCTTCTCTACAACTCCTGTCAGTGGACTTTGGTGGGCTGGCGGGACTGGGGGTGGGAAGCGGCTGCCAGCCTTGATGGAAAGACGGCCCCACTCCCACTCCCAAGGCCAGAGCCAGATCCAAGCATCCCCTCATCACCTAGGGAAGACTCTAAGCCCACAGTCATTTCGGGGAAGTAAAATGCTGGCCTTGGGGTCCTTGGCTGGCCCAAAGTGAGAGACTTGGAGGGGTGTGCCCGGTGTACACCTCCGCTGCTTTATGTTCCTGCTCTCCTGTTAGCTTTGGCACTCATATGCTCCTGGAGGCTACAACAAGAACCAGTGTCACTACACTCCTACCTCTCTGTCCCCTCCCCTCTTCCCCTCCCTCCCATACCCTCAGCTAGGGCAGTCCTTGCTCCTGCAGTGTGTGCATTTTAACGAGGCCTCGGTGAGGAAATCCTTTCCCTGCAAGGCCGGGCTGGGCTCATGGTCCTGTTATAAGAGCATGTGGAGGTCAGGCCCTTTGCTCAGCAGGCTCAGGGGCTCTGTTTTAGCCAACTGGAAATGGCCGGCCTGGGGTGCTAGCCCCCAAGTGTGAGCCTCATGCTAGTCTCAGGAAATGCAACCTTTTCCGGCCAGATCCAGTGGAGCCCGGGAGGTCGCTGCCTTGCCCCTGGCCCGTGGGCTACAGGTCTCCAGGATACTCTAGGCCTGCCCGCCCCTCCGGCCCCAGTCGGAGCTGGCATTACTGAACGCCGGCATCCCAGGAAATAGACCGCTCAGGCCGCTGCCTTCAGCTGGGAAAGACTCTTGCATCCGGGTCATACGCGGCACTTTGCCTCCTTCCTCCCAGTGTGAATCCAGCCCAAGGTGGAAGAGGAGCCTGAGAGGACCCTGAAAGCGCAGAGAGAGCTGGCTAGGTAGAGCTCCAGCTCTGGCTTCTGAGATTCAAGCAGCTGCGGTCGCTGCGGGCAGTGGCTGCTCCGAGCTCCGGGCCCAGAAGGCCGCTCCACCGCTAGCGCGGCGCTCCAGCCACTTCAACCTCGGCGCCCCACGGTGACCCGGCCGTAAGGACTGAGCATCAGGGTGCGGAGGAGGAGGATGGAGAGAAAAAGAGAGAGATAGAAGGAGAGACGGACAGAGGGAGAGAAAAGAGAGAGAAACAGGAGGGGAGAGAGAATAAGAAAGCCAGTTCTCTCCAGCCTGACAGGGTCTTGAAGCTGCAGCAGCGGCTTTAGAGGGATCAAGACAGGGTCTGTGCCAAGAGATCATTAACTCTCCTTCGCTCTTCGCATGCTCCTGCGCCCAAGGCCAAGGCAAATTCTCTACCCTCTAGGCCCATGAGACGGACGAACCTGAGTGCAGAAAAGCTTCAGAGCACCGCAGCCAGTGGCCCTATCTTTAGCTTCCCGGATCTGCCTGGTCCTTACCCTGCTCACCAGAAGGGTGGAACTGGCTGGGACTGTTGCCCTTAGCAATGCCACCTGGAAATGCCACAGAGCTGGGGGCTGCCTAGGAAGGAAGCTTTGCTCTTCAGCACTGCCCATGCCTCTCAGAAAAGCTGTGTCATTTGGCAAGTGGGTCCCAAGACCTTCGAGGTTTCCTCAAGGATAATGAGCCGTGGCAGGTCAGTGGGCCAGGACCTGGGCCTAGAGTCATGCCTCTCCAGGCTAAATGCAGAAAGCAACTTCCCAGGCCGACATCTGGGAAGGTCCAGTATATATTTGAGATAGTGGAGGCTATACAAATAAAGTAAAAGACAATGATCTTAACCTATCTTTCCTAACCTTTTAGGGAGTCAGGACCCTTCTGGAAAATCCAAGTAAGTTTTGACTCATTCTGTGAAAAATGCATATCTGTATATTCCCACAATTTGATCCATCATTTCGAAGGAGTTCACACACCCCTCAGTCTTTTCCTTGGGTCTTCCAGAGTCCCCCAGTGTCCTGGGACTTGGGGGCCCTGCCAATTTGGCTGGCAAGACAAGCTGGGTGCCCTGCAGCAGACAGCTCAGGTCAGGGCCCCGTAGGGCAGCCAAATGGGCTTCTAGGCTGGATAGAATCCAGGGACCTGCACGTGCCAACCAAGGTTACAAAAGTCAGTTTGTATCGCATCTGCTACAAAAGGCTGCCCCAGCCGAAGAGTAGAGGAGCTGGGAGGCCTGCTATGGGCCTCGCAAGCCGTGGCGTTGGCACTTGGGTCTTCAGTGACCTTTCTGTGGTGAGCCAGATGTGTTTCTTTAGTATGACTTTTTCCCCCTTGTAATAAACCAAACGGGATGTTGGGCTTGAGCTCCTTCTGGCTTTTAAAAAGAGTGTGTAAGCTCATGTATGGCAGCCCCTCTCTGGCCCAGGACTGCCTTCCAACTCCCACCAGGGCTTGCTGAGTGGGAAACGCAGCGAGACACTGCCGGTGAGCTGGCCGGCTGCAGGCGGGCCGGCTGCTGCTGGTTCAAATGAGAGGATACTAACGCAGCAGAAGCTCAAGTTAAACGCCTCCTTGGCCCTCTCAGTTGGTCTCCTAGCCCCCAGCATCCCTGACCGACCCCCAAGGCTCCCATGCTCTCTAGACTTTAACACTGGAGTGTTAGGTTTCTCAATAAAATATTCCATTTATTGAGCGCCTCGGCTTTCCTGAGATTCCCCACCCCAAGAGATGAAGAAAGCGATTCAGTTGTAGTGTGGGTCGGCTTCCAAGCACTTTTCCTCCCTCGTGCTCATTTGCCTTCTTTCTTTTTTGCCATTCTTCCCAGCTACTAAATTTCTCCCTCTCCCTCAGGGTAACTTTGACCTAAATCTTCAGTGCCTGCTTGCCTCAACCAGGCCTTATGCAGCGGTTACACAGTCACCTCCAGAGCCCATGTTTTATTTAGGAGGAAATATTGCCCATTTCTACCCGGGTAATAACCTGCCAGCCCTATGGGGCCAAAGTAAACACCAGGCCCATGGATTAAGGCCTTCGGCAAGGATTAGGCTGCAGTTCACTAGGTACTCCTTCTGAGTAGGCCCTTGTAAGCAGTGAGAAATAAACTATTATGAAAAACAAGTTCCTAATGAAAAGATACCAGGTCCTGAGATCGAAACTGCTAGTAAACAATTTATATCTGGAGGGCACTCTCAATGCTTTCAAGACTCTGAATTATCCAGCGGTGGAGTTGGGCTGCAGTCCCACAGAGGAAAAATAAAGGCTGCTTTTACATATCTGGCTTTAGCAAAAAAAGAAAAAAAAATCAGAGCTTCTCATATCCATGCATTTATGCATAGTTAGAAAATTTTTCCACAAGCAATGATGTTCTTTTCCCATTCATCTTTAAGAATGTCAACATTTTCAGGGATATTTGATGTGTCTGTTTTGAATCTATCAGGTGCAATCTATTACTAAACAACATACTTTTAAAGTTTTCTAAATCCAACCATTAAGATGGCCCTTCCCCTGTTAGGGAAGTGTTGGGGCCTTTTCACACACCCTTTGAATTGCAATATTCTTAGATTTGTTCATAATAAACAGCCTCTGGCCTTAGAACTGGAGGCGGCTCTGGCATTGTAGGGAGGGCTCCCGCTGCAGAGAGCAGCTCACTGGGTGGGCGCTCATTTCTTGCCTTGTTGCTTTGCTCCGTCATAGTTTGGGAGCCAGCCTTCAACAAAGACTAGTAACTATGATAGGCAAAATTTACGCAACAAACAGGCAGTGCCTACTTTCTCTGGGATTCACCCCACTCACCACGCACTGTATATTTGGGAAAAGAAAAAGATGTGGGAAACTAATGGAAAAATAGTAGAAAAAATTAAATATAGGAGAAAGAGGGAATTTGAATCGATCCTTCAAAATGTAATGGAATTTTTTCATTTAAAATGTGTTTGATGACAACCCCAATGGAGTGATTGCTCCGTCAAAATTTATCCTCGGTTCCAGCTTTTTAAAAAAGTATTAGTATTTACCAATACATTTTTGCATATTTGCAAAATATCTTCTACAAAAGATCTAATTTTCATATGTAAGAAATTGCTGCGAAATTGCAGCTGGGTTTATAACAGCGTACTCCAAGTATGCAACACAGAGACTTGTCTGGCACTCTCAAAAATCACATGCGACTTCTCCGAATTGGCCTTTTTCGGAACAAAGGTTTTCTCCAAGCTGCCGGGCAGACATAGAGATGCACCTAGTAGGAAACCAGTGACCTCCAGGACTTCTGCCCCTGGGAATAAGCTCGCCTTAGCGGCCGCAGACTTCTACCACCCCATTGTTTAGAATGGAAACTTTGTTTTCCTCAACCCGCGATCACCTTTTTTTTTTTTTTTGCCCTCCCACAACCCCCTATCGCAGCACAGCTGGAACACTTTCGCCTAGATGCCTCTCATCCCTAGCCCATTCTATTCTGTGTATTTCTACAAAATCGAAAGATTCGCCTTGAGTGAAATGCTGGCGCAAGGAGCTAAAATCCTCAACTTTTCTACTTAGGCCTCCCCCTGCTTTCCAACCTTAGGGAGCAATGGGGTGGGGGCTCCCTACCGCGTCACCCCACAAACCCAGCCACGTTCCCGAGAGCCCTGCTTAGACATCGGCCACCTCCCCACTCCCGCCCCACCAGACTGAAATTGCTAAACTTGTGGCCTCTTACCTTGACACATTTCCGAAATCACTGCCAAGGGACAGCTGGCTTCTCCGCGCGGCGACGCTCGCGAGGCCTAGCGAATGCGCGTTGCTTTAAATTACCATACCAATCACTTCTTGAGGGTGAGTCCCCTTTTTCTGTTATGAAGGGGAGCGGGACAAGTGAAATAATGTACCGTGCTGCTCTTAGTATCAGAAGCGAACAAAGGCCAAGAATCATGCTGGGGTTCCCGGCTCCCCGGCGGCTTTGACATTGATCGGAAGTGCGCCATCTCGTGGCGGCTGCGCGCCTAGGTTGGGCCGGAGTTCCAGCCCCGAGCCGAGAGACGGAAACCAGCTCCGGGCAGAGAGAGAAGGAGAGAGGAGAGGATGTGCCCAGCCCGCTGCTATTGAGATCTCATTTTTACATCTAAGAAATCGCTGCAAAACCCCAGCCGGGTTTATAGCGGCGCATTCCAAATATGCAAATTGGCCGGCCCCGGACGGGTTTACGACCACATTGTCACAGCCATCGGAGGATGGGCTTTTATAGGGCTCAGAAATCAAACCCGCGCCCGCCCGCCGCCCGCCCGCGAGCAGTCCTCCTGGCTAGACTCTCTCTAGCAACTTGAGAGACTTTGGTTAATCTTTAACCATCCCAAAGGAAGTCTTTCCCTAAACCCAGGCTTCCCAGCCCGCCCCCTCCCTGCCCCCCAGGAGGGCCCTTGTTCATGTCTGCGTGTCTGCCTATCAACCTAGACATTCATCTCTAGATCTGTCCCACTACCCTTTCAGCTCGATTTCCCCAGTCGCGCCAGTTAGACAAACACACAAACAAATAAACAGAGTGGGGTCTGGGGCCTCTCTCCAAATGCGACCCTATCTGCTGCTCTGGCCCTGCCTGGGTGGCTGAAGAGAGGGTGGGGTGGGCAACAAAGGGCTCTGTCCTTTCAGCCCTTCTCCTCAAGGTTATGGGTGATGTCCAATTTTAAGGCAGAAGTTCAAAGGCAGCAAACAAAGAGGAAATCGGCATCCTTTTTTTTTCCCCCAAAGGGAAAAAGCAGCCTCAGCTGGGAGCTGGGGAGAAAGCACCCTTAGAGGCTCCTGGGAGTCTGCTCTGCCTTGGAACCCAGACCAGGCTCCCTCTTGTTGAAGCCTCCACGGGCCCCCGGACGGTCCCACTGCAGGCCTACCTGTCCTGAGGTGAGCGAGGGCAGCCTGGGGTCTGACCTGTTGGCCACCTCAGGCCCCAAGGCCCTCTCCAGGGCTGAGATCAGTCTGAGGGGATAAAGTCCTATATTCCAGGCCCTGAGATACCACCCAGGTCCCCACTTCCCACAAGGACGTAGCCAACCACCTTGGTTTCCTAAGCCTGGCTTCTGTTGTAGCCAATTCCTGACTCAGTCACCTTCTCACCCCCTCAGGGGCCTGATAACTTGCTCCTCAACTAGGTAAGGCATTTTTTGGGGGGGTGGGGGGAGGGGGGCAGACATTTGGTAGTAAAAGGCGATCAGGGAGAGGAATGTCACACCAGGATACTCAAATTTCCACCGTCTTTATTTTCCTTGTGCCCAGTTGCCTGTATAAGTGCTGCAACACACACGGTGGGTAAGAACCAGAATTGAGGACAGGCCAACACTCCCAGTACAAATGGAGCCAACAGACATTTCTTAACACAGGGAGGCAAAGGAGATTCAATGGGAGGGTGCCTGGCTTTCCCAGATGAGATCCCCAGGCCGGCCAGGCCGACTGCCTCTGAGCATTTCCCTAACTCTTTCCAAATGTTGCAAGAGATTAAAAAGACCATTCTCAATACCTTTTCCACCCCCTCCAACACCCTAAAGGAAATCAACTAATGGCAAAAGAAAAAAGAAAAAGAGAAAGAAAGAAAAGAAAATTGATTATGGTTCCTTTATTTACAAGTTTTTTGAACACCATCCCTGTATGAAGCATACATTCAAATATTCTTAGCAGTGAGCGAGTTTAACCACGGAACACTGTAAACAGATAGGGCCTTTAAATATTTTCATCATCTCTTTTCCCCTCTACATTGCATCTTTTAAAATTCGCTTTGGTTCCTTCAGGGAAATATATATATATATAATATAATATTTATCTTTTAAAATAATTCCACCTCACTCTCAGGCTCTTGGAAGGTCACCAGAAGCTTCCAAGCTCAGTTCAAGAGCCAATGAGGGCTGAGTGTGGTGCTGGAACCCGGTGTTTTGGGGGACTCAAGGCCCTCATAGCCAAAGCTGGGGACCTGCTGGCCAGGCCCACTGCTCTGCAGCCAGACACTGAGCAAATCCAAGTTTCATTACGTGTGGTGGAGAGTTTGCCAAACTGCCACACTCCACAGCCATTTCCTGCAGAGATCTCAGGGGCCAGTGGCCTGGCTGCAGCCTCTTGGCTTTTCCACATCTCCCACCTCAGGGAACAGTCCACTCTGTGTCGAGGCTTTGGGCCTGAGTGGCAGGCTGGAACCAAGACCCTCATTTGGTAGAAAGAAAAGCCAGGTGGGCTGTAGGAGGCGGTGGCTAGGAACTCAGGGCTGGATCAGTGTGGTGGGTGGCTAGGAGGAGTGGAAAGACACTGATGCCACCTGGAATCATAGATTTCTTTTCCCACAAGGATTTGCAGCCCTCTTCCACCTCAAAGCTACCTCCAAGTCCAGCCGCTGTTCACATTGGCTTTGGAAAGCAGCCTCATTCTGGGCACCTAGTAATCCTACCCCTTCCTCCTGCCCCTGTCCCCAAGCTGAACTGGGCTTGGAGAGCACACAGCTTTTTTACTCAGGGGTCCTGGGGGTGGGTAGGCTCCCAGTAGAGGGAGGGTGTGGTGGGGTTAGTCTCCAGGGGGTCTGGCAGGGGCCCAATCCCCAGTGGAGACCACACCCAGCCCGCAGCTCTGCAGGCTCCAAGAGTGAACCACCAGGGGTCCCAAACCTGTCATTCTAGCTGATGCACAGCTCTCAGAATCCAATGATTATTAGGAATCTTAACCACTGAGATCTTAATCAAGAGAGTCCCAGACCACCTCCTGTGGGGCTATCTCCATGCATCCCTCTCTTGCACACCTCTTTTCAAAAGTCACCATGTGGCTTGACTTTGTCAAGGGCAAAATCTGCATATTATCTCATGTGTATGAAGCCCCCCACCCAATTCCAGCCGCTGGAGTCTTAGAGGAGTGGATTTGCTGAGTAGTACTGTAAACGGTCTCTGTTAATTTTTTTTTCCTTCATTCTCCTGTTCTGAAACCAGATTTTGACTTGACGATCAGTGAGGTTGAGCATGCGGGACAGTTGCAGGCGCTTCTCTTTGTTAATGTAGACGCTGAAGAAGAACTCCCGTTCCAGCTCTCGGATCTGGTACTTGGTATAGGGGCAGCGCTTTTTGCGGGTGCGTTGGCCACCTGTGGAGGGAGAAAAGGCATGGGGTGAGCCAGGTGTGGGGGCTGCAATCCACCCCAGAGCCCATAGCTGAGGAGAAGGGCTGCCATGGGGACTGGTGGTCCAGCCCAAGCCCCGTCAAAGTCTGCCCAGGCCCCTGCCTTTAACGCTCCGACTGCATGCTTGGAACGGCCGCAGTTGGAGGCTCAGCCACAGATAAAAGCCAGCTCCCTAAATAGGCCCCCGGGGAAGCTGCTCCCGCTGCCCCCAGAACAGAAAGGAGAGCTTCGCACAGCAACAGGCGAGTTTGCGCTGCCTAAGCCTCTTTGAAAGCAGCCAAGTGGGGGTTGCCGGCTGCCTCTCGCAGGCCAGACTAAACAAACAGCCGCCTGCGGACATTTCACCTTCCAGCACCTGGGCTGCCCCTTCCCAAGGCAGTAAAGGCGGCTCCAGTCCCAGTCTTTCCCGGCTGCGGCCAAGACTGGGCAGTCCTTAACATCTGGGGCGGCTGCCGGGTCTTTGTCAGCCTGAGTCCTGGCCACCAGCTTCTGCCTCCCCGGCCAGCCTTCCGGCTCCGCCGAGGTGGGGAGGTGGCGGCGGAAGCCCCCTACCCTAGGCCTTCGCTGAGCACCACGGCCACACGGCCATCCTGCACACGGCAGAGCAGCGGCTCTATCTTAGGTAGGGTGAAGGGAAAGGGGGCTTCCCGAAGCTGCGGGCAGGCTCTACTTGCTCCCCCTTTAAAAAAAAAAAAAAAAAAAAAAAAAAGACCCACAAGACAAAAAAAAAATCGCTTTTGACAGATTGAATAACAATTGTGAATAACATGCAGTTGGGCAGAAGGAGGCACGTAATTGCCACCACGCCAGAGGAAAATGGCTTCCTTTGGACAAAAAGGCCAACTTTGGGTTAATTTGTTCTTTTAATATATTGCTAGAGCTAAGCGGGCTACTTTATCTGTTAAACGCGCTCCTAGCGCCGTCGTTAAACAGCGACGCCTTTGAATCCCGGCCGGGACTGGAGTCCCGGCGCAACACATGGCTTTTATAAAAATCTCCGGATTACCTCGCTATCAAAAGCTCCCGAAGCCCTTGCAGGGGGAATTTACAGGCGCCCACCTCCGGCTCCCCAGCCTGGAGCTGGCCCCGAGCGGGGTCGAGCTGCTGGGCTTGGGAGCTGAGAAGGGAAAAAAGGGAAAAGGGGAGTTGTTTTTTTTTGCAGGCATGCCTTGGCCGGTGGGTATTTCACGGCCAATTTCAGCACTCGCCACGTGATCCCGCCTTTTATAACAAAGTTTTGTTGGGGGAAACCTAAAGGCCCTTCATAAACCTTATATGCTTATAAAACAGCATATAAAAATTTAACAGCGGTGCTGCGCTAGATTTCCAACTCCCCTTTCATAAAGCGCAGGGCGCTGCCTTTATACGTACTGGAGCCGCCGGCCTTGTCCTCAGTGTGGCCGGAAGACGACTCGGGGCTGCTGCTGCTCTCGGGGCGCCGCCGCCGCTCTTTCTCCTCTGCTGCCGCCGCCGTCTCCCGGCAGCCGCCGCCGCCGCCGCTGTCCGAACTTGAAGTTGCCGGCGCGCCCGTTGCAGCCGCCGCCGCCGCCGCGGAGGTCGCCGTGGCCGCCGGGGGCCCCTTCTCGGCGCTCTTGTCCCCGGGGTAGTCGGAGGAGGCGAGGTTTTCCGGGGTGCCGTAGGCTGTCTCGAAAAACTGGTCGAAAGCCTGTGGCAGGACGCCGTTCCTGCCCACGGTGCTATAGAAATTGGACGAGACTGCGGGGGTGGGGTGGTGGTAGACGTTGGCCGAGCTCTTGGCCAGCACGTCGCCAGGCACGCCGGCCGCGCTGGGCGCCTGCAGGCAGTCTCTGTGCACGAGCTCCTCCGCGGAGTAGCAGTGGGCCAGATTGCCGCGGGGGTGCCATTTAGTGGCGGGCTCAATGGCGTACTCTCTGAAGGTCACTTCGCGCACGGGTTGGACCTGGGGCAGGTTGGAGGAGTAGGAGTATGTCATTGGGCGCGAAGACGGGGTCTGGGGCAGAAAAGAAGGGAGGCTGGAGAAATCTGGACCCGAGACGTAGTAAGTACAACTTGGCAAATACATGTTAGAGGAGCAGGGACCACGCTCATCAAAATCCATTATTGGGCTACCTTGGGCTCTCCGCAGTAGCCGAGCTTAACATGATTCTCCACTGCAGCTGCCTCTTTGAAGCGGATCCGTGAAGTAGAAATTTGGAGACGTAAGCTGACGTGGAAATCTATCCCCATCCTTAGCAGGGAGGTGCTGGTCATGTGACCCGATGTTGAAATTGACAAGCTGCTAGCTAGTCCGGGCCTTTTCCCCCCCCCTTTCCTTTTTTTTTTTTCCTCCTCTCCCCTCCCTCCCGGCTTCCTTTCTTTGTAGCCACCTCAGGGGAAGCAACAGATCGTCACTCGGTGTTCTCACCGAAAGCACGTAATCGCCGGTGTAACTCATGTTGGCTGGGGGGCCTCCCGGCGCGCGCGGAGAGGCTGGGGTGCGCCCCCATGCAGCATGCTTGTGCTCAATTGCAGGGTCCTCGTTCTCGAGTGTGCAGAGGGCGGTGAGAGCTCAACTCTCGTCCCCACCTCCCACCCGCAGCTCCCCGGGTGGGTGAGGGATGCCCTGGACTGGGGATAGCCAGGTGGGAGTCCGTCGCTGTGTGGCCTGTGGTCTCGGAGTCTGTTCTCCTGGAGTCTCGCATTTGCACCCCCTTCTTCGCAGTCCCCCTCCCATAGACTTGCTCTGGGAAGCGCCTCTGCCTCCGACCCTAGCCGGAACCCCTTCGGGGCCAGAGTTTGAAGCCGTGGATGTGCCTGCCTGGTGGCTTGTCCGATTTGCACGGTGACTTGATTACACTCTCTCATTCATGGTCACTTCCGAAGCGCTTTAGTGCCTTCCGTCCCTAAACCGCCAACAGCCAGAACGGCTTCTCCCCGCGGTTTGTCACTGATCCGCAGGGCCCGGAAGGGCCTTCGTCTTACCCGGGATCCACCTCTCCCCTCATCTTCCCTGCCTACCTCTTCATCCCACCTTCTGTCCTTGGAGAAACTCCCTCCTCCTCGCTGCCTGCCGGGCTTCGGAGTGACTCGGCAGAGACAGAGGCACAGGGGCTGCCCTGCTGCTCACCGGTCCACCCATCTGCCTGGTCTTCTGGAGCTGAGGACTCGGGAAACCATGCAATTGAGGCAAGCCTTGGGCTGCTTTAGAGGCGCTGACATCCGAGGAGACTTCTCCTGGGTATGCTGCATCTTCGTGGGGGGCCCATCAGGCTGCTTACAGAGCTCCAGGGGTGTGGGGAGAATGGAGGTGGAAAGGACGGGCTGAGGGCCAAGGAGAGGTGGCTGAGAAAGGGGTAACCCACCTACTCTCCTACTCTCCTTCCTTGCAATGTGTGAGAGTGAAAGCAAGGGATGTGCAGGGCAAAAACTCAGAGAGCTCTGTGCCTTTCCTACTGCTCATTCCACAGGAGGAATACAATACCAGAGAAAGGAGAGGTGCTTCCCGAACTCCCTGCACCTGGGGAAACAGGGATGTCTTTAAAAAGCTAGGTTTGTGCTAAGGATAGAGAGAGGCCATAGCAATACTCTGAGTCTAGCTTTCTTGAGAAGAGGAAAAAAAATAAATTAAGAAGGCAAAATATGCTCCCCATCCTGCAGGATTGAAGGAGCAATGTTTGGAGGAAGCGAAAGAAAGGAGAGGACACAGAGCACAGAGCAGCCAGGCAGAGCCAGGAGCTGAGAAGGGCCCAGACCTGAGGCCTCCCAACAACTCTCTTCTTGGAAGGATCTGGGATGTTGCTGAAGGAAAATAAAAAAATATGTAAAAAGATAACCTTTTGTTTTTCCCTCTCCAGGAAATAGCCAAAGTTATTTACATATCTTGGGGAGATTTAGAGTATAAACTCTAAGATCTTTGGTATTTAAGTGTCAACATCGATTTATTTATTTATTGCTGAGCTGACTGTAACTGACTCAATAACAAATCTAATCGTGTATTGCACTGGAAAAGAAATATTCTTATTATGTATTTTCTCCAAATAATGGCCTACCATTGCATTTGAATACCTGCTGTAAATATCAATAATATGAAGTAATTACTCTGTAGTCGAGTAAACTAATTTATTAGCATTAATGTTTATGTGGCTCTCCACCTCCCCCCACCACCACCTTTACAAGGATTGCTTATCACAAATCAAGCTACTTGGACACATTGGTTTAATGAACTCTTTATTCAAGATTTGCTACAAGAATTTTCATGTCCTTTGAATCCCTGAGAACTGAACTTGAAATTATTTGTGCATCTTCAGCTTGACATATTTGTCCACTGTGGCTTGTCCAGAGGGCAGCAGTGCTGTGAGTGAGAAGGTCCAGTGGGAAGGAAGGTTATTGGAGAAGAGTAGCCTCAGACCTCCTAAAGCTGGGAAGCACATTTACAGAATTGCCCTGCAGCGAAAAAACTTCTATTTCCAGCAGTGACCAACAAGGCAAAATGTTTGTTTCTCCACAGCATCTCTTTTTTAGAGACAGAATATAAAAGACAGAAGGAGAGGTTTCAAACAGCGGTATTCGAGCTGTTCCCTGGCTTGATTTTGGCTATCCCAAGCTCTCTCTCTGCAGCCCACCCAGTCCACGCCACCCCTACCTTCGAACAAAAGGAATGCATGAAGGGTTTCAGTGACTTTGCCATAACAAAGGCGCCACCATTGCGGGGCTCGCCCCGCCCCTGGGTGAAGGCAAACAAATTCTTGCACTTGTATTAGGGCTTTTAAGACCATAATTGAACCCGGGGGCGTCTAGGAAAACCGAAAACAGTTCTAGACAGACCTGCGGTTTTATAGCAGTTTTGGCAGTCAACTTCAGCTTGTGCCTGAGCAGACGGGGTTGTGGTGGCCCGCCAGCGGGGGATGCCAGGCCACCTCCCCCAGCGGCACGCAGCCCCTCTCTTAATTAGATCGGTTTTCCCCTGGTGTCCGGGAGAGCGGTCCCGGCAGAAAGGTCGGTATGGGGGTGTGCGCTGTTCCGCATAACCACTGCCTCCCATGTCCTCCTCGAGGGCCGAACCGAGAGGGTGCTGGCAGGGCTGGATCCCACGGGTGTCCGCAGGAGACAAAGGCGAATTCCGGAGAAAAGGCTGGGGCTGAGAAAGGCGCTCCGGGAGCGGCTGGCAGGGCAATTCGGCAGGCTGCACCGAAGCCGAGTGCCCGGAGGGACTTGCCGCCCGGAAGGGGGTGTGTGGGGGCGCTGCCGTGAAGATGGATGAGGGAAAAGGTTTTTGATATCAGCAGAAGGGAAAACGCCTGGAGTGGCCGAACACTTTTAGTTGCCCAGCAGGAATAGGAGACGGGTACTCAGCTCCCCAAGGCTGCGCAATATCCCAGCTTTGCCCGCTCCTGCCCTCGTGTTCGGAATATGCTGGCGGTGTGAATGTGAAGGTTTCTCCAGGCAGGCGGCTGGGGCGAGGGGTGGGCGCAGCTCTGAGGATCAGACCAAATCTAGGGGAAAAAGGGGAGGCAGACCTTCGGGTCCTTGGTTTTGACTTTGCTCTGAGCCTATGATTGACTCTTCCGCTTTGCAGGAGGTCCAACAGCCGAGCTTAGCCCACCGGGCTCTGGGAAAGACCCGACTGAGGCTAAAGCCGCCCCGGAAGGCCAAGTCCGAGTTCCATTTCTTGAAGAGGCCGGCGCGCGTAAGGCTGTGACATTGGCCCTGGCGACTGGCTTCCCAGGAGCTGTTCTTTCTCAGGAGCTCCACAGCGCGGGCCATCTCCAGAAAACTGTCTTCAGAGTGTATTTCCTTTTATCGTCAACCCAGAGCCCCACCGCGGCTAATGCAAGAGGCCAAAAAATGTTTGGAGGAAGAAAAACAAAGGCAGGAAGTGGCGGCGGCCTGACGGTGCGTGTGTGTCTGCAGAGAAGGGAGGGAGCCGGCTCAGTCTCTTCTTGTTTTTCCAAACTTCAAGGTCCAGGCAGCCCTCTGCAGGGCCGGGCCCCATTGCTCCCCGCGCGGCATTGGAGGTGGCCGCCCGGAGAGGAGAAGGCCAACGCCTGCGCCAGGCTTGTCAGGCGGAAACGGCTAACAAGGAGATTTGGTCAGCAAAACAGACCCAGCCTTTCCGAGGCTTCGTCTGACTTGGCCCGAAAGGTTGGGGAGGGGGGGCTTGCGCAGAGCCTCAGGGACCCTCCTCTCTGGGGACTACCATCCCTGAGCCTTACGCTTCTTTCCACAGCCTTTGCAGGCGGAATATCGGAATAAAGTGGGTCCAGGCGCCTCTGCCGCCTCCGCTTCTTCTTGCAGCCTGAATGGTCCGGGAGGCAGCGGGAGGGCGCCGGCGGGCAGTGCCCAGGCGGGGTCGCCTCGAGGCCGTCGGTGAGCACCGGGCAATGCGAGGCCTTGTTACCGAGGTTGTTGTGCTGGGGGCGTTTCCAGCACAGTCATTCAAGGGACGTGAGCTGCAAGGATCGTCACTTGACAGGCGGCTTAACACCCTCTCACTCCAAGGGAGGATACAGCTGGGTGGCCGGGAGCACCTCCACACTCCAGGCTTCCCAGCTCCAACTGGCAAAGCTGCTGGGCCACCCTCTTCTCTCCCTGGGGCTGGCTTGGGAGGCAGCAGCTGCTCCTTGTCCCAGAAATCTGAGAATTCGAAGTCCCCAGTACTTGCACATGCAGCCCTTTAAATGCCCAGCATTTGTCCACAGTCTCAATGTCAATGCCAAGCTGCCCCAGTCACCACTGTCCTTCTCAAGGGGGTCCTGTCCCTCTACAGTTCCTGATCCTGCTCCTGTCCCCCCTACAGTTCCTGTCTCCTGCCCTGCCTCCTTCCAGCCATTCTCACCTGCTGGGACCTCCTGTCTCTTCCCTACCTCTTTTGATGCCTCTGCTAGACTGAGCAACAGCTGAGGTGCCACTGGAGGGCATCCAATACTCAGGCGCAGAGAAGAGGGGCTGTTAGGTCCCTGACTCTCCCCCAACTTCGGGCTTCCACCAGAGCCTGAACTGAGTCTCCCACCTCCTTCTTAGGAATACTCCACCTCAAGGCCCCACCAAGTCTGGCTTATCTCCCTTCCTCTCCCCTCCCTTCTCTACCCTCCTTTCTTCCCCAACACTTCCTCCTTCTCTTCTGCGGACCCAGCTGCTGCTTTTCTAGGCTGGGCAACCCAGATGGGATAGGCCTGGGAGGGGTCAGGACCCACTTGACAGACTGAATCTCACTCCCAGATGGCTACAGTTAAGTTTCTCTCTTGGTGGATTGCTTAGGGCACCATCATTATTTTGCCTCCTCCTGCTTGCCTAATCCCTTACTTTCCTCTGTCCACAAATGTCACACTGTTTCTAGAAAGCTACACAGAAGAGTATTTCAACCCTGGTGACCATACTGCACACAGGTGCAAGAACTGGCCCGGAGGCCCCGGGTAGAAATGGCAACAGAGCTCTTCTCCATTACAGGAATATCTCCTTCCAAATCAAAGGGTTCCTGTGGGCACATCTGTCTTATGTGGTGAGCTAGGGGAGATGGGTTGTCTGGGAAGGCCCAGGAGATCTCCACGTATTTGTTCTCAGGGCATGGCTTATTGCCAGATCATAGACAATCCATCACATTTTCCAGGCGCTGCCCAGAGGCAGCACTGAAGCTTCAATTAAAAAATCAAGAGATCACCTCTATCACTACCAGGTGGAGGCAGGGGTTAATTTGTCCCTTTGTTGAGACACCTCACCCTCCCCGAAGGTCCCCAACACTTCCTAAAAGCTCAGAAACAGGTAATGCCCTGAAGTGGACCTCATAATTCTGCTTGGTCTGACTGGCAGTTTCAGTCATCCTTCAAAGCCCCTAAATATCTGAAAAGGCCCATACCCTTCCCCTGGCCACTGCAGAGTGGGGCACAGGGCTCAGCTGAGGGTCTCAAGTACCTAAGCAATCTAGTTATCATTTACTTTAGTGGATCCCAAACTGAAGGGAGAAGAGAAGATTACTTCCTTTAATAACTATTTTTATTTTTATTGTTGCCAATTATTAGACTTCTTTTTCCTATAGCATGGGAACAAATGGGGTGGGGGAGACTTTGAAGGGCGAAGCCCTAGTTCTCAGTGTCTGCCTTCCATTCCCCATGCAGCTTTGGCCCAAACAGGTTTCCCAGCAGAGTGTGTCTGAGATAAAGAAGACAAAAGGGGGTGGCCCAACCCGAAGGTTGGCTCTGGTCCTTGGGTCTCGGTCTCTACAGCCGTAGCTCACAGGAAGCCCCCACGCCACAAAGCTCCAACTGCTTCCTAGGGCAGCTCCATTTCCACTCAGTGCTCATGTTGGCTCACATTCCAGGCTTGAGAAGAGCCATCACCCCATCCAGCCCTCCTCCCCTACACACCCTTCCAGGCAGTTCTGCGATGGGACCCATTCACAGATCATTGTTTCTGCTATATATGCCCCCACAGCCCAGCCCAGCCCATCCACGCAGCCCTAGGGGTACAATCCAGATTTTTGGCTTCCGCGAAAAGAAATCCTTTGCATGTCCTCTTTGGTTCACCTGGAGAGATAGGCTCAGCGGCAGATCACGCTTAAGCTAACGTTTACCGCAGGGCCTGATGCTCTGATCTGCTGGAGGCAGGCTATAGGCAGGGGGTAAGGGGCTCTCTCCCTCGCAGAGCGCAGTGAAGGATTCTTGGGGGCTGGGAGTCAGGAGTTTTTACCTTGGAAGAGTGCGCCTCACATCTGTGTGGATTTTAGGCAGGAGAAGAGCATCAAGGGTCTCACCAAAGGCTTGCCACTCACTGAGGGAGAGGCCTGGATTCTGGGACCCCAGGAGAGTCTCTCCAGCAGGGTCTTGGCTCCCCTATCCTCTTCCCTGCCAAGTCGGCCCTATGTTCCTACCAGGACCCAGAACTCCGATCCAGCCACGTCCTTTCCCCTGGGCTTGCAGGCGCTCCCTCTCGCCCCCGCTAGGCCTTAGCGGGCTCCGAAGTCTGCTGGACTGGGGCAAACCCCGCTCTTCTGGGACGGGGACACGGCCTGGGCCACCCGTGGCTGCCGGGACTCCTTTCCAACAGGGCTGGGGATGGGAGAGTTGGAAATCAAGAAAGAACCTCTGCCTCCAGTGCACGAGCCCAGAGCCCAGGCTACCAGAACCCGCTTGCAGCAAGGTAACTGTGCGTCCTGTGCCTTCTTGAGGCGGCGGCAGCGATCGGCCCTGACCATAGAGGCGGCCGTGGCGCGGAGGACTTGACCTTTACGGCACGAGAGGAGGGCGCTGGCTGAGCCGCAGGGAGGGGGACGCTGCTCTCTCCAGCCTCCTCCACCCAATAGCAGTCCGCTCGACCCACGCCAGCTGCGCGCTCACCCCCTTTCCCCCTCCATTTTGTGCAGTGTCCGCAGACCCGCGGCCGGAAACAAAGCCCCCAGCCCTGCTCTCACCACCCTTCTTGCAAGCTGCTGTCGCCAACCCCCCAGACCAGAGGCTCAGAGCTAACGCTAAGCCCCTTAAGGCCCTCTCCAGGGCCCTCTTCTCTCGCCAGCCGCCCTCAGCCAGCTCCTGACCCCAGCCGCCCTCAGCCAGCTCCTGGGTACCACTCTGGGTGCCAACCGGGACCTGCCGGTGCCACGGTCCCGTGCGCCGGGTCCCGGCCTCGGGCTGCGGGCGGCTTCGGGGCCTACAGCCCAGCGGCGCGGAGCGTGGCAGAGGCGCGGGGCGCAGCGCAGCCCGAGGCTGCCTCCCGCCCGGGCGGACGGCGCGGCCGCTGGGGTGCACAGCGTAGCCCCGCGTGCCCGGCTCGCTCTCCGTTCCCTCGGATAGCTCCCACCGCTCGGCTCCGGGCTCAGAAAGCGGAAGTATTTGGTAGAGAAAAACACGGTTTCTTTTCAGCTCGTCTCAAAATCCCTTTTAGAGAAAATGCTCCTGTCAAGTTTTATTTCCCGTTGCAAACCACCTTCCACGCTGCCAAGAATTAAGACCGGGAGAGATTAAATACCCGATTATTCTCCTGGGGAGGGCGGGGCGGGGCCGGGAAGTGGGCACCCACACCAAACATTCCTTGAAGTAGGCTTGTCCTGATCCAGCCGCGCCCGGGGAGCCCCACGAAGGCCCGCGCGGCCTGCGGTGACGTCAGCCTGCAGTTGCGGGGCCACTCACCCGCACAGACACGGCCCTTGCTGTTCCGCGCCGGGACCTCCGCCAGCCGTCCTGCCGCAGCCCCGACTGGCCCGCGTGCCGTCAGAGGGAGGCCCGCTTTACACCGGCCTGAGCCTCCATTTTGAGTAGGGGGTTCTTGTAGAAGCGTGGAGGGTTTGGGGCCGCGCCTCTGTCCCCGAGGGGCGCGACATCAGGTAGCTCTCCGAGTTCACACCCCAGTACCTGGGGGAGGACCTATGTCGCCGCATAACCGCCCGCAGAGGTTTGGAAATCTCTGAGACCCGTTGTAATTATTTCTGCCCAGTGGATCCGGCTCTTCAGCGTCACGAGAGCCGGGCAGAAATGAAATCAACTGTGGCAAGGCCTTGGCTGCTTTCACGGAGGAGTTTTTCTGCGCCAGTGTCTTTTTCCTTCCCTTTAAAATAAAATTAAAAATAGCAAGCACTTCTCAGGCATTCATCAGAGATAGATAGATGCACGAGGATTGAGTGGGCATTTTCATAAAGAATGAGGCCGGCTGTTATAGACCGGCGGCCTAGCAGATGAAAACTTAATTAGCGTGCCTGTCCTAAAACCTAGGCATAAATCTCCCTCTGCCTTTTGGATAACGCTATATCTTTGCTTATGAGAAATGGGATGTGAGCAACTCGCTGCACATTTCTCTGATTCTCCAGGTCTTGGTCGGCTGACACGCATTCGATCAAGTTTAAAGGAATGCGCATAAATCAGCAAGCCCCTAGCGTCTCCTTGGGAGAGGTCCGCAAATCCAGGAGGGCGCCTCTGAACCCACCGGGTCTGGGGATTAGCAGTCCAGGGCAACCTCCGTCTCTGCTCCTGAACTCGGGAATTCACAGAGGAAGCAAGACACTGCATCTTCACCAAGGCCTCCAAACACATGCAGCAGAGTGCAATCTGCACTTACATGTATTACAAAGTGAAATCTGTGTCAACTCTCCGCACACAAATGTTGCATCTGCAGCTGAATTTCACTGCCTAGTGGTGAATTTTTAAGAAAAGATTTCAACTAGGTTGTTTTAATTTTTTTCTTCCCTTTTCTGTTAATTTTTTTTAAAAACCCACAACTTGAATAACTTGAATGGGTGGCTTCAGCTCTGCATCAGTCACAAATAGGAGTGAAATGCATAGCGACATTTAACAATCATCCACTTAAAATAAGTAAATAAATATGATAGTACTGAGAGCAGATAGAAAAAGTAGCGTTTTTTTTTAAAGTCCCATTTTTATTTTCTTAATTCAGGAAGAGTTTTCTTTTTAGAAAAAAATACTTTAATCAGGCTTTCAACAACATTATCCATGGGTCAGTGGCTGATACTATTATTCCTATTTTTCAGGAGGTGGCTGGTCTCTCCTTGATTTTTGTTTTTGTTTTTGTTTTTGTTTTAAGGTTTTAGACTGATTGCTATTTGGGCATTAAAGGAGCCATAATAAATAATCCATGCCCACTTTAGGTTATCTGGTAGATCCACAGAAATTTTAAATAGGAGGAGAGTTAGGTAAGATCGACACTATCAATGACCATTTTAGAACTGGGGGGAAAAAATCCCCACAACAACCCTGAAATGTCTTCTGTCATTACAGTTTCAAAAACTAGAGAGAGAAAAAAAGAAGGCTACTACTTTACCCAGGGTTCCTGTAGTGGTGATGGCTTTCGAAAGGGGCGGGATCCCGGCTGGAGAGCTGCTGTTGGCCTCCTTCCTAGGCTCGAGGCTCAGAATATTTCTTACATCTAAAGAAAAATATCCCCTGTCAACAGAAGAGTCCCTTTTGGAGCTGTTCTTAAACACACAGTTTGATCCAGCTTTGAGGGGATTTTCCACCACTTTAAACATTTTGGGAGAAAGTTGTTACTTTGGCTTGATGGCAGCTCATTTGGAAATGGAGTACTGTTTGGAACAAGAGGTGGAGAGGTGGGTCTGAAGCAACATTATCATTTGTTTCCACAAGTGGAGTGAAAATCCTCAGGGCAGCAAAATATAATTGAATTTCTCGAGACCTTTCGATATGTATGTTTCAACACCAGCCTGTTTTTGAGACAGCTTTAGAGACTCTTTCGTAATTCTCATCTATAAAGAAGTTGTGAGTCCTCAGGAGAGGTTGGAGAGGTTTCCGGCAGCCACTTTTGTAACCAATCAATATTATTTTCCATAAAATGATGAATCTGGTTCTTCCATTCACTATTACTTTCCTCTAACGTAAAGATAAAATTAGCCTGCATCTCACAATTCTGCATCCCACGGCTACTGATTCCACCAACATTTTAATACATATGCGCATAGCATAGATTTGACAAAAACACATTATCCTATGTGTATATTAAATATACAAACATACATATGTATTCTTTATGACTCTGAATACAGCACCTGATTGTTGTTAGAGGTCAACAGTAGATATAATATTATTATTATAGTTTTGATGGAAGTTGTTAATATTAAACATATTTATTTATCCTACAAATCAAATGGCAGATTCACAAGCATCAATATAAGATTGCACACCACCCTGGAGCAGTACTCAGCTCTGAGTTATCCAGGATAACTCTCGTTCTGTATCCAATCCTGTGGTCATTTTGTAGATATGAAATATTAAGTCCTCTTTACTGACCTCTCAAGAGGTGGGTTTCTTAGACTTTCTGAAACATAACTCTAGAACTCTAGACTTAGCAAGGCATCTGAATCTTAATTTGCTGTAAAGACTCCTCAATAGCTCTAATTACAGTGTGAGACCACCCTGGAGGGTGAGGACCAGGAAGGAATGGTGATTTAAGAACACATCTTAGACTGTAACAAAAATGTACAGCTTTAAAGCAGATCTGCAGAAATCTGATGCAGAGCAAGCCACTGTGAAGACAAATCAAATTTGGCCATTAGAGAAAAGGAACAAGGCTTCATCTTGTAAAGTACATTTTGTACCTCAATTCTAGAAATCACCTTAAATTACAATATCTTGCGTCATTAGCAATTAATGATATGATATCTGTACAGATTCTACAAATATATATACAAGCACACACAAGCACTAATATGCAAATGTATACATGTGTACACATATTATATATATTTACATATATACAGGGACATGTATAATTTACATATATTCAAATTTGCTCCAGCTGGAGCCAAATAATTGAGTACTGAATCTCTAAAGTCAAGGAGGTAAGAGCTCTTGATTCCCTTGGTTGAAGAATTACAAGGAGGCTTGTCAACGCGAGGTGGCGCCCTTGATCTACTAATCCAGCTAAGGCCAATTCATGAGCTGTCAAAAGTCAAGGTCACAAATTGTCTTTTTTTTCGTCAAGGTCAAGGTTTAAGGCCTTTCGTAGTCCTGTCATTTCAACAAATATCAAAACCTGCCCTCTCAGACACATGCAGACCCAACAGCAGATTTTAAAATACGACAGCCTAGGCATTGCTGCTACAAAACAACTGGTTTTCATTTTCCACAGGGAGCCTGGGAATTCATACTATCTCTTCCTCCTTTCTTTTCTCTCCCTTTTGTAATACCTGACACTTTAATCTCCTTGAAGCACTTATCATTTTTTAGGATTTTAGTTATGAGGGATTTCTCCCTTTTCTTAAAAATTTGGTAGCAAAAGAAGTACTGAATAATAATAAAGAATGGTCCTTGGTTTATATAAGATAAACCTGCTCCTTTTCTTTCTGTGCAGTGCACATTTAGCATAGGAAAGTAAAGAGTATTTTCTGCAGATTTTAATGGCAGTGACTATTTTATTAACAATTAATATTACGATATCACTATCTACAGGTCTAAGGGTTTTTTTTTTTCATTTTTAGTAGAAATATTTAAAAAGCAGGTGCACAAATACATTTTCACAGTGTGCTGAATGTCTTTATTTACAAGATATCATTCTATAGTGAATATGAACAAAACGAATGTGCTGGTTGAAATAACTGCTTGATTAAAAATGTGCTGTGAAGATGAATCACTAATCTTTCTAATGCACTCTGATAACACAATAAACATGGAAAAATACTAATCCCTTAATAGATCAAAATATAGAATATAGACACCTAAATATTTCAGGGGAATGAATTTTCATTCTGAGTTTTCTAAAAAAGAAAAAAGAAAAATGATTTCTCCAGCAAATGTTTAGCAAATATTGGGAAATGCCAATTCAAATGAAAAAACGAATTGTGTTCAAACCAAAGTCCATCATGTTGGGATGGAAACTCTCGGGAGATCTCACATAAAGTGAATTCTGTGGATCATCTGATGATGTAAACATTTTCAAAAAGATACAAAATCCTTTGGAAAATAACGGATATTGGAGCAGTAAATATAGTTCAAATGCCACAAAATATGCTTGTTATAAGCAATTAAAAATTATTCTTAAAAAGACATTACCGACCCGGGTTCTCTTGTAGCCTGAAAGGTTCAGCTGGTTGGTTTTACTATACTACCAAGACAAATGATCCTCAGAAGAGTTTTCTCTCCCTTTCTCCCTTCACAGCAAATATTCCAAGATCATTATTTCAGTACCTTCTCGTTTCCCCTCTAAATCTATACATAAAATGTTTTGCAGAACGTACAACAACGGTAGGAATTTCACTAAGATTTACCTGAGCAGACGCTTAACATGCAAAGGGAATGGCGACCTAAGAAGGACAAGCAGATGTTTACAATGGCCTCTTGCGTTTGTAACCAACTTCCAGATTATTACCATCTAACGCAGTGTCCTAAAATGTAACGATCACTTAAATACTTACAAGATTTCAGTAACTGCGTAACTTATCTGAAATTGCGTATTTTGGGGGTTGACGTTTGACATTTAACGGGCTGGGCTGATGGGGTTGGCGGAAGAACTGGCAGTCTTTACCTTTCTTAAAGTTTTAAAACAGTTGTAGATTCCATTAAAGAGAAAGAGATCTCCTTCGGGAGAGGAAAATGCCAGTCTCTGTCTCTTTCTCTTTCCCATTCTTCAATTATTATTAAGCATTATTATCATTATCTGGGCAAAGCAACGAGTTCTGAAGCGTTTCTTCAAGTTGCCTTCTTGCTCTATTTTTAATCCATTAACTAGTGGTTTTCAGTTTGTTGATGACTTTTTTCTCTTTAACCCTCCTGTTCTGGAACCAGATTGTGACCTGCCGCTCAGAGAGATTCGTCGTGGCTGATATCCGCCTCCGTTTGTCCTTAGTAATGAATTTATTCGTGGCGTATTCCCGTTCAAGTTCTTTTAATTGCACCTTGGTATAAGGCACGCGCTTCTTTCTCCCCCTCCTATAGGAGCTGGCATCCGAGGGATGGGAGACCACGTCTAGAAGACAAGGGAGAAGGCAAGTTACACAGGGATCGGACCCCAGCCAGGGCATAGGCGACAGCTCGATCTGAGCCACCCGCCTTGCAGCGCCCGGCTGCTCTTTGCCACCCGCTGTACAATCCTGTCTTCTGCTAAAGCCTAGAGGGTCAGTGGGGAAGGTAGTTAGTTCTGAACTGAAATGAAATCACCCAGGGCTCCAGTGACTTCCCCAACCCGGCCATCCTGCAGGAGCAGCGCGTAGGCAGCCTCGAGTGATAGCCTGGTCCAACGGCCCACACCTTAGCGCCAGGCTCAAGGTACAACACTTCTGTGCCTGCCTCCTTTCTGGGTGCCCGTCCCAATACTCGAAGCTTCTACACTGAAGCCATTTTTGAGAGAATGAATAGGGAGGGGCAATTTGGGGAGCTGTTTTCTGGTCAATTTCTCATCCTTAAATTGGTGTCAGGGGCTGGGGAGGGCGGGGCGCAGAGGGAGAGGGAAGCTAGCCGAGGTCTCCACAAGCCACCCCTCACCCAGGGAGAGCCAGGGACCAGCTCAACTCGAGGCAGTGCAGGCAGACCCAGCCAGCCATGCTCGGGCTCCCAGGGGTGCAGAGCCGCTAGGGCAGACCAGGAAGAGAACAGAAACGCACCCGGGATCGCCCGGGTGCGAGCGGAGAAGAAGCTGGAGCAGAGCCGGAAGACCAGGGCTGGGAATAGGTCGTCATTTACCGGGCAGAGTGGACTTCCAGAGGTGGGGAGGCTGCGCCTGCTCTTTGGGGCAGTACATTTGGCCGTTCCAGCCGTTGGGCAGCGCCCAGGGCTGGTAGCTTTCCATGGGAAGACCCAAGGGTTCGTGGCGCGACTCGCCGGGGCCCCCGAGGCCCGGCACCACTGGCATATCCAGGTAGCCAGGCATGGGCTGATGGTGGTGGTAAGGCCCGGCTGCGTAGCCCTGGTGGTAGAAGGCGAACTCCTTAGCGCGGGAGCTGAACTCCTCGGCAGCTGGGCCGGCGGTATCCATGTACTTGTCCGCGAAGGCGGCGGCGGCGGCGGCCGAGGCGGGCTGCGCGCACGACTTGATGGCGTTGGGGTGCGGGCCCATGCGGGCGCACGGGTAGTAGCCGCTGCCGAAGTAGCCATAGGGCAGCGCCGCGGGCCCCGACGAGCTCTGCGCCGCTGCCGAGCAGGGGCTGCATTGCTTGGCGGCCTCTGCGCCCGCCGGGCCCGCCGGGCCGGGACCTCCCGAGGACGACGCGGCGGCGGCGGCGGCGGCTGCAGCGGCAGCCGCGGCAGCAGCGGCGGCAGCCGACGGGGGCGCCTCCCCGGGGGCGCTGCTGTAGGCGGACGCGGCTCCTGGCGCCAAGGGCGCCGGGTGCGCCATCAGGTTGCGGCACTGGTTGGCCGCGGCCGCCGCCGCAGCCGCGGCCGCCGCCGCCACCGAGAAGTTGCCCCCTGCCGCCGCAGCCGCCGGGTGGGGGAAGCCCCCGCCCCCGGCCCCGGCAGCCGCCGCCGCTGCAGCCGCTGCTGCAGCCGCCGCCGCCCCTTCCATGTTCTTGTTGAGCTCGTCGGCCACCAGGCCGCCGCCGTTGTCGTAGAGAAACATGACGGTGGGCTCGATCCAGCGGGGGTGGAGGAGCACGGAGGCTGTCATAGCCCGAGCCGCATGGAGAAGACCCCAGTGGCGCTGTTTTAAAAAGCCCCCAAGAAGTGAAGAGCGCGCGGCGCGGGGCCGGGGCCCGAGCGAGGGGGGCGGATCGCGCCCCGCGGGGTCGCGCCAGGCGGCCGCCCATTGGCCCGGCCCCCCCGCTCCGCCCACGGCGTATGCAAAGCGGGCGGCTCCGACTCCAGCTCTGCACGGTGCACCCGTCGTCCCCGCCGCGGCCCGCGCCGTCCCCAGCGCCAGCCGCGCGGCCGCGCACCATTCACCCGGGGGAGAGGCGGAGGAACGTGCGGGTGGGGCAGGGAAGGAAGGCGGCCCCATCTCCGCCCCCCTTCCCTTCCTTTATCCCAGTGGGGCCCAGACCCGCGCAACCAGGCGGGGAGGGGAGGTGGGCGCGCGATTGGGTTGCGATCTGGAGCAGTGGGGACAGGTCAGGTAATTCTGCCGGCGGTCAGGGATGGGAGAGTGGGGAGGACGGGACCAGCCTAGCTCAGAATGGGTGTTTCTTGGAGCCTCTGGGACTGTTTTCTTTCCAGGAACCGGCGCGTATTTCTGCAGTGAGACCACAGGACGGACATCGGCGCCTTCGGCTTCGATGGAGTTGCGATTTTGCTCTTTCCAGGGAAACAGTGGCAGGGTGTTTGCTGCTTATCGGTTCCTGCGGATATGCCTGGGTCCCAGGACATTCCACTGGAGGCTTGGACTGCATTTAGGAGCCCCTATCCCTTCCCTGTCCACACTGTTAGTGAGCAATTTCATATGTTTGCATTTAGACCCATAGACTCAGAACGACTCATCACACACACACACAGTGTACACTGACACACTCACATTCGCACACTTAGGTATACAGCCTGATCCTTGCTCTGACCTGGTAACAACGCTTCCTCCTCCAGAGACTTTGAGATAGAGCGAGCGATCCCTGTGCACCATTCATCCATGCTCCCACCTCGCCAGTATGGCTGGCTTAGTTCTGGAAGGGGCTTAAGAGGAACAAGCCCCAGCTGTGCTTCTGGCTGGGACTTAAACCCCCCTTCTGGGCCCTAAAGCCACGCTTCTTTGTGGACCGGACCTGACTCTCCAGGAATCTGGGAACCCGCTATTTCACTCTATTTTGGGACAAGAAAAAGGGGCTCTTTGGGGCCACTTCCTGCCTTCCCCTCAAGTAGGATCTCCAGCCTGCAGAGGGTGCCTAGTCCTTCTTTGCCCAAGAACCAGTCCAAGAAGCCTTTCCTCTGTGCCTGGGAAATGCAACCTTTTCTTGGGAGCATGGTAGGGTGTTGGTGCTGAAGAACCAAGCAGCGACCCGTCTTGTAGCTGCCATGTTTTGTCGAGGGGTTCTGGGGGTCCTGCTGCTTTAGAGCCACATACTTCCACTTCCTGATTCACTACTGTGAGCTGGTCAGATGCCTAGAAGAGGAACAAGCGTTCAAAGTGAAAGTGGGCACATTACCGGAATAGTGCTGGGGAGAGTGCTGGATTCTTTTCCACCCCAGGCGGACTGGTGAGAAGCCAGGCTTGGACCTGTCCTCTGCTCCTAGCTTGCACACTCAGCCCTAAACTCAGAGCAGCACGCATACCACCCCTCACACACACCCCACCATCTGCTGTCTAAGGCCCCTGGGCTTCCTGCAGGATCCAGACCAATGTGGCTGGGCTTGGGCTTTTATCTGTCCTGATCCTGGATTTGTCCTGACCAATGTAAGTGTCGCCCA
Organism: Homo sapiens; assembly: GCF_000001405.40. Taxonomy (NCBI): domain Eukaryota; kingdom Metazoa; phylum Chordata; class Mammalia; order Primates; family Hominidae; genus Homo; species Homo sapiens. Next base: position 27,201,802 of record NC_000007.14, read on the forward strand.
ATAAAACCTTCTATGACCCCCACACCAGCCACCCCCCCACCAAGTGTGCCCTTTCCTTCTTGACTTTTTAGCAGTTCTGGGTAAATATTGATTTGCCCCCAGTTTACCTTCTCCCTGACTGGCCATTTGCAGACTCAGGAACTAGCCTCTGTAGGGACTTGATTTTTCTGTTACTTTCTGGCCGTTTCACCACCCCCCTTCCTCCCTCCAAGTGGCATTGTAAAACTCACAGTGACAAAGAGACAGAGTAGGGTTCTAGGCCCCTGTTCCTGGGGACTTGAAGGCGGTTTTACATACTGGTCAGACACGGCTGGAGGCCAAGGTCAAGTTGAAAGTTGCAGTCCAGCCAGCATGAGAACTGCCATGCGAGCGTAGAGACACAGGCAGCAGCAAAAGGCCCATTGCCCACATCCCCTCACTCTTAATTTTCTCTCTCTTTTTAAAATTCTCGCCTCTGACTCTGTTCGGCTGCCCAGAATTTTTTGGTGCCTTCGTGGGGTTTTTGGGGCGGTGTTTACCGACTCTTCTCTGCCTCCGCCCTGCTCAGCCAGGGCTTTGAGCCTCTTCGGTTTTCCGGCCAGACCCGGAAAAACGAAAACACAGCTTGGGGAGCCCCCACTAGCCGGCGCCTGTGCCAGCTCACCTCTGGCCATGGCGCAGCTGCCGGTGCACACGGCGGCCAAGGCCAGCTCCACATTCTTCCCTCCCCCTCCCACTTCACCGTAGCCCCGAACCCTGCGCGCAGAGAAAGGGTCTCAGCTCCACAGACGACTGGGTCCCTCCTCACCAAAAATGGTGAGACAAGATTTCATCTGTCGGCCGAGGAGCCACAAGCAGGTTTGTCTGAGAGGGATGGTGCTGGGGGAAGGCTTTGGATTGCATCTCAAATTAAGCTTTGCTCCTTAAATGTGGCGCTCTCGCCAAGAAAAAGCTTGGGGACTGAATTCTTGAGATTTATGGTGCACCTTATTGATCAAATTTATCTGGACTTTTTTTAGTTCCCCGATGTGTCCCTATCATTAAAAAAAAAAAAAAAAAAAAAAAACCCCTCTCAAGACATGCTTATTTAGAGGAAGGCACCCTGCTTGTTCTCTTCTTGTCTTGGATCTCAACATGTATCTTATTTTTCTACCAGACATGTCCATGGCGTCCTGGCATGCCCCACTGTTTTCAAATGTCTGCATGTCCTGTCAGTATTGAGTTGTAGCCACCAATCAGTGGAGGTCGTTTATAGAAGGAGAACGAGCTCTGAATAATTTGGGTCTGAGTTTCAGAATTTCTACTCACTTTTAAGCAAGAATAATCTTCCTTCCCTGTCTTCTGCTAAGGGAGATAAGATATTTATTAATGTTTCCCAATATGATTTCTTTCCCTGCCAGGCAGCCAACAAACTGACTTGCTGTGGCAAAAGAAAGTTTGGAGGACGATTGAGACGGGTGTGCTCTGGGAAGCAAGCACAGACCCTCCTAGCATTTTTCCTCTTTTCCCAACGGCAAGGTCAAGATTTGCTTGCCTGCCAAGGTAGTGGGTCCTGATCTTCTGAGCTGTCTGTCCCTCTGATTTTTTGTTCTCCAGGCTCAGGAATTCCTATAGGATTGCAGAGGCACCTTCAACCTGATAATTTTATATTCTCAGGCTCCTCCTGGGTTAGACTGGGGAAGCCAGGGCACCCACTAGGATCGGCCGGCAGCGGTGGCACCTTAGGCATGACAGCCAAGCAGAGGGCTGCATGAGTAGAGGTGGGAGAGGTGGGAGAGGCTGCAGTCACTTCCCAGGTACTGTCTGGTGCACTGATTTCCCCGGAGGAGCCCTGAGAGGGCAGTGCAGGCAGGACCGGAGGGTAGTTTCTGCAGCACGGCCTTTATTTCAGGAATCACCAGAGCCTTTCTCAGTGTTCCAAAATGCCTTGGCTGACAAGGCTTCTTACTTCCTGGGGTAGGCCAGGGTGCCCTGCAGGGACTGGTTGCCCAAAAACCTCTCACTGAAGAAAAAAACCGCAGCTAGGTTTTTCTGGGTGGGGAACTGGATGCCAGCCTGGTCCACGCGGCTCTGGGCTCCCAGCATTGGAGAAGAAAAGGAAAAAGGGAAACCAGGTTTTAATCGAGCTTGATTTTCATTAGCAAATGAAATTTACCTGCTCTCACTTTAACTCTGAGGAGGCTGTCAGCACTGCTCCCTGGCACTATTTCTTTGCATCCATCCAGCACTAGGATAAACATTCCTTGGTTGATTCTAAAGACACTTTGTATTTCAGGATATTCATGTGCTTTTAATGTATCCAAGCAGCTTTACAAGCCACTTTTGCAGAACATCTTAACCCTCTCTCTCCCACCCTAGGTGGGCTGGGGCACAGAGATAATGGCAAAGGAAGAAAGATCCAGAGGAAAAACTGGTTGAGGGGCTGAGGAGAGAGAAAGAGAAAAGACGAAATCGTCAAACAGTGTAGCACCTCTGAAGCCAAACTTGAGCAGATCATTTGGGAAAGGAGCAAGTGGGGGACTGCTCTGCTTATGGAGGGAATTTTGAGTGTCCCCATCAGGTAGAAGCTGTACCCTCTTTCTTAAGGGGAAAGGGTTGGTAGGTCCTGAGATCTGGGCTGAAGTTGGCCAGCGGACAGGGAAATGGTGCATCGAGTCACTCACTCAACCTTTTGTTCCAGATTTTTGTGCATTTGAAACAATAATAAGGCAGTAAAAGGCTTGAGGCTGTGGGATAGTTTTGGGCTATTGTCACTGTGGTGACCAAATGTTAACATGGTGAAAGTGGAAGTGCAAGGTCCAGGAAGATCTACAGGGACCCCCACTTTGCCTTTAAGATCCCTTCATGGGGTGGATCTCAAGGACAGCAGGTTTTTGGAGGAGCAGCTCTCCTGCTGCCTGTAGAGTTTTTTGTTTTGTTTTGTTTTTTCAGGTACCACAAAGCCACTAGTGCACAGGGACTCAGAAAAGACGGCAGGAGCCCAAGGAAAACTCCAATTTGAGTACAGCCCTGCCTTGTTTCCCCCAGAGAGTCCCTGAGCAAGGAGACCTCCACCCCACACACACCATTTCAGAACAACCAGGTTCCAGACTCCCATGAGGAGCATCTCCCACTGCAGAGCCTTGGCCAGCCGCGCCCGGACTCCTCAGAGCTGGCGCAAACTCCGTCCTCCAAAACTCGGCTCTGGGAGGCCTAAGTGACTCCGAAGCCGGCGGCAGCCGCGGCAGCGGCCGTGGTGGTGGAAGAGCTCTTTTCCCCGACAGTGCCACTGATCGCTCTTCACTGGAGCTGGAAACAGCCTTCGCGGAAAGGACCGGAGCATGCGTTAGAAGCAGAGGGAGCTTGGTGAAGGGCTCGGCTGGAAGGAGGAAACGCCTTCTCGCAGTGCGCGGCCAGCCCGCGGGGGACACCGGCTTGCTGGACTGCAGGGGCCCGTGCCACCCAGGAAGTGACCTGCGGGTCACTCAGCCGGGGCGCTGGGCGAGCGCGGGACGGCCCGGAGAATTCCGTGCGGCTGCGACGGGAAAAGGACGAGGGGTCTCTGTACCCGACGCTGCCACTGGCCCAAAGGAATTTTACCCGCGAGCGCCCACCCCACCCTAGCTTGATGCTTACGCCCGCAACAAAACAGGAAACCAGGACTGGGCAGTGCATTCTTTAAGTCAACAAATACACTGAAGACTTCGAGCGTTTGAAGGAAGGAGGGGGTTTGCACGTAAGCCTGGCCCCGCCGGGCTCGGCTTTCTCGCTGAGAAAGCGGCGCAGGCAGCCAGGCGGCCTGGGCCCGCGGGGGTCCATCTCGCCCTAGACTCCTAAGAACTCCCACGGCCCTGTTCCCAGCTGCGAATTCTTAATGCACAACGCGACGGAGGGAAGGAAATTCACCAGCGCAGCGACGAGGAAGGGGAACTCAGGACCCCTTCAAGTACACACTGAGGTGTGATCAGAGTTTTATGGGCACTTTATATGCTGTAATCATAACGATGTGTGTGCCTTGATATGCACGCATATTCACGCATCAAACGTGCATACACACACAGAGTGAATGTGCGCATCCAATGTCATGTGGGTGAAATACAAGCATCATACCCAGCCCTACGAAAAAAAAATTCACCCTGTCGGACCAGGCTGGTGACATACTTCGCTGGCGCATCTCCTTACTCACTCTTACTTTTCCGACCCCTCACCATTCCCTCTCCTGTGGCTTGGTAAATACACCTGCCCTCCGTGGAAGGTGAGTCCTGGACTGGCGTTGCCAGGTTCGCATGTCCTCCCCAGAACCTCCGTCTGGCTCCAGGGACTCTCACTGAGCGGGTCTAGAGCACCCAGCACTTTTCAAGGAACAGCCGCGGTTCCTTTGTCCCGCGGCTCCAGCCCCGTTCGGCCCAGCTCTCAGGGAAACGAAGCGCTCAGTAAGAACTTTTGATATTAGTTTGTATGGGTATTTACACTCTGGTGAGGGGAGCTGAGTACGGAAGTTCCATTAATCATACTCCAACCTTGGGTTTAGATATTCAGTTTATGGGTTGGGAGAGGGAGTTTGCCGGAAAGAAAGCATCAAGGTTGGCCGCTGACTCCAGAGAAATGAAAAGGGAGCAAGGTCGTTTTCTGTTTCTGGAAATCAAGAATTAGGAATGGGCAACTACAGGTGCTAACCAACAGACCACTTTTTTGTTTTTTGGTAGCCCTTTGGCAGGGATAGTTTTTCCACCTTTGCCCGATACAATTTAAAAAAAAAAATCCTTTTATTATGGAATTTGTCAAACACACACACAAGCATAACAAACCCCTAGGTACCCATCTCCAAGTTTTGACCCCTATTATAATTTCATCTTCAGTGTTTTATTATCCACTTCCTCTCTCTCTATCTTTAGTATTTTAAAGTAAATCCCAGATAGCATCACATCATTTCACCCCCACCATAGGATTTCAAAGATCTGTTATATTTCAAGATTGAGTAAAAGGGCTTGAAATTGGGTTATTGCAATGAAACTCTAGAAAAAGCTTGAGGGTTCACCCAGGAGTAAGCTGGACAAAAAAGGGGTTTGAGGGGTGGACCCATCTTGCCTAAAAATCTTGTCTCATCTTTCTAAAAATTACATATGAAAGAGGAAGATTTATGTTACTTTTTTATATGAGAGAATCGTCCTTTAATAGAAAATTTCTATTGCTGCATCAGAATTATGGAGGAACACAAAAAACATACCTCAGTCCTTAGTGTGTCCTAAATTAACACATATTCACTTATTAGTGGGTAAATGACTATATTTCATTTCAGCACAACTTCTCCCCTGGTAGAAACACAAAAGAAATTTCTAATGATTAAACTAGGAAAGTTTGCACTGAATTGATGGCTTATCAGAGCAACCGCAGTTTTCAGGAAGAAATTCAATGCCATGCGTTGAAAATATCCCCCTAGCAATAAGGGATTATTTTTAAAAAAGAATGAATAAAGATGTTCTGGTTTCTTTTGTTTTAATCTGGTAGTCTCATTTACAACGAGCATGATTCTCCCTGTCGAACTCTGAAAGTGACTTAACTGAAAGGCTTGGCAACTTCAGAAAGCAAAAAGGTAAAAACAGAAAATAGCACACGGTTGAATTTGACAACTTTTACACTACCCGGCTGCTTAATAAATTCTAACCCCACTTGTCTGAGTGGATACTGATCATCTTTTCTATGGCAGTATTTTGTATTTGGGTTGTTTATGGTTTCTTAATTAATTTTTTTGAGTAGTGATTAAATATCTGGGATGCTTTTACACTAAGCATATAAATTCTCATGGTATTAGAAAAGAGCTATTTGATGAAACTCATAAGGGGTATGTAAATTAAAAAAGAGAAGAAAGTGTGTGTACATATTTTACAATAATCTCGAACGACTCCAACTATATGTTGCAGAAGCCATGAGCTCTCTGCCCACTGTCTGTGGGGTATCAGCAAGATTGACTCCTACCAAGCCTTGGGCACAGTGGTGGGTTTAAGGGTCCCATGTCTCCAGATCCTAAGATGGAGTTCACCGCAGGGGTGAGGGCTCGGGTCAGGGTAAGGGTGGGGACTGCAGAAGTCAAACAATTCGGAGGAAGAGGGAGAGGGGAAGAGAGAAGCCACAGACAAGCCAGGAGACAAAGAGGAAGGGAGAGATGGGAGGGAGAAGAATAAGAAGCAATGAAACTGTAATTCTCCACAAAAATTTAAGCTACAGCAGCTCAAAGAAGGCCTGTTTTTAAAGCTTAGCAGAAGCCCATTCTCCGCTGAAGCCTGTTCTTTGTGGAAGCCTGGCTGGGGGGCAGTGGGGGCGGTGCCACTGTCGAGTGTTCCTTGCCATTTAGGTCCAAAGCCTCCCTGTGATTTCTGTAACTGCACAAAAACAATCTGGGCTTTAAGAACCTGATTATTGTCCAGAGTTAAATGCAGGCTCGACCTTCTGCCCATAGAGAGTCCAAACGCATGAATTCCTGCTGGTATCAGCTTCGGAGGCAGAGGTCGCGAGCTGAGCTTGGGACAACCCTTCAAGCCTGCTAGCAATTACCTGCTCTCAGCCACTTTTAAAAGGCCATATTTCTTTACATTTCTAGGATCTAATGTGAGGTTATGTCAGGTCATGGGACCCTAGGCTGGTGCAAAGTAATTTGATGTCACCAAGAGCAAGCAGACTCGTTTGTCACCCTGAGGAATAGAAGTCCCTGTGATTTCTGCTGGGAGCAGAGCAGGGTTGCTTGGCTGGGGGTGTGGAATCCAGACAGGGGTCCAGTGTGGGCCTAACCAGGTGAGCTGGGAGGGGACTTTCTGGATCGTGTGTGTGTGTGTGTGTGTGTGTGTGTGTGTGTGTGTGTGTGTATGTTTGTCTGTCTCAGGTTGAGAGGATTAAGGGATCAGCTCTGCTCCAAGCTCACACAGCAGCCCATTGGAACTCAGCATGTGACCTGGACTGATCCAGGCCCTTGGATCCCAGGTTCACTTGTGACATGATCTGGGTCTCAGTTTTTCTGAAGCTAAATCTGGTTAGCCCACCTGCAGTCCTTTCTTCCCCTAGCCCTTACCCACTGCTACTTTAATAGTCTGTAGCTGATTAAATAAAACAACGGAGTCTTCCTACCTGAGGTTTATCCAGCCATTAGGTGATTGGTGGGAGCACAGAAGGAGTCATAGCCCTTGTACCCCTTTGGGGAAACACTTCTGTGAGTGATAAGAGACGGCTAATGTCTCAGTGAAGGGCTTCAAGGCATTTGCTAGAATGGCCTCTTCCACTATTTCCAGTTCTTCCATTTTTTCAAGGGGGGTGGGGGTTGTAGGGGGTTGTGTAACAAAGCCAAAGAACAGGGTCCCTTAAGCCTTCATTTGAGAATCAGGGAGAGTGCGAACCCTGGAGGAGTATGGGTAGGCAACTTGATGGGTAAAATGGAAAAGGAAGAGGCCGCTTCCCAGAGGCCTGGCCGATGCTAGGTCCCAGAGACTTGAGCATGACAGGGTGGGGGGCCTCCTACAGAAGCCCTGGAAACTCTATCGGTAGAGCTGCCTGTGGGGGCTCCACAATGTCCTGGGATTCATACATTGAAATGTGGAGCATGGTTCCTTGGCCTTCTATATCATTCCCAAAAGGAGTATACTGGTGCCACTCTTCCTGACAATTCTAGGATGATCTAATGCCACAACTAATAGACTGAGAGAGCCTGGGCAACATGGAGAAACCCAGTCTCTTTAAAAAACACAAAAATTAGCCAGGTGTGGTAGCATGTGCCTGTGGTCCCAGCTACTGGGGAGGCTGAGGTGGGAGGATTGCTTGATCCCCAGCAAGTTGAGGCTGCAGTGAGCCATGATAGTACCACTATGTTCCAGCCTGGGCGAAAGAGTGAGACCCTGTCTCAAAAAAAAAAAAAAAAAAAAAAAAGACTGAAGGAGAGAACTCAGACTCAGACTCAGCCAAAGTGGTCAGCAAGGAGGCACACCCCTACAAGGCGGACCCCATTTGAAGCAGGCGAAGGCACCCAATAGAGAACCTGCAGTGAGCATCTCAGAGGCACATGGAGAGGCCTGCACAGAATTCTCTATCTTTTGGCCATAAGGTTAGGAGGTGCTGGTGGGGCCAGAGGAGCTCAGATAAGAGCCAGCTCTCTATATGTGGGGCTCATTTCCATGGGGTTGTGAGAGAGGCCAATCCTTCACAGAAATTAGAATCTGGATGCAAGAAGGCAGCCAGGATCAGATCTGGCCAGATGGCCCCACGGCAGAGATGGGGAAAATGTCACCTTCGAATCCTAAGAAGCTAGGCTCCTGTGCTTTGCCAAAGGCCTCGTGGGCAGCAGTCTGTAGCTCCAGCGGTTTTGCATGCCAGCCTCTGGACTCACTTAACTTCTGCAGCAATCTGTTGGTCCCCAGAGCCACTCTGCACCCTCCAGGAGAACCTACATATGGGCGCTCCAGGGATTTGCCCGCATTAGGATCAGGAGCCCCAGGAAGAGTTAGATGGGAATCCAGGCATCCTGGGCCCTGTGCTTTCGGTGGACAGCTAGATCTTTCTTGTCAAGGTGGAAATAGCGTCTCTGCCCTGGGTGGGAACCCAGACCCAGCCCTGCAATCACGCAGGCAATAAAGTAAGCACTCCACTGTCGACGGGGAGGCCAGGGAGAGAGAGGCTTCTCTTTGAGGCCTCCCACCCCCATCCAATCCAGGAGGTTGCAGTCGCTGTGGGCGGCGGCGGAGGATGCTCGCAGGACACCGCTGCAGTTGCGACCTCTTCCCACTAGATGTCTTCCCAGTTAATCGGAACTCAAGGGCGCTGTCTCTGCTCCTCGGGCCGAGACTCGGTTTCCCCTGCCGCTTTTTGAAGTCTAGCATTCCTCTGTGAAAGCTGGCTTTTCCCTTTTTTTCCTATACTCCCCTTCCCGCCCTGCGCTCTAAATCCTGGCTCTGGAAATCCACCAGAATCAAATGCTGGCTCCCTGCGGGCCCGCGTCGGAGCGGCTCACGCCATTGGAATCTTTTTATGACCTTTGATGTGTTTAAATAACATGGCAAGTCTGAGCACACACCTCGGATTAAACTTTAATCGGCTGCAGTCAAGGTCGCCCAGGTGGTAAAAGCGTTTCCTCCGACGTCTCCTGGCAGACGCTGCGGGGTCCAAGGTCTGGGGCAAAGCCCTAGGCCCCCGCCATACCCTCCTGCCTCTGTCAGGCCTGGGTGGGGGCCAGGCCCAGGGCCACCCCATCGAGCTCCAAAGAGGACTAAGGAAATGGGATCGGAGGTAGACACTCAGGGTGGGCTAATGACCTGAGCACAGTTTTTATAGCTGCTAGACAGAATAGTTAAAAATTCCAAGAAGCACTTTCAATTTCCCCTGACTCCAGAAACTGGTTGAAGGTCTAGTCATGGTCAGTGCCTTATTGCCTCCTCCCCATGGCTCTGCTCCCCTAGGGAGAAAGGGGGTGCTGGTAATGATGTTGCGGCCAAGTTAGCTGACTGTTTTTAAGGTCACCAAACCCATTAACTGTGGGCCAGGATCTAGAACCCAGGCTAAAGCAGCCCTTCTGTGTGTCAGGCTAGACAAGGTTGGCTTCAATTTTATCTGGGATGAGCATATCTTTCTGAGCCAGTATACCTGTCATGGAGAATTGTCATGGGCAGTATTTAGGAAAAGCTCCAAGAACAGGGCAGCATATGTAGTGAGAGCTTACCACTGTGCTTTTAAAAAAGAAGGAATGTACAAAAGGGCTAGAAGGACAGACAAGTCATCAGTAACAGTGCTTCCCCTGGGAAGAACTGGTGTTCAGAGGATCTGAGTAGAGAATTTTTTTTCTATAAAATCTTTTTGTAGTGTTTGTGAAGTGCACCAATTGTATGTATTAGCTATTGAGGTTATACTTTTCAGAAAACTGGTTACCCTATGTATCTCATGGCCACATATTCCTTTGGGGAATTTCCTCCACACATCATACCAGCCTTGGATTCAGGGGAGAACACTGAAATAAGTTACCCCAAGGCTTGAATCTTAGTCTTACGGACATCAACTCAGATTTCCATCCCCTGGGAGAGGTTCTCAGGCCTCTCTCTCTGGGCTTACCCCTAACTTGTAAATGAACATGCCAGCCCCAGCCATTCACAAAAGAGAATGCGTTGTCTCAAAACGAATTAAAGCCTGATCTTCAATTTTCCCCCAATCCCTGAGTGCCTAGGGGTTTGCAGAAAAGGCCCACAAATGCTCCTCCAGACCAGAGATTCCCACAGCCCCTTGACATGTATATTTGGTTTGTCAATTCTTGTCTTGAAGACACTATCAAGTGTCTTCAAGGGCCACATACTAGACTGACCTGTTGATCTCTTGACTTAGAGATAACACTATCACTGTCTAAAATTAGTTCTCATAGTGCTTCTTCATGGCCTTCTGGGGGCTGCTAATACTCTTTATCTTGATCTTTGTAGTAGTTACACAAATGTATACATATATAAAAATTCAGTGAACTGGGGGCTTAAGATTTGTATGCTTTGCTATACGTAAGTTATATGGCAATAAAAAAATTTTTAAGTGCTTCCTCCTAACAACCTGTGAGGTTGGTCCCAAGGTTATTACAATCATCTCCATTTTACAGACAAAGCAACTAAGACTCAAGGGAAGCTAGGGTCCCAGGCATCTGTGGAAGAAAATAACCAGCCAGAGACTAACCAGCAGCTTCTTCCTCTGGGTCTTGCTGCTTCAATATCCAGCTTTCTTTTCCAGCAGATTTCTCAGGTGACAGGAGCCGGTTCAGTATAGAGAGGCTCTTTTTAGAGAGATTGTGAGGTAGGAACATGTGGTCTGAGTCTTCAAATTTTTTAGTCTTGGCGTAGGGAGTCAGGGAGGGCACGCGCCCAGAGGGTGTGGGGCCTAGAGGGCCCCACTTGTGTGCCTCTAATGAGGAAGAGGGCCCTCAGGGCTTGGAACATATTTTCTTCTTATTCCAGTCCTCCAAGCCCACACGCACCCGAGGCTCAGGAGACCTCTTCAGGCGACCGCACCCTTCCGCTGAAGTCCCCCACTTCTGCCCCTCCGAGGTGGGGTGGGGGTGTTCTGAAATAACGGTGGCTGCAGTTAGATGGCTGAGGACATAGAAAGCGGTTGTTATTTATTCCAGGCACCATCACAAAAGGCTTCCAAAAATATCGAGCCGAGATATTTTATTGTCCAGCCTGTCTGCAGCCTGTAATTATGCGTTCAAGATGTTTAATGTGTGCAAATGCATTAGCCGCTTTCGCTGGTGAAAACCCTAGCTGGGGGCGGGGTAGAGGCAAGTCTGGAGATAATTATGTCGTACAGTCGCAAACATTATTCCGTTCTTACTGTAAACGGCCCCGGCCACCTTTACGAGAAACCAGGAAACTTCTGAGAGTTACTAGCAGCGTTTACGCGGGCAAACTGAGTTCTTTTTCTTTCTCTCCCGGATTGTTCGAAGTATCTATCGGGCGGCTTCGATGCCAGGTTCAGAGGCGCGCCAGGGAGAGGGCGCCCCGCAGAGGAGCGCAGCGGAGAGGCCTACGCAGGTCCCCGGTGCCCGCGGCCCTCGGAGGCCGGGCCCTGCGTCTTGGCCAGGCACTGGGTGGCAGCTGAGGCTGGTGGCCCGGAGCCCTCGCGGCCGCGGGCAGGCCCCTTCTTGGGCAGGGTCGGGCACTCCCGCTGTCCAGGGCTCTTCGGCACCCTCCTTCCAATCAGGTCGCTCTCCCCTGCTCCCCAGACTCAACTCCTCCGAAGCTGCTCCAGGTTGAAATGTGACCGCTAGGCCGACTCCCTGGGCCCGCGAGCAGTTCTCGAAAGGTGCGGACTGAGCCCTTTCTGGGGTGGGGTGCGGGTTGGTTCTCGCAAGTGTGACCCAGGGTGAACTTGCTATTTCGGGTCCCGGGTGCTGCAGGGCCAGGAGAACAGCTGGGATGGGGGACCCCCGCCTCCACCCTCGGGCCGGCACGTCCGCGCCCTGTCAGGTCCCCCTCCCTCCTCTATGATGGCCAAGGCGTGCGCCAGGGCTATCCGGGAACCTTGTAAGGCCTCGTGCTGGCACCTAACCCCACTCGCGGCACACTTCCTCTATGTAGTCTGCGGCCCCGCCTGCCAAATGAGAGTGACCAGTGCAGGGACAGAATGCCAGGCTGGTGGCCGACCGCCTGAGGGACAAAGGCGAGCATTCACAAGCCAACAGCAGACCCCTGCCCCCCATATTTCCATTTCGCTCAGGCTTTTAGGACAAAATCAACAAGGCCGCAGAGTGGTGCAGGCGCTCACCCCGGGTGACAGCCTGGGGAGCCACTGGTTCCGCGACCCTGGGCATGAAACTCCTCAAGGGCGGCCCTCGAGACGCAGGGGAGAGGATGCTGCCGGCGCCTGCCCGAGGGCTTCTCTGCGGGAAGCGGGCAGGCACCCCACCGGAGTCATTGCCGGGACCCTCAGCGCAACGCGGGCCTGTGTCCTCTCGTTTCTCTTTAGAAAAAGACTGGATTTTAAGACTCGTTTTAGGCCAATGATTTAAAACAAAACCAAACCAAACTACTGGGCGCTCGAGGAGTAGTGTGGGACACATTTAAAAAAAAACTTGTGTGGGATCCAGGGTGCATTTTCTGGGGCCTGGCAGCGCTGCTGCAGCCCCAGGGCATGGAGAACAGGGGGACATGGAAAGATCTGGGAGGATGATGAAACCCCAGGGAGGGAAACGCTCACACAGAGAGGAAAAACAAAACCCACTAGACGTGATTTGTTCCTGCTCCAAATGAATCATCTAAAGAGAATCCCTCTGGGCTACATTTACTGGGGCTTAGGGTCTGGGGCCCTCAGATCCACCAGTGGTGGGGGTAGTTCCCTGAAATTTGCACTCCCAATCTCCCCCGTGAAGGTGCAAGCTGTAGCTACAAAGGGAAAAGGAGAGGAAGAGGCTAGTAGGATTCCTGGGTGGCTGCAGCCCCAAAGTAAACCCCATGCTTTGAGTGCCTCTGCATAACAAAGTTTCCCAGGCCCCCCAGACTTGGAGGGGGGTGGTTAGTTATGCAGCAACTAGACGTTTGGGAACAGCAAGACCCTGGCAGGAGGTGCAGACTAAAGCTTTCAGGTTCCTACCTCTTGTTCTTTCCTACCCCCTGTGTCTGCCTTTCTCTCTGCCACCTTTCCAGAGACTCAGGCCTCCAGGAGCAAGTGGCTTTGCTCTGAGGCCCTACCTGGATGGGCCAGAGAGACTGGGAAGTTTAAGGACAGGTCTCACACTTGGTTCAGATTTCAGACACCTCAGAGGTGGCTATAACTTAAAGCCTGCAAAAATAAACTTTAACCACATTCGAGCGTCCCCCAAGCCTATAGTTTTGAAGGCCTAAAATGTGCGATCTTTTAACTCAGAGGTTGCTGGTTGCCTGAGAGGCTGAGCAGAATTTCCCAAGCAAGAGGGGACAGGGAAAAAGGCCATTGTTTCTGTAGATATCCAGGATCAGTTCAAAATCAGGGCTCACTGAAGAGGGCATGTGTCCTGTGACTGCTCTCTTGAATGTAATTTTTGTCTCTCTCTCTCTGTCTCTCTTGCTCCCATAGAACCGTGCCCTCACAGCAATCCAGTGTTTGATTCTCCCTATAGAAAGTGAATCTGATCAGGGCCTTCTTCACTCTCCTCCTCCTTCTCTTCTGTTCTGCAGCTCATTCAAAAGAGCCCATAGAAACACAGAGAGACCCATGAGGAGTCTCTTGCCACTGGGACTGACTCTGCCTGGGACCCAGAGACCAGAAATGGTGAGTGGTTTTTCTTCAAAGGCTGCTGGGTCCTGAGGCTGGGATTGCCTGCACAGCGAGAGGGCCTCCCTTGCAGCTGCACCCAACCAGGGAAAGGGGTGGAAAGAGTTTTTGAAGGACTCTAGAAGATGGTAAGCAGGGCCACCTCGAAGACCTAGATTTCTCAACTCTACATCTCCTGGAGGAGGGATTCTCTACTGGGAGTGATCAGTGCCAATTCCAGTTTCCAGATTTGGTTTGCCTGCCTAGGAAAATTGGAGCCTCATTTAAATCTTTTCCTAGAAGTCTTGTGCTCATTCTTTGGCTTTCTGTTTTCTATTAGCCAGAGACTCATGTAAGATAATCTGGGTTTCTCCCTCCGACCTCTGAAACATGTAATTTGGGGGAGATACTGTATTTAAAATGCCAGTCCCAGTAATGAGCCCAGCTTAGCAGTGTGAGCTCCCACCCTCCCCTTAATGAACAGAGCTGTCGAGAAATAATTTCACTTTGATCTAGTTTGTGACCTGAGTTTTTGGCTTAAAGAAGACTGGGCAGCTAATTGGATTCTTCAGTTGCCTTTAATCTCCACCTCAACACTTGGAACCTGACCAAGCTGAATTAAAACAAGTCTGATAAACAAGATGTAGCTGGCTCCCAGGTTAACAGTAACAAGAAAATCCCCACCACCACTGTTGGGTTTAATGATCACAGCATGGTTGGCACCTCACAAAAAACATGAGGCTGTAGGCCCGCAGAACCTGCAGCACGGAAGTCTTCAGAATCCTTTCCCCTCCCTCCTAGCCCCCTGGATGTAGCTTAATTAGAAAGAGAAGGAGGGGTAGAGGGAGGTGGGGAAGAAAAACTTACAGTTGGTGAAAGAATCAGGTTGGGGGTTCATCTCAAAGGGAGGCAGGACGTTGAGGAGACTTTGTCCCTGGGAGAGGAAGCAGGCCGAGCCTTTGAGGGCTGGACAGTAAAGATTGCAATTTGAATTTCCAACTGTGTTTCAAGAATGAGGGGATGCAGGAGGGAAATAGGATATGAGGGGCAGGGTTATGCAGCCTGGCGGGCTGGGAATCATGGATTGTATTTAATCTTTTCAGATGCCAGGGTTTTGTGTTCTAGGAGCAAAGCAGAAGGAGGAAGAAGTCTGCTAGACCTCCCCATTCTTAGTTTGGGGCCTGAGAAGGGATTCTCTTGGACTCCCCTCTGGATGCTCCTGTCTGCTGCCTGCCTAAGTGGCTGGAGGAGTTCTGAGGGAATGCTTTCTCCAAGGCAGCAGGGGTTTGGTCTAGGCTAGGATTTCTCAAACCTCCACAATATTGATGCTTTGGGCTGGATGATTAATTCCTTGTCGTGGAGGCTGTCCTGTGCGTTGTAAGATGTTTACCAGTATCTTTGGCCTCTACTTACAGATGTCAGTAGTGCCTACCCCAGTTGTGACACCCAGAAAAGTCTCCAGACACTGCCAAATGTCCCCTGGGGGGCAAAAATTGCCCCCACTTAAGAACCACCAGTGTAGACCTCTGTGAGGCAGGCATTTCTGGGAAAAAAGTGTAGTGCTTTGCTTGAAATGATCTTTGTATAGTTTCAGAGAGCTAGGGGAGCAGGGCGGGGTACTCCCGCTCCTTCTTTGAACCTCTCCAGCAGGGCAGATCATGAATTCCTTCCCAGGGCTGTCTTGATCTCCTTACTGTAGGTGCTACACCTTCATTAAGGCTTTGAGCAAGGACATAGCTGCCAGGGCATATAATCCTAATCTTTAGACACACTGAATCCAGGATAAGTGTGTGTGTGTGTGTGGGGAAGGTGGTGGGTGGGTAGGTGTATATATGGGTCTGTATAAGATAAATGCTAGGCAAAAGAGATCCAGGCCTCACCTTTTCCTGCAGCTTTGAAAGCTCTTTCTTTGGCATACTTGGCCTTGAAGTGGGAAACAGCTGGGTTTTCATAAAATGGTTGTTGAGGTTATCAGGGAATGGAAAGCCTATTACACATATTGAGGTGAGAGGTAGTGTCTAGGATGCTGTTACCAGATTCTTATGCAGTAGGTGGTCTTACAGCTCCTACCCATCTCTTCCCTCTAGCTCTGACTCTCAGCAAGCTCTTCTCACACAGGCTTTCTGGAAACTGTTAAGATCCTAGAAAGTAGGAGCTTGACATAATTTATTGAACACTTGGTATTACTATTATAATGCTGATTGAAAATATTTAAAAAAATAGGAGGCTGGGCACGGTGGCTCACACCTGCAATCCCAGTACTTTGGGAGGCAGAGGCAGGTGGATCTCAATGTCAGGAGTTTGAGACCAGCCTGGCCAATATGGTGAAACCCCGTCCCTACTAAAAATACAAAAATTAGCTGGGCATGGTGGCGGGTGCCTGTAGTCCCAGCTACTCGGGAGGCTGAGGCAGGAGAATTGTTTGAACCCAGGAGGCAGAGGTTGCAGTGAGCCGAGATTGCACCACTGCACTCCAGCCTGGGGGACAGAGTGAGACTCCATCTCAAAAAAAAAAAAAAAAAAAGAATTTTATCACAATCCAGACATCTCAACCAGATCCACCCATCCCTTTTCTTTCTCTCTTCTTTCTTTCTCTCTTCTTTCTTTTTCTCTTTCTTTCTCTCTTTCTCTCTTTCTCTTTCTCTTTTTCTTTCTTTCTTTCTCTCTCTTTTTCTTTCTTTCTTTCCCTCCTTCCCTCCCTCCCTCCTTACCTACCTCCCTTCTTCCCTCCCTCCCTCCCATCCTCCCTTTGTTTCTTCCTTTCATTTTCTTTCCAGAATGTGTTCACATAGAACACAAATGAAGGATGGTAAAGATTAAGAGAAACTGATTAACTGACAAAGACAATTCTATCAAGTTTGCATTGCATTAATAGCAATAACAATAGGGTTAAGTTATGTGACCCCTATATATATTTTTCACATCTAGAGTGGGTTATAGTCACTTAGGGCTAGGCATATTTAGCTGTCAGCATTGCCAAATGAATTAAGCTTTAGGTATTTGACTAAAATCACTGGTCGAATGCTTACAGAGTGGTCATCACTTTACAAATATTAACTCATGTAATCTGTTGAACACCTCTAGGAACTATTATAATCATCTTCATCTCACAGATGGTGAAACAGAGGCCTAGAAAGCTTAAGTAACTTGCCCAAGGTCATCCAGCTACTAAGGGACAACACTAGGATTGGACTGAGGCATTGGATTTAGGGTCCATATTTTCTATTTTCTTTCTTTCTTTCCTTTTTTTTTTTTTTCTTTCTCAATACAGAGTTTCACTCTTGTTGCCTAGGCTGGAGTGCAATGGTGCGATCTTGGCTCACTGCAACCTCCGCCTCCCGGATTCAAGCAATTCTCCTGCCTCAGCCTCCCGAGTAGCTGGGATTACAGGCATGCGACACCATGCCTGGCTAATTTTTGTATTTTTAGTAGAGACAGGGTTTCTCCATGTTGGTCAGGCTGGCCTCGAACTTCCGACCTCAGGTGATCTGCCCACCTCGGCCTCCCAAAGTGCTGGGATTACAGGCGTGAGCCACCTCACCCAGCTGGGTCCATATTTTCAATGACTAATTTCTGCTGCCAATTGTTAATATGCTGGGTAGGGACAGTGGCCCAGGGGACAGCTGTTGGGGAGGTGGGCATCTCTAAGGATGTAGCCACTGCTCTGGAAGCCTCATTCTGAGCTTTGGGGCCGGATTCCTTGTCCACAGTGTGTCTATTAATATAAGCCTTTCTGATAATTGAAAGTAAGTTATGGGAAATGTAATATATATCCCCGGTATTTACTGCCTCGGGAACAAGGGAGACATAATGAAGGAGGGAAGTTTGTAATTGCAGAAAAACATCAGTTCTAGGAACAGAAATCAGTGGCAGCCAGAGACGTTCTCCCCAGGTTTCCGGCCCTGCTGGTGGCCCCTCCACCAGGCTCCATACAGGCAGGAACCCCCAGAAGAGGAAAGGGGCCTGTAATAGGAGTCATCAACCTGTCACCACGGCTAGGGTGAATATGGCCTCTGAGTTGGGGGAAGGGGGGAGGTTTACTCTTTAGCACCACCAGCTGCAGGGATGGGGAGGGGCTGTGGAGGGTGGGGTGGGGAGGGGAGGCTGGAGGTGGAGCTGGCCTTCTCTATCCACAGCCCACAGCCTCCTCAGAACAGACACTGGGCTAGTAACGTGCGATGCTGCGGTCTAGGTCCCTGGCCCCACTTGGCACTAAGGTGAGCATGGTGGTCCTTACCCTCAGGCAGCCTTCACATCTATAAGAATGTGCATACATGCGTGGGTTTGCGTGTGAAGGAAACATGGAGGGTGACACAGCTACATAAATGATTGCACCAAAGGCTGAGATAAGAACCTAGGGATGGAGCAGTATGAACCGGGTGCCAAGTGGTGTGGGGTGTCAGGGTCTGGCTGAGGGTGGGCAGCAAGGAGGCTGAGATAATGACCTGGACAGGTGGAGAGGGGCCGTCCCAGGTGGAGATGCAAGGAGGATGCTGGGAACAAACTCTGGCTCTTGGGCTAGAGGGGAAGGGAGGGTAAAGGAGGCATTGTCTGGCACCTACCAGGTGCTGTGCTTTGCAGGGATGATCTCATCGAACCCTCACAATATCCCCATGTGGTAGGTACTTGTGTTACCCAAATTCTACAGATGAGGAAACAGGCAGAGAGGGTCAGTGACTTGGGCAAGGTCCCGTGGCTGGGTGGCAGAGAGCCTCTGTGAGTTGCTCTGAACCGGTCCATAGGAGGAAGCCCAGCACCTGCAGTGAAGCCCTGGTAAAGGGGAAACTTAGTTGGGAGGCTTTGATTTTGAATTGAGGCCTTGCTTGCTTTAAGAAGGTTCTCATAAGGAAAAGCTGCATGCGTCTTACATTTCTGTATTTCCCCCGTGCCACTGCCAGCCCCATCTTATAAGTTATCCGCGAGTGATGAGAAGTCCCCCCTCCTCCCCGGGGTGAGTGAGAGGGCACCATCCCTGGGGCAAGGGCCCCCAGGCGCAGGATGCACGAACCGAGGGACACACCGCCGCCAGACTGACCTGGTGTGGCGGTCGGGCGGGGCCGGGCCAGGCCGCGACCGCGAGAAACCACAGCCCCACGGAGGAGGCCGGGCCGCGGGGCTGGCGGGGACCCTGCAGGCCGGGCCGAGGTGCGGTGAGGCCTCCTCCCGACCTGGCCGCGTCCTCAGAGTTCGCTCGGGGCTTCGTGTTTGCAGAGCAGCCTCCCGCCTGCCCGGCTTGCCCGGGGATGTGGGTGGACCCGCCCCGCGCGGCCGCGGCCCAGTGCAAACCGTGATCCACCCTCTTCCGCTCGGTGGGAGGAACCCGGGGCTTTGCGCCCCTAACCAGCAGCGTGACCCTCGCAGTCAGGGAACTTCTCATCTGTGAAGAAAGCTTAAGAATGACACCCCTGACAGGAGCATACGTGCTTGCCTGCCCATAGGGGACAGGAACAAACGAGATCATGTATTCCATGAACACGCTTTTAATGCCCACCTACTATATGACAGGTGCTGTGCTAGGCACTTCTGTATTCATTCTAAAATATTAATTTTGCATCGTGTCCTTTTGGTATACTTTATTGAAATACTATGTACAAAAAGTGCAAAAGTCATAAGATCATCTAACACCAACAAATATTTATTTTCATTCAACAAATAAATGATTCTGTAAAACTTATTGGCAATGTGTGAGAGTATTGCACACTGCAATAAAGTGTTGTCAGTAAGAGGCCTCTTCTCTACATTACCTGCTGTTGATCTGGGATGAATTTACCTGAGTACTTGCTTCTTCTGGGACTGGAGATGGGTTTTCGGCTCCATTCTGTCACTAAACACCCTGGCTACCTCCTGTGATCTCTCTGGAACTCCTCAGTGGAATGAGGCGGCTGGCCTTCACACTAAGGACCCTACTTCCTGTGACTGATGAGGGTGGCTTGGGTGTATTTCAGAAATAATAGGACACAATTTGAGTGTGGCTTCTTGTATTTATGATTACTAACACAAATGTTATCCACACATTCATGATAATACACATTTGCAGGTGAATGTCTTTGGCAGAGCTGCTGGAAGAAATGTGAGGCCTGTGACTCATCATGAAATCCCAAGAAGGTTTCACTACTTTACCAACTGAGAAGTTCTCATAGGTGGCTTTAGAGAAGAGCGTTTCTTCTTGTGCAAATAGAATCCTTCTACTGAGCAGTCTTCTAAAGCAGTCATCTCAAAAATGAAGATAATAACACTACTCATTTTATATTTTATGCAGAAAGCTTTTAGAACAGTGCCTGGGCACACACTGAGAGTTTAATAAAAGTTAGCCACAATTATTATTCACTCTTTGACACTCCCCCAAAAGCTTATTTGTCTCCATTCTTCCCTCTTTAAGAAAGGAGGTAGTAGGTTGGAAGGTCTAGCCTAATTGTTATAAGGTGCTGCCATGAATCCCAACCTAAAAATTAACAGTAGGAGGCATAGATCCCTAAGTAGTTTTCTCCCTACACATTCATCCCTTGTGAATACAGGATGATTGGGTAAAGGTCCAACCTCCCTTCCTGGGCTCCCTGGCCTGGAGAGGCACCAGGGCACTCCCTAAGGCAACCTCATCAGAAATCAGAATCCTCATCAGCAGACCTAAGTCCTTCAGGCCACCAGTGCCTTCCCAAGGGGGTTAAAAGTTCTCTAACAAGGGCAGTGTCAGGTATGGAGAAAATGATGGAGTAAGAATTCCTTCCATATGAGTGGAGATTTACAGTTGACAAAGCACTGGCCATTTCTCCATGTTTAGTGGGGTTGATAGGAAGACTTCCCTGGGTTTTGTGTGTTTGTTTTCGTGATGATGGAAGGGTACTGAGTGCAAAGAGCCTTTGGTGTTTTGAATGCAAGGTGACTCTGTCTTTGGCTCTGGAGTTACAGACACCTAGATTTGAGCCACCACTCTGCCATCTATTTGCTTTGTGACCTTCGGCAAGTCTGTTTATATTTTTCTTAACTTTAGCTTCCTCAACTCGAAAATGGATGTAACAATATCACCTAGTTAGCCCATAAGGCTGTTGTGCAGTTTAATTTCTATGATGCAAATAAAGCACTTAGCTCAGTGCCTAAAGTAATGTAGATGCAATACTAGTTAGCTTTCAATATATATTATCAATATTCTTATATGATTCTCTTAGACATGGCAGAAAAAATTCATTCTGATTTTATAGGTGATAAAACCGTATGGAACTACTGATATTTACTATAGCATGGATGAACCTCAAAAATTGTGCTAAGTGAAAGAAGCCAGACCCAACAGACTACCTGTTGTGTGATTATGTCTGTCTAAAATGCCCAGAAAAGGTAAACTTATTAAGATAGAACATTAGCGGTTGCCTCAAGCTGGACGTGGAAAGGGGAATTAACTTAAAAAAAAAACGAGGGATCTCATGGGTTGAGAAGATGAAAATGTTCTGAAATGGATTTATCGTGATGGTTGTACCACTTGGTAAAGCTACTACTAAAAATCATTGTTTTGTACACCTGAAGTGGGTAAATGTTATGATGCATAACATATACATCAATAAAGTTGTTTTAAAAACCCAAAATATCACAGGAGAAGAGGGGGAATAGAATCTAGGTTTCCTATTAGGTGTTCTTTAGACTCTGCTACCTCCCATTGGGTAGGAGAGAGAAGGCAAACAGCAGGGGAGGAGCTATGGTTAGAATCTCCGTTAAATAAGAGAATGGAACTAAGACAATTCTGAGAATGTGGAGGTGGTAGTTTCTTAAAGAGGGAAGAATGGAGAGAAATAAGCTTTTGGGGGAGTGTAAAAGAGTGAATAATAATTGTGGCTAACTTTTGTTAAACTCTCAGTGTGTGCCCAGGCACTGTTCTAAAAGCTTTCTGCATAAAATATAAAATGAGTAGTGTCATTATCTTCATTTTTGAGATGATGAACTTGAAGCATAGAGAATGTAAATACCTTGACCACAGTCATAAGCTAATATATGGCAGGGTCAGGATTTGAACCCAAGTAGCTTGTTCCAAAGCACCTGCATTTTACCCTGATGCTATTAATACATATAAAAAGAAGGAGAGAAATGTCAGGTTTCTGGGCAAAAATCTGGAGTTACATTGTGTGGATGCGTGAGCCTGGAACATTCTGAGACTTTGCTTTAAAAATGTGATGTTGTTTTATATATAAATATGAACCACACCAGATATCTTGCTGGGGGGGTGGATTTGCTCCACCATCTATTGCATGGATAATATGCAGCATGGATATCATTTTTGTATATGAATATCTTAAAATGCCAGACAATCCCTTCACTTCTGTGTTTGAAGTGTGGCTATGCTCATTTCCCAGAGTATGAACTGAGCTCACGTTTTGGGAACAACATTCAGACTGATGTAAACAATCTCAGAATTACTTGGACCATGTTGCCAAGCTCCATTTCCCCTCCCCCAGTCTCATTCCGGGTGCCTCCTTCATCCCTGTGCCCTTTGCCTCATTCCTGTCCCTCTTTACCCTTCCAATGCTCTTTTCTCCATGAAATAGGGAGTCTTTCTGGATTGAATAGAAAAATTATGCCTTAAAGATCCATTCTTTTGGTTTGCTGCATTGAGGAAGAATATGTGTGCAGCTAGAAGAAAAAACAGGTCATATCTATACAGAACTTGAAAAGTAAGGATTAAAAATTTCAATGCTTCCAAGGCCCAAAAAATATTGCACTATTTTTTCATTTAAATTATATGTATAGATTAAGTGAAAATAATATTCCCATTTCTTTCATTCTTTTGGTTTAAGTGATTTAAAACTATTTGCATGTATAAAACAGGCAACTTGTAAATTTAAGTGAAAGGAATGCAGATTTCTTGGATGCTGTACAGGGAGGGAGAGGTTGAAAAGAAAATTAACATAGTAATGAAAAGATTAGAGAAAAGTGGTCAAGTGATCACAATCTGGTGGCCTTGGGATGGGGAAGAGGTATAATTTTTAAAAACCTTTATTGTTTTGTGTGGGAGGAAATACACAACTAATGCATGTTCATTTAAAAAGATAATCAGTTTTTGAAGAAATAGTGTGGCAAGTTAATGCCCCATATGCCCCCATAATCCCAAAGTAACAGTTGAATGTATATTCCTCCATATCTATGTGCATATAAAATATACATATATTTCCTATATAACTATCCATGAAATTAAGTCACTAATCATATCTGATTGCTTGCAGACATTTGCTTACAATTTCTTTCTCCATTTTTACAAATGTGGAATCATATTACACAAACTATTCTTTTTGCAATTTATCCTTTTTCATTTAAAGTAAGCTTAGACCTGTTTGCCTGTGAGCACACAGATCTCGTCTGAATATAGAGTATTCCTTTATATGAATGTTCATCATTTTATTTAACCATCATTTTATTTATAAATTGATGACTGTCAGCTATTTCCACTTTTTCCTTATCACTAAAATAATTTAGTGAATATTCTTGAATGCATTCATTCGGGAATATTTACTAGATTATTTTAGTGATAATGAAAACTATGCAAATTTTCAGAAGTGACATTTCAGGGACAAACCGAATAATAACTGTAAATTCATAAATGTCAAAATTGCCTTCAAAAAGGTTTTGCCGTTTTGTTTTTTGTTTGTTTTAACGTTCCACCAATGGTTTTCGGGTGACGGTGTCCTTGCACGATGTAGTCCGTCTTCAAAGTTCTTTTACACAACGTGAATTATATTGAAATTGGGCTACTTCATAGAGCTTCGCCTCAGTGGAGGACAGCCTGGAATAGGTGAGGGGGTCTCGAAAGGAATACCAGGCCGGGGAGTACTGGCAAGTGTCGGAGGGGAAGGGCAGGTCGGGGAGAGGATCCCCAGGGGCTGGGTGTCTGCAGGGCTCCCCGTAACTCAGAGGGGCCGGCGGCCGCCGCCCGAAGCCTGAGCTTTTCTCAGCAGATGGAGAATTCATTTTTAACCCCCAGGAAGGAATGGGCTGAGACATCAGACCACCGCTCCTAGAGGGTCAAATTTCCTCCCCATAAATCCAAAACATTCTCTTTAGGGAGTTCCCTCCGTGGCGCGCAAACCCGGGAAGCCGCGCGCCCTGGGGTTTCTTGGCGGGCCGTGCGCGCAGCCTGAACCGCCAAAGTCGCGTCATCCCGCATTTGCCTGCACCCAGGAGTTTGCAACCCGCAGAGCCCGCAGAGGCCACCGCCAAGAGTGCGCGCCTTGGCGCCCCGTCGGCCTCTACTTCCTCGGATCTGAGCCAGCGCCGCTAATCCGCAGGCTGCAGCAGAACCTGTCGCCAGCTTGGAGAGTCCCTCGCGCTGCCCTGGCTTCCCGGTCCGCGGGCGACTCGCGCTGCTCCCGGGTTTGTCGGGACCCCAGGAGGGCGCTCAAGCCTGTCGGCCCCTACTTGTGTGTAGAGAATAGGCCCGGGTACACCACCTCAGAAATGCAGAGGAAGCCGGGGACACTGAAGCCCGGGTGGTTGCAGTGAGGCTGAGGATCTCAGATGGGTGACCCCCAGCTCTGGCCAGTATCTGAGGCCACTGCACGTGGGGGACACTGCCCCCCAGGTTCCCACCTAGTTGGTCTCTTCCTTGGGTCAGTGGACTGCAGATGACTCCAATTGGCCTAGTGGGCCATTTCTGTCCTAGAGTCATTTTTTGGCTGATACAGAATTTTATAATAATTCAAATTAGTTGCCAACATGTAGAAACACTTGAAAATGAAATATCTAACAATGATATCAGCTGGAGCTGAATTCTGTGACTCCAGTCTTCTCAATTCCCAAATGTGACCATGGCCATTTCTCTCATTTCTGTTACATTTCTGTTACCAGCCCACTCCTGTAGGCATTGATGTGTGTCCCCTGTTGGAGTCATAGAATACCATGGTGGGGGCATGAAAATAGAATATATTTTCATATATTTCAGAAAAATAGACCCTTTAGCTCCCACTGATATTTGATGCTGTGAATTGGTCAAGGTTACCCAGGGTGTGGCAGAGTTGAGATTAGCACTTTATTCACTGATGAGAGCCCAGAGGAGGGAAGAGACTTCTGCAGGACCACCCAGCCAGAGAGCGGCAGGGGCACGCCTAGAGCCCACGTTTCTGACCATTAGCCCCTTCTCCTGACCGCACAGGGGCCCCAGTAAAACACAGCCTATGACCAAAGAGCCCTTGCTTGGGCTCTCAGGCTTTGACCCAACACCTAGTCATTGGTCAGACCAACTGAGCTTCCACTGCCTCTGTCTGTAGCTATAGAATGGAGGGAGTCCATGAGGGCTGGCTTGTGTCTTGCTGTCAGCTTCCAGGTTCTGGGTTCTTGCCTAAGAAACAACTGCATCGAACTGTGGGCAGATATTCCTTATCTTCTTGCATAGTCTAAAAATACACCTGGCCATACTATAGCAATTGTATTTGAACTTACTGATCCAATCCCATTGGAAATCAGTGCATCTAGCTATTAGGGGAATGTTTCCCAAACCTTCATACTTGCCACCTCCAGGGTAAAGGGAGACTGGAAAAGAAACAGCCATGTCACTTGCCAGCCTTGTCACAGTTCTGAGTTCTGTCCTACATTTTTCATTTGGGAGCCAGAAAGAAGTGGCTAGACTATCAGAAGGCCCATAGGGGTGGAAACTCCCTATCTTAAAACCAGTACAGGGAAACACAGTGAAGGGAAAATGAATGGCTGGAGATAACAGCCAGTGTGGGGAAAAGAAGTACGTCTGAAATGGCTTCTTATTTTACTTGGGAGCATTCCCTACCCAAGACTAAAGCATGCAAAGCAGGCCAGAGACTTTGATGTTTCTCCTTAAGGAAATGAAAGTTTGAGGCATTTATGTTAACATATGGAATATCTATCTGTGACTGCATTAGCTCTTCAGACGTATCTTCTTACCTCCCTAGGAGTAAGTGAACAGCTTACAAAAGCTGCAGTTTCTGTGGGAGAAACTCAATTTGGATCTGAAATCAAGAAGGCTTAACAACACCCACTCTGTATGAAATTACCACCCCATTTTAATAAAGTCCAAGATGTTTAATAGCTCACTTAAGGTCTTACAGCACATTGGGAGCAGAAATAGAAGAGTTAACTGTTTTTCTCATTTGGTCTCCTGAGAAAGGCTTGTTCATTTTAATTCTATCTCCAGAAAAACGTTTTATTTGTCCTCTTCACAATCCCTCCTTAATATCTCACTTAGGTGTTATCACTGTGCAGGTAAAATAATTTATTTTTAAAGTGGCATGTTGTACACATAAAAATAATTGAGTCTGCCGGCCTGGAAAAAGGTTCAGCTGCCTGCCTGGAAAAAGGTTTACTGTAGCCTAAATTTCTATGAAGATGTATAATTTGTCAGTGAAAAATATATATGAACACACATGCATACCCCTTTATTACCACTCAGAAAGACTTGGGAAACTTACATTTTCTTCTTCTCTCTCTCTCATTTGGAAAACATGGCTCCTTCATTTCCCATTCTCTTGTAGACCTTCGGTCCTTGTGACCCTGTTCTCTTTACCTTTATGTTTGCAAGGCAGAGTACGGCACAGGCATACCATATTCTCATCACCTATAGGCCAAGAACTTGGTCTCAGATAATAGTGCTAGTAAGGAATAGCTCTGGCTTCCAGTCTTAGAAAACTTAAAATAACCAGGGCTTAAACAGGATAAAAGTTTACAGTTTTCCACCTAAAAGCCTGGATAGGGGCTCCAGGGCTGGTGTGATGCTTCATGATGTCAGAGATCTGAGCTGCTACTATCTTGTTGCTCTACCTTATCCAGGCCCAGGATGTCAGTAGACAAGCTCCAGGCGGCAGAATGGAGGGATAAAGAAAACCACTGGCCGGATGCGGTAGCTCAGGCCTATAATCCCAGCACTTTGGGAGGCTGAGGTGGGTGGATTACCTGAGGTCAGGAGTTCGAGACCAGTCTGGCCAACATGGCGAAACCCCATCTGTACTAAAACTACAAAAATTAGCTGGATGTGACATGCACCTATAGTCACAGCTACTCAGGAGGCTAAGGCAGGAGAATCACTTGAACTGGGGAGGTGGATGTTGCAGTGGGCCAAGATTGCGCCACTGCACTCCAGCCTGGGTGACAGAGTGAGACTTTGTCTCAAAAAAAAAGAAAAAGAAAAGAAAGAAAAAAAACCATGCAAAGAGCTTGTACATCTCTGTCTTTTAAGGAGTGTGCCTGGATTTTGCTACAGGACATTTCTGCTGACATTCCAATGGGCCAGAATTTATTTGGCTCTAAATATAAGTGGCCACCCACTAGTATATTTGTTCCAGGTATGGAGTTGTTGCTTCATTCCTCTTCCTTTCAGTATATAAACTTACTGAAATTCCTTAGGCTCACATTTAGGGAAGTAACATGCGACAATAGTAATAGCTAACATTTATTGAGGATTAGTGAGTGCTAGATATTCTTGGAAGTGCTCTGTGTGTACTAACTCATTTTACCCTCATATGTCCCCGTTTTACAGATGGGGCCAAATTAGAACCCAAGCAGTCTAATTTAAGTATGGGCACTTAACCATTATTCTAAATTGCCACTATAATTAAGACGGCAACAATTGTACCCTGTTATTATTTATGGATCATCTTACGCCTTTACTACAAAAGGAACATTCCCTTATCACACCGGGCATGCCTTGATTTTCTTCTCACTATTCCAAATCCCAGTGAATGTCTTTTGCAAAAAGGACACAAAATCCTGGATGCCATTTACTATAGCACTGCAAAGATAGCAGCCAGATAATTCTTTATTTCAATTTCACATTTACCATCTCCACATCTGCTGCTTTCCAACAAATGCATTAATGCACCCTAGTTTTGCTCTGTAGTTATTTATTTCTGGGCATATGTTAACCACCACATAGGGAGAGGGGGGCAAACATGTGATGTGATTCCCTGAGCACCATTCACCCTCACTTCTCATCCACAGCTGCTTTTCACTCAGAAGAGTGGAATGTTGAGAAAAAGAATCACAGACATAGTAGAGAGTGAAGTAGGGGGACCGTCAAGGTGAGAGAGAAGCAGTAACTTGCATTTGCGGAGTACCCATTGTAGGCCAGACACTGTGCAAGGCCCTTTCCATTAGAACGGCTCTGAAAGGTAGGCCTTGTATTATTTTAGATCTGACATCCTGCAGCTTTGGTCTGCCCAAGGTCACTGGTGAGTAAGCTCCAGAGCTGAGGTTCAAGCTCAGGACTGTCTGGCTTCCAAGTCCAGGTTCTTGACATGTCATCAACTACCTCTGAAGTACCAGAAATCTTGGCTGGGCAAGTTTGAGAGCACTGCTCCACCGTTGATTCTGTTCTCCTAGCTGTTACAGACCAGTTTCCATCTTCCCAAATTTCCCTGGGATCTGTCTGTCTTCCTGCTGGACTCAAAATCCAGGCCTCATTCCACCACACACCAGCTTTTTGCTGCTCCTCTCCTGCTGGGTCAGAAGATCTCACAATATATATTCATAGAGAAAGTGGATTCATGGCTATTGGAAGTAAGATTTGGTGTTTACAAGCATGGGTTTTTCCTTGACTCTCCCACTTACTATCTGTGTGAGCTCAGGCAAGTTGTTTAAGTTCTTTAGGCTTCAGTTTCCTCATTTGTAAAGTGGGGAGACCCATACCTCCCTCTGAGGGTTGTTATAAGACTTAGAGCCAGAGCACATGGGATTTTTCTTTTTCCATTGCCTGTACTGGGAAAAGGTGAGGGTTATGAGGGAAGGACAGTTCTAATAAAAGGAAAATTGGCCAATTTTTGGAGTGAATCTGGCTTTTCAGTTGTTAAAGGTCCATATCTAAGAGAAAATCATCACCTGACTGTTGCCACTTGTAAAAGTGATACCACCCTTTCCTCAGGGCTCAAGACCAGGACAGAGTTAAATCCTGGATCTGGGTTCAAGAGATCTTCCCACCTCAACCTCTTGAGTAGCTAGGACTATAGGTGTGCACCACCATGCCTGGCTAATTGTTTTTAATGTTTTGTAGAAACAGGATCTTGCTATTTTGTCCATGCTGGTTTTGAACTCCTGTCCTCAAGCAATCCTCCTGCTTTGGTCTTCCAAAAATGCCGGGATTATAGGCGTGAGTCACTGTGTCCAGCCTCATGCCTATTTTTGAAACAAGGACCTATCTTTCATCTTTGATTCCTTCCTTCCTTCCTTCCTTCCTTCCTTCCTTCCTTCCTTCCTTCCTTCCTTCCTTCCTCCCTCCCTCCCTCCCTTTCTTCCTTCCTTTCTTTTCTTTCAAGTTTTGCTCTTGTTGCCCAGGCTAGAGTGCAGTGGCACAATCTCGGCTCACTATAACTTCCGCCTCCTGGATTCAAACAATTCTCCTGCCTCAGCCTCCCGAGTAGCTGGGATTACAGGCACCAACCACCACACCTCGCTAATTTTTTGTATTTGTGGTAGAGATGAGGTTTCACCATGTTGGCCAGTCTGGTCTCGAACCCCTGACCTCAGGTGATCCACCTGCCTTGGCTTCCCAAAGTGCTGGCATTACAGGCGTGAGCCACTGCACCCGGCCTGAATTATTTCTAAGAATAGTAAGGTAAACTCCAGAATAATTAGGAAAACGAAGTTACTATATTGCCAATAATGGAAGTTATGAAACAACTTTAAGTCCATTATAATAAAAATATACATTAACAATACATTGGTCAGGCATGGTGGCTCACACCTGTAGTCCTAGCACTTTGAAAGGCTGAGGCGGGTGGATCACCTGAGGTCAGGAGTTCAAGACCAGCCTGGTCAACATGGTGAAACCCTGTCTCTACCAAAAATACAAAAATTTAGGCCAGGCGCGGTGGCTCACGCCTGTAATCCCAGCAATTTGGGAGGCCGAGGGGGGTGGATCACGAGGTCAGGAGTTCAAGACCAGCCTGGCCAAGATGGTGAAACCCCATCTCTACTAAAAATACAAAAATTAGTGCTGGGCACAATGGCTCACACCTGTAATCCCAGCACTTTGGGAGACCAAGGCAGGTGGATCACCTGAGGTCAGGAGTTCGAGACCAGCCTGATCAACATGGAGAAACCCCATCTCTACTAAAAATACAAAAAAAAAAAAAATTAGCTGGTCATGGTGGTGCATCCCTGTAATCCCAGCTACTTGGGAGGCTGAGGCAGGAAAATCACTTGAACCTGGGAGGCGGAGGTTGCGGTGAGCTGAGATTGCACCATTGCACTCCAGCCTGGGCAATAAGAGTGAAACTCTGTCTCTAAAAAAAAAAATAAAATAAATACAAAAATTAGCCAGGCATGGTGGCAGGCGCCTGTAATCCCAGCTACTGGGGAGGCTGAGGCAGGGAATTGCTTGAACCCGGGAGGCGGAGTTTGCAGTGAGCCGAGATTGTGCCACTGCACTCCAGCCTGGGTGACAGAGCAAGACTCTGTCTCAAAAAAAAAAAAAAATTAGCCAGGTGCGGTGGTGCGTGCCTGTAGTCCCAGCTACTCGGGAGGCTGAGGCAGGAGAATCACTTGAACCCAGGAGGCGGAGATTGCAGTGAGCCAAGATTATGCCATTGCACTCCAGCCTGGGTGACAGAGCAAGACACCATCTCAAAACAAAAACAAAAACAAAAACGTTACGCCATGTGTAATTAAAAGTGTTGGTAGCATTTCACAACCATCTGCCTTTTGTTTGTGCATCTATCAGTATTTCCAGGCCTCAAGGATGAGGCAGGGACTAAGAATAATTTATTCATTCTGTAGAATTCTTTACAAAATTCATACTCTTGCTCCATGAAGAGTCTGAGACTGATTCTTGTCATGGCTCTGTGAACTTGGCCAAGTCCTCTGAACTCTCTGAATCTTGGCTTCCTCAACTGGAAACTGAAAAGAACAATTCTGGCCCCTCCAACTTTATTAGGAACCTGGAGAGGAGCTAATAAAATGCTGGACATGGCCGGGCATGGTGACTCACGCCTGTAATCCCAGCACTTGGGTAGGATGAGGCAGGCAGATCACAAGGTCAGGAGTTCAAGACCAGCCTGGCCAACATGGTGAAACCCCATCTCTACTAAAATACACAAATTAATAGGCCAGGTGCGGTGGCTCACGCTTGTAATCCCAGCACTTTGGGAGGCCGAGGCACGTGGATCACCTGAGGTCAGGAGTTCAAGACCAGCCTGACCAACATGGAGAAACCCCGTGTCTACTAAAAAAAATACAAAAAATTAGCCGGGTGTAGTGGCGCATGCCTGTAATCCTAGCTACTTGGGAGGCTGAGGCAGGAGAATCTCTTGAAGCCGGGAGGCGGAGGTTGCAATGAGCTGAGATCGTGCCATTGCACTCCAGCCTGGGCAACAAGAACAAAACTCTGTCTCAAAAAATAAATAAATAAATAATAAAAAATAAAAATACAAAAATTAGCCAGGGGTGGTGGTGCACACCTGTAGTCCCAGCTACTTGGGAGGCTGAGGCAGGAGAATTGCTTAAAGATGGGAGGTGGAGGTTGCAGTGAGCCAAAATCATGCCATTGCACTCCAGCCTGGTGACAGAGCGAGACTCTGTCTCAAACAAAACAAAACAAAACAAACAAACAAGAAAACTGCTGGACACAGAAGTCCACCTGAGCAGCCTAAAGTAATAGATGGAAGTTAAGGATTAATATGATGATCTGTGAATATGTGTCTGAAGTGGAAATGAAAGAAAAATAAGAAACAGAGACAACGTAGTCAAAAGGAGTAACGGTGTTCCCTGATTTGCCATGTATTAGCTGAGTGATCCTAATCTCTCTGGGTCTCAGCTTCCTCATCTGTAAAGTGGGGATTATAATAATAGCTGCTCTTTCCATTTGATAAGACTATTGTATCAAATGGGTCAGTGAGTGTGAAAATGTTACTTGGAAGAGACCATCTAACTGTTAATTATTATTAATACTGATAGTAGTTCTCCTAGAAGAAGTTCCAGTGTTCTTCCAGGGCTTCAACTAGTTTGGTCACCTTTGGAAATGAAATCTATCTTTTGAGATCACACGGTAGTCACAGGCAGGGACTGAGCCTAATGAGTAGGAGCCTGGCTCCTGGCATGACACTGCTAGGATTCAAATTTCATCTCTGCCACTAATAGGCTATGTGATCCTGAGCAAGCATTTAACCCTTCTTTGACTTAGCTTCTCCATCCATAGAATGGGGATGATAATTATGTAGTCTCTTACCTGCTGGAGTTGTAAGAATTAAGTGCCATAATACATGTGTGCTATCCAGTACACAGAAGATATTTGTAGGTATCTTTATTCTTGGATATAGGGTATTACTCTCGGGTATTCTTGGTGGCACCTTGGCCCCATACTGCCTAATTTACAACATTTGCTGTAACTTTAACTTATCAAATAGCATCCCAGAGTAAGCCTGATACTAGAAAAATATGACTGAATGAAAAAGCATCTATATCTACAGCTACATGGCTGAGGCCCTTTTGGCTCCTACTAAAACCATTTGCTTTCTTTTTGAGACAGACTCTAGCTCTGTCACCCAGGCTGGAGTGCAGTGGCATGATCTTGGCTGCAACCTCCACCTCCCTGATTGAAGCAATTCTCCCCGCCTCAGCCTCCCGAGTAGCTGGGATTACAGGTGCCCACTACCATGCCTGCCTAATTTTTGCATTTTTAATAGAGACAGGGTTTCACCATGTTGGCCAGGCTGGTCTTGAATGCCTGAGCTCAGGTGATCTGCCCGCCTCGGCCTCCCAAAGTGCTGGGATTACCGCCGTGAGCCACCATGCCTGGCCTTCTCCATTTTAGAGCCAGCAAGCCAATCATATTTCAAGGCCTCTGGTCCCCTTTTGTGAAAGAAATCTCTAGGTAGGGCAAGTTTTCCACCCTCCTCCAGCTCCTGCAGTTCCAGAGCAGTTTCTAACCTGCTGTCACAGAGTGAGGATTTCCATGTCCTTAGGCAGTGGATGAATGAGAGGGTGAGTGAGAAGCTAAGTTAGATAATGGCATCATTAGGTAATAAGTTAGTGCACAAAGATCTACATGGAGGTGATAAGGTGGAAGGAGCAGGGGGTAACAGATGCATAAATCTGTACTAGGGATTTTTTTTTTTTTTAAAGATACACTTTCAAAAAGCCATTCCAGGCTGGGTGCAGGGGCTCATGCCTGTAATCACAGCACTTGGGAGGCCAAGGTGGGAGGAATGCTTGAGCCCAGGAGTTCGAGACCAGCCTGGACAATACAGTGAGACCCCCATCTCAAACAAATAACATAAAAAAAAAAATAAAGCCATTCCAGGCAGAATGGAGAATCACAGAAACTTATCAAGTCGAATAATGAAATTCGTAGGGCTGCAGTTCTTAAACTTGAGTGTGCATTAGAATCACTTGAAGGGCTTGTTAAAACATTGCTGGGCCCACCCCCAAAATTTCTGATTCAATAGGTCCAGAGTGGGGCCTCAGGAATTGCATTTCTAGTTAGTTCCCAGGTGACGTGGGGACCACAATCACTGTCATAGGGAATCTGAGAAGAGTTGCTGTAAGGCTGTCTTATTAGAAATGGTCCTCAGACGTAAGTGAGGCCCAAGAAAGAGTCCAAGGAGCTACAGAGATAGGAGAGTCCAGGGGCTTCCCACAGCCTGGACTTCCTGAGCCACAACAAATGGGGCCTACTAGTGTGTTGGTGGCATGATTGAACATATAGGCTGACCAGGCACTCTCACCCATGAGACTCTCCTTATCCAGACCTTGGCTGATATGTGGTGGCGGGGGGAGTTTGGGGGAAAGTGTTCAGCGTTTCCTCTCAAACGACAGGGCGGGGTGGGGTGGGGTTGGGAGGAAGGAGCTCGCAGGAGAACTGCTTGATACTTCCCGCCCCACCGCGGTTAATCACTGTCTAGAGAAGCCGAGGTTAAGTGGCTCTGACCTATCACCCATCCCGCTTAGGGTCCAGCTCAGAGAGCGGGCGCATAGGGCCTGGTGGAACAGGCTGCCCTCTGGGGATGGGGGATTGGGGCCGCTGCTCCGGGCAGAGCCGCGGGATCCGAGCCAGCAAGGATGCTGGGACTCGCCGCGACTTCCGCCTCTGGCGATCGGCAGTGGGGGGCGCACCAAGACAGCAGTTCGGGAGCTGCGCTTTGTCACCGAGGCGGCGAGGGGCGGAGGGCGCAGAAAGGGGCCGCGGAGAAAGGACAAGGCGGCCGACCAGCTCCCAGGATGGAAAGGGACCCTCAAGGGGCTCCAGGCAGCACCTGGGGCAAGGGGAGGGACTGATACTCCCGGCCGGAGCCCAACCTGTGGCGCGTGCTTCAGTCCTGAGCCAGCGGCTCCCTGGCTTCTGGGCTGGCATCCGTCCTACCCTCCTCCCGCTGCAACACGCCCCTGATAGCCGCTCCCCCACCCTCTGAAACTCACCCGCACAGACTCACCGCCAGGCTTCTGGGCTGGGATCGCGCAGTCCCTCCACGTCGCGGCGCCCTGAGGCCCCTCCCGGTGAGCCACCCGGCCTTCGTGCCTTGCTCCCCGGATACCAACCTCACCTGGCTCCCGCGCGTCGCTCACCGCCCGCGGGGACAGCGGCCGCATCCGCCCAACCCACTTGGGAAGGGGGATCCCTATCTGGGTCTTTCAATCATACCCAAGGCATCGCAGTTTTCTGTCTGGGTGTTAGGGAAAGCAGTCCATGGTCCTGGGGCACGGCGTTAATGTCAGAGGAGAATCTGGCCCTTGGAGTCTGGACAACTTGCGTTAAAATCCTGGCTTGGCCTCTTCCCCACTGTGTAACTCTGAGCAAATTCCTCAACCTCTCGGGGAGTCCGTTTTCCCGCTGCACGACGGGAGGGACTGTGCCTCGTCGGACGCTCAGAAGCTCAGTAGGAGGGGAGTGGGGACTAGTCTGGGCCAGGAGGGGTCTCTAGGCAAGTCAGTCCCCAGAACTCCGCATAGAGAGAGTTTTCCATTTCACGGGAGGGAGAGGCTAAGCCAGCCCAACCAGCTGGACTTCCTTGCCTGGGGTGGGGAAAGGGGGCGTCGGGGCAGTTCTCTCATCCCACACCTGGTAAACCGACTCCTCTACTCCTTATTAGGCGCCACCGAGTCTTCCGTCTTCCGGGCCCAGGAGAGGGGAAGGGGCTTTGGCCTCCTCAGCTTGGGAACTGAGAGAGACACAGGGTCAGAGAGCACACAGAGACAGAGAGACACCCGCACCCTGGAGGAAGAATTTTGGGACCATCGAGTTGTCCTCTACTACTCCACAGCCCGAAATGATGCCTCCACCCAGATTTGTGGTCCTGCATTGCCCTTGTTGGGTGGCCCTGACAGGCGCTGCAGTGGGCAGGTTCCCTCTTACAGTGCAGGGGTGGAAGAGGGTGGAGATGGTGCCCCATGGCAGGGGACTGGGAGTAGGGGGAGCAAGGTGGTCAGGTTTGTCTGGCCCTTGGATAGCCCAGTGCTTGGAAAGGATTTGTGCCTGGACAAAATCTATTAAAAACAAACAAAAGATCCTGAAAACATATCCTCCCCTGACCCCACTCCAATCTCTTCTCAATAATGTAAATGAAGCAATGTTGTAATACAGTGATAATAACAGGACAGTTCCCTGGACTCTGGGTTTCCTTTATCCCAAAGGAAGGTCAGCCCAAGCCGAGTCCTGTCTTTTACAGGAGAAACCCCAGCGGGGTGATTCTCTCCCTGATGCAGGTCCAGAGCCTAGAGGTTTGGATGGAGGCACATGCAGAACATAAAGGATGTCCCCAGCCAGGTTGCAGGTGTGACCAGGCCTGGCCAGACTCTTGGGTTTTGCCCCTTGGACCAATCAATCCTGGAGGTCAATTTGAAGGGGGTAGCAGCCATGTAAGGGAAAATACCCTGGTAAAGGGTACTCTATGAAATGGCTCAGGGAATTGTGCCTGGAGTATGGTGGCTCCAAGGGTGTGGGGGATCTGGGAACTGAAGGCCAACTTCTCTGCCTCTGCATTTTCGTGGGAAGAGGGCTGATGGCTATGTGAAGGGGCCATACCTAAGAGGTTAAAACTGCCTGGGTGACCTTGGTGAGTCCTGCTCCTTTCCAGAAATGTTCTCAGGGCCTCAGTGGATTGCAATGGTCAGAGAGGGACTGGGCTTTGTCTCTTAGGGTCTCCAGGATCAGCAGCTGCACTGATATTTCTGACATTCTGGCCTCAGGCCCTGAGACCCTTCCCACATGCTTCGGCAGAGCAGTTCTCCTACCCTACATTCCTGAGGGTGGCTCTCCCAACCCCCTCCATGAGTTAATCTAGAAATGAGGTAGAGAAGAGGCCTTGGTCACAAAAAATCACAAGATAAATTTTTGGAAGAGAAGTCTCAGAAGGCAATGCTTAGCACCTTCCTAATTCTCAAATTGTGAAAGTGGCCTTTGAGCTGGAGGGAGGGGTTGAATCCTGATGCTCATTTACACATCAGCTTTCTGTCTGTGCTTTGGGTTTCTCAGCCACAAAATAGAGATGATTCATGCTGTCTTCCTCAGAGCCTGTTGTGAGGCTGGAGAGCTAATACATGTGAAACGCTTAGAGCAGTGACTGCTCTTATCATGTGGGAACTCCAGACTTCTAAGAGGGATTTCTCTTTGCCCTCCTGGAAAAGTATGTGTGGTGTGGGTGAGGGATGGGGGTGGCAGGGTGAGGACTAGTCCATCCAGCTGTGTGGGCCCTGAGCCTTCCAGCCATGCAGGTGCTTCTAAGGGCAGGAGGGACACTCTCTGAGAGGCCCACAGACCTGCCTAAACCCCAGTAAAGGCTGAGGCTTTGTGGAGGGTTGCCTTATGGAGAGTTAAAGCATTGCTGGGGGTTGAGGCATCCCTGAAGGCCAGGGAGGGACATGGCCTTGGAAGGGAGACTGAGCTTGGTTTGACACTCAGCCCTGACCTAGCTATCTGAGTCAAGACCACTAGTCATTCTACAACTGTAGGAAAAAATGCACTGTGGACTCTTGAGGCCTTTTAAAGGACTGTTAAATTAAATGAGATTGTTAGATTAAATGAGAAATGGGTGTTGATGTTCTTTGTAATAAAAGCAAACTTCAGGACAATAATGAAGAAGAAGAATCCATAGCATCTCTGCTAGGGTTGAGGAGGGAGATGTCTGAGCCTTTGGGTGCTTGGGTGTTGGAGAATTGCTCTTGGACACAAACTGCACTGGGCCCTTCCAGTCAGTGGCTGAGGTGGCAGCAAACCTTGAGCTTGGGGAGGTCTTCAGCTGCCAGTCTCACCCTGGGTCCTCCAGCCCTAGGATGGGCCAGTGGTGGGAATGGGGATGTGGACCAGACATCCTTAGCACAGGGCCAGGAAGCTACCAGGCTGGCCTTAAGGAGCCCAGGCAGACAGGTGTACAGGCAGGAGTGCAGCAGGGTCAGCTGCCTCCCAGGACCTGGCCCTCCATTCCAGGAGGGTGGAGAGGAGGGGGCACTCTTCAAAATCAGAGTTCCAGAAGCCGCAGTTTCCCCCTGTCTGAAGGAGAAAGTGTTCCACGGTGCCTGCCACAGTTACACAGCTGCCACCGACTTTCTCAGCAGATTCCACTGCAGTGCAAGGAGGTGACAGGAGTGGTCAACCCTCATCTACCTGCAAGTGTGAGATCCACTCGACCTTATTCCCCAGGGGTGCACCCAGCAGTGGCACTAGGTTCCCAAAAGGGCATCAGCAGCTGCCAAGGCAGAAGGGGGAAGCGGGTCCCAGAACCACCCACCTCCGGCTGTCCCCACCGCGAGGACCCAGCAGTCTGGCGCCCCCACCACGGCCTGGAAGATGACGGAGGGCCCAAGACTAATATTCACGACAGCCAGACCACGCTTATTGTTTAGAAGGAAGCTCCCTTTGTTCTTACTTTTTAACCAAAGAGAAGCGAAAACATTTTTTTCCTGATCACATTTTCACCGACACCTGAGCCGACAAGCCAGCTCCTGGCCCCCGGCTCAGGACTCCTCGCTCTCTCCCTTCTCGGGGCCCTGTCGCCGTTGAAAGGCCCGCTGCAGGCTGGGGAGGGTGATCGGGGCCGCGGGCCATCTCCCCCGAGCCGGGCGGGCAGACTGCGGAGGCAGGCCCCACACGCGCCGCTTTTCCGAGCCCGGTTTTCTTCAGGAGCGAAGCTGTTCCAGCTGACCCGCGCGTCTGGGGGCCTATGCCCGGCTTCCGATTCCATTTAAAACGACCCGCGCATCTTATCTCCGTCGCCTCCCCGGGGTTCCCACCCACCCCCCTCCGGCCCGGGCCAGGCCAGCCCAGCCCCGGCGGAAGCCAAGCTGGGAGCTTTTGAAGTCCGGAGAATTTCAATCCGAGAGGAGCCGGCTGGACCGGAGCCCGTCGCCCCAGCGGGGGAAGGGACGGGGGGCCTGCCGTGTGGCAGGTGGGGGATGGGTGTCCCCCGCCGCGAGAAATGAGAAGCCGCCGGGCCTGGAGCGGCCTCCACCTCAGCTGCTATCACCCCCTCTCCGCTGTCATGGGATTGCCCAGGCTTAATGGGGTTGTGCAGGGCTTCACTTGCTCTCGGAATTTACCTTCCTTCTCGAGCCGTGCCGCGAATAACCTTCACGACACAGTGATAACGATGTTATTAAATACTCCCCCCACATTCACCGCCCAAAAAACCAAAACAGTGTTCTTATCCAGTCCTCTCTTTTTTTGTCTTCTTTCCTTTAAAAACCCAACCGCTCTTAATGTGAGGTTGATGAAAGGATGCTTTTGGAAGAAGTGACATTTGGTTAAAACGTTTTCCCCCTAATGCGCCGGTGGAAAGGGGCGGGGGTGGGTGTGGTTCCCTAGGCTCCTAAGACTGGCCAGTCAGCTTTGAAAGAGCGGGGCAGAAGTCGGGAGAGGGCTGGGGAAGGCTTTGGGCTGAGGGGATGTGTCCCTGAAGCTTCAGATCTGGAGCCCAAGGGAGGCAACCTCCCTCTGAAAAGCCGGTCCTCAGCTCCATCCAGCCCTCTCCGCGGGATGTAAGCCCTGCTCCGTAGGGCCCGACCCAGGAAGCAGACTAAGTGGCACTCCTTGATCTCTCACTCCTACTCGGCTTTCATCTCACCCAGAAGAAAAGCGGATCAAACAGAGGATTCCCATTGAATGCAGAGCTGGGGGCGGGGTGGGGAGCCAGGAGTCCCTCTGAGGACCCAGCCCCCAGGAGATGGGGGCAGCAGGCTACTCACGAGAAGGTTAAGCGCTCAAGGAGGAAAGGAGGGTGGGCACCTCAAAGGCCCAGTGCTGGAGGGCCCTATAGAGAGTAGGCAACCTTGGAAGCTCTAAGACAGATGCCCAGGGGGCTTGCCATTGACAGGAAAGAGAGCAAGCCAGGTGCTCCCTCAGGCTGTGGCTGCTGGTAGGGAGGACAGAGAAAGATAGAATACCTGGACAGCTCTCCAAGGCAGGAAAAGGTTCTAGGATTTGACTCCCCTCACTCCCAATTGATCCTCTCACCTCTAAAACATTTCCCTGGATTTTGGGGCTAGCAGTGCTCAGCATATAGTGGCTTCAGGAGTCCCAAGGAGTAGAAATATCTATGTGGACACTACCTTCCGGATCCCGCTGCCTCCGCCCCCAGGCAAGATTAATGAACATCGTCTTAGACTGAAAGAGAAGTGGAAAGCCGGAGTGAAGAGGAAACTTTGTCTTTCTTTGGACCCCTTACTTCCTCTACCTTCCTTAACCCTATGGATAGGAAGATGGAGGAGAGAAGCAAAGAAGGAGAAGAATACAGAAAGAGAAAAAGGAGGAGAGAAAAGTAGGAGATAACAGATAAAAAGGTCACGGAAGAGGACTTACCTGTAAAAGCTGGGGCTTTGCTAGGGACACAGAAAGGAGGGAGGTGCTGGGCTGCCCTTTGCAGCTGGCTGCCTAGGGCTAGAAGCTCTTCGGGAGGAGGCGGAGAAAGGGGGGTTGAGCATAGAAGGTGCCCACCTCCTGCTCTCAGCAATGTGGGGATAGACTCAGCCCACCCACCTGGCCCCAGCACACTTGCTTGGAGCTCAAAAAGGGTCAGTTTGAAGGAGTTTTATACCAGCTTCTTCCCTGGGAGAGGAGCCAAGAGAGGCCTATGGCAGCTTCCAGATATTAAGTTCCACAACCCCTGCCCCCACCTCCAGCCCTTCATCAGAGTCCCTACTTACTTGCTGTTTTAGGGCATTTTCAGCGACTTCACTCTCTTCTACCTCAAACGCCATCCACTTTTGGAGACAGGTACCACTGCCCCTAGGCAGGGACTTGGGAGAGGACCTTATGAGTCAAACCTCTATGAACCCCAACCTTTTTGTACTCGGGGAGGCTGAACCCCTGCCCAAAATAGCGCGGTGAAAGCTACTGCCTTCTCCCAAGTAGGGGCCTCCAGTACTGCCACAGCAGGGGCCGCATTCCTGGCGCCTCTTCATTCGAAAAACCTCTTTCCAGGAGACTTCGCTGATTCTGAACGAATACTTTAAAATATGGGCAAGGGAAAAAAAAAGACAACTCTTAGAAACTCTCCCCACCCAACATACCTGGAGTGCAGGCGAGGTCCAGGCAAACGGGAAAGCGACTTCTTGTACGAATAGC
Organism: Homo sapiens; assembly: GCF_000001405.40. NCBI lineage: Eukaryota > Metazoa > Chordata > Mammalia > Primates > Hominidae > Homo > Homo sapiens. The sequence goes on from NC_000007.14 coordinate 27,241,970, forward strand.
CATCTCAAGATGAAGCCAGGCTGTGGAAAACTTAAGGCCATCTAGATGGGAAGGAGGTATTTAAAAGAAATCAGCACACACTCTTACAGAAGCCAAGGCGGGTCTTTAAATTAAAAAATAATAATAAGGTATTTATTTCTTGCCCCTTAGGGAAGAAAAATAGCAAAGTTTGGTTCGCAGGAGTAAGGAGACAGAGGTGGGTAGGGAGAGGGAGGAGAAAAGAGGAAAAGATGGCCCAGCCTCAAGCTCTCCAGTCAACTTGGGGCGGGGGAATACATTTTTCCGTAGCTTGTAAAAAGACTTTTCAGCCAGTTTGAGGTTAGCTGCCAGGGGCAGACAGTTGTAATAATGCCGACAGAATTGAGGCTTGTAAGCCGGGCTTCACACTTCTAAAATGCAGTTATGGATTCTTTCATCGGTGTTAGATCAAGGCACCAAGTTAAGAAAACAAAAGTCAAAACAACAATAAAAGAAAAAATCAAAAGCTTATTTAATTACCGAGTCCCGCTGCCCCTGCGGAACTCGCCGCGCGCGTTAAGCTCTCTTTTCTTTCTGCGGAATTCCATTTGCATCCCCTCTGCCTGGGTGTCTCCCTCTCTCAGTGTGTGTGTCTCTCTGTCTGTTTTCACACTCTCCTCCCCAATCGAGCGAGGCCCACACCTGGCGCATCACTGCCGAGCCATTAGCTGCGGGTTTCCTTTCATCTTCGCTGTGGCAGACGTTTCTATTTATCCACTTGCGCTCGCCGAGTGGCGTCACCAGCGGTACTGTAATGACGATTGCAGCAGGAGGATGACAGCTTAGAAAGAAGAGGGCAATGGGGCTTCCTCCCAGAGGCGGTGCGGCACAGAGGAGCGCTCGCTTCACAAGGTGACCCTAGCTCCCACCGCCACCGCCGCGGTCGCGGTCCAGACCGCGCTCCAGCAGCTCCGCGCCCTCCCAGGCACCCGGCCTTTCTTTCTCCCTCTTGCAACCAAGATCCGTCCGGCCGCTGGAGACCCAGGGAGCCGGGGTTAGGAACTCACTTGGGGCTTTCCCCTCCCCCACCGGAGAGCCCCGGGATGGAGAGCCGAAAGGACATGGTTGTGTTTCTGGATGGGGGTCAGCTTGGCACTCTGGTTGGCAAGAGAGTCTCAAATTTGTCCGAAGCCGTGGGCAGCCCGCTGCCGGAGCCGCCCGAGAAAATGGTGCCCCGTGGTTGCCTGAGCCCTCGGGCCGTCCCTCCGGCCACCCGGGAGCGCGGCGGGGGAGGCCCGGAGGAGGAGCCGGTAGATGGACTCGCAGGCAGCGCGGCGGGGCCGGGCGCCGAGCCCCAGGTAGCTGGGGCGGCCATGCTCGGCCCAGGACCCCCGGCCCCCTCAGTCGACAGCCTCTCCGGACAGGGGCAACCCAGTAGCTCGGACACCGAGTCGGATTTCTATGAAGAAATCGAGGTGAGCTGCACCCCGGACTGCGCCACCGGGAACGCCGAGTACCAGCACAGCAAAGGTAGCCACCGTGCCCCTCCGCTCCCCGGGCCTCCCACTGCGCCCACCCTTCACTTCGGCGCAGGCCAGGAGGAAGACACTCCCTTCCCCTAGGGCAGGATGGCTGGGGGGACCCACCTGAGCAACTCTCTCTGCTATCTGCGTTCTGGCGGGGGTCTCCTACTGTGTTCTGGCATTGGCGGGACTGAGGGTGACAGCAGTGCCTTGAGTGCGGGGTGCTGAGGGGGCGGATGCAAGTCCTGGACTTGGGGGATTCGAAGCTCACCCCAAGCACCCAGTGTTTCAACTGCTCGGGGAATGCTTCAATTGCTCGGGGAAGACACTTTCCCCAGGCGAGGGCAAGATCAAACGCCGATCCGGGCAGTTTGTGGCTGGCAGGGTGTAAGAGGCATGGAGGCGCGGAAGCCAGGAGTCCATAAAGGACCGTAAAATTGCGGCCCACTTGGGCAGCCCGGGTGCTGCAGCCCTCCGACCAGTTTGCACGTCGGTCAGAGGTCCAAATTACCTTGTCACTTCCCGGGCTTCGCGGCGCCAGGTCGGAAATGGTCCCAATGGTCTAATTGCCTTTGGTCTCCGGTTGCATTTGAAAAGGCAGAGATCGGGTCCTCCCCCCTTCCCCTTTCCTTCCTAGTCCCACTTCTCCACCCAAAGGAAAAGGAGCTGCAGGGGGCTGGAGCCCCACCCTTCTCAGAGGTAGGCCCAAAGGGGGGCTGGTTTAACTGGAGAACCCCTCCCCACCAAAGGCTAATGGGAAAGGGGTGGATAGCCCGGAAGGGAGTTTCCCTCTGTGCCAACAATCACCTCCCCAGAAGGGGGTAGAAAACTGGGCGCGGGTTGGTGGGGGGGAGGAGAGGGGAGCCCACCAGCAGACACTCCTCCACAGAACTGTAGGAGTGGGTGGAAAGAGCCTGGGGGCGGGGGGGAGAAAGACCACCCCCTGGTCTTGGCAGCCAACGCCTTGTTGAATACCTGCACCTACCCCTTACTATCTTATCACCGATTTCACCCAGCCTCCTTCCCATAACCCTCAGAACAACCTGGACTCCACTCACATATACTAAGGTAATAAATAAGATACTCAACATGCATTCTCACTCCAGCCCTGCAATACACGGAACCTAGTACACATTCCCACACCTGTTCTGGCAGCCCGTCACACATAAGAGCAAGGAAACTCTCTGAATGCCCAGCATACTACAATGCACTTGACCCAGAGTTTACAACCCTCTAGCACAAAGGTGCATCTCAACTCATGTGCCTGTCAGAAGTGCACGCCCTGCCAACGGGAGGCAGAAATCTCACCTATGCTCCAGGGCAGGTGGGAAGGGCGGCTGGGAACCCCTGTACCCAGGATGCCTTAGAGGAAGGGAAGGCCTCCCCAAAGACCTCTACCTACCCAATCAAGGGCAGGCCCTTATTTTCCCTTCTTGGGTTCCCCAGAGGCCGCAGTACCCTAGCAGAAACAGTTACTGAGGTGGCTGACAGGGTGTCCCTTCCCAAATCACCCTCCCACCTTAGGCCTACAGCCCCACTTCAATGGCGTTTGTGTGTCTGTGTCTGTACACGCCTGTGCTCTGGACTCGCTGTGCAGGGTCCGGCTCCGAGGCGCTGGTCGGCAGTCCGAACGGAGGGAGCGAGACCCCCAAGAGCAACGGCGGCAGTGGTGGGGGCGGCTCGCAAGGCACCCTGGCGTGCAGCGCCAGTGACCAGATGCGTCGTTACCGCACCGCCTTCACCCGAGAGCAGATTGCGCGGCTGGAGAAGGAATTCTACCGGGAGAACTACGTATCCAGGCCGCGGAGATGTGAGCTGGCGGCCGCCCTAAACCTGCCGGAAACCACCATCAAGGTATGCGGGGTCCAGGCTGGGGAGGCGGGTGTGCACCTATTTAGCGGGAAGTAAATGCCAACTGCCAACTCCCTGAAACGCAGGCCAGGAATCTGGGCCTGGGGTCTCCCTGCCCGGCGCGTGCAGATTGACCCTCGTGACAGCTCCTAGGCAGGCATTGCTGCCATGTGGCTGACTCTGTCCCTTTCCTGGTTAAATAGACAAGGGGTGGGCGTGGGGGAAGGGGATAGAGTGCCTGTGCGGGTGACAAGGAAGTTTCTGGGGACACGCTCTCTGCGGCCGCAGACCAATTGAGTCCATGTCCTTTCACTGCTCCTCCCATACACACACTGGCCTCTGGCACCCCGGGGGCCTGGCCACCTGGGCAGAAGGAAGGAGGGAGCGGGCTGGAGTCACTCCCCAAACCTCTCTCGGAGGGATTCCAGCTCCAGGTGGTGGTGGTGGGGTCGGTCTCTACCCGGCTGGTGTCTGCTTTGGCTGTTCCTGCCCTGCGAACACTGTCCCCGGAGCGGGACCAGACTACTGGCCTCTGAGCATCGGGCCAAGTCCAGCTACTGAACCTGCTCCGCTCCTCTCCCCAGGTGTGGTTCCAGAACCGGCGCATGAAGGACAAGCGGCAGCGCCTGGCCATGACGTGGCCGCACCCGGCGGACCCCGCCTTCTACACTTACATGATGAGCCATGCGGCGGCCGCGGGCGGCCTGCCCTACCCCTTCCCATCGCACCTGCCCCTGCCCTACTACTCGCCGGTGGGCCTGGGCGCCGCATCCGCCGCCTCCGCCGCCGCCTCGCCCTTCAGCGGCTCGCTGCGCCCGCTCGACACGTTCCGCGTGCTGTCGCAGCCCTACCCGCGGCCCGAACTGCTGTGCGCCTTCCGCCACCCGCCGCTCTACCCCGGGCCCGCGCACGGACTGGGCGCCTCTGCCGGCGGCCCCTGCTCCTGCCTCGCCTGTCACAGCGGCCCGGCCAACGGGCTGGCGCCCCGGGCTGCCGCCGCCTCGGACTTCACCTGTGCCTCCACCTCCCGCTCGGACTCCTTCCTCACCTTCGCGCCCTCGGTGCTCAGCAAGGCCTCCTCCGTCGCGCTGGACCAGAGGGAGGAGGTGCCCCTCACTAGATAAGGGGCCGCCGGCTGGCTGCCGGCTCCATGACGCCCGTGGGGTCACCCCCCGGCCCCGGGACTCAGCCAGCCTCGCTCCTCGCTCCTCGCTCCTCGCCCCTAGGACGCCAAGGGGGAAAGGAGAGGGCGGAAAAGGACCAGCGGGATCCGGCCGCAAGAATTGGAAAGCCTAGGAAGTGGCGGTGGCTGGCGCGTTTGGGGAGCAGGAGTGGGGATAGGGAAGCAGAGCTTGAGAGACCTTCCTCCGGGGCAGCCTCCGGACCCACCGCCCCCCACCAGGGTCGAGGCTGTAGCTCCAAAGCTAAACAAAACTTAGCAGCAACAGCAACCAATATCCAGTCCCTCGGCCCCTCGGCCCCTCACCCTCCACCTCACACTCCCTTCTCACCGGGCCCCCTCTCCCCAGCCAAGGCCCAAGCACTGGAAAGGGAAATTGCTGTCTCTCTGAACAAAATGCTGTGTATGCAGAGCAGGTAGAGATTAATCTTTGCCAGCTTTTCCAAGGCATGACAAGGGGCTGGTGGATGGCAACATACCAGTCATTTGGAGGAGAGAGTGAGAGATGATTTACTACCAGGGAGAATCCAGCCCCTTGGCATGGGACCTGGAGCCTCGACTACACAGCATCTTCTGGGTCTGGCGTCTGCCAGCACCTGATCTCTTTCCTCATTCCCAGCTTTGTGACACTTCTCAACTTGCGGCTCCATCTCTCCCTGCCCCCACTTTTTTGTTGGCCAGGGAGGCTGCAGATGCCCCAGGAGCCCTTTGCCGCTTCTATGAGGCCAAGCCTTTTTTCCCTGGGCCCAGCACACACCCTGATTAGCAAGTGATGTGTGCGAGGAGGGTTTGTGAATGTTGAATGTGTAATAATGATCACCATGGAGCTGGCCACTGACCCCAGAGCTGAGCTGTTAACAAGGCGCCCAGGGAAGAGCTTAGGGAGTGGGAACTTCACCTCCCTCTCTCGGTATCTGGCGGTAAATTAGAGGCAATTTTCATCCTTTGCTTGTTCACCTTCACTTCACCAGGAACTTTCTGGCCCTACCCTTTGCATTGGGTATTTTACAACTTTCTCTCATTTTCTTCCCAAGCTACCACTGGAGCTTGACTTTCAGATACCAGTGGGAGCCTTCTGTCCCTTTTGGGGACCCTGTCTGTGGCCTCCACCAGGGTTTGTTTAGAGCCACTCCCAAATCCTCACTCCCACACTCATCCTTGCAGCCAGTTTTTGAGGAAGAGGAGAACGTGTAACCCCAATGCAAGCTTCACCCTGACTGAGAGGGAGTGGTTCTTCCTGTAGGGAATGAATTTGGTTTGATTTGGGGTTTTCCTTTGAAGCCCAAAGAACTTGCTGTTATGATTCGTTAACCATATTGCAATAAAAGCTGGACATAATTCTCACTTTACATTTTAGTTTTTGTGGCAGCAGGCAGCTCTTAACTGAATTTTAAAGTTGCTATTTCAGCCACCATGGGTTCGAATAGGGAAGGAACCAAAAGATGGACCCACAGAGTCTTCCAAGCCACTGTTTGTCACTGGTAGGCTCCAAGCAGCCATTGCATGGAGGTGGAGAAGACAGGCTCCAAGCTGCCCTGGGGTGCATGTTTCCTTAATTTTGGGTATGTTGGGAACAGTTCCTTGGTAAAGTGGCAGCAGAGTGCTGCCAGGGGCCCACCCCTGTGGTTTCTTCTCCAGTTGTTCCAATCCTTTGAGCAACAGAAAGGGGACCCAGGTTGTGGTCTCTGAGCAACCTGCCTCCACCCCAGCCCAAAGGGAAGGTGAGTGGGGCAGTGGCAGTAGAGCCTGAGTACTGCAGAGACCTGAGTTTTCTGGTCAAACTGGGTCTGCACTTGAGGGTGGAGGACAGCAGGGAGGAAGGCTCCTTGGTTGGGATCATCTTGGTCTGAATTGTCCTCATACTGGAAGTCATCTTGAGGGTGGGATTCTGAGGGGTTAGGACAAGAGGAAAGGAGTGCTCAGCAGCTACCTTCCAGCCCGCACCTGCATCCCCCACAGGAGAGCCAAATGTGGCTGGTTGTGGAGTTCCACTTAAGCAGGGGAGAGATGGGTGCCTTCTGGGAGTCCAGGAGGCTCTGGATTGCATAGACACGAGGAGTCCTCTGCCACTGTCTTTGCCAGCACATAGAGACTCCTCAAATGCCCTCCTCCCTCCTTGGGTTCCACAGCAAATCCTCCTGCACACAGTAGCAGGTGCCCTCCCAAGCAAATTGTGCCCTGAGGTTTCCAGCACCCCCTCTCCTGCAGCCAAAAGCTCCTGAGTGCCAAATCCTGGTAAATTTTGCAGTTGCTCCATATTGGGCAGAGATTGCTTGCGACAGGTAAATGGGCTGCATGTTGCCTTAATGCCAGGCGTATTTTCAGTTAATAGGGAGGGAAAATGAGGTGTCTGCAGAGATATTGGAAAGTACAAGATCGATGATCCAGCTTCGTGTCCAATCAGCAGCCTTTAATTGACTGTATTTTCTGGGTAATTGAGCCTCTCTTCCTCCAAATTGAAGTGGAAGATATAACAATACATCTTGCCAGGAGGAATTACTCATTACTTCATAATGAAATTTCCCTTTTGCCAAGGTTTGCGGTTTGGCGCTAGGCACGACTTCTCACTCCCCCTCTCCCCCCAAATATTCTTAGCCCACTTGCATCAGGCTACCCCATCTGGCATGACACGTTCCATTTGGGTGGTGGCAGGGAGGAAGTGGGAGTTGACTTGAAGAAGATACTGCCCCTTCACAATCACAGCCTCCTTATCTGTAAAATGAGAAGGCTAGACCAGGGCCTAGCATGATGTTGTTTTCATTTTTCAACTCTCTCAGTGTCTCTACTTAGCTTTGCCTCATCTCGGTTCCATTTTGCAGGAGGGAAAACGGAGGCTCCAGGTCTACACAGCTATTAGTGGCCGATGTAGCTATGAGCTCCGGGCTCCCACTTCCTCTTCTCTTACCCTGTTCTGGGGCACAGATTCTGAGGTAACCCCCAGTGAAGCCTGACACCTCACTCCCGACTCACGCTTTCCCAGGGCTCTTCAATCCCGGCCAGCCGGCAGGGCCTGGGAGCGCGGTCCAGCGCCCAGCCCAGATTCGCCCAGTTGGGCAAGGCTGGCCACCCCGCAGCCCGAGTGTGCACCGGCCCCCGGCAATTGCTGGCTTGTTAGCGTGTGATTGATTGCCTTATTAAAGCGTGTTCTTGTAAGTGTGACCAAACTGATTGCATTGCATATGTTTGGGATAATGCTCATTTTAAACAACAGGATAAAGAGGATGAGCTCCGCAGAGCCTTGAAGACAAAATGATTCTGGCTAGCAGCTCCCTAACTATGGCATTAAATTGCTCAGTTACATAGCAAATCGCTACTTGGTTTCTGCATCCTTGTCCGTATTTTTTTTTTTTCTGTCCTACAGTTTGATCCTGTCTCCCAATGTGGCATGCCCCACGAACGGTTTCTTTAGTGATTATGTTGACTCCACCTTCCTAGTTTCAAACCCTGCACCCGCACTCTCCAGACAGGAAGTCCCTCTCCCTCGACCAGGGATTGAGGGAGAAGAGATTCAGAATGCATCTCCTTGCCCTAGGCCTTTCGGGGGGGACATGGCCTTAGACAGTCACCCCGAAATTGGGCTCAGGTCCTCACAGTAAGTCGAGTGTCCCCCCACATCCCCAACCCCGGCCCTTTCACTAAAGTTTAAAAGATTCTTTTGTTCCTCAGGCTTCTCCCGCTTGGTTGCTTCCATTATTCCCCAACTGCGGAAACACCAGCCACCATATGTCCGCCGGAGAATAAGCGTGAGTGTCGCGGTGGACAGTTGCCGCCAAAGGTGTCCAGACGGATGGCATTCTCAAAGTAGGGATCTTAGCATCCTCTCCATACATCATCACCCAAGAATGGTAGAGGAAAGAGTAGGAGTGGGGTTACAGATAGGAGAGAAAGGAGGTTGAGGCCACAAAATTGGCATTTCTCTAATTATCAACCCCCTCCTCCACCATCCTGCCACCATTTGTTATGGCAAAGTTCTCTTTCTGTGCCCCTTCCCTAATAAAGAAATCCTCAGTCAGCCTCCACCTACTCCTTTTGATTTGCAGGAAGCCAAACTGCCAGCAGATTGAGCTTTCTAAGGGATACCTTTGGGATATGTTGGAATTCTGATTTGTTCAAGATGATGACGGTCATCAGTACAAATCAGAAACAATGCCACTCTTCAGGGTGTCATTTGTAAGTGCAATAACACGGATTCATTTGCAAAACCCAGCTAAACTGCGTCTGGATAAGTGACTAGATCCAAACGACAAATTTCTTCCATCACTCAGCTCCTCCCAAGCTCTGCGGGGGCAGCACAGAAGACTGCTTTAGGGTGAAACTAAGGCTCAGCTCACCATTTGTGCCAGCTTGAGGGACCCTGGAAATGTTGACTCTGAGAAAAAGACAAAACAAAACAAAACAAAACAAAACCCAATCACAAAACATATCCTACTGTCTACAAAGCAAACAGAAACACAAAGTTGTTTCCAAAATCACCTTTTCAGCAAATAAGTATGTGATATTCTGAGCAGGAGCAGGAGGGAGAGAAAGACTGCCACTTAAAAAAACATGAAAGCATTAAGTAATAATTTAAAACACGGCTGTTTAGAAAAATATTTATATTTATTGCAGCTGCTCAATTGGCCTCGTTAAAGTCGGCAAGCATTTAAATTGTGTTACAATCTCATTTAAATCCCGTTCCGTTCCAGCAGGCTGAAGAGCTTGAATAGACCAATCACTTCATAATGATGATGAATGAGAAATTAATTCAGATACAAGCAAGACAATTTAGGCCTTCATCTGTTTAAATAGCCTTCCAATATTATTCGCCATCGCGGGTCACAGATTGAATCAATTGTCCAATCTTGTGAAAGTCATATCCTTGCGTCTTCATCGAGATTATTTATAGCGCAGTGAGCGCTGCTGAAAGGTATACGCTGTTAACAGGGACAATTACTTAAAGGGAAGCGTTTGTAAAATGGAAAACAAATGCCGGGGTTGGTAACAAATGGGATCAAAAGCAGCCATTCCAATCTGGCTCCCCGAGGGAAAGGAGCGGGCGTGGCCCTGTAGGATTAGGGGCGCTTCTGACCTCCCCAAGACCCAGGTGAGGCCGAGGGTCCCCGGCGCGCCAGCCTGCGCCGTGGCTGTGGCTGCGGTGGCGACTCGGGCCGGGCCTCGCTCTCGCCGGCTTCAGGTTCCCGCCTCCCTCGCGCAGGCAGCGGGCGCGTGTGGCCCGGGCTGGGCAAGCCGAGGAACAGCGAGCCCCCGGACGCTGACTGCAGGACGTCCCAGTTTGTGCCCGGGTCTCCGTCCCTCCCCGTACGGGGCTCGTACCCCCGGGCCTGGGTCTGACCCACAGGGCGCTGAGGCCTTTGTAGCTGAAGTCGGAAGGCCTCGTTGCGAGCGCGGCACAGGTTGCTGGTAGCTTCTGGACTCTGGAGGCTTGGCCTTCCTTCTAAGCCGATGGCGGGGAAAGAACCTCGTTTCCACAGCTTCCCCGACCCCCGCCGCTTGCCATTTGGGGACGGGAAGCGCGCCCGGGTCGCTTCACGTCCCTCTGGGCCGGAGCCCTTTCCATGGCTGGCTCCTCTGGGGGCCCTTGGGCCTGTGAGCAGCGTCTACTTCCCTCAGAGAAGAATCCTTTCCTTCCCCCATCGAAGTGTCCCTTTCTGTATCCTGAAATAACCCCTCCTGGGTGAGGCCAGTTCCCCTCTGTCGCCCTCCTCCCGCAGGCGTCCGGGAGCCTCGTGAGGACCCCGTGCAGTTGAGTCCAGGCGACAGGTGCCTCCCCAGGTGTCTACTTGCCCTCCCTCAACCTGTTTAGGGAAAGACCAGAACGATGTGCGCGGGGAGGTGGTTTTGTTTCTCCCGAAACTGGCGCTCTTGGGTAAAACCGCGTGCCGCGTCTACGCGGGCTCTGTTAGTGTGCGTGTCCCAGAAGAGTGGGCCTTCTAGGCGGCACTCTTTGGAGAAGTAAGTGAGGTGAACTCAGAACAGAGAAGCGGGAACGATCGTTTGATGTGCCGAGCCGGAAAAAGAGAGGAGAGGGAGAGGCTCCCAGCGAGCGCGGAGACAGAGGAGCCCACGCGGCACAGCACGAGCCCTACTCTTGCCCGCGTAGAGGTGTGTGTGTGTGTGTGTGTGTGTGTGTGTGTGTGTGTGTGTGTGTGTTTTCCTCTGTATTTCTGTGTTTGAAACAAAAGCCCAACTAACGGATTCCTGGTGCTCTGAGGACTCACTCCCGGGAGCGACTTTGATGTATTGCTGTCCAATTAGTGCCTTTAATTGGTGTCCTCGGAGACAGGCAGGCCCGGAGCTGGGACAGAGCCTCCTCTCGCCTCTCCTGCACACTGGAAAGGTAAAATTTATAACACACTGTGGCCACCCCTTGGGAGAGCGAAAGAGAGTGGGAGGCAGGGAAGAAAGGGAGAGATGCAGCTGTTTGCAGAGGACGGAGCCTCCAGCCCCGGGGGTCGTGGGGAAGGGCCCAGACCACCGGGTTCGACTCAGTTTTCTGTGTAAGAGGGTTCGGGCCGGCTGAGTCGCTGAGGATTATGAATTTGCTCGCAGAAAGGCCTAGGGAGCTCTCATTGTCTGTACAAACCCACCCCATGTGGTCTACCATCTCGTTAATAATGGCTGTTTGTTAACAAGGATGCGGAGGTTAAATAATCCGGGTGGAAGATTAAACACGTCTCATCAAGGCGCTTGGAAGCCGCGCGGTGCAGAGACCTGCGCTGGAGCCGCCTGGCTCACTGGAGCCTGGAGGGAGATGGGAGCACAGTCTGCAAGGAGCCCCGGGGTAGAAGAGGAGGCAAGGTCTAGTCTCCCTCTTCAGGGTGTCCTGCTATGCCAGGACAGGTCTAACTCTTCCACATGTCAAACAGAAAATCCACATAGAAGTCAGCCCCAATGAGGTGTGGAGGTCAAACCCTCGGAGTAGTTGGCTGGAGGGCAGACATGGAGCATCTGGGGTCTGAACCAAAGGCCCCCTTTTGAGGAGGGGTGGCCATCCCCTGCCTCCCAGTCCTTACATGTCATGCATCTGGCAATTTGTGCCTACATGGGATTAGCATTGGATTAGAAGACAGAAGATGTGGTTTCTAGTCTGGGTTCTGCCCCTAAATCACTGTAGAATTTTTATTACATTATTCTCCCAGCTTCATTTTTCTACTGTGTAAGAGAAAGGAGATGGGGCTTGATGTAGATGATGTACAGCATTTCTTCTTTTGTCCAGCTTCCCACCAGAGTTAGGGAACTGAACACCTTATAAGATGCTCTGTCTCCCCTAAACCTTGCAGGATGCAGTCAAAAAGAATTTTATTTAGCAAATATCTGAGGGCCTACTCTGCACCAGTCATGGTGCAGTATGTATTTTTTAACTGAGAGCAGAATATCAGTTCATATTCCCCTGTTATTCTCAAATATAATGTTTTATAACAAAAGATGAAAGAGAAAGAACTTCAAAGAGAATAGAATAGGATGGGTATGTATGTACAGGGTAGAGAAACTATGGAGGTAAAGGTAAAGGCATTGACAAAAGCTGTGAAGAACTTGTTGAACTGGCAAGGAAGTCAGTGGATAAATACTGCAGAAGTAGCTCCTTAACAGAGATACTATGTAGGAGAGTAGAGAGAAGGTCCCCTCCTGAATCCTGGTGATTTGGCAGAGAACAAAAGGGTAAGGGTTGCAGAATTTGACTAGGAGGCCCAAGTTGTATGCATCTAATATTGCCAATTTTTGGTTTATATATTCTTTCAGTAGTTGGAATTTCTCTCTCTCTCTCTCTCTCTCTTTTTCTTTTTGAGATGGGGTCTTGCTCTGTTGCTCAGGCTGGAGTGCAGTGGCCCCATCAAGGCTCACTGCAGCCTTAAACTCCCAGGCTCAAGTGATCCTCTCATCTCAGTCTCCCGAGTAGCAAGGGCCACAGGCATATGCCACCATGCCTGGATAATTTTTTTTTTTGGTTGAGGGGTACAGATGGGGTCTTGCTGTGTTACCCAGGCTGGTCTCAAGCTTCTAGGCTCAATGAACCCTCCCACCCTGGTGTCCCAAAGTGTTGAGATTACAGGAATGAGCCACTGTGCCCGGCCTAGGAAGTTTACTCTTTAGCTAATTTTGAAACATTACTTTCTGAATCCACCAATCAGGAAACTCGGCTGCTAGGCTGGGACTCTTCAAGCTTCTGGGTGATGGGCATTTAGCCTCAAGGAAGGCAATGATGCTTAAATCACTAAACCATGTCTCAGTTTCTGTGAGTCAGGAATCTAGTGAGCTTAGCTGTGTGTCCCTGGCTCCAGGCTATTCCACTGGGGTTGTGGTCTTATCTAAAGACTCAGCTGGGTGAGGATATGTTCCGGGCTCACTCATGTGGTTGTTTGGCAGGATTCAGTTCCTTGCTGGTGGGCTATTTGGCTGAAGGCCTCAGTTCCTTCTTGGTGGTTGGCCAGAGGTTTCTCTGTTCCTTACCATATGAGCCTCTCTATAGGGTAGCTTATAAAGTGGCAGCTGTCTTTCCTCAGACTGAGTAAGCAAGAGTGAGAGTGGAGGGGGGAGAAAGCACCCAAGACAGAAGCTACACTCTTTTGGTCATCTAATCTTGGAAGTGACTTTCCATCACTATGCCATATTATATTTGTTAGAAGTGAGTCACTAGATCCAGCCCACACTAAAGGAAAGGGGATTACAGAAGGCATCAAATCCAGGAGGCAGGGATCACTGGGGACTGTCTTAGAGGCTGCTGCCCAGACCCCTTTTATATAACAGCTCTGAGGCTTATATGGTTTTATATTTATGAAGAGCTTAGGACAGCACCTGTTTGCTCTGATCATCAGCATGAGTGATCCTTCTGATCCAATGGAGCACCCATTTCTTCATCTAGACCCTCCTATGTCAACAGTTCTAATTTTTTCCTGCAAAGCCCTGTAAAAGAGTGTAGGAAAGGCAAGACAGTAACTGCTGCAAGGAAAGAGGCTGAGGAAACAGAATAGAAAGGGGATAGGATGGGAGATCCTGAAAAACTCTGGGGGAGGGTGCCTAGAGACAAAAGGGAAAGTAGGAGACCCTTGTCTCCTATGGTGGGCTTTACACTTTTTTTTTTTTTTGAGACAATGACTTGCTCTGTCACCCAGAACCCAGGCTGGAGTATAGTGGTGTGATCTCCAATCACTGCAACCTTCACCTTCAGAGCTCAAGCAATCCTCCTGCCTCAGCCTCCTAAGTAGCTGGGACTACAGGCATGTGCCACCACACTCAACTAGTTCATATATATATATATATGTACGTATATATATATATATGTATATATATATATATATATATATAGAGAGAGAGAGAGAGAGAGAGAGAGTATGTATATATGTATATTGGTAGAGACCAGGTTTTGCCATGTTGCCCAGGCTGGTCTTGAACTCCTAGGCTCAAGTGATTCGCCCACTTCAGCCTCCCAAAGTGCTGGGACTACAAGCATAAGCCACTGTGCCTGGCCAGCTTTACACTGTTTAGAGTATTTCCACATACATGATCATATTGATTCTCACCACAGCTATGTGAAATAAAAATTGTTATTTCTATTTTAGAGATGAAGGGGAGGCCAGGTGCAGTGGCTCATGCCTGTAATCCCAGCACTTTGGGAGGCTGAGGTGGGCGGACCGCCTGAGGTTGGGAGTTTGGGACCAGCCTGACCAACATGGAGAAACCCTGTCTCTATTAAAAATACAAAATTAGCCAGGCATGGTGGCGCATGCCTATAATCCCAGCTACTCGGGAGGCTGAGGCAGAAGAATTACTTGAACCCGGGAGGCGGAGGTTGTGGTGAGCCGAGATTGTGCCATTGCACTCCAGCCTGGGCAACAACAGCAAAACTCCGTCTCAAAAAAAAAAAAAAAAAGAGATGAAGTGGAAAGCCCAGAAAGGTCATACAGCTATTAAGTAGGGAATCGAAGACTCCAGTCCGGGCTGTCTTACCCTATGCCCTTGAATCTTTCTGTTGCAGTCTGACTTAGCTGCCCAACTTCTTTCCCATGAAGTTACAGCTTCAGCTGGAGTCATGGAAAGCCATATGGCATGAATATAATGCTGTGGGGGCGATATGTCAGATACTGGGTTAGGGCTTCTAGCCCTGCCTGGCCCAGAAAGTAAAATCAACTTAGCTAAAAGCTGACTCAAAAATGGGAAACCAGGGCCAGAAACGATGGCTCATGCCTGTGATCCCAGCACTTTAGGAGGTTGAGGTGGGTGGATCCCTTAAGCTCAGGAGATCGAAACCAGCCTGGTCAACATAGTGAGACCTCATTTCTACTGAAAATAAAAATAAAAAAATAAGTCAAGCATGGTAGTGTGTGCCTGTAGTTAAAGCTACTCAGGAAGCTGAGGTGGGAGGATTGCTTGAATCTAGGAAGTCAAGGCTGCATTCCAGCCTGGACGACAGAGTGACACCCTGTCTCAAAAAAAAAAAAAAAAAAAAAAAACCAATGGCAGAGGCCAGGAGGTCAGGAGGTCAGTAGTTCAAGGCACAGCATCTAAAGGGACTCAGTCCTGATTCCACAAGTTTTCAGTACCGGGTTTCTCAATTAGGAAGGTGGAGCCGTGGAGCCCAGTAGCAAAAGGCACAGAAGCTGATGGTACATTATTACCCGGAAGTCTGACATGAAGGGAAAAGCTGTGGGACTGGCAAGAGAAGCTGGTGCAAGGAGAGTGAGTAAATCAGGCTCCTGGACTTGCGAGGCTGATGGTGTCCAGGTTACGGCTGCAGTCCTAGAGGGGAACACTGGAGTGCCAGGCAGCAAACCATGACTGAGACTTAACTGTTCCTGTCCTGTCCCTCTCTTCTTTAGTAAAAGAGCCCCCTTTTTTGCCTGGGCAAATGGCCGCCTGTAATAAAGGCCTTGTTCCCCAGCTGGCTAACTGTAGCCATGTGGCTAAGTTATGGCCACTGGAATGTAAGTGGAACTGGTGAGTGTGTGTGGCTTACAGAAGCATCTTTTTTTTTTTTTTTTTATGGTTGTTTTTGTCTTGTTTTTTCTTGAGACTGGGTTTTACTCTGTAGCCCAGGCTAGAATACAGTGGTGCAATCATAACTCACTGCGGCCTCAATCTCCTGGGCTCAAGCAATCCTGTTGTCTCAGCCTCCTGAGTAGCTGGGACTACAAGTGTGCATCACCAAGCCTGGCTAATTTTTAAAATTTTTAGTAAAGACAAGGCCTCACTATGTTGCCCAGGCTGGTCTCCAACTCCTGGCCTCAAGTGATCCTCCTGCTTTGGCCTCCCAAAGTGCTGGGATTATAGCATAAGCCACCACCACCAGTCAGATTGGATGAAACTGAAGAAGCTACCCTGCACCTGGAGGAAGCCATGATTGAGCAAAGCAGAATGACAAAATGAAAGCAGCACAGGTCCCTGATGCTGCCGAATCCCCTGGACCCGCCTACCTTTGGGCTTCCTTTACATGAGAAAGAACTACCTTAATTGAGCCACTCATTTTGTATTTTCTGTTCCATGGAGTAGAACCTAATCCTAACTAATACAGTATTTAAGACTAAGAAGGCCAAATGTGAGCAGGAGACATTTTTGAATATTGATTGCACAAGGAGACAGGACTTGGGGGATGTGACCACTGGCACCCAGATTCACATCTGGTTGATAATGAAGACAGGAGGTGTTGCTTATGGTACCGGAGCTTGAAGTTAGACTTGCAGGATGAGGAGGGTAGCATGAGTAGAACCTAGGTTTTGGGGTAAGAGGCTGGTTTAAATTCTTGTTTTGTTGCTTACTGGCTGAGTGATCTGGAGAACTGTTGAATCCCTTGAGCTTTGGTTTGCTTATCTGAGGGGTGGTGGTTATGATTAAATGAGATAACAAGCACAAAGCATTTTAATTCCCTTCTGTCTTCTTTGTTCTTTTTCTTACTCTTTACCCCTAATCCTAACTTCCATTTACCCCCTGGACTGAGAATATGACTTAATTCCCGGTCTCACCTTCTCTGGTATGAAAGGAAATAGAGGCCACTTATGTAAATTCTGCCTGTTGGAATTTGCCACAGAATATGGTGGTGGTGACGGACTTAGCTATGGAAGTCTCAATGTTGGCTCCGTATTAGAATCACTTGGGCTAATTTTTACAACAGACTCTGCCCTAAATCAATTGAAGTCTTGGCATGGGCAGTCTGAACATCAGTCTTTTTCCAAGCTCCCCCAGGTGATCCTGATGTACAGTGAAAATTGAGAACTGCTGGAGAAGGGAAAGGAGATGCATGTCCTAGCACCTGGTGGGTACTCAGTAATGCAATGCATTGTAATTGACATGAGATTGAGATTCATAGGGAAAGGATCTGGGTCTCCTTATTTTCTTTAAATACACATGGTCCACTCAGATTATTTATTGACTAACTCAAGTTTTAGTAGTTTAGAGACACTGTGTAACTGGAGACACTCTGACATTTTAGAGCCAGGAGCAACATTCAAGATTGTTTAGTAGGCCATGCACGGTGGCTTACACCTGTAATCCCAGCACTTTGGGAGGCCGAGGCGAGTGGATCACCTGAGGTCAGGAATTCGAGACCAGCCTGCCCAACATGGCGAAACCCTGTCTCTACTAAAAATACACAAATTGGCTGGGCGTGGTGGCACACGCCTGTAATCCCAGCTACTTGGGAGGCTGAGGCAGGAGAATCGCTTGAACCTGGGAAGTGGAGGTTGCAGTGAACTGAGATCATGCCATTGCACTCCAGCCTGGGCAACAAGAGTGAAAAACTTTGTCTCAAAAAAACAAACAAACAAAAAACACAATTGTTTAGCCAATCTACTTCACTTTATTGGTCTTTCAGTTTTCTGTGAGTAAAATGGACCTTCTATGCCTACAGTGGATTTAGAGAAGACACAGGATGTTACACAGGAAATACGCAACTTCTATTCATCTTATTTTGATGGCGAGGAGAGGCTGGGTGCCCTATGTGTCTTTTGTATTTCACTTGGGCTGCAATAATGTGTCCAGATCCAAAGGCCAAAGCTGCATTTTTTTTGAGACTGGGTCTCAATCTGTCCCCCAGGTTGGAGTGCAGTGTCGTGATCAAGGCTCACTGCAGCCTTGGTTGGCATCCTGAGCTCAGGTGATCCTCCTACCTCAGCCTCCCACCTCAGCCTCCCCAGTAGCTGGGACTACAGGTGCATGCCACCATATCCAGTTATTATTTTTTTCTTTTTTCTTTCTTTCTTTCTATCTTTCTTCTTCTTCTTCTTCTTTTTTTTTTTTTTTTTTTTTGGTAGCAATGGGGTCTTTCTGTGTTTCCCAGGCTAGTCTTAAATTCCTGGGCTCAGGTGATCCTCCCACCTCGGCCTCCCAAAATGGTGGCCCCAAAGCTGCATTTCTTAATGGCCAGTCTAGGAACTTCAGTGGAAGTGGACATTTCAGTTGTACATCACTGGGGTCAGCAACCGAAGTTAGTGAAATGCAAATATTGAGAAAAACAGGGAGCTGGGCGCGGTGGCTCACGCCTGTAATCCCAGCACTTTGGGAGGCCGAGATGGGCAGATCACGAGGTCAGGGGATCGAGACCATCCTGGCTAACATGGTGAAACCCCGTCTCTACTAAAAATACAAAAAATTAGCCGGGCGTGGTGGCGGGCGCCTGTAGTCCCAGCTACTCCGGAGGCTGAGGCAGGAGAATGGCGTGAACCCGGGAGATGGAGCTTGCAGTGAGCCCACATCACGCCACTGCACTCCAGCCTGGGCGACAGAGCAAGACTCTTGTCTCAAAAAAAAAAAACCAAAAAACACAAACAAGAAAAAAGGGCAATCGGGCATACTTTCACCTAGATGTTACCCCTCTAAACTACCAGGAAGGAAGTGCAAAGGAGGAGTTGCAAGCTCAGGTTGCGGACTCCAGAAGATAAACTTGCATGTTGACTTAAGTGTGCCTTAGGGGAAAAAACGTTTAGAGAGCCCTGCCAGTTTCTTATCTAGATGGCCAGAACTGGCCAGGTGCCTTTGGGAATTAGGATTAAGATCAGAGATAATCTTTCGGGATAGTGGTGACTGTGGAAGAAATATGTACAAAAATAGTCCGGCACTTCCAAAGAGAATTTTTAAAATTCCAGGAAAGTGTTCTTAGCCCTTCCTGAACAGGTCTGCTGCTATCATGATCTCCCTTGCAAAAGAGCCAATAATTCTACTTCCTGCAGAGAAAAAAGGTCATTTTATTTTTTGAAGAAATAGATTTAATTCAATGCATACGTAGTAATTCTTGAACTAACAGAGCTATCTTGATAAGGTTGTCTTCTCCCTGATGCCATAAGGCAGAGGCTTGTATTAGTTGAGAGGTCTGCATTAGATCAAAGGAGATAAAGAGAGAAGAGAAAAAAGAAAGGGAGAGTTGAATATAACCACAAATCTTGGTAAATCACTCAAGCTGTAAAGCCAACTATTGGAAACAGGAATCATCGCTTGGGTCTTGGAGACCCACACTTGGATTTGAGCTCATGTTGTTAAGTATACAAGGTCCAAATCACTTGGAGGTGACCTACGGGAAAGTCACTGATCATACTCCTATACTGGAAACTCTATCCCAGATCTGATACTTTTTTAATAAATTCGTTAATTAGAATTATTATTTTGATCTGGTAAAAATTTTACCCTTATTTCATCTTATGTCACATTTTAGAAAGATGTGACAAGGGGTCCTCAATTAATTTCACTGTACTTTCCCAATCAGGCTTGGATACAGGCATGTGGGTATACATAAAGGGGAATGCAGAAGTGTAGATGACTTCACGTGACTATGTGAGGATGGACATTTAATGGAATACTCCATGCTTGTATGTTACAGGATGGCCTCTCTTTGGTTGAAAAGGATGAAATGGGAGGTTTACACCGATCTGGCAAGCCACCGAGGGAAGTTCTGGTTTTGTTTGTGGCTTGGGCTGGTTTCCCGGACTATTCACCCACAACTCAGACTTTTAATTTCTAAAATTTTACATTTCATATAACATTCCTACAGTTAACTGAGATTCAAATTCTATTTCCACAACCTCTCTCTCCAAAATTCTACTGAGGAACACTCTTCCAATTGGAGTCTCCACCTGATTAGATGAGTTTCATAAAACTTCTTTTTTTTTTTTTTTTTGACCAGCTCTGTTACCCAGGCTAGAGTGCAGTGGCATGATCATAGCTCACTACAGCCTCAACCTCCTGGGCTCAAGTGATTCTCCTGCCTCAACCTCCTGAGTGTGGGGGACTACAGGCACTTGCCACCATGCCCAGCTTTATAAAACTTTTTAAAGTTTATTAGTAGCCTTTCCAGAGGCAGTTTCAGCTGATGGGTAGTTGAGACTTTGGTAAAGAAGTGATTGTTGTGAATTTAACTGAACGCTACTTTAACATAGTGTATTTTTGGATGTGTGATATAGGTTTGTCTAGTGGTGGAATGGTACTTTTACACCAATGATGATTTTGAGATGGATTTCTATCTTCAACGATCAGCTGTGGACCCCTTAATTTTTCTCCTTACCTGTGAAATTAAGTCCCAATGACATAAAGAGTTAGTTTGGCCCTTTTCCCACAATGTAATTCTTAGACAAATTGTGCCCAAGAAATTACCTTGACATAGATCATGTTTGAATGCTTTGTGGAGTGCTGCCTGTTAATGGACAATCACGTTGGTTAAAGGAAGTTGCCTTGGATATTGGCTAACGTACGTGGCCTAGAACAAGTTCTGTGCCATATTCCTTTCTTCCTTTAATTATTCCAATTTCAGGACAAAGCAATACATCCTTGGGAGAAGGGGTGTCTGAAATAAGCACTCTGCCTTCGATCCCATTTCATTCTTCAGGATGTCTCCCTTCCCATCACACTGAGTCATGAAATATGAGTCAGTCATAGTGAATGGCACAGAGGCCTGAAAATGCTGTGTGGATGGAGTGAGGATACTTAATTTCCAAAATTTTATCAGTTACTTAGCACAGTAGGTCAATGTATATATATCGATTTTCTGAAAGATGAAAAATTAAGCTTCTTCAGTCTGGCTTATCTCAGAGGAAAATGGGAAAATGTATGATCTCAGAAGCCAAAAATTAGCCAAAGTAAAATGACACTCATGTAAGAGTGCATAATGGCTTTCAAAGAGTTAGATCTTCAAAGGACATTTTATTTCCAGTGTGCTTTTTTTTTTTTTTTTTTTGAGACAGAATTTTGCTCTTTTGCCTAGGTTGGAGCGTAGTGGCGTGATCTTGGCTCACTGCAACCTCCGCCTTCCGGTTTCAAGTGACTCTCCTGCCTCATCCTCCTGAGTAGTTGGAATTATAAGCGCCTGCCACCATGCCTGGCTAATGTTTGTATTTTTAGTAGAGACAGGGTTTCACCATTTTGGCCAGGCTGGTCTCGAACTCCTGACCTCAGGTGATCTGTCCACCTTGGCCTCCCAAAGTGCTGGGATTACAGGTGTGAGCCACCACACCCAGCCTCCAGTATGTTATAAGCACTCATAAATATATAAAGGGTTGATATAACTTGACTTAATTTTCTGCAGTTGGTGTGGCCATGAAAAAGCTCTATTAAAAGGAATTGTGTTTTAATCATACTCTACTAATGATTTTGGTTATAATTTTGGAAATATTTTCTTTTTTTTTTTTTTGAGACAGAGTCTCGCTCTTGTCGCCCAGGCTGGAGTGCAGTGGCAAGATCTCGGCTCACTGCAACTTCTGCCTCCTGGCCAAGCTATTCTCCTGCCTCAGCCTTCTGAGGAACTGGGATTACCGGCGACCGCCACCACACCCGGCTAATTTTTGTACTTTTAGTAGAGACAGGGTTTCACCATGTTGGCCAGGCTGGTCTCGAACTCCTGACCTCCAGTGATCTGCCCGCCTCGGCCTCCCAAAGTGCTAGGATTACAGGCGTGAGCCACCATGCCTGGGCTGGAAATATTTTCTTATATAAACTATTTTGATCTAACACATATTGGAAATCTAGCTTTAGAATTCCAGTATTCGTGTCAAGCAACATTCTCTATGCCTGGTCTCTGTGCAATTATTTCTCCTACTGTCTCTTCAAAGAAGCTGATCAAATGAACAGTCATCCTATATGATTTTCAATTCCTACTAAATACAACACTCACCGATGAACCCAGTTCATTGAGAATTCCATAGCATGTGAAACACTAGTTTGTGCTATTGCACTGTAGAATAATTTGAACTCCTCAGCTGGGAGAACGGTAGGAACATTTTTTAAAAAACAGCTCAAAATGAAGTAGATTCAGCTTCATAGGAAGTGGGGTTGCTCACTCAGTAATAAAAGAGGTAACTGTAGGGGAAAAGGTTTAGACTTTGAAACCAGGCAAACCAGAGTTCAAATCCCCTTTCACCATTTATTGGCTGTGTGTTAAAATTAACCTCCTAAACCTCAGGGTCTTCCTTGAGGAAGAATACTTACCTAGCTCCTGAATAGGAATGTAAAGCTGATAGCAATACCACAAACTTCCTGCCTACCCCAAAGACTGAGTAATTACTAACACACATCCTTCTAACAATTCCCTTACCTGAAGATAAGGCAGGAAGCTTTGAAGTGCAGACTTTATCAGCAGGGATTACTTCCCCTGCAGGCGATGTATACATAAAATCTATTTGGAGTGAGAATTGCAAATTGTGTCACTAAAATCCTGTTTGAAACATTTTGAATCTTGGAAATATCAAGGCTATGCAAAGCACAGTGGCTGGCGCCAAGATGGTGAGGTGAGTTGTTCAGTAAAAAAAAAAAAAAAAAACACAGGACCAGGAACAGTGGCTCATGCCTGTAATCCCAGCACTTTGGGAGGCCGAGGTGGGTGGATCATCTGAGGTCAGGAGTTCGAAACCAGCCTGGCCAACATGGTGAAACCCCATCTCTACTAAAAATACAAAAAATTAGCTGGGCATGGTGGTGCACGCCTGTAATCCCAGCTACTTGGGAAACTGAGACAGGAGAATCACTTGAACCAGGGAGGCAGAGGTTGCAGTGAGCCAAGATCGCACCACTGCACTCCAGCCTGGGCGACAGAGTGAGATTCTGTCTCAAAACAAACAAACAAATAGACAAAAAAAACAAAACGACACACACACACACACACACACACACACACACACACACACACAGAGAAAACCCAAGCTATTGCATGGGCCAGTGCCCAGGGCACTCAGGGAAGAGGCCAGGGCTGTTTTCTGGGAATGAGAGCCCTTCTTCTCCTACCTTTTTTAAGGATTCTCAGATCATTTGCAGAGGGTCAGGTTGGGGATTCGGGCCATGGGATCACTTCTAATTCAGGTCTGTTTCTCAACATCTCCCAAGGCTATTTCCGGCCTGGAAAGGCACCTCTTTCCTACCCCGCTCCCTCCACATATTCACTAATTTTCAAATGTTTCAATGTTTTCAAATGTTTTACATGACAACCTCCTCCCCAGATAAAAGCTTGCTGAAATAATATTTACACTTACTTATACACTCTGATGGTTTCTCCTCTATTCCATTTGATTCCATTTCATTACAAAGCATGCTGGTTGTAACCAGCTGAATTTTTTACTCCTTAGAGGGTGTCGGTCCATTGTTTGCAAAGCCCTAGCCTTAAATGAGTTATACTCAGTTATATGAGAGCTTTAGAAGACTCCAACAATAGAGAGCAGCCCTGGATTCACTCTCCCTACCCACGCTGGCCCCATCCTGCCCCATACCATGTATTCAGACTGTACCTGGACCACAAACTGGGCCTGACTTTGAGTAGACATTTGAGAGCTTTCTACAGTTTTGGGAGTCCCAGAAGGTTCCAGACTGAACTTCCAGCTCCCTTCTCAGAGTATAGCTGATTTGGATCATAAATCTGTGGACATGGAACTGGAAGGGACTTTCTTTTTTTTTTGTCTTTGAGACAGAGTCACACTCTGTCGCCCAGGCTGGAGTGCTGTGGCATGATCTTGGCTCACTGCAACCTCCACCTCCTGGGTTCAAGCGATCCTCCTGCCTCAGCCCCCCTAGTAGCTGGGACTACAGGCGTGTGCCACCATGCCCAGCTAATTTTTGTACTTTTAGTAGAGACGGGGTTTCACCATGTTGGCCAGGCTGGTCTCAAACTCCTGAGCTCAAGTGATCCACCCGTCTTGCCCTCCCAAAGTGCTGGGATTACAGGCGTGGGCTACTGCACCCGGCCAGGAAGAGACCTTCTTGAGGCCCACATTTTTATAGAGGAGGAAACTGAGGCCAGGGGTTTCTTGCAGTCAGCATAATGAATTTGAGATTTATCCAAGTTGTGTGTGTCAATGGGTCATCTCTTTTGATTGCTGAGTAGTATTCCACTGACGAATGTACCATAGTTTGTTTCTCCATTTACCTATTGAAGCACACTTGGGTTTTTTCTAGTTTTTGACGATTATGAAAAGAGCTGCTATAAACATGTACAGATTTTTATGTGAACTTAAGTTTTCATCTCTAGTAAATACTTAGGTGTTAGATTGCAGGGCCTATGGTTAGTGTATATTTAGCTTTATTAGAAACTGCCAAACTATTTGAATTCCTCCCAGCAATGTATGAAAGTTCCAGTTGATCCACATCCTCACCAGCATTTGATATTATCAGTTAAAAATAATTAAAAAAATATTTTAGCCATTCTAGTAGGTATATAGTGGTATCTCATTATGGTTTTAATCTATATATCACTAATGGCTAATGATGTTAAAAACCTTTTCCTATGTTTATTTGCCACTAGTATATCCTTTTTGGTGATGTGTCTGTTCAAGTCCTTTAAGAAATACATTTTAATTTTTTTTTTTTTTAAATTTTTAGGGACGGGGTTTCACCCTGTCACCCAGGCTGGAGTGCAGTGGTGCAATCATAACTCACTGCAGCCTTAAATTCCTGGGCTCATGCGATTCTTCCAACTCAGCCTCCCAAGTAGCTGGGACTACAGATGTGCATCACCATGCCTGGCAACCTAAAAAAAAATTTTTTTTGTAGAGACGGGGTCTTGCCATGTTGTCCAGGTTGGTCTTGAACTCCTGGCCTCAAGTGATCATTCCACCTTGGCCTTCCAAAGTGGTGGGATTACAAGTGTGAACCACTATGCCTGGGCCACGGTTCTTCATATATTCATTGTTGGATATTTGTGATTTGCAAATATTTTCTCCCCTAGCCTGTAGGTTGTCTTTTCATTTTGTTCTATTTATTTTTTTAATCCATTGACTAACATCTGTCCAATCCATCTCGTTTTCTTAATAGTGTCTTTTTCAGAGCAAATGTTTTAAAATTTGATAAGTCCAATTTTTTTTTAATTTTATGTCAATTTTTTATTTTATGAATGTCCTTTTGGTGTCGTGTCTAAGAATTCTTTGCCCTAAACCCAGGTCACAGTGGTTTTCTTCTACATTTTCCTCTAAAAGTTTTGTACTTTTGGCCGGGTGCGGTGGCTTATGCCTGTAATCCCAGCACTTTGGGAGGCCGAGGTGGGTGGATCACGAGGTCAGGAGTTCAAGACCAGCCTGGCCAAGATGGTGAAACGCTGCCTCTACTAAAAATACAAAAAATTATCTGGGCGTGGTGGTGGGCACCTGTAATCCCAGCTACTTGGGAGGCTGAGGCAGAGAATTGCTTGAACCTGGGAGGTGCAGGTTGCAATGAGCCAAGATCGCGCCACTGCACTCCAGTCTTGGCGACAGACCGAGACTCCGTCTCAACAAGAAAAAGAATTTGTACTTTCATGTTTTATATTTTGTGTATTTTGAGGTAAGTTTTAAAATAAGATGTGAGGTTTAGTTTGCAGTTTTTTTGGGGTTTTTTTGTTTGTTTTTGGCATAAGGATGTCCAATTATTCTAACACTAGTTGTTGAAAGGACTATCCTTCCTTCATTTGCACCTTTGTCAAAAGTCAATTGGCCATATTTTTGGGTTGTACTATTCAGGGACTGTCTGTTCTGTTTCATTGATCTATTGTCTATTTCTTTCCAATACCACACTGTCTTGATTACTACCATGCCCGCCTAATTTTTGTATTATTATTATTATTATTGGGATGGGATTTTGCTCTTGTTGCCCAGGCTGGAGTGCAATGGCATGATCTCAGCTCACTGCAACCTCCGCCTCCCAGGTTCAAGCGATTCTCCTGCCTCAGCCTTCCTAGTAGCTGGGATTACAGGCATGTGCCACCACGCCCGGCTGATTTTGTATTTTTAGTAGAGACGGGGTTTCTCCATGTTGGTCAGGCTGGTCTCGAACTCCTGACCTCAGGTGATCCACCCACCCTGGTCTCCCAAAGTGTTGGGGTTACAGGCATGAGCCATTGTGCCTGGCCAATTTTTGTATTTTTAGTAGAGACGGAGTTTCGCCGTGTTGGCCAGGCTGGTCTCGAACTCCTGATTGACCTCAGGCGATCTGCCCGCCTTGGCCTCCCAAAGTGCTGGGATTACAGGCGTGAGCCACTGTGACCACCCGGAAATGAAATGCATTAAATCTATAACTGTCTTTGGAAAAAATAACATCTTTTTTTTTTTTTTTTTTTTTTTTGAGACAAGAGTCTTGCTCTGTTGCCCAGGCTGGAGGGCTGTGGTGTGATCTCGGCTCACTGCAAGCTCCACCTCCCGGGTTCACACCATTCTCCTGCCTCAGCCTCCGGAGTAGCTGGGACTACAGGCACCTGCCACCACTGCCAGCTAATTTTTTGTATTTTTAGTAGAGATGGGGTTTCACCATGTTAGCCAGGATGGTCTCGATCTCCTGACCTCGTGATCTGCCCACCTCGGCCTCCCAAAGTGCTGGGATTACAGGCGTGAGCCACCGCGCCCGGCCTGCAAAAAATAACATCTTTATTATATTGAATCTTTTTTTTTTTTGAGACAGAGTCTTGCTCTCTTGCCCAGGTTGGAGTGCAGTGGCGCAGTCTAGGCTCACTGCAACCTCTCCCTCCCGGGTTCAAGCCATTCTCGTGCCTCAGCCTCCCGAGTAGCCGGGACTACAGGCGTGTGCCACCACACCTGGCTAATTTTTTTTGCATTTTTAGTAGTGACGGGGTTTCACCATGTTGGCCAGGCTGGTCTCAAACCCCTGACCTCGTGATCTGCCTGCCTTGGCCTCCCATAATGCTGGGATTACAGGCATGAGCCACTGTGCCTGGCCCGTATTGAATCTTGTAATTGATTGGCACGGCATATGTCTTCATTTATCTAGGTTTTCTTTGATTTCTGTCCTCAATGGTATATTGTATGTAGGATAGAGATACTGTACTTATTTTGTTAGATTTATGCCATTAAATATCACTTATATCATGTATACATGTATATGTATTTCATTTTAAAAACTATTATAAATGTTATTTAAATTTTTCATTTCCAAATGTTTATTACTAGTATATAGAAATATTATTGATTTTTGTCGATTAACTTTGTAACCTTGCCAAATTAAATTATGTCTTGAAATTTGTTTTTTAATACAAATTCCTTGAGATTTTCTACACAATCACATAATCTGAGAATAGGGACTCTTTTATATCTTTTCCCTCAATCTATATGACTTTTATTCCTTTTTCTCATGATATTACACTGGCTGGGACTTCAATGTGACTTGGAATAGGTGAGGTAGGAGTAGACATTATTGCCTTGTTTCTAGTCTTAGAGGAAGAACATTCAGTCTTTCACTATTAAGTAATATCATGTGACTTGTATAGTCACATATAAGTAATATGTAATATGTTATTACCTGTAGGTTTTTTAAGATGCCCTTTATCAGTTTGAGAAAGTTCCCTTCTTTTCCAGTTTGCTGAGGGTTTTTACCATAAATGTATGTTGAATTTTGCCAAATGCTTTTTCTGCATCAATTATTATGTTCCTATGTTTTTTCTTCTTTAGACTTTTTTTTTCTCAGCCAGCTGTGCTTTATTGACAACGCGCCACTCGGGCCTTGACTGCGTACTTCCGCAGGAGGCACAGCCTCTCCTTCCGCTGCCGCTTCTTGGTCTTCAGGTTCTCCTTGTGCTTGTTGAACCGGCAGCACATGGCGCGTGTCTTCTTAGGCCACAGGTCCAGGGGCTTATACTTCTTGCCCTTGTAGAATTTCCTGAGTTTCTCTTTCTGAGTCTGGTTAATAACCGTGAGAACACGTCCAATTTGCGGACGACTCAAATCTTAGAGAGCTTGGAGGCCGCGCCGCCTGTCACTTTGGCGACGTGCAGCTGGGACAGCTCCACCTTCAGGTCATCCAACTGTTTCAGCAGCTCCTCCTTCTCGTGCAGGTCTCGAGCCTTGATCTTGGCCATTGCTGCATAGGCCACCGCCGCTGCCTGCTCTGAGGGAAAGAGCTAGACTATTAATATGGTGGATTACATGTTTTAAACTGTGGACTATTAAGTCAGCCTTGTATTACTGGGACAAACTGCTTGGTCATGATGTATTATTCTTTTTATATATTCCTGGATTTGATTTGCTAATATTTTATTGAGGATTTTTTGCATCTATGTTGGTTACAATACTGTTTTATAATTGTCTCACTGTCTTTGTATGATTTTGTTAGCAAAATCATAAAGTAGGTTGAGAAGTATTCCTGCTCTTCTAGTTTCTGACAAAGATTATGTAGAATTTGTATATATTTTTAAATTTTCTTTTCTTTCTTTCTTTCTTTTTTTTTTTGAGAGGGAGTCTCGCTCTGTCACTCAGGCTGGAGTGCAGTGGCGCCATCTTGGCTCACTGCAAGCTCTGCCTCCCGGGTTCACGACTTTCTCCTGCCTCAGCCTCCCGATAGCTGGGACTACAGGCGCCGGCCACCACGCCCGGTTAATTTTTTGTATTTTTAGTAGAGGCGGGGTTTCACCGTGTTAGCCAGGATGGTCTCGATCTCCTGACCTCGTGATCCACCCGCCTCGGCCCCCCAAAGTGCTCGGATTACAGGTGTTAGCCACAGCGCCTGGCCTTAAATTTTATTTTCTTTATTTACTTTTTAGACAGAGTCTCATGCTGTCACCCAGGCTGGAGTGCAGTGGCAAAATGGAGCCCTCCACCTCCTGGGCTAGTGATCCTCCCACCTTAGCCTCCTGAAGACCTAAGCCCACTGATGTATGCTACCATGCCCAGCTAATTTTTAAATTTTTTGTAGAGATGGGATCTCTTGCTTTGTTGCCTAGGCTGGTCTTGAACTCCTGGGCTCAAGCAATCTTCTTGCTTCCGCCTCCCAGTGTTGGTATTACAGGCATGAGTCTCTGCAATTGGCCTTATTTTTTTCCTTAAATGTTAGGTAGAATTTACCAGTGAATCCATACAGACCTGGAGACTTCTTCTATAAAAAGCTTTTCAACTGCTGATTCAATTTCTTTAATAAATATAGGGCTATTCAGGGTATCTGTTTCATCTTAGATGAACTTCATTATTTTTGGTTTGAGGAATTATTCTATGTCATCTAAGTTGTGGAATTTATGTGTATTGAGTCATTCATTACATTCCTTTATTATGCGTTTAATGTTTGCAACATCTATGGTGTCCCTCTTTTATTCTTGATATTAGTAATTTGTGTTTCCTCTGTTTTTTTCTTTGTTGGTCTTGCTAGAGGCTTATCATTTTTACTGATTTTTTTTTTAAAACCAACTTTTGAATTAATCGATTTTCTTTATTCTTCTGATTTAAATTTTATTGATCTGTGTTGTTATTTTTGTTATTTTCTCTATTCTTCTTGCATTGGGTTTATTTTACTCTTCTTTAGTGTCTTTAGGTGGAATAATTTGATTATTTTCTTTTTTTTTTTTTGAGACTGAGTCTTGGCTGGAGTGCAGTGGTGCAATCTTTGCTCACTGCAACCTCCACCTCCTGGGTTCAGGCAATTCTCCTGCCTCAGCCTCCCAGGTAGCTGGGATTACAGGTGTGTGCCACCACGCCCAGCCAATTTTTGTATTTTTAGTAGAGATGGGGTTTTGCCATGTTGGCCAGGCTGGTCTCAAATTCTTGACCTCAAGTGATCTGCCCACCTTGGCCTCCCACAGTGCTGGGATTATAGGCATGCAATTATTTAATGCTATACATTTTTAAAGCACAGCTTTAGTTGCATCCCACACATTTTGATTTGTTGTATTTTCATTTTTGTCCATTTCAAACTGTTTTCTAATGTCCCTTGACACTCCTTCTTTGACTCATGGATTATTTAGAAGTGTGTTGCGTAACTTTAAAATGCTTGGTGATTTTTCAGTTATTCTATATTACTGATTTCTAGTTAAATTCCATTTTGACTAGAGAACATATTTTGCATGTTTTTAATTATTTTAAAATTGTTAGTGTTTGCTTTATGACCCAAGATACAGGTCAGAAGACCATTTCATATGCATTTCAAAACAATGTGTATTCTGTGGCTCTTGGGTAGAGTGTTCTATAAATGTCAAATATGTCCAATTGATATACATGATGTTATTTGTGCCTTCTCGGTCTTTGCTCATTTTCTGTCTACTTGTTTGCTCAGTCATTGAGAGGAATGTTGAAGCCTCCAACTACAATTGTGAATTTGCCTGTTTTTCCTGTTAATTCTGTCAGTTTTTAGTTCATGTATTTTGAAGCTCTGTTATTAAGTGCATAATAACAGGATTTAGGATTATTATGTTTTCATCATAGAATTATTATTATGTTTTCTAGGTGAATTGGCCCTTTTATTACATTATTATAGAATGTCTCTCTTTATCTTTGGTAATTTTCTTTGCTCTGAAGTCTACTTTTTCTATTTTTAGTTGGCATTTAGCACATTGAAACAGAATGGTCCAAAGTGACAGAATCATTCTACATGTTTGCGCTCCTTCTCCAGGAAATATAATGGAATGTTTGCATACTATTTTAAAGAGCCTTGATCCACAGGACTGTTTTGTAAAATGCATCCTAATTTAGAATAAATAATAATGGTGACTTAGACCTTCTCCATGCCATATATAGACTATGTTGTAGTAAAGTTCATTCTTTCAACAAACATTTTTTGAAATGTCAACCATGAACCAACAGGCACAGGGTTGTGTGAGGGGATACTGAGAAAAAAAAGGATATAATAAAGAAGAAAGAAAAGATAAAAAGAAACCTTTTTCCAGACCCTTCAGATGGACACAGTTCAGTACAAATAATTCTATTTCAGTGTGCTAAATGCCAAAAAAATAATAGTAGGATTACTATTAATAATCCCACTCCAGCCCTCTTTTGATTAGTATTTACATGCTTTTATTTATTTTATTTATTTCTTTTTACTTTCAATTTACCTATATAGTTACATTTAAAGTGAGTTTCTTATATATTGAGTACAGTTTGTTTGGTCATGTTTAAAAAAATCTATTTTGATAATCTCTGTCTTTTAATTGGTATGTTTAGACCATTTACATTTAATATAGTTATTAATATGCTTGAGTTTATGTTTATCATTTTTTGTCTATCCATTTTTTTGTTTTTGTTTTTTATTTCTTTATTATTTTTTTTTTTTAGATGGAGTCTCGCTGTGTCTCCAGGCTGGAGTGCAGTGGTGCAATCTCAGCTCACTGCAACCTCCGCCTCCCAGATTCAAGTGATTCTCCTGCCTCAGCCTCCCGAGTAGCTGGGACTACAGGCGCATGCCACCATGCCCAGCTAATTTTTGTATTTTTAGTAGAGATGGGTTTTCACCATGTTGGCCAGGATAGTCTTGATCTTTTGACCTCATGATCCGCCTGCCTTGGCCTCCCAAAGTGTTGGGATTACAGGCGTGAGCCACTGCACCTGGCTGTGTTTTTAATTTCTTTTCTTTTTCTTTTTTTTTTTTTTGAGATGGAGTCTCTGTCACACAGGCTGGATTACATCTGTAATCCCAGCACTTTGGGATGCTGAGGCAGGCAGACCACAAGGTCAGGAGTTCCAGAACAGCCTGACCAACATGGTGAAACCCCGTCTCTACTAAAAAAAAAAATACAAAAATTAGCTGGGCATGGTGGCACACACCTGTAATCCCAGCTACTCAGGAGGCTGAGGCAGGAGAATTGCTTGAAACCGGGAGGCGGAGATTGCAGTGAGCTGAGATCATGCACTGCACTCCAGCCTGGGCGACAGACCGAGACTCTGTCTCGAAAAAAAAAAAAAAAGGGATAAAAGAGAAAATAAAAAGAAAACTTTTTCCTTTTTCCAGACCCTACAGATGGACACAGTTCAGTACAAATAATTCTATTTCAGTGTGCTAAATGCCAAGGTACGAGTAAAGGCTGGGGGGTGGCGGGTGTGCAGGGGAGAGATTTTAACCAATATCTACTAAATACTTCTTGTGTGCCAGACACTACCCTAGGTGCTGGGGACACCATAATCTGGTCTAGGGTGGTGGATCTGGGAAGGCTTCTGGAGGCAGTGACATTTGATCTGGGTTTTGAACGATGAGTAAGCTTTAACTAGCACAAGGGTAGGGATAGAAGGAGATGCATATTTAAATACCTTGAGGCGTGAGTGAGATTGATGTTTGTGAAAACTGAAAGAAGGCCAGTGTGGTTGGATCACAGCGAAATGGTGAGAAAGGGACACAAGATGTGACTATGGAGATAGGTAGTGTGTGTGTCGAGGTAAAGATTTGGGGTTTAGCAATGGGAAGCCGTTTATGCTGAGGAGACAGCCTGACCCAGGATTAGATTTGCATTTGAAAAGAATACTCTGGATACAGCATGGGGAACAGATTGGAAAAGGTTAGTGGTGGATGTCAGGAGACCAATTAGAAGACTAATTTGGTGAACCAGGCAAGAAGGAAAATATTTGAAAAGCTTCTCAAAGAGTTGGCATTTCAGATTTTTTTGTTTTGCTTTGTTTTGTTTTGTTGAGTTGGGGTCTCACTCTGTCATCCAGGCTGGAGTGCAGTAGTGCAATCATTGCTCACTGCAGCCTCAAACTCCCAGGCTCAAGCAATCCTCCTACCTCAGCCTCCTGAGTAGAAGGGCTTGCAGGCACACACCACAACACTTGGCTCAGCTGGGTTTTGAAGGATAAGTAGATATTTTCCCATATCATTGAGAGCAAGAAGATTCTAGGTTTTAGGAGAAATGCTGAAAGGGCCTGTAAGGCTGGGCTCTGATGTGTTTGCACGCATGCATGTGTGTGTGTGTGTGCATACGTGTGTGTGCATGTGTGAGAGTATGTGTGTGTGTGGAGAGGTTGAGTACTTGGGAAAATACATCGGGGCCAGATTGTGAAGAGAATTTGGCCGTCTTCATCAGGTAGTGAGATTATCTGATTTATATGTTAGAACAATCACTGTGTCTGCAGTGTAGAGAATAGAAAAATCAGTTGGCGACTTATTGTAGTTATCTGGGAGACAGGTGAGAAAGGCAGGAGCAAAGGGGACAAGAGGAGGGAATGGATTCAAGATCTATGTAAGAGATAGAATGTTCTGAGGTTATTAACAGAGTGGGTGTGATGGGTAAGAAAAAGGGAGGACTGAGGATGACTTTGAAGGTCTAAGTTGGATGAATGGTAGAGCCATTAACAGTAGTTGAGACTACACAGAAAGGGGAACACATTCTCTTGTGGGTTAGGAGAAGGAAGAGAAGGGGGAAGGAAAAGAGTGATACATTTGGCCTGGGGAACGTTCAATTTAAGGTGCTCAAGAGATGTACAGTAGAGATGTCCTCTTGACCAAGAATAACTAAGACTATCATTTGTTTAATGAATGCCTACCATGGGTCAGGTACTGGGCTGAGGAATTTCCATAGATCACCTCATTTAACCCTAACAACAGCCTTATGAGGTAGATGTTATTGGCTCCATTTTACATATGGGGAAACTGAGGTGCAGAGAGTTTTGAAATTCTCATGTACTTGGCTGATTATTACATTATTTAATCCTTCAACAAATTTCCATATCTACCATCTCATTTTCTGACTGTAAACTTTCCACCAAGAAGTCTTTTACCTTTCCCCATTCCTCCACCTTTTCCTGATTTGCCACATGTAATCATATAAAGAATGTTGCCGGTTTTGAAGGAGATGCTTGTTAAAACTCAGCTCTTGGCCGGGCGCAGTGGCTCATGCCTGTAATCCCAGCACTATGGGAGGCCAAGGCGGGCGAATTATAAAGTCAGGAGTTTGAGGCCAGCCTGACCAACATGGTGAAACCCGTCTCTACTAAAAATACAAAAGATTAGCTGGGCCTAGTGACAGGCGCCTGTAATCCCAGCTACTTGGGAGACTGAGGCAGGAGAATCACTTACTTGAACCCGGGAGGCGGAGGTTGCAGTGAGCCAAGATCACACCACTGCACTCCAGCCCAGGCGACAGTGAGACTCCATCTCAAACAATAACAACAATAACAACATAAAACAAAAAACTCTTTTACTAAATAGCTGTGTGGCCCTCACTTGTAAAATGGTTCCTCATTTGTAAAATGGAGAAAATGTAATGCCTTACTCTTTACTCCTCAAGTAAGCAGAAATGTTCTAACATTCACTTTGTTAGAAAATTTAGGAACAATAATTTTGAATGATTAAACAGATATGCTACTGACTAGAATGTGAAATTTGCATGATTTTAAGAGCAAACAGCCGGGCGCAGTGGCTCACGCCTGTAATCCCAGCACTTTGGGAGGCCGAGGTAGGCAGATCACTTGAGGTCAAGAGTTTGAGACCAGCCTGGCCAATATGGTGAAACCCCGTCTCTTCTAAAAATACAAAAATTAGCCTGGCATTGAGAGACAGGACTAGCTGGATTTCCTAGGCCAACTAAGAATCCCTAAGCCTAGCTGGGAAGGTGACCGCATCCATCTTTAAACACGGGGCTTGCAACTTAGCTCACACCTCACCAATCAGGTAGTAAAGCGAGCTCACTAAAATGCTAATTAGGCAAAAACAGGAGGTAAAGAAATAGCCAATCATCTATTGCCTGAAAGCACAGCAGGAGGAATAATGATCGGGATATAAATCCAGGCATTCGAGCCAGCAACGGCTACCCTCTTTGGGTCCCCTCCCTTTGTATGGGAGCTCTGTTTTCACTCTATTAAATCTTGCAACTGCACTCTCTTCTGGTCCATGTTTATTATGGCTCAAGCTGAGCTTTCGCTCACCGTCCACCACTGCTGTTTGCCGCCGTCGCAGACCTGCCACTGACTTCCATCCCTCCAGATCCAGCAGGGTGTCCGCTGTGCTCCTGATCCAGCGAGGTGCCCATTGCCACTCCCGATTGGGCTAGAGGCTTGCCATTGTTCCTGCAGGGCTAAGTGCCTGGGTTCGTCCTAATCGAGCTGAACACTAGTCACTGGGTTCCATGGTTCTCTTCCGTGACCCATGGCTTCTAATAGAGCTATAACACTCACCACATGGCTCAAGATTCCATTCCTTGGAATCTGTGAGGCCAAGAACCCCAGGTCAGAGAACACGAGGCTTGTCACCATCTTGGAAGTGGCCCACCACCATTTTGGAAGTGGCCTGCCACCATCTTGGGGGCTCTGGGAGCAAGGACCCCCGGTAACAGCATGGTGGTGAGTGCCTGTAGTCCCAGCTATTCAGGATGCTGAGGCAGGAGAATCTCTTGAACCCTGGAGGTAGAGGGAGGTTGCAGTGAGCCGAGATCATGCCACTGCACTCTGCAAGACTCTGTCTCAAAAAAAAAAAAAAGATCAAAGTATAAGCACACAGGAACTTCAAAGAAATTTCATGGCTTCTGTGTACTGTTTTGAGCTACTTCTTCAGGACTTCATGGATCAAAGTTCAGCCTCCACCAGTGGGAACATTTAATGAGGAAGGTTGAGAATTACCATGCATTCTATTAATATCCAGAAGGATTGTGGTTAGGACCAAATAACTAATAAGATACCCTAAGTATTAGTTATTAGGAAAGGAACTTTGTTATAAAACTCTGGGCAAGGCCAGGCGCGGTGGCTCACGCCTGTAATCCCAGCACTTTGGGAGATCGAGGTGGGTGGATCACAAGGTCAGGAGTTCAAGACCAGCCTGGCCAATATGGTGAAACCTCGTCTCTACTAAAAATACAAAAAAATTAGCCAGGTGTGGTGGCACATGCCTGTAATCCCAGCTACTTGGGAGGCTGAGGCAGGAGAATTGCTTGAATCCGGGGGGCAGAGGTTGCAGTGAGCCGAGATCGCGCCACTGCACTCCAGCCTGGGTGACAGAGCGAGATTCCGTCTCAAAAAAAAAAAAAAAAAAAAAACTCTGGGCAAAAGGTACCTATGTTCATTTCAGTTGTCATTTCATTCAAACTTTCTATGCCTGTTCTCCACCCTAGCAGCTGATTTATAGACTGACCTTTTACCTGGGCTAGTCCCCAGCTACATTGGCACTGTCACAAGGCAGTGAACTCCGTGAGTAAATGCATGTTCTGATTTGCTTTGCTCTCAAAGGCCAACCTGACCTTCTGCTTGTCTTTCTGACTGGTTGTGACTCATAGACTAGCTGAACACCAGGTCCTTGGGATCCCAAGCTGGGCAGGGTGCTGTGTTTTTTCTTTGCTCACTCAGACTTTCCCAGTGCTGTCTGTTTCAGAACTGGGGTTGATAACAGGGTCGGTAATGGGGAGACCAGGCTCCATTGCTATGGTTACTCTCTCCATGGATACAAATTATCAGGGAACTTCCATCCTCACAGACCTGACTCCTACCTCCTCCAGAGGTCTTTTACCAAGTAAAAACAAGTGGTGAACTCTTCACTCACTTCCTGGAAATTTCTCTTCAATTTCACCCTATTTGTATCAACAAAATCACCTACCTACCAAATAGGAATTTTTACCTTTGAATATAATTGTTCAAATTTAGGTTACAAACTGAATTTTTCTGTGTTGTGTTGTGTGAATATTCATGTACTTGAATTTTTTTTTTTTTTTTTTTTTTTGAGACAGAGTCTGACTCTGTAGCCCAGGCTGGAGTGCAGTGGCATGATCTCAGCTCACTGCAACCTCCACTGCCCAGGTTCAAGCAATTCTCCTGCCTCAGCCTCCCAAGTAGCTGGGATTACAGGCGTGCACCATCACAACTGGCTGATTTTTTGTATTTTTAGTACAGATGAGGTTTCACCGTGTTGGTCAAGCTGGTCTCGAACTCCAGACCTCAGATGATCCACCTGCCTTGACCTCCCAAAGTGCTGGGATTACAGGTGTGAGCCGCCGCACCCAGCCTCATGTACTTGAATTTTTAACCATAAAAGTTATATAAGCCCATCAAGGGAAACAGTGAAAACTGGCAAAAGGGATGTAAAACCCCAGAATTAATGTTTTGGGCTGGATGCAGTGGCTAACGCCTGTAATCCCAGCATTTTGGGAGGCCAAGGTAGGTGGATCACCTGAGCCCAGGAGTTCAAGACCAGCCTGGGCAATATGTCGAAATCCTGTCTCTACTAAAAATACAAAAATTAGCCAGGCACGGTGGCTCACGCCTGTAATCCCAGAACTTTGCGAAGCTGAGGTGGGCAGATCATGAGGTCAGGAGTTCGAGATTAGCTTGACCAACATGGTGAAACCCCATCTCTACTAAAAATACAAAAATTAGCCAGGTGTGGTTGCACATGCCTATAATCCCAGCTACTCAGGAGGCTGAGGCAGGAGAATCACTTGAACCCAGGAGGCGGAGGTTGTAGTGAGCTGACATCACGCCACTGCACTCCAGCCTGGGCGACAGAGTGAGACTCTGTCTCACAAAAAAAACAAAAAAACAAAAAACAACGAAAATTAGCTGGGTGTGGTGGTACATGCCTATAGTCCCAGCTACTCAGGAGGCTGAGATGGGAGGACTGCTTGAGCCAGGGAGGTGGAGGTTGCAGTGAGCTGAGATTGCACTACTGCTCTCTAGCCTGGGCAATAGAGTGAGACCATCTCAAAAAAATTTTTTTTTGGCATACTTTTTCTTAGATATAAACATGTTTTGTATCTATTGATCTTTAAAACATTTGTATTCTGTCATCTGCACACTTTTTTTTTTTTTTTTTTTGAGATGGAGTCTCGTCCTGTCACCTAGGCTAGAGTATGGTGGCGCAATCTCAGCTCACTGCCAGCTCCGCCTCCCGGGTTCACGCCATTCTCCTGCCTCAGCCTCCGAGTAGCTGGGGCCACAGGCGCCCACCACCACGCCCAGCTAATTTTTTGTATTTTTAGTAGAGATGGGGTTTCACCGTGTTAGCCAGGATGGTCTCGATCTCCTGACCTCGTGATCCACCCGCCTCGGCCTCCCAAAGTGCTGGGATTACAGGCATGAGCCACCGTGCCTGGCTTGCACACTTATATTTTAAACTGAGGTTAATTATGGGTGGGTTTCAGGGAGCACCCAAACTCCCTGAAATTGTATGTGAAATTGTATATATGGGCATATGTATTTTTTCTGGGGAGAGGGGAATAATTTCTATCAGATACTCAAAAGAATCTGTGACTCCAAACATTTTTTTTAAATCACAGTAAATTTGCATTATATTTTTTTCTACTGCTCTAGGAAAGCACTTTCCCAGGAGGTTTGGGGGATGCCAGTACATTACTCCAACAATGCCAGGGCTCAGTATTTTAATCTTTCAGTCTGCAATGGATTTCATTGTCCTTATAAAGGGTTAGGTCAGAGTGTCTTGTATAGCATGTAGGCAGTTGAGGGCTTTTGGACAACCATGGAGCATTTTAATTTCCATGATTCTGTTAGATGTATGTGGTGGGAGGAGCCAGAGGGGTCATTGCTCAAGGTGGCTAAATGTGGCACGTGTAGACCATCAGCAATTCCACATCCCACAAGGAAAGTTCTGATCTGTGCTGGAACTAGAGTTCACCCTCAATGTCATACCTAGTGCATGTTTGCAAATATATTATGACATCTACCTCTCCATATAATCTTGCTGCTGTTAGAATCAATAGTTATTGAATGATTTTGATGGAAGATAGACATAATTATCATTTCTCTTTGGCAAACTAGGGAAATGTTGCTCAGAAAAATCTCTGTGGTTTTTTTAAAGCTCCCAGTAACAGAAAATGAGAAACTTGAATTTGGATCCCAGATTCTGTGACTTCAATCCTGAAAGCTTGCCCTTGAATCATAGCTTATAGCCACCTTGGTTTTTATTTTGAGGAGCAGTTTCCATTTGGAAAGATGTTTGAATGGTCAGTGATTTCTATAGGCACTTGGTGGTGTCTAATGATAGCAAATAAATGATTTAGTTTGATCATTATCTCCTCACTTATGAGAGCAAGAAGCAGGTGCATAAGTGAAAAGAAAGAAGGAAGTTTCTTGTTCTGTATTTGTGATAACATAAAAATACTCCTGGAAAACTAACTAGATGATAAAATCTAATATTCTAAAGATTTATCTCTATTCTGAATGTTATGCTTAATATGTCATTATAGGACTCCTCCATTTCTGTGCTGAGAACAATTTCTTCTAGTATTAATGAATTTACCTCTCATCCCTGAAGATAAGTGTCCCATTGGAGAGAGACATGAGCAAGATTTGTGGACTCTAATGAACTTGCAAAAGAGAAATGAGGCAAATATTTTATAATAGAAAGATACTAAGACATCCGATTCTTGAATATGCAGGTAACATTGCTGTATTAACAGATGTTCACCTTTTAAATAAAAATGTTCTTATAACAGACCCAATGAGATTTAAAAACTATCCTTATTATTCAAAGATTTGATTTACGTCAATATAATTGATGAAACTGTTCAGCCGTAGATTTTCAAAATGCTCTACTTTACAAATAGCACATTAAATTGATTTTCTCATTTTTATATATTACAGATTAAATGTTTCTCAAATGCTTTGCAGGATATTGAAGATTTCAGAAGACAGGGACGGTACATGTACCCCACAGTCAGGCTTCCTAATGGGGCCATACATTTTATGGGAGAAACAGTGGGAGTAATTAGTTGCAGGAGGTGGAAAAAGGTATCCAAGAATACCAAGGTAAAAATGCTTGAAAATTTAAAATTAAGTGCAAGTTATTGAATAAAGATGCCATGGCTGCGCGCAGTGGCTCATGCCTGTAATCCCAGCACTTTGGGAGACCAAGGCGGGTGGTTCACGAGGTCAGGAGTTCGAGACCAGCCTGGCTAAAACGGGTGAAATCCTGTCTCTACCAAAAATACAAAAATTAGCTGGATGTGGTAGCGGGTGTCTGTAATTCCAGCTAGTCGGAAGGCTGAGGCAGGAGAATCACTTGAACCCGGGATGCGGAGGTTGCAGTGAGCTGAGATCACGCCACTGCACTCCAGCCTGGGCAGACAGAGCAAGACTCCGTCTCGAAAAAAAATAATAATAAAATAAAGATGCCATGTAGTAATATATTTTTGTAACCAGCATTTGATATTTTATATTCTCTGATATTTTTAATATATGAGGTGCAGTTGCACACACACACATACATGCACATACACATGTATACACACATATTTATTTATTTATTTATTTTTTGAGACAGAGTCTCACTCTGTTGCCAGGCTGAAGTGCAGTGGCGCGATCTTGGCTCACTGCAACCTCCAACTCCCTCGTTCAAGCGATTCTACTGCCTCAGCCTCCCAAGTAGCTGAGATTACAGGCATACGCTACCATGCCCAGCTAATTTTTGTATTTTTAGTAGAGACAGGGTTTCACCATGTTGGCCAGGATGGTCTCGATCTCCTGACCTCGTGATCCACCCACCTCGGCCTCCCAAAGTGCTGGGATTACAGGCGTGAGCCACCAAGCCCGGCCCACACGTATTTATTATACTATTAAAAAGTTAGCTGTTACTTTAAATTAAAAAGGTTATGTTCATGGGAAAAAATTAAAACTATGCAAAAGACAGAAGTAGATAAGGAAAAAAACAAAAGTTCACCTTCTTACTTCTCAATGTTCAATTATACTACCCAGAGGTAAACAGGGTTAAAATTTCCTGCCAGCAATGTTCACTGTCATATGTATATATGTCCTTTAAAAAGCTCTACAAATGTGATCGCAATACTGTTGAGCAACTTGCTATTTTCAGTAAATGATGTCTTGAACTTCATCTTTCTACATCTGTACATATAGATCTCTTTCATTCTTTTTGGTGGCTGTATAATATGCCATTGTAAGAAGGTACCAATACTTACTTAACTAATTCCTTACTGGTGGATATTTTGGTGGTTTCTACTTTCGTTTTGTTTTCCTATTGTAAACCTATGTACAAGGACACACATTACACCATTATTTTTCCACACATGTGCAGGTATAGTGTTGGATGGTTGGGTAACTTCCTAGGAATGTAATCTCTAGGTAAAAGGACATGTGCATTTTTTTTTTTTTTTTTTTTTGAGACAGAGTTTCACTCTTGTTGCCCAGGCTGGAGTACAGCGGCGCAATCTTGGCTCACCACAACCTCCACCTCCCTGGTTCAACTGATTCTCCTGCCTCGCCTCCTGAGTAGCTGGGATTACAGGCATGTGCCACCACACCCAGCTAATTTTGTATTTTTAGTAGAGACAAGATTTCTCCATGTTGGTCAGGCTGGTCTCAAACTCCCGACCTCAGGTGATCCACCTGCCTTGGCCTCCCAAAGTGCTGGGATTACAGGTGTGAGCCACTGTGCCTGGCCCGTGCATTTTCAATTATCTAGTTTTTTAGATAATATGAAAAT
This sequence comes from Homo sapiens, assembly GCF_000001405.40. Classification (NCBI taxonomy): domain Eukaryota; kingdom Metazoa; phylum Chordata; class Mammalia; order Primates; family Hominidae; genus Homo; species Homo sapiens. The sequence continues at coordinate 27,282,977 of NC_000007.14, forward strand.
TTAGAAAATATGTCTTATAGTAAAAAGATCAATCTATATAGAAAGTGAAAAGCAGCTGGGCTCAGTGGCTCACGCCTGTAATCCCAGCACTTTGGGAGGCCGAGGCGGGCGGATCACGAGGTCAGGAGATCGAGACCATCCTGGCTAACACGGTGAAACCCCGTCTCTACTAAAAATACAAAAAATTAGCCGGGCGTGGTGGTGGGCGCCTGTAATCCCAGCTACTCGGGAGGCTGAGGCAGGAGAATGGCATGAACCCAAGAGGCGGAGCTTGCAGTGAGCCGGGATAGCGCCACTGCAGTCCAGCTTGGGCGAAAGAGTGAGACTCCGTCTCAAAAAAAAAAAAAAAAAAAAAAAAGCTTACTTTGTACCTTGATAAGATGTTATATCCCCCTGACCCCATTTCCTTCAACATAAATCAGACCTTTACTTTCCTATCCCTCTTTCTCTGTTTCCTTCCTCTTCCAGATGAGGTCTTTGAAGTCTTTTTCTTCCCTTCCCACTCATCCTCTGCTCTCATCTCCTAGGTTAGGCTGAGGTATTTAGTGATTTCTGTTCTAATCTAGACCATAATATCCTCAGATGAGGCCCATGGGTGATATATTTTTTAGTCCTTCCATAAATGGAAATATCATCCTTTCGCCTCTATAGGTGAATGACATCTTGAAAGACAATAGCCTTTCTTAGAAAACCTGTGATGTTATTTCAGATTCCTGTGTTGAGGAAAAGAAATCCGGTGTCAGCCTGCGTCCTTTGTGAGTTATTCATTCTGTCTAAAAGCTGACAAGCTTTCCTTTGTATCCTTGGAGTCCAGGAATCTTAGAGTGATATTCCCAGGTGTGTGCTTTCTATCACTGAACTTGCCAGTAACTTGGTGTGCCCTTTTAAGCTGCAGACTAAGGAATATTCCTTCCATTTGTTTAATCATTACCTCTCTTTCATTGGTTTTTCTCCCTTTAGAATTCCTATTACTCACAAAATAGATATCCGTTATGCCTTTTATCTTTTTTCCTCTATCTCTTTATATTTTTGTTATTGAGACATTTCTTCCTTTTGGCCTCTAATTTATACCTCCACAGTGACCAGCTATCCTTTCCCTCAATTCATTTACTAAATTTTTCAATGAAGAAAAGCATACTTTAATTTCCAAAATGTCATTTTATGCTATAATTAAAGGCTGTGCTCTCATTAATTTTTAGATAGACTTAAGTAACAGACTATTTAGGTAGACCCTTACTTTTACTAAGACCTAGTGGAGTTCTTTGGTCTTGTCACAGTTAAGGATGTAGATGGAATCTTGGCCACCTAACCTCTGATCCACCTTTTCCTCCATCTGTGGGGCTATTCACGAGAAACAATTTTGATGTTGTGCAAATAAAACCTACTCTGTAGATCTGAAGGTAAGGCATTTATTTCTGTTGACTTTTCTAAAAGTATGTAGGATAATATTTTAGAGTTCATGGATGTATAATGGAAATAGCCACATGAATTTGTGCTATGAGGATAACTCGGGAAGGACGGCCATCAGACATTTCTGATTTCCCTCAAATATTCTTTCCTAAATTTCACCAAGTTCCATTCTAATATGATTCATAGGCAGTGTCTCCGAATTGTCTCTGCTCCTCTTGTGATGACTTGAATCATACCACATGACAATTAAATGAAAAGGATAAAACTTTATGGGCAATTACTCTGAAAGTCTCTCCACTCAAAACTTGTGTGGCTTTTGTGCCAACCTACTAGTAATAATTAAGTATGGAAGTTATATTAGGCGGAGTAGATTTAGAGTGCAGTAAAGATTATGGAATAATATGGAGGGACTGGTTATTCCAATGGAGAAGAATGAACATGCTTGTTTTGGGTCCTTTTCCAATTACACATCTGTCTCCTGGATTAGTATTAAAACATTCTGTTTTTTAGCATCCTGGGTGCTTAAATTATTTTATGTCTGTTACTTGATGTTCAAGGTATCCCACCAAGGTAGGGAGGAAGATTTTAAAAATTTCTTTTGCTGCTTCATAGTCGGAAAATTGAAGCATAAAAAAGGTACATATAGTGTCTCTTGGATCCAAGAAGGAAAGCAAACCATTTACTTTCAGGGCCATTACATTATCTCTTTGATTTTGAGGCTCTTTAAGCAAGAGATACAACATGCACTGCCTATATAACTTTTAGACCCAACTCACCACTTGTTCCCCCAACTCAAATCCATTGATGTTGTTAACTCTTTCTTCTCTTTGATATTTTCATGGCATCTGATATTGGTGAATCTTACCCTTACCCTCCTGAAGCCATATCTTCCCCTGGCCTATGAGATATACTCCTTTGAGCATATCTTCTTATGCCTTTGATTACCTTCTGCTTCTTTTTCCTCCTCTCATCATCTAAGACCAGTTCTTTTTTTTTTTTTTTTTTTTTTTTTGACAGAGTCTTGCTCTGTTTCCCAGGCTGGAGTGCAGTGGAGTGATTAGGGCTTACTGCAGCCCCAACCTCCTGGGCTCAAGTGATCCTCCCACCTCAGCCTCCCAAGTAGCTGGGACTACAGGTGTGTATCACCATGCCTGGCTAATTTTTCAACTTTTTGTAGAGATGAGGTCTCACTATGTTGCCCAGCCTGGTCTTGAACTCCTGAGTTTGAGTGATCCTCCCACCCAGCCTCCCAGAGTGCTAAGATTACAGGCATGAGCCACTGCACTTGGCCCCAATTCTTGAGAATGTGTTTGTTCATTCAGCTAATATTTACTGAACACTTATGATGTGTCAAGTACTGTGCTGAAAGGTGGTCATAAAAGGGTGAACAAGAAGGTGATATTCATCTTCCTATAGCTCACATCCTAGTGGCGGAGGCAGACAATAAGAATACAAACATAAAATAATGACTAGTTGTAATAAGTGAAATTAAGCATTGTGATAAGTGCAACTAAGGAAATAAACAAGATTTGGTGAAAGAGAATAATGGGATTTGAGTCCACAAACCCTACTTTAAATAGTGTAGTCTGTAGGTGAGACCTGCTGTAAGAAGGAGCTGCTGGGTGAAATATGGGAAGGGAAATTATCCCCAAAGAGGAAACAGGTGCAGAGTCTCTGAAGCGGGACTGACAGAAGGTCATCATGGGCATGAAATAGTGAGTTAGGAGATGGGCATGAGAAGTACAGTCAGAAGAACAGGACAGGGCTCAGATGATAGTGCAGGGCATGGTAGGCTGAGGAAGGAGTTCAGACTTAATCTAAGTAAAAAGAGAACCTTTGAATAGTGTTAAGTAAGGGAACAATAAGGTCAGAGTACATTTTTAAAAGAATGCTTTGACTGCTGTGTAGAAAATGGGCTTTGGGGAGCAAGTCTGGAAGCAAGGAACTAGTTAGGAAGCTCTAGAACAAGTTTGCCCAACCTGTAGCCCATGGGCCACATGTGGGTCGGGACGGCTTTTTTTTTTTTTTTTCAGGACAGTTTTGAATGCGGACCAACACAAATTTGTAAACTTTCTTAAACATTATGAGAGTTTTTTGCAATTTTTTTATAGCTTATCAGCTGTCATTAGGGTTAGTGTATTTTATGTGTGGCCCAAGACAATTCTTCTTCCAATGTGGCCCAGGGAAGCCAAAAGTTTGGACACCCCTGTTCTGGAAGATGCTGTTGGTTGGCTATCTAAACGTAATCCCTAGTCTCTTTGCTCCTCCCACCATACTGTCTGGAAATCTAGTTTTGTTTTGTTTGTTTGTTTTGTTTGTCTGTTTTTTTGAGACAGAGTCTTGCTCTGTTGCCCAGGCTGGAGTGCAGCAGCAATCTTGGCTCACTGCAACCTCCGCTTCCTGGGTTCAAGCAATTCTCCTGTCTCAGTCTCCTGAGTAGCTGGGACTACAGGCTAATTATTATTATTATTATTATTATTATTATTATTATTATTATTTGTATTTTTAGTTGAGACAGGGTTTCGCCATGTTGGTCAGGCTGGTCTCAAACTCCTGACCTCAGATGATCCGCCTGCCTCAGCTTCCCAAAGTGCTGGGATTACAGGCAGCCACGGCACCCAGCCCTGGAAACCTACTTTTTACTTTTCCAACCTCCCCTGCAGCTAGATCTGACCTCTGAACCATAAAACAAGTCTACTGGGAGCCTTCTGGAAAAGAGTCTGTGTTTCTTGATAAAAGGAACAGATATAATATGAGAGCTGGCCCTTCTCGCCATTGCCATGTGCCCTTGCTTTCTGCCATTGAAACAGTAATAGCTGACAGCCATTTTGTGACCACAAGGGAAAGATCAAGAAAGTTAGAGACACAGGCACAGAACCACTGAACAAACACTGGAGCCATCTTGTCCATACTTCTTGATCTAGAAACACTTAAATACTTTTATTATTTAAGCCACTAATAATCACCTAAATTGTTACCTGTAGCTGAAAGCATTTCTAACTAACCTGGAGGCTCTCATGGGGTCAAGGCAGGAGTTGGTAGCTTGAGATCTGCAAGCAACTTAAGTGTCTATTAACAATGAATGAATAAAGAAAATATGGTACATATATATAATGGAGTACTATTCAACCCTAAAAAGAATGAGATCCTGTCATTTGCAACAATATGGGTGGAACTGGATGCCATTATGTTAAGTGAATAAGCCAGGCACAGAAAGACAGACTTTGCATGGTTCTCACTTACTTATGGGAGCTAAAAATTAAAACAATTGAACTCATGGTGATAGGGAGCAGAATGCTGATTACCACAGGCTGGGAAGGCTAGTGGGGGTGGGGGTTGGGGGAGGTAGGGATGGTTAATGGGTACAAAAAATAGTTAGAAAGAATGAATAAAGGCCAGGGGTGGTGACTTATGCCTGTAATCCCAGCACTTTGGGAGGCTGAGGCAGGTGGATCACTTGAGGTCAAGAGTTCAAGACCAGCCTGGCCAACATGATGAAACCCTGTCTCTACTAAAAATACAAAAATTAGCAGGGCACAGTGGCATGTGCCTGTAATCCCAGCTACTTGGGAGGCTGAGGCAGGAGAATTGCTTGAACCTGGGAGGCGGAGGTTGCAGTGAGCAGAGATTGCGCCACTGCATTCCAGCCTGGGCAACAGAGCAAGACTCAGCCTCAAAAAAAAAAAAAAAAAAAAGAATGAATAAGACCTAGTATTTGATAGCACAGCAGGCAACAGGGTGACTACAGTCAATAATAATTTAATTGTACATTTAAAAATAACTGAAAGAGTATAACTGACTTGTTTGTAACACAAAGGATAAATGCTTGAGGTGATGGATATCCCATTTACTCTGATATGATTATGCATTGCATGCCTGTATCAGAATATCTCATGTACTCCATAAATACATATACCTACTATGTACTCACAAAAATTTTTAAAAACAGGAGTTGGTGGCTTGGACTAGGGTGATAGTGCTGAGTAGTAACTTTATGCAGATTACTACCATACTTAATCTTCAACTGCGATTGCTTCCCTCTGTCTCTCTCTTTTGATTAATAACTCCATTTGCTTGCAGTTGCATCTCCTCATGTCTAAACACTCAAAGAGCCCTTTAGTTTCCCAGTCCTTGGCTGATCCTTTCTCCATCCAGTCTTCCTATAACTGTCGGGACAATATCGTGGCTACCTTCCCTCATCCCTATGCAAGAACTGGTGGTGGATTCTGAACAAACCAAAGTGATTCTGCCTTGTATTCAAGGAATTCTATCAGACGAACCAACTCTACTTGTACAAGCATATGGCTTTACTAGTCTTTAAACACTACTTATTTCAACTTCTGGCAACAGCTTGGTTATTCATCTAAAAAGCATCCATTATGCCTTCTATGTCAAACATGTTGTTAAACATGATGCTTTCGCCCGTGTTCACTAAGTTAATCTTTACAACCAACCCATGAGATTGGTTTTATTATCCTCATTTCTCTAATATGAAACTAAGAGTTAGAGGGGTTTCCTTGTTCAAGATAAAAAACTAGTAAGAAGCAGAGCTGGGATTTGAACCTAAGTTCTCTGATTCCATGCCCAGTGTCCTTTCTTGAGCTTTTCTCTTGCAAACTCTCAATTGTATCAATCTGTGATACTTTCTCTTTGGCTTTCTGTTGACGCACAGCTACTTCTACTCTCCAACCCTTTCAAGAACTTTCTTGAAATTTGTCTCATATGGAAGTCTTTGTCATTTTTTCTCATGCTTTGAACATAGTTGAATTACAGACTGTTTTTTTTTTTTTTTTTTTTGAGACACAGTCTCACTCTGTCACCCAGGCTGGAGTGCAATGGTGTGATCTCAGCTCACTGCAACCTCCACCTCCAGGGTTCAAGCAAATCTTGTGCCTCAGTCTCCTGAGCAGCTGGGATTACAGGCATGTGCCACTATGCCTGGCCAATTTTTTTGTATTTTTAGTAGAGACGGGGTTTCATCATGTTGCTGAGGCTGGTCTCAAACTCCTGACCTCGTGATCCACCCACCTCGGCCTCCCAAAGTGCTGGAATTACAGGCATGAGCCACCGTGCCCAGCCTACAGACTGTTTTGTATGGTGACAATATCAATTGCAATTAGTTCGTTGGCCTCCAGTAATTCTATTTCTCTACAACCTGTCTCTTCAACCAGATATCAGGATTCCCAAGGGCAGAAGCAAGCAATATAGTCTTCCTTATTTTTTTGGTATTAGCTTTTAGTACTCAGAAAAATGCAGTTTTATTTACCCATAATTGTTGCTTGTCTAATAAATGGGTAAATAAAACAAGAACCTTGCATTAAATCCATGTATCTGGCTGCAGATAATTCTCCACATCCTTTGATTTTCTTCTTACATTCACAGAATCTAAGTCCTAATAAGAACCATTTCCCTTCTTTTTGGCAATAAAAATCCCAACATGTTCCCTATTGTGGTATCTTATTTGATAACCTTTCTAATTAGCGTTACATTTTAAATGCTTTTATAATGCCTCATTACATATTTGTCCAATAGTCCATGACAGTTCAGATATGTAATTGCTATTATGGATTACCTGGTGACCATCATTAAGTAATTAGAGAGACTTAAACATGTGTAGTGCTAATTAGGAAAGTTATCAACTATGGGCAGTTAAGATAATAGGGAACATCATGATGATTTTGTTTCGGAACTGCAGTAAAAACATGGCTACAGGGAAATGGATGAATCTTTTGTGAATTTAGTGCCTGAGGAAGTAAGGAGCCATTTTAACAATGGAGAATTTGGCACAGCAGAAAGTGACTTTGCGAATTGTGCCCTCTTTTTGTCACTCCATTAATAACTGACTGTGACTGCCAAAATACTTCTTCTGGACTGTACTAGGGAAGCAAAAGGGGTCAAGCCTGGAGTAAGATATACTCATAGAGGGTCCCTTAACTGCTCCCTTAGATCAGTCCCCCAAATCAATATCACTCTATTTTCAGCCTCACGTTCACAGCCCCGTGATCTATTAGGCCTTTACTCAACATATTCTATTAAGTGGTGTGGATTTTCGCCCTCATGAAAAAATAATGACTGCTTTATTAAGAATCATCCAAGATTGCCCAAAGTTCTTACAAAGGCCACTTGACCCTGACCATTGTTTCAAATAGTTCTTGAAATGTTGGAGAATTGTTACAGCATGAAAGCAAGGAATGTGACATGTTCTCCGAGGGAATGTGATATGCTTTTGGGAGGTTTCATTTTTTTGTAAAGAAATAGTATTTCACTGTTCCTAAATGGTAAGAAGCAGATTTGGTGGGACTGTGAGGGAGTAAACTAGTTGCTTAAATGCCATTTCAGAAACATATATAAAATGATATGTGACATTTTGTATGTATATGCATATTTTTCTTAGGGGAAGGGCTACACTTTCATCAGATTCTGCCCTTGAGCCTTTGGTAAGCTGGGACATAGATGCACATTACATGCCAGGCACCATGGAACGATACCATGTAAGAGACTTAGGATGCTCTATTGTTAGTATTACTAAAAAATAATCATAGCTAAAATTCAACCGGTGAGACAAACATTTTTGGGCCCAGTATGCTTCTGCTGCGTGACTGCGTGACTCTGCTGAGACAAACGTTCTTTTTTTTTTTTTTTTTTTTTTTGGACTGCAGGCAAACACTAGTCTGTTTCTGGTTGGAACAAACTTGTGTCTGATTTTTTATTAGTATTATTATTCTACTTTAAGTTCTAGGGTACATGCACACAACATGCAGGTTTGTTACATATGTATACATCTGCCATGTTGGTGTGCTGCACCCATTAACTCGTCATTTACATTAGGTATATCTCCTAATGCTATCCCTCCCCCCTCCCCCTACCCCACAAAGGCCCCAGTGTGTGATGCTTCCCACCCTGTGTCCAAGTGTTCTCATTGTTCAATTCCCACCTATGAGTGAGAACATGCAGTGTTTGGCTTTCCATCCTTGAGATAGTTTGCTCAGAATGATGGTTTCCAGCTTCATCCATGTCCCTACAAAGGACATGAACTCATCCTTTTTTATGGCTGCATAATATTCCATGGTGTATATGTGCCACATTTTCTTAAGCCAGTCTATCATTGTTGGACATTTGGGTTGGTTCCAAGTCTTTGCTGTTGTGAATAGTGCTGCAATAAACATACATGTGCATGTGTCTTTATAGCAGCATGATTTATAATCCTTTGGGTATATACCCAGTAATGGGATGGCTGGGTCAAATGGTATTTCTAGTTCTAGATCCTTGAGGAATCACCACACTGTCTTCCACAATGGTTGAACTAGTTTACAGTCCCACCAACAGTGTAAAAGTGTTCCTATTTCTCCACATCCTCTCCAGCACCTGTTGTTTTCTGGCTTTTTAATGATCGCCATTCTAACTGGTGTGAGATGGTATCTGATTGTGGTTTTGATTTGCATTTCTTTCATGGCCAGTGATGATGAGCATTTTTTCATGTGTCTGTTGGCTGCATAAATGTCTTCTTTTGAGAAGTGTCTGTTCATATCCTTTGCCCACTTTTTGATGGGGTTGTTTTTTTGTTGTAAATTTATTTGAGTTCATTGTAGATTCTGGATATTAGCCCTTTGTCAGATGAGTAGATTGCAAAAATTTTCTCCCATTCTGTAGGTTGCCTGTTCACTCTGATGGTAGTTTCTTTTGCTGTGCAGAAGCTCTTGAGTTTAATTAGATCCCATTTGTCAATTTTGGCTTTTGTTGCCATTGCTTTTGGTGTTTTAGACATGAAGTCCTTGCCCATGCCTACATCCTTAATGGTATTGCCTAGGTTTTCTTCCAGGATTTTTATGGTTTTAGGTCTAACATTTAAGTCTTTAATCCATCTTGAATTAATTTTTGTATAAGGTGTAAGGAAGGGATCCAATTTCAGCTTTCTACATATGGCTAGCCAGTTTTCTCAGCACCATTTATTAAATAGGAAATCCTTTCCCCATTTTTTGTTTTTGTCAGGTTTGTCAAAGATCAGATGGTTGTAGATGTGTGGTATTATTTCTGAGGGCTCTGTTCTGTTCCATTTGTCTATATCTCTGTTTTGGTACCAGTACCATGCTGTTTTGGTTACTGTAGTCTTGTAGTATAGTTTGAAGTCAGTTAGCATGATGCCTCCAGCTTTGTTCTTTTGGCTTAGGATTGTCTTGGCAATGCGGGCTCTTTTTTGGTTCCATATGAAGTTTAAAGTAGTTTTTTCCAATTCTGTGAAGAAAGGCATTGGTAGCTTGATGGGGATGGCGTTGAATCTATAAATTACCTTGGGCAGTATGGCCATTTTCACAATATTGATTCTTCCTATCCATAAACATGGAACGTTCTTCCATTTGTTTGTGTCCTCTTTTATTTCATTGAGCAGTGGTTTGTAGTTCTCCTTGAAGAGGTCCTTCACATCCCTTGTAAGTTGGATTCCTAGTTATTTTATTCTCTTTGAAGAAATTGTGAATGGGAGTTCACTCATGATTTGGCTCTCTGTCTGTCTGTTATTGGTGTATAGGAATGCTTGTGATTTTTGCACATTGATTTTGTATCCTGAGACTTTGCTGAAGTTGCTTATCAGCTTAAGGAGATGTTGGGCTGAGACGATGGGGTTTTCTAAATATACAATCATGTCATCTGCAAACAGGGACAATTTGACTTCCTCTTTTCCTAATTGAATACCCTTTATTTCTTTCTCCTGCCTGTTGCCCTGGCCAGAACTTCCAACACTATGTTGAATAGGAGTGGTGAGAGAGGGCATCCCTGTCTTGTGCCAGTTTTAAAAGGGAATGCTTCCAGTTTTTGCCCATTCAGTATGATATTGGCTGTGGGTTTGTCATAAATAGCTCTTACTATTTTTAGATACGTCCCATCAATACCTAATTTATTGAGAGTTTTTAGCATGAAGGGCTGTTGAATTTTGTCGAAGGCCTTTTCTGCATCTATTGAGATAATCATGTGGTTTTTGCCTTTGGTTCTGTTTATATGCTGGATTACATTTATTGATTTGCGTATGTTGAACCAGCCTTGCATCCCAGGGATGAAGCCCACTTGATCATGGTGGATAAGCTTTTTGATGTGTTACTGGATTTGGTTTGCCAGTATTTTATTGAGGATTTTTGCATCGATGTTCATCAGGGATATTGGTCTAAAATTCTCTTTTTTTGTTGTGTCTCTGCCAGGCTTTGATATCAGGATGATGCTGGCCTCATAAAATGAGTTAGGGAGGATTCCCTCCTTTTCTATTGATTGGAATAGTTTCAGAAGGAATGGTACCAGCTCCTCTTTGTATCTCTGGTAGAATTCGGCTGTGAATCCGTCTGGTCCTGGACTTTTTTTGGTTGGTAAGCTATTAATTATTGCCTCAATTTCAGAGCCTGTTATTGGTCTATTCAGGGATTCAACTTCTTCCTGTTTTAGTCTTGGGAGGTTGTATGTGTCAAGGAATTTATCCATTTCTTCTAGATTTTCTAGTTTATTTGCATAGAGGTGTTTATACTACTCTCTGATGGTAGTTTGTATTTCTGTGGGATCGGTGGTGATATCCCCTTTATCAGTTTTTATTGCGTCTATTTGATTCTTTTCTATTTTCTTCTTTATTAGTCTTGCTAGTGGTCTATCAATTTTGTTGATCCTTTCAAAAAGCCAGCTCCTGGATTCATTGATTTTTTGAAGGGTTTTTTTGTGTCTCTATCTCCTTCGGTTCTGCTCTGATCTTAGTTATTTCTTGCCTTCTGCTAGCTTTTGAATTTGTTTGCTCTTGCTTCTCTAGTTCTTTTAATTGAGATGTTAGGATGTCAGTTTTAGATCTTTCCTACTTTCTCTTGTGGGCATTTAGTGCTGTAAATTTCCCTCTACACACTGCTTTAAATGTGTCCCTGAGATTCTGGTATGTTGTGTCTTTGTTCTCGTTGGTTTCAAAGAACGTCTTTATTTCTGCCTTCATTTCGTTATGTACCCAGCAGTCATTCAGGAGCAGGTTGTTCAGTTTCCATGTAGTTGAGCGGTTTTGAGTGAGTTTCTTAATCCTGAGTTCTAGTTTGATTGCACTGTGGTCTGAGAGACAGTTTGTTATAATTTCTGTTCTTTTACATTTGCTGAGGATTGCTTTACTTCCAACTATGTGGTTAATTTTGGAATGAGTGTGATGTGGTGCTGAGAAAAATGTATATTCTGTTGATTTGGGGTGGAGAGTTCTGTAGATGTCTATTAGGTCCACTTGGTGCAGAGCTGAGTTCAATTCCTGGATATCCTTGTTAACTTTCTGTCTCGTTGATTTGTCTAATGTTGACAGTGGGGTGTTAAAGTCTCCCATTATTATTGTGTGGGAGTCTAAGTCTCTTTGTAGGTGAGACAAACATTCTAACCTCCCAGAGCTACCTCTCCTAATTATATGGCAAAGAGCTATGGAGACTTCAGGGTCATCTCAAGGTCATTATTGTCCAACAGGGGTCTGTTGGCTGCCTGGAGACCTCTCTGGGTCTTGGGAGAAAAAGAGAAGAGGCTGGATTTTGACTCCTTAACCATAGAATGTTCCAGAGTCCCTTTGCCGCCTTATGACTCAGGCAGTCATGACTTCTTCATGACTTCAACATTTAGGTAGGTTCAAGGCACATCTTGCTGGAACAGGGGTAGCTGTCCTCTGAAATGATTGTGGGGCTGTTGGTTCATATGGACCCGTATATGCACTTTAATCCCCCTTTCCCTCCCCATCCAGTCATAGTTGGTGACCCAAACTGTGTGTTCAGACACTTGAGTTTGCCACTTTATTTTATTCAATCTTGTCCACTAATCTTGAACTCACTAATTTTAGGGCCTGGGAAATTTCTGACTTCTTCATACATGAAATTTAGGATGAGATTAGTGAAGTAAAAATGGACATTTTGGCAGGTATTTTCTCTTTCAGGTGAGATAAAAACATCTTCGTATATTCCTCCTCTTCCCCAAATTGAGCATCTGTTTATGTGTGACTGGGCAGTTTGCCCTCCTCTATTAAAGTTGAAGCTATTTCCTGGTTAATTATTTCCTCTCTTAATTTGGCAAACATGTGTGGCATGCTGCTGTGTGCATGGTGCAGACTGTCATGAAAGACATAAGCAGGGCCAGTGAACTGCCCTGCCCTGGGCTATTGGAGAAGTAGCTCATTTCATGGGAAGTTTATTAATGTAAGTGCTGAACAACAATTCAAGGCAGCATTAAGGGAGGTATAACCAGGCTTGTAAGATCACGATATTCTCCTGAAGGAGATGGGGCTTGACCTGAGTCTTGAAGGATGGCAGAGAGTAGGCAAGGAGGACATCTCAAGTGGGGGAACTGGTGTAAGCTAAGGAATGAGGTTAATGAATGCAGTGTGTGTGTGTGTGTGTGTGTGTGTGTGTGTGTGTGTGTGTGTGTGTGTGTGTTTAAAGAGAGGAAGGCAATAAGACTAGACAGAAAGGTAAACCAGGAACAGATCATGGGAGATCTGGAATTCTATGTGTACTTAAATCTTGATCCAATAGATCATGGACATTATTAGAGAGCTTATTAATAGGTTGAGGGAAGAAATCTGACACCTGTAAAGCACCCATGATGTGCCAAGCTCTGTGCTTGGTCTTTTACTTACATAAATAATTTCATCTCAAAATTATCTCTCCAGGAAGCATCTTCATTTTTCAGCTTTAAGAAATGTTTTTATTATGGACTATTATGTGCCTCTTGATAAAAGTACAAAAATCACCCATAAAGTATTCTTGCCAAAAATAGAGCTTCTATGGCGTCAAGTCTCTAAATACTACCAATAGGTTACAGGCCAGCAGAGAACAGAGGAGCATGTTAAATGATACATGAAATACAAAAATACAATCCAGAATCCCAGAAAGTACAGGATGAAAACAATAAAAAAGATTAAGAAAATTGGAAAATTACAAACATATACAAAAAAAGAGAAAATAGTATAATAAACTCTCCATGTATCCATCACTTAGCTTCAGCAATTGTCAACTTATGGCCAATCTTGTTTCATTGATATCCCCTTTATCATCCCTCCAGTAATTACTTTGAAGGAAATCCCAGTTGTCACATCTCTTCAACCACAAATATTTCAATGTATGTCTTTAAAAGATAAAGACTCTTAAAAAAAATAACTACAGTGGGAAGCCGGGCACAGCGGCTCACGCTTGTGATCCCAGCAGTTTGGGAGGGCGAGGCGGGCAGATCACAAGGTCAGGAGTTCGAGACTAGCCTGACCAACATAGTGAAACCCCATCTCTACTAAAAATATAAAAATTAGCCAGGTGCGGTGGCATGTACCTGTAATCCCAGCTACTCAGGAGCCTGAGGCAGGAGAGTCGCTTGAACCCAGAAGGTGGAGGGTGCAGTGAGCCGAGATTGCGCCACTGCACTCCAGCCTGGTTGACAGACCGAGACTGTGTCTTAGAAAAAAAAAAACCACAGTACTATTATTGTTGCTGAATTAATAATAATTCCTTAATATCTATGTCATCAAATATCCAGCCATTGTTCACATTCGCTTGATTGTCACATATATTAAAAACAAATAATTTCTTTTGTTTCAATCACAATCCAAATAAAGCGTATACATTGAAAGTGGTTGTTATGTCTCTTAAGTCCCTTTTAATTGAAAAGCTCCTCCTCCGTTTCCTTTTTTCCCTTGGAGATTATTTGTTGAAGAAACTAGGATCCGTCCTGAGTGTTTGCACATTCTGAAGTTGGCTGATGCATGCCCTTCTTTAGTGCAATGTGTTTCCCTCCCCTTTGTTTTCCTGTAAACTGGTAGTGCTGGCTGTTTACAAGGGCTCGATCACATTCCAAGTCCATCTTTTGGTGACAATACTTAGAGGTCGTGATGTATATTTTCATGAGGAGGCACAAAATGGCTGGTTGTCTCTCGTTTTGTAGTTTATCTAATTTAAGCAACTCTGTAGCCAGGAAGTGGAGGAGCACTGAGAAGTTGACACTGAGGTCTCTGGTTCCAAACCTGCGCTCCAGCCGTCTCCTCCCATCGCCCTCTGAGATTAATCTGGCCGGGAGGACGGAAAGGGTCCATGGGGATGGAAGCTGGGAGCAGGGAGACGAATCCATCTCCACATTGATGTTCTGGACACTCCACTGGGCTCCAGCAGGCAGCGGTTGCAGTGATCCAGGAAGGCAGCAACAAGGGTGACCGCAGGGACTGTCATCTCTCTGAGGAGGAAGGTGCAAACCACAGGTCATATTTTGGTTCCTGTAATTATATTCAAAGGAGTCCCAGGTACCTGGTTATGCAGAAACCTCTAGGTTTTGGTGATTTTTGAATGCTCACCTGAACTCTTGGGGATAACAGAGGAATCAGAATTATGCAGAACTGTTAACAGAGAATTTTGGTGACTTTAAAAATGCTTTATTTCTTTGTACTGCACCTTTTGGATTTTTGGAAAATTTTGGAAAAGATGGAAAAATTTTTCTTCTTAAATTGTATAGGCTTACTGTTGTTTCAGATAACAGCATCACATGCTTATTAAGACACACACATACACACATACACACACCCTCCATCTCAGAAATGCTTACCATAAAAATCCTACCTGACAGATAAAGTGTGGAAGAAAATCTGCTAAACTGTTACCTCTAGTTATCTCTGGTAGTTGTGTGGGGAGGGGATCACAGGAGCTGACATTTAGTGCTAACTCTTGTGTTTGAACTTGTTTGAGCATGTAGTCTATTTGTCATTGGGAACTCCCCACCCAAAACCCAACCAATTTGGATGTGATGAAAAGTAATCATAATAAAATGGCGCCATATTAGACATGGTTTTACAAATTGCTTTTTAATTTAACACTATATCTAGGGAGGTGGAGTTATTATTGTATAGGCAGTTATGGTAGTTCTTTTTTTTTTTTTTTTTTTTTTGAGATGGAGTCTTGTACTGTCGCTTGGGCTGGAGTGCAGTGGCGCGATCTCAGCTCACTGCAACCTCTGCCTCCCAGGTTCAAGCGATTCTCTTTGCCTTAGTCTCCCAAGTAGCTGGTTTTATACCACGCCCGGCTATTTTTTTTTTTTTTTTTTGCGACGGAGTCTCTGTCACCCAAGCTGGAGTACGGTGGCGTGATCTCGGTTCACTGCAACCTCCACCTCCTGGGTTCAAGCAATTCTCCTGCCTCAGCCTCCTGAGTAGCTGGGACTACGGGCGCGTGCCACCATGCCCAGCTAATTTTTTTTTTTAGTAGAGACAGGGTTTGGGGTTTCACCATGTTAGCCAGGATGGTCTCAATATCCTGACCTCGTGATCTGCCCACGTCGACCTCCCAAAGTGCTGGGATTACAGGTGTGAGCCACCACACCTGGCCAACACTTGGCTAATTTTTTTGTACTGTTAGTAGAGATGGAGTTTCACTATGTTGGCCAGGCTTGTCTCAAACTTCTGACCTCATGATCCGCCCACTTCGGCCTCCCAAAGTGCTGGGATTGCAGGTATAAGCCACTGTGCCCGGCCTATAGTAGTTCTTATAACTATAGTTACTATGTAGGCATTGCTCAGAAATTGTAATCATGGAGGTAAAAAAATCGAAGGCATACTTCTTATTAATTGATCAGTGGTAGGCTTATGTAATTTATTAGTACAAATAATTGGTATGCTGCTTCGTTCTGGGAATCCAGAAGATCCAAGTCTTAATCCTGTTTTAAATTTGTTCTGCCTCCATCCTCTGCCTGGATTTGGCCGGCGTGCAGTCCAGGAAGCCCTGCAGCCAGTGGACTTTCTCAGGAAACCTCTTTCCATCATGGGCAAAGTGCTTGGCAGTGGTTCTCTTTCTTCTTTTCATCTTTTGCTCCCATAGACTACAAGACAGAATCTTCTTTCCAAATAACTTTTTTAAAAACTCCCCCATAGGATGTCAAGGTGAGACATTGTGACAAACCTATTTGACTTATTAATCATGTGCCAAGTGCTCAGGGCCAGAAGTGAACACTGTGGTTCAAGCAAAAGTAAAAAGCAGAGTCCCTGTCCTGAAGTTTCTAAATATATATTTTCCTAAATAACCCAGTGCTGAGCAGAAGCTGTCTTAACTTTGGTGGTACTTCTGGGGACTGAGTTCATCTCCCCTCTCTGAATTGCCAGGTTGTGGGATGAGTTCGGAAGTGAGGCTGCAGCCAGGGATTGAGCATTGGGTTTCTGCATGCATCTGCACATTTCCTCAAATGCAGTCCACAGGCCACAGTGCAATTAAACACCCAAACTGCCAAGTTGAGTTTCTGAATCCAGTACATCTCCCTAGGCCTGACTTGCATATTAAAGACATCCACTAACGCATACTATCAATGTATAATCTGTTTACCTGTCATATGTACCCCTCTGAAGTATATTTCATTTTTAAATGATTGTATTTTAAAGACCAGAAATAATAGATATGGAGCTTAGAGTATAATTATCAAAAAGCTTACGAATAATTAGCAAAACAAAAGCCACCCCAGAAACTGAATTCATGCAAGCATATTTCTGCCAGCTTGGGTTTTAGATGAACACATTATCTGCAATCCTTTTCTCAAATGGAGTGCCATTTACAGATATCTGCCAAGCCTCCTCAGAACAAACAAGCCCCTAGAATCAGAGTTAGCATATAAAGTGTGGGTTGACAGGGCAACAATCTTTTCCCCAGGGCTCTCTTTTATCAGTGGCCCTGACCAAAGAATAGAACCCAGTGTTTTATGTTTCAAGTGTACCATATGGCATGATATGAGTGCACTTTAATGACTTATTAGCATATTCTTCCAACTAAGCTTTCCTAGTTAAACCAGCTTGACAAAAGCTGAATTTTAAAATATTTGCATGAAACCTCCCGGAATAAACATGGCTCGGTCATTGGTTTGCTTTCGCTTGTAGATAAAAAAGAAGCCACTGATCCTTCATGACAAGACTCATGAAAAACATTGAGTTGGCCACCTCTTCTCTACCCCTCAGGAGCTGAAGATTTTTGGAATGTCTGCAGCATTATTTAGACATTTTCTCTCCCCATGGCATGAAGACTCCCCACTCTGCCTAGATTCCGTGCTTTACATAATGCTTATTCTGCCTTCTGTGACCTTGATCCTTCCTTTGTGGGAATGAGATTTTCTGGCTGAGATCTAGTCACCTGCCTGACTCATGAAAAAGCCTTTTAGCCTTTGGAGGAGGACAAGGCACCAGATCAGGGCTTGGGACTTCTCACTGTGGCTTGGTTAGGAGTGATATGAACCGGGGGTGAGTCATGTTTCCCTTGAGACTGCCCAAATTTTCTCTGTGAAAATAAGGCCTGCTAGGAGGAAGGCGGACAGGATGGAGACATCCTCGTTACCTAAACAGAGGAAGCCAGCCTCTCTGTCTACTATTGCATGTGCTGTAGTGGTTTTTTTTTTTTTCTTTTCAGATTTGGCTAAGTGTCCCTTTTCTCTCTTTCTCAAGTCAGTTCTTGATACTTTTTGTAGATCAGATTGCTCTTAGTAGAGGTTACCAGTGACCACATATGATGAAGGTGACCATCCTTGGTGACCCTACAATAAGGCTTCCTTGTCATCTCTAGTGCAACCACAATAATATGGGTATGTGAATACTGATTTTTCTTTAGAAAACCTATTTTATGGCAAACACTGACAGAAACCCCTTCTCCATAGTTATTTTCCAGTTAGAGTAGCCATGTGACACTGTTATGACCATAACATAAGTGGAAGTCTGTTGGACACAGTTTCTGGGAAAACTTTTGTTTTTCTGGTAAAAACAGACAAATCCAGCTGGCCTGTGCCTTGCCTTTACTTCTATCTTCTTGTGTGGAATGTAGATGAAATGGCTTGAGGTGCTGCAGCCATCTTGTAATCATGAAATGACAAGCAATTGAATAGAAGCCAACACACCAAATAAATTAAAAAAATACATTTCATATGTTAAGGCACTATTCTTCAGGTTTTGTGCAATCCCACTTTGTGGATTAGGAAACTGAAGTGAGAGTGGTTGAGTGACTTGCTCAAGATCAAACAAGTCCTCTGACTTTAAGCACTGTGCTTTTTCTATGTATTTTGTTAACAAGTCAGAGTCGATACTTTTTACTGTTATTGTGTTCTTACTAAATGCCAGAGTCTATGCTAATCTTTTTATATTCATTACTTTATTTAACCTTTACAAAAGCCCTGTGAAGTAGTGCTATTAACTGAATTCTGTGGCCCCAAGATTCATATGTTGAAGCCCTAACCTCCAGTGTGACTGTATTTGGAGAAAGGGCCTTTAAGAGGTGACTAAGGTTAAATGACATCATAAGGGTGGGACAATAATTTAATAGAATTAGTGTCCTTATAAGAAGAGACACCAGAGAACACCTTCTCCAACCCCTACCATATGAGTTGGCCATCTACAAGCCAGGAAGAGGTTCCTCTCCAGAACCTGAATTGGCCATCACCTTAATCTTGCATTTCCCAGTCTCCAAAACTGTGATAAATCGATTTCTGTTGTTTAAGCCACCCAGTCTGTGGTATTTTGTTACAGCAGCCCGAGCAGACTAAGAGAAGTAGATACTATTATTATGTCCCTTTTACAAATGAGGAAAATGAAGCTTAGAAAAGTTAAGTATTCTCAAGGCCACACAGCTAGTAAGTGGTACTTTTCCTTTCTTCAAGAGACAACATCCTTGTGGCCAATATGTGGTCAGTCCTGTTAATATGTGTATACCAGATTATTTCAATTTTTTAAAGTAGTAAAATAATACTTCAGAACAGTGGTTAGTAAATTTTTTCTGAAAAGAACTAGCTAGAAAATAGTTCAGGTTGGCCGGGCACAGTGGCTCATGCCTGTAATACCAGCAGTTTAGGAGGCTGAGGTGGGTGGACCACCAGAGGTCAGGAGTTTGAGACCAGCCTGGCCAACATGGTGAAACCCCATTTCTACTAAAAATACAAAAATTAGCCAGGCCTGGTGGCATACTCCTATAATACTAGCTACTCAGGAGGCTGAGGCTGGAGAATCGCTTGAACCCAGGGGGCAGAGATTGTAGTGAGCCGAGATTACACCATTGCACTCCAGTCTGGGCGATAAGAGCAAAACTCTGTTTCTCAACAACAACAACAACAAAAAGAAAATAGTTCAGGTTTTGTGGACCATATGGTCTCTGTTGGAACTACTCAATTCTGCACTGTGAAGGCAGCCATGGACAATTCGAGAGTGAATGGGCATGGCCATACTCAGATAAAGCTTTACTTGCAAAATCAGGTAGTGAGCTGGATTTGGCTCATGCCCAGGTCATGGTTTGCTGATTATTGCTTTAAAGCAATGTTAAAATGGCAATGCTTTTAAAATGAGACGTGCTGGGTTTGAATTCTGCTGTGTGACTTTGGGTAGATTCTATAACCTGGGCCTCATTTTCCAAGTTAGAATGGTAACACCTCTGCCAGCCACCAGGGTTGTCGTTGGGATCATGAAAGGTACTAGATGTGGAGGAGCTCTGAAGAAGAGCAAGTGCTTATGCAGATACAATTTGATATGGGTATAATTTGATATCTTTCAGAGTGCTCCTGGAAGCCCTAACCCAGGCAGAACATACTTAGTTTAAAGCCTGGACTCAGCTGAGACTGATATGGGTCACTCAGGGAAGGAAACTCCTCCTTGTACCGGGGGTCTTCAGTGCCCATCAGGCTATAACCTTCAGTGAGATGTGGAGTGGAGCCAGCCCTTGGGTGGATTCCAGGATCCCTGGCTCCCCGGTGGAGAGCTCTCTTCGGCTTTGAGCCTGCATCTTCAGTGCCGGAGCTATTTTTCTGAGCTAGGGAGGGCACCATGGGGAGTGATACTCCTGGTAAGGAAGAAACAGGGCAGCCTGCATCTCTGCTGAACACAAGTCTAAACATGAACAAGGATTCTGGCTGCTTGCCCATGCCGCATGAAACCAGGCTGAGGGCGTTAAGGAGAAGTCAGACAAATGTCTGCCCTTCCTTTCATTCTTTTTGCTTTTGCTCTTTGAAAGTATCTTTTTTTTTTTTTGAGACAGAGTCTCACTCTGTTGTCCAGGCTGGAGTGCAGTGGTGTGATCTTGGCTCACTGCAACCTCTGCCTCCTGGGTTCAAGCAATTCTCCTGCCTCAGCCTCGTGAGTAGCTGGGATTACAGGCACACACCACCACACCCAGCTAATTTTTGTATTTTTAGTAGAGACGGGGTTTCACCATATTGGCCAGGCTGGTCTTGAACTCTTGACCTCAAGAGATCCACCTGCCTCGGCCTCCCAAAGTACTGGGATTACAGGCATAAGCCACTGCGCCCAGCCTTATTTATTTCTTAAAGTGAGATTATCTATGCAGTTGCTGGCCTCTGAGAAATGTTTTGGTCTCTGAGAATTTTAGAAAGCCAACTTCTTGAAAAAATGGAGAAGAAAGAAAGGAAGAAAACCCTTAAAAACATGTTTTACTTATGACATGGATGTATTTAGAGGACATTATGCTAAGTAACATAAGCCAGGAGCAGAAAGACAAATACTATGTAATCTCACTTACATGTGGAGTCTAAAAAAGTCAAACTCAGAAGTAGAGAGGCGGATGGTGGTTACCAGAGGCTGAGCATGGGGAGGATGTGGAAACGGGAGAGGTTAGTCAAAGGGTACAAAGTGCCAGTTAGACAGGAGAAATGAGTTCTAGTGATCTATTGCACAGCATGGTGACTATAGTTGATAATAATAATGTATTGTGACTGGACACAGTGGCTCTCACCTATAATCCTGGCACTTTTGGAGGCCAAGGCAAGAAGATCACTTGAGCCTAGGAGATCAAGAGCAGCCTGGGAGACATAGGAATACCCTGTCTCTACATAAAATAAAAGTAAAAAATCAACTGGCTGTGGTGTCATGTGTCTGTAGCCCCAGCTACTTGAGAGGTTGAGGTGGGAGGATTGCCTGAGTCCAGGAGTTTGAGACCAGCCTGGGCGACATAGTGAGATCCTGTCTCTACAAAAAATTTTAAAAATTAGCTGGACATGAGCCAGTGGTCCCAGCTACTTGGGAGGCTGAGGGTGGAGGATTGCTTGAGCTTGGGAGGTTGAGGCTGTAGTGAGTTGTAATTGTGCCACTGCACTCCAGCTTGGGTAACAGAGTGAGACCCTGTCACAAAAGCAAACCAACAAAATAAAAATAATAATATATCGTGTATTTCAAAATTGATAAAGAGTAGATTTTAAATGTTCTCACTACAAAGAAAGGGTAAGTATGTGAGGTGATAAGTATGTTAATTAGCCTGATTTAGTCATTCTACAGTGTATACATGTATCATAATATCACATTGTACCTCATAAATATAAAAATTATTATTTATCAGTTTGAAAAGAAATTTTAGGCCAGGCATGGTGGTTCACACCTATAATTCCAGCACTTTGTGAGGCCGAGGCTGGAGGACTGCTTGAGCCCAGAGTTCAAGACCAGCATGGGCAACACAGTGAGGCCCCCATCTCAAACAAAAAAAAAAAAGAAAGAAAGAAAAGAAATTTTAAAAACTTAAACAAAACAAAACAAGTCTTAGGGAGCCAGAAAGGGCTTCTTTAAATCTGTTCTTCTTTTGAGTTGTAGAAACTTGTTAGCATGGCATTCACAGGCTGATCTGTTAAACTTTCTCTCCCACCACGTTCCCAGTCTGCCCATGTCCAGTTGTCCTGGGTTTCTTGGTCCTGACTGTATCATGTGGTTTTGGTGTGTGCCTTTGCTTCCAGTTCCACTTCTTAGAATGTTCTTCCATTTTCACCTTCCCTCCTTGGACACATACACTTCCCTCCTGCCAACTTTATTTGGGCAACTCTTCCATTGCCTCTGAACAAGGGCTCCAAAGGGAAATCTTCTCAGGCCCCCACCCCCCAAGCAGCAGAACCATTTCCTCCTCTACTCTCTCTCCTCCATGCTTCAGGTTCATCGTTAGTTTAAGCCTGAGGTTGTATTGTCTTATTCATCTCTGTTTTCTTCCGGGCTTCTTATACACAGTAGGTACTTAAATACCCAGTGAATGGGAATAAAAGCAGCCAGAAGTAGTTGACATCAACAACCTTGGAGTGAGGAGACTGACTCTCATCTCTCTGTTGAACATGAAACAAGTACTTTATGTGTGAAGAAGGGCTTTGTAAACTGTCATCTGCCACTCATCTTCAAGGCCATTCTCTTTTAGAAGGAGTTGTGTTGATGGCCTTCATGTTGCTTGCCTTTAATTCCTACTTGTATGTTTCCTAAAGACATAGATCTCATGAGATGAAGTAGTGATTTGAGAACAAATCAGTGCCAGCTTTGCTCTTTTATGTCCAAAGAGAACGGACTCTTCTCTGAGATCCAGGGGATTTTATTTCTGGCTCTGTCCTCTATTTTCATGTTCTAGCCTATGACCAAGGCCTGTTTAGCAGCATGTCAGAATGAAGAGGGTCTGATCTCTGAAACCTGATCCTGACTGGCCACATCTCTAGCTCCAGAACACCTATACTGAAATTTCTGGAACCCTCCTCCCAACAGTTACCCTGTCAGAACCTCAGTCGGCTGCATGTCATCATCTTCATAGCCTTCTTTTCTATGGTCGCAAAATCAAGGGACAGCAATGCCAGCAAATCCTGAAGCTTAATGTGGCTAATTAACTCACATATGCCACAGACAGGAGCCTGCACTATTTATGGCACCAAGAAGTGAGAAAATGTCCCCTACCATGGGTATCAGGTAACTAACACAGTTCTGCCAAAGTTTGGTTGTGAAACACGAAGCCTCTGAAACCCGTTGGTGTTAAGTGCGCACCAAATATTCAATCCAGACATGTCGTGCTTGAACTATTCTGGGGCTCATAAACCTTTCATCAGAATCAGAGGTGAAATATTTGGCCTTATTTGTAAGTCCCATATTTCTAAAGACCTTGGGGGCTCATTTAGTATTCCCAGCAGAAGGTCACAAGGTTGGTTTTCAGGGATCCTGGTTTAGTGGAACTGATGATTTTAAGCAGGAGATACTTTCTTGATTTTCCAGAAACCAGTACCTCACTCCTCCTGCACAATTGCCTGCTCTGTCTCCTTCCCTCCCCCTAACAGCACCCCCTAAAAACCCCTAAACACAAGCACTGTTGTATATGTGGCTGTACAGAGCCCTTATGTTTTCTGACCAAAACACTCAAATTTTTATTTAATAATAATATTAGGGAAGGAGCCTACTCTTTTTAGGCAAACTGTATTATGAAAGGCTTTTTTTCCCCATCAAAAATTAATGGAAGGGGGTGACAATTTCATAGCAACATGAAATCTAAGTGTTACAAGGGTCCTTTGAAATCATCTAGTCCACTCTTCATTTTACAGAGGAAGCCACTGAGATCCAGGTGGGGTGACCGGCCCAGGAGCTCACAGTCGGGACTTGGCTCTACTAGGTCTCAAGCAAGTTACCTGATGATTCATTGCCTCAGTTTCCTCACAGAGATTCTAAGGATTGGATGAGATAATTCATCCAAAAATAATTAGCACAGTGCCTGGCACAGAATGAATATTAGCCACTGATTTACTGATATTACTATTATTTCCCAGATCGTTTGTTGCTAAGTTTCACTCTTCATTGCACCTGGCTCTGTCCTTATGTCACCAACAGTATGCTCAAATCTGGACCTCAGAAGCTGCCTTATAATGGGAGGGTATGATGTATTTTTGGGGGATGTGATGATCTTATTTTTCCATATATTCAAAGCCTCCAGAGGTTTAGAAACCTCATGAACAAATTATCCCAACAGGTTGCTCCTAGGTTCCAATTATCACATAAGTTAAAAGCCAAATTTTTAAAACAGAGTTGAAAATGTTTCCCTTATAAACCAGCTGCATACTTAAGATCACAGAGATTCTGTCTTGATGCTCAGTTTCTGTTAGAGATGTTTGAACAACCCGGGGCCATTATCTGCAAGTGTTATCTTCTCATTTACTGACTTCACTGCCTGTAATGTCCTTTCCTGAGACAGCCTTCCTTGAAGGTGGTGGCACTCCATCAGGCCCCTGGGGATGTCTGTGCTTTCTCTCAGGGAACGTCACTGTCCAACACATCAGCCCTCTTTGGGCCTCTCTTAGGAAATCTGCTGTTTGCTGTCTCCTCCAGGAAGGAGGTGGGCAGGAAGGAGCTCTTGACTTGGCTCACAGCTGTCTAACAAGAATAGCTAATGCTTCCTGAGCACGTATTATGTGCCAGGCTTTGCTTTAAGTATTTTACATTTATTTTCTCCTTGAATCTTCATAGCAATCCCATGAGTTAGGTATTATCAGTAGTTTCATTTTGCAGATGGAGAAATTGAGGCACCCAGAAGTTAAATACCTACTAAAGAGACAGGGTGCCCTCCCAGGGGTTCAAGCCAGGTTCCAACTCCCAGAGCTATGCCCTGCAGTGAACAACACTGTCTCATCCACAAATTGTGTGTCTGCTCCTGGGCAAAACAACCAGGTGTTCATTCAAAACAGAGTTCAAACCTGGCCCAACCTCACAGATCCTGGTTGATGTCATATTACAGACAATTACAGACATAATTAGCCCCCATTCCCACCTCTTCACAATTTATTCCCTCCTGCCCCGCTCACCTTAGGTAGCTGCTGCCATGGGGCCTAGGATGTATATTTCCCTTGAATATTTCTGTATTTTAACTACAAATGCATGTACCTGCATATAATATATAGAATTATTTGGGGGTGTTTATGTGTTATATGGTACATAAATGGTACTATACTCAATGGGTTGTTTTACAACTTAAAAAAATTAAACATTATATGTATTTTTTCTTTTTTTTATTATTATTATACTTTAAGTTTTAGGGTACATGTGCACAATGTGCAGGTTAGTTACATATGTATACATGTGCCATGCTGGTGCACTGCACCCATTAACTCGTCATTTAGCATTAGGTATATCTCCTAAACTATCCCTCCCACCTCCCCCCATCCCACAACAGTCCCCAGAGTGTGATGTTCCCCTTCCTGTGTCCATGTGTTCTCATTGTTCAATTCCCACCTATGAGTGAGAATATGCGGTGTTTGGTTTTTTGTTCTCGTGATAGTTTACTGAGAATGATGATTTCCAATTTCATCCATGTCCCTACCAAGGACATGAACTTATCCTTTTTTATGGCTGCATAGTATTCCATGGTGTATCTGTGCCACATTTTCTTAAGCCAGTCTATCATTGTTGGACATTTGGGTTGGTTCCAAGTCTTCGCTATTGTGAATAATGCCGCAATAAACATACATGTGCATGTGTCTTTATAGCAGCATGATTTATAGTCCTTTGGGTATATACCCAGTAATGGGATGGCTGGGTCAAATGGTATTTCTAGTTCTAGATCCCTGAGGAATCGCCACACTGACTTCCACAATGGTTGAACTAGTTTACAGTCCCACCAACAGTGTAAAAGTGTTCCTATTTCTCCACATCCTCTCCAGCACCTGTTGTTTCCTGACTTTTGAATGATTGCCATTCTAACTGGTGTGAGGTGGTATCTCATTGTGGTTTTGATTTGCATTTCTCTCATGGCCAGTGATGATGAGCATTTTTTCATGTGTTTTTTGGCTGCATAAATGTCTTCTTTTGAGAAGTGTCTGTTCATGTCCTTCGCCCACTTTTTGATGGGGTTGTTTGTTTTTTTCTTGTAAATTTGTTTGAGTTCATTGTAGATTCTGGATATTAGCCCTTTGTCAGACGAGTAGGCTGCGAAAATTTTCTCCCATTTTGTAGGTTGCCTGTTCACTCTGATGGTAGTTTCTTTTGCTGTGCAGAAGCTCTTTAGTTTAATTAGATCCCATTTGTCAATTTTGGCTTTTGTTGCCATTGCTTTTGGTGTTTTGGACATGAAGTCCTTGCCCATGCCTATGTCCTGAATGGTAATGCCTAGGTTTTCTTCTAGGGTTTTTATGGTTTTAGGTCTAACATTTAAGTCTTTAATTCATCTTGAATTAATTTTGTATAAGGTGTAAGGAAGGGATCCAGTTTCAGCTTTCCACATATGGCTAGCCAGTTTTCCCAGCACCATTTATTAAATAGGGCATCCTTTCCCCATTGCTTGTTTTTGTCAGGTTTGTCAAAGATCAGATAGTTGTAGATATGTGGCGTTATTTCTAGGGCTCTGTTCTGTTCCATTGATCTATCTCTCTGTTTTGGTACCAGTACCATGCTGTTTTGGTTACTGTAGCCTTCTAGTATAGTTTGAAGTCAGGTAGCGTGATGCCTCCAGCTTTGTTCTTTTGGCTTAGGATTGACTTGGCGATGCGGGCTCTTTTTTGGTTCCATGTGAACTTTAAAGTAGTTTTTTCCAATTCTGTGAAGAAAGTCATTGGTAGCTTGATGGGGATGGCACTGAATCTATAAATTACCTTGGGCAGTATGGCCATTTTCACAATATTGATTCTTCCTACCCAGGAGCATGGAATGTTCTTCCATTTGTTTGTATCTTCTTTTATTTCATTGAGCAGTGGTTTGTAACATTATATTTTTGAATTCACATTGATTATGTACACCTAGTTCATTCATTTTAACTGCTGTACAGTATTACAATACATAATTATGCTATAGATTATTTTTGTCACTTCCCCTATTGATAAACAATACTGCTGTGAACATTTAACATGTCCTTAAATACAATATATATGTGAGAATTTCTTTCTTTTTTTGTTTTTGAGACGGACTCACTCTGTTCCCCAGGCTGGAGTGCAGTGGTGTGATCTCAGCTCACTGCAACCTTCGCCTTCCAGGTTCAAGTGATTCTCCTGCCTCAGCCTCCTGAGTAGCTGGGATTACAGGCGCCCACCACCATGCCTGGCTAATTTTTGTATTTTTAGTAGAGATGGGGTTTCACCATGTTGGCAAGGCTGGTCTTGAACTCCTGGCCTCAAGCAATCTGCCCATCTCAGCCTCCGAAAGTGCTGGGATTACAGGTGTGAGCCATCACGCCCAACTGATGATTTTGTTTTCTTTTTTTCTTTTTGACAGGGTCTTGCTCTGTTGCCCAGGCTGGAGTACATTGGCACAATATTTCCCAGGCTCAAGCAATCTTCCCATCTCAGCCTCCTGAATAGCTGAGACTACAGGCACGCCCCACCACACCCGACTAGTTTTTGTATTTTTTGTAGAGATGGGTTTCATCACGTTTCCCAAGCTTGTCTCTATAACTCCTGAGCTCAAGGGATCCACCCACCTTGGCCTCCCAAAGTTCTGGGATTACAGGAGTGAGCCACTGCACCAGGCCATGTGAGAATTTCTTTAGGTATATGTCTAAGAGTGAAATTGTAAGGCATGCACATTATTAACCTTACCATTATGTTATTGCTTAATTGCTTTTTAAAATGAGTGCCAGTTTAGACTTCCAGGAGAAAAAGGTAAGAGTTTGTATTTCTCCCAATTCTTGTCAACACCTGATATTCCTAGACCTTAGCATTTTATGTTTTAACTAGTATAGGTAGAGCTTTTTTGTTGATGCATTTTACATGCCATTTTTTTGTTTATAATTTTAAAAATTATTTTTGATTAAAGTAAAGGTATGTGATAAAAAAATCTAAGTAGAAAAGCACATTCAATGAAAAGTGAGTCCACTCCCCATTTCTGACCCTATCCCTTAGTTTTCCTTCCCAGGGGGAAGGAACCTATTTTTTATGTATCCCTTCAGAGATATTCCATGCATCTACAACATACGTGTATGTGTGCATACACACCTACATGGCTCCATACCTTGTTTTTCTGATTTAACACAAGATCTTGGAGCCTTTTTTCAATTCATTATTATTTATGTTTACTTCATTTTAAAATGGCTCATTAAATATATCTTCTCCCTTTATTTATGTCTCTGTACAGAGATAGAACACTTCCATTTTCCAGCATTATGGAAACCAGTGTCCTCATCTGGACGCTGGCTTTTATTACTCATACCTTGAGACAGCCGACAGGGAGCTGCCTCCTAACCTCTCTTTCTGACCAGACCATTCTAGCCAAAGCCATGCAGTTATCCAGATGATTCAGACAGAAAGTCCTTACTCAGGTAATTTTTGTAAAAGCAAAGATTGGTAATGACAGTGGTAATGACAAAAATTATAAGAAATAACTGAGAAGTTTATTGTCTTGGCATAGAAAGAATGCAAAATAATTACTTTAATGTTAATAACATGGGCCTTCTTAAGCACTTACTATTGCTAGGCCTTGTATTTTACTTACATTATATTTTTAATCCTCTCAGCATTTCTATGAGTGATATTGTTGAGGTGATATGTTGTCATCACCTCCATATTACAGCTGTAGAAATTGGGGCTCAAGCACTTCAATAATTGGCCTGAGGTCTCAAAGCTGGTAAAAATTAGTATGGGACAGGATTGAAACCTGGGTTGATGTGACACTAAAGCTTGTGCTCTTAACGACTGCCATATGGCTCCACACACACATCTGATTTAGTTCACTTATGATTACAAGGGGATATATTTTCAAGTGTCCGAAATATGTCAGTTTATGTATTCATTTTTATAACCATAGTGGTTATTAAATATTTTAATATCACCCCAGCAACCAATTTTATTGTTCATTACTCTCTCAAACCTGAGTGATATTCCAGTTAAACGAAACCAGTCACTCTTACTCAAATAAACCTTGTGTTTTCCAGCCTACCAGTAGATACTTTGGTTCTAGAAATGCTGAGAAGAGTCCTCACGTCATTCAGTTCTGTTTTGCAGTGGTTCTGCTAAACAATTATAGAGCAAGTCCAGGCGCGGCGGCTCACGCCTGTAATCCCAGCACTTTGGGAGGCTAAGGTGGGCGGATCACCTGAGGTTGGGAGTTTGAGACCAGCCTGACAAACATGGAGAAACCCCATGTCTACAAAAAATACAAAATTAGCTGGGTGTGGTGGCGCATGCCTGTACTCCAGCCTGGGCAACAAGAGCAAAACTCAGTCTCAAAAGAAAAAAAAAAAATTATAGAGCAATTACTAGGTAGCCACAAATGGGAAAACAGTAACAAGGAGACAAAAAGGATAGGAAACTCCAGGATTTTTCTAGAGTCTCTGATCACTGACTGAGTCAACAGAGATGGGAGACTTGAAGTCTGCATTCTGCTCTCTACCTCTGCAGAGACACCAATCCCTCTTTTTCCTTGAAAAGGAAAGAAAACCACCTCCCTCTTCATTACTTCGATTTGCTTCCATCTTTCCCATTTCTTTTTGACCTGACCCCCACAACCTGAGGTTTAGTTATCAACAAGATAATATTCTGTTTTTGATTTTTTCTCCATTCTTTTTTTTTGAGACAGAGTCTGACTGTCACCCAGGCTGGAGTGCAGTGGCGCGATCTCAGCTCACTGCAACCTCCACCTCCTGGGTTCAAGCAATTCTCCTGCCTCAGCCTCCTAAGTAGCTGGTATTACAGGCACATACCACCACACTCAGCTAATTTTTGTATTTTTAGTGGAGACTGGATTTCACCATATTGGTCAGGCTGGTCTCAAACTTCTGACCTCGTGATTCTCCCGCCTTAGCCTCCCAAAGTGCTGGGGTTACAGGCATGAGCCACAGTGCCCGGCCCTCCATTCTTAACTAAGAACAGAATAGAGCCCCAACAATGGTAGTTTCTGCAATTTTTGTGAAGCTATGCTTTGTAATGAGGCTAGAGATGGTGGAGAGGAGGAATGAAGGACCTTTCAAATACTGCTGTGCATGATAAGAGGAAGTATGAGCACTGTTGTAAAGAAGTAGCCTTGTGAACTGTCAATCTAAATAACAAACAGAGGGCATTGCAATTCCCCCTTGCAATGTCCTCCTCCTGAATAAGTATCTTTAGAATAGGGTGTTACAAAAATCATATTTACTCGGAAATAGGGCATTGCAATGGGAATATGTGTGCCATAGTAAACTACGTGCGTATTCAAGGAGGTAAGATAAGATAAAAGGTTTTAAAGGAAAAATGAAGAGGATTACATAATTGTTTTGAAATGATTATTTTTGGCTACAAGGATCAACAACGAGGGTGATGTCAGTCCGACACTGGATAGGCAGTTACTGGGTAGATGTCCTCGCAGTAGCTCTTACTGACATTTTGGGCTGGACAATTCTTTGTTGTGGGGGCTGTCCTGTGGAATGTAGAATGTTTAGCAGGATCCTGTCCTCTCTCTACCCGCTGGATGCCAGTAGCATCCTCTGCAGTCATGACAATCAAACATGTTTTCAGTCATCTCTGGTTGCCCCTTAAAGGGCAAAATTGTCCTCAGTTGAGAGCCACCACCAAAGCTGTTCCCTCTGCCTGACACACTCTTCCCCTAAAGATTCATATTTCCACCCCATCACCTCCCACAAATCACTGCAGATCTAACCGTGATGAGCCTCCTCTATCACCTTTTTTAATTACTGCAAACTGTTCCTCTCCTAACTCCTAGCCCCCTTACCCTTCTCTACTTTTTTATTTTTATGATCATCTAATGTACTTATTTTTATGTGTTTACACTTGTTGTCTTTCACTACAATGTAAGCTCCTTAAGGGATCAATTTTCTTTGCTCATATTTCCTATAGCACCTAGAGCATTTCCTCACACATGGTTAAACAGTAATAAAAATACATACGCAAAAGATATAGATGAAAAGTCCAGCTCTTACTCCTGATCTCTGTCCTCCTAGTTCTTCACTCCCAAATCAAGTAACTGCTTTTATCAGTTATTAGTGTATCCTTTCAGAGTTTTTTATGCAAAATCAAGCAAGTAGGAACATATATTTCTATTCCTAATTTTTAAAACCAAAAGTTGGCACATTTAGACACCATTCAGCACCTTCCTTTTTTTCATTTAAGCTTATACGCATTATGAGAATAGTTTTTCTGTCTAGAAAGATTTTTGCCTTCCTGTTTGAACCTTTCCTGTGGTTGAAACTTGGAGATCCGCAGCCTAGTAAATACTGGCCTGACTTTCCTGTCCTTTCACCAGGAGAAAAGTTGATTTTCCCGTTAAACTTGAATTCAGATTTCAGCCAGACCCCAGCCAGTCAGCAGGTCTGCCTGCCTTGTTTCCTGTATGAGAGCTATTCATTGACTCAAGTCCATATGTCATTTGATTATTTTGGATTATGTGACAAGCTTTTTAAATTTTCTTTTTGATATAAATTAAATTGGTTGCCTCTAGGACAGGGCTGAGGATTGGTAGTTCTTGGAAATCAGCCAGCCTGTGAGTGTAGGGGGATCCCTGGGGATGCAGACAGTGTTAACCTGGACCCTTTGAATAAGAATTCCCCAGGGTGTTCTGGACAGCCTTTCCAGCAGGAGCTGCAGGAGGGGACCCAGGCGGGCGCAGCTCCTCACACACCCTCCACTGCCCTGGAGGTGACCTAGATGTTTATTGAGAAATGGCTCCTCTGGATTTCTGTGCAGAGGGAGAAAGGCTTTTTCTGCCTCGTTTTTACATACGGTGGTCCTCCACCTACCATGAAAGGCAAAAACTGGGAGGCCCAGGGAGATAGCTAGTTGCTTGAGGAGTCCAAATGTACCAAAGGTCCAAGATGAAAAATCTGGCCTGGGGCCAGTGGTGTGACTCTGTGATGAGCATTTTATTCTGCAGCCGCAAATGAATGGTGTATGTTTGAAAATGAAGTACTTAGTGATTATTACTTGAGAGGTCTTAAAACATTTAGCTCTCAACTTATCAGGCCTCCATGTATGACATTTCACATTAGCCAAAACGGATGGAATTTTTAAAGACCTAAAAGATAAAATACGCAACAACTTTCGAAATTGTAACAGAGAATTAGAATGACAGATCACTACTGGTTAAAAAAAGCTATTATCTTGGGTGTACATACAAAAGACCCTCTTCTCGTTTGGGAGGGACATGTTCAGGTCACTATAGTCAAACATTATTTTTCTCTCTTTAGTTCCAGAAAGGCTAACAAGAAGTTGCGGCAGACAAAAAGAACAGCTGGATCATGCATCTTTCAAATGGGAAAAACTTATACCCTTAATCACAGATGAACCCGTGAGGAAATACTTTAGAAAAGATTGAACTCATCCTTTCATAGAATATGCAATCTAATCAGCACTCTGAGAAAAGCAGAGAGGAAGGATTAGAAATAATAGTCTGTGTTTATTTTTGTCTGGGATCTATGGAAATGTAGGTTTATGACTTGACTTGAGCTCTCACAGTTAAAATATATGGCGTATAGAATAGTACTTGCTGCCAGGTCTAGCCCGGCCTCATTCGATTTCACAAGGTAAGTGGCAGGCTGAGTATCCACTGGAATTAGCTATGGTTTGCTGGGAAAAGAAATATCTATTAGTTTAGGTCTTCTTTGCTTTTTTATTTTAAAATATACATTAAATACATTTCAGGATACATTAAAACATATACATGAAGTAAACTAGTAATGTTTATTTCAAAGTCAAAAACAATATTCTATTTCTTTTTTCTTTTTTTTTTTTTTTTTGAGACAGAGTCTCGCTCTGTCACCAAGGCTGGAGTGCAGTGGCTTGATCTCGGCTCACTGCAACCTCTGCCTCCCAGGTTCAAGCAATTCTCCTACCTCAGCTTCCCGAGTAGCTGGGACTACAGGCACGTGCCACCATGCCCCGCTAATTTTTTGTATTTTTAGTAGAGATGGGGTTTCATCATGTTGGCCAGGCTGGTCTTAAACTCTTGACCTCGTGATTCGCCCACCTTGGCCTCCCAAAGTGCTGGGATTACAGGTGTAAGCCACTGCGCCCGGCCTCTATTTCTTTTTTGCAGTTTGATCTCAGATATTCTGTAGTGTGTTTTGGGTAGGGGGAAATCTAGGTTGTTTTCTTTTTCCTTTTTTAGAGACAGGGTCTCAGGGTCTCACTCTGTTGCCCAGGCTGGGGTGCAGTGGTGCCATCATAGCTCACTGCAGACTTGAACTCCAGGGTTCAAGGAATCCTTCCTGCCTCAGACTCCCAAGTAGTTGGGAATACAGGTGCACACCACCATGCCCAGCTAATTAAAAAAAAATTATTTGTAGAGACAGCGTTGCCCAGACTGGTCTCAAACTCCTGCCTCAAGCAATCCTCTCGCCTCAGCCTCCCCAGTGGCTGAGATTACAGGCTTGAGCCACCATGCCAGGCTAGGTACTTTTTTAAAAACAGCTTTTTGAGATATGATTCTTATACAGCTCACCCACTGAAAGTGCACAGTTCAATGGTTTTTAGTATTTTCAGAGTTGTGCAACCATCACCAAAATCTAATTTTAGAACATGTTCATCAGCCCAAAAGGAAATGTCATGCTATTGAGCAATTACCCCCCATTTCGCCTACTCCCCCAATCCTTGGCAACCATGAATTTAGTTTCTAACTCTGTGATTTGCCTATTCTAGATATTTCAGATAAATGGAGTCATGCAATATATGGTATTTTGTGTCTGGCTTCTTCCACTTAGCATGTTTTCAAGGTTCATTATGTTGTATTATGTGTCAGTACTTTATGCCATTTGATGGTTGTCTAACGTTCCACTGTGTGAATAACTGCACTTTGTTTATCCATTCATCATATGATGAACATTTGGGTCGTTTACACTTTTTGCCTATTGGGAAAAAATGCTGCTAGGAATACTTTTGTGCAAGTTTTAGTGTGGATATTTGTTTTCATGTGTTTGGGTATATACCTGAGTGGAAATGCTATCTCATATGGTAACTGTAGGTTTAGCATTTTGAGAAGCTGCCAAACCATTCTCTGCTTTTTAAAATTTTTTATTTTTTTGGAGATGGGGTCTTGCTCTGTCACCCAGGCTGGAGTGCAATGGTGTGATCATGGCTCATTGCAGCCTCAACCTCCCAGGCTCAAGCAATCCTCCTGCCTCAGTCTCCCAAGTAGCTGGGACCACAGGCACGCACCACCATGCCTGGCTAATATTTTTTATTATTTTCGTAGAGACGGGATCTCTTTATGTTACCCAGGCTGGTCTTGAACTCATGGGCTCAAGTTATCCTCCTGCCTCAGCCTCCTAAAGTGCTGGGATTCCAGGTGTGAGCCACTGCACCTGGCCTGTTCTCTGCTCTTTAAGAGTGATAACTATGGCATTTTAGCCAGGGGGTTATCGGGATTTGAGTATAGAGCACATATTTGATTCAGCTGGTTCACAGTTGTATTTTATCCTTCCCATCCCCATTCCCAATTGTTTCATTTGTTCAATGTTTACTGAGCCGGTTGCCAGTATTGGAGGATTACAGTAAGAAGAAAACAAGATAAACAGTTATGAGGGTTCCCTGGGACATAGAAACTCACACTGGGCCATGTTGACCTATGCCTTACCCTGTGTTCTCTTGGTGGTAAAACTCAAATTTCAAACATCACTCTAACAAAGTCTAAGGACAATCAATATTTTTACTCATCTCCTAAATAATACAAGAAACTAGGCATGCTTAAATTTCTTTCTGCATCCTCTTCTTCAATTTTCTACATTTTAATCAAGTGTTTTATTTCTACTTTGTTTTATAAGTCAATATTTATTTAGCACTAGTAACACTTAACAACTGATATCTTTGCTCACTATTGCAACTGGCTTCCCTTACCTTTTTTCTGGATTCATTTCCTTTTTTCTGAGATATATTTATTAGTAATTTTTTTGGAATGAATCTGGTCACATTTAACCTTCTTTTGTTTTTTACTTTATTTATTTATTTATTTTTATTTTTTTGAGACAGTCTTGTTCTGTCATCCAGGCTGGAGTGCAGTGGTATGATCTTGATTCACCGCAACTTCTACCTCCCAGGTTCAAATGATTCTCGTGCCTCAGCCTCCCAAGTAGCTGGGATTACAGGTGCATGCCACCACACCTGGCTATTACCTTCATCCTTGAATAATTGTTTGTCTAGTATATTAAGATCAATAGGCCAGGCATGATGGCTCACACCTGTAATCCCAGCAATTTGGGATGCCCAGGCAGGAAAATTGCTTGAAGCCATTAATTTGAGACCAGACTCGGCAACATAGCAAGACTCTATATCTACAAAAAATTTAAAAAATTAGCCAGGCAAGTTGGTGTGCACCTGCAGTCTCAGCTACTCAGGAGGCTGAGGTGGGAGGATGACTTGAACCTAGGAGCTTGAGGTTACAGTGAGCCATGACTGTGCCACTGCATTCCAGGCTGATCAACAGAGTGAGACCCAGTCTCAAAAATAAATAAATAAATAGAAAGATCAATAGCACTGTCTAGCTGCTGTCTCAATGTTCAGATCAGTCTTCACAATGGTCAACTGTGCCCAGTTCCTGCCTTTTCTTCTCTATCACCTTCATTGTTAAATCTCTGTGGCTTAACACAATTAAAATGAAATTCTCATTCATGTCTTAGTCTAACGTGTCAGGTGGCTCTCTTGAGTAGCTTCCCTCCAACCAGTGCCTCAGAGATCCTTGCTGTTTTCATTTTATGATTCTGCCACACTGAGTTCTTTCCAGGGAGTCTATTGGCTATTTAGCATGTTTGTGTGTATGTGTATGTGTGTGTGTTTTTTCAGACAAACCTAGAAGTGGTGCACATTACTTCTATTGTATCATGTTGGCCAGAAATCCAATTGCATAGCCCCAAAGAAGTTGAGAAATGTAGTCATCCTGTTTGCCCAGGAGGAATGTTTAGTGAATTCACGGCATTACCTCTGCCACATTATGACATAGAATTCTTGGTTGGCAGTTATTTTTTCTTAGCACTTTAAAGATTTTATTTCATTTTCTTTTGGCATCTATTATTCATGAGAAATTCATGGTCAGTCTGATTGTTGTTTTTCTGTTGATAATCTGTCTTTTCTCTCTGGTATCATTTAAGATTCTTCTATTTGTCCTTGATGGTCTGCTATTTTGCTCTCATGGGTCTCTTTGTAGATTTGTTTTTATTTATCCTGAAGAGAAGTTGATGTGCTTTTTTAATCTGATAAAACTTTTAAAACAATCTGGGAAATTCCAAGTCAGGATATCTTTTAATATTGATTTTCTGCCGTTCTGTTTTTTCCTTCAGGAACTTTTAGATCTATTTTCCATGTCTCTTAACTTCTTGTTCATATTTTCTATGTTTAATCTATTGTTTAACTTGTCTGTTGAGTTTTTTTATTTTAGTGAGAATATTTGTTATTGTCTGGGATATATACATACTGGTTTTTTCCCCAACTCATCCTGTTCTTTTGTTCTTACTTTGTGAATTCTATTTCTTCATCTCTCTGAACATTTTAAACATTTATTTTGAGGGTCCCTCAGACCAATTTTCAAATTAAAATTACTCTACGATCTGTAGTTTGTTGGGTGTGAATTATCCTATTTCTTAGGTCTGTGGGCTAGGTTCCTTGAATCTCTTTTTCCACGAGAGTCACATGTGTGCGTTAGAGTTGTTTCATAGCGTTCTCTGCTCGGGCCCTATATTCACCAGTTCTATTTTTTAATGTTGCCCAGGCTGGACTTTGAACTCCTGGGCTCAAATAATCCCCCTGCCTCAGCCTTCTGAGTAGCTAGAACTACAGGCATGTGCCACCATGTCTGGCTTGATGCAACTTTTGTTTTACTTTTCGGTTTGGGGTTTCTTAATGGCAAAGATAGTATACAATTTGGAGCCCATGCTCAGAAAGGCTTGGAGGTCTGGTTTCCTGAGAATGACCTATCTATACTTTCTAATTAGAGAGAATTTTGCTAGAGGAAATAGAAGAATTTAGCTAGAAAAGTAAAGCATGACATTTAATAATGGATTCTTGAGTTAGATTGACTTAAGTTCAAGTTCTGTCTTTATCAGTTAGCAGGTATGTGACTTCATTAAAGTTATCTAATTTTTCTGAGCATACATTTCCTCATTGTAAGGTGGAATATATTCACTTCTTAGCTCATGGATGTTAATCACCATTAGTTATGATTTCTAGCTGCAGATCAAGGACAAAGGAAAATTTCTTTGTACCAAGTACCTCAGCCCAAGCAGGAAGACCTATTGAAGGAGCAGGTCAAGGGAAATATCTGTAAAAGTTGGAGAAATGCCCTCCAGTTGTCAGCATCAGGAAAGTGTGAAGGGTGAAAGGTAGGAACACTTAAGACATGACTGTCTCTCCTGCTGTGTGGTCATTATTCCTTACTGTCTTCCCCTAGCCTCTCAGTCAACAGGAACCATGTTGGTCAATGGTAGCAGCGTCTAAGGTATCAATCTTCATGATGACCAGTGCAATCTGCCTAAGGGCAGAGGACTTTTTAAAAGTGCTAAGTGAATACTATAATCATTTCAGGATAACTATTATTGAGTTGAAAAATATGAGATAAAAACAAAGTAAATCACTTTTATTATTTGAACCTTAAAATTTTTTATTTACTTAAGTTTTATCTCATTGTTATTATGATTCTTAAAGTGACTTCATTGTTTGGAAATCTAAAATTTGCTTACCATTTTCTTTCTGTTTTACTTTTTTCTTGAGTTCCCACCTCTATTTCAATGCAACTTTTCCCTAAGCATCTCTGTACCATGTTTGTCAGTATAAAGGAGGGTTAGACAAAAAGAAAGAAAGAAAGAAAAAAAGGAAGGAAGGAAAACACACTGGTTTTACATAAGCATTAATATATGTTTCACATGCTGATAAAGTACAGTACTGCACTAATCTAGTTGAGTCTTTCTTAGTCGTCTGCCACCTGGTCTGTATCCTGAGTTATCCTTGAATTCCAGTTTACAATGGCTGACCCATTTAACCTCCCCATAAGGTTAAAACCCACATATAAGAGGCCTCACTGCTATTCAACTTGTCAAAGAAGGTTGAGTTTGACCAGGACCCTATCCTTCTAAGGTGGAATCTGGGAAATATCCAAGCACTTCCAAGTGATAATGCAAGCAAGAGACTCCTCAGCTATTGACCAGTTTTGCCCCAACAGTCTTCACTACCTCCTGGCATGAGAAAAGGAAAAGTCTGACAAGCCTCAGCTTCTAAGTTTTAGAAAAAGGTCTATGGAAATAATTTTCTTTCCTATTTTTAATGCTTCATAACTCTAATTATATCATAAATAATGCTTACTTCATGTTTAATGGGGCCAACATCATGTATGATGGCACTTTATCTGAGAAGGCATAAAACTGGAGCAAGAAATCATTACCAAGAATGCAAAGCAAATTTGAAAAATCAGCAAAGTTTAAAATGAAATGTTCCTAGTTGATTTCATGTGCTACTTGCCTAATGACACTGTAATAGATGACTTTAACTAAATCTAGAGCTGCTAGTGCAGCATGGAGAGTCACTTTTTCAACTCTTCATGTAGTACCACAAGGATCAGGATGATGCTTTTGCATACACCTGGGCACAGCTGCAGCTCAAATGTGTGAAACTTCCCACAAGGTCATGGGCACCTGCTGTTTTTGTCTGCCCAGCATTCATTCCCCTCTTTTCTGGTAACAGAACCAGCTTCTCTTTGGGGGAATTCCCTCTTCCGTATGGGTGGGCCCTTTTGGTGAGACTGCCCTGCCATCCCCTAGTTAAGTGATGGCCACAAGACCCAAGCCTGGCCAATCAGGTGTTCTCTCGAGTGGAGTCTGTAAAACCAAGATGGTGGTTATTGATTCCCCTAGGCAGAGGCCCCCTGAAGAGACTGCCCTTAGAGCCTGGAGCTACTCCAGTCCTAATCCTTCAGCTTTTCTAATTTTTCTCCCATTAAATTATTTTATCCCCTTGTTAACATTGTTAATTCACTTCTGTTGCTTGCAACAAAAACCCAAATTGACACACCAATACGTACTTCCTGGTATGGCAGGCTGGCGCTCTCCCACCAAACCCTCCTTCAGAAGGAAAGGGTGCTTTTACACCTTCTTAGAGCAGAATGTCTGAAGGGGAAGCTCTGACTTGGAACAACCACTCATAGAAAAGACTTCTCTGACGACATGACATTTGTTTGTAAATAAATGGCAGAGGAGTGCTCCAGTTGTGGTGCATTTTCTTGCTTAGAAGGAGTGCTAGGGAAGATAGTCCATGCTCTGGAATCAAACTGCCTGTCCTCAAATCCCGGCTTTGTGACTCAACTAAACCTCCGTTTCTTAATCTGTTAAAAGAGAATAGTTGCATCTACTTTTAGGGTAGTTAAAAATTAAATAAGATAATTCACGTAAAGTGTTTAACACAATGCTTGGTACATATAGATCCTCAACAAAGTGAGTTCATTGTGACAATATGCTTAAAATACACTTCTCTAGGTTTCCTTTAATTTGGTCTGTATGGCAGCTCTTTGGGATAATAAGATCAAGTAAATGCAATGTCCCTCAGGCGCAAAGATAGAATGTGACCCACTATCAATTGGACACGTGCTTAGAATTATTTAACTAGTAGTGATTGTAAGAGCCTTGAGTCAGAAACTGTTGAAATGAGTCTTGAGATAGAGCTCTCTCTATTTAATTACTATCTATTACAGTCAGTCTTCCCTGTCCATGGGTTCTGTGGCCAAGGATTTAACCAACCACAGAGAAAAAAATATTTGAAAAAAAAAAAAAACAATAAAAAATAGCAATACAACAATAAAAAATAATACAAATAAAAACCCAATACAGTATAATAATTATTTACACAGCATTTACATTGTATTAGGTATTATAAGTAATTAGAGATGATTTAAAGTATAAGAGAGGATGTGCGTAGGTTAAAGGCAAATACTATGCCATTTTATATCAGGGACTTGAGCATCCATGGATTTTGGTATGTGGGGGAGTTGGGTCTTGGAACTAATACCATGTGGATACCCAGGGACAACTGTACATTCGCTCTTTCTTTTTTACATTATCCCCTTTCATTCCTCTTTCCTCCTCACCTCTTTTTAGCCACAATCTCATAGCTGCACAGCAACTCGGATTCAAGAAATAGTTACTGAGAGTCAGGCCCTGTCCATACAGATGAATTAGGAGGCTTTCTGTGCTCAAGGCCTCAGTCTGGTTCTCACCTTCGTTTCCAGCATTTTCACCAATATTCAGCCTCTCAGGAACTCTTTTCTGAATGGTTGAAAGGACTTCCTAACTGACCTTTCACCTCTCTCCCCACTTCTTTCTTCCACCTTTCGAATCTCTCTGCTACATCAATCTCCCTGAAATTCAGCTCTCACCACCTATTTCTGCAAACCCCCTCTCGCCACATCGCGCCACATTACCTACCAAATAAAGCCAACAGTTTTCTTTCTGGTGTGTGGGGTCCTCCACAATATGGCGTCACCTTTCCTTCTCTCCTTCCTCCTGTTCCCCATGGCCCTGACCATCATCTGTCCTTCTCCAGCAGGCTCTGCATTCCCTATCCAGCTTTTGATCCATTTGCAATCCCCTCCTCACATGGGCCAAAACCCTGCCCATTCTATAAGGCCAGGAATAAATGCCGCTTTATAATTTGTCCCTGTTTCCCAAAGCCTGTAAAGGCTCTTCCTCCCCTCAGCCTCTACAGTGCATTGTAACTCTGTTTCAGCTTTATAGGACTCTGCCTTGTTTCATAGCTATTTAGGTAAGGCAGGAAGAACTTTCTGCCTGTGAAAAGGAGACACTGAAATGTACTTTCAAGGAAGGAGGGAAGAATTTAGCTTTCTCTGCAAGTTTTGAAGAAAGAGATCCATCTTTGAGGGAAATTTTATATGAGGTCTTGTCTGGAGGTCAGTCAATGAACTGATGGCCGCCAAAGGGTCTGGGTAATTAAAATTCTAGTAAATTTCTTGAGACGGTTTTAATTCCTTGAGACAGCACATGCATGTAGATCCGTAGGGAGAACACTAGAACAGGTTCTATTGAAGGAAACTAAGAACTATCATGGAGCTGTTTTCACTTTGCCAAAGGAAAGAGTAGCCAGGCCTCCTAGAGACTGGGCTGTTTTGGGGTTCTCCATACCTTGTTGGGACTAGGTAAGTTATTTTTCCTTCTTCTACGGTGATTTAGATCTTGGGATCCCTGTCCAATTCATTTCCTGGTTATTTGCAGAAATCTTGAGTATGTGGGTCCCTATCAGGAAACAGTGT
Organism: Homo sapiens; assembly: GCF_000001405.40. Lineage (NCBI taxonomy): Eukaryota > Metazoa > Chordata > Mammalia > Primates > Hominidae > Homo > Homo sapiens. Next base: position 27,324,273 of record NC_000007.14, read on the forward strand.
GAAAGAGGGGAGATATTGGATTGCCAGCACTCTTCACATGTATTATGTGTTTAACTCCCATATCCACACATAAGGCAGAAATCATTTCCTCCATTTTTTAAAATGCCAAAATATTAGAAGTTTAGTGACTGGTTGAGGATTACTGAATAAGTGTTGAAATGGGTATTGAAACTGAGGTCATACTCTTCCTAATTCCATTCAAACCTCCCCCCACCCCTTTGTTGTCATCAGTTCTCCTTTTGGACTTTCTCTCCCATATGGCCCTAGAACTAACCTGTTGGCCCAACTTCCACCAATTTCTCACTGCCATATAAATCTGAGGCCTGTCCTTCACCTTCTCCCAGAATCAAAGGAGATTTGTGTGTGTGTGTGTCCCATTCTTTCTGGGCTATGTTATTAGCCAATCCAGAGATGATTACGAGCTAAACTATCAGTGATCTGTTATGACTCAAAGTCTATTATCCACCCGTGATTGTGGCTTTATTCATTTCTCCTTTAGTTCTATTCATTTTGCTTTATATATTTTAAAGTTTATGTGAGTAGGCATATACAAATTTAGGATTGTAAGGTCTTTCTGATGAACTAACTCTGTTATCATTATAAAATGTTTCTCTTTATCTCTGATAATATTTCTTGTCTTGAAGTCTATTTTGTCTAATAATAAAGCCACACCAGCTTTCTTATTATTAGAATTTGCATAACGATGTTTTTCCATCCTTTTACTTTCAGTATCTCTAAGGCCTTATGTTTGAAGTGTGTTTCCTGAAAACAGCATACAGTTGACATTGAGTTGTTTTTGTTTAAAAATCAAATCTAGGCCGGGCTTGGTGGCTTAGGCCTATAATCCCAGTACTTTGGGAGGCCAAGGCGGGTGGATCATTTGAGGTCAGGAGTTCGAGACCAGCCTGGCCAACATGGTGAAACCCCATCTCTACTAAAAATACAAAAATTAGCTGGGTGTGGTGGTGCACACCTGTAATCCCAGCTACTTGGGAGGCTAAGGCAGGAGAATTGCTTGAATGGGGACGTGGAGGTTGCAGTGACCCGAGATCACGGCATTGCACTCCAGCCTGGGTAACAAGAGTGAAACTCCATCTCAAGAAAAAAAAAAAGATCAATTCTGATAATATCTTTTAAATGGAGTGTTTAGTTCATTAACCTTTTATATTGTATAAAATTTAAGGTATACAACATGATGTTTTGATATATATAGCCATTCATTAACATTTAATGTAATTATTGATAAAGCTGGACTTATGTTTCCCATCTTGCTCTTTTAGGTCTTTTTGGTTTTAGGTTTTTCTTTTCTTTTCTTTTCTTTTCTTTTTAAAGAATTGCATTTGAATAGGAAACTCCTGGATACCATGCATCTAACCCTATTTGGTAATATTTTAGACAATCATAATGGATGAAGTAAAAGGGTCCTTCTGACATCTGCTATCTGTTGCCAAGTAAGCATTTGAACTTTTTGCTTATAAGTAAAGGAATGCCCTAATTATTTAACACTTAGGTCATTTTCAGTTTTTACTTCCAGAAATGGTACCTTAAAGATCATCTTCACACATAGCCTTTTCCTCCAGTTTTGGTCTGATATAATAGGATTGAGTTCCAGAAGGAGGATCTTTGGGTCAAAAATATTTAACATTTATTAAGTTACTGTATTGTTTTTCAAATGGGTGGTACCAATTTACCATGCAATCAGCGATGTATGAGAGTACATATTTTGCCACATCTTTACCAGTATTGAATGTTCCCAGTTAATTCAAATTTATTGTATTTATAAATCTAATTATACTATAATTTCTGGGATTATATTTAGTATATCTTAAAATTTTGATGTGCTATGAGAACCTCCAGAGCAGTAGGAAAAAATATAAAATATCCTATTTATTATGCTGAGAATTCTAAGAAGGTTTTTATCTAGGCAGAGTGAAAAATTGTGGAGTAGATCTAGGGAGACTGAAAAATTCCCTGGTTGGTTCCTGAAGAACACCATCACTACTTAAAAGACCTCTCTATCCTCTCTCCATCAAAATCTCATGCCAAATCTGCATTCTACTTCATTCTAAGGTATTATCTCAAAAGGAATTTGCAAGATGCAAATTTTCATGTACCTAAGGGATAGCTATATGCTTAGAATAGTGACTGGCCCCTCATGACATCAGTGGAAAATGAAAATCTTTGCTAATTAGGTGCCTTTGTAGTAAGAAAACATAATGATTTCTATTATGCAAATAAGTATGAGCATTTCTTTCATTATAAACTGCAATTCTTCTTTGTTATGTGAGAGCAAGGACTAATTTTATTTTCAGATCAATAGTTGGTATGCCGAGTTAATAGATGTGCAATGTTAATACAGTATAAAATAGCAAATTAGGCTACTTGGGTTTGAGAGCTTTTTTTTTTTTTTGAGACGGAGTCTCACTCTGTCGTCCAGCTGGAGTGCAAAATGGCACCATTTCGGCTCACTGCAACCTCTGCCTCTCAGGTTCAAGCAGTAGCCTCCCAAGTAGCTGGGATTATAGACATGCGCCACCACACTGGGCTAATTTTGTACTTTTAGTAGAGACAGGGTTTTGCCATTTTGGCCAGGCTGGTCTCGAACTCCTGACCTCAGGTGATCCACCCACCTCAGCCTCCCAAAATGCTGGGATTACAGGCATGAGCCACTGTGCCTGGCCTGGGAGCATCTTTTTAATCAGACCACATGACTATGGCTAGGTTGCATGAATCACTGCTGCTCTGGAGTTTTCTGGATTGCAGAGCTCTTCCTGATTGAAGCAGGCCTCCTGAAAAATCACAGTGGGACTTTGAATAAATACTTCCATCTCTTAGGCCTGTCTCATAAAATTGGGGGGGTTCTGAAATATGTTTTCTCAAGGGTTGAAGTGCATATTTATTTTTTTGTTGGGTGGGCTGAGCCAATAATGATTGCAATCAATAAGAAAGTCCTTCATCAGTAGAGTTTTATGATAGCAGCTTTAAAAGTCTCCAGATATGAGATGAACTCAGTTAAGTTTTATTGGTAATTTACCAGATATACTTCATGAAATTTACTCAGAGAATTTCATAATTCATTTTCACCTGCAACCATTGAAAGCCTCCAAATATACCAGGAGGCCCAAACTCATTTCTACCCTGGCCAATATCTGCAGATCTAGCCCACACAGCTGGCTTCCAACTGCCTGTACCTCAGCTCTCACAAAGACATTGTTTTTTTGGTTTTGTTTTGTTTTTTTGAGATGGAGTCCCGCTCTCTTGCCCAGGTTGGAGTGCAGTGGCACGATCTCAGCTCACTGCAACCCCTGCCTCCTGGGTTCAAGCAATTTTCCTGCCTCAGCCTCCTGAGTAGCTGGGATTATAGATGTACGCTACCACATCCAGCTAATTTTTGTATTTTTAGTAAAGACAGCATTTCACCATGTCAGCCAGGCTGGTCTCGAACTCCCAACCTCAAGTGATCCGCCTGTCTCGGCCTCCCCAAGTGCTGGGATTACAGGCATGAGCCACCGCGCCCAGCTGATCAATACATTTTTTCTTTTGTACTCCAAAGCAATGTATACTCATTGTTGAAAACTTGTAGTTTAAAAATAAGCAAAAGAAAGAAAATAAAAATCATTCAATAAATGTTTTTCTACTAACTTATCTATATTTTAAAATTTTCAACATTGAATAGATATTATTTTTATAATAAGAAAAAAGTTATATTTAATTTTTAAAAATTTCAGAAAGATATACTTCAAAATGTTCATAGTCTTTTTAAGCTTCTTTTTCCCTTAATTTTTGTATACTGTATTACTTTTGTAATTGAGAAAAATAGTTTCACAACAAATATTATTAAAAATTAATTCCACCACTCAGAAATAAGTATTGCCAATATTTTGGTGTATATGTTTCAAGTCTTCTTTCCTATGTCTAGCTAGAGTTTTATTTTATTTATTTAAAAAAGACATGTATTCAGTGTTACGATCAGACTATTACATTTAACAATCCACAGCATGGGCACATTAAAAACTTTTGTTAGAATGCTTTATACTTTCCACAGAACAGAAAGGAACAGAACAGAACAGAACAGAACAGAACAGAACAGAACAGAACAGAACAGAACAGAACAGAACCTAAAATAACCTGCCACAAATACAGTCCTTGAGCTTTTTGTGCATACACGTGAGCATTGTCTAAAACATATTTTCTTTGTAGCAGCTGGGCACTGCCACCACTGTGCTTGGCTGAGTTCACAAATCTGTTGTAACTGGTAGCTTCTCTATCACCTCTTTGGCTCTCCTCTCCTGCCAAGCTTTGTTGCTGGCAGTAATTAAAATCTGCCATTGACAGTGACTGCTGTTACTGGAAGCACCATACCTACCTTGGTTTCATGATTTGGCAAAGTATTGGCCTCCACCACCATAGGAACCAAAGCTTCTGCCTCCAGAGTTTTTTCCCTTCACGGGTCCAAATCTGGAGATTGATTGTTGTAATTGCCAAAATCATTGTAGCTTCCACCACCTCCAAAATTGCTCCTATCATTACCAAATCCCTTACGGCCATCTCCACTGCCACCATATCCACCACCAGCACAGCTGCTACCAAAGCCACCATAACCACTAATGTTTCCTCCATGACCACAGTTGTCATTACCACCAAAACCATCTCCATGACCAACACCAAAGTTTCCAGAATGACTTCAACCCCTTTGGCTGGATGAGGCATCAGCCATCTCTTGCTCCAACAGGGCTTTCCTAACTTCACAGTGTGGCCACTCCCAGGATGGTATTTCAGAACGACAATCTTATCCATGGTTGTCAAAGGTTACAAAAGCAAAGCCCCTTTTCTTTCCACTGCCTTGGTCAGCCATGATTTCAATATTTCAATTTTCCCATACTGTCCAACATAATCTCTTAGGTGATGTTCTTCAGTGTCTTCTTTAACGCCACCAACAAAGATCTTTTTCACAATTAAGTGGGCACCTGGTCTTTGAGAACTGTTTCTTGAGACAGCTGTCTTCGGTTCCACAGCTCTTCCATCCTCCTTGCGTGGCCTTGCATTCACGGCCCCATCCACTTCCTCCACAGTGGCATATGGGACAACCCACAGCCCCTGGAGTGCTTGGTGTTTGGGTCTCTCATTAGCACACAGACTCTGAGTGTTCCCAATTGCTCAGAATGGCTCCTCACACTCTCATCAGTTGTTCCAAAATTCTACCCCCACATGAAGAACTTCTGCAGCTGTTCAAGCTCTTTAAAAGACTCTGACTTAGACAGGACAGCAGTGGGAAGACTTTAGCCATGCTTCCTTGGCTCTTCTGTCACTTAGGAGAGCCCTTGGTTGTCAATATTTTGTTCAAGTCCTGAATTTGCATGTCACATAAATCCCAAATACTATTCTCATTCATTTGAGAAGGTTGGTGCTGTTAAGAATGCAGTAGAAGGGATTTATATCCTGGATGGAAGTTTGCACAAAATAGTTTTTTAAAACTCAAACTATGTAGGTTTCCTACAAGTCTTTTTTTCATTTAGCATGGGGACCAGCTGGAATCAGAAGCAGTAAATATAGCTGATCATAGAATACATTAAATACAGAAAAAAGATGCAGCTACCTGGTGTGCAATCCAACCATCTCAAATACTAAAACTTTATGTTCAGTCATAATATTTTCCTCTTGGAATGAAAACATCTGAGTGTAATAGTAAAGCAACAGGGACTCACCAAAGAGTGAAGTTATCACTTGCCTGCAGAAGAGGAGACATTTAAAAGCACTCTATTCCCTGTAGCCCTCTCTATTATAAAAGTTTCATGATAAATCCATCCCCAGCTAATGCCTAGGGTGATTTAAATATATAGCAGCAGAGTCTCCAGTGGTCAATTGAGGGATAACGAGTTCTGGAACTGCCAAAGTGAACAGAAATCCTCCTGGTTCAAGCTTTTTGTTTTTTTCTTTTTGAAGTGATGCACCCATCAACAGTAAGGGAGAGGAATACATGAAAAGAAAGGGAGGCTGAGAGGCTGAGGGAAAGACAGAGGCTAGGCTTTTGTGATTATGGTAATCCAAATATATACCAAGTGGCATGCTGAAAAGTCCCTCTCAACAGGCAGCACACTCCCATGCTGAACATCCAAATGAAACATTTCTAATATCATCATAGTGTTGTTCATAAACACAGAAGTATATCTGGTATAAGCAAATCCTTGGATACATTTTTAGAAGTGAATGATTTTGAAAATTCCAATCTAAAATCTGCCTGTTCCAACACACACACACACACACACACACACACTCACTCACACTGTGATGACTTTCCATCTCTTCACACTTGTACTTTTAAAAATATCAAAACCCTTGAATTTGGAAATCTTCCTTCCCTTCAGTTTCAGATGTCCCTTCTCCTTCCCTCTTTGAATACAATTACCAACTACAATCAGCTTCAGAACTCCTTTCCCTTCATAACAGATTTATAATGATTAAAAAATTATTTTTCACTTGTGGAATTTTATCTGTAAGCAACTTTAAACATGCTGTATTTAGGCATGCTTAGCACTAGGAATCTAGCGCAAGAAAAATAAAATGTAAGTCTAAAAGCTTACATACTGAGTAGTTTTACTAATTTCTAGACTATAACTTTCTTCAAGGCAAGGAGGGCATTTGATTTATGAAAAAGTTATTTGACAGCATACATCTTTGGAGTTCAAAGAACCAAGGGTCCAAGGTAAAAACATATATAGGATCTCCTAGACCTCCTATTCTGAAGGAAAGAAAGAAAAAGAAAGGAAAAGAAAAGAAAAATATTTTGAGCACTGGACCATAGTAGGGTTTTTTTTTTTTTTTTTTTTTTTGAGATGGAGTCTTCGCTCTGTTGTCCAGGCCAGAGTGCAGTGGCTCGATCTCGGCTCACTGCAACCTCCGCCTCCCGGGTTCAAGTGATTCTCCTGCCTCAGCCTCCCGAGTAGCTGGGATTACAGGAGCATGCCATCACGCCCTGCTAATTTTTGTATTTTTAGTAGAGATGGGGTTTCGCCATGTTGGCCAGGATTGTCTTGAACTCCTGACCTTGTGATCCACCTGCCTCGGCCTCCCAAAGTGCTGGGATTACAGGCATGAGCCACCATGCCCGGCTCATTGTAGGTTCTTAATAAATGTCCTGTATATTTACCCATATTTTCTGAATAAGTTTAACATTTTTCTCTTTATTCTAGTATTTTACTTTATCACTGATTTTATGCAATTTGATTGTGATATGCCTGAGTGTAGTGTTTTTCATGTTTCTTGTGCTTGGGGTTCATTGAATTTCTTGGATCTGTGGGTAATGAAATTTGAAAAAAAAATTTTTATCACTTCTTCAAATATTTTTCAGCCCTCCCTTCTTTCTTCAGAAACTCCAGTTACAAGTATATTAGGCTCTCGAAGATATAATAAAATTCACTGATGCGCTTTTCTTTTAGTTTTTAAAATCTTGGTATTTTATTTCTATTATTATTATTATTTTTAATTTGAGATGGAGTCTCGCTCTTATTACCCAGGCTGGAATGCAATGGCACGATTTTGGCTCACTGCAACCTCTGCCTCCCAGGTTCAAGCAATTCTCCTGCCTCAGCCTCCCAAGTACCTGGCTGCCTGCCACCAAGCCCAGCTAATTTTTGTATTTTTAGTAGAGACAGGTTTTCACCATGTTGGTCAGGCTGGTCTTGAACTCCTGATCTCAGGTGATCCACCCACCTCAGCCTCCCAAAGTGCTGAGGTTACTGGTGTGAACCACTGCGCCCAGCTCAAATCTTGGTATTTTGTTTTAAATAGTTCCTATTGCTATGTTTTTAAGTTCATAAATCCTTTCCTCAGCAATTACTGTTAATTCCATTCAGTATATTTTTCATCTCAGACATCACAGTTTTTATTTCTAGAAATTTGATTTAGATATTCTTTTCTTGGCACATGATGCTTTGTTCTGTCACTTTAAAAAATTTATTTGGAAACGATTTTAAATTTACAAAAATACAAGAGCTGCAAAGATAGTAATGAGTGTTCCCAAAGATAGTATAGAGTGTTCCCAGTTCCCACTCTGTACCCAGTTTACTTAAAAGTTAACGTCTTATATTATCATGATGTATTTATCAAAATTAAGAAATTAGCATTGGTACGGTGCTATTAAGTACAGACTTTATTCAGACATCCTGGTTTGCAGCTTAAAAAAAACTTTCAAATATATTAGTCTTTCATGCTCAGTCCTTCTTCTAGTTTCTTGAACATATGTAATTCAATTATGATAACTTTTTAACTCCTTGTTTACTAATTCTATCAACTGTGTCATTTCTGGGTCAGTTTCAGTTGGTTGATCTTTCTCTTCATTATGGGTCATATTTTCCTGCTACTTTGTGTGTCTAGTAATTTTTATTTGGATGGCAGGCATTATGAATTTTATCTTATTGGGTGCTAGATATTTTTATATTCCTATACATGTTTTTCAGCTTTGTTCTGGGAGGGAGTTAAGTCACTTGAAACAGTCTGATTCTTTCAGGTCTTGTTTTTAATTTTTTTTTTCAGGCAAGACCAGAGCTTTTGCCTCACCACTGACCTTGCCCCACTACTGAGGAAAACTTCTTTTGAGAACTCTACCAAATGCCCTTTCAATTATGAGATTCTTCACTCTGGCTGGTGGAACAGAAACGATTCCTGGCCCCAAATGATTTCTGGAGATTGTTTCCTCGAATCCTCTCAGGTACTTCTTTTCCTGGCCTCAGGTGATTTCCTCACCTACACGCACTAATCAGTACTTTGCTGAAAACTTGGGGGCAGTTTCTCCGCAAATCTGTGAAGTTCTCCGTGTAGTTTTTTCTTCTCTGGCACTCTGCCCTGTGTTCTTTAGCCACCTTGGCCTCCCTGTATTCCAGGCTGTCTCCAACCCGGGGAGATTTTTGGGCATTTCCTGGGTTTCCCCTCCCTATGCCACAGCCTGGAAACTCTCTCCAGGTAGTAGACTAAGGTAATTGTAAGCCTCGTCTTGTGCGTTTCCCATCTTTCAGGGATCACTGCTCTTCATTGACTTATACCCAATGTCTTAAAGACCACTATTTCATGTATTTTTTCATGTATTTTCATATATTTCATACACTTTCATATATTTGCATTTCTGATTATATGACCCTCAAATGATTGCTATTTCTTCCTATTCTCAGGAGAATATATATATATATTCTGCTACACACACTTGGCTCTATTATGAACTTCTAAAAAATGTCTCATACCTAACATATGTTACCACCAGAGTGGCTGCAAGACAGGGCAAGACTAAAGGCCCTTGGTCTGGGAAACAGGCCAGGTTGGTGGGTCAGAAAGAGAGTATGATGTGAAGGATAAGAGGTTATGAGTGGCAAAGTTCAGAGAGGATAGTTGGAAAGGAGTGTGTGTGTGTGTGTGTGTGTGTGTGTGTGTGTGTGTGTGTGTTGGAATCCAGAGGGCATGATTAGATCTAGGCCTGGGTGTCTCTGATACTAAGATTGGCAGACTAGTGAAACACATGTAGGCAGAAACAGACTAAGCATACAGGTAAATTCAAACTGAACTTAAGGGAACAAGCAGAGGACTTACCAAGATGAGGAGCCCCATACAACACAGTGTCCAGTACCCACGGGAGACACATAGCACCATAACTGCTTGTCAATTTTGAGGTTGGCTCATTTGCTCCCCAGTGGCTGGTGATTTGAGAACTGATCTTCTGTGGGTTCCTTAGAGTTCTAGCATCCATTATTTCCAAGTAGCTTTGTTGATCCTCAATCTTGTTCCTGTGGTGCAACACCTGGATGTCATGGTGGAATCTCATGAAATGCTGATATGACAAAACATATAATTTTGTCCTAGGTCAGATATCATCTTATTCTTTTCTTTTTTTGAGACGGAGTCTCGCTTTGTCACCAGGCTGGAGTGCAGTGGCATGATCTTGGCTCACTGCAACCTCTGCCTCCTGGGTTCAAGTGATTCTCCTGCCTCAGCCTCCTGAGTAGCTGGGACTACAGGTGAGCGCCACCACGCTGAGCTAATTTTTGTATTTTTAGTAGAGACAGGGTTTCACAATGTTGGCCAAGATGGTCTCGATCTCTTGACCTCATGATCCGCCCGCCTTGGCCTCCCAAAGTGCTGTGATTACAGGCATGAGCCACCATGCCTGGCCTCATCTTATTTTTATACAGACATTCAGTAGTATGTGTCAAAGATTTAAGAAGAATTTATGAGATAAAAGCTTAGTAAGGAAAGCTTATCATTATCTTAGCTCTTTGTTCTGTGAAAGTGGGAAAAAAATCATCATCTTTCCATTTTTCATTAGTGGAATGCTTTGATTTAATGTGTATAACCCTGGGGTTCTGTGCAAGCAGATGTTGAGAACACCTGGAGTGGATGGTGCATTCTGTTTTCTTAAAAGTAAACTTTTTAGTGAAATGTAGCATATGATGTATTTATATATTATGTTATAATATTTATTTATTTATTTATTTGAGACAGAGTCTCGCTCTGTCTCCAGGCTGGAGTGCAGTGGTGCGATCTCGGCTCACTGCAACCTCCGCCTCCCGGGTTCAAGTGATTCCCCTGCTTCAGCCTCCCGAGTAGCTGGGACTACAGGCGTGTGCCACCACACCCAGCTAATCTTTGTACTTTTAGATATCCACTATTCAGTCTCTTGCACTATATGGCGCCCAAATCCCTTTTAAGAAAGAACTAATTGCCCAGCTAAAAGGAGTAAGGGTACTTGAGAGCTTCTCACTGTTAACTACTTTGGGTCCACTTCAGCTTTTGAACTGAGGACACTCCTTGTCAAGGCAGCCACAGCCAATGACTGCGCAAGACTTTGTTGCAAGGGCCAGGTCATCTCCACCTACTGCAGAATTCCTCCTATGAGCTGTCTTGACTGTGGAGCTGTTGATGAACTGGCAGAGACTTTGCCCACTCTTTCCAAAGGCCTGACAACTCCTCCTGCCCAGGCCTGTTTCCCCCTTCCCCTTTTTCACAGGTGTTACTCTCCAGTGAAACTTTTGCACTTCTAACTCCATCTCAATCTGCTTCTGACCCAACTGACCGAAAAGTGCCCATATCACAAGGGTACAGCTTGACGAATTTTTATAAACTGAACACATTCATGAAAGCAGCACATTAAGAAGAAGATTAAGCAGCACATTATCAACAGCATCTAAAAGCCCCTTGTGCTGCCTTCCTTACAGTCAACAACTGCTTCCCAAGGCTAACCACTGTCCTAACTCTTAACATCATGGGTTACTTTGTCCTGTTGTTGTAAATCATATAAATGAAATTTTAGGATATCTTTTTTTTTTTTTTTTTTGAGACGGAGTCTTGCTCTGTCACCCAGGCTGGAGTGCAGTGGTACCATCTCGGCTCACTGCAAGCTCTGCCTCCCGCGTTCACGCCATTCTCCTGCCTCAGCCTCCTGAGTAGCTGGGACTACAGGCACATGCCACCACGCCCGGCTAATTTTTTTGTATTTTTAGTAGAGATGGGGTTTCACCATGTTAGCCAGGATGGTCTCGATCTCCTGACCTCGTGATCCACCCGCCTCGGCCTCCCAAAGTGCTGGGATTACAGGTGTGAGCCACCGCACCCGGCCTAAATTTTAGGATATCTTTTGTGTTTGATTGCCTTAGCTCAATATTGTGCATTCTTTTAAATTCCTTTAAATTTGTGGTGTAAGTCTTTAAGTAAATGCTTCCACTTTTTCATCTTTCCACCCCAGAACTCTCTTACACACATACACACACACGCACACACATGCACACACATATGCACACACAGTGCAAACATAATGAATATTTTTCAGTTTGATTTTCAATCTGATGTACAATGCATATGTAAAAATAGTAAAAATCGCATAGGATGTTCAATATACTAAATTAGTTGGAATTGTCAGCGCTTCCATTTGTCTCCTGCTTACCAAGTTTCCCTGGTTTAATTTCCACTAGATCTGAGTTATCGGGGGTAGGTCATCTTTTAATATTATTATGGAGGACAGTGACTGGTTTCAAACAATTACTGATGAATCATCGATAGCTACATCTATATTAAGCAGATCTTTCCTGAGTTTTAATTTAGTCAATTCCCCAGCTCTGCCCTAGAGTAATGAGGATCTTGCTGCACAGTCTTCTTTTTCTCAACTCCAAAGACTTTTCTTCACTTATTAACTGCCTCATGGTTCACTAGTATCTAGAAAATCTCCTATTTCTCAAGCTGCTTGATAGTCTAACATTTCACCCATTAAGCATATGTTTTTAGAGTTTCCCTGCTTTAGCCAGGCACAGTGGCTCATTCCTGTAATTGAGGCTGAGGCTAAGGATCCTTTGAGGCCAAGAGTTTGAGACCAGCCTGGTCTCAATATAGTGAAACTCCTGTCTCTAAAAATATTTTTTTAAAAAATTGGTTGGGCATGATGGTGTGCACCTGTTGTTCCAACTACTCAGGAGGCTGAGGCTGGAGGATCACTTAAGCCCAGGAGTTGGAGGCTGCAGTGAGCTATGATCATGCCACTGCACTCTGTGTCTAAAAATTAAAAAAGAATTTCCCGGCTTTGATTCTTGCTTCCCTACCCAATTTAGGAGGATTCTTGAAAATAATAAAGGGAAACTTAAAGGCATTTCTCGTACTTGAGCACATGCACTTGTGAATCTTATAAACAGTCCTCTGGTAAGAAGGCATCTTTCAAGGTCTTTTCACTTATAGCTGTACTGTTAGTATGATTATTTGCAAACCATTTTCAAAAGAGAACTCTCCATTTATCCCTAGAGAGGGGATCAGCTTACCTCAGATTGCTATGCTTTTGCATTTGACTTTGTTTCAAACTCAAAAACAAAATATTGGTTCAGTATGGTTAGCTTTCTCCTTCTAGCTTTGAAAGCACTCACAAGGAATTATTGGTAGAAAGGTAAATGACACTAGGCTTTTTGCACTCTCAAAAGTAATTTTTTTTCCTTGGTGCAGGGACCTGTCAGTATCATTAACCGGATATAAACTTCTTATTGGCCTTCTTGGGACTCAAATGCTGTACTATTCATCGAGTAAGAGCTTAGTAAACTTGAAGAGAATAAATGAATACATTGATATAAAAGCCTTTTATGTTTAAGTGTTTTTAAATCTAATAGTGATTCTAAAAAAGAGAGGGGTAAATGATGTGTATTTTGCTCTAAGATTTCCAAGGGTTTCTGATTGTATGACGGATACTTAAGAGTAGAGTTTGCTATGAAGCGTATTATTAATGGGTAATTTCTTTGCAATCTGATCTGAGAACAACAATAAAGTTTCATAGCCTTTAGCAGAGTTGTAGTTTAATCAAATATACTTAGAATATAGCGTTTTACTATTTTAGAACTAAAAGTAACTTTAAAAATAATCTGTCGGGTGTGGTGGCTCATGTCTGTAATCCCAGCACTTTGGGAGGCCGAGGCGGGTGGATCATCTGAGGTCAGGAGTTCGAGACCAGCCTGGCCAAAACAGTGAAACCCCATCTCTACTAAAAATAACAAAAATTAGCTGGGTGTGGTGGCAGATGCCTGTAATCCCAGCTACTTGGGAGGCTGAGGCAAGAGAATTTCTTGAACCTGGGAGGCGGCAGTTGCAGGGATCTGAGACCATGCCATTGCACTCCAGCCTCGGCAATAAGAGCCAAACTCCGTCTGAAATAATAATAATCATAATCATCGTCATTATCTAAGCTACCTTCCTTGCTACACCTTTACAGACGGGGAAGTTGAAATAGAGAACTTGGAAATGACTTCTTCTGTTCCCCTGCTGACAGCTCTGGGGCTTTCACTCCATCCCCACATTAAGGACTCTGGCTAGACTGGACCATTGTTCTCCAGAGGTTGTCAGTGTATTGACTACTTATATTACTCTACATGTTCCTGGTAGAGAAATCACTGATATCAAAGGGTAGTTTCATTTACCTCAACATTTAGGGTTATTCTAACCTTTTCCAATGAGCTTCTATTTCAACGTTCATAACATACATTTAAAAATTCATCCAATTGGCTAGGCATGGTGGCTCACGACTATAATCCCAGCACTTTGGGAGGCTGAGGCGGGCGGATCACGAGGTCAAGAGATCGAGACCATCCTGGCCAACATGGTGAAACCCCATCTCTACTAAAAATACAAAAATTAGCTGGGTGTGATGGCATGCACCTGTAGTCCCAGCTACTCAGGAGGCTGAGACAGAAGAATCACTTGAACCCGGGAGGTGGCGGTTGCAGTGAGCCGAGATTGCACCTCTGCACTCCAGCCTGGTGACAGAGTGAGACTCCATCTCAAAAAAAAAAAAAAATTTTCATTCAACCAACATGTCCTGGAGGAACCAGATTTAGGACCTGCCTTCAGGGAGGGCAGTCAAGAGGAGGAGACAACAGTAACGGTGCCGTAGTGAGAACGTGATAATCGAGGTAAGTTAAGGACGGACCCCTAACCCAAACTTGAGAAGGGGATGGTGAAGCTGGGCATAGGGAAGAGCACTCCAAAGAGTGGAGAGAGCATGCCATGCCCAAGAGCCACACCTGTGAGTCTACAAGGAAAAGTGTTTCTAGATTTACTATGAAGAAAAACAAAAGAAATTCTGGGTTGATGTATTTTGTGTGAATAGAGAACTTGATCTAAGGTTAAGAAAACCAGAAAATTCTGATGGTAAGAACACTGAATGGGAAGTCTGGAAAGCCAGCTTCCTCCAGCACCAGCTTCTTCTTGGCTGTGCGGTTAACTGGCTGTATGACCTGGGCAAGTCATGTCACCCCTCTTGGCCCTGGATTCTTCACCCATGAAAGAAGGGATAGGGAGTTATACCCAAAGTCCCTCAGACTCTGGGATCTGCAAATCCTAAGATTCGAGGTAGCTTTATGCACTATGTCTACCACACAGAATATGTATTGAATGAAATTCCTAAGTTCTACCCCATTCTAATCAGAACTAGGTTACAGGTTAATAAAACTGATTTCAAGAGGCATAGGCAATGCAGACTGCCCAGTGACCTCCTTTCCTTTTAGGAAAATACATATGTATAATTGATTGTGTTTCATGCATTTTATTTAGCTATTAAAATAATATTGTAGATAGATATGACTCTTCTCATTTACAGATAACAAGACTGGGGCTCACAGAAGTTAAGTAATTTGCCATCATGACACACATTAAAAGTGGTGGTGGTGGGATTTGAACCTGAGTCTGTGTGAGGCCAACATCTGACTTCTTCCCACTATGCTATTTGAAAGTAAATTTCTGTTAGAGAGAATCCTGACTATGTAGGAAAATACACTGTGAAGATGACTTCCACTTAGGCAAAGGTCATCTTCCGCATCCACCACCAAGCCCCTGACTCATGCTATTTCCTGCCCTGCTCCCCCGTCTTAGTTCTCCAAACTATACCATTCTCTGCTCTAGGAGCCCCAGCTCAGGTTGCTGAGTGAAAAAAAAAGGGAACTAGGGCAAGAACTAGTAGAGTTGATAAAGTTTTCTTCAGAAACCACTTTGTCAACCTGACTGTCTCTGCTTTTGTCTGAAACCAGCATGGAAGCTTCCCACTACTGAGACTAGAAACAGAAATCCCATCCTGTTTCATGAGTTTTCAACCAGAAATATCACCCGGCATGCGTTTCTCTCTTCTACCTTTTCTCCCTGGTCTGTCAAAGCCCCTTTCCTGGTCACAGGTATTGCTTGACAGATGGGCCTGTTAGCAGGCCCTCACTGGCCTCTGATTTACAAAACTTGTTTAGTTGCAAGCAACACTGATCTATTCAAGTAAGCTCAGGAAAGATAGTTTACATGAGGATTAATGTGAATGTTCGCAGAATCCCAAGAGCATAGTGGAAACAGGGCCAGAACTCAAAGTCCAGAACGGGAGGGTGTTTCTGGATCTAAGGTGGTCCCAATGGCCCAAGGACTGGGAGTTTATGGATCTTTACTCTGGTGTTCCACCAGTGGTATGACTCAGCAACCTGGGTATCTGTTCTTCTTTGTCTCTGATTGAAACTAGCTACAATGCACTTATTCTAATTTTTTTTTTTTTTTAGACAGAGTCTCACTCTGTCGCCCAGGCTGGAGTGCTATGGTGCAATCTTGGCTCACTGCAACCTCCGCCTCCCGGGTTCAAGTGATTCTCCTGCCTCAGCCTCCTAAGTAGCTGGGACTACAAGCAGGTGCCACCACATCCAGCTAATGTTTGTATTTTTTAGTAGAGATGGGATTTCACCATCTTGGCCAGGCTGGTCTTGAACTCCTGACCTCACGATCCACCCGCCTCGGCCTCCCAAAGTGCTGGGATTACAGACGTGAGCCACCACACCCGGCAATGCACTTATTCTTTTTAAAATCTACTTTATCCTTTAAAAATTCATACTTTTTTGGCCGGGAGCGGTGGTTCATGCCTGTAATCCCAGAACTTTGGGAGGCTGAGGTGGGCGGATCACCTGAAGTTGGGAGTTTGAGACCAGCCTGACCAACATGGAGAAACCCTGTCTCTACTGAAAATACAAAATTAGCTGGGCGTGGTGGCACATGCCTGTAATCCCAGCTACTTGGGAGGCTGAGGCAGGAGAATCGCTTGAACCCAGGGGGCTGAGGTTGCAGTGAGCTGAGATTGCACCATTGCACTCCAGCCTGGGCAACAAGAGCGAAATTCCATCTCAAAAAAAAAAAATTTCATACTTTTTGCTTAATCATAATTTCAGTTTGCCAAGATCCCTCACAGCCCCTTCTCTCCCTCCCCTCATAACCCTAACACTGCCTCAAGGCTTCTGTTTATGCATCCTTTGAGTTTCTACTCCTCCTGTTAATTTCCTATATTTCTACATGTTTCCAAAATAAAATTCCCAAAGAATTGTCCCAGATTATCCTTCATGCAAACAATGTTAATTGCCCCCAGACTCCAAGTATGCACAGATCAAGGTTGGATGCTGACTCAGGGTAGACCATTTATTGGCTACTTATGTCATAGCCTGGAATGAAAATAGGAGTCGGGCCATCAGCTGGAGAGGAATTGACTCCAACTAGATAGGTCTTGGCATCATCACTGACCTCCTTTGTATGACTACTATTGACCCATTTGGAGCAGCTTTATCACAATGTGAAACCTGCCGCTCACTAGTTCTGCTAGATGCATGTTGGAAGCACTGACTCAGGTTAATCCAACCTGTACAAGTTTCTGAGGCAGGTCTTCTTGGAGCCTTCAGTATGGTAAAGTGTATTCTAAATTAGCAAGCAGAGGATAAGGAATGCGGTGTGTTTCGCTCTATGTAGCAGATGCTGTCAGCACCACATCCATGTCCTCTCAGCACATACCTGTACACTTTGAAGGCTGCTTTCTATGAACACCTGCAATTCTTTGCCTGAAGCCTTTTTTTTTTTCTTTTTCAGGGTGGTGGTGGGGGCCGATGGGAGTCCACTCAACCTGTTAACAGGTAAGCTGAAAGAACAAGACAGTTAATGTCCCTCACCTCAAAAGCAGTGTTCAACCAAAGATGGACAGGCAGGTGGCAGATAAGTTTCCCAGTTGCCTCTCAGATAGGAAACTGAAGCATGTTCCCCGATGCTTTCCAGAGTTCCCCAGGAGGGCAGAATTCCTCCTACGAGCTGTCTTCACTGTGGAGCTGTCAATGAGCTGGCAGAGACTTTGCCCGCTCTGCCCGATGGTCTGACAGTTCTTCCTCTCCAGGCCTGCTTCCCACTTCTCCTCTTTCACAGGTGTTACTCTCCAGTGGAACTTTGACACTTCTAACTCCATCTCAATCTGCTTCTGACCCAACTGACCGAAAAGTGCCTATATCACAAAAATTAGGGCTGAGTTCCTGCTGCTGGGAGTGGAAACTGACTTGGTCAAACTCCTCATACTGGCTACCTTCCCCTCCTGGCCTCACTTCCCCACTCTTTTATTGGTGTTTCCCGGAATCGCCTCCTAAACTATTTGCACTTCAATCTTTGACTCAGGCCCGATTTCTAGGGAAACCCACACCAAGACCCTCCCTTTATTGTGGGTGGTGGGGGGAGTGGGGGGGAGGTGAGCACATCTTTTAACATCTAACAGGCCCGGAGAAATATTGACCTAGTGTACACAGGAGCTAGGGAAAACTACCTTTATCTCAAACTAGTTAAATTTCCTGAGACTTGTTGACGATAAAATGGAGAGCACACGCATTCCTGATTCAAGGTGTTCTTCATTGATAGCATTCCCACACATATAAGGATATGTGGATCTCAGACGTGTAACCACTCCATTTTGGTTTTACCTCTTTGTTACTCTCTCCCTGAAATATGGTTTACATTGCATCCTTTTATATTACTGTATTTCACAAGGAAGACATAGTAGAACATTTTTCTCAGCATGACTGTAAATCCTAATTGTTTTTGAGCCTGGCTCATCTTAGGTGTCATTGTGGGGACTCCATGAGTTACCACAAACATCTTTGTGATGTTAATAGATGATACAGCTTGATATGTCAGTATAAGAATTTTCTCCATCATAAGATTTAGAATTAAAAGGGGTTTTCAAGACTATATATATTATCCAAGCTTTCAACTAATAGGTTTCTAACCATTTTATTATGCTGATCTCCAGATTTATAATCATGTATTGTTATTAATTTATGAGATGATTTTATGTATGGTCTTTCAGGTGCTTTTTATTTGTGAAAATAAAAATAAGTATATTTTTAGGAAAGCTGGAGCACCTAATGGATATAATAATATCCTACAGTTGTTAGGCAATTTAAGATCTTTTCAGCTGATTGTAGCATAACTTTAAATGGCCTTAAATTGAGATACGTATCCAACTTGTTCACCTGGACAAATTTTCTGTTAGATGCTTGGCTGTAAGTAGCAGGAAACTCCAACTCAACTGTTTTAAACAATAAGGGAATTTTCTTTTCTTCTGTAACAAGAAGTCCCGGGGCATGGTGGCTCTAGGGTTGATTAATCCATCAGCTTTTCATCAGGGACCTGGCTTCCCACCATCTCTGTCATTCTCAGTGGATCAGCTTCTTCCTGAGGCTAGCTCTTCTCATGGTCATGAGATGATGCTACTCATTAAAAGAAGAGGGAGGGTCAGCTGGGCGCAATGGCTCACGCCTGTAATCCCAGCACTTTGGGAGGCTGAGGCAGGCGGATCACTTAAGGTCAGGAGTTCAAGACCAGCCTGGCCAACCTGGTGAAACCCCATCTCTCCTAAAAATAGAAAAAATAGTTGGGCATGGTGGCGTGTGCCTGTAATCCCAGCTACTCGGGAGGCTGAGGCAGGAGAATCACTTGAACCTGGGAGGCGGAGGTTGTAGTGAGCCAAGATCATGCCGCTGCACTCCAGCCTGGGCAACAGAGCAAGACTCCGTCTCAAAAAAAAAAAAAAAAAAAAAGAAGAAGAAGAAGAAGAAGAGGGAATGTTTCGTAATGTGCTTCTCTTTAAAACTAAGGAAACTTTCCTGAGAAGGCCTCTGGTAGTCTCTCTTGCATTTCACTGGCCAGAATTGTGTTGCAGCCTCCTTCCTAAACCAGTCACTGATAGAAGACAGCATTACCTTGCTTAGCTTGGTCTATTCAGGCTTTACTATGAATGACATAGAGAAAGGGAGGTCTCCAAACAAAATCAGGGCTCTCTCAGGAAAGAAAGGCAGAGGGGATAACTATTGGGCAGACCACCAGTCAGGTTAGCTTCCATCGCCCACACTGTTTGTCTTGGGATAACCAGAGTAAACGAGCAGCGGCTCTTAAAACACTTTCTGTAATGTCTAAAGAAACACAACCCATAAAAGGTTTAGCAATGACAAACTACTGTGTTATGACTTTAAAATGGTTACTGAGCATCACGCAGTGTTCAACATTGCTACTGTGAAGTTTGGTATGGTAAGGAGAGAGGCAGATTTGGAGAGAGAAGACCTAAATGTGTTCCTGGACTTCAACGATTACCTGTTTGACCTTAAGTAATGAATCAGCTTTTCTGGATCTTAGTTTTATCATCTGTAAAATAGAGATTTGTCTACCTCAGAATTTGCTGTGAGGATTCAATACAATGTGATGCAAAGGAAAGTGCGTTGTAAATTACTAAGTGGTTCATACATGAGGGAGATTTAATTAAATTAATGAATTTTAATTGGTAAATAAAAGTTGTATGCATTTATGGTGTGCAACATGACATTCAAAATATGTATACATTGTGGAATGGCTAAATCAAGCCGATTAACATATCCATGGCTTCACATACTTATTTATTTGTGGTGAGAACACTTAAAATCTATTCTCTTTCCAATTTTCAAGTGTATAGTACATTGTTATTAACTATAGTCACCCTGTGGTATAGAGATGTTTTGAAAGAGGAGCAATAATGTGCCATTTATCCAAGCAAAAATCTCCACACCAGTCTTGGCAGTAGACCTGCAGAGGCTCTAAGGGAAAACAGCTGGAAGGATTACAGCTAATGAGCAGGCTTTTCAATGAAACAAAGCTGATTTAGTAACAACCCAAACAAAGTTAGTCTCTTCAGGCATTTTTTTTTTAAGTTAATAAGTTCAGGAGGGAGTTTAGATGTGCAAATGTGGTTACCTGGGCTTAAAGGTGATCAGGTGAACAGGAGTATATTGGTTCTAATTAAGGAGCACTTGACTTGTATTTTAACATAGTTAAAGCTGAAATCCAAAGCGCTTCATTTCTACAGCAGGCTTGCCTCTTCATTATAGCAAAATCTTCACTCAGTTCTGTTACCTCATTAGAAAGCTTAGTCATCTATACAACATTCTCACTCACTCACACCTGCATATTTCCTATACCTCCAAATGGCCTACCAGGAAAATATCTTTTTTCCTAATTAATAAGTTACTGTGATCTCAGTTTCTCTTCCCACGCCCTCAGCACTTCAGAGCTTGAATTATTCATTTCCAGCCTCAGTGCTGGGCTCCAGCTGCTCATATTGAAGAAGGCTCTGTTGACCTTGAGCTTGAGAATTTGTATGTGTTATAATACAGATGTCATTAAAATATAAAATTTACCTGCTGAGAACAACATTATACTATTTATGAAACCATATAATTTCAATAACTAAACTCAGCAAGATTTTATTGCTCTTTCCACCTGCAATCACAGAAGTGCTGACTCATCACTTGAGAACCACAGCTCACCAATGCGCAGCTTCACTAAAAATCTGCAATGAGTCTTATTTTTTCATCATCTCTATGTAACCTTTTTTTTTGTGGCAGTTATACAGCCCCCTTCTAAAAGGTTATAATTAATTAAAGGCTCAAATTAACACCAGGAAAACTTTCATGTCACAAAATCTTCAGTGCCTCCGTGGTTAGAAAGAGCTATATTTTTAATACCATGATGATAAATTAAAATTCAGGAATGTCTTTAAAATTTTTTATAGGTATTTTAACAGTCAATTTCACCTTCTCTGAAGATAGACTAAAAGGAGCCTTCTTTGATGTACTGAATTTCCTTATCTCCCACTCTGGCTTATTTATTTTACTTTATGTTATATACAGATACACACACATGCACAATTTTCTTCGAGATATCAGTCCTTTTTGATCAGAATGCTTAAGTAATTTTGTAATTCTCTTAAGGGTCTTTAGACATAGTCATATGACCATTTATAGTGCATTTCATCTTGATCCCCTCCTCCCAAAAATTGAGGGGAAATAAAGGCTTGCCTCATGGAAATGGACAAATAATTTACCCAATTCCATTTTCACTTTGAACCACAGTTGATATCAATATAGTTAAAAGTGAGATGAAGGTATGAGAACAGCAGAAAACATTAATTGTACGTACACGGGATACCGCTCTGTTTATGTGTCACCAACAATTGCAGAAGCATGGCAATGGCCTGTGAAGTGTCCTCCCGACTCCAACTGTGGTACGAGTGTGTGCACAGAAAGTGAACATTCTTAGAATTCACAATCGCTAATGCCATTCTTATCTGTAGAAGTATTACATCATTTACACATTTTTACTAAGCTGTTAGCCTCAATCATGCCCCGAAGCAGTTATTTCCACAGGTTAATGATGTATTATATAAAGAACGATTTCCTTTTTATTCTTGGAGGATTTGCCTTTTAATTTCATTTAGCAACCATTTTGTCTTACATGATGGAATGTTGTAGGCTTAAATTAACTCTCCAAAGATTGAAAAAAATCGATGTCTGTTAGCTGCGCTTTGAACTATACTTAAACCTTACAAATGGAATTTTCTATTTTCTTTTAAAGGGGAGGATTATAAAGAATATTTGATTATTTTGGTAAAAACAGGCTTCCCTTAGTAAAAGAGATAGTATGTTATGAATGACGTTTATAACCTAATATTATTTAGATAAGGTGGAAAAAAAGCCCCCCCAAACCCAGCAGGACCTCAATGATGGAAGCAAATCTGGAAAATAAGGAAATCTGATAAAACATAAGCCCACCATTTTTGCCTTGTGGTGTGGGTGTTGTCCTTACCTGCTGGAAAACACTGGCAAGTCTGTTCAGTGAGAGGCAGCCGAAGAAGGCTAGCAAATAGATTTATTAATCATTTCAGGAAAAATGAAGAATGCCTTTAAAGACAACACCCTCTTCTTGGCTTCACAGAATCTTTTTAGGTTTTACTGTTAATAAGATTAAACAGGAGATGAGCAGTAAAGATATTGAAGCAGAGTTTTTTTTATAAGAAAAAGTACACATTAAGAATCGGGCTCCCCCACCACTTAGCTCAGCACTGTGTCCACATTCTTCTATTCAGATTTTTTTATTGCTGTTTGCTTAGGGGAAAAAGTCCCTGTTGAAAGAATGCGGGCCGGAGTACATTAGTCACCTTTCCAGTGCTGTTTCTGTGGGACGGGGCCACGTATCCCTCCCAACTCTGTAAGTTCTCTGCTAGTCAGGGCTGGAGACTGCTGCTGGCAGAAACCCAATCTTCTCCTTGCAAATAAAGGAGCCATCTGACAACGCTGTATTTGTTGGGGCCTCTTCTGAACCAATCAGAGACTGCCCTTGACCGACGGGAGGAGGAGAAGTTTATAATAGGATCAGTTTTGTTTGCAATTTGTTTCTAATAGATGCCAATAAGCCAGTTAACTAGGCTCCGGTTAATGGACATTTTATTGTTCCCCCCCTCCCGCCATGGTGCACATGACCTTTCCTTAGAAGCATTTGTGATGCCTGAAAACATGTATCTGCTGCCTGGTAGCCAGAGGGCTTGCTCTGCTCTAGAAAACTTGTTCCCTAGCCCCGAGCTGCAGACCAGACCCAAATACTTTGATCATTCTGTCAGTGGGAAATTTAGAGCAACATTCGGGCTTTTGTTCCATGTGTATTTCTCCAAATGTAATATCTCCCTCAAGAAATCAATGATAAGCTGTTAAACTAAAGAGCATGGTAACATCCACAGAGCAGTAAATTAATGGTCTTTCGTGGATAGATGGTTACAGATTTCATCATAAAAAATGGATAAAAGATTACATATCACACAGAGCGAAACTTTTAATAACTCAACATGACTTTTCTTAATGGGTTTTATTCATTTTAATCATTATAGTGTCAATGATGATTATAGCCTTATTAGATTGTAGTGATTGAAGGGCCTGTTTATGAGATATTGAAAATCTCAGCCTGCTCAGAATAGCCTGGCGGCCTGTGTGGGTTTGATGTGTAACTTTATCTGAAGGAGCAGGGCTTGTCAGGAGACTTTCAATTAATACTTTTACTAAATTGCTCCTGTCTTTAGTGACCTAGGTCACAGATGACTTAGGGATTCCACAACATCAGCTTTCCCAAACAGTTGGGCTACAGCAGTGTAAATCAAAAGAGGTTGTGAGTGTGTGTGTTTAAACGAAGGTAGGACTAGGAAAGGCCTCAAGTGAAGTGGCTTGAGTCCTTCTGTCTCACTTCGCAGCCAGGAGAGTCCTCTTTCTGCCTTACGATGCCTCACGAGAAAGGAGTTCTAATAACGGGATAAAAAGTTGGCCTCAAGAATCTGGAAGTTTCTCCGTTTTTCCCTCCATGTCTGGGCACATGATTAAAATAAAAATCAAGACTCCATTCATGATTAATAAGGTGCTATTTCAGAGAAATGCCCCAAAACCCAGTCATCCTAAAAAAGTTATTATAATAAAGGTGTCAATGTTCCTAAATTCAAAATAATAATAATAATAAAACCTACAGATGAATACCTTCAGTGGGACCAAGATTATAATGCCATCTATTTGATATCCTGATTTAGTATTGATTCTTTAGAATATCTATTTCCATTACAAATAAGTGTCACCTAAAAGTTATTCCAAATGTTTCACTATAATGGATGTCATCTGTAATAGGCCTTTGAGAAGCAGTGTGGTGTGTCATGGTGTTACAGGAGACCTGGGTATAAATTTGGGCTACTTCCTTTACCAGCAGTATGTTTTGGGACAGGTGACTTGAATTGTCATAGCCTCCATTTCTTCATCAGTAGAAATGGGAATAATGATAATACCCATTTTACCTGTCTCCTTTGTAGGGTGACTAACAGAATCAAATGAGTTCACATTTGTGCTGAAAAAACTCTGTTTTCAAGTGAATCTTTAGAATGTCACTAAGATCCAGGAGCCAGGTGATGTGGCTTTTAAAAATACAGGGTTCAGTGTTAGATAGAAAATATCAAGTGATTTGATGAAAATCTGGAAAAGTCAAATTCAATTGAAGTCTAAGTGATTAGGTCCCAAATATTTGAGAATAGAATAATAAAAGTCAAAAGGAATCTAGCAGAGCTTTTTTTTTTTTTTTTGCTTTTTTAGTAGGGAGAAGTGGATATTTGAATGTAAAAAGATAGTGCAAGCCAGTAGGAATGGCTTGGGAAATGCCATACTGTATGGACAAGTGGTCTGTCTCCGTCTGTCAGATGGGCATAGCTGAGAATCAATCTCAGTCCAGACCTTAGCACAGGAGAAGGGAGATAATCACGGGTGGGGGAAGCCCTGGAATTCAGAAGGGAAGAGAAAGGGAAAGAAATGGGGGTAGAGGAAGGACAGTGGCTTACGCCCAAGCTGGAGAAAACGCACAAAATTAAAGGGAACCAAGGGTTGGAGAGGGGGGCAGCTGGTAAGTGGGAACTGAATGGAGTCCATCTATGACAAGGAAGCACACAGCAGGGAGGAGGTGCGGTAGGGAAAGAACATGACCATGACCTTGGGATCCCACAACCCTGGTCCAGTCTTTTTCTACCACCCTCACGATGGCCCCCCAGCTGCCAGCCCCACTCAGTATCCACTCACCACTAAGGACATGCCCTGTGGAGTCAGTCACATTTATATCTGCTTGGGGTAGATATAATCTATGGAGTGGTTGCAGATACTCAGATAATCTCAAAATTTAATTCCCTCGGTCCACAGACTTCTATTCTTGATCTACACACTCTCCCTGGGATAGTCAAGGCTAAGCTTCTCTACACAGCCTTTCAGTCCCCCAACTTTCTCCCTGGGTCCAGACATAACTTTCTAACTGCCTTGCTGGTCATCTTTGCTTAGACATATCCTGAACCTACCTTGTTCTCATCAAACCTGTTCCTCCTCCTGAGTTCCATACCTTGGTTAATTACACATCCACTGGCCCAGGTCACCAATTTTTGAGTCATCTTCCACTCTGTGTGCTTTACTCCCCAAATCCAATCAATCACTAAGCCCTGTCAATTCTAATTCCTTAGTGCGCTGGTTTTAAAATATATCCACAAATTCTTTGACCCTTCTCCTATTGATAGGTGCGTCTGTATTTCTTCCCCTGGAAACTAGACTTTTATGACTGTTTTGACTAATAGAATTTGGCGAAAGTGAAACCATGTAACTTCCAAGAGGCGACTTAGCCTCCACCTTGCTCCTTGGAACGCTTGTGCCTTGGAGCCACGAGGCTTCCATGTTGTAGAGAAGCCCAAACCAGCACATGTGGTGAAACCACATAGAGAGGCCCCGGGACTACATGAAGAGAGAGAGATGGTTGGCTAGGTCCCAGCTACTCTGCCCCTCTGCTGACTACCTGGCTTCAACCATCATTTGACTACTACTATGATAGACCCTGCCTAGAAAACCACCTAACTGAATGGTCCCCAAGTTTCTGACCACAGAGATAATGAGATATGATAAAATGATGGTTAATTGTTTTAAGCTACTAAGTTCTGGGGAAAATGTAACATAGCAAAAGTAACTGGAACATTTACCATCCATCCCCTTTTCACTACCACCTTAGGTTGGGCCCTCATCAGCTTGCCCAGCCAGTGGCTGGCACACAGGAGGCCCAATCAGTGCTCTGGCTGAATGAAAGTCAACTTTATGACAGCAGGCTTTGCGGACGAGATTAGGACCTTAAATCTAGTTAGGTTAGAATTTTGTGGCAATAGATTTCTCCCTGCTGTTATAAAACTGCCGATGTGACCCAGATGAATTCGAGAACTAGCATGAGATCCATGCCTCCCTCAGAAATAAAACATGAAAGGGAAGAGAAAAGATTTAAAAATAAGCATTATCAAGTGCTGTAAGTGATTGGTTTAGAGTTGGTGCAGATCTTTTTCTTTTTTTCACCAAAATTTATTCTGTCTTGTTAGTTGAAATCAATTCAGTCATTTGAGTCTTTTTCCCAAAAGGGCAAAACAAAGATTGTCTTATGTTTTTCTTTTCATGACTGGATGTTACCCAGTTTTAGTTGGAGACATTTTGGTTTTAACTTCTCTTAATCCTTGGACAACACTAAAATGATCCAGAGAGATTCTGATTTATACATTCAGTGAGAAACAGCCTTCCAATTCTTATAGCCTTTTAAATGTTCCATTTTTCAATTTTATCTATTGGAATGCAAAATTTCAGCCCTTTTATAAATTGCCTATTAATATTTAATTTCTTACATCATTGTATTGTTACCAGATAACCACAATTGCTACATGGAACAGTAACAGAAGATGCATTAACTATCAATTGAGGAGGACACAAATAGATAGCAAAGCTAATATACATGAAAAACAGTCTGTCAAGCAACGTCGGCCTCAATGAGCATGAATTTACAGTCGCGTACAGTAGCCACAATGATTCTCATTGTTGATTCATCCTCTGATTACTCTGTTTGCACCACAGACAAAATAGTCTAAATGAACACCAGGATAATAAGTGAACTATCTATCATCTCTTTTATTTTTATTCCAAGCTAGGAGAATTGGCAGAAAGAGAACAGTAAATGGAGATTCCTGCTGGTTCTGTGTCATAGGACCCTTTTAAAACACGGAAGGCACTGTGAATTATTTAAGACAGAGAATAGAAAGCAGGACTTTGCAATTTTACTGAAGCTTTATGTCACATTCTTACCTGCACTCCAACCACAGTAATCTCACACTACAGGGTTTTTGGGTTATTGTTCAAAAACGATCAGTACAAGTACATTTTATGTCAGTAAAACAGAATGGCGAAGTCAGGAAATAGAGAAATGGTCAAAAAACAGGCATTGCAGATGCAGACTGGAACTCAGAGGAATAGTTTCGGTTAATCAGAGAATCACAGACTCCTTTAAGTGATTTTGCCTGTTTGACATCTCTGTTGGAGGTCCTACAGGTATATTCAACTCACCATATTTAAGATAGGCTTACTCTTATAGTCTTCCCTAACATTCTATAACAAGACTAAACTAACCCTGTTCCTTTTCATCTTGATCTTCTTTTTTGCCTAATGGCACCATAATTTCCCCCCGTACTCAGGTTCAAAACCTGACTTCCTGTTTCTCTGTCCACGTACCACAGCCAATTGTTGCTAAGAGACAGAATTATCAAGAAGCAGATGAAGCTTAAACTGTGGAGCCCCTCTAGTGCATCGGCCTTTTCTGGGGTTCTGGCAGTAGGGTGGGGTGGGGGGGTCGGGCAGGGGAGGCCGTGGGTGTGTTCATAATGCCATAGGCTTTGTAAAATTTGGAAAAGATACTTTAGCTGATGTCTCTTTTGAGTCCAACTTTTCCTCTGCCACACTTCCCTTCTTGTCAAATGCCAGTTTGGAGATTAGGCTAAGGGGATGTTGAATTGAGTTTGAGGATGTGTTTATTTGGGTTTAATGGGCCATATTTATGTGTTTTGAAGACCCTTCTGTTTATATTTGATTAATGTAAGTTGTCCCAGTATAAGGGATGGCTTCCAGTATACTCCTACCACCCACTGTGCTGACTTATGTGGCATCATGCCAAAAAGAAACAAGGCTAGAAGTGTATCGTGCTGTGCAGGTGTGAAGGGGGAACGAGAAGTGCATGTGTGGAGCAGTCTGTGGAAAGTTTTCCCGTTTTCAGGCATGTGAAATCGGAAGCAGAGGATTCACTTTTCATTGACACCTGGTCAACATACCAGTTCTGTCCTATCAGAAATACACCCTAAAATGCAATTTATATAATTGTGAATGTACTATACTTTTTAAAAGGAGAATAATACAAAATAGAATTTATCATCCTCTGTTTGCAGGGCACAAACCTGTAGAAGGACTGTAATTAGTGAGCATGTCTAAAACAAGTTGCATAGAAAAGCAACTTAATAGAAGAGTTCTTCAATTTGAAAACAATCCTAGGATCATGTGGTGGATCATGCCTGTAATCCCAGCACTTTGGGAGGCTGAGGCAGGAGGATCGCTTGAGGCCAGGAGTTGGGGACCAGTCTGGATAACATAGTGAGACCTTGTTTCTACTAAAATACTTTTAAAAATTAGCCAGGTGTGGTGGTGTGCATCTGTAGTCCCAGCTACTCAGGAGGCTGAGGTGGGAGGATCGTTTGAGGCCAAGAGGCAGAGGTTGCAGTGATCCATGATCATATCACAGCACTCCAGCCTGGGCGACAGAACGAGATCCTGTCTCAAAAAAAATTATTTGTTTTTAAAGAGGGCCCCCTAACTATATAAGCCTCATACCTCAGCAAACCAGGGTCCACCCTGGCCCAGCCCTGTGGATTCTTCCTCCACGGTGATTCTTGATTCTATGTTGTTTCCATTTGCCGGCCTCCCCTTTCTTCAGACTTCATTTCTTTTTGTGTGGTCAAGGAGAGTAAGTGCCTGCAATGGTTCTCATGCCACCTTCATCTTCTCCTTACCCTCATCCGCCCTACTCCCTGATATCAGATTACTCTTATTAATAACAATAAAAAGTACAGCTTATGTGATATCTGTTAGGTGCCAGGTACTTTATATACACTATCTTTAATTCTCACAGTCACCTAGGAAGTAGGTATTAATACCATTGTATAGATGAGGAAACAAGGACTCAGTGCTTATGTGACTTGTCGAAGGTCACAAAGTTACCACGTGACAGCCACAGGATTCAAGCTTAGCTCCTCCTGTTCTCATTCGGCTTGGAGCATGTGGCCTCTCTGTACTGTAAAACAGCTTCTCTCATTGCTTCCAGAAAAAAACAATTAAAACCTTTTGCCCTCAACAGTAAGATGCCGGCCTCTGCCTGTCACCTTTCCTGTGTGTATACCCTACAATCTAGCCAAATCAAACCCTTGGTGGTCCTTGAATATGACACATCTTCCCTTGGTGTGGAACCTTTCCCTCCACAGTAAGCCCTTCTCTACTTTCTGGAACCCTCAAATGCCTATTTCACACACCACTCCCATAGTCTCCCAGATGGATGTAACAGCTCCTTCTAAAGCCCCCCAAAGCATTTCAGTTTTGCTGTAAGAGATCACAGCACTTCCTGGACTTCCTTTTATTAAGGAACATGGGCACTCATCTTTAAATTGTTGCAATTGTCTCATTGTACATGTAGTTTGCTTATTCCATTTACTGTCATAGACTGACTTTTTCCATACTTCTGCATTGTCAATAATTTTCACATTGAACAGTTACATGACATTTTATTTTACTGACATAGCTGATTTAAATATTTCTCTGCAGT
This sequence comes from Homo sapiens, assembly GCF_000001405.40. Taxonomy (NCBI): domain Eukaryota; kingdom Metazoa; phylum Chordata; class Mammalia; order Primates; family Hominidae; genus Homo; species Homo sapiens. The sequence goes on from NC_000007.14 coordinate 27,354,120, forward strand.
TAGACTTTTCTGGTTTCAGTTTTTGTTTGTGTTGTTGTTGTTTGCTACTGTTAAAAGTCAGGATTGGAGAGAACATTTTTGGAATATAGAATTATTTCTTCTATGTAATTATTTCCTCTGGACAAAACTCTAGAAGTGGCATTACTAAATCAAAGTGCATGGACATTTTATTACTCATATAACTCTGCTGCTTTCCAAAAGTTTGCATAATTTACATTGCAACTAATAGTACATAATTGTACTAGTTTCATCTTGCAGCATTGGATGATATTATTTAATTTTTCAGTTTTTGCCATCCCTTTGATTTTTTTTTTTTTTTGAGATTGACAAGTCTTTTGATTAGAGCCAGGGGAAAGGAGGAAAACCAGATAAATTATGTGAATAAGATTGCTTAAAAATTCTAATTTTAAGATGAATGATGAAGAAAGGATACATGAAGAGAAAAATCTATGACTAATTTGGTACAAATTGTAAAAATAATTTGATAATAAATATATCAAAGTCTTCAAACCCATGTAACTATTACCTGACAACAAGGTTTAGTTGGATGATTGGCTGAAGATTTGCAGATGCAAATATTACCACTATGCCAGATGTGTAATTGGACAGTCACTGCCAATTAAACAAGACAGGAAATTAAAAGAGTCTAAGAGATAATTCATTCTCCAAATTAGTAACTCAATTGGTCAAAATTACAATACCTGTTGAAGTTACTTTAAATTATACTCTAATAGTAATTAGAGGCTTTGCCTCATGTTCTATGAAATATTTCCATTTGCTGATGAAGTACTAAGGGACTGGTAATTTAGGCAAATAAATGATGATTGCCTGATCAAAGTCATTAAATTAATATAAAATGTAATGGTAGTAAATTCTCTGATAAAAGAAAACGGTTTAAAATCTCTATAGGGAGGTAGCCAAAAATATATTCTGCAAATATTTGGATACATTTTCATACGGTCCAGCAACCCATTCCATTTTGCAGATTGACTTGATAGGTTCATAGACCCATCTTTTTTCTTTTACTATGGCAATAAGTAATTGTGTCTATTCCATGCCTTTGTCATACCTAATTGCCACTTTATTGTTCCCGAAGGGCAACTGGACGAAGACTTGTAAAAAGCTGAAATTAAAATGACTAATAAGGATTAAAAGAAGAAACCCAGAGGTTGCGGAGCCTGTTGAAGCCTGATGCTATTTCCTAGAGTTATATTTTAAGGTAGTTAACTATAGGTCTCATAATCACACTTTGTTGAGAGAGTAATTGTGCTTTCTTGAGATCTATACTTTAAGAACCATATATTTGCCTTCATTGTGACATAAGGAGCATGTTCTGAGTCTCAGATACCTTTTGCCAAACGTTCAAATCCAACACTGTCATTCATTAGAAAGGAAAAATTGTCCTGATATAGAGCAGGATCCACAAAGGAAAATGAATCTGAAACAGACAGTTGCTTTACACACTGGGAATTCCACTTAATATGCAGCACTTGGAATGTGATAAGATTTCTGGCATCTTTTTAATTGTGTCCTGGTTGCTTTATAGAAAAGATTATGTCCCAGTCTATGTACCTGTGAAGAGAGGTATCTGGGGAGCACTCATTTTTCACTAACAAGGAACATTTTAAGTACCTACTAATTGCAAGACAAGTTCTGCACCAATGATGCTTTGGGATAGATGAATAATTCGGCTACCTTGAACAAAAGATATAGTCAGGTTTTTTTTTTGGTTTGTTTCCAGACCTCTGGAACATGTAAACGTTGCCTAAAAGTATAACACTCTATTGCTGCAAAAGCAATGTAAAAATTAAACATAATTTTTGGAATTTTTTTAACAAAGCAAGTTTCTCCTGGATGCTGGGTAGGAGCACCTAGGAAGGAGGCTGTCAATTTCTGGGTGTAGAACTTACGAAGAGTTAGTGAATCGGAACCATAATCAGTGCAATTCCAGTTGGTCTGCCTCAAGTAAAACACAAAATCGTATTTTAAAGGGGTGAGTAGATGCTTTAAAAATATTTTCAAAATAAGTGTTCTGAATGTCAGTTTGGTTTCTGAGTTAAATTGCCTCTAAATGACCCAGTTCTAAAGTCACATTTCAAAGCTTTGGGAAACCCTGTCTGGGGCCTGTCTAGACCTCAGAATTGGCCTGGTTTGTTTTAAAGTTTCAGCGAGGGCTGGCCTGCTGGGTTTGCCTATTTCCAGGGCAGAGGCATGTGTGAGACGTGATGCAGATTTCCAAGGTACTGTTTTGTTTTGTTTTTTCATTATACTCTGTATGAAAAAATAATTTTAAAAAGTGATATCATGGTATATGTCATTTATATGTCATGGAAATTGCATCCTTCTTTGGCTTTGGAGCTTCTTAAGTGAAAAGGGTCAAAGTGGTGGATCCCAACCGATGATCCAGTGGCTTTGATCCAGTGGCATCAGAGAGCTGGATTCTACTCTGACACCATAACTAACCCACTGTGGAAATCTGGAAACTCAGCCTCTCTGGACTTCACTTCTAAAATGAGGCATTTGGAATATAAACTCTCTATAGTCTTTTTGATTCTTTGCCTCTATGATATTACAAAGAGTGCTAGCAGCTTTTCTAAATTTTATTGTATGCTATATATTTTTCTGGAAAACAAATAAAAAATTCAGCACTAATTATATACTGGGTAAAGCTAAAACTTAGAATGAACTTAGCAGCTGGGCAGTCATGAGTTAGTAAATAAAGGTTTATGGAGACTCAGAATCTCATGCAATTGGGGCACTGAGTCAGGTGAGGTTGTTCATTTGTCACAATTGCTGTGATAAAATATTCAAACTAAATATACACTTTTAAAACATAGACATGCTTTGGTTTTTTTTTTTAAATAGAATTTTGGAAAATACTAGAAACATTGGTCAAATCAATTAGCTCATACCTTAGCAGTTCTGTGTTGCATGCATTTGACAGGGTGGAACATTCCTAAATAGGTATATTTAAGCCCCCGTCAAGGCTGGATTGTGTAATGGTCTGGCATATGTGACTTCTATGTTTCTTTAATTACTGCTTCATGCAGCACCTGCATTAAAAGTGGAACACTGTGGGTCTAGTGAGCCTACCTCACACTGAAGGGATGGAGGGGATCACTCATGTCTGTTGCATGATCCTTTCGAGTTGGACAAAGCAAATGGGTCAGTCACTGGGGGGCTGCAGCAGTGTGCATCATACTGGACCCTGTCATTCCAGCCAACAGAGGTATCCCCTCAACAGCAAAAGCCATTCACACAGCAGCAGTGAGCAAGGAGGCTCACTGCACACCATGATGCTAATACTTCTGAGATCTCCATCATAATGTGCGTGGCTCTCACTGTGTGAGAATATAGCCTCATCTAAAGAGAGACAGACTGGCAGTCTTCACTTAGGGAAGATGAGAAGAAGTTTATTCAGGTAATTAAGAAAGGCCACTCTTTCACCTTGAATATTAAACAGACTCATTGGCTAATTGTTAAATTCTCTTCTTATAGACTAATTTGGTGGTATGAATTTTCTCTCAAAATGTATCCTTGAAACTCTGTCTCATCAAAGAATTGACTTAAGGGTGAATGAAATCTGTGAGAGTAGTGTTTCACTTTTTGTAAAAAATTGTGAAATTCACATAACACAACAACCATTTTAAAGTGTACAATTCAGTGGAATTCAGTGCATTCACAATGTAGTGCAGTGACCACCTCCCTTTAGTTTCAAAACATTGTTATCACCCCAAAAGAACACCCCATAACCCACTGAGTAGTTACCCCCACTTACCCCTTCCCTCATTTCCTGGCAACCATGAATTTACTTTCTGTCTCTGTGGATTTGTCTGTTCTGGACATGTGTTATATTTTGAGAAGCTGCTTTTACTCCAAGGTACTCAACTCCTAAAGGATGTGAAGGAAGAGAGCATGCACCAGCGGCCCTGTGATTATCAAGTATCTACCTGTTGGGACCTCCTGCTTCCTGTACCCATGAGGTACAACCACCTTCAGACCACAACAGGCTGTCGACCAGCTCCAGGAAGGCTGCCTGGCACCCCAGCACAGGAGGGAAGAATGATGTCCATTTAGAGTTCCAGGAAAGGCATAAGTAGGGCTGAATAAAATGATTTTAGTTGGAATTTGGCCACATTCAAGGGCTAATTAATGGGGATTATGAACAAAGTGAGGAATGTGCTCTTGGCTGCCACTGAGTTATCAATGTAGTAAAGTATGGCCTGCGAGTTTCCTAACCTCTGTAGAAGGACGCCCTTGGGCTCTATCCAACATATTGAACTTGTTAAGTGCTGAAGAAAGCTGGACTCTTGGAAAAGGATGTGGAGTCTTTTATTCACGCACTGGACGATTGGTGCTTAAATCTGCGGGAACCTGGACACGTGATGTTTAATCTTAAATCTCACAGGGAAGTGGTTTGGTTAGCGCACACGGTTAGGATGCCATTCTGAGGCTTCAAAAAGCAATGGAGGAGATCATCTACCTGTTCCCTTTCCTAATTTGGACAGTTACCAATCTTACAGTTGAAGTGAAAATATTAATATTTCTAGACACCTGCAAAATGAGAAAAAAACTGTGGATTGAGTAGCTCTGCAGGCTTCTTTCTCTCTCTCTCACTCTCTTTTTTTTTAGGAACCTGAGATCTGAGAGGCTTGTTTCTTCATTAAGTATTCTACAAACCTGAGAACTCTAGAAATGCTAGCTGGGAAGAGAAAGACAAAATGGGGAAAATAACAAAAAATGGAAAAATCTTTCTCCCCACAGACATCATTTTTCAGTGAGTGAAAAAAGTTTCCAAATATCTGTCTGTTTCAGAATCCATTTAGGCAATCTTAATCATCTCAACTCCGTTTCCTTATTATTCTAGAGCCTAGTCATTTTTTCCCCTCTAGAGTTAAGTTGCACTGCATATAGAAATGCATGGGTTTTATCCAAAACTTGTGATTTATTTTAGGTGGGTTCTTTCTTTACTCACATAAAGTAGCATTATGCATAAAAATTTAAAAATTTCCAACCCATGATTTTTTAAAAAGTAACTTGCCTCCCCCACTGAAGTAATGTCCAGATAATACAATAAATAAAAACTCTATTCTTTGCCATCTAGCTTTTAAAATTGGGCAAGAGTGAGCGTTTACTGAAATTTGCTCCATTGCATAGAGCATAAATACTGTTTTAAGAGAAAAATGGGAAGATCTAAGCAAATGGGGATGTAGTCTGTTTTTCTGCTCTTGAATTGGAGGAGCTATTTTGCATTTCCTCAAAATCTAGAAGTAACTGGGGCAGGCTGGGATTACTATGTGTTGGGCAAGAGGGTGAGGAAGAGGAGGAGGGAGAAGAAATGAAGAGGAGGAAATGGAAGAAAGAAAAAGGGAGGAGGAGGGAAATGGCTCTCTAGAGGGACTTCCCTAAGCAAGGCCAGGGCAGTGCAGGTAATAAGTATCTGAATACAGAAGAGCTTATTGGCGGTTTGTGACCAACTCCCTCACTGGGCATCCCTCCAGGTAGGGGTTTAGTGGAAGGCAGAGTTTCATGGGTGCGCAACTTGGGCAGTGGCACAGTCTGGTGCTCAGAAGGCCCACACTCAGTGTAAGGCTCTGCTGTCATCATCTTGAAATTCTTACTAATCTTATTTTTGAACTTGTGTTCTGTACATAAAGTCTGATGGGACACGGAACACATACATGAGCAGAGAAGACATTTGCAATATTCATGTTTCCTGTTCCTTATCACCTCATTTGCATAAAGAACCCATGATGCTTAATAAGCACAAAATTTCAGCGGTCCCACAATGCATGAGAATTCAACAAGACTCAAAAAGACTAAGTGTAAAAAAAAGGGAAGCGTCTGATGCCTACAACTGAGTAAGCAGGGCAGCAGAAAGCCCCAAGAGGCCATGCTTTCCATTAGAAGACGTGCTTTCCAGAATTTGCTTCAAATGCAGGAAGAAGTAGTGGAATTCTAAGAAACACAGATGAACTGGGCGCAGTGGCTCACGCCTGTAATCCCAGCACTTTGGGAGGCAGAGGCAGGCAGATCACCTGAGGTCAGGAGTTCGAGACCAGACTGGCCAACATGACAAAACCCCATCTCTACTAAAAATACAAAAATTAGCTGGGCGTAGTGGTGCGTGCCTGTAGTCCCAGCTACTCGGGAGGCTGAGGCAGGAGAATCACTTGTACCTGGGAGGCAGAGGTTGCAGTGAGCCAAGATCGTGCCATCGCACTCCAGCCTGGGCAATAGAGTGAGACCGTCTCAAAAAAAAAAAAAAAAAAAGAAAGAAAGAAACACAAGTGGCCAAGGAACCCTATCACATCCTTTCTTATTCATGTTGCTTCCCTGTAATAGTCACCACTTACACTGAAAAAGATGACATAAAAGGAAAGGGAAAGATAGGGCAAATCATAGTTTCCTTTCCTTTCAGATCCCCCTTGCTTATCAGTAAGCCGAAGGTAGAGAGGGTTGATAGCATATGCACTTATCAAGCAGTGAAAGAAGACAAGCTGAGCTTGTTTTGTGCAGAATATTTACTGTTCTGGTGAGAACAAAATACATATGCATGTATGAGGTACAAAATGTGAATTGTGCAATTTTGGTGATTCTACATACAAGTTAAATGTTCCTATATTTGCATTTATAACTGATGTTGCACAATATAAAAATGAATGGTGGCTGGGCGCGGTGGCTCACGCCTGTAATCCCAGCACTTTGGGAGGCCAAGGTGGGCAGATCACCTGAGGTCAGGAGTTCGAGACCAGCCTGGCAAACATGGCGAAACCCCATTTCTACTAAAAGTACAAAAATTAGCTGGGCTTGGTGGTGGGCGCCCGTAATTCCAGCTACTCAGGAGGCTGAGTCAGGAGAATTGCTTCAACCCAGGAGGCGGAGGTTGCAGTGAGCTGAGATCGGCCACTGCACTCCGGCCTGGGTGACAAGAGTGAGACTCCATCTCAAAAAAAAAAAAAAAAAGAATGGTAAAATTCATGCTAATAATTTTAACTTAAAATTTTTCTTTAGTACAACATCACATAGCAAATAAGAACACATCATGACAACTAGGGAAGAAAGGAAAAACCTTTATAATTTAGTATCTTTAACGGTATTTCCCCCTGCTTTTTGAACAAGGGGTCCCACATTTTCACTTTGCACTGGGCCCCACAAATTCTATAGCTGGCCTAGGGGAAGGTGTGCAGGTGTGGTGCTGGAGCCAGGCGGAAGGTTGGGGGCTGGAATTGTAAAGCTTATCTGGTTACATTTAAAAAACAACTCTGAGTACCTTGATAAGGTATTTCTTTCTTTTTTCTTAATAATTTCTCTTAAAACCAAATAATACGGTTTGGCTGTGTCTCCACCCAAATCTTACCTTGAATTCCCACATATTGTGGATGGGACCCAGTGGAAGGTAATTGAATCATGGGGGCAAGTCTTTCCTGTGCTAGTCTCGCGATAGTGAATAAGTCTCACGAGATCTGACAATTTTAAAAAGAAGAGTTCCCCTGCGCAAGTTTTGTTTCTTTGCCTCCTGCAGTCTGTGCCTTCCACCATGATCATGAGGCTTCCCCAGCCACACAGAACTGTAAGTCCAATTAAACCTCTTTCTTTTGTAAATTGCCCAGTCTCAGGTATGTCTTTATCAGGAGCGTGAAAACAGACTGATAAACCAAATACCATGCTTCTCCAAAGCACTCCGCCCCTGGTATATTTCCGGGAGATAAGCCCGTTTTTCATATGAGAACAGTGAGCTCCAAGGAGCGGCCTGCCCTTGGCTTCTGTTCCCAGGGCGAGTGTGAAGGCTGAGCTTTTCCGTTCCCTCTTCCATGGAGCTTGGCTGGTTCCTATGAACTGCAAGTTAAGGTTTGTTATTTTATAGTCCATTAAACAATCTTTTATAAAAATTAAAAACAAGTTATAATGTAAATGTAAACAAAAAGCTAACGTAAAAAGGTTAAAAAAATTATTTTGGTGACTTTTTTTTTCAAGGCCTGAAAGCCGCAATCAGATATTGTTATAATTTTAGGTGTCATAGATCATATCTTACATTTGTTTTTGTATTTATAACTCTGTGGGATTTACCAATCTTAGGGCTATAATACTTTTTATAACATAAGTGGAAGCTGTTTCCCAGGTTTGACTTGTTAGTCTTCTCTTCTGCCGTTAATTTATTGGTTTGTTCTACGTATTTTACAAAATCCAAACCTTGAGAAACAAGGCTTGACAATTTAGCTCCATATACACTTCAAAACTTAAGAAATGGGGAGATGTGTTTCATTTATATTCTTTATTATTCATTTGACTTACAAAGTATATAGGCATGGAAATTGCCTGTCAGTTTTACTACTGAAAGCCCCAGCTACTCTTACTTAAGATTAAAGTCATTCTTTTTATAATCACTCACTTTCCTCCAAGAAAATTCTCTGTGTGGGGGGAAGTTTTCGATGGAGAAGGATTCTGTGTGGACTTCCAACCCTTTAACCTAGGTTATAGTGGGATGTTAAGTCAGGAAATGACATATCGGGGCAGGAATCAGTTGTGCTCCCTCCCAAGTCTATTTTAAAGCACTTTCCATTTTAAATATAGCAATAAAATATCAGCCTCGAAATGTCTGATAAGGATAAAAGCAATAGATCCAAATCCAATCTAAATCTGACACTGCTAGGAACAAGAATTCACATTGGTAAGTCAGGACTCATTTATGGGGCCATAAATGGGTGGGCCAGCTATAATTTGGGTATTAAACTTGTAAAATATATTGATGGTATGGAAGAGCTAAATAAATAATTTACTACAAAAAAATTGGAAATCTTTACATGGTACTTAATTGACCAGTTGGTCTCCCAGATTCTCAGTGCTCCTTGCTTTGCATTTATGTGTTTTTCATAGGCTGGATTTTCCTTTTCCTCACTTGAGTTTAATTTCCCTCTGCAATGAATGATCACAAGTTAGTGCATTTCTGAAAACACACACAGTTTCCATTTAAAATTTTGCCAATCCATTACAGGCCTTTGACAATTTCATTTACCTGTTAGGAGGATAAATGTACCCCCACGTTCTGCCTGTTCCAGGATAAGACAAATTTCTTTCTGGCCTCAAAAAGCCTTTTCAGTACCACATCTTATATTCCTGTGCTGAGCACATAATGGGAGGGGCTTCAAGGAGATGCTTTACAAAATTTACTGAATCTTTTTGCTTGGTATTTTGGGAATCTGCTGAATAGAGAAAAAAAGTGATTTTAGAAAGATCTGTCACGGCCTCCTACACATCTGTGAGGTGCTAAGTGTGGTTGGAGAAGGGAAAGGAGAATGAAAATATGGAAACTCAAAGTAAGACAGTGTTATTTATGTATGTATCCAGGAAAACAAGATTTCTTGGACGATTTTAAATTTATTTAATAGTAACAGTATCTCATATGTGTATAACAATTACTTGTTTCCAAAGACTTTCGTATCTTTTATTTTTTCACCTCTTGTGATATTCCGCCAAAGTAAACAATAGAGGTATTACAATGGCCAGTTTTACTAGATGAGAAAACTGAGGTTTGGGTAAATTGGGACTTGCACAAAGTAGTTTATACAGCAAATTGGCTGGTGCTTAGAGCCCGATTCTTCAGAATCCCAGGTTGACTCTACTGTGAAGGATCATTTTGTGCTTTCACTGGCAGGTAATAGAAAGGCCACCCCAAGCAAGCTTAAATAATAAAGAGTTGCATTGGCTTGTGTAATGAGAAACCAAGACGGGGTGGGCTTCAGGCTTGGTTCCATCTAGGTTTTGACTCTGTTTTTCTGCAGTTCTTTCTGTTCTGTGCCCTTCTGGGAGCTGACTTTGGCTTCTGGCTGGTGGTTGGTAGCAATTGAGGCAGCATGCCTCCTAGTTCACCCCTACCAGGTTGACAGTCTGATGTCCCCATTGTTATCTCTTAAAAGCAAGGTAGGACTTTCCTGGAAACTTCCAGCAAGATTTTTCTTTCTCCAGAATTGGAGTGCATGACATCCTCAGTCAGTGACTAGCGTGGACCATGGGATTACTTTGATGAGCTTAGTCTAATCAAAGCCAATTCTGAGTGACTGGTTATTCTGAAGAGGGAATCTATCTGAACAAAAGCAGGATCCTTGTAGGAAGAAAGAGGTGAGAATGGGTGATGGGTAGACAATCAACAGAGTCCTCTACAGTTACTTTGTAAGATTTCAGTAGGCCACACGTTTGAGGAAATCCATGTGTTTGTTATGGAACAAGGTAGCCAAAGAGACCTTTTTCGTTTGGCCAGAGGGACTGATGAAACAACTAAATCCTGGTTGTTTCGCAGTCTCTTATGCAGCTTCTTGTTTCCCCAGCAGCATCTGTGCTCTCCCACATGGCTTCTGCTTGGTCTTCTGCCAGACCCTGGGCTTCTCACAGGCACAATGGCTGTGCCTTACGCTCAGGAAAGCCAGGGTTTGCCAGAAGCACTCACTCCCCGAGTCCCTAACTTCATCCTCTCCTAGACCCCATTTCTGAAGTGAAAGTACACAGAGGAGTTAGTCATAGAGAGTCTTGTGCAATTCTAAGAGGGAAAATGGGTGAGAGTTCATTGTTTTCCCTGAAGCAAGGCTTGGCAGTCCAAAATATTCCCCAATGTGCTGAAGTTAGTTTACCAGCAATGTGTTTTTCTTATACCAAACTGCTGTCCGAGCCACAACCTTGTTGAAAAGAGTAGGGCCATACAGCTTACACAACTCTATCTGTCCTCCCCGACAATTACCTTATAGAACAGTACGCACTAGGAAACTTTAAATTTTTTGTCTGGAGAATCCTTGGTGTTCTAAATATGCAAAGCCTTCATCGCATCAGGCACCACCTCTTACCCTGAAGACAAGCCACACTCTGGCTGTTAATCTAGGCCCAGCCAAACACACCAGGGTCTGATGGGCCAGATCCCACAGTACAGAGGATGTATGCTCAGAGAGCACTGCTTAAAATGGAGGTCGCTGGAGATGCTGAGGAGGAGGTGCCCAGCTTCCTTTAATACCATCGTGTGTTTTCAAGTGGAAGATTCATTTAAGCAGGGGAAAATACCTTCTCCCTAGGCTTCAGGCCCAGGTAGGTAATAAAAAGCAAAGAACACAACTCCAAACCCCAAACACTATGTCTTTTTAAATGACGTTTGAGGCTTAGTTACTCACGTGTGACTAGCAGGATTGGTGTCATAATTTGCAGGGCTCTGTGCAAAATGAAAATGTGAACTCCTTGTTCAAAAATTATTAAGAATTATACGACAGTGACAGCAAAGCATTAAATCAAGCATGGAGCCCTTTTAAGCACAGGCCCTATGCAACTTCACAGGTCTTACACCTACAAAGCCAGACTTGGTGACTGTGCTCTGTAAAGTGACAGAGCACATTTTCTCTCACTATTTACTGTAGCTATTTCTTAGCTCTAAACAGTCATTTCCTTTCAAAGAGCTCGGAACATGGAAAACTAAATAGTTTGGATATTAAGAATTCTTTTAATTGAAGGAGGAGAGCCTAGAGACAGATAAAATTGTGAGTTTTTGTTCTGGAGTCAGCCTTGATTTGCTAGAGTCAAACCTGGTTTGATTGTGCTTTAATCTCTGAATCGCCTTCAGTGAATCGCTTCAGTCTCAAAGTCATTGTCTCATTTATTGTAAAGCAGGGGCAATTCTTGTGCCTACCTTATTGGACTTCTAGAAGAATTAAATGTAATATTGAATGTAAAGTACTTAGCATAATGCCTGGCTCATATTATTGCTCAACAAATATTAGCAATTGCCATAATAATTATGAACTGAGAAAGGGATGGTTGAGGACTGAGACTCCTCGAAGGATATCGTAGGATTCGGGGGTTTAATTTATGTTCTGTTTGCCTGAGCCTAGTTACCACTAGAAAGTTTAAAAATGTTTTCTGATGATATATTCTTTATTTGTAGAAAATTTTAGAAAAAAAAGCGAAATTTATACATGGATTAATCATTCAAAGGTAACAACTGTTAGTTTTTTAATGTATTTCCCTGAAATTTTCTTTTTTGCATGTATGTGTATGAGAATTGTACCCTAGTGTAGCTTTAGTTTTATATTCTGCTTCCTCCCCTTCCTGTAAATATCACCTTATGGCATTAAATTGCTTTAAAAATTTTTCATGACAGCTTAATTCTGTATTGTGCAGATGTTCCATAATTTGTTTCCCTATCTCATGGACTTTTAAGCCATTTTCCATTTTTCAGTATTGTAAATTATGCTATGAATGGCCATGTGCATATATCGCTGATCACCTCTGACTATTCCTGTCTTAGAGAAGAGTCCTCTTTTAAAGAAGGGATCTAGAAATGCATGGGTTAAGCCTCTTGCCATGTATGATACTTCCAAAATGATTGTACCAGTTTCTCTCCCATCAGGTAGGGATAGGGGGATCCTATCTTCCAAGACCTTCTCCAACATGGAGCTATTTGTAAACCTTTGACCATTTGATAGGCACAAAAGTTGTCATATCTATAATACTCTGTTGCTTTGACCAATAGTGAGATTGGGCATATTTTCATGTTTATTGAGTATGTTTACTATTTACTAAGTATTTATGTTTCTTTGTGAATCATAAGTTCATGGCTTTTTGCCAGTTTTTCTATTGGGCAATTTGATTTGTGCCCAATTATTATCTGTTTTTTGCTCAATTATATTATTTTTAATAAGGTACCCCAGATTCTTACCTCTCCTAATAATGCATAATGAATACATCAGGTAGTTTTCTGTAATAATGCAGTGTTACTTCTAAAAACATTTAGGACCAGAACAGAGTACGAAGTGGTGAGATGGTAAGGTATTTGACAAATATGGCTATTGACAGCTTCTTTCACCATCATAGTCATGTTAGGTGAAACTTGCTTTTTAAGAAAAATTATTACAATACTAATAGAGAGCAATTCTTCCATATTTTACAGGGTTATCATCAAATGTTAGTAGTAATTAGGACTGTGATTTTTATTTTATTTTATTTTATTTCCTATTATTCCTTGTATTTTTCAAAATTTATATCCTGAACACATATAGCCTTTTATTATCCGTTTTACAGTTAAACAATAAAAACAAACAAATTCAAAGACCTAGTAATGGCTAGAATAAGCCTGTAATATTTTTGTTTCATATGATTTAGCAGAACTGAAGTTGCAAGTAAAATTATTTGACAAATTACAAATGAGCTATTTAGTCCTATTACCTTTTTAGTCTTTATACAATCCAATCTTGCAGTTGCCTGCACTCCCCTAAAGGGGATGTAATGCAGTGGGTACCACAATAGGATATCGGGTCAACTAGATCTGAGGTCACATCCACATAGCCTCATGTTGGTTGTGTGACCCTGGACATTAACATTTTTGTGCCTTAATTTTGTTTCTTTTAAGATGGGGACAATAATATCTTCCTCTTCCTAATAAGGTTGTTGTGAGAAATAAATGAGAGTATTTAACACAGCCATAGGCACCCAGTAAGTGCTCAACAAATAGACTTCATTTTTATTAAATAGAGTTGATGTTAAGCCTATTTGAACAAATACATTGGATTCAGTGACAGCACTGAAAGTCAAGCCTACAGAGGCCTTTTTTTATGCCTCTTGTGCCTTCACCCTGAGCAAGTGATGTCAAGGGACAAAGTCCACTGCGATCACACCTGCCTGCCAAATAGGGTCTCATGTAGAACAGACCACTGTTCTCCCAGGAAAGGCCCCGTGTGGCTGTGTGTGTAGACTTCTCTGTCTCTGTCTCTGTCTCTGAGTCTCTCCCTGGCTCGCCCTCTCTGTTTCCCACACACCACACATCCACACACCCACACACTCACAGACTCACACACTGCACACTTACACATCACACACACACTTTCATACACCACACACTCAGACTCACACACACACCATACACACTTACACCACACATTCACAAACCACACATTAACACATACCACACACACACCACACACTCAGACTCACACACATGCCGCACACTCTCACATATCACATGCTCAAACACCCACACATTCAGACACACCGCACACACACACACCACACACTCACACATACACCACATGCTCACACCACACAGACTCACACCACACACATACACTTACATAACCACACAGACTCAGACACTCATACACCACATGCTCACCCACCACAGACTCACACACACCACACACTCATACAATCCCACACTCACACACCACACACACTACACACTTACACACCCACTCACCACACGCTCACACAGCACACACTCCTACACTACAAACACAACACATTCACAAACCACACATTAACACCCACAAACCACACACAGACACTCACACCCCACACACGACACTCCCACACACCACACACCCACCTCACACACTCCTATACCACACAACACATTCACAAACAACACATTAACACCCACACACCACATACACCACACACACACCACACCCTCTCTGATCTGAGCAAGTTGTTGTGGGCAGAAGAAAAATATTTTTTCCTTGCGCTCATCTTAAGTTTATTGGCTGGGGCCCTGGTAATAAAAGACAGAGAAGAGCACACACATTTATGTGATCTAAGTTTTCTGACACACGGGAGACCATCAGGAGACACAGAGCCGAAGGAGCAGTTAAACCCGTGTGTTTCTCTGCTAGGTTTGAGGAAGAGCGAAGAGTGTTGGAGAATATGACAAGACAAAGGAGGTCTGAATGAAATGTTAGGCCTGGGGACCTTAGTAAGGCCTGCTCGTCCACATTCCTCCCAGCATCCCTGCGTCTTCAGAGGCAACACTGCTGCTTCTCTCTGGGTCTAGGGGGTCACCTCTCTCAAGAGGGGCTTATGACCTGCTTCAGGGGAAGGTCAGAAGCTCTGTCTTGCACATGCTATTTCTCAAATTCCTTCAGCTTAAGATATTCAATATACCCCATGCCCTATTTTGGAGTAGCATGTCCTGAACCCCGTTATGTGGTGATGGAGGGTATACATTAGTTGATTACTTTCCACTGATTTTCACTGTACACGAGGTTGTAACCACAAATATGGTGGCAGTCAGTGAGAAGTTTAAATGACAGAATGCGTTCCCTTTAAATGTGGACATAATACTTTAAAGCACACTCTATGACTAGAATTAAGCATTAGAAAGCAGATGTTTTAACAGGACTGCTTGACTCAACAGACAGACCAACCTGTGATTAAGGCAGAAGCCCATGGGTGTACCCAGGAGGCTGACGTCCTTTCTCCCAATTAGATGGGCAGGCCCTATAAATCTTAAACTAAATGTTGTCTATAAATTTGGCAAAGAATTGCAACAACTCTAACGCTGGTAAGGGGAGACAGGCATTCTCATATCCTACCAGGGCAGTATAACTCGAGACTGTCATCTGGAGGGCAATTTGGCAATGCAAAGTTTGATCAGTAAACCCACTGTGTATCATTAGTGAGGATACTTTTAGATGCAAAGAATAGAAAACCTAGACAAAAACAACTTAGCCAAAGAAGAAATTCATTATCTCACCTAACAAGAATTCTAGAGGTAAGGGAAATCCAGAGCTTGTTAACTGAGTAGCTCTGTGGTCATCAGGGTCCAGTGTCTTTTCTACCTTTCTGCTCTGCCACTCCCAACATATGGGGTTGTCCTCATGGTTAATTCATAATGGTCATAGTATGGCTGCAGCAGCACCAGCCATCACAGACTCATTTGACAATGTCCAAGGGCTGGAAGAATGTCCCTCTCTTGTGTCCCTATTGAAGAGGAAGAAACCTTTCCAGAAGCCCCTCTGTCTGCCTTCGCGTGGCTAATTTTCCCTCTAAAATTTCCCTCTAAATTTTTCCCTCACGTGGCTAATTGACTAGAAACATATCACACATCTATTTTAAATCCTATCATTGGCAAAGAGAGTGAAATTGCACAATTGGCTTGGGGCTGAAGAGAAACTTGGCTTTCTCTGAAGCACAGACCCTCCCAAAATCTGAATCAGGTATGAGTTCAATTAACAAGGAAGAAGTTGGTGGATCCTTGCTGTCTAGGCCATCAGTAGAGTCTGTCATCCTTTTTAAAGCAGGGCTTTAGAGAGCTTTCCACAACACAGCACACATAGAAAATTCTAGTACAGGCTGGGCACGGTGGCTCACGCCTGTAATCCCAGCACTTTGGGAGGCCAAGGCGGGTGGATCACTTGAGGTCAGGAGTTCGAGACCAGCCTGACAAACATGGTGAAACCCTGTCTCTACTAAAAATACAAAATTAGCTGGGTGTGGTAGTACACACCTGTAAACCCAGCTACTTGGGAGGCTGAGGCAGGAGAATCGCTTGAACCCAGGAGGCAGAGGTTGCAGTGAGCCGAGATCGCTCCGTTGCACTCCAGCCTGGGCATCTCAAAAAAAAAAAAAGAAGAAAAGAAAATTCTAGTACAATATTTGCATGGCATTCTGAAGTAAATTGGGGAGCTTCAATATGGGGCTTGGTGAAAATTACTATCTTTATGATACATAATTATAATAAAAGTAAAATACAAAGTATTGAGAAAGATATGACACATTGAATTTGTATAAAACTTCCAAATAAAACCTTTTCAGGTTGTAACACAAGAAACCTGAGCTTGCTTCTAGAGACACATATTTTTCTATTTCAGGTTTTATGTTGAAATAGCTACACTGAACTCTTGATCAAGACTTTTCTTTCAATGATGATTTCTTCAAATTCTTTATAGTCACCAGAGGAGAACTTTATTCTTAAAATAGGTGATAAAAATAATTAAATTGGCCAGGTGCGGTGGCTAACACCTGTAATCCCAGCACCTTGGGAGGCCAAGGTGGGCGGATCACAAGGTCAGGAGTTTGAGACCAGCCTGGCCAACATGGTGAAACCCCGTCTCTACTAAAAATACAAAAATTAGCTGCGTGTGGTGGCACACGCCTGTAGTCTCAGCTACTTGGGAGGCTGAGGCAGAAGAATCGCTTGAATCTGGGAGGCGGAGGTTGCAGTGAGCCAAGATCCTGCCACTGCACCCAGCCTGGGTGACAGAGCGAGACTTAGTCTCAAAAAAAAAAAAAAATTAGCTGGGCGTGGTGGTGTGCACCTGTAATCTCAGCTACTTGGGAGGCTGAGGCAGAGGAATTGCTTGAATCAGGAAGGTGGAGGTTGCAGTGAGCCGAGATCACGCCGCTGCATTCCAGCCTGGGCGACAGAGCGAGACTCCATCTCAAAAAAAAAAAAAAATTTTTTTAAACCATTTTTACAACCATTTGAACATTTTCTGCAGTTGCAAATCTATTTAAAAAATTAATAGGTCTTCTTTTTCTTTCACTGACAAATATAACAGTGAAATTTCTTTTATTAATGAAAGTGGATTTCAAACTCATTTGAACTTTTTCATAACAGGTCTTTCAAAATCATGACACTGTTCTAATGTACATATGAAATGGTAAAGTGGGTATTATTACCTAGCCAAGATGCCGGTACAAAGGCACCTCAGGTACAAGTGGACAGAGGTGTACGGTATAGATGAAAAAAATGCCTCCTGGATGAGCCCTTCCAGAGCCCTGTATTCAGTCTCCATTTTGCCCCTCTGTTTAATAATTGCACTTGGGACATAAACTCCCCCAGCAGCTCCATAGGTCCTTGTCTTCCAAGGGCATGGTGTGATCCATAGCCACCTGCTTGGGGAATCACCCTTTCCCCATGCTTAATAGGTTACTCAATAGGTTACTCTAGAACAGTGGTTTTCTGAGTGTATTCCCCAGACCAGAAGCAAGAGCATCATCTGGGAGCTAGTTAGAAATGCAAATTCTGGGGTCTTACCCTAGACCTATTGAATCAGAAACTCGGGGTGGGCCCAGCCTGTGTGTCACAAGCCCTCCAGGTGATTCTAATGCGCCCTCAAGTTTGAGGGCTATAGTTGCAAACACTGAAGACAGATGTTGCTCATCATGCCCAACTATACATGCCCTGTTAGTCCTCACTCCAACCGTGGACTGAGAGGATTGCGATCTTGTGGTTAGCTTGTGTCTTACTCCATTTGTGTTGCTATAAAAGAATACTTGAGGCTGGGTACTTTATTGAGAAATTTTGGCTCAAGTTCTGCAGGCTGTAGGATAACGGTATCAGCACCTGCTTCTGGTGAGGGCCTCAGGAATCTTCCACTCATGGCGGAAGGCAAAAGGGAGCAGGCATTACATGGTGAGGGAGGAAGGAAGATTGAGGGGCAGGGTCAGAATCTTTTAATAATCAGTTCTCAGGGGAACTGAGAGAGTGAGAACTCACTCACTACCACGAAGACAGCACCAGGCCATTCATGAAGGATCTGCCCCCATGATCCAAACACCTCCCACTAGGCCCCACCTCCAACATTGGGGATCAGATTTCAACTCGAGGTTTGGAGGGGACAAACATCTAAACTATATCAAACTGTGACTCATCCAAGGCACACAGTCTCTGCTCCAAAGCAAGGGTGCAGCTCCACCTCTTGCCTCTGGCAGTTTTGAATGAAATAGCTGAAAGCAGAAAGCAGGACAGAACAACAGCCAGGGGAGGAAGGCCTGAGGCAGCCACCCATGGGATAGTTAGGGCCCATTGTATGTTTCCTTGGCTGTGGAAGTCATATTTCCCTTAGCATTGTTTAAAGTTGTCCAAGATTGATAATGGTGACAAGCCTGCCTCTGTCCCCATCAGAACTCCAGAGAGCAGGAGTAGCCGATCTCAGCCATTGGTGCCACCCACACGGGAAATGAGAGCACTTCCTCTTTTACACACACACACACACACACACACACACACACACACACACACACATCATTAGCAGTTATGGTTGGGCACTGTCTCACAAGATCTCACCTCCTATAGGGCTTGTCCCTTTGTTCATGAGGAAAGATGGGACCAGAATGCTGTGGGATGCAAAATCAATTCATTAGATCACAGGGTGCCTGGAAAGTGGTGTTAGATTTTTGACTTTAGAGAGAGGGTCTAGCAGACACTCAACCACTTACCAGATGTCCCTGAGTCTACTGCTCAAAGTCAAGACAGTCTTTCCTTCCAGGGTAACACTTTTGGTAGTCAATAAAATGTGCATGACAGCAGAGGGTGGCACTGGTCCTAAGGAAGAATTTACACTGGGCTTTGTCTCTCCCCTCTGGTGTGTTTGTTTCTTACCCTTGGAGGGTGATTTAGGATGGAGAGCTGAGAGGGTACCCAAGAGCCAAGGGGCATCATTTTCCATTCCATTCCTCACCAGCTGGACAAAATAGTACTATGCCTTGATATTGTGGTACTGACTACCCTATAGCATTTGATGCTTAAAAAGCATTTTCACATACTGGATCTTTGGAGTCTCCCTAGGACAGTAGTATGAAGGAGAATTTGAACCTCAGCATAAGTGACTTGCCCACGGGAATATGTTTGATTTGTGCAAGTGGAGATCTGAACACAAAGTATCTGGATCTAAGCACTGTCCTCTTCTTGCCCCAAAACAAGACCTCCTTGCCGCTTCACCTTGCTCATCCTCAGCAGGTCAGGGTCAGTTTCTTTCCTACAGACTTTAATGACGAAACTTTCTGAGACTTGCTTTGTCTAAGAAAACCATCTCATGTTGTTAAACATCTTCAGGCTTGGGAAATTCTTCTTATATTGGACTAACATCCTTGCTTTAAAAATCGTAAGTAAGCCCATTTTTTCTCTTTCCTTCCTGGTAAAAAGTGGGGTATAGTAATAACAACAACTAAATTTATCGAGCATCACTATATTCTAGGCATGCTTCCTCAACTTCATGAGGAAAGTACTATTATAACCCCATTTTATAGATAAGGAAAACCCCATTTTATAGATAAGGAAAAACGAGGCATAAGATGTTAAGAACTGGTATAACTGGCCCAAGATGGAAAAAAACAGAGGCGTAGGATGTTAAATAACTTGTCAGAGTTAAAATGGCTAATGAGTGATTATGTAGGGATTTGAGCCCAGGTGGTTTGACTCCAGAATCTATGTGCCTGATTCCAGGACCATGTTGACTTTAAGTAAAAAAAAAAGAGATCCCTGATAACTTGCTTTCTTTGTGTATCTCAGTGTAATTCCTTCATTCTCTCTCAAAATAAATCCAGCTGCTTTTGTAGTTTTCCCCAGGTGTTACTTACCATTCAGTTAATCTCTTTTTTCCCCCCTGTTAGCTGCACTTCAGCAGTAAACACATTTGGGAGGCTGTTCTAACATTCTTTTACTCCTGGGTTATTACTTCCACTGTGGCAAAACTGTTATACCAAATTTGGGTGTAGATCTCCCTTAGGAAGTTTTTCCAGGTCCTGCTTCTACATGACCAACAGGAATCTCCACTCCTGTTTCCTCCAGGCAACACACTTCAAAGTTCACATTAGACAGACTCAGCTAACCATTATTCTTGAGGCTGCTATAAAATTTCCCAATGTAATCAGTACGAAAGATTTCTATCATTTTGCATAATTTTAGGTTAATTTACATGAAGTAATTAAAATAAAGACAAACTAAAGTCTAAACTGTCGGTTGAACCTGTTTTGTTGTTGTTGTTTTGATTTGTTTTTTGAGAAAGGGTCTTGCTGTGTATCTCAGGCTGCAAGCTGGAGTGCACTGGTGCAATTATGGCTCACTGCAGCCTCCACTTCCCAGGCTCAAGCAATCTGCCCACCTAAACCTCCAGCAAAGCTGTTTATTATGTTTAGTAGAGATGGGGTCTCCCTATGTTGCCCAGGCTGGTCTTGAACTCCTGAGCTCAAGCAATCCCCCTGCCTCAGCCTCCCAAAGTGCTGGAATTATAGGCGTGAGACACTGCACCTAGCCTGAACCTGTTTTAAAAGCTTGGAATTCAGAAACACTGAAAGGAGTGTGTATTAAAAGAACTACCTGAGACTGGGTAATTTATAAAGAAAAGAGGTTTAATTGGCTCACGGTTCTGCAGGCTGTACAGCAAAAATAGCTGGGGAGGCCTCAGGAAACTTAGAATCATGGTGGAAGGCAAAGGGGAAGCAGGCACGTTTTACGTGGCTGGAGGAGGGGGAAGAGAGAGAAGGGGGAGGAGCTACACATTTTTAAACAACCAGATCTTGTGAGAACTCACTCACTATCAGAAGAACAGCAAGGGGGATATCCACCCCCATGATCCGATAACCTCCCACCAGGCCCCTCTTCCAACATTGGGGATTACAATTTGACATGAGATTTGGGTAGAGACACAAATCCAAACCATATCAGAATGGGATTAAGCCCAGACTATAAAGCTAAGAAAAACTTCATTATTACTCCTAAAATATCTGGGGACATTTCTGGGCATGAGACTGGGGAGCTGAGACAGGGATTGCCCCATCAAGCAGTACACCAGCTGTTCCCTTGTTCTGAAACTTCTTCCTTCTTCATTCCAAACTGTCCTTGACTATCATCACAGTCAGATGTCCACTTAGACATCTCCTCCTCTCTGGGGAGCTCCTCCCCGATTCCAAATTCAGTTAGGTGTCCCCCCCACCACCCCACCCCCCACAGAGCCCTCCTAGTGTCTTGTCCTTGCTCATTCTGCTGAATGGCTGGCTTCCATCCTGTCCCAGGTTGCAGGTCATTGCCTGCAGGCAGTGACCTTGCCTCACCTTTCATTGGCTCCTAGTCCTACCTCGTAAAGGAACTGATTCATAGATACTCAATAAATATTTAGTAAATGAATGAATGAGACCCTATTAGTGCAGATACTTTTTTGTTTGTTTACTTTTTCTCATCTCTATAAAAGAGGCAACCTTACTTTTCTATGTCAGTGAACATAATGAGAGCCTTTTTTTCCTGATTTCTCTCCTTTAGTTAGGTGGATCATGAAAAATCACAAAGTACTTTAAAAAATGAACTGGTTCAGAACATCCTTCCCAATTATTAGCAGCTCCCAAGGATTCTACAGGCACTTTTCAAGGCACTCCCTCCCTTTTCCTCACTGACGTTTCCAGAGCCTGCTGGCGTGGAAAGAATGTCTGAGAAGGAAAAAGAGCTACGCTGCGGAGACTGCTTTTTCAAGCCAGGTTCCCAGCCAGGACATTTTCTTCTACAGTTTCCCAGAGATCAAGCCAGCAGCTGCTTCCTGCCCCTTGCTGAGCTGTACCTGGGGGCTGATGGTTTTACTGTTCTTTGGTAACCATGCAGATTCAGAGCTGCATGTTCAGTAGCTAGAGGGCTCCCTTAAATGGACAAGGTTGGAGCCTCACATTCCACGAGCCATTGGAAACTCTCAGCCTTTGGTTCCTTATTATGAGAATGTTACTGTGGCTCTGGGCTAGACAATGAATCTAGCAATGGTTTTGATGTCTTTTGTTTCATGCAGCCCATAAAAAGCAGCCGGGCCCTGCTGTCTGCACTTGGTTTGGGCAGATAGACCCTCTACTATGACAGCCTTTAACTCTCACTCTAACCTGCCCTCATTAACTTACCTACAACAGGAAATCTTGCATATCACGTTTCATTTTATAGTGGCCTGTAGCACCCTCAAGGTGCCCATCCCACCTACTCACTTTGAAACCCTGACTTGGGAAGCTAAAGTGCGTTGTCCCCATTTGGTGATTGTTAGAACCATACATAGGTCACTTTAGTTCACTGGCCCATTCCCATCTTCCCTCCATTAAGTAGCTGCAACTGAATTTTGCGATAGCCTTTTCTTTTCTGCCTCTGAGGTGATTTTAGGGAATATGTGGAAATCTAAATCTCCTGCTGGTCAACAGGCAAGAGCTGGGTACCAGAGGCTGAGCTGCTGATAGGGCATTTGATTCTTTTTCATTCTGATTAAGCCTCTGGGGACTCATAGTCCAAACATGAAGAACAAATGGATTTTAAATTAGTTCTTAGGATCCAAAAACTCTGGCTGCAAGTACAAAGAGGTTAATGGTCTTGTAGGCATTTTTACTTGCTTCTCAGTTTTACAGCTTTGAATCCTTATGTGAGCTGATAGGAGCTTCTTGTTGGCAAGAGATGTTAGAGAACTAAACCCAGGAAGAATAGAAATAGTGCCAGGAAAGACAGATAACCTGCAGAAAGGCTATAAGGCTGTTTTGGCTTCTCCCAACCTGTGCAAGCTGCCATCAGGAGGGTAGGGGTAGGCAGGTGACAGCCCCCATCTTTAACTACAAAAGTGCCTGGAGGTAGCATAAAGAACCATCGGAGCAGTGTCAGACTCCCTTCCTCCCTATTAGATGTGCCACCCAGAAGGTATGGTCCTGTTGCTTTTCTGTTTAATTTTCTGAACAGTGGACATGTATTAAATGAGGAACAAGTCCTTTTGCAGATCTTTGTACAGTATGCAAGTATTCATTCAATACCCAAAATGTTGGAAAGTCAGATGTAAGCCAACATTAATAACAGCTAAGCCTGCAGGAAGTATGATTTCCTCAACTGCTACCAAAGGAAGTGACAAAGTATCAGATATATGTTTTTAATGTTTTACTTTTTAATATTTATGGGTACAGAGTAGTTGTATATATTTATGGGGTACATGAGATGTTTTGATATAGACATGCAATGGGTAATAATCACATCATGGAGAATGGGGGATCCATCCCCTCAAGCATTTATCCTTTAAATACCAGGTATTTGATTAAGAGAAATTGGGATGGAGAAGATAAGTAACTGCAACAGAAGTTGTAATGGTCTTCAACTGTCTGTATCATCATCAGTCTTCTAGCTCAAATGATGGCTTGAATACACTGCCACAAGAAGTATTTTCTGGTTCAAAAATTGAAAGCAAGTTTTCAAGGGCCAGGATGAAATCCACTGCAATAATGTAAAATGTAATCGCCCCATTTATTATTACAGAGATTACCAAAGGTCTGATGGTGTTTTTAATGGCAGTGTGTTTTAATGGCAATGTGTTTTATTTCTCTGGTGGAAAAAAGGGTTATGCTCCAGCGACCTAAAATAGCCCCACTGAGCATATTTCGCACCTCCACCCAAGGCACTTGGGGATTTGTATGGGAAGAGTCCATTTTCTTGGGTTCAATGAGATGCGATTTGGAAAGGGAAAAGGTTGCTGAGGGCAGGAAGTATCTTCGATTCAACTAAAGTCATAGCTAGCTGTTGTCCTTCTGGTACCTTCCTCTGGCCCATGGGGGCAGCAGTGGGCAAGAGGGCGTTATTTAGTTGATGGAGGTAAGGAAAAAATGAAGCGTATGAAGTCGAAGATTGAGCACTATGAGGAAAAGTTTTATTGTTAAGCAGGGAACCTGTGTCTAGGCTCTGGGGGATGAGATGCCCAGACTCGGGAGGGGGTGTGGGGAGAACTAGGGTGGGTCCTTCAAAGCCAAGACACTGCAAACTCTATTTGTGCCCTTAGGATAGCAAAGTCTCTGATGGTTGCTATTTGGTTGGTGATGTGTGAACTGTCCCTGGGAGGTTCTCCTGCTTGGGATATGGTGGTATAAGATGTGGTGCCCAGCTGCCCCTGCTATGCACAGGTCATGCGGGTCAGGATTGGGTGGCCCAGTCCACTCTGCACCAGTATCAGCCGGCTCATGGCCAGGCCAGGGTTTATCAGTGGCCACAGTGGTGGGAGGTGGAGACAGTGTCCTTGTCATATATTCCTTTTATTTATTACACTCCCCTGCCCATTTCTACCATCTACGTCATGTGGCACTTGGGAACATGCAGTTTGATCCTGGACACTACTCTCAGACTCTCTGAGCCTCAGCCTGCTCACCTCTGAGGAAGGGGGATAAACGCCCAGCACAGAACAAGCTTAACATCAGACATCCTGAACCGCTGACTGTGGACCACCCCGACCCTGCAATCTCACAATGGGATTTTTTTATCTTATCTCTTCCCAAATACTATGAACTCCTCCAGACACTGCATTCCTTATTAAACTGGACATATATGTCTAACTTAAAAGGTAATGAACTAAAAAGTCAAGGTATAGATCAGGGAACCAGGCCCCCCAGCAGCCCCCAAAGTTGTTGGTGTCTTCACACTGGAAAACAAGCCATTTGATTCCTTTTAGCTGGAGAAAAAATGCATTAAACTTTGTAACTGAGAACATTTATGATCCATCTGACCCCAAATCTCAAAACCCATTGAAAGTGGCATTTAAATCTCACAGTGCCCTGAGATTCTGCCAACACCAGTGGGGAACATAGCTAAGAGATTGTGTTACATCTTTGACCTGAGCTTTTTTTTTTCTTTTAAATATGGTCTTGATAAATGATTTCCCATTTACCTTTTTCCTTTCTCTATTGTCTGTAACCTTGAAACTTGATTTGCTATCCACCAGGCAACACTGATTTGCAACTTCACTAGATAGGTTGGAGGAGGGGGGCTTACAGCCTCAAAACAACCCTGCTTTCCCTATCACGGGGCCAGAGGGAGTGGAGCTGCTTCTGAATGCTTGCTCTGAATTCAGCCTTGCTGAGTGCTACTCAAGGTACGGGTGCGGTGGGTGGTGTCCCCAGTTCCTAATCTGGGGAATTATCCCAGTGTACTTTGGGCAGCAAATTTCTGATGCAGAAAGATGGTGTTTGTACTGCAGAGCTGTGGTCTTAACATTTACACAAAGTCACAAAGTTTGATCTCAAAGTCGCTAAACCTCTCTGTGCCTCAGTTTCCCCATATACACAAAGGAATAATAACCGTCACTATCAGTAGGGTGTTTTAGCAGCAAATAACAGAAAATCCAAATCAAATTGACCTCAACAATAAGAACATTTACTGACTCCCAGAACCAGAACTGCAGTGGTTGGGTATGGCTTCCTCTCCTGTCATCTCTTGCCCCCATCCTGTTTTGTTCTCATAACAACTAAATCCTTAGGCTGATAGGAAAATGGAAGCAACAATCTGCAAACTGACATGGGCCAAGGTTTCAAGGATTTTATTTAAGGTAACATCCTAACAGGAGATTTTTGAACCACAAAGGTTCCAGCCCTTAATGGTGAGATTTAGTGCCTTACAGTCACTGGTATATCCTTGGGATGCTAGATATTATCGTGGCTAGCATAAGACCATAGGGTCAACTTTGCTTCCCTTGACATTCTGGAATGTGTCCACACCAGGCACAGGAGCCGGAATGGCTGTGCCTTCTGTGAGGTCACCAATATCATCAGAGGATGCTCCTTTTAGGGGATGCAGGTAGCCAATGAACAGCCAGAGCTGAAGAGGCACCATGAAGCTGAAAGGTCACCTTGGGTTCCTTTGAAGGGAAGGATACAGAGTCCAGCCAGTGCTCATTCCTGTTGGTGGTCTTCTTCCAGAAGCCTAAAGTAGTGGTTCTCAAACTTGAGCACTGGCTTTGAGAGCTTCTCAAGGTACAGATTGCCAGCCCACACCTCAGGAATCTCTGATCCAGCAGTTCTGGAGAAGGTCCTGATCATTTACATTGCTTACAAGTTTCCAGATGATGCTGATGCTGCTGGTCCAGGGACCAGAATTTGAGAAGCACTGACCAAGAGGATGAATGATGGAGTACGCTTTGCAGCAGAGACCAACAGCAGCCACCCGGACTCAGTTGACTTTCTGCTTACTCTGGCTTATTTATTCTCCATATGCTCCCCATCATCACTGAAGTATCCTGGATCATTCATTTATGGAGGGAACCACATTTTTACCTTATAGGCTAGAGCTCTCTGTGGGAGAGCGGTGGGGTTTTATAATTTATCAACTATGAGGAGCTCACTATTTCATACCCATGGCTGTTTAGAATGCTTAAGAGAACACAGAAGCTCCCTGAGGTGCGGCCCTTTTTTATGCTGGATCTCCAACACTGGAAGCAAAAGGAAGTCCCAAACAGAAACTATATGCAGTGCTGAATCTACAGTGGCTCTGAGAACTTTTAACTAATGGGCACTTGTAAATCTCACAACATTTCCTACTGGCGTGAATGCCCTGGGTAAAATGCTCATTAAACTGTCAGCCAGCAGAGAGGTGTCGTTGCTGGAAAGAGAGTCACAGCATCCAGGGGTGGAAAGAGGCCTCCCTGGGCCACCAGGGCCCTCCTCTCCCCCATTCACCCACCACCAACCCCAGACTCAAACCCTCCTTTCAAAGCCTTTCAGAGGATGTTACAACTCTCCTTCACCTCCACCAGGAAATTATTCTTTTTCTCCAATCCAAATATATATATATATATTCATGTTTAATCACTATTTCTTTTTGTTGGAGAGGATATCTTCTATGAAAATTGAGAATGGCTAGCCACTGTCCATGGTGGACAGTCTTTCATGTACTTAGAATCCCTTATAAAATTACTCCTGAGTCCTTATCTTTTTTATTTTTGTTTCATCATTTTAAAAATTACCATTTAGTGGCTGGGTGTGGTGGCTCATGCCTGTTATCCCAGTACTTTGGGAGGCCGAGGCAGGCAGATCACGGGGTCAGGCGTTTGAGACCAGCCTGCCCAACATGGTGAAACCCCATCTCTACTAAAAATACAAAAATTAGCTGGGCGTGGTGGCAGGCGCCTGTAATCTCAGCTACTCAGGAGGCTGAGGTAGGAGAATCATTTGAACCCGGGAGGCAGAGGTTGTAGAGATCCAAGATCGCGCCATTGCACTCCAGCCTGGGCGACAGGGTGAGACTCCACCAAAAAAATAAAAATTAAAAAAAGATTACTATTTAGTATTAAATAACATTTACACAGTAAAAAAAAATTACATAGCACAAAATAGTATATAACAATTCTTTCCTATAATTAACCTCCAACAATAGTTTCATATGTACCTTTCAGAGATTTTCCAAACATATATTTGTATATACATACACACACACACACACACACATGATTTTAACTTAATGACATATCTTGGGGTTTCTTCATATCAACACATATACTTCTTTATAAGGATATGCCATAAATTATTTCATCACTTCTCTGTTTATGGTTTTTTGACTATTTCCAGTTTTGTACTTTGGGCAGTGTGGTAGATACATCTTTCATTATTTTGGCAAATAGAAGATTTTCTAAAAGTGAGGTTGCCAGGCCAAAGTTTGTATATATATTTTTTTCTTTTGAGATGGAGTCTTGCTGTGTCACCCAGGCTGGAGTGCAGTGGCACAATCTCAGCTCACTGCAACCTCTGCCTCCTGGGTTCAAGTGATTCTCCTGCCTTAATCCCCCAAGTAGCTGGGATTACAAGTGCGTGCCACCACACCCAGCTAATTTTTTACATTTTTGGTAGACACAGGGTTTCACCGTGTTGGCCAGGCTGGTCTCGAACTCCTGACCTAAAGTGATCCACCCGCCTCAGCCTCCCAAAGTGCTGGGATTACAGGCATGAGCCATTGTGCCCGGCCTAGGTTTGTATATTTTTAATTTTGACAGATTGCATTCTAGAGGTTGCACCAATTCTCACTCCTGTCAACAATGTTCAAGAGTGCCAGTGACTCCCTACATATGCTCACCTGTATAGTGTGTTGACAAGTTTTGAAATTTTTGCCTCATAGGCAAAAATAATGCTATAATCTTCAGACCTATAATTCCCACTTCTCTTCTTATGATTGAGCACCTTTTTTTTTTTTTTTGAGATGGAGTCTTGCTCTGTCGCCCAGGCTGGAGTGCAATGGCACCATCCTCGCTCACTGCAACCTCCACCTCACAGGTTCAAGCGATTCTCCTGCCTCAGCCTCCTGAGTAGCTGGGATTACAGGTGCACACCACCAGGCTCAGCTAATTTTTGTATTTTTAGTAGAGACGGGGTTTCACCATGTTGGTCAGGCTGGTCTCGAACTCCTGACCTTGTGATCCACCTGCCTTGGCCTCCCAAAGTGCTGGGATTGCAGGCGTGACAGCCACTGCACCCGGCCGTGCACCTTTTCATATGTGTAAGTACCACGTGTGTTTCTTTGAAGTTTGTTTATCTCCTTTGACCGATTTTTCTATTGGTTGTTGAACTTTTTTTGTAGGTTATTTTTACATATCAGGAATTAACTTTTGTATGTCACACATGTATATTCTGTTGTAAGAATTTTAACTATTTTTCCCCATTTTGTCATTTCTGTTGATTCAGTTTAAAGTGTTTTATGCCATGGAGCCATTTTTTATTTTTATATAGTTAAATATAATCATGCGTTTTCTTAGGGACTTCTGGGTTCTATGTCAATTCAAGATTATTAAAAATGAAAAACAATATTCCTTGCTTTCTTCTAGTACTTTTGTGGTTTATAGTCTTGTGGTTCCTTTCTAACATTTAATTTGGTATAAGGAGAGAGGTACTGATACAGCTTTATTTTGCTTCCCAATGGCTCTCCACTTGTCTCAACACTGCTTACTGATGGCCCATTTACTCTTTACCGATATACAATGTCACTGTTGTAAACTAAATTCCTGTTTGAACTTGAGTGTGTTATTTGTGGAGTCTGTACTCATTCCACTGATTGGTCTGTTCATTTGCCAAAATCTCGTTATAAGAAATAGAGCAAATTTATCATGCATTTTAGCATCTGCTAGGACAAGTATGCTCCATTACTCTTCTTTTTCAGAATTTTCTAGACACACTAGCATGTTTACTTTTGTGTAGAAAATTGAAAATCTGTCTGGAATTGAAAATTACCATGTTGGTACTTCTATTGAGATTGCATTAAATAGGTCTATTTAGATTGATTTAAGAAGAATTGACTTTTTATGATTATTAAGTCTTTCTATCCAATAACAAGGTTAGCATTTCCATTTATTCAGGTTTTCTTTTGTGTCCCTTAGTAGCATCTTAAAGTTTCTTCATGCACAACTTCAACATTTCTTGTTAAGTTCATTCCTGGATATTTTTCAGTTTCTTCTTATAAATGAGTATTTTTTTTTCATTTTGTTTTCTAATCTGTGTATATTTTGTATCTTATTTTCATACCCATCAATTTTCTGAATTCTTTTACCTGCTATAGTAATTTTTCGATTGATTATCTTTTTGTACTCTCTGCAAGTAGTAATTTTGCCCACCCTCTTCCCATGCTTCCACTTACTTCTTTCACCTGTTCTGTTGTAATGGCTACTACATCTGGAACACTGTCAAATAACAGCAGGAAGAATGGATATCTTGGTCTTGCTCCTGAGTTGAATTAGGAAGGCTTCTAGGGCTTCTGCATTCTGTATGATTCAGGCTTTGGTGAATGATCTTGTTATTTTATTGAGTTAATATGTTATGAAAGCATCCTCAATAATATTTTGTTAAAAGTTGGATAAAAATTTTACAATGAATGTTAGATAATTAAATAAGTTTTCAGCATCCAGGGAAGCAATTGCGATTTTTCTCTTTTGATCTATTAGTATGTTAAACTATAGTCATAGCTTTTTCCGGTATTGGAAAATAAATAGGTAATGTTTATTCTGTGTTTACTTTGTTCCAGGCCCTATTCTAAGCACTTTACATGTGTTAATTCATGGAATCCTCTCAATATACTATAATTAACCCCACCTGAAAAATGAGAAAACTAAAGCACAGAGAAGTTAAATAATTATGTGTCCGAGGTCCTATACCTGGTGAGTACCAGATCCGGAATCTGAACACAGGCAGTTTGGCTCCCGAATCTACATTCTCACCAGCTACTCTCAGCAACGGTCTTTGAAATTCTCATCAAGAGGTAGCATTCTCTTAATGTGTACTGGATTCTCTCTGCTAACACTTTATTTAAGTGGGTTTTTTGGCCTTGATATTAATAGATAACTTTGGACTATAGTTTTTCTGTGTGTATATTATCATTGTCGATTTTTGGAATTGATATCTTGTTAGCTTCAAAAACTAATTTGAAAGTTTTTCTTCTTTTACTGTGGCCTGGAACAGTTTAAGTAGTCCTGGAATGATCTTTTCTTTAAAACATTCTTTGCACCTGTGAAGTGTCTGATTCTAGTGCTTTTGAGCGAGTTGGATTTTTGATAATGTACGCTATTTTTTTCCTCTAATCATTGGTTATTTAGATTTTCTGTAACTTCTATGATTGGTTTTTGTAGTTTATGTTTTTCTAGAAAGCTATCCATTTCATTCAGGTTTTCAACTTTATTTCAGTAGAGCTGAGCAAAGAAATATCTCAAAATTATTTTGTTTTGTATACATACAAAACAGTTCCCAATGTACTATTTTGATTTTGTATTAGCCTATGTTCATATTCTTTTCTTAATTATTTTAGCCAGCAGTTTTTCTGTTTTGTTCTGTTTTCAGAGAAGTAGCTCATGGATTTATTTGTTGGTTTTCTATTTTATTTTAACATTTTACTCTATTTGTGGTTACTTCCCTTACCCATTTCTAATTTTGTATATGCTGTTTCATCTTTTTATTTGACTAGGTTGGCTAATGGTTTGTTATCTATTTTATTGTGTTTTTTTTTTGTTTATTTATCCCAAGTACCATCTTTTGGATCCATTTTTAGTTCCATTTAAAAAACTAATTCCTTTTGCCATATTTAGTTATATTTATTATTATTTTTATAACTTGCCAGAATGACTGTTCCTATTAATTATTTTCATTCTTTTATGTTTCACAACACTAGTTAGTAGAACTATGTGGTGAGAGGCAATATCCCAAAGATTGTGATACATGATTCTTGCATTATCAATATTTTCTAGATATTGCATTTTAAATTTTGTTTTAATTTTTCTATGGACCAAGAGTTAAAGAGATAACTTCTTAGTTTCCAGGTGGTTAAGATTTTTTTGTCTCTTATAAATAGGGTTATTTTGATCAATATTTCAAGGACAATTATATAATGGGCATATTCTTTGTATTCAAGGTTTAGAGGTATAGATATGTACAAATATAGATATAGAGATACACACTTATGTGTGCACACACTCCACCCTATTAACTATGGGATTTAAGTTGTCAGTGGCATTCTTTTTTGTCTACTTGATCTGTCATGGCCTGAAAAAGTGCTCACCACAGTTGCCTTTTTGTCTGTTTCTCTTTGTTTTTATTGCAGTTTTTCTTTTACGGATTTTGAAGTAATGCTATTTGCTGCATGAAAATTCACTAAATTGTGTTTACCATTATAAATTGTCCATCTTTGATTTGTATAGTGTGTTTTTTGTCTTGAATTTAATATTATGATCCTTGTTATTTTTTTGCTTGCACCTAATTTCCATGTCTTTGCTTTACCTTTTACTAGCAACCTTTCTGAGTAATTTTATTATAAATGTATTTCTTGAATGTGTAATGTGGCTGATTTATATCTTATTTCAGGTAAGATATATATTCAGATATCTTATTTCAGATAAGATATATATTATTTCAGATTTATATCAATCTGAAAGTGTTTTTCTTTTAAAAAGGGGAGTTTCCCATTTACGTGTACTGCTAAACTATTTCTGAACTTAGTTCTATCATCTAACAACTTACTATTTTACTCTTCCTTTTTTGTTGTTTTCTCTATGGCTTAGGTTTTATTGCTTTATGCTCTGAGTAAATGTATTTATCTTCTACAAGTTTTTAAGATTGACATTTGGTTTTTATTATTCTAATGATACCCCAGTAAATTTTTTTTTTTTTTTGAGATGGTGTCTCACTCTTGTCGCCCAGGCTGGAGTGCAGAGGCATGATCTTGGCTCACCGCAACTTCCACCTCCCAGATTTAAGAGATTCTTCTGCCTCAGCCCCTCGAGTAGCTGGGATTACAGGCGTGCACCACCATGTGTGGCTAATTTTTGTATTTTCAGTAGAGATGGGGTTTCACTATGTTGGCCAGCTGGTTTCAAACTCCTGACCACAAGTGATCCGGTCTCCCAAAGTGCTAGGATTACAGGTGTGAGCCACTGTGCCTGGCCCCCAGTAACTTTTAATATATTGAAACCTTCTTGCTTTTTCAAGTTCAAGCAATATTTTTCGACACCCTGCTATGAGAAATGAGGCAAATTAGCAAGACTCCCTCTAGCCCTCTGCACCTTCCTGTCCTTATTATCCCTGTCACCTTTGTTTGTACTGCATCACCACGAGTCCAGTTCTTCATGGCACTTATCACAGTGCGTAATGATGCTACTCATTCATTTGTTTACTTGTTTGTTCTTTAACTCCCCCTCTGGACTATAAAATACTTGAGGCCAAGGGCTTTGTGTGCTTTTGTGTGATCAGAAAGAAGTGACACAATTACAGGATAAGAGAAGGGTTATAAGGGGCCTTTAAGATTATCTCACCCAAGCTCTCACTTCGAGTTAGGAAATCGAGCCCTGGCGGGTGGAGACACTGGCCCTACATCACAGAGCTAGTGAGTGATGTCACAGAGCTAATGAATTTCGATCACTTCACCCAAGCTTGTTCCAGAACTCCAGGCTCCCTCAAACATATGTTAACCACAAGGGAGGCTTCACATTTACATAGAACCAATGTGGATGATATTTTTTAGCAATTTCAATTGCTGTCACTGAGCATCTTTTAAATGACATATTTGAAAATAGCTCCATTATAATGTACAATTTAAAAAAATCATTGTTTCATATGTTCATAATAATCTTGTAACTTTTTTTTTTTTTTTTCGAGACAGAGTCTCACTCTGTTGCCCAGGCTGGAGTGCAGTGGTGGGATCTCAGCTCACTGCAACCTCCGCCTCCTGGGTTCAAGTGATTCTTCTGCCTCAGCCTCTTGAGTAGCTGAGACTACAGGTGCGCACCACCATGCCCAGCTAAATTTTGTGTTTTTAGTAGAGACGGGGTTTCACCATATTGGTCAGGCTGGTCTTGAACTCCTGACCTTGTGATCCACCCACCTTGGCCTCCCAAAGTACTGGGACTACAGGCGTGAGCCACTGTGCCTGGCCATAATCTTGTAACTCTTTACAGATATATTCTGAATCTAATCTT
The DNA here is from genome assembly GCF_000001405.40 of Homo sapiens. NCBI lineage: Eukaryota > Metazoa > Chordata > Mammalia > Primates > Hominidae > Homo > Homo sapiens. Next base: position 27,387,839 of record NC_000007.14, read on the forward strand.
TTGAGGTTTCTTGGTGGAGGAAGCCTGAGAGGAAGAACACCCCCATTGTAAGTTGGGAACCAAGATTCTAATAAGTGACACACTCCAAGTCACTTAGAATGGCGAGAAATGATTCCAGAAAAGAATCTCTGTTTCCTGGCAACCAGCTCAGTACTCTCTGAAGGGCACTTGGAAGGAAAGTTCAATCAATGGAAGGGTCAAATGTTTCTTTTTCAAATGGCCATTTTGCATGTAATGGCTGTTCTGTGCAGACATTGTGGGCTGTTCTTCTCTTGTTCATAAGATCTAGGGTCCTTCTGTGCAAATGTATGTGCTGTGGGTAAGAAATTACTTCAACTGAGTTTATTGGCATTTCTTAGCACATACGAGTTCGAAGAAAATTTATTACAGGTAAGAGCTCTGTCCGTTAAAACACTGCTGTATAGATTACATAGTGATACATTTGGTCAGAGAGACAGCCAAGAAAAGCTCAGGACAGATCTTGCCAATTCCAAAGACCAGCCTTTCCAAAGGGTCTGTAAATCTTTCTCCCAACCCCAAAGCCACCTGCTTGGCCCTGATAATGTTTTCAATTTGACTGAATTTCTGCTAATGGGAATGTGCGCAGTGTAGGAAGGGTGCTGGAATCAGACCGAACCGTTGGTTTGAACCTGAGCTTCTGCATGCTTTTGAGAAAGGTCTTATCGTGCCCAAGCCTTCATTCCTTTAGATGTGGACAGAGTATAGTAACATTATTTTAGAAGATTGTTGTGCTGCTTCAACAGGATTATGTGTGGGTATCTGCTACTTGGTATATTTAAGCCTTCTCCTGATCACAACGCATTACTAGCTGTCAAAAGATTGGCAGGGAGATCTGGACCAAATTGAAAACAGTACTGACCAATACTATATCATCATTTGTGCTCAATCAGAGACTTTGGTTAGTTTCTCTGCCAGCTCTCGAAACTCTGTATTAAGTGTACGTAATAACCCCTTAGGACTTAGAAACACGGACTTCCAGTTAACAGAAGAAAAAGTGGTCATCGAAAAGTAAGGCAATGAACCTAAAGCTACACGAGTCACTGGCCAGCTCTGTGGATGAGCAGCTCTCACAAGGGCCACTGTGGCACCCTGGGGGCCGCCTGTGTGTGGTGGGGGACGGGTGCCACAGATCTCTGGAGCTATGGTCTCTGGAGGGCTCTCTCTCTTTCTGACTGATAGGAGAGACTTTCTTAAATTTCAGTTGTAACACTGCATACATTTCTTCCCCTATTAATAACCATTAGTTCTTCGTGTGCTAGAAATCATGAGTTAGAGGGAATAGGACAGTCCTTTGTAAGACAGGCCATTGAGGAATAACCCCAAATAGAAACAGTGAGTTGCAATTTCTCATTCAACAAAAATATTACTGAGCACTTCAGCTGTGCTGGGCTAGGCGAGTGCTGGCTGATGGCAGGGACACCATTGGTGAATCAGACCCAACCTGTCTAGTGGGAGAGCTACAAATAACTAGAAAAGACTGTGTGGTGTTCACCTTCACCAATTTAACCTGGACCTCGATTCCTAAAGTACAAAAAAAGGAGACCTGGGCCAGGTGATTCCCCAAGGTCCATTTTACTTCTTCAACTCATGTTTATATGAAACTTCACCCTCAGTTTCTTAAAAAAACAAACAAAAACAAAACAAAACTAAAGGATAGAGAAATATAAGAAACATTTTAAATGATTTTACAACATCTTAATTTCCTCTATAAAAAGGTTTAAACTGAACTGGTAATGATGACTTCATCCAAGCAGCCAATTTTAGCTCAACATTTAGGAATCGCTGTGGAAGAGTCCCAAGAGCCTTGGCTGTTCTTTCTTTCTTTTTCCGCCTTTGCTCTTTCTGGCCTGCTGCTGCTCAAAGTTTTCCATGTTGATTTTTTTCCCTCTCTCCCTGCCTGCTGGTTCCTCTACATCATTTACTGCCTGTGTTAATTCACTTTTATTTGACCCTTAGCATCATCTGTCAAATTCTTGCATGTTCACTAGCATACCATTGTTTTAGTAGTGGCTCTGCAGCTTCAGTCGACCTCTGGCCACAATTCCCCTAACTGTTGCTGCTGTTTCTTCTTCTTTCCTCATCTGGCTAGCTAGAAATGGGTGACATTAGCATTGAAAGGTCTGTTCCCGTCCATTCCTGTTTTCCTAAAATTTCAGCTTTTGAAACTGAACAAAGTGATACTGTAGTAAATATGCCTGTGCTAAGAAAACTGGGACTTTCCTTTAAAAAAAAATGGAGTTTCAAATTATAATGAATTTGAATTTTTCCTTTGAAAACATATTACATTCAATTAAGCTGTATTGCAAGCTAGGCTCACAGTCTGTGATTTATATTGTTATAATTAGCAGATGAAATAAAGATTATAAAATACACTGAACAGGGAAATGCAACTTGAGAATATGTTAGAAGTGTTCATTCTAAACATTGCAGTGTTTGTTTCCATCACCCTGTTTCTAATTAGAAGCACAAGCACAAACTAAAACTAAAGGGTAGGATAAGAAATGGAGGCTATTTTAGGCCAGATGCAGTGGCTCATGCCTGTAATACAGCATTTTGGGAGACTGAGGCAGGAGGATCACTTGAGGCCAGCAGTTTGAGACCAGCTTGAATAATACAATGAGACTCCACCTCTACAAAAAATAAAAATAATAAAAAGTAAAGCTAGATATGGTGGCTTGTGCCCATAATCCCAGCTACCTGGGTAGCTGAGGCGGGGAGGATCATTTGAGCCAGGAAGTCGAGGCTGCAGTGAGCCATGATCACACCTCTGCGCTCCAGCCTGGATGACAGAATAAGACCTTGTGTCAAAGAAGACCCAATTTAGGGTAAATATCAGACTTTCTCAGGTTTGCCCTAAGTCACTCAATGTTTTTGTCCTTTCTTGGTATATATTTCAGTCATTATTTTGTTTATTGTCCATCCCTCCCTCCTCTAGGGTGTAAGCTCCATGAGGGTAGGGAGTTCTGTTGTTTTTGTTTAGTGCTGTATCTTTAGGGTATAGAATCATGCCTGGCATATAGTAGGTGCTCTCTCTATATTTGAGTAAATGAAAGACTAGAGGAATAGTCATATTTGCAGGACTAAATTCCAGTATTGTAAAAGGAAATTACTATACTGCAGGCTAAACATGGTAAATGGAACACATGTGTTTATCTCCGTTCCCTCCAGAAATGCCTCTAAAATAACATAAAAGGCCTAAACTCACAAAGACTAAAAGAACTAGAGAGAAGACTGCAGCAGATAAGAGATTTCAACAAAATTTTGATGGCTGATCACCTTGATGATTTTGTCATGCTGGGAAAAGCTGAAACCTAAGCCCATGGGGGAGAAGCCAATTAAAAACAAGCTATTTGTACCACAGCTCCCTAGAAAGGCTCAGGATTTGGAGGCACTTTGTGCCTCTCATGTACCCTTCTCAGGAAGCTACTGGAGGATGTACTCCACTAAAACAGGGTAGAAGTCAAGGAAGAAAAAGACCTAGGGTTGGGGAAACAGGAATCCAACACAGGAGAGAGATAAAGGACATTTCCAGGATGAGAGTAGAGAGAAGTCTCAGCCTGACAGGTTAACAGGCCTAGGGAGCGACCAGTCCAGATGGTGGCAGGGGAACAAAAGACTCCAAGGTTAATGTCTTAAAGAAATAGAAAACATGATACTTTCAGGAACCGTTTCTCTAGGTGTTAAAGAAGTAGAAGCAGCAGCAACAACCTGGTGTACTTGAACGTTCCCAGAGGAGATTTTACAGTTCTGTCAGAGGATTTAGGGTCCCATTAATTATACAAATGAGAAAACAAAGCAATTATAATCTCCAGGGAAAGCAAACAGCTATATGAAAAAGGAAATGGAATTATATTTTACTACTAAGGCTTAACTATGATTAATATTTACTTATTCATCATAATGCTATATATATTGGGATGTTCAAGGGGAGGGCAAGTGTTTGGTGTGTGTGGGGAGGAGACAGTATAAGAAAATAAAACCGGTATCTTCCATAACTGAGAATCAGTGGATGCTATCTAAAACTGAAAAATCATGGCTGGGTGCAGTGTCTCACACCTGTAATTCCAGCATTTTGGGAGGCTGAGGCGGGCAGACCATCTGAGGTCAGGAGTTCGAGACCAGCCTGGCCAACATGGTGAAACCCTGTCTCTACTAAAAATACAAAGATTAGCCAGGTGTGGTGGCACATGCCTGTAATCCCAGCTAATTGGGAGGCTGAGGCAGGAGAATTGCTTGAACCCAGGAGGTGGAAGTTGCAGTGAGCTGAGATCGCGCCACTGTACTCTAGCCTGACTGACAGAGCGAGACTCCGTCTCAAAATAAAATAAAACAAAACTGAAAAATCAAAAAATAGCAGTAGAAACATAGTATTCAAAGCTATGAAGGTAAAAACTCAAATAAATGGCTAAAATTTAAAAGTGCTGGCCTTTGGAAAGCTTACAAAGCTATGTGCACATGTGTTATATTTTTATATAAGTAAAAATAAAATTAGCAAGAGGAAATGAGGCTTTCATTATACACCTCAAGAGAAGGATCTTGAAGTCAGATGTGTTCATCTTTCAATCTCTATATGTAGAAGATATTTGATAAATGATGAATGAATGAGTGAATGGAGAGCTGTCATGAACTTATTTAGAGTTCATAACATATCCCTGGCAGCTGGTGGAATGATGAGAAGTTCTGCAAGAGAGAATGATTTAGGAAGCTTAGAAAAGATATGCAATTGTGTATCCCACTACAATGGAGCCCAAGGTTTCTGCTCAGTTTAACCTATTACACAGTGTAAGGCCGGCAAAAATTGTTCATTTCCATAGAGCTGACTTTGCAGATTTAAAAAGTCCTGAATGGGAAATAAATATGCTGCTCTTAATAAATGTCTAGTTAAGGTATAGTTAATATAGTTAAATGTGAAAGTGTATAAATGATATATTTTAATAGCACCCAGAGCACATTTCAGGACTGAGATAAATGCAAACTTTTAAAAAACTCTAACATCCTCTAAACACATTGCCTTATCCTAGTAAATGATAAATTACTAAAGAAAAATGTTATTCTGCAATGTTTTGAAGATTAAGTAGCATATGAGTAAAATTAACATTGTGTGTAAGTGAAGCTGTGACTATATCATGTCAGGTTGGTAATAAAATTGCAAAGGAGAGAGAATTAGAGTTTTATGCCACAGAAATGGAAGTAGTTTTCATTTTAATTGTTTTTCTTTAAATGGATTGTTTCTGTAGTATACTATATTCTTTCCAGTTCACAGATGTTCAGGAGGGATAAAAGAGTTATAAAATATTCTAATGTGAGCTTTTAAAATAGCTTTTTTGGAACAGGAAAAGAGCAGTCTAAAGAATTCAGAATTTTTAGAGTACAATAAAGCATTCATATTGCAAATTTAGTAATTTGTGTTTTGTGATATGGAAAAATAAATGGCCTTTTAACATTGACTCCAGTGCTGGCCTGTTAGTCACATACATTCACTTTATGATTTTATTTTTAATGTCAGAGTTCTGACAGTTCACTTTCTTCCTTGCCTCCTCTCTTGCTAGCAGTTCTTTATTCCTGGCCTTAGGAAAGTCCACCTTTTCTCTAGCATCTAAATCTGGCCCTGGACTTTGCCTGGGCTGACCTGGATGGATGAATTTGTTGTGCTAATATCAGAGGCTTCCAGCTGTGCCTCTGCCACTGGCCAGAGTTCCTTCCCCCTCCATCCTTCCAGCAGGCCCCACCCAGGTCCTCCTCAGAGGCCCTCCGATGGCACAGAGCCAGGGTGCTGTGCTCCTTATACTTGCTGCACTTAGTATTTCTTGTCTACTTCTCCCCATCTTCATATCTTTCCATGATTCTTTCTAAAACTACATTTATCCTTTGTGCTGTGTACAAAAGCTCCTGTTTATTTCAGGGCTCTGATCTTCTGTTACCATCACAGATGCTTTTTCCCTGCTGCACACATGATCAGAGCCTAAGATGTATCCTGAGAAATGGGCACCATTGTGGAAACCAACATTGGGATCAAAATGCCACTTTATTTATTTGTTTATTCAACAACAACAGCAACAGATATCTACTGAGTGCCTGTTATGCACGAGGTGCTGGGCTGGTTTTATAATGCTGAGCAAGAGAAACATGGGCTCAGCTCTTACGCAGCTTACCATCTGGTAAGCAAAATATACGTTGAAATGAATTCGCCAATGAATCTATTACTTTCCAGTATCATAAGCACCGGGAGATAGATGTACAGGGTGATATATGTACATAAAGCAGGGGTATCTGACCAAATTTGGGGGTTAGGAAAAGTTTTCTTCAGGAAGTGACACTTAAACTAGAGTCAGCTGGAGAAGAGCAGAGCTTCCTCTGCAGAAGCTCAGGAGTGAAGGCCTTGAGGCAGGGGAGAGAGTGGAGAATTTGAGAAACTGAGAGAAGGATCCTTGCCCTTCATTGATGAGGAGGCATTGAAGGATGAGGCTGAATGGGCAGGAGGAGATGTTATGGAGGGCTGGCACGTGAGGGGCAACAGAGGCTTGAATGGGAGCACGATGGCATCAGACCTGCACTCTGACAGAATGATTGCAGGGTGTAGGTGTGGATGGGGGACATCTGTTCCAATTCTCCCTCATATCCGAGGTAAGCTGGTACCCCAAGGCTCCCTGGGTTCACCCATCACTTCCTGTGGTCCTGCCACAGGGTCACACACAAGCGAGTGAGGGAACCAGAGGGCAAGGAGTGGTACACACCAGCCTGGAGAAGTAGATGTGAGAGATGCATGCTGCCTTGATTAGAAGACTTCTAGATTTTTCTTTGGGCATTTCTCTTATTTTTCAATGTACAGTCAATGCGTGGTTTTTAACCTTGCTTCTGCCTGATCCTCTGATACCTCTTGGAGGTAGAAGAGGAAACACTAACGTAGCAAAGGCAAAGGGGAGTACTCTGTTGTTTTGTATAAGGGCTGTATCATCAACCAAAAAAATGAAGCTACACTTGAGGTAGGGGAAAGTATGTCATTTCGAATGGAAAATCCAGTCGTTAACTACATTTTAAAAATTATTAACAAGAAAAGGACCAATGATAGAATGAGACATTAAAGAAAAACACAGACATCAGAGTTTCTGTTTCCCACACTGCAAAGTTGAATTCCATCAGTCAAGCCAGAAGGTTAGGATGACCCTGCTCTTCTAGCCTCCTCTCTGTAATCCAATACAAACATATTCTTTGCGGAAAGCAACACTGTTTGGTGATATTTTCTGTTATGTCAGCTATTTAGAGAATAAGTTATTCTACTCATCACTCCATGTATAGTTTTCCACCACAGGGCATTTTCCAATTTTTTCCTTGTAATGCAACACTTGGTTTCATGGGCAAAAATGTTTTCTGAGTATAAGAACAACTTCCTTCTTCCCCTCCTCTCTCCACCCTCCTGTCCTTCTTTCCACCCTTTCTTCCTTCCTTTTTCCTTCCCTTTCCCTCCTCCCGTCAATAAGTATTGGTTAAGACATTCAAAGCACTAACTTCAAAATCAAATTTGTGCGAAGTGGCGGTTTTGATCATCATCCCAGCATTGTCCTGAGATGACTCCCCGTTGATTGATGACCTAATTCTGCCTGGTCAAATCAGAGGAAGTCTTGGCCACATGGACTTTGTGGCCACAAATCCTGTCTAGCACATTGATTTTGATTCAGCTGGGTCTTCCCTATTTGGACACCTTCTTTGGAGATGTTTGAGGAAAGATGGAATGTTGGAGGAGGGGGTTGTCTTCTTTTCTCCAAAACAAAAAGGAGAGAGAAGGTGACAATACAGCTCTGCACAATAGAAAAGGAAAACCCAGGCCCCTGAGTGAGAGCCAAGGAGCACTGCAGAGACTGAAGCTTGTGCCCACAGGTAAACGACAGCAGCTCCCCTACATAGGAGCAGGGCCACTGCTATGGAGTCCAGCAGGGAGAGAAGGGGGCAGGCAGGAGAAGCAGGGGGAGATTTGCTTACCCGGCTCTCAACAGTGCTCGACTAGGGCAATGTGGCCTCCCTGACCAGGTGGTGGAGGCACTGAGGACATCCCACATCTCCCTTTGGCACCATTCCTTTGCACACCTGGCCACCCATCATGCACTCAGCAAGCATCTGTTGAGTACCTTGTATGGACATGACATTGAGATGCTCACATTGTGTCACTCCTCAAGGCACATAAAGTCTAGTGGGAGGCAAATAAATAGACCACAGAACACAATTTGTGGCAGAGCAAATGAAGAAGGTGCTTTAACAGAGGGACATTGGCAAATAAAGAAGGTGCTGTCACAGACGGACATTTTCAGGCACACAGGGAGAAGGGGAGAATTTATTATGGCTGGGTCTGAGATTTAAATACGAGAATATGATACTTAAAGTGACAAGGTCATGCAACATACGTGTGAGGTGTCTGATAAACCTTCATGTCAAAGAAGCCTAGTGTATGAAAATTTAATCTCGGAAAAGTTAGGTGGGGCTGTTACTTTATAAATAGGTGCTTTACAACAAAAGATTCTTAAAATAGTAAGTATGTCTTATGTTAATATGACATAAAATATTAACAGAAGGAATAGACTTAAAGGGCTTTTGAAATGTTAATATAGCTATGAAAATATGGTTCAAGCTACTAACATGTCATTGCACATTATTTTTCATAAATATTTCTGTTGCATAAGCTAAAACATACCTGTATTCGGGATCATAAGTGCAAACACCTCTAGGAATAGGACCCAGGCATCAGGAGTTTTTAAAGCTCCCAGGGTTGTTCTGCTGTGTGGCCAACACTGAGGACCACTGCTATGGAGTAGCGCCCCTCAAACTTGGATGTGCAGAGGAAGCTCAGGGGGTCTCTTAAGTGGAGGTTCTGACTCAGTAGGTCTGAGGTGCGGTCTGAGAGTCTGCATGTCTAATGGGAACTCAGGTGGTGGTGATGTTGCCAACCCAAGACCACATGGTGGAAATGATGTTGGTTTTAAACCATGTGCACGGTGCATCCTGGGGAGCCTCTGATTGGACAGTGGGGCCTTGATTTTTCCAGGGCTTCTCATCCTGAAGTACAAATTGAATTACACAACAATAACAACTCAGATGCCACCAGCTCTCATTTGAGCCAGTTCTCACAGGTGTACCACACTCCTGTCCCCACTCATGGAAAGAGAGTGCTGTAAATATGTCCAATAGTCGTGTCATAGTTCTTAGGGGTATGTCACATGCATGTCCAGTTAACTGCCCCATAATCATTTCTCTCTCTTGTCTTGATTAGCCTTGTTACCTTGTACTGTGACAGCAAACCCCAGCCCTACACCAGACCCACAACGATTCCAATGGGGGACAGCCAGGAGACGACTCTAGCTAAAAGACACCATCCTGTCCTCAGAATCACTGGTCCCAAGCAGCTCTTATAGCTCAGGGTGTTAGGTTTCATCATCCCTTATAATGAGTTCTCTCTGGAAGGTCTTCATGGCTCACAGTAAAAAAAATTCAGGGGGCCCACCCTACCAAGGCAACAGCCTTGTCTGAATCCCTGCTCATTTTCACATAGGAACCATAGCCATACCAAGTTTCGTTTTGTTGCTGGAAAGAAGAGGACAAGCCTAGTAGAAAAGGGAGTATGTGGAGACAGGAGGAAAAGAGTTCTCCGGGGAAATTCATGCCAAGGACCTCTGTAGCCACAGTCTCCACAGCAGTGGGAACACTGCCTGGGACTCTGATCAATGGGTTGTATCTATGCAGGGAGGGCTGGACTTGCTTGCAGTATGTTAGTACAGGGCCTTAGGACCTTCTCAGATGGCCTTCACAGATGGCGTATCTCATCCTACAATGGACATGATGTGACTGGGCAGAAACCTCAGTTAGGTGCAGAAACCTCATCAGTAAAGGTTTCTGTGGTTAAGGGAGCACCCCACCTCCGTCTGCTGAACCAATCTCTCTATAAACTCTTCTCATCATGTTTCCAGGTACTCTGTTTCCTCTCTCCATTTTTTCCATTCCCATCATGTGTGTGCAAGATGGACACATAGACGTGGCATGTGTCTACACCCTATGTTATTGTTAAACACACAATTATCTTTTTCTTTGCCAAAATGCATATTTTTGTTGTGTTATTTGAGGAGCTACTAACAGTTAAAGTGGCCCTCATAATGATTTAAAATGTCCATATGCAGTAATATACAGCCTTCAGAAAATACTGGCACAGTGTCTATTAACATACTGCAGTGTGTGTGTGTATATTTTAAGACAGGATCGTGCTCTGTCACTCAGACTAGAGTGTAGTGGTATGATCATGGCTCACTGCAGACTCAAACTCCTGGGCTCAAGCAATACTCCCACCTCAGCCTCCATAGTAGCTGGGACTACAGGTAGGTGCCACCATGCCTGGCTAATTTTTTTTTTCCTTGTAAAGATGAGGTCTCACTATGTTTCCCAGGTTGGTCTTGAACTCAAGGAATTCTGGCCTCAAGGAATCCTCTTGCCTTGGCTTCCCAAAGTGCTGGGATTACAGGCATAAGCCACTGCACCCAGCTCTGCAGTATAAAATAGTAAATTCCAGGAAAATTTAAATGAGGCCAGAATTTCCAAACCATTCTGCTGCCATTTATAACAAATGGGCCTATCATATTATCTATTTCACTCTTTTGTGTGTATTTCTGTTGTTTCATAAATACAACTCTCTCGACTAAGTATTGCATGCTTTCGGAGTAGAATGGAGATGCCACGTTGTTCACATCCTCAAAGGTTTTGTTTAAAGAGACAAACAGCTTAAGCAACACCCCAATTGGTAAGTTTAGCACAGTTTAGATGTAGAAAAGCAGAGATGTGCCTTACTGCAAATCACCGCCTCCACATTGCCAATATGTGAAAACCCAAACTTCCCAAACACACAAATTAAATTAATGCTGGATGTTTCATTTTACAAAGCTTTCATTAGATAGTGGGTTCCTAGAATGCATTCATGTGAAGGCAGCTCTTCAGAAGTCAATCTCCTGCACAGTATGAAGCAGGCCTTCCTCTCATTCTGCATGAAACATTCCAACTATTTTTAAATCATGAGGTCTAGATTTAACAGCTTTACAAGGAAAAAATTATCTAGGTTTTTACATGTGTAATGAGAGGATACAGTAAGGCCAAAAACCATCTTGAGCCAAGAAAATTTAGTCTTGGAGCAAACAGTGTTTAAGGATTTCCGATGTTACAGCAGCCCCTGGCAGAGCTGCAAAGAAAAGCCAAGAGATCTCCGTTCAAGTTACAGCCTGGGGCCAGCTTGAGCACGTGGGTGCCACTACTGCTGGGGCTTCTGATAGATCAATGAGGGAGTCACTGGCTGAAGAACACAATCATGTCCACTGTATGGGCAGAGATCACTAGGCATTGGTTCACTGTTCACTAGTTTTTTTCCCTACACCTGGTGGGTGCATGGAACTAGACTTAACCAGGTTATTAACAAAGTATTTCTGGACTGGAGAGATCTTAGAAAACCATGTACATCAACTCCCTCATTTATTATGCATGAGAAGGCAAATAACTTGCCCAGGACCATAACACAAGTAAAGGTTAGAGTTGAGACTGTAGTGCTCTTGGCTTCTAGTGCAAGACTCTTTCTGTACCTGCTACCATAACTCTTCATCTCCCACCTCCAAAATGGGGCAACTCCCTGGGGTTAACCTGCCAGTTAACCTGTTCATCACTAAAAAATGACCATGGTGAAACCCTGGGCACAAAGCTTCTCTAGCCACAGTGTGGGCCCAGCAGCAGGTTCATGTAACAACCCTGGGCTTTTACAGACTCACCTGCTCCCGAGCCTGGCTCCCTTTTATTCCGCAGCCTCACTCCTAACAGGCGTCTCAGCCGTCTCTGATTCTCTCCTTGTGGAAACCTTAGGACCTAATACCTTCAGCTCCTGCATGCCCAGCCATGGCAGGGCATTAATGCTGGCTTTATTTCCTCCAGAAATGAGCAATAGCTCTTCAAGCATTTTCTACAGGCTCCACATGGCTCCAAGTCACAGCCCATGGCCACAAGCACTGCCAGCTCCCTCAACAAAATTGGGAAGTTTGTGGACCCCATGAGAGGCCTTATTTATTACCTCTCCCAGAGAAAGCAGACTGGGGCAATAATCGTCAAAGTAATATTTACCCCTTAATAACTGCCTATTTTTATACTGGTGTTAGAGGTTAATAGCAGTGTTATTTACTCCTCTGCCAAAAAGAACTGAAGGATGTGAAATGTAGCAGTCAATAAAGCTCAACAGTCAGATAAATAACATTCATATTATTTCCTGACAAATCCTTCTGCAACCCAGGGATATAAATAACCCTAAGAAAGCACTTCCTGCATTACAAGTTTACTGATGTGTAAAATGTAATTTAAAAGAGAGCCTCGAACCCTAGAAGCACTGGACTCTGTAACTGTGTACACCAACAGACAGCCCCACGATTGTGCACACGCACATGTGTGGAGGCCATCCTCGAATGCACATTCATTCCCAGACACACTTATTATCGCTAGTCCGTGAGTGTGGTCATTCCTCTCATTTCCTCTTGACTTCCGGGACGTGCACTTCTGCTTTTCCTCCTACCTCTTTGATGACCTTTCTTAGTTTTCTCCTCTCATGCTCTAAAGAGGACCTCATCCCAGTCCCAGGCATTCTGTTCTGGTGCTTTCCTCAGTGGTCCCGCCTGTCTTCGCAGCTGAATCACAAATATGTATCCCCACCCACCATCTCCCTGAGCTCTAACTCCCTGACATTCCAACTGGCATGTATAAGAGGCACCTCAGTCATGGTCTGGCCACGATGTGGCTCTAAATCCCACCCTTGGCCTGCTCCCCAGTCCCTCAGCCCCTGTGGTCTTCCCCAAACCAGCAAATGGAATTACCTTTCATGCAGCTATTTCATGAAAATGCCTAGCATTTTTTTTTTTTTAAGTTCTAGGGTACATGTGCACAACATGCAGGTTTGTTACATATGTATATATCTGCCATGTTGGTGTGCTGCACCCATTAACTCGTCATTTACATTAGGTATATCTCCCAATGGGATCCCTCCCCCCTCCCCCCACCTCACAACAGGCCCCAGTGTGTGATGCTCCCTACCCTGTGTCCAAGTGTTCTCATTGTTCAATTCCCACCTATGAGTGAGAACATGCAGTGTTTGGTTTTCTGTCCTTGAGACAGTTTGCCCAGAATGATGGTTTCCAGCTTCATCCATGTCCCTACAAAGGACATGAACTCATCCTTTTTTATGGCTGCATAGTATTCCATGGTGTATATGTGCCACATTTTCTTAATCCAGTCTATCATTGTTGGACATTTGGGTTGGTTCCAAGTTTTTGCTATTGTGAATAGTGCCGCAATAAATATATGTGTGCATGTGTCTTTATAGCAGCATGATGTATAATCCTTTGGGTATATACCCAATAATGGGATGGCTGGGTCAAATGGTATTTCTAGTTCTAGATCCTTGAGGGATCACCACACTGTCTTCCACAATGGTTGAACTAGTTTATAGTCCCACCAACAGTATAAAAGTGTTTCTATTTCTCCACATCCTCTCCAGCACCTGTTGTTTCCTGACTTTTTAATGATCGCCATTCTAACTGGGCCTAGCACCTTTTTAATCCCCTCTGATATTCCCCTGCTCCCACTTGGTATTAAAGCCACCAGCAAGTCCTGCAAGCCTCTATCCCTGTTCTTTCTGTCTCTGCCCCATCCCGCAGTCCAAGGTCTCCATCTTTCTGATTGCTTTCCCAGCTGCTACTCCAGCCCCTCATTCATTCCCCTCCCAGAAGAGTGAGCTTTTAAAATATGAATCCAAGGTCTTTCCTTGGCCTACCGGCCCTATGTGACCTGGCCCTGTTCCTCTCCAGCCCCTCTCCCTCTCTCATAGCCCTCCAGCCACAATGGCCACCTCTTAGTTCCTCAAACAGATCAAGCAGGCTCCTTCTACCCAGAATGCTATGGATCCAGTGTTCCCATGCTGGCTTCCTCCTGTCACTCTGTGAGGGGTCCTTCCAACCATACAGTCTAAATACACGCTACTCCCTTTATGACACCATTACTATTTTCTTCATAGCACCCATCATTTCTTGAAATTATGTTGTTCCTAGGTGTGCTTGTGTGTTCATTATTGATCTCTACCAGACTTCGACCTCCAGAAGAGCAGGGTCTTGGGCTGTCATCTTCATCAGTGTACATCCAGTGCCTGGGGAGCCATCAGGCACACAGCAGGCATCTGTATTAGTTTGTTAGGGCTGCCATGCAAAGCATCACAGACTGGGTGGCTTGAACAACAGAAATTTATTTTCTTAAGATTCTGGAAACTAGAAGAAATCCAAGATCAGGGTGTCAGCAGTGTTGTTCCTTCCTTCTGAGGCTTCTCTCCTTGGTTTGCAGATGGCTGTTGTCTTCCAGTGTCTTCACATGGTCTTCTTTTTTTTTTTGAAACACAGTCTCTGTCGCCCAGGCTGGAGTATAGTGGCGCAATCTTGGCTCACTGCAACCTCTGCCTCCCGGGTTCAGGCAATTCTCCTGCTTCTGCCTCCCAATTAGCTGGGATTACAGGCACCCGCCACCACACACGGCTAATTTTTTTGTATTTTTAGTAGAGATGGGGTTTCACAATGTTGGCCAGGCTGGTTTCGAACCCCTGACCTCAAGTGATCCACCCACCTCGGCCTCCCAGAGTGTTGGGATGATAGGCGTGAGCCACCGCACTGGGCCCACATGGTCTTCTTTATGCATCTGTGTCCTAATCACCTCTTCTTGTAAGGACATATAAGTCCCAGTCATATTGGATTAGGGCCCACTCTAATGACCTCATTTTAACTTGATCCCCTCTTTAAAGACTTTGTCTCCAAATACAGGCACATCCTAAGGTACTGGGGGTTAGGGCTTCAACATATGAATTTTGGAGGGAACACAATTCAGTTCACACCAGCGTCTAATACAGGGTAATAGTGATGATGATGAAAACTACCATTATTGTGATTTTATTATGTGCTAGACATTGTTTCGAGTACTTTTCCTGTATTATCTTAATCTTCACAAACACCCTGTAAGAATGTCATTATTATCAGTTCCATTTTCCAGGTGAGAAAACTGAGGCACAAAGAAATTGGGTGACCTGCCTGAAGTCACAGATTATATGTGGTAGAGCCTGTTTGATTCTAGCATCTGTGGTCTTTACCACCACGCTTTCCAGCCCCCTGGTATTTACAAACCTCTGTTGAATGAATGGACGCAGGGGAAGTGACCCGGAATTCATCAGGTTCACATGCACAGCAGCTAAGGCAGGCACATGGCCATGCTGCACACATTGTTTCCATGTAACTAAATTTATCCATCTTTTTCTTTATGGCTTCCATGATGGCTCCTTGCCTTGCTTAGAAAGGTCTTTCCTTCTCCAACATTTACAAATTTGGGAATCGGTTTTTCTCCCTCATTTTGAGACATGAATTGCTACTTAAATTGATCATGAGAGTCACTCTTTTTCAGGGTGACTTAAACAAGGTTTTTCTTTTGTTCATTCTTTTTTTTTTTTTTGGAGACAGGGTCTCACTCTGCTGCCCAAGCTGCAGTACTGTGGCCATGATAGCTCACTGCAGCCTCCTGCCTCAGCCTCTTAAGTAGCTAGGACTACAGGTTTGTGCCACAACACCCAACTAAGTTAAAAATATACACTTTTTTTAGAGATAGGGTCTTGCTATGTTGCCCAGGCTGGTCTCAAACTCCTGGTCTCAAGTGGTCCTCCCATCTCAGCCTCCAAAGTGCTGGGATTACAGGCATGAGACATCGTGCCCAGCCTCCAATGTTTTTCTTAATCCACAAAACTGGAACTTTTGGCCTTGAATATAACGGTGATGGAGAGTTGAAAATGTGTTGTTTCCAAACCTTCACCAGGACTTCTCCCCCAAAAATCTCTTCTCACGTCATGTTGAACAGTTCGTTGGTAAGTGATGTGACACATTTTTCTAAGCCAGAAATCTCTGAACTTTTTCCTGATGTCAGCTACTTTTGACTTCTCTGAAGTCCTCAGACAAAGCAGGGAGGCAAGTGTGGGTGGTGGGGTGGGAGGGAAGGTGGCTGTGGCTGTAGGCATGTGACTATTCTTCTCTCCACTTTGGAATCCCTAAAAATCATGGCAGACAGAATGGGAGGACAGGCCTTGCAGTGATCAGGGAAAAAGGGGAGTGAAAATGCAAGATGCTGCAAGAAAATGATGTGACCAAGCTGACTTGGAGATTGACCCAGTAAAACTTTGAACTTTATTAGTTGTAAATATCTTAGTCTGTAAAAAAAAACAAATACTGCTGAAATATTCTTAGTGTGGCATGTCCCATTCTGGAAATTTCAGGTAGTTGCAGTCTGGCATCATGTGGCACATCATCACTGTCTCTTCTGCAAATTTCTGAGAATAAGAAGAATTGGTTGAAAAAACTTCTAACATCTCCATCGGTTTGTAATCAGCGAATACAGTAAGTGCAGGGAGTTGATGACTGCTTGCAGAGTACATTATTTTATGTATCTTGTGGGAGAGGTTGAGAAGGTTCTGTTTAAAAAGGTTACCCTAATAAATGATTTACCAGGGCAGCCAGAGATCAAAGAAATTGCTCAGAAATTGCATCTCAGGGCACCTAAAATTCAGAGTTTATGGAAGCCCTCAGAACCCCAAACCTTTTATGACTTTTATATTAGCTAACCACTAAATTTTCAAAGCAGTGTGACTGCCATGGGTTTTAATAAGAGCTGCATGGCCCAATCCCTCCTCTGTTAATAAATGGAACGACGATGCCGTGAGAGACAGTTTGAAAATATGGCACATGTCATGGAAGATCTAATACGGAGCAAGGCTCAGGCTGGATGGTGGAAATTTTAAATTCTGATGAGAAAAAAATTGACCCAAAACAAATCCCACATACTTTGAAACAAAACGATAGGAATTCTGCCTTGGACGTAGTGCCTTAGCTGGAGTCTGCACATCAGAGAACTGTGAGAGGCTGAAGAGCTCCAGAGATTAGAAACCCAGTTTAGTGCTCTCAGAGCAAGCTGGGCACTGACTTACTCCTCATCACCGTTGTCAATGATGAAAGTTACCCAGCACCCCTAGGACTTTAGAGAGTTTCCCTAGAACTAGCTGGTGTTCCTCTTCCCAAACAAGCCATGGTCCAATCTCAAAATGGAGAACCAAAAATAGGAAGGATAGGTCCTCAAAGTGTGTTCCAGGGACCCTTTGAGGGTTGGTCCCAGAGACCCTTTTAGGTGGTGTGTAAGGTCAAAACTATTTTTTAATAATTCCAAGACACTATTTGCCTTTTCCATTCTCATTCTCACATGAGCAGCCCGCAGCAAGACTGACAGAAGGATCACCCAACTGAATGCTGCTCAGATTGCAGAATTATGAGCACATAAAATGGTGGTTGTTTCCAGCCACTGAGTTTGGGGTGCCTTTTTTGCAGCCATAGATCATTATCATTGGAAGAGTCATGCCAGGGATGCATGTTGAGGCTGGTAGTATTGGTGACTTTTATTGATGACCTTTTTTTTTTTTTTGAGACAGAGTTTTGCTCTTGTTGCCCAGGCTGGAGTGCAGTGGCGGGATCTCGGCTCACTGCAACCTCTGCCTCCCAGGTTCAAGCGATTCTCCTGCCTCAGCCTCCTGAGTAGCTGGCATTACAGGCATCCGCCACCATGCCCAGCTAATTTTTGTATTTTTAGTAGAGACAGGGTTTTGCCATGTTGGTCAGGCTGGTCTTGAACCCCTGACCTCAGGTGATCCACCTGCCTTGGCCTCCCAAAGTGCTGCGATACAGGCGTGAGCCACTGCACCTGGCTGGTATTGGTGATCTTGATGGGGGAACCTTCTAATTTTTTTTCAGCCATTTGAGGACTGAGTCTGGGTGTCACCAAGGAGAACGTTTAATAAAGGATCACTCATAGAAATGGAGATCAGAATTACTGATTTCTTGGCATATTGATGGCTTGAATCAGAAAATGAGGGTATTCGCACAGCCATGGTTTCCCCTCACAGACAGAACTAAAAGTGGTTACTGACAGTTGAAGGAGATTTCTGCCGATGAATAACTTTGAGGAAATTCGTCGAAATGATGATGACGATGGTGGTGATGATGCTGATGATGGTGATAATGATTGTGTGGTGCAAATGGAACTTGGCCCGGGACTCCAGAGTACTAAACCAAGAGAAATGCATGTTGGAGAGAACATGTTGTCATGGAGAGAGTATAGGCACTGGCGTCAGAAGACCTGGTCCACGTCCTGGCTTCATAATCTTGGACAGGTCATCCCTGCCACCTTAAGTCCAGTTTCCTCACTGCTAAATGCAGACAGTGTACTTCCTGCTTCTCCTTTCACAGAGTTTTCATGAGGGTCAAGCGAGAGAATGTGGAAGTGCTCTAGAAAGTGCCATGCAGAGGGGAAGAATATTAAGATATGATACGTGAGCTTGCTGCTGGAAGGAATCTTCCTGATATTAAGCAGTTATGAAAAAAAGTAGCAGGTGATAAAAGACCTTTTTGCAAGAAGTTTTTGAAAAAAAATTTTTTTTTGAGAGTTACTGGACTTGGTGCCTCCTACAGCTGATGTCCAGGGAAAGGTGATGTGGCGCCACAAGTAAGTGCAAGCTCTGTGTTCCTGATGTCTGGAAGGTGTAGCATTTTCTGTTCTGTTTACCATCATCATGTATAAACTAGTCACGTCCTAGTTGTTCAACACAGTCCCAAAAATTGGGGATGGGGATTGAAGCACAAAAAGCAGGTCCTTCCTTTCTAGCCTGCTCATGGTATGCAGAATAATCCCCATCTCCTTCCCAAAGACGGCCACGTTTGAATCCCAGAACCTGTGGATGTGTTAGGCTGTGTGGCAAAGAGGAATTAAGGTTGCAGATAGGATTATGGTTGTTATTAGCTGACCTTGAAGTGGGAGAGTGTCCTGGGTTATCCACATGCATCCAACGTAAGCACAAAGGTCCTTAAAAGCAGAAGAGGGAGGCAGTGGAGGAGAAGCAGAGGGAAGGCCGGTAAGAAGGACTCGGCTGGATGTTGCAGACATTGAAGACGGAGGAAGGGGCCAGGAGTCCAGGGAGCAGCCTCTAGGAGCTGGATGAGGAAAGGAAAGGCATTCTCTCCTAGAGTCTCCGGAAGGAACAAATCCTGCCAACACCTCGATTTTAGCCCCATTAGACCTATTTTGTCCTTCCAACCTCCAGAACTGTAAGAATAAGTTTGCATTGTTTAAGCCAACAATTTCCTGGTAATTTATTACATCAGCAATCGAAAACTAATATATTGCCTGACATCATCTTAGGCAAGCTACCTTTGTGGGAGGACTGGGCGGAAGAATGGGAAGATTTGACCCAGGGCCACATATGATGTCAATGGAATTTTAGTTCCATTTGCCATGATACATTCAAAGACCTAAAGTTACTGGACTTGGTAACTTTAGGTCTTTACTGGCAGGCAGCATGGAAGGTCTGAGATTTTCCCATTTGTGAAGCTGTAGTTGTATAGGCAGGAAGTGGTATCAGCACCAAGAGCCAAGCTGCATACAATTTACCATCTGACATCTCCGCATTGACTTATTTGGCTTTTGTCTGGCTTCCCCTCCCTAGAATATAAGCTGTGTCAAATTCACTGCTGTGACCTCAATGCTTAAAATAATCCCTGGGCCATAGTAAATGCTCAAGAATTGCTTAACAAATTCACTTATTCAACAAATTTTTGTTAAGACTGTGTATCAGTACTAGAAAGTAAGTTAATTGCGGGCAGAGAGTTTTATCTGTTAGCTGCTGCACTTCTGTATGTAGAGCAGTACCTGGCACTCAGTAGACATGTATGGAATAGTTGAATTAATGATTTAAAGAATAACATACAAAGGCTCTGCTTTTGAGGAGTATATAGTCTAGGGACTTCTGTTTTTAGGTTTGTCAATATAGCTGCTTGTACCAAAATTGAACTTTATTTCCTCTCCCAAATTTTCAATAATTGGCAATGACTTGTCAATTCAATGTGTTGCAGGGGAGGAGAGGTGAAGGCATGAAGAGGGGCTGGAGAAATGACATGAGGTTCCTAAGTTAATATTTTTCCAGGTTATATGAGGATTTATCTAGACAAATAGAGTATTTGCTGAAACAATTTCTATTTTTATTATTGTAATATATGTATGCATATTTGCAATTTGACTACATGACATGCTCACTGTAAGAGAGTCAAGAAGCAATGGATTCCCCACCTTCCCAGTTCCACTCCAACCCCTCTCAGAGGTAACCACTGTTCACAGTTTGGTCTGTGTTCCCTTCTTTTCAAATATCTTAATAGAGGCCTTGTTTTCAGAACTGCTTAAAATAAGTATAGGCCTAGAGCTTGATAGGAACCAAAATTGCTGAGAAAACAGCTTAAAAATACATACTAAAAATAATATGAAAGACAACTGTGTAACAGAAACCCCTAGATGGGAAAAATTGTTTTTCAAATTGCTGTGATTTCTACAATAGCTGGTTTTCCCATGCTCTATGTTTTTGTCCCTTTAAATTTTTTTATATCTTAAAATTACCAGGAGCCCTAAATCTATTTGCCTGGGAATGAACAAATAAGCCTTTACTACTATCAACAGCAAAAAAGAGCCTTTCCTGGCCTTTACAGGGATGATATTTTTGTGAAAATTTGAGTGGAGTACTTTGGAAAACTTTGTGTTTTGCAGCAATATAGGGAGATGAGGTTATCAGTTGCTATCTCTCATCCAAATAATTCTCACCCATGATGACATCAAACCCTTCCAGAAGGAAGATATGTCAGCAAATCAGGACTGAAGCCCAGGCAGTAGTCTGATGGCTGCCCTTGAACTTCTCTCTCACTCTTATATTCCCTCCTAACCTTGTGTTGGCCTGATATTTAAAGGCTAAGTTTATCCTATAATAATATTTACTATTTTTATATCTTTTTACAGATTATGAAGCAATTTCCTACCTGTTTTTTTATTTGATCCATGAACTTTTCAAGAGATGTGTGCTATTGCTGTTGTGACCATTAGCTCCCATTTCTCAGATGAGGAAACTGAGGCTCAGTGAGCCTTAAATGACTTGCCCAAAACTATAAGGTCAGTTAGTGGTGGAACTTCTGCCTTCAAATTTCTTGTCTTTTCCTGGAAGCAATGTTGGCCCCCAGATAAGAAACCACAGTTCATAACCTCCTGTTATTGTTGTCAAAACCTTCACCAACTTATTGGAAAAACAATAATTATAAAAATAATAAAATTAGATAAGGTGTTTTATTGCATTTCGTTTATGCAGCAAATACAAGGCATAAACTGTGCCTCTCTAAGGTGGTCTCCCAAGATGGAGAATGGACTTTCTTAAGGGAGAATCGCCAGGATGTGCATGTGGGCATCTCTGACTTTTCTACTGCACTGGCTGCAAGCCCTGGCTAGGGCCCCGGGTAACGACTTTCACAAGAATCCAGGGCTAGGAACTCCCATTTTGTCCAATAGGGCACAGAGGCTCCCCACAGCATATTCACCGGCCTCCCTCACTCCAGTATCCCTCTTCCCCTGGCTTGCTGCCTCATTGTCCATACTACCCTCGCAGCAGGCTGGAAACACAGACAAGTGGGGCTGGCAATACAGGAGGCTTCCAAGACTTTAGAGTTTAATTGCAGGTCTGGAAAGATGGGAAGCCCAAAGGTAGGACCTCTAGGCCTTCCTGGAGGGTGCGGCAGGCTTCAAGTGCTCTGACCCAGTAGCTCCATTTGTGCACATGATTGGAAAAGAGCATTATGGGAAAGTCCTTCAGTGAATAAATACAAGATGGTGGTGGAGCATGGGGGTGGGGATTGAGTTTGAATCCTGCCTCTGCCACCTGATAATTAAAAGACTTCCTAATCTCTGTGACTCTGTCTTATCATGGAAGCAAAATAGAGGTAGCATTATCTGCCATTCCTGGTATTTAAGGCTGTTATAAAAACTCAATGAGTCATTAAGTAAAAGCACTTTAAAACCTATAAAATACCAAAAAAACCACCCCACATCTGCTTGATTTTTGTTGTTGTTGGTTTGTCTTTCAGATGGAAATCTCTGCCCATAAAAATCTTCCACAGTAAACAGACACTGATGCAAACACACTGGGCTTCCTTCTATTACCTCATCATGCATGTGCTCCTTAAAATTGATCACCAGTGACTTCCTCTCTTCTCCCTTTCCCTGTGCTTACGTAATTCCTTTCCTGAATGACTTATCTTAGTACCAAGCTTTGTCCTCCTTCCCGAGTAGCCCAGTATGAAGAGAACATAAGGGAGACCCATTTAGTAGTGGGAAAAGTAACTACCGGGTGAAAATGACGTTGATGTTTTCCCAACGTCAGCAACACTGCTTAGACTACTACTCCAATAGTTAATCAAGCTGGACTTCTAATGTTAGGGACTGAGTTTTATGTCCCCTAGTATGTACTTTCTCTTCTATAATAACAATGAAAATACAGACCACCCAATTTGAAAGTGGGCAAAGAGCTTGAATAGAGAATTTCTTCAAAGCAGATATACAAATGACCAATAAGCAAATGAAAAGATGCTCAACATCTCCAACATTAGGGAAATGCAGCTCAACACCACAGTGGGATGCCACTGCACACCCATAGATGGCTATGCCTTTTTTTCTTTTTTTAAAGGAAAATAGCAAGTGTTAGGTAGGTTGTGGAGAAACTGGAATCCTTATACACTGATGGTGGGAATGTAAACAACTCAGTTGCTGTGGAAAACAGGTTGGTAGTTCCTCAAAAAGTTAAATACAGAATTACCATGTGGCCCAGCAATTCCACTCCCAGGTATATACTCCAGAAAACTGAAAACAAGTACTTAAATGCATGTACACACATGTTCATAGCAGCATTATTCACAATAGCAAGGTGGAGACATTTCAAATGCCCACAATTGGATGAATGGATGAACACTGGTGGTACATACATACAGTAGAATATTACTCAGGAATAAAATGGAATGAACCACTGACACAGGCTACAATGTGATGAACCTCAAAAACATTAAGCTAAGTGAAAGAAGTCAGATACGAAAAGGTCACATACTACATGATTCCATTTATAGGAGCTATCCAGAATAAATAAATCCAGAGAGACAGAAAGTAGATCAGTGGTTGCCTGGGGCCTGGGTGGGGAGAGGGGAATGAGGAGTGACTGCTTAATGGGTATGCAGTTTCCTTTTGGGTTGATTAAATGTTTTGAAACTAGATAGAGGTGATGGTTGCACACCACTGTGAATGCACTAAATGCCACTGAATGGTCCACTTAAAATTAAACTGGTTTTAAGTCATGTGAATTTCACCTCAGCTGAAGAAAAAAACACAAAAAGCCATGGAACCCCAAAGCTACAGTAGGGTTGTTTGTTTCCAGAAAGACGCCCAGCAGTGCAGGGGTCTGTTTGAAACAAGAACCTGAGCCAGCTGAGCAACTAGGCCACTAATGAGCTCCCCTCCTCCCCGGAAGCAAATGTTTCTCCTCCTCCTCCTCCCAGCCATTCATTAGGCTCCAACCTGCTACTTGTCAGGTAGCATTAGTTGTACCGGTATCCTGGGGACCGGGGTGCCCTTGCTCTTCCTGGTTCCTTATTTATTATGTTAATGAGAACATAACCAAGCTTCTGAGGCAGAAAGTCTGAGATGGATATTTGTGCTCTAGTCAGTGGGCAGGTGGTCTCCACAGGGTGCTGTGGAAGGACTCCCACCAAGATGTCTGGTTTCAAACCCAACTATGTCACACACTTGCTCTATATTCTTGAGCAAGTCAGTTCTGAGGCTGAGTTTTCTTACCTTAAAATGAGACTAAACAAAATTTTTCTTAATTAATTTCAATGTCCAGAAACAGATCGCCTTGGTAACCCCTCACTTGCAATCTCCCTGGGTCTGAGCCACCATCATCTTTTCCTTGACAAATGCAATGGCCTCCTAACTGATCCCCCTGCGTCTGCCTGTGCCCTCTTCCCAGCATAAGACCGGCTCTTTCAGACATAAGTCAGACCACCACATTCCTCCTCAAAGCCCTCCAGAGAGTCCAGGCACGGTGGCTCAACACCTGTAATCCCAGCACTTTAGGAGGCAGAGGCAGGCAGATCACTTGAGGTCAGGAGTTTGAGACCAGCCTAGCCAACGTGGTGAAACCCTGTCTCTACTAAAAATACAAAAATTAGTCAGGCATGGTGGTGGGCACCTGTAATCCCAGAACTTGAGGGGCTGAGGCAGGAGAATTGCTTGAATGAGGCGGAGGTTGCAGTGAGCAGAGACTGTGCCACTGCACTCCAGCCTGGGCGACAGAGCCAGACTCCATCACAAAAAAAAACAAAAACAAACAAACAAAAACCAACCCTCCCAGAGCTCTCAGCTCACTCGGTAAAAGCCAGGTCCTGACACGGGCATTCGTGGTCCCACACGAGAGCCTGCCTGCTGCTTCTTCAATCACACCTCTTACCACCCATGGCCCCTTGCTCACTCCACTCGAAACCCGGAGGTCTCCTTTCTGTTTCTGCCTCAGGACCTTTGCACTGGCTGTCTTCCAACCTGAAAGGTTGCTTTTGCCCTTGGTTCCTCCAGGTCTTGACTCAAATGTCATCTTACCAGTAAAGTCTTTTCACCTTGGCAGTTTTTATCCCTCTTTCTTGCTCAGTTTTTGTTTTATATTACATTGCACTTAACACCATTCCATACTTAATACCAAACAACGTCTTCTTTGTTTATTATCTGTCTCCCCCTAAAATGTAAGTTCCATGAGATTTTTTTTTTTCATTGCTATATCCAAAATGCCTAGAGTTGTTACTGGAACATAGTAGGTGGTCTGTACACATGAACCAAATGAATGAGTTATTTTGAAGATCAAAGACAATGAATGTGAAAGTACTGTACAAATGTACAATGTTTGGTTATTCATATGAAAATGAAGTTTCCTTGATACACCAAAGTCTACACCAGTAGAATCGAATTTGTGATGTTTGAAAAAAGCAAATAACAAAAATAAAAATTTTCAGTTGGAAAACTGCCGTGAGCCTCAAAGGATATTTTAGGATCTGACAGAGCCTGTTTCTAGACTCTCATCCCAAATGGCACTGTTTAGTCAGCTTCCCAGAACTCATTTCATCAACCTTAACAGAACCGACTTCATATGAGCAGGTTTCTGACGTGTGTAAGTCGAAGGAGCCTGGCTATTTCATAGCTGGTGTGGGATTGTATGGATATCAAATTGGCTTTTTATTTGCTACTGCAAAATTAAATTAGGAATGAAAGTAATTTGGTTCAATGAAAATAAAAAACTAGACTCAAAGTCAGGGGAAAAAAGGCCAAATCAGACAGAGGTCAGGACTGCCAGGAAGGGTCCTTCTTAAAGTCTTATAAATAGAAGGTAATTTCTAAAATGTCAAGGGTTTCTCGGCTCAATTAAAATTATTTGTAGCACAAATGGCTGAGACCAGGGAGTGCTTTAAACCATGGAAATGCAGTAACAAGAATAATAAGCAACTAGGTTATTGTTGTTCACGAGATGTCTTATTTAAATGTTGAAGAATTTCAATCATGTCAGATGCCAGAAAGGGCCAGTTATAAAGGGAACGAAGCTGTTGTCCTTCAGGTTCTTTTCCTCCTACTTTCACTTAGAAATAGGAAACAGCCAAGAGCCATTTTGCAATCGAAACAACTTCATTTCCCATGTCCATTTGGAAGAAAGAGCCATAACTCAACTAATACACGTTTAGGACAGGTTGGGGAATGGCTGTGATGCCGCAGCCCTGAGCTAAGAGCACATAACTTCTTTCTAAATGTGTGTTGGACTCCTTGGCTGTCATCTATTAAAGGATGAATTTTGCAAATATTATGAACTTATCCATTAGGGAAGCAAAAACAAATATCTGATAGACTCAGCTTTTGTCACAGATAAATAGTTCTTTACATAAGCAAGCCCAAGAGTGTTTGGCACAGCCTCGCAATGTCCAGTGAAATGTCAATTCAAGCCAGAGGTGTGATTGTTTATTGTCAGCATAGACTGTCATCACTTATGGTCATAATCAGGAAAACTGCTGATGATTGATACCGATGGCAATGATGATTACTCTTGCAATAAGCTTAATTAAAATAATGAAGTGCTACTGCATGTGACTTAGCTGTGGCACACGAAGGATGTTGTATAGGCACCACAAAGAAGTCACCAGGCAGCATGGGGTTCATCTTTCAATCCTGACACACCTGGGAAGCCCCAAGGTATTGGGCGTGATTCTGGAGGTCCTCTGCCTTCTCTCCTGGGATCACAGTTCCTCATTCCTCCTGCATACATAATTGCTGGAATAAGTGCAATGACAGAGGTCTGCTGGTTACTGGTTTCAGCTGCAAATCCAGCCCAGGAGATGGTCTGTCTCCTCCTGGTCAGTCTTCCCGCGGAGCTACTTATCAAACTCCATGGGGATGGCGATTTAACCTGGGTACTACGAGTGGCTTCAATCTCCCCCACCACTGGCAACTGACCCCATCAAAGGTGAGGGAAACCCTGGAGAGAGAAATGCTTCTGACCTCCTGGAACACTGGCTCAGAAATCTCACCCTCCATTGGCCTGCACCATCCAGTTCATTTTTCTTCCCAGAGTTTCTTGCTGCTGACTTTTCCTCTGTTCTTCAGCACCTGGGGTGTAGGGGAGAGGGGAGGAGAAAGAATAAAAACCTTTGAGGGACATTTGAACCACCCAGAAGGCCAGCCTCCAACCCAGCCCTGAGACCATTTCCCATAATTGGTGAGGGCCTTAAAAACACAAACAGCCCTCATCCACGGGGGGAAGATCAAAGGAACATTTACCCACTCACTTAACTCAGAAAAAATAAAACACCCAGCGCAAATTGTGGGCTTTTAACTATCTTGCGGGACCAAAAACCTAATCAGAGTACAGAGGACTATAAACATCTAGGAAGGGAAGCAGACAGTCATTAAAATTTGATTATGAGACTAGCAGCTCTGATAGGGCCTTGTAGGCTCAGAGAAGAAAAATCCCGGACTGCCTGGCCACCTTCCCTGCAGAGGGGTCTGCGTGAGAGCGGAGAGAGTGAGTGAACAAAATCAGCCTGGAACATCTTTTCCTTCACATGTATAAGAATTTGGAGCCACACAGGCCTCTGCAACTTGTCTCCTATTAAGAGAAAAATTGGCCTCTGCAGTTAATGGATTTTTTTTTTTTGTATGAGCTTGCTCATGAAACATTAATCATATGTCCATCACAGGAAAATGCAAACCTTCACAGAGCTTACCATAGTGACATCTCCGGCTACTTGGAATTGGGATTTGTTTCATTCATTCATTCACTCAGGCATTCAGCAAATATGTATTGAGCATCTGCTTTGTGCCAAGC
Source organism: Homo sapiens (assembly GCF_000001405.40). NCBI lineage: Eukaryota > Metazoa > Chordata > Mammalia > Primates > Hominidae > Homo > Homo sapiens. Next base: position 27,415,236 of record NC_000007.14, read on the forward strand.
TCTGTTCTGGGTGCTGAGGATATAACAGTATGCAAAACAAAGATCCTTGCCCTGATGGATCTGAGGAAGTGCTTCCTGGACAAACTGGGATTGGAATCAGAAGAAATATCAGGGCAAGTTATTAAAAGGAAAGAGGGACAGGATTGGCATTTCTAGAGTGCCACCCCGTGACCAGTACAATGCTGGTGGCTTACGGGTGTTCTCGCTTTAAATTAAAGAGTGCCAGCCAGGCGTGGTGGCTCACACCTGTAATCCCAGCACTTTGGGAGGCCGAGGCGGGTGGATCACTTGAGGTCAGGAGTTCCAGACCAGCCTGGCCAACGTGGTGAAACCCCATCTCTACTAAAAATACAAAAAATTAGCCGGGTTTGGTAGCCTATGCTGGTAATCCCAGCTACTCAGGAGGCTGAGGCAGGAGAATCGCTTGAACTGGGAGGCAGAGGTGGTGGTGAGTCGAGATCATGCCACTGTACTCCAGCCTGGGCAACAGAGCAAGACTCTGTCTCAAGAAAAAAAAAAAAAAACAAAAAAATAGTGCCTTCTGTTGGCACTCATCTGATTGCAACAAGTTAATGCAGTCAAGGTCAGAATTGCTGAGGTCAGAACCTCAGGCTGTTTGTCACCCCAATTCTAAAGTGCTCTCTGGAGTCTAAATGACTTCAAGAAGTCACTCTTGGATGAAGGTCTTGCTTGCAGCAAAGTAAAACCACACATTTTCAGGGACCCACCTCTAGTCTATTAATTAATTAGTCCATTAATTGTATCACCCTTGGCACTATTAACATCCTGGATTGAACAGTCTTCTGCTGTGGGGGGCTGTCCTGTGCATTGCAGGGTGTGTAGCAGCCTCCTTGGTCTCTACCCACTAGATGCCAGGAGCATCACCCCAGCTGTGACAACCAAAAATGTATGTCTCCAGACTTTGCCCTAGATGACAAAATCACCATGGATTTTTGTTGTTGTTGTTTTGTTTTTTGAGACAGAGTCTTGCTCTATCGCCCAGGCTGGAATGCAATGGCACGGTCTCGGCTCACTGCAACCTCCACATCCCGGGTTCAAGAGATTCTCCTGTCTCAGCCTCCTGAGTAGCTAGGATTACAGGCGCACACCACCACGCCCGGCTAATTTTTGTATTTTTAGTGGAGACAGGGTTTCACCATGTTGGCTAGACTAGTCTCAAACTCCTGACCTCATGATCTGCCTGCCTCGGCCTCCCAAAGTGCTAGGATTACAGGCGTGAGCCACTGTGCCTGGCCTAAAATCACCATGTTGAGAACCAGTGACCTAATGTGCACTGAATTAACCTTGAAAATACATGTGTTTAAGAGAAACTCACAGAAACCTCAGCACTCATTCAGCACCACTCATTCAGCCACTCATGGAGCCACTCCCGTGTGCCAGGGCAGGACAAGGAGACTCTAGGTGAGATCACAGCTGTATCCCACCCCCTGGCCCATAGCGAGACTGTCCTCTTTGGCTTCCTTGCCACCAGCCTGCCGCCTGCCACCTGCCACAGCCTCTCCATCATCCACACAGTTTCTATAAAGAGATCTGAACTATCACTTATCTCTTTAAGACCCTCAACAGCCTTAGAGGATAAAATCCCAATGCCCGTTAGCATACTCGAGACCCTTCACCATCTGGCCTCAGTCACCTGCGTAGCCCCCTCTACCCCAGTCTCCGACTGAATGGTCTAGTCCCCTTCACCTTCTCTGTCTGTGCCCTAAATGGGATCATGCCTCCTCTACCCTGACCACACCCTTGTCTCCACCCCTGCCTTGGCTCCAATTGCTCACTTTTTTTTTTTTTTTGAGACGGAGTCTCGCTCTGTCACCCAGGCTGGAGTGCAGTGGCATGATCTCGGCTGACTGCAAGCTCCGCCGCCCGGGTTCACGCCATTCTCCTGCCTCAGCCTCTCCAAGTAGCTGGGACTACAGGCGCCCGCCACCACGCCCGGTTACTTTTTTGTATTTTTAGTAGAGACGGGGTTTCACCGTGGTCTCGATCTCCTGACCTCGTGATCTGCCCGCCTCGGCCTCCCAAGGTGCTGGGATTACAAGCGTGAGCTACCGCGCCCGGCCCTGACTTTTTAAAAATTAATTTTTGTGAGTACATAGTAGGTATATATATTTATGGGGTACATGAGATGTTTTGATACAGGCATGTAGCATGTAATAATCACATCAGAGTAAATGGGGTATTCATCACCTCAAGGATTTATACTTTGTGTTACAAACAATCCAATTATACTCTTTTAGTTATTTTTAAATGTACAATTAAATTATTATTGACTGTAGCCACGCTGTTGTGCTATCAAATACAAGGCCTTATTCATTCATTCTATTTTTTGTACCCATTAACCATCCCCACCTCCCCCTAACTCCCCACTATCCCTTCCAGCCTCTGGTAGCCATCCTTTCATTCTCAGTCTCCATGGGCTCAATTGATTTGACTTTTAGATCCCACAAATAAGTGAGAACATATGATGTTTGTCTTTCTGTGCCTGGCTTATTTCACTTAATGTAATGACCTCCAGTTCCATCCAAGTTGTTGCGAATGACAGGATCTCATTCTTTTTTATGGCTGGATAGTACTCCATTCTGCATGTACCACATTTTCTTTCTCCATTCATCTGCTGATGGACACTTAGGTTGCTTCCAAATCTTGGCTATTGTGCAGTTCCTCACCTTTAAGCCACAGAGGCTCACTGAGCCTTTAAAGTTCAGATCCAGTTCCAACTCTTCAGCTAAGTCTTTCTCAACATTCCTTTCAAGCCTTTAAAAACAAATGGCTTCTGGAACTACATCCCCATAGTACCCCGCTCACACATCTGCTGTGCATTGTGCCTCAGCTGGCCTGTTCTTCCATCAGTAAGTGTGTGCTGAGGATCTGCTATGCGCCAGGCACTCTTCTAGACCCCGGGAGAGAGAGGTGAACAAATCTGGCAAGATCTGCCTTTGCCAAGCTTACACTCTAGATAGGGAGCTAGAAAAGAAAATAAATGACCAAACATAGTCAGAGGGTCATGGTGCCAGGAGTTGTACTCGGTTTTGGGAGTAGAACTGAGCTAGGCCCAATCCCTGCTTTCAAGGAGCTTATGGTCCTGGGGATGGGGAGGGAGGGGAGCATGAAATGAGGGAGTAGAGGTGGGGGGTTATGGGAAGAGGAGGAAAGAGCATCTAAATACTGGGCCCAAGTGTGAGGAGTCCCCAAAGTCATGGAGAGGTCAATGAGCGATGGCCAGAAACCACAGGGAAGGCTGATTTAGAAACTACTGGAGAACCTTCTGAGAGGGTCAGGACGTTGACAAGGTAGAATGCATTCTAGGTAGGCCCAGCCTGAGAGAGAAGAAAAAGAGATAGTTTCCAGAAATGCTTAGATGGTATCCCCATCCAAATTTACCTCAGTCCAGAATTTTCCCCTTTGCTTCAAGGCCACTTGACGATAGTGGTCAAGACAGAACTGGAAGTCCTAAGGTCATATCCCTGATTCATATCCTGTGCCTGAAACCCTGCTACTTCCTGAATTCCTGTGCTCCTCGGGTAAGACTTCCTCGTGGAGATGGAGCTAAAGAAACTAAAAGACACTCCCACCCTTGTTAGGATAGACTTTATTTGCACATAAGGTCAGACAAATTTCCATAATGCCACCTGCTATGGACTGAACATATTCCTGCAAAATTCATGTGTTGAAAGCTACTCCCCAATGTAATGGTATTAGATGAGGTTTGAGGAGGTGGTTTGGTCATGAAGGTGGACCCCTCAAGAATGGGATTAGAGCCCTTACAAGTGGCTGAAGCAACCAGAGTGTTCCTTTTCCATGCGAGGACATAGCAAGAAGGTCCCACCCAGGAGCCGTAAGCAAGCCCTCACCAGACACTCAATCTGCCTTCAATGTGGACTTCAAGGTCTGTGGGAACTGTGAGAAATAAATTTCTGTTGTATATAAGCCACTCAGCATATGTAATTTTATTTTAGCAGTCAGTTCAAATGGGCTAGATGCTACGCTTGAGGGGACCTCCAGGAATAGATAAAGGCTGTGTCCCATGTCTCCTGCAAAGCAAGAAGTACACCACAATATATAAAATAAAAAGCCAAAAATCATCCCAAGAAGTCGACATTATATCATCATTAAGACCCAGTTGGTCTTTACTTGCCCTGTTTTCCATGGTTTGTCTGAATTCTCTCCCACCTTCCCACCATGCCAAGACTGCAGGGGTGTGTTGACTTTCATTGCCTTGAAATAGTTAATCTTTGCAACCAAGGTTCCAAATGGGAGGCTTAAACTGGGAATCAGCTCACTCTGTGTGTAGGTCATTTAAGAGCTCAATCTCATCTTTGAAATATAGATTAACTAGGAGAGTATGAGTTCAGCATTTCTCTATAATGTTGTTTCATTGATCCTGCGGGCCAACTGGACATGGCTTCAGATGGATACCTAAAAATTAGTTTTAAAACTTTCCCATCTTTTAATATTTTATAACCTGTCAGAAAATCAATTATGGACTCTGCCCCCTTTCAACGCTTGGTTTCATAGGAGCTGATGTTTAACCAAAGCAAGGTTCTTTCCTCTCCTTTACAAAAAGCAATGGACAAGTTTAGAGTAAATGATGACTTCAGGGAATTTCTTGGATTTGTAAAGATTTAGAGATGAATTGAATAGCTTTGACCTGCCAAGTCCACAGCTTGGGTTTCTCTCTCTCCTGAGCCATAGCCAGCAAATGGTTTCCCTAAACACTGGGAAAGATCAGGGATCCAGAGGTCAGTATTGTGGGAACCCAGTCATAATTTAAACTTGTCAAATATCTTGATATATTTCTTCAAGCCCAGTGAATCACAAAGGGCCTTTCTCCAAAACCTGTCCTTCCTCTTATGCACACACATGCACATGGAGCACAATCTTTCAGGTTTAAAAAAATTTTTTTTTCATTTTTTAGTTTAGGAGGATTTAAGGGAAGAATAAAGATTAGGAGATATGCCAGAGCGATTTTTATTTTTTCTTTTTCTGTATTTCATAACATTTCTAATATGAACATATATTAATTTTGTAAGAGAAAATAAAGTTAAAAAAAAAAGAACCTAGGTAAAGTCACACTAACATAACACTAAGAATCCATGTTGAAAGAAAGTGGAATTAATTTTAGGTTAACAATAAAAATTTCAACTTCCATAGCATGCATACTCCAATCACTTCTGAATGGCCATATTCATCAAAATGAACTATAGTTTGTCCCATGAAAATAGGTAGAAGCCAGGAACCGTGGTGCACATCTATAGTCCCAGCTACTTAAGAAGCTGAGCCTGGAGGATCCCTCAAGCCCAAGAGTTCAAGGCTGCAGCGAGCCATGATCGTGCCACTGCACTCCAGCCTGGGCAACAAAGTGAAACCCTGTCTCTATTTAAAAAAAAGAAAGAAAGAAAGAAAATAGGTAGATTAAGCATTCATGTTTAAGAAATGGGTAAGGAAGAAAGAGAGAGAGAGAGGAAAGGAAGGAAGACAAGAGGGAGGAGAAAGAGATAAATCCTGGCCAGGATGAAAGGGGAGAAAAGGAAGGGGAGTTGTAGAATGAAAAAGGAAAGTGGATCGAGTCAGATGCTATTGAACTGATAAAGTGTTCAGTTCTGTTGGGGAAATTCCAGCTGGCCTCACACCCATGTTTATTGCAGTAGGTAGCAGCAGCAGTATAATACCTCTCATCCCTGGTAGTACCCATGGCACAACTGCACATTATGCTGTAAATGGAAGCAGAACACTTGCTATCTTTATTGTGCTGACATTTAATGACTAGAAGAGGCCTGGGAGAGAGATACCCACGAGATCCTGCCTTTGGTATGTTGGCCACAACTTCCAGAATGGGGATGCCAGTTACTTGCCTCTCTTTATGCTTTTGAACAAACTAGCCACCAGCTGGGCTTTCCAGATCTCTCAGTGGTTAAAGAGCTGGGGAAGTCTCGGGAAGAAGGTGGTATGTTTAGCCTGGGGCACGGGGAAAGTAACATGGCTGCTGGTAGCAGGCACAGTGGTAGGGGAAGCCCTACGTGGATTACAGTGAAATGGAGTTTACCTAACAAATTAACAAATAATATGTTCAATTTCTGCTTTCGGCCTACCTGTCTGGTTGGTTCTGAGAACTCAAGTTAGTTCTTCCTTATTTCATTCGCCAAATTTGACAAGTCCCTGAAATTCATCACTGGCAACTTAACCCAGTTTGTTTCTTCTACCAAATGCAAGGAACCAAAACATTTTCTTTTCTTATTCCCATTTGGCAATGACATTTTACTTTGGATAGTGGGACATGTCTAAACATCCTCCTACTTATTAGTTACAAAGGTGCCATAATGTAGGCCTCAATTCAAATCCACCTCCCACATGTAGTGGGAACTTGGGCAAATTAATTTACCTCTCACTACCTTAGTTTCCTAACCTCTAAAATGCAGAGGGTAACAACAGTACCTCCTTGTCATGGACGTGTTGCAAGGATTGCCCATGTTCATGAATGTAAAGCATTTTGAACAGTGCCCAGTGTGAGTTTAATGCTCTGTGTTCACTATGATCATTTCAATCATCCACACATATTTTTGAGTCCCTGTTATGTGCCAGGCGCCTTCCTGATCACCAGGAATAGAAAAGTGAGGATGTCTTTGGAGCTTATATTCCAGTGGAGCAATAGAGTCATAACAAAATGAACAACAATAACGGCCACTAATATTTATTGGGATTATAATATGCATAGCCTTACTTGATCTTTCTAATAATCCTAAGAGGTAAGTAAGAGTATTGTTTCATAGGAGAGGAATCCACAGGCTTCAAGGGGTTCGATAACCTGATCACACAACACAGCTGCTAAGTGGCCCAGCCCAGGGCTGGAATGGAACAACATGGTTCCCAAGTTTTCAGTCTTAACTGTGTCTTTCACTTTTATGGAATTGGGCTATTTTCAACTAACAACCGTGGTTCTAGGAAACAACACAGCCACTTTGTCCCTTTATGTTATTCTTAAAGAATCATTGCCCTGTCTCCCACTTTTATGCCAGTCACTGAGTTTTTGGTAGCCATTCACTGAACATGATCAAATTTAACCACCCAGTGTAAAGGATTTTACCTGCTGGTCAGAGGAACAACTCAGCATTTGGAAGAACATTTAATACTGTACGGCGGCGTTGGCCTTCATGCTGAGAGACAAGCGCACATCTCAAGGCCTACCCTGAACCAATCACTGGAGGATGGTTTAATTGGTTAATCATATAAATTACAATCACTTAATCATTTTAAGCACCATCAGCCAATTAGCTCAGAATTATGGGCTCTGAGGTAACAGTCATGCAAATGTTTGTTCCACTGCAGGCTATTAACAGCCATATTTTCTCTATCAAGATGACAGAGACTGATGGGTGGGGGAAGAAAAGGAAAGAGAGCATTTGTTTAGTTTAAACTTCTTTCCTGTTGGGTTATAATGAAGCATTCAGTGGGGAGGAGCGCCATGTGCAGTGATTTCTGTATCCTACTCAATGTGAGTCTCCGAGTGGATTGGAGGGAGGCCCCTGAGCAAAGAACTGCAAGGAATGGCTTCAAAACTGCTGAATCAAGACTGCGCAGGAGTTTAGCCTACTCTTGCTGCCAGGTGCTGGCTTTGTTGACCACCTGGTGTGCTCAGCCATAATACAGATAAATTGAGGACTGGCTGGGCACGGTGGGTCACACTTGTAATCCCAGGAGTTTGGGAGGCCGAGGCTGGCGGATCACTTGAGCCCAGGAATTTAAGACCAGTCTGGGCAACATGGCAAAACCCCATCTCTACAAAAAAAAAAAAAAAAAAAAACACCCAAAAATTAGCTGGCCACGGTGGCACACACCTGTAGTCCTAGCTACTCAGGAGGTTGAGATGGGAGGGTAGATTGAGCCCAGGAGGTCTAGGCTGCAGTGAGCTGTGATTGCACCACTGTACTCTAGCCTGGGCAATAGAGCCAGACCCTGTCTCAAAAAAAAAAAAAAAAAAAAAAAAAAAAAAAGAAAGAAAAAGAAAAGGAAAGAAACTGAGGACCAAAATGAGGACATGACTTTTGTGGCTGCTTTTTCTCCACCAAGCAACAAAGAGTGTCCACTAATCATGCAGGAGAATAGATCAAGTTCAGACAGAGCGTCCCCATCTACGATAACCATTACTATATACTAACAATGAAGAAAATAAAACAGCTCTGGAAAGCAAGGTGAGTCATCGTCAGCCGACCAGAAGCTGTGAACACCTGAACGTTTGCCAGTGTGGGCGTAGAGGAGCTGTTTGTGCTCATCAGTCCCTGGTTTAGGGCCTGGTACATGGTAGCTTCCCAGTAAACTCTTGTGGATGAATTAATGATTAGTGGCCAAATGTGAACGTAAGAAGCAGGGAGATGGAGGAGCACTCATCTGTTTGATGTGGCTGTGCTCTGCCAGCGTGCCTGTGCAAGTGTGTGTAAGACAGCTGGACCCTGCAGTGGAGTCTTTGCCGGCTTCTGGCTCCGGCAGAGCCTAGTGTAACTGCGCTTTCTGTCGGGTGGTCAGTTGAGTAGACTGGGTCATTTGCTAGCCTGCGATTGTAATATTTGCAAGTGCTGTGATGGTAAGGAACATCAGAACTTCAAAGATTACTTTTGTCAGGAATGTGTAGGAAGCAACATGGTTTTGTGGTCCCCAGTCACTTTGTGACTACGGCATTGTGGTCTTCAGACTTCACCTGTCTTGACTGATTAATTAAAGTTGGGGGTGGGACTGCTCCCAGCCTCTCACCATTTCCCAAGTGCACGCGCACGCGCGCGCGCGCACACACACACACACAGAGGTACATGCAACATATTTGTCATAAAACTTCATGCAGTCATTAAATAATACATACTGGACTTTTATGTGCCAGAGATCATGCAAGGGACCAGGAAAACCGCACAGAACACATAGCACTTGCCATGTGATGGCAAAGTATGGTCAAGTGCAGAGAGGAGAGGAAGACTCCTGAAGGCTGACATAATCAAGGAGAACTTCCCAGAGGAGGTGGGGATTGATCTAGGGAGAAATTAGATAGACAAAGAGATGAAAGTAGGGTACTTCATTGCACTTGTCATATTGACCTAGACTTAAAGCTTCAGGGAGAAAGTTTTCCAAATTAGGAGTTTTAATTTCCTTAAGGAAGTAACTGGCCTTGTTTTATCTTGTTTACACATGTCCCGGAGGTGCCTTGCCCGCAGGCAGCAGGAAAGGGTTCCTGGTAACTCCCTGTCTGACCTGAGCCAGAGGCTTGTCTCCCTCTCTGGCCTTGCTTTTTCTTCCTTAAACAGGGAAAAAATGATATTGACCTACCGTTGTGAGGGAAAACTGATACAAAATATGACAACACACTTCAGAGAGTGAGGTGCTCTTAGAAAAAAGAAAAGCCTAACGATAAGTATGCTGAGACACAGAAAACAATGGGTGGGAATAGAAAATTGGACTAAAATCATAGAAAGAGGTTTTAAAGATTTTCTCACTTCAGCATTTACAACACTCTATTATTGACTGTAGATTTTTTTCTTGCACTTGATTAGTCAGAAACCAGGCGAACACTCTCTAAAATCCTTGTACAGGTCAGACACTAGCAGAGTCCATATTCCTAAGGACCGAGCTGTTGAGCCACTCCCATGTTTGATTACTTCCCTTTTAGTTTTCATGCACACTCAGCTTGCACTATGTTTATTTGCCCTTGAAAGTATGAAGTCATTTTGTTTGTCTCTGGGGATTCCTCACACTCCCCACCCCTGTCACTGCCTTTGCCCCAAAATAGGTTCCTAACTTCCTGGGGGACGTGTTTAATGAGGATGTCTTGGCAAGAGAACTCCCTTAAGAGATCTTATAACATCAGAGCTGAGTCTGACTCCAGCCCCGATGAGATGTGGTCAGCTCACATGCCCAGTGGGTTCCAATTCCTCCCACCTTTCATGGTTCAGGATGGAGTTGAAACTCACCCTGGGAGTTCCCTGTACTCTTCTGGCTTGATTTATATAGCATAGAATAGTTTGTGTCTTTGAGTTTCCCCAGAAGTAGACCCAGAGACAAGGGTTCAAATGCAAATGATTTCTTTGGGCAGGGAAGGGAGTATCAGCAGGGGAGAGGGGAAACGGGACAGGGGAGGCAGCCAGTAAAAGGTGCGTGAGTAAGCCAGCTGCCCCAGTGGGCAGCTGGAGCCGAGTCTAGGAAATGGAGTAGGACATAGCCCATAATTAGACCTCCAGAGGTGAGCACACTGGGACATTTAGACACCAACTCCTGTCAGTCATTGGTTGAAGGCATTGAGGAGGGGTTGTTAATTCCGAGGAGAGGTGCTAGCAGCCGGAAGTCATCTGTCTTTTGGGGAGCACCCGGAAATGGTGGGGTCTGAGGGATGTGGATGGGACAGGAAGAGTATCTGTTAGGATTTGCATCATAACATTTATACTTTCTTGCCTAACGGTCCAAGTTCAGGGACATAGTAGCAGACTTATAGCACAATTACAAGCTTATAACATGATCGCAAATTTACACCAGGAGCCAGAGGATGACGAAAACAGCCCTTTGTTTCCCCTTTGGATCATTTATCACAGGAGACTGGGCCCACCCACTCAGACCCTGGAGGGGAGGCTTGTTTGTTGGTTTCATTCCTCTTGCTGATGATTGTGTCCACTTGGCCATATGTCCCGGTCTCAGCCAATGAAACCTGAGAGAAAGTTGAGGGTGGACGTGCGGGGAGTCTGGAAAACAGTGTTCTTGCTCGTAAGAGAGATACCTGGATGAGAGCATCTCTCTTTTTTGCTAGACGTCTTACAGTCGGGTTCTGATGCCTGGAACTTCTGCACCCACTTTGCCATCATGTGGGGTAATCACATCCAGAGGGCAGGATAATAGAAAGATGGAAAACAGGAAACCCTTGGGTCTTTGTGAGCCTCTGAGTTACAACCCTGGAGGCACCCGCCTTTGGACTTCTTGTTCTTTTAGTTCAAGACACTTTTGGTTGGGTTTCTTTCAGTTTAAGACACTTATATTCCTTGTGCCCAAAAGCATCCTAAATGATACAATGTCAGGTAACCGCGTGACTAGTGAGGAGAACCCCTACCATATATGAAAGCAAGTGAGTGTGGGACTGCATGGATAGAGTGAGTCAGGCTGGACGCCTGCTCCCAGCTTGTGTGTAGCTGTTTCAGTCAGCTTGGACTGCCACAGCATAATATCACAGACTGGGTGGCTTAAACAACGGTAACTTATTTTCCTATAGTTCTGGAGGCTGGAAGTCCATGCTCAGCATGTCAGCAGGGCAGGTTTCTGGTCAGGCCTCTCTTCCTGGATTTCAGAGGGCCACCTTCTCCCTGTGTCCTCACATGTCCTTTCCTCTGTGCCTGTACTCCTGCACAAAGCACTTCTGCATGACAGTGTGACGGTTGTCTTGACAAAAAGTACTGGTGTGATTGATGAAATTGGAGATAACAGTAATGGATATAATTTTTTAATATCCTATAATAAAATGTTGAAAGTATATTTTCCACATGACCAATGTATGATGTTTCAAAATTGTGTGTGGGTAAGTGATCTCATCAAAGTGAAAGAGATACCAATACATTGTAATGTAACAGAGTATGAAAAGTTCATTGATAATGGTTTTAGATTCCACATTGCAACTAACATTTAAGAAAGTGCTACTTGTCAAGTTTTGGTGTAATATCAAAGAAGAATTATCTGGAATTATCTGAAAAGCTAGTAATATGTAAGACCAGATTTTCTTTATATATGTCAACCAAAACAACAAAACATATTGCAACAGATTAAATTTAGAAGATAAGAAAATTGAACTCACCTCTACTTATTCAGACATCAAAGAGACTGGCAAAAATAAAAATTAATGTTACACTTCTCACTAATTTTTTTGTTTTAGAAACATTTTTCATAAAATTTTATTATTTCTGTTGATGTGAAATAGGTTTATTATTGTTATTTTGAAATGAATTAATAGATACATACTTTCTTAAATCTTAAGATATAGTATGGTAAATATTGATAAATATAGCCTAACTAAACAAAAGCTTTTCAGAGTTCATGATAATTTTTTAATCCAGTAAAGAGATCATGAGACTAAAAAGTTTGAGCATTTCTGACATAAATTAATGAAAACCGTCTGAATAGATAGCTCTGCCAGGGTTCTCAGTTGCAAACAACAGAAACCCCTCTAGCTAGCCAGTTCAAGCAGAAAAGAAATTTATTTAAGGATGTTAGCTCCCCAAAGCTAGATGTCTCCTCCAGCACCTTTCTGGAAAAATGGACTCCATCCTTCTTGCAGAGTTCTCTTCCACATCAGAGCCTCATGGGGGAACCTCCCACAGTCAGGGACACAGGCTCGGAGCTCCTAGAAAAGCAAGAGACTAGAAACGTAAGTTCTGACGGCATCTCGGGGAGGTGTGGGAATTTCACAATGTGTGAAATTCCCCAAACATAGGAAGGCTGTGCAAAAGATTGCTGGGCAGCTACAAATGTCCACTATAGTAATTACTAATAGTCCCATTTTTTTCAGAGCAAAACCAAGGTTGAGGTGAGAGCTGTAAGGGAAGGAAGAAGCCATCATTTAAACTCAATTACTGATGCTGGATCCACTTCTGAACCAATGCACAGAGCCCAGAAATTCTTTAAGCTCCAAGACAGCTTCACTGCAGTTCGTCCCATGGGGGTCTCAGAGATTCCAGGGCTCAGGGAGGAGGACAATGTATTTTTTAAATATATTTTTTGTTTTCCTTATGATAACAAAAGTGAACATGTAATTCTGATAAATAACCCTCATTACCCCATCATGCAGTGATAAACACTCATAACATTTTGATGTATTTCCCTCCAGATATTTTACATTTGTTATTTTAAACAAAAATGAGTTCATGCTGTACATGTTATTTTTAACCTTTGAGGCTTATATATCAGGATTATCTTTGCATGTTATTAAATATTAATATTTAATATTCTTAATTTAGTGACTGTATAGTAGTCTACTGAATGGAGGAACATAATTTATTAAATGATGATACATTGCTCTAGAAATATATCCCATAATACTTCTATTTCAGTGGCTCTCCGTTTTTCTTTTTTTTGAGACAGTCTCGCTTTGTCACCCAGGCTGGAGTGCAATGGCGTGATCTTTGCTCTCTGCAACCTCCGCTTCCCGGGTTCAAGCAATTCAGTTGTCCTGCCTCTATTTCCCAAGTAGCTGGGATTACAGGTGCCCACAACCACGCCCAGCTAATTTTTGTATTTTTAGTAGAGATGGGGTTTCACCATGTTGGCCAGGCTGGTCTCGAACTCCTGACCTAGGGTGATCCACCTGCCTTGGCCTCCCAAAGTGCTGGGGTTACAGGCCTGAGCCACTGTGCCTGGCCGGCTCTCTGCTTCTAAGACTAAAGACATCAAAGTCAATTTTTACTGCATTCCTAATTTATAAAGCTAATCCTTTCCTTATATCCACAGTGCCTAGCATAGAGAAGACAATCCAAAAATACTTGATAAGTGATTAAAAGAGTGACATACATTCAACATGAAAAATATAGTGGATCAATTCAAGCCTCATGTTTCAGAGTTTCAAGATTTGGAAGTTAATGTGGAAAAAAGGAAAGGACATTTGGAAATAAATTTTTCCTGTCTTGTGGCTGTCAGACACCTAACTGTTACAGAAGGAATACCCTGAGATAGCACAACCGAGAGTGGTCTACGTTCTGCAGGAAACAACTGGTGCAGGCAGTGAATCTTAAAGCCATAAAACTGAGAAGCATTGAAAGTACAAAGGAGCCATTCTAAACTCCTGACTTAGACTTTTAATACAACTGAGATGTGGCACTGCTGCCAATGAGGATAATGACTGAAAAATCATGCCTCTGTCCATTCTTATAGGTAGAGAGAGAGAGAAAAAAAAACTGAGGAAGAATGGATGAACAGAAAAATAATGGGAATATCTTAATTTTTAGCCAAAAGCTGTTAAGTTTCCAGCAACCAATAACCAAAAGATCCTATTCACCTTTGGTTCAAAGAGTAGTTCTTAGGCTAATTTATTGCATACCCAGGCAGATAAGCTCCATGAGGACAGACACTGGGGTGCCTTGGTTGTCACTCTACCCCTAGTGCCTACAACAATACTAGGCATGCCCACAAAAATTAAAAATTAAAAAAAATTTAAAAAGAAATAAAAATACAAAAAATACTGGGCATGTCACAGGCACTCAGGAAACACCAGTCGAAGGAATGAATGAAAGAGACTTCCTTGCCTTTCTTGTATACTCCAGCCACTCTACATTTCTTCCATAGCCCCGACACTTTCATAGGTGTGTACCTTTGCATATAAACCACTCATTTTAATACAACAAATAACAACTGAGCTCCCACTAACCGTTCTGAGCATGGGAGATACATGGACAAATGGGCACAGAACCTGCCCTTGAGAACTCTTGACTCATCAGTGTGTTTGCCAGTGCTTCCTAGACTTTAATGTGCATAGGAGTGTCCTGGGGATCTTGTTAAAATGTGCATTCTGCTTCAATAGGTCTGGGGCAGGGCTTGAGACCCTGCATTTTGAAGAAGCTTCCAGGTGAGGCTGATGTGCTAGGAGGCACATTGAGGACAAAGTATTCCAGCACTTCTGATTGTAGTATGACAACCAGGAAGATGGTTCTGTCAACAGATACTCATAGCCTGATTCCCTGATTACCACATATAGACTTAGCTCTGGTCTTTTTAACCCAAGAGTTGTTTGAGGCCCAGAGTGTGTATACCTCCCAGCACAGTTGGCCTGAGGCCAGGCAGGATTACCTTACAGTTCTGCCCAGGTGTGAAAGGGACAGGGTAGATACGGCCTGGATGCTGACAGCAGGTGAGAAACTCACATATCTTGCATCAGTCATAGAATCAGGGTTTCTTTCTTTTTACCACTGGAGACAGTTGAGCACATTCTCATTGTCACATCTCGTTGAAATATTTCATAAATCTGCAGGGTAATCATTTAAAATTTAAGTTATTTCCTTCTAAAAAGTGTTCAGAGAGGATGTGAAACTGAGCAAAATGCAAAGGCTTTTTTTCCCCACATCATAAATGTGCTTCCTCAGCAACTAATACCTTTCAAATGATCTGTCACACTTTGCATAATTAAATCACAGTCTCAATGGCAGCAAATCACTGCAGGAACAGTAAGAAAACACTAAGAGAAGATAGAATATGAAGGGGAGAAACTTCCTTCGTTAGTAAATTTTTCTTACATCAGGCTAAATACTCCACACCAGTCAATGAAGGTGGAGCAAAATTAACTCAAGTTTTTTTTTTTTTGTTTTTTTTTTGAGACAGGGTCTTGCTCTGTCACTCAGGCTGGAGGGCAGTGGTGTGATCATGGCTCACTGCAGCCCCCACCTGCCAGGTGCAAGCAATCCTCCCACCGAGTAGCTGGGACTGCAGGTGCACACCACCATGCCCAGCTAATTTTTGTATGTTTTGTAGAGATGAGGTTTCACCATATTACCCAGGCTGGTCTTGAACTCCTGGCCTCAAGCAACGCCCACCTCGGCCTCCCAAAGTGCTGGGATTGCAGGTGTGAGCCGCCATGCCTGGCCTAAACTCTCCATTTAGATCCACCAATAGGATATTTATAGGGCACCAACTGGGGTGGTTCCTGCCCACAAGGGAGCTTATAGTCTTATGAACACCAAAAAGTCAAACAGCAAAACAGAGTTCATCAGTAGTGTTTCAGGAGAACTGTCTAGATAATGATATAATTGCAAGTCAGTTATAAAAAGGATCACTTCATGGAGTCATGTGGATTCAAACTGCTCATGTCGTCTTTCTTAATACCTCAGCCACCCAACAGCACAGGTCTTCATCCCTTAGACCTGCTCTCCCTCCAAGACTTTGAATTCAGAGACAGTTCCCACCATATCCCCGTTACTCCCTGCTTTTCCTGTACCCCACTCTCTAAGCACACCAGGACTTTTTATCTTTTGAGACAATATAGTGATTCAGAAGACAGGAACACACATACTGAAGCCTGACTGGGTTTCTGTGACCTTGGGCAAGTCACCTAACAACTCAGTTTCCTCATCTGAAGAATGAGGATCATCATAATACTAGTTCATAAGGTTGTGGGGGTGATGCATGTGAGCACTGTGTAGGGGTTTGCTGTCCTTACCAGTACTCTCCTTATTCTCAGTCATCTCCAGCCATGCAACTTCCCTCACCTCCTGACTGATGATGGTCAGTCGGCCCATGCCTGCCTTCACAATGTACAACCCTGAAGACCCAGAAGTTGGTTTTGTCCATTCCCATGGCTAGGATGCCAAGTGTTATTAGGGGAAAATGAACCCTTCTTGGTGTGTTGGACAGACTCACTATGATACCTGTTCTTTGGAACAGTCACCAGTACACAGAGATGGGCTGCCAGTGAGCCCTTGTGCTCTGGCTGTAGCTGATTGTCTAGGAGTGAACATGTAGCCTAGGCTGGGCCCATCATTCCATCTCCCAGGAAACTGAATCTGGAATGGAGGCCTTGACTCGATCCTGATCAATGGCAGAACTTGGGAGAAAGAATCTCTGACTTCTTGATGCCAAGTCCCCAGGGACTGCCCTGCCAACCTCGCTTCTCCTGGCTTCTGCTGAGATACCCCTATGTCTTTCCAATAAATTCCTCTCTCCTCATACCCTGGTCAGAGTGCACCTCTACCTTTCACAGACCAAAGGAACCTCAGCTGAGGTTGCCAAGAAACAATGACAGTGAGGTCTTGCACAGAGCCACACTATTTGATTTCAGATGACTTGTCTGTCACTACAGCCCAGCACTTACTGATCATCTCTTTTTGACTCCCTGGGACTTTCACCACAGCAGCAGTGGTTTAAAATTTTCTCCACTCAGGCCTCACCCGACCCTCCTCCACCTCTTCACCTGCTCTTTAGGGCAGTGGTTCTCAACCCTGGCTCCACACTGGAATCACCCCCAGGGTGCCTGAAAAATCCTGGTGCCTGGGTCTCAGTGGGTCCTGATGGGGTGGAGACTGGCCTGAGTTATTTTCATTTGTACCCTGGATATAGTCCTCTCCCAGTCAGACCAAGACTATTCTACACAAGCCCCTTCAGCCTTCCGCCTCTCCCTCCAACAGTTTTTACTTTCTAAACCCTTTTTCCCTTCCATCCAGGTTTAGAGGATGGCGTGCACCTGCATTTTGCCAAGACAAGGCCTAAACTGAAGAAGGTGGCCAATCCTGTCCCTGTCTTCAATCCCCAGCACCACACGCACACATTCCTTGGGAATCACTGGCCTCTCCTCCTTCCATTTATTTCCTCAGGCTCCTCAGAGGAGCAGGCTGCAGCCTAAAGATTCTATTATGTGCTAAACCAAGTTAGGAAGCACTAAAGAATATATTTATCCTCCTGGGCATAACATGATTTAATCATTGTAATTAAGAGTTTTTAATGAACAGAAAATGTAAATAATAAGAATAAGAATAGAAAACATGTAGTAAAGCACTTACTATCTGTCAGGCACTGTCCTATGCACTTTTCATATATATCTTACCTAAATCTCCAAGCACCCTGTGAGACAGGAGCTGTTATTGCCACCTTACTGGTAAAGAAACTGAGTTATCGCAAGGCTAAGGAGCTTGCCCAAGGACATATAGCTGGAATGTGATGGAGCTGGGATGCAAGAAGATTATAATAAACATTTAGAAATAGGGCATTGTATTTTATTTAAGAAACAGATACATAAATGTTTTGTTTTCAACTTAAATGGTTTTTTACATATGGTTAACTCTAAGTTTGATTTTTTAAGTGGCAGTATGGCCAGGATTTTAAAATTAAAGCAGAAATTAAACAGCTGCTGTCCCTTAGACTACAATCACTTATTTCTGTAGTAATAGCCTTTTTCTTAAAAAAAAAAAAAAAAAAAAAAAGAGAGAGAATGTAGGAGGGTAATTGACAGCATTTTATAGTCAGTGTGGAGGCCAAAAATTATCCAACCTAGTCATGTCATATGCTAATGTTGATTAAATTTAATGCTGAGATTTTTCAGCAAGTGAAAAAAAATTCAATCTATTTGTTTCAACCTAAGAGAGACCATTTATGGAATTCTTGCTGTTTGTAATTGACCACTATTAGAGAAGGAACTGTGTAATGCAGCTGCCCTCTGTGATTATTTTCTGCTTTCCTTAATAAATTACAATTTACAGTAGCACTCACTAGGAGCACTGTTTGCCGCCCCAGTCTGCATGGGCAGACGGCAGAATCACCAAATGAGCACCAGCAAGGTTGAGATGAGGCCACCGCGTGCCCACCATCATAACCAGTTCACCCAAGTGACAAACAAGCCGAAGCTACCACCTTGGCTAAAAAAAGAAATTGACTGCTGCTCAATTAAGCAGAAATGAGACTGTCACTCAGGGGGGTGGACACTGAGAATTGCCTTATTTAGTGCTCAATAGCAATTTGGGTTTTTGGAAGTTATTTTACAGTTGTAATTACAAAGGGAAATGAAGTCTGCTTTTGCAGTGTTACCAGGTGCTCTTCCTTCCATTATAACCTTGATGAATAGCCCCCCAGAGCAAACACACTGGCTGCTCTGCTAACTGGTTTTATTATGCAAGTACAGGATTAAAAGGAATGCCATTCAGTTGAGGCAGCATCTTAAGACCTGGGGACGTCTGTCCCCATGTAAAACTTCTGGTGAATGATTTAAACTATCTCTACTAGGCCAACATCCTTTTAAGCTAAGAAAACCACATTCTAATCTAGACATTTGATATAAAAATTAGATTTCATGAAATAGCATAAACGTATTGTCGTTAGCTCTTCTCTGCCATGGAATCACTGGAGACAAATGTGATCATGTGACAAGGTCCAGGTCCTGAGCTGGCGCAAGAGAGCAGAACTCAGGCTCCACTTCTAACTTTCTATAGTCAGACCTCAGGGCACACCCTTCACTTTTCTGTGCTCCACTTTTCCCTCCTGTTAAACGGGGTTTTCTAAACGGAATACTTGTAAGGAGGGCTACTGAGAGAGATGCTGTGGAAGCAGACCACAGCAGAGTCACGGACTCCTAGAATGTTGGCGGGGACTTGAGCAGCCATCCTGTCCAGCCCCCTCTTTGACAGTGGAGGGAACTGAGGCTGGAAGGAGGAGTGACTGCCCAAGGCCACACAGCCACTTTAGTGTAGGGCCAGAGAGGGAAGCAGATCTCCGAGTCACAGGCCAAGAGCCTCTCCAGGAAAACTTCGAAGCTGAGTGGAATTCAATGCAAAAGTCACAACTTCCACCTTATATCTGACACACAGTGGGTTGCACAGCAATCACAGCCTCGATCTCAGCAAGAATGCTAGCTGATGGCCAAATGATCAGGATATTCCCTCTTGAAATGGGCATGATTGCTGTGCCTATGTTAAAGAGGGAACCAATGACAGGACATAATTATTAAGCATGTGCCATCTGTCAAGTGCTGCCCTGATCAGTAAGCTTGCAGATGGGATCCCCATCTCCCCCAAACAAATGAGGAGAATGAGATCCTTCCATTCCCTTCTGCCTAAAAGTTTCCTCTAAAGCACAGACACAACAATGGAACTAACCAATGAATCTGTGTCTTCCAAGTATTCCGGAAACTCTACACCTCTGGTGGCCTGAGTGGGAAACCACTTGCAAGAGTTGGGTTGGTGAGCTAAGAGCTAACCTTCTGACCCTGGCAATAAACAAATAGTAAAGTTGTCTTTTGCTAGTCAGTACAAAACTCCCTCTCACTGCTCTAAAAACCATTTGGAATTGGTCCAACTTGCATATCTGTTGGATGTTTAAGAAATAGATTAAGAGGTCAACAGAGAAAACAAGGCATCTCCAGATGGTTGTCTAAATGGACAATGGTAAGAAGAAAGGAGTGGAGGGGCTAGGGAGTTCATTGTGGTGGAACAAAAAGGGGCTAATCAGATCACGGAAGCAGAGAGAAGCCCAGAGTCACCAGTGGAGGGAGCCTGCGATTTTTAGGATTTGTTAAATCGAGAGTCATGGAAAATTCAAGTCAACAGGATTAAACTATATTGGGCAGTGCTTCTTGAACTTTAAAGTGCACATTAATTAGCTGGGGATCTTGTTAAAATGCCGATTCTGACTCAGGAAGTCTAGGATGGGACCTAAAATTCTGCATTTCCACAAAGCTCCCAGGTAATGCTGATGCTACTGGTCCTCAGACCACACTTACTGGAGTATTTAAGTCCATGTGACTGACAAGACAGCTGTAGAGGTAGGCTCCAGGATACTCAGTCCAGAGGCTCAATCTCATCCTTGAGGACCCAGTTTATTTCCATTTCTCTGCACTGCTGGCTACAGCTTTGGCTACAGCCAAACAATGTTTCATCTAGTGCTCATGTAACAGCTTCCAGTTGTAATCTGAGCTACTGGCCTCTTCATTCTCATCCGGTGAGAGAATGCCAAGCAGAGCTCTGGGAATTCACCCTAACTGGACCAGCTTAGGTCATATGCCCACCCATGAGCCAGTCACTGTCAGAGGAACGGGCTATGCGAAGTTTGCTTATGCTCATCAGGCCCCATTCCTTGAGTTGGGCAAGGGAGGAGGTTACCCTCAAGCACAAGGGCTTTGTGGGCAAGAGGTGGCTGCCAGATGAAAAAATTGGGTGCTGTAGGAAGTAGTATGGAAGAATGAACACTGGGTATTTTCAGTTAATGATCCTTTGGTTATGGTGGTTGGTAAAAAATGTGAGCATTAGCGACATCCCTTGCCAGTCTTGGGTCTTTGGATGCCCCTAAGCTTTCACTTTGTGTGTGCAAGATCATATTGAGGACTTCACACCCACAAAGGTGTCTGCTAGTGTCACCCACCTACATCCACCCACACATACACACTTGTAAACCCCTGGTTAAAGTGGATGAAAAGGGCTAAGGTCATCTGTGTTTCATGAATGAAATCTGTTTGCCAGCATCCTTCTGTACTGTGGACCTCCTTCCGTGCCTCCACCATTTCCATTGTCCTGGTACAAGATCCAAATGTGTTCTTGGGACCCCAGTAAAGTGTACTTACCCTGTGTTTCATTTTCCAGGGTGACAACTAGCTGATCTGATAACCTGCTTGATATCATGTGTGCCCAGTGGTAAAATGTGTTACTTCTCCCAAAGGGATCATGCTTAGGTTTTAAACTGGTGTCCTCTGCAGCCTCAGCATCTTGAATCAAAGGATTGAGCCCAATAATGGGAATTCAGGCATCATGACAGACTCCAGTGGGAAGACATTTGGGGACAAAGGAGCTTTTGGAGCCCCTTAGGCCACAGTATGTTGGCAGCCATGTGTCCTCACCCAGAGGGAAGGGTAGCCAAGATTGAAGAGAAAATGCACTTCCAGTTTAAAGGCTATTTTTCACAGGGGCACATTCTCTAATAGAAACACACACACACCGTGACATAAAAAAGCATGTTGCTCACGCCTCTATTTATTACTGTTACTTTCAGTATTTATTTATTTTCTATTTTCTATTTCTGATAGAACCTCATAAGATAAAGTCAAAATTGGCCAGGCGTGGTGGCTCATGCCTGTAATCCCAGCACTTTGGGAGACCAAGGCAGGCGGATCACCTGAGGTCAGGAGTTCAAGACCAGCCTGACCAACATGGAGAAACCCCGTCTGTACTAAAAATAGAAAAATTAGCCGGGTGTGGTGGTGCATGCCTGTAATCCCAGCTACTCAGAAGGCTGAGGCAGGAGAATCACTTGAACCCAGGAGGTGGAGGTTGCAGTGAGCCGAGATCGTGCCATTGCATTCCAGCCTGGGTAACAAGAGTGAAACTCCATATCAAAAAATAAATAAATAAATAAGGTCAAAATTAAAAATTAAAAGAGTGTTTTGAGGATGACATCATTTTGTCTGTACATTCTATCAGATATCCATTGAAGTAGCCAAGGTAGCCAGCTGCATTAGGGCTGGGACCCTGCCAGGTCTCCCTAGAGAGGCCAGGAACAAGGATACTGAGGGTCTCCTGTGTAGTTACCTCATCAGCTCTGACTTGGGATCCAGAAGGACCCCGTGCCAAGCAGGAGTTAGAATGATCTTTGTACCCCAAGTCATCCTGCACTTTTCTTTGTCCCCCTAAGCTGGCGAGAAAACTATTTAGATTTCCATTTTAAAATGTGGTAAGTTTTGCTTCACACTGGTTTAAATTATTGCATATTAGACCAGTAAGAGAAGAGTTTCAGATATAAGTTGAGATCCTAAAACATTCCCAGAATCTGCCTCCGCAGTAAGCTGTCAAAGGTGCTATTTTGTTCAGAAAACTACTGGAGGTAATTTTCAGTTCTTAGATCTGGCTGAGGGCATATTATAAAAAGTTAAGAGTTGAAGGAGGAGACAGTTTTTGTCTTCTTTCCTCAAAATGGACAGTATTCTATTGAAAAGACACAGGAGCTCATGTGATTCCCAAAGCTCCAGTGAGTGTTAGTTTGGGGCCTTTCTTCTTCTGCCCTGGAGAACAGAAGGGAGGCCTGGAGCAGTGGGCCATAGGGAAGTTTCCTTTCTTACTCCAAGAAGTGCAGTCAGCTGCGCCTGCCAGGAAGCTGTTAGGATGGGAACTTTATCTTCGGGGAGTGCTTATACCTTTCTAGCTGTGGATACAACTGTACACAGGAGGAAAGAGTCAAGTGTAACTCCCTATGAAAGAAAAAAAATTTAAAGATAAGAACTAAGAGATGGATACTGAATTGTTCCTAGATACATATTTTAAACTCTTGCTTTCATAAAACCAGTCTCTAAAATGACATTTAATAAGGGAAGACAGCTGCCTTAGAGGGCCAGAGGCTTGGGCTTTGGTGCCATTTCTGCTGTTTACTGCTGTGTGCCTTTAGAAAGGCCACTTAACCCAGTAGAGTGACCAGCTCATCCTGATTTTTATGCTGAAAGTCCCATGTGCCTGGAAACCCCTCAGTCCCAGGCAAATCAAGGTGGGCCTTGCTGGGTCTCCCTTTACTCACTGATAAAATATGCAAGTTGGATTAGTTTTTTTTTTTTTTTTTTTTTGAGACAAAGTCTTGCTCTGTCACCCAGGCTGGAGTATAATGACGTGATCTCAGCTCACTGTAACCTCCGCCTCCCAGGCTCAAGTGATTCTCCTGCCTTGGCCTCCCAAGTAGCTGGGATTACAGGCACCTGCCACTACCACCCGGCTAATTTTTGTATTTTTAGTAGAGACAGGGTTTCACCATGTTGGCCAGGCTGGTCTCGAACTCCTGACCTCAAATGATCCACCAGCCTCGGCCTCCCAAACTGCTGGGATTACAAGTGTGAGCCACCACACCTAGCCAGATTAGATTGTTTCTTAAGTCCCTGTTAGCTGCAGAAAAAACTGATTACCTTAAATTGTTCTATTATTTTGTTTATTTACATATAATGGACTATTTTTACTAAAGGATTTGGGGCAGCTTATAGAGAATAAGCAGTATAAAATAGAAAATAGATTTTAAAAAGCAGGGCCAGTAAAAACATATAGAATAGAAGAACAAGGCCAAGGTTCAAGCTGAAGCAGAGAGATGCTGGACATTGATCCAATAACTATTACAATTGAGTGGCAAATCTGGCTCTGAGCTTCCTGGCAGTCAAAGCAAAAAAACAAAACAAAACAAAAAGCCTAATCTATAATATGATTCATTGTGCATGAGGAAAAGTATTAATTTCTCAGGGGAATAAAAGATTTTCCTGGGATTTGGTCTGAAAGAAATTTTACACATGCATCTTTATATAGAGGATATTGAATTGGTTCAGAAACACTGACTTAACAACGTCTTAACAGTAAATGCAATAATGACCTCACATGGCTGTTTATTGGGAGTCCTTCAATGTAAACAGAGGAGAGTACACCAGAGCAAACTCCGTGCAAATAATCCCAGAGTCTGCCAAAATAATATTGTACAAGATGATATTTTTGGCTTGAAAAAGAGAAAATCTACGTAACTTAGAACACTTGGTATGCTGCATGGCCATCAAATAATCCTCTACAGATTAGTATCTTTCAGCCAGACATTTCCTTGGGATTATAAAAGGGTTACAAAGCAGGGAAGAAAAGGGTAAAACTGTACCTCAGATAGAACCACACTAGGAGTTCATTGGCAATGGCCCTTGCTGGAGGTTGCCCCTGGATCTCTTTCCTCACACCCCGGCCCCTCCCACTCCAACCTCCATGTGGCAGGTCCTCTTTCTTCTCCCCGATGGAGTCCCTTCCTCTTTCCCACAGATCAAATAAAATGTCAGTGCATATGGTGTAGATATCTTCGTATCACTGTCCCAAACTGTTTATCATGAAACCTCCAATTTAGAATTTGATTTGGGTTTTGTCTTTAAATAACAAATGTCTGTTGAAGTGTTTCATCCTAATTAAGAGCTCAAACTTCCAAGAGGGAATTCAGATCTCCACCTGGAACTACAGATGGAATTTTAAGGCCTTGGGTGGTGCTCCAGAGTCCAGGTCAAAGCCTTTGAAAATGAAAACATTTTCCCCCAAGTGCTTATGGAACCCACCATTCCCTGGGTAATGTGGCTGGGGTTGTTGGAAGAGATCTTTCTTTATTTTCCACGGCAAATGCCAACATCTCTGAACTTTTCTTTGTTATATCCATAACACAGATGTAAAGACAGAGAGAAATTAAGAAATTAGATCCAGGTGAAGGTAAATGAACATCTGGCAGAAGCAGGGTCCTTTTTAAATTAATTTTTTTGGGGGGGGTTTATTTTGTTTTTATTATTATTATAAAGTCAACACATGCTTACAATAAAAACTCAAATAAAAAAGAGTAAAAAGTAATACTTCCTTTCCCTTCAGACCTACTTCCCAGAGGAGATAGGAAAGATGCACAGCTTGCATATTTTTCTAGATATGTTCTATTGAGCCATATTTCTGATCAAAGATGATCTGTCAAGGATCTGGAAGCTGACTTAACAAATAACTTGCTATTTTTTCAAAAAAAAGTACAAGATACTGATTGAGCATAAAAGTCATGGTTCTTAACTGAATCTCAAATCAGAGCGAGTACCTTATCATTTGGTCAGTGTTTTTCATAACTAAGACCCTTACTCACCTAACATAGGCTACCTACCATAGGTAGCCTAGTATGACAACAGGGAAAATGTTGCAGAAGAAACACATGTGTCTGGAGCAGTTAGCAAACACAAAGGTTCATTAGGGATCCTGTGAAACTCAGCAGCATATTTTACCATCATCTACAGAAATTTAGATATCCTAAGATATAACTTGAGACACCGTGGCATGAGATGGTAGATCTGTTAGATTAAGATCCTTTAAGATGGTGGGATTCTGCAGGTGGTCATATAGTTCTAAAACTGATTCACCGTTAAGGTTACTGAGTGTTGGAAACTAGAGCATAAGTGGTACCAAATTCAGGAAGAAGAAGTAACAATTTGTCTGACTTCCTTGACTCTTGCCTTATTTTTTATTTTTATGAGTCCTTTTAAGGGAATCAAAGTTTCCCTTTCTAATAAAATATAAGTAATCTCAAGTTAACAGTAATAATGAGAAAAGTAAATAATGCAGTTTAAAACTTTTAGCATATGTACACATGCAATAAAAAACACCAGAGACATGTCTCTGCCTTTCAATTTCTTTATCTGTAAAATGGAAAGAACTTTCCTCATTGTGCTTGCCTGAACTAACAGATTACTGTGAAAAACTTTTGAAACTGTCAACACCATTTGTATTAGTTATCTATTGCTGTGTAACAAAATTACCATATATGTGGTGACTCAAAACTAGACAATCATTTATTATCCTCTGCAGTTTTTGTGGGTCAAGAATTCAGACAGGCCCAGCAGGGATTTCTTGTCTCTGCTTCTCACTGTTAATGGTTTTGGCTGGAAAACTCAAAGCTTCAGAACTGGAAGCATGTGAAGGCTCTTCACTCACATGTCTGGCAACTGATGCTGACTGTTGACTGAAGGTCTAACTGGGACTGTGGATTAGAACACCCACATGTGGCTTCTCCATGTGGCCTGGGCTTCCCTAAAACATGGTAGCTGGGTTCCAAAGGCAAGTGTCCTGAAAGAGCCAAGTGGGAGCTATATCCTATGAGAGGTCACATAGCATTGCTTCCACCATATTCCATTGGTCAGGGTAGTCACACCAAGATTTGAAGAGAGGAGACAGACTCCCATCTCTTGGTGAAGAAGTGCCAGGCATCTTGCAAAAAGAGCGTATGGGATAGAAGAACCTTATAGATATTGCGATTTCTGGAAAATACAATCTGGTACACTATTCAATGGAGAAAGGGTTATTGTTAGTGGTAATATTAATGCTAGGAAGGTTTTTTAGACATGATTATTAACACTCCTCTTTTGTCAGATCTTGGACTATCTCTATGTGCAAAACAGTGAAATAGGTAAGGCTTGTTTTCAAAGATGTGCCCCTGCCCCTAGCCTTCTACTTCACTCTTATATTTATTCTTCCTCTCTCCCAGGGGTTCATCTTTCCATAACACTTCCCAGATTCCCAAGCTCCAGACATTTCTATTTTTCTACCTCCCATGCAAACTCAACCTTTGCTGTCCCCATCCACCAAGGCCTCAAGAGATCTCACTTTCAACCCCACTTGCTAAAGTAAAAATGGTTTATGAGCCATCTCAGAGACAGAACTAATTTCTACAGCATCAGGGCTTTGTGAAAGCAATGTCATATGCCAACACATATCTTGGGGGACCAGTAAAGCCAGTAAGGTTCTTGCACTGTAAAGGAATTTGCTCCTTGCTTCAGAAGAGCCAAAGCATGTCCTTGATAGACACCAGAATGTTACCTCTTGTTATCTGTGGAATTATGGGTGACTTTTACTTTATCCATTCATATTTTCAATCTTTTATAAGTTTTCCACAAAGAATGTGTATTGATTTTGTCATTTGGAAACAAAGCTATTTTTTAACAGCTTTATTGAGATATAATTCACAGACCATACAATTCGCACACTTAAAGTGTACAATTCAGTGGCTTTTAGTGTATTTACAGAGGCGTGCATCCATCACCACAATCAACTTTAGAAACATTTTTATTACCTCCCAAAGAAACCTCACACCCCTTAGCTGTCCCCCTTAACTCCTCATCCCCCATTTTCTGTCTCTATGGATTTGCCTGTTCTGTACCTTTCATGTAAAAGGAATCATATAATATGTGGTCTTTTGTGACTGGTTTCTTTCACATAGCATAAGGCTTTTCAAGGTTTTATGGATTATAGAATGTATCAGTATTTCTTTCTTTTTATTGCTGAATAGCATCTCATCATATGGGTATATCACATTTCATTTATCCATTCACCAGTTGAGAGATGTGCCAAATCTTTACCCCTGGAAGTGAGTCATAGGAGCCAGAATTTCTCTTCCCCAAAGTGAGTCATAGAACCTAGAACTCCTCTCCCCAAAGCAAGCCATAAAACCTAGGATGATCACTCTCCCTCTTCCCTTCTTCCTTGAAGACTCTCATCCCAGAAGGATCTTGCCCAATCCTCAAGGAAGGAATGCTACACAGAGAGGCCAAGAAGGATTTGAACAGACAGGTCTTGCTGGGTTCCCCCTCTCCATCTATTACTATTAGATCATACCCTTTTAATCTAATCATATTTCTGCATGGCCATCCATTCTTCATTAAACCTAAGCATAAACATACAAAATTTTCCCTGGTTTTTGGATCTTTATTTCTGAAGGCTCCTATGTCACGTAAAACTTTGATTAAATAAGCTATTATGCTGTTGTCTTGTTAACCCAACTCCTGCTATAGGCGTGTTGGTTGTGATTCTTATGATGGGTGAGGAAAGGTACCACACCTTTCCACCCCTACAGGGACATCTGAGTGGTTTCTGTTTTTTGCCTATTATACATACTACTACTGCTGTGGACATTCGTTTATAATTTTGTGACTGGACACACATTTTCATTTCTCTTATATATACACATGTGAATGGAATTGTTAGACTATGTGGTAGCTGTTTAACCATGTGAGGAACTATAGGGCTGTTCTTCAAAGTTGGTGTACCATTTTACATTCCTACCAGCAGTGCCTGAGTGTTCTAATTTTCTCTACATCCTCCCCAACACTAAATTATTACCTGTCTTTGCGTCTAGCCATCCTACTGGGGTGTATCACATTGTGGTTTTGATTTGTATTTCTCTAACTGCTAGTGATGTTGAGCATCTTTTCATGGGCTTGTTGGCCATTTGTGTATCTTCTTAGGAGAAATGTTGATTCAAATTCATTGCCAATCTTTCAACTGGATTGTCTTTTTATTACAGTAGTCCCCCCTTATCCACGGGGGATATGTTCCAAGACCTCCAGTGGATGCCTGAAACTGAAAAGAGTACCAAACCTTATATATACTTTGCTTTTTCCTATGCATACATACCTGTGTTAAAGTTTAATTTATAAATTAGGCACAGTAAGAGATTCACAATAACTAATAATAAATGGAACAATTATAAAAATATGCCAGCATCACTACGATTGCACTTTGGAGCCACTATTTAGTAAAACAAAGGTTACTTGAACACAAGCACTGCAATATTATGACAGTTGATCTGATAATTAGGAAGGTTCCTAAGTGACTAATGGGTGGGTAGAGGATACAGCGTGGATGTGCTGGACAAAGGGATGCTTCACTTACCCGGTGAGGTGAAGCGGGGTGGCATGAGATTTCATCACACTGCTCAGAATGGCCTGCAATTTAAAACTTATTAATTGCCTATTTCTGGAATTTTCTATTTAATATTTTCAGCCCATGGTTGACTGTGGGTAGCTAAAACTGCAGAAAGCAAAACCATGGACAAGGAGGAACTACTGTATAGAATTGTAATTGATCTTTATATATTCTAGATACAAATCCTTTACCAGATGTGTGATTTACCAAATTTTCTATAGATTGTCTTTTCACTTTCTTGATGGTGTCTTTTGGAGCATAAAAGTTGTAATTTTGATGAAGTCCAGCTCATTTGTTTTTTTCTTGTCCATGTGCTTCGATGTCATATATATGTAAAAAAATCATTGCTTAATCCAAGGTCACAAAGATTTACCCCTATATTTCTTCTCAGATTTTTATACTTTCAGCTCTTACACTTAAGTTTTTGATCAATTTTGAGTTAATTTTTGTATATGCTGTGAGGTAGGGGTTCAACTTCATTCTTTTGCATGTGGATATCCAATTTTCCAGCATTATTTGTTGAAGAGACTATTTTTTCCCCATGGAATTGTTTTGACACCTTTGTCAAGAAAATCAATTGACTAGAAATTCAGGGGATTATTTCTGGTCTCTCAATTTTTATTTACTGATCTATATGTCTATCCTGAGAGAATAACTCACTGTCTTGATTATTGTAGCTTTGTAGTGAGTTTTGAAGTTGGGATATGTGATACTCCAAGTTTTTCTTTACTTGCAAGGTTGTTTTGACAGAAGACATACAAATGGCCAACAGACATATGAAAAAATGCTCAATATCACTAATCATCAGAGAAATGCAGATCAAAACCACAATGGATATCACCTCACCCCAGTTGGAATGGTTGTTATCAAAAAAGACAAAAAATAACAAGAGCTACTGTAGAGAAAATGGAATTGTTAGACACCATTGGTGGAAATGTATTATGGAAAGCCATTATGGAAAATAGTATGGAAGTTACTCAAAATATTAAAAATAGAACTACTATATGATCCAGCAATCCCATTACTGGGTATATATCCAAAGAAAAGGAAGTCAGTATATCAAAGAGATAGCACTCCAATATTTACTACAGCACTATTCACAATATCCAAGATATGAAATAACTTGTGTCCATCTACTGATGAATGGATAAAGGAAATTTTATACACACACACACACAGAAATACTATTCAGCCATAAAACAGAATGAAATACTGTCACTGGCTAGGTGCAGTGGCTCATACCTACAATCCCAGCACTTTGGGAGGCCGAGGCAGGAAGATCACTTAAGCCTGGGAGCTGGAGACCAGCCTGGGCAACATAGTGAAACCTCATCTCTACTAAAATTAAAAATTAAAAAAAAATAGCCAAATGTTGTGGCATGCACCTGGAGTCTCCAGCTACTTGGAAAGCCGAGGTAGGAGGATCGCCTGAGCCCAGGAGTTTCAGGCTGCAGTGAGCCATGATTGGACCACTGCATTCCAGCCTGGGCAACAGAGTGAGACCCTGTCTCAAAAAATAAAAATAAAAGAAAGGGAGGGAGGGAGGGAGGGAGAAAGGAAAGAAGGAAGGAAGGGAGGGAGGGAAAGACATTCTGTCATTTGCAGCAACATGAGTGAACCTGGAAGACATTAGGTTAAGTGAAATAAGACTGGCACAGAAAGATAAAGATAAACACACTCTCATTCTTGTGTGGAATCTAAAATCATTGATCTCATAGAAATAGAGAGTAGAACAGCGGTTACTAGAGAGTGAGGAAGGGGAGAAGAGGGATGGGTAGATGTTAGCTAACATCTAGCCAGTTACAGTTAGACAGAAAGAATTAAGTTCTGGTGTTCTATTACACAGTAGAGTGATTGTAGCTAATAAGAATACATTGTATATTTCAAGATAGCTAGAAGAGAGGGCTTTAAATGCTATCACCACAAAGAAATAATAAGTGTTTAAAATGATGGATATATGCTAATTATCCCGATTTTACCATTATGCAATGTCCACATGCATTGAAACATCACACTGTACCCCATAAATATGTACAATTTTGTGTCAATTATAAATTTTAAAAGACAAAATAGAGACTGTTTTGTCTATTCTGTGTCTCTTGAATTTTTATATGAATTTCAGGATCAGCTTATCAATTTCTACAAAGATGTCAGCTGGGATTTTGAAAAGAATGACGTTGAATCTGCAGATCAATTTGGGGAATATTGCCTTCCTGATAATAGTACATCTTCTAATCCATGAACATGTGATGCTTTCTGTTTATTTAGGTCTTCCTTAATTCCTTTCAGCAATATTTTGTAGTTTTCAGAGTATGAGTTTTGTGCTTCTTTTATTAAATTTACTGCTGTTTTATTCTTTTTTTCTTTTTCTTTTTTTTTGATGGAGTCTTGCTCTGTTGCCAGGCTGGAGTGCAATGGCGCGATCTCAGCTCACTGCAACCTCTGCCTCCCAGGTTCAAGTGATTCTCCTGCCTCAGCCTTCCGAGTAGCTGGGACTATAGGTGGATGCCACCACACCTGGCTAAGTTTTGTATTTTTAGTAGAGACAGGGTTTCACCATGTTGGCCAGGCTGGTCTTGAACTCCTGACCTTGTGATCCACCCACCTTGGCCTCCCAAAGTGCTGGGATTACAGGCATGAGCCACCGTGCCCAGCCATTTTATTCTTTTAGGTACTATTATAAATGGAATTGTTTTCCTTTTAGTTTTTAGTTTTTGGGGATGGAGTCTCACTCTGTCACCCAGGCTGGAATGCAGTTTTCTTAATATAATTTTTGCTTGCTCAATGCTACTGCACAGAAATACAGTTGATTTTACTGAACACATTTATTATTTCCAGTAGTTTGTTAATGGGTTTCCTGGGATTTTCTATACATAAGATCATGTCATCTGCAAATGGAGATAGTTTTACTTCTTCATCTCCAATCTGCATATACTTTATTTCATTTTCTTGCCAAATTACCTTGGCTAGACCCTCCAGTACAATGTTGAATAGAAGAGGCAAGAATGGACATACTTGCTTTGTTCCTAATCTTTGGGAGAAAACATTGTCTTCCACCATTAAGTATGACACTCACTATGGGTTTTTCATAGTTATCTTTTATCAGGTTGAAGAAGTTCCCTCCTATTCCTAGTTTGTTGAATGTTTTTATCATTAAAGTGTATTGGATTTTGTCAAATACTTTTTCTGTATTTATTGAGCTGATCATGTGGTTTTTGTCCTTATTCTATTGATGTAGTATATTACCCTAATTGATTTTTGGATGTTAAACCAACTTTGCTTTATGAATCTGGGTGCTCCTGTATCGGGTGCATATATATTTAGGATAGTTAGCTCTCCTTATTGAAGTGATCCCTTTACCATTATGTAATGGCCTTCTTTGTCTCTTTTGATCTTTGTTGGCTTAAAGTCTGTTTTATCAGAGACTAGGATTCAACCCCTGCTTTTTTTTTGCTTTCAATTTGCTTGGTAGATCTTCCTCTATCCCTTCATTTTGAGCCTATATGTGTCTCTGCACGTGAGATGGGTCTCCTGAATACAGCACATTGATGGGTCTTGACTCTTTATCCAATTTGCCAGTCTGTGTCTTTTAATTGGGGCATTTAGCCCATTTACATTTAAGGTTAATATTGTTATGTGTGAATTTGATCCTGTCATTATGATGTTAGCTGGTTATTTTGCCCGTTAATTGATACAGCTTCTTCATAGCCTCGATGGTCTTTACAATTTGGCATGTTTTTGCAGTGGCTGGTACCAGTTGTTCTTTTCCATGTTTAGTGCTTCCTTCAGGAGCTCTTGTAAGGCAGGCCTGGTGGTGACAAAATCTGTCAGCATTTGCTTGTCTGTAAAGTATTTTATTTCCCCTTCACTTATGAAGCTTAGTTTGGCTGGATATGAAATTCTGGGTTGAAAATTCTTTTCTTTAAGAATGTTGAATATTGGCCCCCACTCTCTTCTGGCTTGTAGGGTTTCTTCCGAGGGATCCACTGCTAGTCTGATGGGCTTCCCTTTGTGGGTAGCCTGACCTTTCTCTCTGGCTGCTCTTAATATTTTTTCCTTCATTTCAACCTTGGTGAATCTGACAATTATGTGTCTTGGAGTTTCTCTTCTCGAGGAGTATCTTTATGGTGTTCTCTGTATTTCCTGAATTTGAATCTTGGCCTACCTTGCTAGGCTGGGAAAGTTCTCCTGGATAATATCCTGAAAAGTGTTTTCCAACTTGATTCCATTCTCCCTGCCACTTTCAGGCACACCAATCAAATGTAGATTTGGTCTTTTCACATAGTCCCATATTTCTTGGAGGCTTTGTTCATTTCTTTTTACTCTTTTTTCTCTAATCTTGTCTTCTCACTTTATTTCATTAATTTGGTTTTCAATCATTGATATCCTTTCTTCCACTTGATTGGATTGGCTATTGAAGCTTGTGCATGCCTCACGAAGTTCTCATGCCACGGTTTTCAGCTCCATCAGGTCATTTAAGGTCTTCTCTACACTGTTTATTCTAGTTAGCCATTCATCTAACCTTTTTTTCAAGGTTTTTAGCTTCCTTGTGATGGGTTAGAACATGTTCCTTCAGCTCGGAGAAGTTTGTTATTACCGACCTTCCGAAGCCTACTTCTGTCCACTCGTCAAAGGCATTCACCATCCAGCTTTGTTCCATTGCTGGCAAGGAGCTGCAATCTTTTGGAGGAGAAGAGGTGCTCTGGTTTTTAGAATTTTCAGCTTTTCTGCTCTGGTTTCTCCCCATCTTTGAGGTTTTATCTACCTTTGGTCTTTGATGTTGGTGACCTACGGATGGGGTTTTGGTGTGGTTGTCCTTTTCGTTGATGTTGCTGCTATTCTTTTCTGTTTCCTTCTAACAGTCAGGTCCCTCAGCTGCAGGTCTGTTGGAGTTTGCTGGAGGTCCACTCCAGACCCTGTTTGCCTGGGTATCACCAGCAGAGGCTGCAGAACAGCAAATATTGCTGCCTGATCCTTCCTCTGGAAGCTTTGACCCAGAGGGGCACCCACCTGTATGAGGTGTCAATCAGCCCTTACTGGGAGGTGTCTTGCAGTTAGGCTACACTGGGGGTCAGGGACCCACTTGAGGAGGCAGTCTGTCCAATCTCAGAACTCAAACGCTGTGCTGGGAGAACCACTGCTCTCTTCAGAGCTGTCAGACAGGGACGTTTAAGTCTGCAGAAGTTTCTGCTGCCTTTTGTTCAGCTATGCCCTGCCTACAGAGGTGGAGTTTATAGAGGCAGTAGGCCTTGCTGAGCTGCGGTGGGCTCCACCCAGTTCGAGCTTCCCAGCTGTTTTGTTTACCTACTCAAGCCTCAGCAATGGTGGACGCCCCTCCCCCCACCAGGCTGCAGCCTCGGAGGTTGATCTCAGACTGCTGCCCTAGCAGTGAGCAAGGCTCCGTGGGCATGGGACCCACTGAGCCAGGCACGGGAGAGAATCTCCTGGTCTGCCAGTTGCTAAGACCTGGGAAAAGCACAGTATTTGGGCAGAAGTGTCCTGTTTTTCCAGGTACAGTCTGTCACGGCTTCCCTTGGCTAGGAAAGGGAAATCCCCCAACCCCTTGTGCTTCCCAGGTGAGGCGATGCCCGCCCTG
Source organism: Homo sapiens (assembly GCF_000001405.40). Lineage (NCBI taxonomy): Eukaryota > Metazoa > Chordata > Mammalia > Primates > Hominidae > Homo > Homo sapiens. The sequence continues at coordinate 27,449,526 of NC_000007.14, forward strand.
CTTCAGCTCACCCTCCGTGGGCTGCACCCACTGTTCAACCAGTCCCAATGAGATGAACCAGGTACCTCAGTTGGAAATGCAGAAATCACTGTCTTCTGTGTCAATCATGCTGGGAGCTGCAGACCAGAGCTATTCTTATTCAGCCATCTTGCACCATCCGATGTTAAACCAACTTTGCGTCCCTAGGACAATCCCACTTGAGCGTAGTATATAATTATTTTTCTATATTACCTATCCTAATATTTTGTCAAAGACTTTTGTACCTATATTCCAAGTGATGCTGATATGTAGTTTTTCTTTTCTTGCCATGTCTTTGTCTGATTTTGCTATCAGAGTAATACTGGCCTCATGAGTGAGCGGGGAAGTCTTCCCTTCTCTTCTATTTTTTGGAAAAATGTGTGAAGAATTGGCATCAGTTCTTTTTTAAATGTTTGGTAGAATTCATCAATGAAGCCATCTGGTCCTGGGCTTTTCTTTATAGGAAGCTTCTTGATTACTAATTTAATTTCTACTTATTTTAGGTTTACTCACGTTTTCTATTTCTTCTTAAGTAAGTTTGGTTGCATCTGCCTTTCCAGGAATTTGTCCATTTGATCTGTTATCTAGTTTGTTGGCATACAATTTTTTTATAGTATTCCCTTATAATTTTTATTTCTGGAACGTCAGCACTAATGTCCCTCTTTCATTTTTGAGATTTATCTCTTTTTTTCCTGTCTGGCTAAAAGTTTGTCAATTTTGTTGATCTTTTCAAAGAACTAACCTTCAGTTTCATTGATTTTCTCTATTGTTTTTCTGTTTGCTATTTTACTAACTTCTGCACTAATCCTTGGTGCTGCCTTTTTTTCTGCTTGTTAACAAAGCTTTTTTGACATATTAAAAAGAAGAAAAAATTACTTATCCAATATACTTTTGATGGTTATTTGGGTTATTTCCTGATTGAGGCTAGAGGCTATTATGTATAAAGTTGTATGAACATTCTTGCACATATATTTATACGAACATATATTTTTATTTATCTTAAGTACCTTGGAGTGCAACAGGAATAGGGTAGATGTATGTTTCAGTTTACGGAAAACTGTCAAACAATTTTCCAAAGTAGTTGTGCCATGTTATATTCCAACTAGCACTCTGAAAATCACCACATCCTCCCAACATTTGGTATTGTCAGTCTTTTTCCTTTTAGCATTGTGGTGGGAGTATAATGGTATCTGGTATTTTAGTTTGCATTTCCCTGATAACTAACGAGACTGATCGTCTTTTCACTTCTCTCAAAGTAACTAATGAATTTTGTCCCCTTTTCTGTTGACTTGTCTCCTTTTGTCTTACTGATTTGAGTTCTTAATATATTTTTTATATATGTCTTTTGTTGAATAAATTACAGGACCTTCATACAATGGATTACTCTAAAGTAATCAAAGTCAATTAACTATTGCTATATACAGTTACGTGTGTAAACTCACAGACATAATATTGAGAAAAAGAAGCTTTCAAAAAAGAGTACATACTGTGTAACTCTATTTGCATAAAGCTCAAAACTAGGCAAAACCAATGTACTATATTAAAAGTCAAGTGAGTGGTCCCTATAGGATATTGGGTAATGACTAGGAAGGGGGCATGTGGGGATCCCTGGGTATCCTGGTAACATTCTATTTCTTCAACTGTACACAGGTTACACAGGTGAGTTCACTTGTGAAAATCTATTGATATGCCACATTGCAGTTTGTGCACTTTTCTGAATGTTACATCTGAGCAAACTATTTTAAAAAAAGGAAAATTGAATGAGTTCTTGAAAAAAATCTGTTAATTATCACATGATATTTGTTAGCAGATTCTCTGTATATGATGTATTTCTAACTTACTGTATTAAGGTGGGGGTTTTTGTATTAAATGCTTTCCTTGTTCATACTTTATATTGTAAGCCTAAAAATTTCATTCATAGGTCAATAACAGCTTAACTTTTCCTTTGCTCTGGACTGCAGACATCTTGGCAAATAACACAATCTGAGTTCCCAAGGGCTATACCGATTTTAAAATCTGCTCCTTCCCCATCAATCCCATAATGCTGAATACAGTGCTCATACAATGAAATGCCACAGCTAACACTGCTCTAGCTGTCCCCTTAGGAATTCATTGTAAAAGGGTTTCACTGTACTTTGTAAAGCAATTTGGAATCCTTCATGATGAAATGTTCTATATAAAGAAGGTAATATAATGGACTTGGCTTTCAACTTATTTCATTTAAGCCTTAACAGAAACATGAATCTACTATATTAGCATCATAAACCAATAGGTGCTATATAAATGCTGAATAGAAATATTCTGGGTGAATTAAATTGCGAATATAGCCATGTATTAGCTAAGTGCTTTACCAAGTATTATGCAAATACTGATTAATAAGGCAATTATACTCAAAATAATAATAATAATGTTACATTCTTCTATATTCTCCCAATTCTCTGAGCACCCATTGACTTAGTTATTTTGTTTGTGTCTGCCACCTAAATCTCAAGCCTAAATGCAAACTCACATAAGATGTCCCTTTGGAAGGAAACAGTCTTCCTCATGGGTTGGTACCAAACAAAAACTTCAGCAAGTATATGTCAAGGGGGCGGGTAAAAGAAGTCCCTCTAACACATGTGATTGACATGCTTTTAAAAAGTCCATAATATTCGAAAAAATACTCCCAGGTCCTGTGTAATACTGCCCAGAGTTACTTTTATACTCCTTAGCATTTCTTTGGAGACCAGATTCTCCAATGCTTCCAACATTATAATCATGTCATTGAACAGTTGCTATGCTTCACCCCAAAGACAGTGATGACCAGAAATGCCTGATGCAACCCCTACATGAAGTTTAAAAAGTTACTGGAGGCTGGGCGCGGTGGCTTATGCCTGTAATCCCAGCACTTTGGGAGGCCGAGGTGGGCAGATCATGAGGTCAGGAGATCAATACCATCCTGGCTAACACGGTGAAACCCTGTCTCTACTAAAAATACAAAAAATTAGCCAGGCATGGTGGCGGGCGCCTGTAGTCCCAGCTACTCAGGAGGCTGAGGCAGGAGAATGGCGTGAACCCGGAAGGCAGAGCTTGCAGTGAGCCGAGATCGCACCACTGCACTCTAGCCAGGGTGACAGAGCGAGACTCCGTCTCAAAAAAAAAAAAAAAAAAAAAAAGTTACTGGAATGCTTTTGATGAAAGGTGTGTTAACATGAATCATTATCGTCATCATCATTGCTCTTTTAAAAATTTCATCTTTCAGGACTGATAGATGATTCCTACTTTTATAGGAGCTGCATTTTAAAAATGTTTTGGGTTTTTATTTTTGTATTTGTGAGTCTAGATTTACAGAGAAATGTATTTATGGAAAAATGTGTTAAATCTCCAGCTATTAGTTTTGCAGGTATGTCAGATGAAGTACTCAACTTGATGGGTGAAAAATGGAATTTCTATTTCAGCCTCTCATTTACTGTGCCTTACTGTGATGGGACAGGGCACAGCAGGGTCTGGTTAGAAATCAATTTTCTTGAAGTTCTAGCCCTCCGTACAAAATAATATAAATCACCAATCCTGTTGCAGAAAGTTTCAAATTTCACTTTGAATGGTCACAAATTTGAAAATGAAGAGAAGAGGGACTGCTAGACTGGAGAGGCTGCTAAAGAGAGGATGGTGACCAGCTGTTGACAGTGTCACTGAAGATGGGGCCTGGCTTAACTGAATCAGGAAGGGTGAGGGTTTATATCCCTGAAAGGAGTTGCAATGAAACATGCAAGTCCCTCATCTCAAGGAAAGCACGGAATGAACCTTATTCTTGTCTCTATTCCTTTGAGTTGTAACATCACAGATATTCTGTGCACAAAGATTCTTATTTTAAGAGTAGTCTAGCTGGGTGTAGTGGCTCACGCCTGTAATCCCAGCACTTTGGGAAGCCGAGGTGGGTGGATCACCTGAGGTCAGGAGTTCAAGACCAGCCTGGCCAATGTGGTGAAACCCCATCTCTACTAAAAATACAAAAATTAGCCAGGCGTTGTGGCACATGCCTGTAATGCCAGCTACTCAGGAGGCTGAGGCAGGAGAATCACTTGAACCCAGGAGGCGGAGGTTGCAGTGAGCCGAGATCACGCCATTGCACTCCAGCCTGGGTGACAGAGTGAGACTCTGTGTCAAAAAAAAAAAAAAAAGTAGTCCAGAGGGTTTCAAAGCTCTTGTAGCTGTGGCATACTTTGTTCAAGGAACCTTTAACATGAAACCTCAAAGAGAAAACAAAAGCCCCAGGATCCTCTCAGGCCTCCTCTCCTTCTCCAGCCCTCCACAGGGGCCCTCCCAGCCTGTTGTCACTGCTCTATTCTTGTGGAATGAAGATCCACAAGGTGAGGCCATTGTTAGACTCCCAAAACCTTCAGTGAGCTTCATGAAGCAGATGGGATCTGAACCAGGACTCTGTCGTGGGGGATGAGGGGGGACAACTTCGGTCACATCAAGAAGAAAGGAATGAAACACAGGGAATGAGGTTGCTACAAAGTCACTGGAGGGGCCGGAGGAATGAGTCATGGGGTCGCTAGGCTAGATGATTGGCTTCAAGGTCACACCACAGCAGCTATGATGACGAAGTCAGGAAACTACCAGACACTGAACTGCCTCCACTCTGGCTGCTGCCACAGTCACCCTATACCCAAGAAATTGTTAGAGACCAGCTGCTGCCAATAGTGCTTGCTCGTCAGGCAGCACTGCTGCAGGAAGATGGCCTCTGCTTCTCTCTTTCTAATCTTTATGCAAGGGCATATCTCACTGCAGAATCTAAATCACGTCCAGAACCATAGTCTAGGAGTCTGAGAGTCTAGCTGTCAGCCTTCCAGCTCCATGAGAGGAGACAGAACTAGGCGGATCTCAGTGGATCTGGCACAGAACAACTGGGGAAGAGGCAATGCTTGTGAAGAGCCTGAGCGAAAGTGGTGTCAAAGTAAACTGGAGGTAAATTCTGGAAGTGGAGAGCTTTAGTCCTGCTGTGAATCAACAAAAAACACCAGCAGCCTTCAATGGATAAGTGGAAGGCAAAGAATCTCCTTCCATAGAAAAGTTAAATAATGAGGCCAGGTACGGTGGCTCACACCTGTAATCCTAGCACTTTGGGAGGCCAAAATGGGAAGATCACTTGAGGCCATGAGTTCGAGACTAGCCTGGGAAACATAGCAAAACCTTGTTTCTACACTGAGAAAAATATTACCAGGCATAGTGGCAGGCACCTGTAATCTCAGCTACTTGAGAGGTTGAGGCAGGAAGATTCCTTGAGCCAGGAGTTTGAGGCTGCAGTGAGCTATGATCACGCCACTGCACTCCAGCCTGGGCGATGGAGCAAGACCGTGTCTCAAAAAAAAAAAAAAAAAAAAAAAAGGAAAGAAAAGAAAAATTAAAGAATAGCTCAAGCCATCATTTTTAGGATCATTTAAGATGAAGTCTTTGATTTCTTTCCTATTTTTGTAACATAAGAAACTTATGTTCATTGTAAAAATACTAGAAAATGCATTCACTCAAAAAGAAAAATAAAAACCACCCATAATCCCACCATCCAGGGATAATCACAGTATTGGTGACTCTCTTTCCTTCCAGATATTCCAGGGTTATTTTACTATGATATCATTGTTTTAAACTTTTTAAAAATTATGAACAATGTCATCCAGTGGCATTATCAATATTAACAGCCACATTGTTGACAGCATTCTGTTATAGAGCTGTCTCATACTTTAATAAAATATTTGAAGTCCCCATTTTGTTGGAAATGCTAATATGTTAGATTAACAGTGATGGAATGGATAGAAAAGGCAATATTGCAGAGGAGGTTTGAATTGGGAGGTGCTTAAAGCTAAAGTATTAATGACATGGGAGGATGCAGGAAAACTCACAATCCGTTGAAGCTAGAAGGAACTTAGAGGTCATCCTCGTCCACTTTCCTCATTGAAGGGATGAGGGTAACTGCAGCCACATCACACTCTCTTTATCCCAACCTCTCCAGTCCTCATTCTTCGTATTTCTTTATTCTGTCCTCAGCCATGTGTGTGATTCTTATTAAAACTCCAATCTAAACAGCAACTCACAGAAAATATGACTTAAAGAATAAGAACAACAAAAAATCCAAGTTGTCATAATTCCATTCCATTCATTCCTTTCACCTAGCATTTATTGAGAGACCATTCTGTGGCTGATACAGTGTTATGAAGGAGGGGTTTAAAAATCCAACACAGAGCCTAGCACGGTGGCTCACGCCTGTAATCCCAGCACGTTGGGAGGCTGAGGCAGGCGGATCACAAGGTCAGGAGATCAAGATCATCCTGGCTAACATGGTGAAACTCCGTCTCTACTAAAAAAAAAATACAAAAAATTAACTGGGCATGGTCCGGGCACCTGTGGTCCCAGCTACTCGGGAGGCTGAGGCAGGAGAATGGCGTGAATCCGGAGGTGGAGCTTGCAGTGAGCCGAGATTGCACCACTGCACTCCAGCCTGGGCGACAGAGCAAGACTCCGTTTCAAAAAAAAAAAAAAAAGAAAAAATCCAACACAGATCCAACCCTCCACACACTCACTATCTTACAAAGGAGATGAGAAGAAGTCTTTCAGTCACATTGAGGCACATGCTTTTCCTATATGTGGGAATGGCCCTGGGACCCAGACAATTTCTTCCACAATTTTTTCCTTCTTGGGTTTTGGTTGTAAAAAAGCAGGAAAGTGAGAAAGGAGGGTGTATGTGGTTTTATGTCTTCCAGTACAAGAACATTTAAGACATGATCTCTAATATTTTTCTTGTCTAGACATCCCCATCTTTTTATTTTTTTATTTTTATTTTTTATTTTTTTTAAATATTACGTAAGGTTTTCTTTTATTTAAAAGATCATTCACAAAATACCATATCCATAGATTTACTTTCTGTCATATAGCTGAATGTGTTAAGTGTTTGGAATTCCATTCTTACATTTAAAAGTCAACTGGATTGCCCAGCAGTTTAGATGCATGTGTTTTGTTCTTTATCTTATCCACATTGAAGATGTAAGTAGGTCATCTGAAAGCCTCGGGTTTGATTACACCACATAATGCATGTCTTTCTGAAGTTAAGTGTTGGTGTTACACAAATGGTTCTTATCTCAGAAGCAGAGAAGCTGACAGGTGGAAGGAAGGAGAGAGAGTTCTGTGGATTGCTGAGGCCTTGTAACAAGACACAGTAGGAAAAGCCCAGGATGACGGCTGGTGACCAAATACTAAGCACATTCCGCTGGGTGCCCCAGGCCACCCTGGCCCTGCCATCACCTGGCGAGGGCCTCTTTCCCAGGCTCCTGCTGCCGGCCGCCCCCAAACTGCTCCCCATAGGACAGACTGGGACTTGGGTACTGAAGGATTTTTCATCTGTTCACACGCAGGCGTTCAAGCTCAAAAGCCTAACCCCTAGCACTCCCACGTAAGTGCTGAACCCTGCACATGGGAACAATCCAGTGTGTCCCCAAGATGTGGCCGCAGACCTAGGCAGCTGCAGTCCTCTACTGCTATCTGAAGGTTCCTGACAGCTCTGCACAGTACAATTTATCAAAGGAAATGAGTAAAGTGCCAGATTCTAGACCCATTTTGGCTCTGAACTGAAGGGGAGGTGGGAAGCACAGTATCTCATTATGTTGCCTATACTAGGAACAGATCCACACAACACACAGGCAACAGGGATGGGGGGAAACGCTGTGTCAGCGCCGCAGTCAGCCCAGTGCAGCGCCAGCACCACCCCCTCCACCCCCAAAGCGCCTTGGCCCAGCAGAAAAGAAACCCGCTGGCCGTTCACTGCACCCGGCCAGAGAGGCGAGCCTCCACCACGCACGGCGAAAGGAGTGAACTAGCTGGGACACACACACGTGTGAATGCATGCAAGCATTCACTGCATCTTCTCCGTGGACTCCCTACCGCTCTTCCATGGCCCCCCCTTTCAGCCTCACTGTTTCTCGTGTGAGCCTATCTGCTTGGACAGTCCACTCGGGAGGGGGTCATGGAGCCAGGACTCCCTCTAAATAGGAATGGAAAGGACCCTGCAGATATTTTTATCCTAGTTGTGAAAACAAGGTGCCTCCGATTCTCTATATCCATCACAGCTGAATACCAACAAGGTCTCTGCAGTTCCCTCTGTCAGTGACTCTGGTTTTTGTTGGAAGCCCCAGCAATACAGAACTCAACATGCAGGTCAGAAGAGAAGCACTGAGGGAATGAAAGGAAACTCCTGGAGTTGGGCCAGTGTCTAAAGTAAAGAGAAAGCAAAGGAAAAATGACGCAGCACCGCAGCCCAAACGCCCCCCCACGGCGGCCACCTCTGCTCCTCCGAGGAACCCCGTGTGCTGCTGGGAAAACAAGGAGCAGGAGAAAAAGGACAGAAGGAAAATGGGGAAGCAGCGGAAGAAAGAAAAAAACGCACAAACAGGCACTAGATAGATACAGCAAAGCCCAGAATGTACTAAAAACCACTTGTTAACAGCTGACATGCACTCACAAGCTGTGTTTCCGCTGTGAGGAGGCCAATGGCAGGCGCAGGAGTGGCGGCTGCAGGACGGCTGCCCGGGGACTCACCAGGCTGTGGTCCTGCTCTAACCCCCCACGCCCCATTCCCTCCCAACCGCAGGCTCATTTTTGCTCCTTTTGAACAACTTCCTCTCTAGGCCTGGCACCCCCGAAGATAGCAGAGTTGGGATTGGCTACTTGATTGAGGGGCGTCGCGACTGTTCGAGGTTTAAGCTGGAGTCGTGGTCTCTGTGCGCTTTCCTCTTCTGTGGGTTCTCTGAAATCCATGTTGGATCCACCGAGGGGAGGGCCATCTCCGAAGCGGCTGCCCATGGGGGGGCCTGTTCGCCGGTCGCCTGGGCGACTACCTCCCCTGCCCCCTAAGAAGTCATCCCTGAAGCCTCTGTCATCTGGTCCACCTTTTCTGAATCCAAAGCCACCTTTATCTTGTTTTCTGCCTTCTGCAATGTCCACACGAAGTGACCGATCGCCCAACAGTGCACCATCGTATGTCAAGGCTTCCTTAAGGGAATCCACTTCATCGAATTCTACATAGCAGAATCCTTTAAATTTATCTGTGTCTTTGTCTCTGACTAGCCGTACACTCCTTATGCTGAGATCCTTAAAGATAGCATCTATGTCGCCCCGAACCGTATTGAAAGGTAGATTTCCTACGTATGCTGTGTAGGGGGGCTCTGTGGGCAACTCCTTCTGGCTACGGGAACCATGGCCACCAGCACTGCCGCGGGACCCTCTGCCGCTGCCGAAGCTGCTGTAGGCCTGATCGTCGTAGGTGTCGAAGTCCGCCATTTGCCGTCTCCGCTCCGAGAGGAACCCCTTTTTATTTTTTAATAAAGCAAAAGGCAGTTGTCCCTTGTGGTTTGTAGCAAGAGTTCATTATCAGAGGAATGCTTGGCTTTTAAATGGTGTTAACACTGAAATCCTCTTCTCTTCTCTTTTCCTAGTTAGGATTTCCTCATCTTGATCCTCTCTCCTCACATATTGATCACACATTGCATGCTTCAAAGTGTTCACTGAATCATTCTACTTTTTCCAAGAGAATAGCTAACTCTTGACATGCTGCAGGTTTCCAATTACACTTCCTTTGCCTTAAAAAATGTCTTGAAAGAGTAAATCTGTCCATAAAGAAACCACTCGGACCAAAAAGCCTTTGTACACATTCTCCCAAATGGAGCTGGACTGTAAGCAGGGAAGATGTAGCAATAGCATCCACACACTGTCTGGGGTTCCTGGACCCATTTATCAACTGGTCCCATTTGAATGGAAACAAAGCCTCCACCCGTCACTCCCTCTCACTTGACTTGCACTTTCTGAGGTCTCAGCCACATGCATCTGAAGCTGTCTGGGGATTATCCATTCTACAAATGGTTTCAGATCTGGTCATTTTACTCTGTTGTTCTTGTATTCCTTCTGTTTGACAATCTGTAGCTTTTAATTTGGGGGACAGAGTAATAGCTCTTAAGCAGATGGTTGTCATTGGTCCCCAGGGGTGTACTTGGGGAGGAAGATTGGATGGGACTCTCACCAAGGTTCTAGGATTCTGTGACTCACTCGGCTTGATTCCAGGCCAGAAGTGAGGTTGCTGATTGCTTCTAACCTGTTCTTCGGCAAGTAGTAAATGTCAATTGATCTTTCTTCATGTGGTGGGGATGATATCCATATAAGAGAACATGAAAAACTGTACATGTTAAAATGCATTCACAGCAGCCAAACCCATGCGTGCTTAGAATTAAGTTGTTGCATCCAGTCCATTTGTCATTCTTTTTATGTCCAAGTTTTAGTAACAGAATGTTTTCAAATAGTTTACATTTCTCTTGGGACATCTTCCCTAACCAAATGTCATACTAGTGTTAGGCTGGCGTTATTTGGATTGCTCAATTCTTATTGTTTCCAACAACATTTAGGCCATTTCTGCAAGCAGAATTCTGCATTGAAGATAATGGGCTTTTTCATGCATGTCCATAAGGAGAAAAATTATTAGATCAGTGGGAATTTTAGAGTACATTATTGAATTCTTGGACATTAAAAACTTCAGTTACTTGGAACACACACATGACAGAAACAAACTGCAACTGACACTCAAAAGCACATCTGATGAAAATATTAAGGTTGATGTTTTTCTTAATATTATCTTATGTAATATCTAGTGTTCTCTAAGGAAATTATATTTATTAGGCCTTTCTTTTTTCTTCTAAACTCTTTTACTGTACTCCAAAATATCTTTATTTTCTGGTTATGAAGTAGTAGATCTTCACTGTAGAAAATTTGAAAACATATGGAAAAGTATAAAGACAATTTTTAAAGTACCTATGATTCTTCAATCTTGGGGTCTTATTTATTTATTTAGAGACACAATCTTGCTCTGTTGCCCAGGCTGGAGTGCAGTGGCGCGCTCTCAGCTCACTGCAACCTCTGCCTCCCAGGTTCAAGCAATTCTCCAGGCTCAGCCTCCCAGGTAGCTGGGATTACAGATGCATGCCACCACGCCCAGCTAATTTTTGTGTTTTTAGTAGAGACTGGGTTTCACCATGTTGGCCAGGCTGGTCTTGAACTCCTGACCTCGTGATCCGCCCACCTCGGCCTCCCAAAGTGCTGGGATTACAGGCATGAGCCACCGCGCCTAGCCAGGGTCTTTATTTTTAAAAAGATAGTCAACAGTGAACATTATTTGAAATCTTATTAAATGTTAAATACTTTTTTCTGAATTAAAGATTTCCTGATTTAAACCCTGATTCATTCTTCTGCTAAGGATCTTGCTCTAGTGTCAAAGCTCCCTGATGCCACACTTCAAATGAAGCTTAGTTCTAGAATGACTCCTTTTTTAGATAAGTGGACAATAAGTTATGGGCAAAGGTTTAGCCTGGTTCATCTCACTGGGGTCTTGGTGAAACCACTATTTCCTTTTTAATGTAATATTCTGTGAATAAAATCAAGATTAGAACAATGCTTGCAATTAAAGGGATTACTCAGTACTAATAAGATAATTAGAAAATGAAGTATCAGCCCCAGCTGCAAGGAAGTATGGGGATGTGAGTATTTTGAGTAGGACACATTGCTGCTCTAGGTAAAATGATGTTTCTGAAATGGAAGGTGAAAAGAGAGTAATAACTAGTAGGCTGCTAGCTGTGCCTGCCACAGAGATACTCACAGAGCCACTCAGAACAATTCTGGGACACTAACCTAAGACTTCTAGCCACACATCCCATGAGTTTTGAGCTACAGAGAAGTTATTATGCCCACCTTTCCAGATAAGCCTGAAACCAAGTCAATAAGACAGTTCTGTTTTAGAATTGTTCAACACAGGTAGTGAAAGATAAAGTAATAGCTTCACAGAGCACATGGAATTTTACTGAACCAAATCACGTGGATGTATTTCTGGCTGAATTTACCTTCTATCTTCAGTAGGCTTTTAAAAGCCAAGTCTCTGGAAGCAAATTCTTTCCAGATACAACTATCCTAAGATAGTTGCATCCATGTCAAGAAATGTTTGTTCTGTGACGGGTGCGATGGCTCACACCTGTAATCCCAGCACTTTGGCAAAAGGATCGCTTGAGCCCAGGAGTTCAAAACTAGCCCAGGCAACGTAGCAAGACCTCATCTGTACAAAAAAAAATTTAAAAACTAGGCAGCTTGAGTGGCCAAGGCAAGATGGGTCAAAGTCAAGAGTGGTGGTCATGGTCTTGGAGCTGGAAAGAAGGATGATAGGACAAGAAAAAGAAATATGAACCTCCTATACCAGCTAGAGTGAGGAAGAAGAAGAAAACAAAGGGACCAGATGCTGCCAGCAAACTGCCACTGATGACACCTCACACTCTGTGCCAGTTAAAATTATTGAAAGTTAGAGATAATTAAATACTGTCTTCTCATGAAGGAAGAATTCATTAGAAATCAGGAACAAATGAAACTATTAGAAGGAAAGCAAGAGGAGGAAAGATCAAAAGTGGATGATCTGAGGGGACCCTGATGTCAGTAGTAACCTTGGAAGAGATTATTGATGACAATCATGCCATCATGTCTACATCTGTGGGCTCAGAGCATTCTTGTAGACAAGGATCTGCTGGAACCTGGCTGCTCGGTCCTGCTCAACCACAAGGTTCGTGCTGTGATATGGGTGCTGATGGATGACACGGATACCCTAGTCACAATGATGAAGGTGGAAAAGACCCCCCAGGAGACCTGTGTTGATACTGGGGGGTTGGACAGCCAAATTCAGGAAATTAAGGAAATCATTCTGAATATTATGAAGAGATGGGTATAAAGCCCCCTAAGGGAGTCATTCACTATGGTCCACCTGGCACAGGTAAAACCTTGTTAGCCAAAGCAGTAGCAAACCACATCTTAGCCACTTTCTTGCAAGTGATCAGCTCTGAATTTATTCAGAAATACCTACATGATGGGCCCAAACTCATATGGGAATTGTTTCTAGTTGCTGAAGAACATGCACCTTCCATCATGTTTATTGATGAAATTGATGCTATTAGGACAAAAAGATGTGACTCAAATTCTGATAGTGAGAGAGAAATTCAGCAAATAATGCTGGAAATGTTGAACCAGTTGGATGGATTTGATTCAAGGGGAGATGTGAAAGTTATCATATCCACAAGCCGAATAGAAACTTTGGATCTAGCACTTATCAGACCAGGCTACACTGACAGGAAGCTCAAGTTCCCCCTGCCTGATGAAAAGACTAAGAAGCACATCTTTCAGATGCACACAAGCAGCATGACACTGGCCAATGATGTAACCCTGGAACGACTTGACACTTGACATCAAGGCAATCTGCACAGAAGCTAGTCTGATGGCCTTAAAAGAACATGGAATGAAAGTAACAAATGAAAACTTCAAAAAATCTCAAGAAAATGTTCTTTATAAAGAACAGGAAGACACCCCCAAGGGGCTCTGTCTCTAGTGAACCACAGTTGCCATCAGGAAAATGGCTGGGAGATTTCCCAAGCCCTCAAAGGGATGAGGTTGGGGGAGTTGCCCAGAGGAATTCGTGTTCCAGTTTATTTTTATTAGCAACACTTCCTGTGAGTCTTTTGGAGTATGATGTGTAAGACGTCCATTGGGCCGCCTTCGCCTGTCGGTCACTGTGCAACACTCTGCTTCCCAATAAAGTGTGCTTTTTCTTTCTCTCTCTCTACACACACACACGAACTAAAAACCAGAAATGTTTGTTCTAGAACCAGTAGTTTTTCATATAATCAATTGCTAAGCTGAAAAATATGCCCTGCCTAACAAACATCAGGTAGGAAAAAATAAACCTATTTATTTAATTCAACAGATTTTTGTTTTGATGTGACTTAGTACCGTAGGTTTGTGTATAGCAATGACTTTAATCTTCTAAGACATCATTGATGTAATGCACTTCAAATATGTGTTGATGCCAAAATTATCTATAAATCTAAATTTCTATGAGTTTTTCTTAGGCTTTTATCTTCCCATTCCAATTAGAAAGTAAAGGCATTCTCTGGCTAATATTCACAACCTTAACCCAACTCTAGGTTGAAGAACTTGTTAATTCTTCATAACTTTCCCATTCTTCACCTTCTGTCTCCATTTATCACAGCCATCCACTCACACTAGCCTATGGATTGGGTGAAGTTTAGAAGCATAAAGGAGATATTATTTGGAACAAGGTGTTGTTTTATTGCAGTCCTACCCTTTCCTGCTCTTTTCTTCAAGTGAGTGACTAATTCCTCGGAATTTCTAAGATTTGGGTTTAAAACTACACTGTCTCTAGGCTGTACCTATTATTGAATGAGATAACTACCCTTGCAGAGGTGCATAGATATGTTTTGATGGTAAAGCACATTCATTTGCAACCACTGCTGCACAGAATGAAGGAAATGCAACTGCTATCCTCCTGGGAGAAGCCACTTAGGCAAGAAAATAAAGAAGAGGATTTTGATTATATTTGGAACTCTTAAGCTTGTGCTCAGGGAGGCTCCGTCTTTAAACTCTTGTCGTTTCATGTTTACACAAAAATTATAATGGAAAAAGTAGGCTCATAGTTCTCTGTGCAAGCATGGCACGTTTTAAAAATGTATCCATGTTTTATTGGGATAATACCAGCCACAATTTGCACATGTTATTGCATCTTATTGTATGAGACAACAAATGAAAAGGGCTCAGCATGGTCTCTGGCACGGTGTGGACCAGGAGAAGTGTCCTTTTTCTTCCATTCTCCCTCTTTTGCATGTATCTTATTGTCCCTACTTCTTGTTAAAGTTATTCTGAAGAGAATGCAGAATTCCAGGTATCTGAGCCAGATACAGCTGTCAGAGCCAACGAACGTAGTACTCTGCCATTGGACAAATTCTCCTACTTCTCACTATTTTCTGTGCACATCATGTCTCTTCATTGGTGAGTGCAAAGAATCCATGTTCACACTGCCTGCCTCTTCCCCTACCTGCCACAATTAGTTCAGCAAACAGAGTATCAGTCTAGTTGGGGGAGAGATGTGCACATGGATAATAACAATATGATTATTACTAAATAACATTATTTAATAATAATACTGTGTACCAGACACCAGGTGCAAATACTATAGTAACTGTTACTACTATATTTATTGAGCACTTATATGCCAAACATTGTGCTAAATGTTTTTACACATGGCAGAGAATTATTCACTAAATGGGCCCAAAGAAGTAGGCTTTAATCTAGAAACTTCTTAATTTATCTCCTTTAAACACAGTCTATCAGAAATTGGACAATATTAGTTGCCTATCTCTCCCGGTCACTTTCAGTTATTAAAACAGTCCTGGCCAGGCTTTGTGGCTCATGCCTGTAATCCCAGCACTTTGGGAGGCTGAGGCATGAGGATTACTTGAACCCAGGAGTTTGAGGCTGCAGTGAGCTAAGATCATGCTACTGCACTCCAGCCTGGATGACAGAATGATACCCAGCCTCTACAAATAAAAATAAAACAGTCCTAATCACAGACATGTTAAGGTCCAATTCATCCTAAAACAAAACTTCAGACTCGTATCCAGTTTAGTTCTGCCTGAGTCCCTGACGGCTTCCTAGTTGCCATCTGTAATCCCCATGAAGACCAGCTGCACCTGACTTCCATGAGCCACTCCTATACCTGTTTAATAGTCTCCTGTCTTTATTTGAGCAAGCTGGCAACCTTACAACCCACTAGTCAATCCCTGACTAGAAGAAGATGGACAGTACATTCTCAGCAGAGATTTTGAAAAAAAGACACTTTGGCTATTGCCACCTCCACCCTGGCCACCACCCTGTAATTCTGTCAGGAATCAGCTGCCTTTCTCTGCCTTTCCACCTTGATCAGTTCATGTGTTGTGGTTTCGTGATTTTTAACTAACATCTTTATTTGTGTAAAGACACCAGGCACAGTGGTGCATGCCTGTAGTCCCAGCTACTTGCGAGGCTGAGGCAGAAGGATTGCTTGAGCCTGGGAGTTTGAGGCTGCAGTGAGCTGTGATCTCACCACTGCAATCCAGCCTAAAGACAGAGCAAGATCTTGTCTCATAAATAAATAAATATCTTATATATATGGGGGGTGGGTTGCCGGAAGGTATTTTAGAAAAGGCTTTGCCATAGATCCTGAGGGAGGTTTCTGCCTTCTCCCCTCCAGTGAGGTAGGGCCCCCATGGGGCTACCTGGTAAACTTAATATGTAAGCCCTATGAAGGGCGGTGAAGCTCTAGCCTCCTCTTGGAAAGTCTACTAGGGCCATGCTTGCTGAATCCCTTTGTGAATCCGGAGGGATGTTTCTTGTTCCACTCTTTCAAATACAGAGTTCCTTTCCCCCCATGTCTCCATTTGGAAGTTCAGTCAAAACCTAAGACAACAGGATATGTCCCCCTGTACATTGTGTTACGTAAACATCGGATATAATCCTCACAACAGCCTTCTGAGGCAGAGAATAAGATCCTTGCTTTATAAATGAGGAAGTGTAGGGAGACTAAATATCTTGTTCTAGATCACATATTTAGTGATGCTAATACAGGATTAAAACCCAGGAGGCCGGTCTGATTCTGAAGCCTATCCTTTCCACCACATCCTGGCGGAGAAGAAGGCAAAAAAAAGTTGCAAAAGGTTGGTGCAAAAGTAATTGTGGTTTTTGCAATTACTTTTTTAAAAAAATGACCAAAACTGTCATTACTTTTACACCTACTTAATAGCTTAGTGTGAGCAGGGTCCTCGGGGGCAACCGGCAATGTCTGTGCTCTGTGGACAGGGTGCTCCTGGCCAGCTGGCATGGAGGGAGTCCATGGGGGATGGTAGGAGACGGTTCTGCAGAGGTAAGGTCTGGCCAGACCATGGAGGGCCTTGGATGTGGGAGGTGCATGTAAAAATGGTGGGGAAGTTGGACTCTGCCACGGGTAACTGGGGGTCATTCAAGTTTTGAGCAAGTAAAGGACTCCTTCATCTCTGCTTCAGAGATTGTCCAGGTGGCCAGGGGGAAGCAAGTAGGAGGGGAGCAAGGTTGCAAGTGGAAGCGGATTGCAGATCCTGAGTGGATGCAGTAAGAGTCCAAGCAGGCAGTGAGGCAGTGCAGGGATAGGGATAGGGATAGGGATAGGGACAGGGACAGGGACAGGGACAGGGACAGGGACAGGGACAGGGACAGGGATAGGGATAGGGATAGGGATGGAAGGACTGGGCTAGGAGAAAAACCAGTGGCCTGCAGTGACCACTAGTTCTTCCCAGACACAGACAAAATTGAGGCAGGAACAGGAAATGAGTGTGGGTGCTAATAGTGCGGGTGCCCCAGATAAAACAGTCCTAAGGGCATCTTCAGCGAACCCAGCCCAGCTGGCACACAGGACGACAGAGAGGTTCTGAGGTCTGCAAAGGTGAGTTCAGTACTCAGCCAAATGCATTCCTGCAGCATTAGATGGCCACAGCCCCCGACATGTGTTTTTAATGGATTCCCAGGCTGCTAACAGTTAACATTGTTAATGACCTGCGGAGAGTTCAGATCCCTGGATAAGGACTACCTGCAAATCTTGGTTATTACTTTTAAAGTATGCAAAGTGAACCTGAGCTGGTTCTTTTCTTCTTCCTTTAAAAAATGTAGATTCTAGAGTCTTAAGGGTGTGGGGTGGTGTGTGTGTGTAGTCATGTCTATATCATCTCTCGCATTGACAGACCACTTTCTCTGCCTGAGTCAGGTCACCTTGCTTAGGCTGAGAAACTTCATGTCAAGCATGAAGCTTTTCACTCTAAATCAGTTTTTACTTCTAAATTAGTTCCACAAAACAGCATCCATTAATCAATACCCTGTTCAATCATGAAGCCTTTTAAGCTGGAAGAGGTTGAGTGCAAGGGTGTGACGTGGGCTTCCAGATCTGCACCCCTAATCCCTGGAGGCCCTTCATCCTCTGCCCTTTCTTGCCCTTGTAGCCTCATCTCTTCCCTCTCAAGGGCTCCCTGTTTCTCAGCCTTTTACCCAACATGCTTCTTCACACTCTAGGGCCATGGCACGTTTTGTTCTTTCTGCCTGTGCCCTTCAAGTGCAGCACCATGTGCTCCATCCTTTCCTCACCCAGCCCCAGCTCACCTTTAATGCTTGGTGCGGGTGACACTTCTTCCAGGAAGCTCTCCCTCACCTGCTGCTCTGTGTTTTCATCTTCTGTGTTCACACAGTTTTGTCGCAACACTTTCACACTATATTTAAAAAGTATATTTCCCTTGATTATAAAAGTCACTCACACTTGTAGAAAATGTGGGAAATAAAAAAACTTAAAGAAAAAAATGCATATAAATTGACTACTTGGGGGTTATAAGCACTGTTAACATTTTGATGAATTTCTTTCCAGTATTTTTTCCATCTATATATTTGTAAAACTTTCATACTCAGAAAAGAAAAAAAATAAGTGCTGTAAAAAGACAAGGGGAACTTTGACTGAGAAAAAGTTCAGTGCATTTATTGTTTCTAGGTGACTGGCAACTTAAAAAATTGCTTAGTTTAAAAATCAAATTACAAGGGATTTTTTGGCACCAGCATAACAAAAGTGTGTGCTGGAAGATGAGTGCTTACACAAACAGTTGGTGTCCTCTTTTTTTATTTAGCATTTGTCATGCCCTAAGACTTCTTTGAAAATGTGTTTTTACTCCATAACCCTCTGTTTTCTGATTCTCATTATATTGCCCCGTTTGTTTACCTTTTGGTAGCCACTATTGGACTATAAGCTTCTTTCTTTCAGGCAGGGCCTGTGATCTTACTGTTTTTTAATTCAATCCCTAACCCATTCTGATGGAGTGGGAGTAGGCATGTAACAAACAGAACGCATTACCTGAGATTACCAAAAGATTACCTGAGTCTTCCTGAATTGCTTACTTACTCAACCCCTATTTGTTCTCTACGCTGAGGTGTGTCGAGACTGTACCAGCATCCACAGGTCTGGTGGGTGCCACAGGCCTGCACCACCCACATGCCCCTTAAGGGATGAAGGGCCACTCTACAGCTGCAGGGACTGCTGCCAGCAGGAAGCCCTCAGAGATTGCCTTGCCCAATGAGGAGCCGCTTCATCCAAGGTCACCCCCTTTCCCGGGGTGGCCTGCTGCATCCAATGACTGGTCCATGGAGGTATAACGTCCTGGCCCGTGTTCCCCAACTGGGACAACTCTGAAAAGTTCTGCTTCAGAACTCTCCTTAGCATCTACCAAGGTTGCCATTGAGACCACACCACAGCTGGACTCCTCCCACTGCCCGATCCTGCTTCCCTCTCCTCCCTTCCCTTGGGTGTCATCCCAAGAGCACCGCCCCCCCCCCGACAAAGCTCCTGCAAATTCATCTTTGCCTCAGAGCCTGCTTCCTGGGTAGCCCAGCCTGCAACAGTAGGCATCTAAACAATGCCCAGACACACCCCTAACTTGAAGTGACTTACAAGCCAGCCGTGTCATGTGCTTCCAGGTTGTAGATTGTTAGTTCCTTGAACAGTGACCATGTCTTATCCCTTTCACAGTGCTGGGCCTCACTACAGTCCCTGGAGCACAGAACATGGCCAAGCACGTCCCATGTCGAGAGGGTAACATCGAATGGGGAGGGAATAAGAGAAGAGTTCCCAGGGAGCATCAGCTGGGTGCTAATGGCTGTTGGGATACAAGGCGAGAATGACGAACAGGTGGTTTCTGAGTCTCAAGCCTGAGAGACTGAGAGAAGAGTGACTGCTGGAGTGAGAAGTTAATATTGTGGAAAATTGGTTTGATATTAGATTGGTGTGAAAGTGTTACACTTGAAGCACCAAAATCTTCTAGGGGAACTGTCCTGTAGGTGGTAGTTGAGGCAGAACCAGGTCTTGTGTACAGAACGATTTAGAAATAACGTTGAGGCACTATGGATTCCCACAGGGGTAGTATTAGAAGCTGTGAGAATAAGGACAGGTTCAGAGGGTTTCTGTTTGTTTTTCTTTTCTTTTCTTTTTAAGTTTAGACATAGCAGAGAAGAAAATCCACCGAATGATAGCTGGACTTGAAGTGCAACATCAGCTCTTCCCTGGATCTCCAGCCTGCTGGGCTACTCTGCAGGTTTTGGACTTGCCAGCCTTCGTGAGCCAATTCCTTATAATCTCTCTCACTCTCTCCATAGGCATATACATAACAAGAATGACAAATAGATGGTTTCCAAGTTTCATACATATGTGGAGAGAGAGAGAGATAACCAATAGAGTGTGTGTGTGTGTGTATGTGTGTGTTTCTCCAGAGAGTCCTGACCAATAAAAATTTTGACTAAAATCTCACTAAGCCACTTGATTAAGGAAAAAGCAGCAGCACTGAAAGGAAGGAGAAGTCAAATGTTTTACAAAGAGATTCACTATGGTGCAGTGTCTTCAGGGGCTAAAAGAACCAGGTTTTAATCTTGATTTCCTTCTGTTTCTTTGGCTCAAGCTGCACATTGAGTTAGCTATCCTATGATGCAGCCTTTGTAGAGGACACAGAAACAATGCAAGGAGCAGGGGGAAGCTTCTGGAATAGTGATTGATATCCTCAGAGAGTAAGAAAAATCAGATACTAGAAGGAAGGAAGATCCAGCAAACAAGACATAGCTCTTGGAAATTAAGCCCATGATGACAGAAATTTTACAAGTAATAAACGAATTAGGAGGTAATTGAGTAACTCTCACAGTAAATAGAATAAATAGTCAAAGAAATTGAGAAGAGAAAATTGGAGAATCAATTCAGAAGGTCTAATTTCTGAAAGACAGGACAGATAAAATGGACCAAGGAATTATCAAAAAATTATACAAAAAATTTCCCTGATGGATGTGATATTTCAGATTGAATGGGCTTAAAAGCCTGGCATAATTAATGAAAATGACTAATAACAAAGCATTTCATAATGATATTTCAGAGTTCTGAGGATAAAGAAAAGATCCTGAGAGCTCTGACAGGGAGAGAGAGAACCGGTCACAGGTAAAATAAATATGGGATCAGACTTCTCAATAGCAATACCAGAAGTTAGAAGACAGGCCGGGCATGGTGGCTCACGCCTGCAATCCGAGCACTTTTGCAGGCCAAGGCGGGAAGATCATTTTAGCCCAGGAGTTTCAGACCAACCTAGGCAGCATAATAGGACCCCATCTCTACAAAAGTAAAAATAAAAAAAAAAATTAACTGGGTGTAGTGGCACATGCCTGTCATCCCAGCTACTTGGGAGGCTGAGGTGGGAAGATTGCTCAAGCCCAGGAGATAGAGGCTGCAGTGAGCTGTGATCACACCACTGCACGCCAGCCTGAATGACAGAGTGAGACCCTGCCTCAAAATAATAACAATAATAATAATAATGTTAGAAGATAATGGAATAATGCCTTTGAGATCCTAAAGGAAAATAATTTCCAAACCAGGATCTTATACTCAGCTAAGCTTTCAATCGAGGATGAGGGGGATTAAGACAAGGTCTCAAAATGTACCTTCCATATATCACTTTCTGAGAAGTCACTAGAAGACGCACTCCACCAAACCAAGACTGTTGTCAAGAAAGAGACGTGAGATTAACAACAACAACAATAAAAATAAAAATAAACAAAAGCCAGAGGATTTTCCACAGAAGAGTGGGAAAAGAGTTTCAAGGATGACGGGGCAGAGGAATATAAGAAAGCTGAATTCTGATCTTTCATAGCAGGAAGTCAGTGGGTGATATCTGTAAGTGAAAAATAAAGGGAAAACAGTATAATATTGTTATTTAGAAATATGAAGGTATATAGCAGGAGGAACGGCTAAAGAGATGAAAGGAATTTCCTTTGGGAAACAGGAATTGGAGGAGGGGGTTGAGTCGGGAAAGGATTGCTGTTTTTCTTCATATGTCCTGTAGTATTATTTGACTTTTAAAGTAAGCACATTTATTGCCTTCATACAAATTAAATTTAAATAGGCAAAAGTCTATTAATATGCCAAAAATAATTTGTAAATTGTGAGCAAATATAGACCCCTTGCCCACACTACTAGAAGTGGTCTTTCAGGGGAGAAAGCACGACCCTCTGATTTGTCTTTCTTCCTCTGCAAATGGTTTTTAAGCAAATTCTTGGGAACCCATCAATCTGCCAATTAGAAGAAAATGCAAGAGTAACAGCAGGAATCATGACTGCAAGGAAACAGTTACCATCCCATAAAATTATTGCCTTTACCAAATTAGAATAAACCTGTCAAGACAACGTTTAACTATCTTTATGTAAAAATCAAAACGGTCTGACTTCAACTGTCAAACAGAGTCTTCGAACTTGTCTGTAACAAAGTGCTCCCTTAGTAAGTCGTATAGTTCAAGTTGCATTTGCAATTTGGGGAAATGGAGCTGCCTGGCCCATGAATCCAGCAAGCTCGACTTTTCTATGGCTGCTGTTCCTGTAGAACGACTGGCTCATTTAGTTGGCTGGGCAGTTGCAGCAGGCTGGGTGGGTGTTGCTCCTGCAGGAAAACTATGAAATAAAATATCATTGCACCTACCTCACTGATCAATAACATAAAAGGAAAAAAATCTAGCTCCTCTATTTGGACAAAAGGCAATTTTCTGTGGCTTCTCACATTTGCTAGAACTTTACAAATATGTATCACAAACTACCAGATGAGACAAATCGGTACAATACTAGTTATTTTTATGTGCTGCCTCATCCTTTATACAAAGTATCTCAGATCACTTTAAAGTGAGAGGTCAGAATGGAAAGTGTGATTTATAGAGCCTAAGGGACCAAGGCGAAGGCTGCAGAATAGGCAAACGGCCCACTAAGGATTCTGGGAAAGGAAGGCAGGCTAGGAGTCAGATGCAGACCTCACTGCAGCCCCTTCCAGAGACCAGGGAGACAAGTGTAGCGGGTGTCACAGCTTCAGTTTTGCAGTTGTGGAGCTCATTATGAAAGGATGATCAAACTAGAAGATAAATGAACATTAACAAAAGTTGAACTGCTTCTAAAATTATCTGCTTGATCAGTTCTTTTTAAAAAACAACTGCTTTTTAAAAACCTCCTGGATTCAAGCAATCCTCTTACCTTACCCACCCACCCCCCCCGCCATCCCCCAGGGAGTAGCTGGGACCACAGGTCCATGCCCCAACACCTGGCTAAGTGTTTGATTTTTAGTAAAGATGAAGTCTCGCTATGTTGTCCAGGCTGGTCTTGAACTTCTGAGCTCAAGGGCTCTCCCACTTCGGCCTCCCAAAGCGTTGGGATTACAGGTGTGAGCCACCGCACCTGGCTTGATATTTTTTAGTATATTTACAGGGTTGTGCAATCACTACAATTTTAGAACATTTTTATCCCCCAACCCCATACCCCTTAGTAGTCACCCTCCTTTCTCTTTCTACACCACCATTCCCCTACACACACACACACACACACACACACACACACACACACACACACACATACGTACATGTCCATGCAGTTCCAGGAAACCACTATTTCTGTCTCTGAACATTTCATATCAACAAAATCATACCATATATATTCTTCTGTGATGTTTCTTTCACACTGCGCTGTGTTTTCAAGGTCCATCATGGTGCAGCATTATCAGCCTCTACTCCTCTTTCTGGTGGAATAACCTTCCATTGTATGTACG
Source organism: Homo sapiens (assembly GCF_000001405.40). Lineage (NCBI taxonomy): Eukaryota > Metazoa > Chordata > Mammalia > Primates > Hominidae > Homo > Homo sapiens. Next base: position 27,473,086 of record NC_000007.14, read on the forward strand.
TACCACATTTTGTTTACCCATTTCTCCATCCATGGACATTTGGGTTGTTCCCACCTTTGAGTTGTATCAATAATGATGCCACGAACATTTGTGTACAAGTTTCTGTACACACACTTGCTTTCAATTCTCTCTGTTATAGACCTAGAAGAGGAATTGCTGGGTCGTATGATATATCTATTCTTAACATTTTGAGGAACTGCCAAATTATTTTCCAAAGTGGCTGCACCACTTTACATTTTCATCACTGGTGTATGAGGGTTCTGATTTTTCCACATCTCCATGTGGAAATTGTTGTTATCCATCTTTTTTTTATAGCCGCCCTGACTGGTGTGAGGTGGTGTCTCACTGTCCCAATAATTTCTCATCTTTAATGATGCTACTATGCTCTCATGTTATGCAGATTTTAATATCCAACAACCGTTTTGTTAAAATCCCAAAATGGAAAGAAAAGATCAGTAAAGAACTCTTGAACTTTGGTGCACCATTCAGAGTTGTCCATGGATCCCAATGCTTGGGAAAAATGTTTATTTGAAGGTATAATCGTGGATACTGAATAAACCACATATTATTACTATTCAGCAGCAGCTATTGAGAACATATTGGCCACCAAATGGCTATTCTAAGTGTCTTAGAGGAAATTAAAAACACACAGGCTCCTTACTGCCAAGCACTTGTAGAATTCTGGTACTCATAATGATGGCAATAATACTGTTTACATGCACCTTTACAGATTATATAGGGCTTTGAAATTTTAATTCTGATTTCTGTTCCTGGGGCCGAGAGTTTCAGCAGCCACGTCATTCAGACCCTAACATTGTTGTATTATAGGGGACTGGGAGAGTTTGGCAGGCTGAAAAACAGTGACCCTCCCAGGTAATTGCCTCTGACTGCCCTGACCTGCCCACAGAATCTGGTCTTCAGCTTTGTTAGTTTTCAAAGAGGTGCCAGGATTCAGGGGGCCCCCATCCTTGTTAAACCTCCCAGAGACTAACTAGTAAGCCAGGCTGGCTATATACGAGCACACTCTGCCCAGAGAATCAGGAGAGCTGGCTGACATTCTGTGCATTCTATCTTCAGAGGGAAAGTCTCCTGGGAGGCCCCAAGAATTAAAGAAAAGTGGGTTGGATGGTTTGCAGAGCCAAGTGACTGAGCTAAGAGCCCCTGATAGACACAGGTCCGCTCCAAGGCTGTAACCACCAAACAGACATGAGGATCAATATCGACAGCTGGGAACCCCCCTCCCCACAAAACAGTGCTGAAATTCTCTCACAAACTCATCTTTACACTCTTCCAAAATGCTGAATCGGTCACCAGAGCTTCCACTATTACTTCACCTAATGACCGGCTTAGAAGCCCAACACCTGGTAGGTACTCAACAAGTAAATGGATGAGTTGGTGAATTAAGTTTTAAAATTACCTTCATTTGCTACACATTTAGATAAGATTCTGGAGCCATTCTCCTCTTAGGAGTCAGTCGCACATTATTTCTCGGGATGAGTTATCTCCTGGGAAGATTTCCAAAGAATCATTCATTAGATCACTTTTCACTTATTTACTCACTATTCATCTAACAAACATTTCCTGAGGGCCTACTACATACAAGGCTCAACAGCACATGTAATGGGGCTTTTAAAAAATTACATATTTGGGAGGCCGAGGCGGGCGGATCACGAGGTCAGGAGATCGAGACCATCCCGGCTAAAACGGTGAAACCCCGTCTCTACTAAAAATACAAAAAATTAGCCGGGCGTAGTGGCGGGCGCCTGTAGTCCCAGCTACTTGGGAGGCTGAGGCAGGAGAATGGCGTGAACCCGGGAGGCGGAGCTTGCAATGAGCCGAGATTGCGCCACTGCACTCCAGCCTGGGCGACAGAGCGAGACTCCGTCTCAAAAAAAAAAAAAAAAAAAAAAAATTACATATATAAATATACAAAGAAAAAAAGGCATATCAAAATAAAGAACAAAAGATATACCAAAATGTTAACAGTGGTGGGATCATTCATCATTTTTCTTCCTTCTTTTTGCTTATTTGCATTTTGTACAGTGCCCATGTCTTGTTTATTTAAAGTGTTCTAAAGCATTCAAGATGCATCTTGCCCTCAAAAAACATGGATAGAGTGAGTGGGCAGGAAATGGGACAAGACAAGCTGAAAAATGACAACTCTGACACAAGTGCAGACCGTGATCATTTCCCTAAGAGGCTTAAATGCTGTCAGGGTTAAGAGGAAATTGCGATGACCTTGACAGATGAGAGACCAGGTCACAGAGGTACCATCCTTGAAGCACAGGAGGGTTTCTCCAGGGAGCAGGACCTCAGAGAGTGGGAAGCATAAAGGTGGGGAGACAACAAGAAGTCTTCACATTTTCTATTTTCTCTTCATTGAGACCATTTCAGTGACTTTGCTTGCTATTCACAGGGCTCTGGCTCTCTAACCTCCTACCCCAACAAGGCAAAGGATCAGGGCTTACCAGGAGGTGGGGATGCTGGGGGAGGGCAGAGTGGCAGAGGGAACATCTCTGATGAGACATGCTGGGGGAGCCCCACGATGCTGGAGCACAATAATGGGAGCCAAGAAGGATGGGAAGTCTGAGAAGGAAGTCCAGTCACATCATGATTCCATGGGCAGGAGAAGTAGCTGGGTACAAAGAGGTAAACTGGAGGGCCCAGTGCGCAGATAGGCCCCAACAGAGTGGGACCAACCTGGGGGCATTTATTAAAAGCCTTTGCCAGCTGGGTGCAGTGGCTCATGCCTGTAATCCCAGCACTTTGGGAGGCCAAGGTCGGAGAATCCCTTGAGACTAGGAGTTTGAGACCAGTCTAGACAACATAGTGAGACCCCTGTCTCTATAAAAAAAATTGAAAAAATTAGCCAGGCATGGTGGCACATACCTGTGGTCCCAGCTACTTGGGAAGCTGAGGTGGGAGCATCACTTGTGCCCAGCGGTTTGAGACTGCAGTGAGCTCTGATGACACCACTGCACTACATACAGCCTGGGTGACAGAGCAAGACCCTATCTCAAAAAAAACAAAACAAAACAAAAAAAAACACCAAAAGCCTTTGCCATCTCATCACCACTTATAAGAAGGTGGCCAAAGTGCGGCAATCAATGCTGTTCTCAATGTAGCCTCACCCTGCGCCGCCCACTCCTCTGCTACCCTTCTCCTGGCATGGGTCACTCTTCCATACACTCTGCAAAGCCTTCCCTGATGCCCCTGAGCAGAATTGACTCCCTTTTGCATGTGTTTCCTCACCCCTTGCTTTATACCATCATTGCCCTCATCATTGTCTAGCATGCTGTATATAAAGTTGTGCACATTTTAGTTTCTCAGATTGTGAGGTCATTGAAGGCAGGGTCTCTGTCTCATTCATCTTTCTATCAACAGTGCCAAAGTGGGCAATCCAAGTCAAAGCATTCAAAAGGGAGGGAGGGAGGAAGGGAGGGAGGGAGGAAAGGAGGGAGGGAGGGAAGGAAGGAAGGAAGGAGTAAATGAATTTAAAGGAAATACCAGATTTGTTTAGAAAAATACTTGTTTAGAAAAATATTATCTTGGATAAATGTCGTGACTAAGTTTATCTCAACATGAGATCAGAATAATTAGCAAATTGTGCTTACGTTTACACTTTTGTTCTCAAGAGAGACTATTTACATATGCTCTCCTGCTTTGATTAGAGCTCTTTTTGATTAGTTCATACAGGATATAGAAGTATTATTTCAACCAAGATTGCAATAAAAACAAAAGAGAAATTAAAAAATGAAATGCTTTGATTTACCAATGGTCATCAATAGCAATGAGCTAGAAGTGCAAAGAAATTCACAGTTCCTGAACCTAATTACTTTCCATAATAGTAAGATACATTAAAAAAGGGAGAAGGGCTGGGTCTTTAGTGATTTTCTAAGAAATGTAATGCACTAGTACATTTGCAGAACAATCGGGCAACATCAGAGATACCCTTTGTGGTACTTTATGTCCTCAGAAGGGAATTGATCTGCCTGTAATGAATTAAAGATGGCTGCACATTCTCTAGCACTGCTCTCATGGAGAGGCGGAGTCTATGCTCTTTCACCTTGTATCTGGGCTGGCCCTTGACTTGTTTCATCCAGTGAAAAGTAGCAGAAGTCACACTGCATAACTTCTGAGGCTGAGCCTTGAGAGATCTGCAGTCTCTGCTTTTGTGTGCTGGAAATGTTCCCTCTTAGAATCCAGACACCATGCTGTGAGAGGCTGCATGGAGGGGTCCTCCTAAGGTGGTCTGGTCAACAGCACTGAGCTTACAGCCAATAGCCAGTGCCCACCGTCAGCCATGTCAGTGATCCAGCTTTGACATTCCAGCCCAGTGAAGCCTCCAAATGACTACAGACCCAGCCAACACCAACATGAAGCCAAAGAACCACCTAGTGGAGCACAGTCAACCCACAGAATTGTGAAATATAGCAAATGGCTGCTGTTATTTTAAACCACGATGTTTCAGGTTGTTTGTTACGCAGCAATAGATAACTGAAACAACCCCTGATTTGTATTTACTGGAAAGTAAGAACAATTTGAAATTCTACTCATCTCTAGGAATAGCAAAGTAGGACAGAAATAAGGCTTTCTGTCTCCCAGGCAATTCCTAGGAGAAATAGCTTAGTTGGCTGTAGAAGAATTAATAAGAACAATGCAGTAAAGTAAGTAAGACAAACTATGCTAAGTCAGCAGTGTCACTGGCAAAGTGTGCAAAAACTTATCGCGCCATTAAGGCACGCAATCCAATTACTACAATACGTACAAAGTGAAATGATAAAGTTGATGGGAAGAGTATATAAAATCAGTGGCTGTAAAGAGCATGGTAGAATCATTAAAGTTTATGAAAATGGAATTAGTTGTGCATGAACGTGGGCAACAAACGCACAACATGTTCTATATTTAGGAAATAAGGACAGAGCCCTATGTGGTCTGAGGCTACATTCAGAATAAAGGGTTAACAAATACTCGTCTACTCCCTGATTTATTTTGATCACATCTAAGACTATTGGGTTTATTCTAATTTTTTAGGCTTTCCTTTTGCCTGTGTAGCTTCTGCCTCCAACCCAGTGGACTCCTACTTTTCAAGGTCCAGTGAACACTACCTCTGTGAAGCCTTCTTTATTTCTCCTGCCAGTAATTAGTCATGTCCCTCACTGTGTTCCAGTGACACTTTTTACGAGTTGTTGTAATAGCACTTATCAGCTCTGTTTCAAATTCTGCTTACATGAGCTCATTGGGGATGGGACCAAGCCTTATTGAGTTTGGTGTCCCCTCTCATGAGTAAGACATGGTTCCAGGCAAGTAGAAAAGGCTACACTGTGAGTGCTTAGCATTCAAATAGATAGATGAATGGATACATGGATAGATGGATACAAAGAAGATTAAATGGATGAGTGTGTGAATCCCCACTAAACTGTGATTTATGAAGTATCCTAAGAGCTGGAAAGATAGGAAAGAAAAGTTATGTGGTATCTTGAGTATTCTCTATAAGATTAGAACCATTCATTGTTCTAATAGCTTAAATTCTGATCCAGGTACAATGGCAAGGACCACACTGTGTACAGGACACTCTGGCAACAGAATAAAAACATTGTCTGCAGATGAAGAGAGCCATATTGTATATACATTAATTCAGATGACATTTACTGAGTGTCTATGATGTGCCAGGTCTGTCCCAGGAGCTGGGATACAAGGATATGCAGCTCTTGTAGAGTTTATGTAAGTCTAGTTAGAGTATTAGACATTAAATAATAAACACACTCATAATTACAAATTATGATAAGTGCTATGGAAGAAAGGACAAGATGATGTGATACAGAAAAATCCAGCTTAGATGGGGTGGAGACAGAAGAGGAAGGCAGGAAGCAAGTACCAGTGAGATTGAGAGCTAAGAGTATAATTCAATTATATATATATATATGGAGTTGGAAGTTACTGTTAGGTTGAAACACATGCAATTACTGATACTTAACTATTTATGACCTACAAAATGGCAATTTCATGTGGTTCAAGCTAACTTATGTGTGTATTCCAGGCAGGGTCAGAGACAAAAGGGTATTCTATAATACTTTCATCAGAGCAGGCACAGATGGCTGCAAGATTAGAGGGAACTGTAGCAATGGAAAGAAAACTCGCAACCCCACATTATAAAAGTAGCACCAGAATTTTAGCAGTATGAATTGAGGTTTATAGTATTCTTTTGATTTTAAATACTCATGCTTGTTCTCAAAACACTGAATGGATGATTGGAGAAAAATCTGAACTTCTATGATCTCACCTCCTTCTGAAATAAAGGTGGAGGCGGGATGTTGTTTAAGTTTAGGCCTTGGACAGCAAAAGAAACTATCATCAGAGTGAACAGGCAACCTACAGAATGGGAGAAAAATTTTGCAATCTACCCATCTGACGAAGGTCTAATATCCAGAATCTACAAGGAACTTAAACAAATTTACAAAACAAAAAAAACCCATTCAAAAGTGGGCAAAGGATATGAACAGATACTTCTCAAAAGAAGACATTTATGCAGCCAACGAACATATGAAAAACGCCCAACATCACTGACCACTAGAGAAATGCAAATCAAAACCACAATGAGATACCAACTCACGCCAGTCAGCATGGTGATTATTAAAAAGTCAGGAAACAATAGATGCTGGTGAGGCTGTGGAGAAATAGCAACACTTTTACACTGTTGGTGGGAATGTAAATAGTTCAACCACCGTGGAATACAGTGTGGCGATTCCTCAAGGATCTAGAACCAGAAATACCATTTGACCCAGCAATCCCATTCCTGGGTATATACCCAAAGGAATATAAATCATTTTACTCTAAAGACACATGCACATGTATGTTTATTGCAGCACTATTCACAATAGCAAAGACTTGGAACCAGCCCAAATGCCCATCAATGATAGACTGGATAAAGAAAATGTGTCACATATACACCATGGAATACTATGCAGCCATAAAAAGGAATGAGATCATGTTTTTTGCAGGGACGTGGATGAAGCTGGAAGCCATCATCCTCAGCAAACTAACACAGGAATGGAAAACCAAACACTGCATGTTCTCACTTATAAGAGGGAGTCGAGCAATGAAAACACATGGACACAGGGAGGAGAACAACACACACCGGGGCCTGTTAGGGGGTGGGGGGCAAGGGGAGAGAGCATTAGGACAAATAGCCAATGCATGCAGGGCTTAAAACCTAGATGATGGGTTCATAGGTGCAGCAAACCACCATGGCACACATATACCTATGTAACAAACCTATACGTTCTGCACTTGTATCTGGGAACTTAAAGTAAAATAAAAATAAAAACAGTTTGGGCCTTGGGAATTGTGTATTTCTAAATGAATCAGCCAGTACTGTCACCGTGTACTGTTATGCAGTCACCATGTACTGTTTTGCAGTCACAGTGACAGGAACATGAGCACACAGCATTAGGTATGCTCATGTCCCTATTACTGTGACCACATAACAAGCCACCCCAAACTTACTGGTGTAAAACTACAGCCATGTATTATGCTCACAGGTTCCAAGGGTCAAGTACTAGGAAGGGCACAGTAAGGATGGTTCTTCTCTGTTCTATGATGCCTCTGGCCTCAGCTGGGAGGATACGAACTGTGAGAGGCTGGAATACAGATACTTCTTGACTTACAATAGGGTTTCATCCCCATAAACCTATCGTAAGTTTAAAATATTGCTAAGTAGAAAATGCATTTAATTCTCCTAACCTACCAAACACTTAGCCTAGCCTGCCTTAAGCATGTTCAGAACATTTACATTAGCCTAGACACAGATGGGTGTTTCATAGACATGATGGGATGTGAAAACACAAAACACAATATTTAAGAAATGCTGGCAACGCAGTACACGGTTGGGTATGGGTTGTTTACCCTTGTGATCGCGTGGCTGGCTGGGAGCATGGGAGAGTATCATAGGGCATGTTGCTAGCCTTGGAAAAGATCAAAATTCAAAGTACAGTTTCTGTTGAATGTGTATGACTTTCACACCATCTTAAAGTTGAAAACTCCTAAGTTGAGCCATCCTAAGTTGGGGCCGTATGTAGTATGGTATGTGGTGGGAACTGGAGGATCCACTTCCCGCATGGGTTCTTCACTCATTGTCTGGTGCCTGAGCTGATATGTAGGTGGCTGGCTCCACCAGGACTGTGGTACACAGCATCCCACGCAGTGTGGGCGTCTCGCAGCCTGGAGGCTCAGTTTTGAAAGGAAGGGTTCCGATAGGGGGCCTCTGGAAAGGGAGAATTCTAAAAGACTAGGCCAAAGCTCCATGGCCCTTTCTTCACAGCCCATTCCTTCTAGTGTACTTTACTGGTAGAAACAATCACAAACTCACTCAGACCCAAGGTGGCGGGGGTGGCGGGGGGGAGGCTGCAAAAAACCCACCTCTCAATAGGAGGAGCGTCAAGGTCACAGTGTAGAAAGCACCTGGGATAGGAGATATTGCCGCATCTATCTTTGAAAATATAATCTGCCAGACAGGTGCGGTGGCTCGTGCCTGTAATCCTAGCACTTTGGGAGGCCACGGCAGGCAAATCGCTTGAGTTTGAGACCGGCTTGGGCAATGTGGTGAGACCCTGTCTCTACAAAAAATGCAAAAATTAGCCTAGTGTGGTGATGCATGCCTGTGGTCCCAGCTACTTGGGAGGCTGAGGTGGGAGGATTGCTTGAGCCTTAGCAGGAGTCAAGGCTGCAGTGAGCCTTGATCGCACCACTGCACTCCAGCCTTGGCAACAGAGTGAGACCCTGTCTCAATAAAAAAGAAAATAAAAGAAATATAATCTGCCATGCAGTGATTAAAGAGAGAGTAACACCCAAAGAAACTTTTATTGGAGGGCCAGGTAATAGCTTTGCACAGGATTGTTGCGTATCTGTACAAAGTGAAGGCGAAGGTGGAAGTATCCCCTATCACAAGAAGGGAGTGGCCCCACCAACAGAAGTTTTCCAAAAACAGTCCTTCTCTTGTCATAGCATGCAGAAAACTATTGGCTGTTTCTGAGAAGATGGAAACACACACACTCTGTCTAGAGAGACAGGTGACTTCTGCCAGCAGCGTTAGCATTTTGGAGAGCGTAGTAGGGGAAACAGAGTACCCCAAAGCGATCAAAGGTTCAGGTTGGAAAGGCTGCTCTTTGAGCAAATCACATAAGCAATATCTGAGAGTTAGTGGTCTGAGGCAAGAATCAGATGTCAAGACTTAGATATTGCAGACTTCAGCCCAGAAGAGAGGGAAGGAGTTGACCTTTCTCAACTCCTCCCATTCCATCTCCTTCCACTTCCTACCATTGGCCAAACCAAACCAAGCCAGAGGGCAGAAAGCCTGAGTGACACTGTCCTTAGAAGCCAGCATCCAGAGACACAGGGCAGGGTGCAGATGGGTGGAGGATGAACCTGGAGCACAGCCCTAAATGAAAGAACCCAGAACCTATTTATTAAATTCAAGATCCAGTGGCAGAGAATAAGCAACGATAATTTTGTGTTATTAAGGCTTCTGTCTCTATGCTAATGGTACAGTACTTTTCTGAAAAAAAAATCTTAATGTGAATACATCTAGAAATCAGGATTTCTGTGTTCTGTCTGAATTACTGTAAGGTGGGCAGCATGGTGGTTGAGCTTGAGGCTCTGGAATCACACAGTCTGGGTTCAAGTCCTGACCCTGCCACATATTAGCTATGTAGCCTTAGGTGAGTTACTTAACATCTCTGTGCTTTTATTTCTGTCATTCAGAAGTTAGGCATGATGATTGCACCTCATGGAATGTTCTAACAACAAGGTGAGATTGTGTGTAGCAAGCAGAGTGCCTGATGGGTAGTTAAGGGGTTGATAAATGCTACTATTGTTTTTGTGCCATAGAAGCTTTCAGAGGTTAGTTTATATGTGAACAGCTCTGTATTTTTTCAATACAGCATAAAGTTGTTTAAAACATACTTTTTAATGCAATTTTAATAACTTGCCTCTTAGTTATTCTTTAACCTTCATCCCTCTGACAATTTTCAGGTGGACAAAAACATTACCAGTCAAAATTTAAAATCCATATGCCTTTTGACCCAGCAATGCTAATACTAGGATTTATTTAAAACATAGACTGTATTGCCGGGCGCAGTGGCTCACGCCTGTAATCCCAGCACTTTGGGAGGCCAAGGCGGGCAGATCATGAGGTCAGGAGATCAAGACCATCCTGGCCAACATGGTGAAACCCCGTCTCTACTAAAAATACAAAAATTAGCTGGGCATGGCGGCATGCGCCTGTAGTCCCAGCTACTTGGGAGGCTGAGGCAGGAGAATCGCTTGAACCCAGGAGGCGGAGGCTGCAGTGAGCTGAGATGCACCACTGCATTCCAGCCTGGGCAACAGAGCGAGACTCCATCTCAAAAATAAATAAATAAATAAACTTTATTTTTTAGAGTTGTTTTAGATTTACAGTGAAGTTGAGCAGAGGCATGAAGAGTTCCCATATAGCCTCTGCCCCACACATGCATATGGTTTCGCCCATTATCAACCACCTCTACCACAGTGGTACATTTATTACAATTGATGAGCCTACTCTGACACATTGTTTTCACCCAAAGTCCGTAGTTTACATTAGGGATCACTCTTGGTGTTGTACATTCTATGGGTTTTAACAAATATATAATGACATGTCTCTAGTATTATAGCCCCATACAGCATCAATTCATTGCCCTTAAAATCCTCTGTGCTCTGCCATTTTACCCTTCCCTTTCTTACCCACCCCCAATCCCTGGCAACCACTGATCTTTTACTTTCTGCACAGTTTTGCCTTTTCCAGCATGTCATATGCTTGGAATCCTACACTAGGTAGCCTTTTCAGATTGTTTTCTTTCACTCAGTAATACACATTTAAGGTTCCTCCATTCTCCCATGTCTTTTCATGGCTTGATAACTCATTTCTTTTTAGTGTGGAATCACATTCCATTGTCTGGATGTACTGTGGTTTATTTATCAATTCACCTTCTGAAGGACACCTTAGTTGCTTCCAAGTTTTGGCAGTTATGAACGAAGCTGCTATAAACATCCATGTGCTGTCTTTTTTTTGAGATGGAGTCTCGCTCTGTCACCAGGGTGGAGTGCAGTGGCGTGATCTTGGCTCACTGCAACCTCCGCCTCCCAGGTTCAAGTGATTCTCCTGCCTCAGCCTCCCAAGTAGCTGGGACTACAGGCACATGTTGCCACACCCAGCTAATTTTTGTATTTTTAGTAGAGACAGGGTTTCACCATGTTGGCCAGAATGGTCTCGATCTCCTGACCTCATGATCTGCCCACCTTCGCCTCCCAAAGTGCTGGGATTACAGGCGTGAGCCACCGCGCCCGGCCCCATGTGCTGTTTTTTTGTGTGAACCTAAGTTTTCAACTCCACTGGGTAAAAACAAGGAGCACAATTACTAGACTGTATAGTAAAATTATGTTTAGTTTTGTAAGAAGCTGACAAACTGCCTTCCAAAGTAGCTGTATCATTTTGCATTCCTACCAATAATGAATGCGAGTTCCCCTTGCTCCACATACCCACCAGCATTTGGTGTTGTGAGTGTTCTGGATTTTGGCTACTCTCCTGGGTACATAGTGGTATTTCATTGCTTTGATTTGCATTTCCCTGATGACATATGATGTGGAGCATCTTTTCATGTGCTTATTTGCCATCTGTATATCTGCTTTTGTGAAGTATCTGTTAAGGTCTTCGGTCCATTTTAAAATTAGGTTGTTTTCTTATGTTGAATTTTAAGAATTCTTTGTATATTTTGGATAACAGTGCTTTATAAGATATGTCTTTTATAAATATAATATTTCCTCCAGATGGTAGCTTGTTATTTCATTCTTTCAAAAATGTCTTGGCCAGGCGCAGTGGCTCACACCTGTAATCCCAGCACTTTGAGAGGCCAAGGCAGGAGGATCACGAGGTCAGGAGTTCGAGACCAGCCTGGCCAACATAGTGAAATCCCATCCCTACTAAAGATACAAAAAATTAGGCAGGCGTGGTGGTGCGCGCCTGTAATCCCAGCTACTCAGGAGGCTGAGACAAGAGAATTGCTTGAACTCTGATGGTGGAGGTTGCAGTGAGCCGAGATTGTGCCATTGCACTCCAGCCTAGGCGACAGGATGATACTCCATCTTAAAAAAAAAAAAGAAAGAAAGAAAGAAAAAGAAAAAAAGAAAATGTCTTTTGCAGAGTTGAAATTTTTAATTTAATTTTATTATTTTTTTGAGACAGAGTCTCTCTCTGTTGCCCAGGCTAGAGTGCAGTGGCACCATCTCGGCTCACTGCAGCCTCTGCCTCCCAGGTTCAAGCGATTCAAGTGCCTCAGTCTCCCGAGTGGCAAGGATTACAGGTGTGTACCACCATGCCAGCTAATTTTTGTATTTTTAGTAGAGACGGGGTTTTGCCATGTTAGCCAGGCTGGTCTCAAACTCCTGACATCAGGTGATCCACCTGCCTCAGTGTCCCAAAGTGCTGGGATTACAGGCACGAGCCACCACTCCCAGCCTAATTTTTTAATTTTAATGAAGTGCATTAAAATTTTTTTGCATTGATTGTGCCTTTGGTATTGTATCTAAAAAGTCATTGTCATATCAAAGGTCATCTAGGTCTTGTCCTCTGTTACCTTCTAGGAGTTTTATAGTTTTGCATTTTATAATACTAGGATTTTTAACTCACAGATATGTGTGTTGCATCCAAACAAGTATGCTTGAGGATGTTCTCTGCGGTTTGTTTATAATTTCAAAAAATTAGGAATAATACAATTGTCCATCAGTAGGGGACTGGTTAAATTATGGCACAATCTATACATGGTGATGTTGAACAAACTTCAAGATATACTGTTGAATGGAAAAAAATCAATATACAAAGCAATGTTAACAATGTGCCACCTCTTGTACTTTGAAAAGGATACCGTGTATACACACACACACAAGCAAACAAACATACAGACACACATACATACATGCTGGTATATATGTAGACTATCTCTGGAACGACACAGAAAAAACTAAAAACAATGGTTGCTCCATGTGCAGGGGAAACAAAGGCCTGGGGAGTGGGGCAGGGATGGGAGGAGAGGCACCTCATCCTCATTGTATACTCTTTTGGACATTTTTAGCTTTGACATTGTGCATGTATTATTTAGTAAAATTAATGAAATAAAAATCCAAATACAATAAATGCACAGCAATGGACACCTGTTCTATACAATTCAAGGACACATTTTAGGGTTGACGAAATAATGCTAATACATTATTTAGAATTTAATATTTAGGTATATTTTTAATGATGGTAAAGCTGAGATTTCTGGGGATGTGGAGGAAACGGAGAGGGATAATCCACATACAGGTGGGCTTGCAGCACAGACATTACCTTGGGCTTTCCTCTGCTGGGAGATGCAGCTCCATGGGGAAGTCTCTGGGGGCGAGGAGGGGTCTCTTGCTGGGTGTCTGCCAACCATCCACATCAAAGGTCATTCTCACTCCTGCCATCTGGCAAAAAGGGTGTGAATTTTAGGAGGCAAATTATTAGACTATGGCATTCTCCATTTCTTCTTTACCTGGATGTCATTTACTAGCATATTTTAGCAAAGTAGGATGGCGTTAAGGGTGCAGAGGTGAGGAAGCCTGGGAAATGCTTGGGAAGCGAAGGCCTTGACTGGACAGCAGCAGAGGTCTTTGAGGGATCCTCAGAAAGCATGCCTTGCCCTTCTCCAGTTCTAAACAGAAAGGCTGCACAGCAGGGAGCTCCGTGTGCCCCACCATCTGATTGCCACCCAGTGCCATTGAAGCTTAGCCTGTGCCCCAGGAGCCAAGCAGAGATGGCCAGCCTCCAGCCTTCCGGGAGCCTCCATGGCCTCCAAGACCACACTTCATCTTCATTGGTGGCCCATCTGCAAATGGGCCAGGGATCTTAGTGACCCCCTTGAAGCCATATCCCTGGACCCCCTCCCACATCTACCTGCTCTGATGAACTGAGTCTGGCCTCCTTGGCACAGTGGCAGTTCCCTTGTTGGAGGCTGGCCACCTAGAGGACAGTGATTAGACCCTGAACCAGGCCAAGTTAAAGCACAGGTCTCTAAGTCCTATTGTGTAGAGGGTGGTGGAGTGCAGGGTTCCCCTGACTGAAACTGTGGATAAATAAAGAAATTCCATCTCATTGCCTATCAGTTTTTCCTGGTCTTCCCCCACAAGCAAAAATTACCAGAAAAGTACACACAGGTGAGCCAGCGAAACCAGGGAAATAAAGACCTGGGCCAGAGCAGCAGGGCACTGAATCTAAACAGGTGCTAGGATCCAGCCCCATGGATTTCTTCGGGGCCTGGTTTCATCTGGTGGACACTCACCTGGCTCGAATCCTACAGATGACTGTACGGGCTGTCCTGTCTGAATCTCACTTCATACTTGGATTCAGAGATGGCTTGTCTGGAAGGAACACTCTGCCCCACATGAAGACTTTTTCTAAAGAAAGATTTTTGTCTTTTAATGAGAAGCATCTTATCATTTTTACTTGACCCCTGGACTGCAGTGGAAGCCACGTCCCAGCTTGCACGTCCTCCCACTCTGGAGTGCAAACGAGCTCCCACTTGCACCACGCGTTCCCTGTGTGCTGGGCCCCGCTGGGCGGTCAAGGGCATTGTCTCACTTACTCCTCACAGCATCCTCTGAGGTGTGCACTATTTCTAGCCCTATTTTACAGAGAGGAGACGGGTTTGGAAAGGAAAAGCAAGTTACCCAAAGTCAACTGGGCAGCCTGACTCCATCCCTCCACCTCTCATTGCTCTTTTAGTAGTTTAAACAACACATCCAAAAGTTAAAGATCTAAAATCCCATTTCTTGACCCCCTAAAGTCCGATGCTTGATTTCAGTGATGTGGTCCTGTAGCTCAAGCAATGCAGGGTAAAGGAGACGGGGTCAAAATCTGCTGACAGTGCCCAGTGCCTTTGCCCATGCAGGAGAGGGGACGGCTGCCCACTGTTGTCCTATGGCTGGCACCTTCTCCTTGTCCTTCCTCTGGAGAAGAGATGTGGTCACAGCTGATCTGCCACAGTGAGAAGCAGCTTCTCTTGGCAGACTGGCAGTGTGTATGGATAACCTCGGGGTTCATTGGAACTGCTCTTGCAGGTGGGGGTCTGCCCCACCAACCATCACCTTGTGTCCGCTCTGGCTCAGGACATCTGCTCCTGGGCACACGTGCAAAACATCTCCTCCCCAGGAATGGCCTTTGAGGGGATATCCTTGAGTGCAGCCTGGCTCACTCAGACTTCTCTCAATTGGGAGATCACCTGCTTTCATCAGTCTCTAATTTAGAGTTCTCTACCTGATTTAACAAGACACTAGTGCTGTCCTCGGGATTCCTGGAGTCTACAAGTCTTTGCTTGGAAATCCCTGGGGAGAAAGAAAGGTGCCCTAAACTTCTTTCTTCCTCACCTTTAAAGGGGTTCCCATTGAAAATCCTCCCTGCTCCCCTCCTTTCCTAAACAAAAGGCATTCTTTACAGTCCCCCTAACTCACAGTTTGTTTTATTTTTCAATATTTGGTGGTTGCTTTAGTTTAAGGTCCTTGGGGGATTTAAACTACACGGATTAAAGAAGAGCAGCTGGAAGGTGGAGAACATTTCAGCAGAGTATCTTTTCTCTCTCTAATTGGTAGCAGCACAAACTGTAACAAGGTGAATCTAATTCCATTCTGCTGAGAGAGGAAGAGTTTTGTTTTTATTATCCTTCCAAGACTGGCAAATTGGCAGGGTTTTTTTTTTTCTAATATAATAAAAAGTAGAAAAGCCCCAGTTTCTTCCCATTTCTGAGGAAACATCAAATGTGGGGGTCAAATGAGGACACAGACATGTCCCTTTCATCACACCATTGCCTTGTTCTAGAGCCTCCCTTGCCTGCCAGGACCCATCTTATCTAGTTCAGCCTGGTTCAGTGTTGCTTGGAGACACTTGCCACCTTCTCTGGTCCTACCACTCTGCGCCCACACCTGCTGGGGCTGGTCTGAAGGGCACCTGCTTCACATCAGCAGCTTTCTCCACCTCTGGACCGGTCTGTTACCCACCTTCAAGACCTTCCTCAAGCCTCATCTCTCCACAAAGCTTCTCCAGACTCAACCAGACCCATAAGACTGCTCCCTTTCTGTGAATTCCTTTAGCCCTTATGCCCATTACTGCAACCATGCACTGCTTGGCATAGTTCTCTAGGTGTGACCACAGCAGCATGGAGGGAACCTTCAACTGTCATAGACATAAACCCTGTGCACACTGTGAAAACAATTACTATAACCCCCTCCATACTCTTATATTGGCCAATTAAAAAGCAGCTAAATACAGCCCTAACAGAGGGTAATTTGGTAATATGAATTTAAAAACTTAATATTTTGTAGACCCTTTTACCCAGCAATTACACTTCTAGAAATATCTCCTCAGAAAAAAATCATGTTTGCAGGAATGTCCATTAGGAATATTTATTCTAAAAATTGGAAATAATTCAAATGTCCAACAATAGGCAAATGGCTAAATTATAGAGCAGCTATGCAAAGGGCTATTCTATAGTCATTCAGATATTATAGAATAGTATTTAATGACAGGGGAAGATATTAAGGTTTTATTATTCAGTAAAACAAAACCAAACCAGACTTCAAATTAATGGCAAATTTTACTTTAAATTATCTATCTACAGCTCAGAAGAGCTAAAAAAGAAATAGACGAGTCATAGAATTAGAAGGTAAAGCTCTTTCGATGGGTAGTGATTCATTTTCTATATGCTAGAAAAAAATTAAAATACACATAAGCAAAGGAAGAGAAAAATTGGCCAGCTGCCTCCACCCACATATAACCAAAATTAACATTTTGGTGGAGGCTTCCCATGACTTTTCTATGTGTGCATGCAAGTGCATGTGTGCTTGGGTATGAGTGCATGTATCAAGAGTGGTACTCTTTTAATAGTCCTTGGGTCATTAACATAGAGATGCAGTATACATCCTGACTTATAAAAGCCTGATGTTATTTTATACTTCTACCCTCTTCTGATAATGCCTTAAAATACTGATTTATTAATTTACCCCCTTCCATCCCACTCTGACCTTACATATTATTGTTGCCATGCATTTTAATTCCATAGGTATTATAAATTCCATGAGGCATTATGATAATCAATATTTATTTATATTTCCTACATACATTTTCCATTGCTCTTCGTTCCTTTCTACACCTCCAATTTCTGTCTTTAATCATTTTCCTTCTGTGTGAAGAATAACCTTTAGTATTCCTTCAGTACAGGTCTTCTGCTGACAAATTTATCCATGTTTGGTTGAAAATGTTTTTATTTCATCTTCATTCTTTAAGGGTATTTTTACTGAGTGTAGGATCCTCAGTTGGTTGATTTTCTGTCAACTCTTTGAAGATGTTTTGAACAGTTTTGCTGTGATGTGCCTAGGTCTGCTTTTGCTTTTATTCGTCCTGCTAGGAGCTGGTAGTACTTCCTGAGTCTGTGGCTCAATGTCTTTCATCATTTTTTGAAGATTCTCAGCTACTGTCTCTTCAGATATTGCTTCTACCCAATCTCTCTCCTCACTTTTGGGACTCCAATTACACATTATGTTAGATTCCTCACAGTATCCCCATGTCTCTTATTCTTTCCTCTGTCATCATTCATCATTCCAAATATTTTTTCATGGCCTATCTTGCAGATCATTAATTTTCTATTCAGGTGCATCTATTCTTCTATTAAACTCACTCAATGAATTATTAGTTTCAGTTACTGAATTTTTCAATTCTACAGATTCCATTTGATTTTTCTCTGTGAAAAATCACAATGTTATTTATTTATTTTTGCATTTTGATTGTTTATTATGTTTTCTCTCCATCAGAATAAAAGCTCCTACTTTGGTCTACTGTCTGTATTGGTTGGTGCCTAGGATTGTGCCTGTATGCGACAAGCACGCAATAAATATAAATATTTTTGCTGTAGACTGGACGGACATGAGTTAGATTATCTGGGGCTTCTGCAGAGTTTGGTTTGGAAAGGGGGTGCTAGGGAAAAACCCTGCTCCCTGCAGCCTCCCATTTTAATCTTTCAGTGTTGAAAAGTAGGGAGGAGCTGGATTCAGTTTGCTGGGGACAGAGCCAGTGGGGCGCCGAGGTGCCCAGAGCAGCCTTTGGGAAGGTGTGGGGGAAGTTGGATTCCCAACTGCCAGCCTCCAGGCCTGGGATGGACCTAGGACGCTGAGACAGGACATACATCGCTAGGGAAGTCACCCACCAGTCACCAGCTCACTGAGGAACCAGAAAAATGTACTGTTCTTGGTTTGAAGGCACTTGGAGAAGGAGAGGAAGGAGGGATGGGGGCTGAATCTCTTCCCGCCCCATCTCTGCCAGGTCCCAGCCCCACCTCTGGGCTTCTGTCCCACAGAGACCTGCCTGCAAGTCTTCAAAGGCCAAGGAACCCCAGTTGGGGGTCCCTATTCTGGAGCCATGGGGTTGGAGTGCCGGCTCCAGCAGAGTTGTCTGAGCAGCGGCCTGAGGTGCTGGGTCTGACATGATTGTTGGCCGTGGAAGGCCTCGGGCCATCCTGAGCTCAGATCTTGGCTGCCGGCCGCTAGGGCGGCTGCTTCTGCAGCAGGGCTAGGGTGTCCCGCTTCTCAATGGAGCGCAGCTGCTGCTGCTTTGCCCGCTTGAGCTTGGCAGGGTTTCGGATCACTTGGACGATCTCCACCTTCCGCTCGTTCTCCAGGCGGCATTTCAGGTTCTCCGCCCGACGCTGTTTCTTCTCCTGGCGGCGCCTCTCCTACTCCTCCTCCAGGTGACGGGCAAAGTCCTTGGCCAGCTTCCTCTCCTGCTTCATCTTCCGCTGCCACGATATACGCAGGGGCTTGTCCTAAAGCATCTGAGAGAATCTTTTCTTGGAGCGGTCCTTCCACACTTGCCCCGACTTGGGCTTCCCCTTCGGGATTACAGGAAGCTCCTCCTCCTTCAGCTTCTTGGACGCTGGGGCCTGGGATGAAGAACCCTTTGGCTTCTTTGCCCCGAAGCCGTCTGTCACCATCTCCCCAGCTGGAGGTGGTTTGCTCTGCTCGTGCTGACCCTGGGGGAAGCCAGGTGCCTCGAGTGTTAGCTGCAGTAGTGGCTGAGAGGGCTCCGGACCCGGAGCTTCCTGACTGGGGTTAAGGCTCTGGTGATCCTGGGCCCGGCAGTAGCTGATGCTGGGGGGCCCCCTGGGATCAGCTCCTCCTTACTTTGGGCCAACTCCGAGGCCAGGTACTCCCTGGCCCTGAGCACACTTGGGTGCCTCCTCACTTGGCTTCGGCTGACATCGTGGGGATTGAGGACTGGACTCCAGCTGTCTTTGAGGCGACTCCAGGTGTAGGCCTTGCTGACACTGGGGGGACCCTGGACCTGATTCTAGCCGCCCTTGGGGGGACTCCAAGCCTGCACCCTGCTGCAAAGACTGGGTGATCCTGGGCTTCTCTCCAGCGTCCTTTCGGGGGGCCCCAGGCCAGCTTGTTGCACACTCGGAGGAGACCCGGGCTCCCTCGTTTCTTCTGTGTCCAACTCGAACTCCACAAGGACCCATCTCCTACGTGAAACTGAGGTGAGGCTCTGGAGGGATTCAGGCCCTAGGCCTTCCAGCTGTCGGCTTCGCCTTGGCGGTGTATCCATCGTTCAGTCGGTAAGTTTCCAAACCCCTACACACATCCACAATGTTATCTTTAAACATATCAGGCATGGTTATTTTAAAGTCTATGTTAATACCTTCCTTGTTTGGATCCCCCGTGGATCTATTCTTTCTCTTGATTTTCATTTGTACTTTTCTTTTTTCTCATATGCCTGGTTATTTTTGCATAAGTGCCTGAAATTGGTTATGAAAAATAGTAGAAAAAATTAAAAGTTAGAAGAATGTTACCATGTCTTCAGAAAGGATTTATCTGTGCATCTGGATGATAGCTGGGGCATTAGCAACCTAGGATCCCATTAATCCAATTCAGTAATGAGAGGATTTTAAGCTGAGTTTCAGTCCTTTTGAAAGTTAGTTTACTTCTAGTTCATCTTTTTAGTTTACTTCTAGTTCATCTTTTCTTCCAGAGTATAGATAATTATGAGTATCACCTCAAATTATAGAATCCAGTTTCTGTTCCCCTGTGTTCTGCAAAGCAATCAAAGCCCTGTTTATGTTTTTAACCTCTCAACCATCTCTTCTGGGATTGGCAGAGGTAGTCCTAAATGCCACTGGGTTTCCATTGCTCTGGGTTTCTGCCTTCCCCCAAATCTTAACCTGGTAACTCTTTTCTGCCTTATTTGTTCTCTAATGCCTTCAAGCAGATTTTTACAAACTACTTTGTTCAGCTTTTCTGATTGTCTTCAACAGATAGGTAGGTTGGTCCAAATATCCTATTCTGCCACTACTGAAAGCAGAAATCTGATATCTATTATGAAATTCATTTTTAAAGGGCTTCTATAGCTATTTTTTAACCCCTATTACTGAATAATTTGCCACTTTCTGTTTCTTATTACTGTTGAATTGGTTGTCCTTTGTTCCTTTGAATCTCAAAAGAATTGCCAACCAAAACCGTAGAAAATTACTTCTGCCTGGGACTGTTTAAGGATTCTTTCTCCTGTGGTTCATCTACTTATATCCCACTTTACTGCTCAGAAACTCAACCATGATATCGCCTGGCCAATTGGGACCCAAGACAAGAGTGCTCTTGAAGTCTCCCTGAGTGCAGACTACCCTGCCTCTTCCTCCCTGGGGTCTAATTCTTGCCAATGGATGAAAGCCTGTCGTGGCCCAGATCTACTATCCTAATTCTAATGCTTTGGGGCTCTATAGAAGAAAAATGCAGTCTACAATTCCACACACCAAAAGCCTGGGAAGCAAAGCCAAAGCATCAACAAGATCATATTTTAATCTGCCTTTTGCCTGCCTCTCATTTGTATTGGTGAGAGCTACAGCTACTGGCCCCTTTTCTGTCAGTGATTCACACAATTTTGTTGCTAGTGCTGAATTTCCCAGCTACTAGAAAGAGGATCTAATGTTTCTTTTTCAAAGGTCAAGTCTATCGCAGTTATTTTTTTGTTTGAGTTGATTTTAAGAACAGTCTTTGGAAGGATAGTGGGTGGTGTGGTATTCTATAACACAGCTTCCCTGTCCAGGGCTCCTAATGAACAGAGGTGGGACCTCAGAAGAGGTCATTGGAGCGGTATCCAAGACTTCAGTGTTGGGTTCCTTTTGTAACTCATCCATCCACCCACTCACCCCCTACTCTTTGTCTTGGTTTGGGCTGCTATAACTAAGTGCCACAGACTGGGTGGCTTTGAAACAACAGGAATTTATTTCTCATGGTTCTGGAGACTGGAAGTCTGAGACAGAGTGGTAGGGTTCTGGTGAGGGCCTTCTTCTTGGTTGCAGATTGTCATCTTTTCATTGTGTCTTCACATGGATAAAAGAGTATGAGAGAGCTCTCTGGGGTCCTTTTTATAAGGACACCAATCCCATTCATGAGGCTTCTGCCTTCATGACCTAATTAACCTTCAAAGACCCCCACCTCCTAATACCATCACACTAGAAATTAGTTAACGTACGAATCTGAGAGTGACCCAAACATTTAGTCCATAAAACTCATTCACCTCCTCATTGAATATATACTTATTAGACCTTACCACTTGCAGGACTTTATGCTAAGTATAGTATTTCAGGGGATCAAAAAGGTTAGAAAGGCAAGGCACAGTGGCTTGAGCCTGTAATCCCAGCACTTTGAGAGGCTGAGGCAGATGGATCACTTGAGCCCAGGAGTTCAAGACCAGCCTGGCCAACGTGGCAAAGCTCTGTCTCTACAAAAAAAAAAAAAAAAAAAAAGAATTAGCTGGGTGTGGAGGTGCAGGCCTGTAGTCCCAGCTATATGTGCAGCTGAGGTGGGAGGATCACTTGAGCCCGGGAGACGGAGGTTGCAGTGAGCCGAGATTGTGCCACTGCACTCCAGCCTGGGTGACAGAGTGTGAGACCCTGTCTCAAAAAAAAAAAAAAAAAAAAAAAAAGAGAGATTAGAAAAATCATTATAGAAGGATGAAGATCTAATAGAGGCCACTATCATGGCCCTAAAATGTTTGCGCCATGTGATGAACAGTGAGATGCTCCTCTGAGATTTTCCCTTCAATGAAAGACCAGTTGTCCCAGCTACTGGGAGGCATGGGCAGACAGCTTTCAGTTGTCAGACCCTTCAGGGATTGCCTCAGCTCCCGAGAGCCATCTGGCCTGGTCTTCACAGGTGGCCTACATCCAATGAGTGACTGATGCATGAATATAAAGTCCTGGGCATCTCAGCCCAACTTGGGAACAGTCTGAGAGGCTATTCTAGGTTCAGAGCTCCTTGTGTGACTGGCTGAGTCTATTGCTGGGCCTGAATCACAGCCCAGCTTCTCTATCCAGTCCAACTTCCTTGCCTATGTTCCACAGGTGTCAATACCAAAGGTGCTCCTTAATAAATATCTGCACATTAAACTCCATCTCAGAGTCTGCCACCTAAGAAATGCAATCTGCCATACACCTGTCCCAGAATATCTAATGGTTACAGAAACTGCTAGAATAAGTCAGGTTCATTTAGACTCTTGGCATAAGTCTAGCCAGGGCTACAGAAGCAGTACTGCATGGGGAAACGGTTGGCAATTTTTTTTTTCCTTAAAGGGACAGTAGTAAATATTTTAGGCTTTGCAGGCCACGTAAGATTCTTGTTGTATATTCTCCGTGTGTGTGTGTGTGTGTGTGTGTGTGTGTGTGTGTGTGTGTGATAGTCCATTAATGTAAAAAACATTCTTAGCTCATTGGCAGTAGGAAAACAGGCTGCAGGCTGGTGGGCTGTAGTTACTAACTCCAGTGTAAGGTATTAAGAGCATAGACTTGTTGGGAGGCAATTATCCATGGGTCTTTCATGTTTCTACACACCTAGCAAAGCACAGATACCAAATAACATTGTTCTAAACTACTTTTTTGCGTTAGGCCATTCTTTCACATTGCTATAAAGAAATACCTGAGGGTGGGTAATTTATAAAGAAAGGAAGTTTAAGCGGCTCAGGTTCTGCAGGCTGTGCAGAAAGCACGGGACCAGCATTTCTGGGGAGGCCTCAGGGAGCTTTTACTCATGGCAGAAGGCAGAACAAGAATAGGGGCATCACAAGGCCTACTCCCACTGTGGGAGCAAGAGAGAGAGTTGGGGAGAGATGCCGCACACTTTTAAACAACCAGACATCGCAAGAACTCAGTCACTACCCTGAGGACAGCACCAAGCCATGAGGGATCCATGACTCAAACACCTCCCACCAGGCCCCACCTCCAACACTGGGGACTACATCTCTACATGAGATTTGGAGGGGACATCCAAAGTATATCACTTTTGAAAAATTTTGTAGAGTGGTCAGCCTTCAAAGATACAGTGTCTCTTACCAGAGAAGAGATTGGGCATACTCTCTGTCCATTATAAAAGACTCAGGTTCCCTCATCTTAGTGTTCCTCTCCTACAACTCAATCTACCACATGTAAAGGAATCAACTGGCCCTCTTTGTATTGCCCTGTGGCAATGAGGCTCATGAAACCAGCAAAAGAAAATGCTGATACTCTACCTACTGCTATTGCTATGAGCAATAAATTGCTCTTTGTCTCTGATCCAGGAGTTTTGTGTCTATGGCCAATCCATGAAACTGTAGCAGGCTAATTTGTTAGATTACAAGTAGAGTAAAACCTCAGACCCTTCATAGTTCTTAATTTCCTAGGTTCAAATTCTGGCTCCTTCACTATTTATAGGTTGGTTAGATGGCCTAATGCCCAGGAAGGCCCAGAGACAGGGACAGGTAGGAACCATACACAGGGACTGCCCACAGACCTCACCAGCTGACTGCATGTTGGGCTTGCCCCATCCCTGGAGTACAGAACTCTGCAGCTGCTCCCAACTGAGCTTGCCCAGACTCTGTATTTCCTTCCCTCTTCAGGTTAGAGCAGTGGTTCTCAACGTGTGGCCACCAGGCCTGTAGTATGAGTGCCCCGTAAGAATTAGTTAGACATGTCCATTTTCAGACCAAGCTCTCAACTCAGATGTACTGAACTGGAAATTCTAGGGGCAGAACCCAGCACTCTGTTTTACCAAGCCCTCCAGTGATGCCCATGAGTGTCTTGCTCTGGCTTTTCATCCCAAGAAGAAAAAAGCTCTGTTTCAAAGCCCGAACTCATTCTCACATATCAGAACCCCAAAGGCACCAGGGTTTCCAGTGAGCAACTACACCTTTTAAGTAAATTAAATTCTTTCTATGAAACTTTGACCCCCATCCAAGGACGTGTTCTAAGCACAAAATTAAAGGATCAAGAAACATGCCTCAAAGTCAAGGGCTCCTGTGAGAAGACAACAAATTCAAGCTTGAGAGTTTTGCAGATCTCTCTAGGTACACATTTTTTCCCCACCTAAAAGCCCACTGCAAAACTTTTCCTACTTGTTATCATGAGAAATAGCCCATACCCTTTTGGTAAATATTAAAATCTCAAAATACTTCTTTAAACATTTGAATTATCAATATCCTGACTTAATATAATAGTACTTTTACAAGAAAAATTATTTTGGTATTAAAAAACATTTTGGGGTGGGAGTGGTGGCTCACGCCTGTAATCCCATTATTTTGGGAGGCTGAGGCGGGCAGATCACTTGAGGTCAGGAGTTCGAGACCAGCCTGGCCAACATGGCAAAACCTACTAAAAATACAAAATCTACTAAAATACAAAAATTAGCCAGGCATGGTGGTGGCACCTGTAATCCCAGCTACTCGGGAGGCTGAGGCAGGAGAATCGCTTGAACCTAGGAGGTGGAGGTTGCAGTGAGCCAAGATCGTGCCATTGCACTCCAGCCTGGGTGACAGAGCGAGACTCCAGCTCAAAAAAACACACAAACAAAAAGCGTTTTGATCATGGGCTATCAGTGTGAGTGTCACACACTTTCTATCTTAGGTAAAACATGGAGGCTGGATCCAATCCAAGTCTGTTAGCATCAAGCTCAGTTCATGATGTGTGCAAAGTGTACTGTGCCCGCGCCTTCCACCCCTTTCCTTTGTTCCTCCTTAAGGGAGCATGCTTCCTTTCCTCTCAGTTGAGAACCTCTGATTTAATATCAGTAGAATCACAACAGGGTGAAAAAGTATAGACCAGCACCCTAGAGTGTCACCTCCAATTGTGTCTGGTTTTTATTAGACTATATTAATTTTATATACTGCTATTTGTAAGATATAGAGGCACAAATACAGAAAAAAGGAATGAAGTAAGTCCTCATTTAACGTTGCCAATAGGTTCTTGGAAACTGCAAGTTTAGGTGAACCGCCATAAAACAAAATCCATTTTCCCATAAGCTAATTGCTATAAACGGAAGCTAAGTTCCTGGAATAGTTCTAATCGCAAAAGCATCACCAAACTTCTAAATAAAGACCAGAATGCTCCTGACATTAAACACTGAAATAAATATGAGCAATACATACACTTAAGACAAATTCATAGAAACAAGATAATTATTTTCCTGCTTATTCCAGTTCAGGGTGGCAGGTGGCCGGAACCAGCTCAGGCTGCAGGACGGAACCTGCCCCAGCCCGGACACCATCAGATCTCAGGGCGCACTCACACACACCCACACTCACACTGGGACCAGGTAGACATGCCATGTGCACACCTTTGGGATGTGGGAGGAAACCGGAGTACTTACAGAAAACCCACGCGGATGTGAGGAGCATGTGCCAATTCCACATAGACAGTGGCCCCAGCTGGAATTGATTTTTCTTTTCTCATCAATTTTGTAAGAAAATAACGTTGAACTAAGTGTTATTTGGCCGGGCATGGTGGCTCATGCCTGTAATCCCAGCACTTGGGAAGCCAAGGCGGGTGAATCATCTGAAGTCAGGTGTTCAAGACCAGCCTGGCCAACATGGCAAAACCTACTAAAAATACAAAATCTACTAAAATACAAAAATTAGCCAGGCGTGGTGGTGCATGCCTATGTCCCAGATACTTGGGAGGCTGAGGCAGGAGAATCACTTGAACCTGGAGGGTGGAGGTTGCAGTGAGCTGAGATCATGCTACTGCAGTCTGGCCTGGGTGACAAGAGCGATACTCCGTCTCAAAAAAGAAAAGAAGAAAAACAACATTATTTGAGGACCTGCTGTATTTACTAAGTGCCAAGTATTGAATACGCATTACCTCGATTCAGTACACAGCAACCTTCCAAGGTGGCAGCAGCATTGCCGCCCCGGGTGGTTCTCATGTGCAGCCAGACTTGAGAGCCACTGATGGGTGAAGTTTGTTGGCAGATGTCGTGGTTAGTGAATGCTGGGGCTCACCAGCCTGCTCCTTCAAGGCCTCAGGTTCTCCCTGGAGCCCTGGAGCCCTGAAGCTGACACCGCAGATGGTAAGGGAAGACTCACAGGAGGCCACATCTATTCATGGATGTCTGGGAAGCGGCCAGTCCCGTGCCTGCCCCTCCTGGACCTGCCTGCTCTGGCCGTGGGTCTGGAATGGAAGACTTGAGACCCTCCACTGCTGATGGCACTCTTAGGTTGCCACTCGTCAAGAACATTCTGTGGCTCAATATTTGTCAAGAAGGTGGTCAGTTAAAATGGAACCTGCTTAAGAGAAAGAGCAATTATTAAAGCACCACTGTGCCCACTGTGGAGGCTGGAGACTCCAAGTTTATATGGCCAGAGAGAGAGGGGCCTGATGTGGGTTTTTTCCCAAAGCTTCACCGGAACAAAAACCACATCTCTGGCCCTTGCATGGTTATTCTCCCCTTGGTGCCAAGAGGGGCCTTGTGCTGGGCTCTGGGATGCCTGTTAGGCCTAGCTTCAAGAGCTGGGTAGCTAGCAGAGGGCTGTCCAAGCTCCTTGGCTGTTTCCTTCTCTGCCTCCCTTACTGCCCACATTTTGGTCATTTTGCTGCTCATTAGCACCTCCTCCAGAAGGTGACCTGGTTAAGGGGAGGAGGTGAAACTCAAATCCTGCAATTTTCCTGCCTGTTAGCAGCTCTTATAAAAGTCTTGACGGACAAGCAGGTTAATGCTGTTGGCTAACCCTGGAGCCTCCAGCATCCCCGTCCAGGGGCTGCATGGGGGCTTGCATTTACTGAGCACCTACTGGCATCACTAGAGCAGCAAGTGATGTTCTGTGAGGTGCTGATGAGTTCACGGAGCACTTTGGAATGTATGGCTCAGGTGATCCTCACAGCAAGCCTATGGGGTCACTATAATTCTTGTCTTATTTTACAGATACAGAAGCTGAGACTGTGAGAGGCAAGTGACTTGTTCAACATCCCACAAACCACAGCAAATAAGTCCACCAGGAATGTGAATTCTGATAGGAAATTGGGAGTCCAGATCCTACTCGCATTACTATACCACTCTGTTTTTCTACCACGTCACATTTGGTGTGAGGATTTCAAGTTCCCATTCTTGATATACTTCTGACCTAACGGGGGAGGGATGGCATCTTCAAGGTGAAAACCTAAAAAACAAAAGGGAAAGGGGCATGTGAGATCACAGCTGCTATGAGGAAGATGAGACATCAACAAACCAGGGAGAAGGAGGAGGGGTATCTCGAAAGCGGTATCATAAATGCACTTGAGGCTGGGCATGGTGGCTCACGCCTGTAATCCCAGCACTTTGGGAGGCCGAGGCAGGTGGATCACCTTAGGTCAGGAATTAGAGACCAGCCTGGCCAACATGGTGAACCCCATCTCTACTAAAAATACAAAAATTAGCGTGGTGGCAGGCACCTGTAATCCCAGCTACTTGGGAGGCTGAGGCAGGAGAATCGCTTGAACCCGGGAGATGGAGGTTATAGGGAGTGGAGATCGTGCCACTGCACTCCAGACTGGGTGACAAGAGTGAAACTCCGCCTCAGGTGGAGGGCATTTTGAAAGACAGAGCCCAGAGGAGGTGCTAGGCAGGGATAGGAAAGCTGGGGGCAGTGAGCAGGGACGGGGGACTGGGCCAGCACTCCTGAGGAAGGAGACCTTGCAGGATGACAAGAGTGTATGGTACAGATAAGAGTGTCGTGGGAGGTGTGGCCACTGTGCAGAGTGTTAAGGCAGGTGCCAGACTGGGGAGGCTGCGCTTCCTTCACGACTTCTGCCGGTGTCTGAGCAGATCAGGTCTGTGGTTGGAGCTGTGCCTCCAGGAAGGCCAAGTGGCAACTGTGTGTGGATTAGGCCAGAGGGGACAGAGTGGAGGCAGGGGAATGAGTCTCACTGGCCAGGAGGGAGAAACAAAGGAAAGGAGGGGCCTGACCAGCAGAAAGACATTGTGCAAACCGAATCACCTCTATTTATGACTGCAGTGAGCTCTCAGCAGTGCCTGTTGAACTAGGCTGCAGGGCTTCCATAATGTTATCTTGTTGTAGCATCAAAAGGCTTAGTTTTTTGTTTTTTTTTTTAAGTTTTTAAAATGGTTTAATTTCTTTGAATATCATCGGACTAGAGTTTGCCCAGGTGGCAGAATTTAGTTAGGGCCTTTAGCTGAAAATTGTTAGTGCAGTGAAGGTTTACCCTGAGTGGGCAAAATATTAAGGATCCCTTTCAAGTTTATTTTCAATTGATAAAATGCTTATTCTCCTAACCAATTCTTCTTTTTTTTTCTTTTTCAACTTTTATTTTAGAATCCAGGGGTACACGTGCAGGATTGTTACAGAGGCCTATTGCATGACTCTGAGGTTTGGGGTATGACTGAACCCATCCCCCTGGTAATGAGCACAATCCCTAATAGGTAGATTCTCAGCCCTTTTCCTTGTCCCTCTCTCCCGCCTCTAGCAGTCCCCAGTGTCTACTGTTCTCCTCCTTATGTCCATGAGTACCCATTGTTAAGCTCCCACTTATAAGAACATGCAATGTTTGGTTTTATTTCTGCATTAGTTCACTTAGGATAATGGCCTCCAGGTGCATCAATGTTGCTGCAAAGGGCATCATTTCATTCTTTTTTATGGCTGCATAGTATTCCATGGTTCATACCACGTTTTCTTTTTTTTTTTTTTTTTCATTAAAGTAGGCCTTTAATGGTGGAATTACAGTCATCTTAGTTGAAGAGATTTGTTTTTCTTTGTTTTTTTTAAGTTTTAGGGTACATGTGCACAATGTGCAGGTTAGTTACATATGTATACATGTGCCATGCTGATGCGCTGCACCCACTAACTCGTCATGTAGCATTAGGTATATCTCCCAATGCTATCCCTCCCCCCTCACCCCACCCCACAACAGTCCCCAGAGTGTGATGTTCCCCTTCCTGTGTCCATGTGTTCTCATTGTTCAATTCCCACCTATGAGTGAGAATATGCGGTGTTTGGTTTTTTGTTTTTGCGATAGTTTACTGAGAATGATGATTTCCAGTTTCATCCATGTCCCTACGAAGGACGTGAACTCATCATTTTTTATGGCTGCATAGTATTCCATGGTGTATCTGTGCCACATTTTCTCAATCCAGTCTATCATTGTTGGACATTTGGGTTGGTTCCAAGTCTTTGCTATTGTGAATAATGCCGCAATAAACATACATGTGCGTGTGTCTTTATAGCAGCATGATTTATAGTCCTTTGGGTATATACCCAGTAATGGGATGGGTGGGTCAAATGGTATTTCTAGTTCTAGATCCCTGAGGAATCGCCACACTGACTTCCACAATGGTTGAACTAGTTTACAGTCCCACCAACAGTGTAAAAGTGTTCCTACTTCTCCACATCCTCTCCAGCACCTGTTGTTTCCTGACTTTTGAACGATTGCCATTCTAACTGGTGTGAGATGGTATCTCATTGTGGTTTGATTTGCATTTCTCTGATGGCCAGTGATGGTGAGCATTTTTCCATGTGTTTTTTGGCTGCATAAATGTCTTCTTTTGAGAAGTGTCTGTTCATGTCCTCCCACTTTTTGATGGGGTTGTTTTTTTCTTGTAAATTTGTTTGAGTTCTTTGTAGATTCTGGATATTAGCCCTTTGTCAGATGAGTAGGTTGCGAAAATTTTCTCCCATTTTGTAGGTTGCCTGTTCACTCTGATGGTAGTTTCTTTTGCTGTGCAGAAGCTCTTTAATTAGATCCCATTTGTCAATTTTGGCTTTTGTTGCCATTGCTTTTGGTGTTTTA
Organism: Homo sapiens; assembly: GCF_000001405.40. NCBI lineage: Eukaryota > Metazoa > Chordata > Mammalia > Primates > Hominidae > Homo > Homo sapiens. Next base: position 27,503,235 of record NC_000007.14, read on the forward strand.
GACATGAAGTCCTTGCCCATGCCTATGTCCTGAATGGTAATGCCTAGGTTTTCTTCTAGGGTTTTTATGGTTTTAGGTCTAACGTTTAAGTCTTTAATCCATCTTGAATTGATTTTTGTATAAGGTGTAAGGAAGGGATCCAGTTTCAGCTTTCTACATATGGCTAGCCAGTTTTCCCAGCACCATTTATTAAATAGGGAATCCTTTCCCCATTTTTTGTTTTTGTCAGGTTTGTCAAAGATCAGATAGTTGTAGATATGTGGCGTTATTTCTGAGGGCTCTGTTCTGTTTCATTGGTCTATATCTCTGTTTTGGTACCAGTACCATGCTGTTTTGGTTACTGTAGCCTTGTAGTATAGTTTGAAGTCAGGTAGCATGATGCCTCCAGCTTTGTTCTTTTGGCTTAGGATTGACTTGGCAATGTGGGCTCTTTTTTGGTTCTATATGAACTTTAAAGTAGTTTTTTCCAATTCTGTGAAGAAAGGCATTGGTAGCTTGATGGGGATGGCATTGAATCTGTAAATTACCTTGGGCAGTATGGCCATTTTCACGATATTGATTCTTCCTACCCATGAGCATGGAATGTTCTTCCATTTGTTTGTATCCTCTTATTTCGTTGACCAGTGGTTTGTAGTTCTCCTTGAAGAGGTCCTTCACATCCCTTGTAATTTGGATTCCTAGGTATTTTATTCTCTTTGAAGCAATTGTGAATGGGAGTTCACTCATGATTTGGCTCTCTGTTTGTCTGTTGTTGGTGTATAAGAATGCTTGTGATTTTTGTACATTGATTTTGTATCCTGAGACTTTGCTGAAGTTGCTTATCAGCTTAAGGAGATTTTGGGCTGAGACAATGGGGTTTTCTAGATATACAATCATGTCGTCTACAAACAAGGACAATTTGACTTCCTCTTTTCCTAATTGAATACCCTTTATTTCCTTCTCCTGCCTAATTGCCCTGGCCAGAACTTCCAACACTATATTGAATAGGAGTGGTGAGAGAGGGCATCCCTGTCTTGTGCCAGTTTTCAAAGGGAATGCTTCCAGTTTTTGCCCATGCAGTATGATATTGGCTGTGGGTTTGTCATAGATAGCTCTTATTATTTTGAGATACGTCCCATCAATACCTAATTTATTGAGAGTTTTTAGCATGAGGGTTGTTGAATTTTGTCAAAGGCCCTTTCTGCATCTATTGAGATAATCGTGTGGTTTTTGTCTTTGGTTCTGTTTATATGCTGGATAACATTTATTGATTTGCATATATTGAACCAGCCTTGCATCCCAGGGATGAAACCCACTTGATCATGGTGGATAAGCTTTTTGATGTGCTGCTGGATTCGGTTTGCTAGTATTTTATTGAGGATTTTTGCATCAATGTTCATAAAGGATATTGGTCTAAAATTCTCTTTTTTGGTTGTGTCTCTGCCCAGCTTTGGTATCAGGATGATGCTGGCCTCATAAAATGAGTTAGGGAGGATTCTCTCTTTTTCTATTGATTGGAATAGTTTCAGAAGGAATGGTACCAGTTCCTCCTTGTACCTCTGGTAGAATTCGGCTGTGAATCCATCTGGTCCTGGACTCTTTTTGGTTGGTAAGCTATTGATTATTGCCACAATTTCAGCTCCTGTTATTGGTCTATTCAGGGATTCAACTTCTTCCTGGTTTAGTCTTGGGAGAGTGTATGTGTCAAGGAATTTATCCATTTCTTCTAGATTTTCTAGTTTATTTGCGTAGAGGTGTTTGTAGTATTCTCTGATGGTAGTTTGTATTTCTGTGGGATTGGTGGTGATATCCCCTTTATCATTTTTTATTGTGTCTATTTGATTTTTATCTCTTTTTTTCTTTATTAGTCTTGCTAGCGGTCTATCAATTTTGTTGATCCTCTCAAAAAACCAGCTCCTGGATTCATTAATTTTTTGAAGGGTTTTTTGTGTCTCTATTTCATTCAGTTCTGCTCTGATTTTAATTATTTCTTGCCTTCTGCTAGCTTTTGAATGTGTTTGCTCTTGCTTTTCTAGTTCTTTTAATTGTGATGTTAGGGTGTCAATTTTGGATCTTTCCTGCTTTCTCTTGTGGGCATTTAGTGCTATAAATTTCCCTCTACACACTGCTTTGAATGTGTCCCAGAGATTCTGGTATGTTGTGTCTTTGTTCTCGTTGGTTTCAAAGAACATCTTTATTTCTGCCTTCATTTTGTTATGTATCCAGTAGTCATTCAGGAGCAGGTTGTTCAGTTTCCATGTAGTTGAGCGGTTTTGAGTGAGATTCTTAATCCTGAGTTCTAGTTTGATTGCACTGTGGTCTGAGAGGTAGTTTGTTATAATCTCTGTTCTTTTACATTTGCTGAGGAGAGCTTTACTTCCAAGTATGTGGTCAATTTTGGAATAGGTGTGGTGTGGTGCTGAAAAAAATGTATATTCTGTTGATTTGGGGTGGAGAGTTCTGTAGCTGTCTATTAGGTCTGCTTGGTACAGAGCTGAGTTCAATTCCTGGGTATCCTTGTTGACTTTCTGTCTCGTTGATCTGTCTAATGTTGACAGTGGGGTGTTAAAGTCTCCCATTATTAATGTGTGGGAGTCTAAGTCTCTTTGTAGGTCTCTAAGGACTTGCTTTATGAATCTGGGTGCTCTTGTATTGGGTGCATATATATTTAGGATAGTTAGCTCTTCTTGTTGAATTGATCCCTTTACCATTATGTAATGGCCTTCTTTGTCTCTTTTGATCTTTGTTGGTTTAAAGTCTGTTTTATCAGAGACTAGGATTGCAACCCCTGTCTTTTTTTGTTTTCCATTTGCTTGGTAGATCTTCCTCCATCCTTTTATTTTGAGCCTATGTGTGTCTCTGCACATGAGATGGGTTTCCTGAATACAGCACACTGATGGGTCTTGACTCTATCCAATTTGCCAGTCTGTGTCTTTTAATTGGAGCATTTAGCCCATTTATATTTAAGGTTAATATTGTTATGTATGAATTTGACCCTGTCATTATGATGTTAGCTGGTTATTTTGCTCGTTAGTTGATGCAGTTTCTTCCTAGTCTCGATGGTCTTTACATTTTGGCATGATTTTGCAGTGGCTGGTATCGGTTGTTCCTTTCCATGTTTAGCACTTCCTTCGGGAGCTCTTTTAGGGCAGGCCTGGTGGTGACAAAATCTCTCAGCATTTGCTTGTCTGTAAAGTATTTTATTTCTCCTTCACTTATGAAGCTTAGTTTGGCTGCATATGAAATTCTGGGTTGAAAATTCTTTTCTTTAAGAATGTTGAATATTGGCCCCCATTCTCTTCTGGCTTGTAGAGTTTCTGCTGAGAGATCAGCTGTTAGTCTGATGGGCTTCCCTTTGTGGGTAACCCGACCTTTCTCTCTGGCTGCCCTTAATATTTTTTCCTTCATTTTGACTTTGGTGAATCTGACAATTATGTGTCTTGGAGTTTCTCTTCTTGAGGAGTATCTTTGTGGTGTTCTCTGTATTTCCTGAATCTGAATGTTGGCCTGCCTTGCTAGATTGGGGAAGTTCTCCTGGATAATATCCTGACGAGTGTTTTCCAACTTGGTTCCATTCTCCCCGTCACTTTCAGGTACACCAATCAGACGTAGATTTGGTCTTTTCACATAGTCCCATATTTCTTGGAGGCTTTGCTCGTTTCTTTTTATTCTTTTTTCTCTAAACTTCCCTTCTCACTTCATTTCATTCACTTCATCTTCCATCGCTGATACCCTTTCTTCCAGTTGATCGCATCGGCTCCTGAGGCTTCTGCATTCTTCATGTAGTTCTCGAGCCTTGGTTTTCAGCTCCATCAGCTCCTTTAAGCACTTCTCTGTATTGGTTATTCTAGTTATACATTCTTCTAAACTTTTTTCAAAGTTTTCAACTTCTTTGCCTTTGGTTTGAATTTCCTCCTGTTGCTCGGGGTAATTTGATCGTCTGAAGCCTTCTTCTCTCAGCTCGTCAAAGTCTCTCCATCCAGCTTTGTTCCGTTGCTGGTGAGGAACTGCATTCCTTTAGAGGAGGAGAGGCGCCCTGCTTTTTAGAGTTTCCAGTTTTTCTGCTCTGTTTTTTCCCCATCTTTGTGGTTTTATCTACTTTTGGTCTTTGATGATGGTGATGTACAGATGGGTTTTTGGTGTGGATGTCCTTTCTGTTTGTTAGTTTTCCTTCTAACAGACAGGACCCTCAGCTGCAGGTCTGTTGGAGTACCCTGCCGTGTGAGGTGTCAGTCTGCCCCTGCTGGGGGGAGCCTCCCAGTTAGACTGCTCGGGGGTCAGGGGTCAGGGACCCACTTGAGGAGGCAGTCTACCTGTTCTCAGATCTCCAGCTGCGTGCTGGGAGAACCACTACTCTCTTCAAAGCTGTCAGACAGGGACATGTAAGTCTGCAGAGGTTACTGCTGTCTTTTTGTTTGTCTGTGCCCTGCCCCCAGAGGTGGAGCCTACAGAGGCAGGCAGGCCTCCTTGAGCTGTGGTGGGCTTCACCCAGTTCGAGCTTCCAGGCTGCTTTGTTTACCTAATCAAGCCTGGGCAATGGCGGGCTCCCCTCCCCCAGCCTCGCTGCTGCCTTGCAGTTTGATCTCAGACTGCTGTGCTAGCAATCAGCGAGACTCCGTTGGGTAGGACCCTCCAAGCCAGGTGCAGGTTATAATCTCCTGGTGCGCCGTTTTTTAAGCCTGTCGGAAAAGCGCAGTATTCGGGTGGGAGTGACCTGATTTTCCAGGTGCCGTCTGTCACCCCTTTCTTTGACTAGGAAAGGGAACTCCCTGACCCCTTGTGCTTCCCGAGTGAGGCAGTGCCTCACCCTGCTTCGGCTCGCACACGGTGCACGCACCCACTGACCTGCGCCCACTGTCTGGCGCTCCCTAGTGAGATGAACCCGGTACCTCAGATGGAAATGCAGAAATCACCGTCTTCTGCGTCGCTCACGCTGGGAGCTGTAGACCGGAGCTGTTCCTATTCGGCCATCTTCTCTCCTAACCCAAAAGGCTTAGTTTTTGATCCCCAGATGGCTGACATATCTGCCCTGAGATTTGTAATTTTTGTAGGAAAACTAAGATTCCTGATAAAGATTCAGATCTTTCTTCAGTAATAATTTTAAAACTCTCAAACTTTCTCTAACAACTTCTTCCAGGCTTCATAAATGCAGCTATGTTATTAGGCTCTTTGAAGAGAGGTAAGGGGGGTACCTGTCTTCTACATAATATATCAGAAAATTTCAATTCTTTAGACTTACTCTCACCAGCCTCCCAGGTATGTAGTTTTTTGTCTTACTATAAGTCCCTAAAATTAACTGGCCCACAAAACGTCTTTAAAATCAATGTTTAGTTCCCCATACTCATCTTTCCTTCTTTCTCTCCCTAGAATAGGTCTGGCAGTAAATAAATTTAGAAACTTTTTTTATTTCCTGACTTAAACTGACATTTGCATTGGGGAGCAGGTAAGAGTTTTGTTGTGTATGTGTGTGTTTTTTTTGTTTTGTTTTGTTTTTGACAGAGTCTTGCTGTGTTGCCAGGCTGGAGTGCGGTGGTGTGATCTCAGCTCGCTGCAGCCTCCACCTCTGAGGTTCAAGTGATTCTCCTGCCTCAGCCTCCCGAGTAGCTGGGACTACAGGCGCGTGCCACCACGCCCAGCTAATTTTTGTATTTTTAGTAGAGATGGTTTCACCATGTTGGCTAGGACGGTCTCAATCTCCTGACCTCGTAATCCACCCACCTCGGCCTCCCAAAGTGTTGGGATTACAGGCGTGAGCCACCACGCCCAGCTGAGAGTTTTTTCCCAAGTTCCATTCAGATTTTTTATTGTGCAGTTCCTACAAGCTGTGATAAATTTCAGGTGGCCAGGGTCCCACCTCTCAGGCCTCTTGAACTGCCTGCCAGTCCTTGGCCTCCTCCCCTGCTGAGGTCAGCCTTCACGCAGATCATTTGTACCCCCAGCCCCTCGAGCTGATCCAGAGTCCAATTCTAGGCTAGCCAGTGACCTGTGGAAAGTTGGGAGCAAAACGTTTTATTGGACCCATCAGATTCTAGCTCTTGAGAATTTAGATGGAGGAAATCAGGCATCCGTATGAGCTGAAGCTGAAAGGAGGTGCTGATGGAGAAAGGGATTGGAGGGGCCATCATGGACCATGTCAAAGCCTAAGTTGTGTAGCAGCAGAAGCCATGAGGAAGCTCTGAAATGTGGTCCGTGAAGGGAGGAGAGTGGAGCAGACACAGGAGCTAGGGGCAGAGGACAGCCTGTCCCTGGAGCTGCCTCCAGATCTTGCTTTCAGACTCCAGTTCAGGTGCATGTATATCCCATGAGTAAGCCCTCTGCTTCTTGGAGTGCTCTGGGTCTAGGATTCTTTCCTCGTATAGGACATCCCTTCAAACTAAAAACCTGCCAACAACCCTAAACACCAGCATCCCCTGGCACAGTGCAATCTGAGGGATACTCAGCAGCTCTTCTCACGACAGGTCTGGCTGGCAGCCGAGGCTCTGCATGTCTATCACAGCCCTAGGTGCTGCCACTCCTGCGGGCCCCCAGTTCACAAGGGCAAGAGAATGGGTGACTTGCACGAGCAACCCTGTTACTCAATTAGAAAGAAAGAAATCCGGATCTAAAACAAAACCAACAAAAACTAGGTTTCCAGCCAATCTAAAAGAAAGAATAAGTGATATTTCCTCACTTTTTTTTTCCCTTTCTGTGGCATTTAGGAAAAGAGTAGAGGAAGATGCTCAAATCTGGCATGACCAAGAGCCTCTGAGGCCTCAGGATCCTTAGTATCTTGAGGAAAGCTTTTTTCTTTCTTTTTTATTTTTTAGAAGAATTCTTGGGTTTATAAATAAATCTGTTCTCTGATATCAATAAATTCACCCAGAGAGGAGGAATTTTTTTTTTTTTTTGGCTAAATGGATTGGTCTTGAATAGTTTCTAAGACTCTAACAAGAAACTGCTAGATTTCACTAGAAGGCAGTATGATGGAATCTGGTAATCATTCTAAACTCAGCAGTAGGTCTCCTGATGTGCAATTTCCAAACATGCTGCTTTCCATTGCTGCTGAAGTCTGTTGAAGTTTTTGATGCATATTTTGCTTTTAAAATGAGAGGGTTGACTCTTGACCAAATGACTGAGTGCAAATGGTAACATCATTTTCCTCGCACATATTTTCCTGTTCTAACTTCAGGCTAGATCAATGTTTGCCCTCTTCAAACACTGGAAAGGCTCCACTGGGATAGAGGTAACAGTGAGATGGGAAATAAAGGGAAAACAAAGAGAACATTACTGCAAATACCAGTCAAACTTGGATCTGGTTCAAAAAAACCAAAAGGTATAATATAAAAATGTAAGCTTGAAAAATATCCAGTAGACTAAACATTCACTCATCCTGATTAAAAAAAAAAAAAAAAAAAAAAAAAAAAGGCTTTGCCTTGGTGTCTTCTGGGCTAAACTCTTGGGCAATGGCTTTTAGTACAGTATAATTTGTTAGCATTTACTGCCGGTGATAAATTAGGAGGCCCCACCATGAGATTTTACTGCTTCAGGTAGGGTGATCACAGCTTTCCAAATTGTAAATTACTTTAGCAACTACTTGGGACAGAAGGAAGTGAAACAGAACACTTAAGCTTAGAAGACCACTTCTTATTCTTCCTCTACCCTGGTGCTTATCTGCATGGAATGCTTGGGTAAAAGCAGGCTTTAAAACATCCCGCCATCCCTTGCCTGACCAGCCTTTTTAATTGTCTTTTGAGTAAACTTCAAAGCCATCTGTTAGTTATGCAAAAGATATCAGTACAACTCACCTGATGTTAAACATAGTGCTTACTGGAAGCACCACATTTTAGGTAATCATATTTTTTAAATGCTACTCTTGGACTTAATAATCCATACTTTGTTATTTAACCAACTTCTTAAGAGAGTCTTTAATCAAAAAGGTCACTACAAGGCTAAATTCCTTAAAACCCCACTAAGATAGTGGAAACTACATATACGATAATAAATCAGACTGTTCATCTGGGACATAACAGAGTTTTAGAGATGTCACATTGATCATGCTTTTTGAATCTGAAATCACACATTATGTAATAAAGGTTTCTTAAGGAGACAACAGGACAAAGTATTTGAAAACGAAACTCATTTTTATTGAGTACCTTCCCTGGGTCAGATGCTTTGTATATGCTCTTTCATTTAATTCTCCCAATAGCTCTACAAATTGCTTTTCCTATTTTGTTTTAATTATTTTTTTTTTTAGAGACAGGATCTTGCTCTGTTGCCCAGGCTGGAGTACAGTGGTGTGATCATAGCTCACTATAGCCTCAAACTCCTGGGCTCAAGTGATCCTCCTGTCTCAGCCTCTCAGTAGCTGGGACTATAGGCGTGTGCCACCACACCCAGCTAATTTTTATTTTTATTTAGTAGAGATAGGGTCTCACTATGTTGTCCAGGCTGATCTCTAACTCCTGGGCTCAAGTGATCCTCCTGCTTCAGATTCCCAAAGTGCTGGGATTGTTAACATGAACCACAGCACCAGCCTGCTTCTCCATTTTATAGATAAGGAAACCAAGCTTCAGAAGTGTTAAGTAGTTTGCTATTTATCGGTAATTCAGGTACTCAAATATAAGTCTGCTATATTCCAAAGCCCCTGTTCTATTCTCTATGTCCTAAGATACTATCCTAAACAATGGCAGCTCACTCTCTAATCCTCTTTCCTTCCCCCTACTATCTTCCTGTCTTCCTGTAGCTCTATTTTACTATGAGCTCTATTTACATTCTATGGCTCTATTATGCTGGAAGCATGTTTGGCTGGCTATATGCAGTTATTTGTAATCCCTGCCTAGGGCATTTATTAAGCATCTACTACAGGTCAGTAACTAGGAGAGCTGTGGATGGCTGCAAGTAAGGAGGGATAGATAATTTTCACCAGCCATGTCATGCCCTATTGACAATTTAACAGTGGTAGGGAATACTCCAGGGTTCCTATGGTTCTTTTTTTTTTTTCCCCCGAGATGGAGTCTTGCTCTGTCACCCAGGCTGGAGTGCCACGGCGTAATCTCGGCTCACTGCAACCTCTGCCTCCTGGGTGCAAGCAGCTCTCCTGCCTCAACCTCCCGAGTAGCTGGGATCACAGGTGCCCACCACCACACCCGGCTAATCTTTTTATTTTTAATAGAGACGGAGTTTCACCATGTTGGCTGGGTTGGTCTCGAACTCCTGACTTCGTGATCTGCCAGCCTCAGCCTCCCAAAGTGCTGGGATTACAGGTGTGAGCCACCACGCCTGGCGGTTCCTATAGTTTTGTGGTGGCTCTTCCTACTTCACTGCCATCTCCAAAGCCAAACCTCTTCACCAGCTGCACTGGGCCTGGCAAAGCTTGGCTAGAAAGGGCCCAATAAGGAGACCAGGGCATGGAAAAGGATCTGAATCACTTGTCAATACTATTATATAAAACAAGCTAAGATGAATGAATACATTTGTAAATATTTCAGTGTTTAATTATAAATCAGTGTTTTTAAAATCTATTGGCAACTGATCCTCCAGCAAGATTTTTATCAGTCTACACTCCCATCAGCTGTGCACCAGCTGAGTCCCTGGGTTTGCAGACATTTAGCTAGCAATCTCCAGTTTGGTTTAGAGTGATGTCTGCTTGTCTGGCGGCTTCAGAATTTCTAAACGGGAAAGACTCAGGGACAGGGAGGTGGGAAAGTGCTTTGAAACCGCATCTGCATAGCACTTTACATGAGATTGACAAAGTGTCCATTTTCCACATCAAAGAATGGGGTAGGGGAGGATTGCACAGGAGAGAGGACTTAAAGCCACCATTTGCCCCACTGGGCTGAGCACTAACAGCCATGGGCTGCGCCAAAGCCCCAGCTCTGAGTGGAATTCATTCAGCAAGATCTGTCTCCCAGAATATGACCTTGCAGACCACTGCTTTTGTCTTAGCAGATACAGCCAGTGAGTCCGCACATGTCTGACTTATCTTCTGCCAAGTTTGAGAGAGCCAGGCTTTTCGTATTCGCTATCTCTACTGGGTCCTACAGCACTAGAGAAGAAAAATCTCCCACAAGCAGATTCGAATACCCTCTTGCTAACTAACCAGAAACCATTTGAGGTAGAAGATGGCTGATGGCAGTCTTGTATTTATCAAGTTTGCTCTTCACCAACTGGCTTCTTGGTTACCAGTAGCTCATAATAAGAGCTCGTAAGTTTTAGTGAGCATTAACTATGTGGCAGACACCATGCCATGCCCTGTACCTACACTGTCTTATTTAAGCCTTTCAATTATCCCCTGGGACAGTTACTGTTATCCGTATGTTACGATGAGAAAACTGGCACTGAGAAAGGCTAAGTTACCTGCTGAAGCCCACACTAGAAAATGGTGTTGCTGGGTTTAGAACTCAGGCCTGACCTCTCCGTGGCCCAACTTTTAATACAGTGTTGAAGGATATGGGAGGTGAGTAGGGCAGCAAAGGATGGCTTTCATCATTTTCAAAAGTTGATTATAAATTTGTAAAATAAAGCAGAGTGTTTAGATTATCTCACTTAAGATATATTAAGTGAAATGAGATTAAGCAGTTTCTGGTCTCCTGCTATGGTGGGCTTCTGTGTTCTCTAAGCTTGAGTAGCACAGCAGCATTTCAATGTAACAGGCTCGTGACTCCAATCAAAGATCCTACCTGCCAGTATTCAGATGCAGTCACTCTGAGAGCAAGGGCATTTATTAAGCATCTACTACAGGTTAGAAACTCTGCTAGTGATTTATGTGTGTAAAGGGATGTTTAGAGGGCCTATTCCTGATGCCTTGGAATCGGCCCTGGGCCCATAATAACACAGGTTATGTGTTCATGTTTCTAACTCAGGGAAAGCTTCCAAATATTGGGGCTGGGCTTCCTAAGACTTGGCAAACCTGCCTCACTACAATCAATCCCTCATTTCCTCCAATCCTTCCTGCTTTAGAGCTCATGGAATCAGGACCCTGGGAGCTTTGGCTTTGCCTGTGTTCCTGGACAGCTAAAGGAAGGGGAATTACTAGTTCCTTAGTAATTTTATTAGTAATTCAAGAGAATTACTAATAAAAACTGGGGTTATCTCATTCATTTGTTCATTCACTCATGCACCAAACAAATGCTGTGTGTGGGATCCATCCAGTGTGCCAGGTGCTTGTGATACCTCAGTCACAAAACCACAGTCCCTGCCCTCATGGAGCTCATGTTTGAATGTCTACTCAGGCAGTGGACATGCTCATTTGCCTGGTGCCAGCCTGTGGTAGAAATGCAGGTGCTGCCACGCATCAAGAGGCCTCCTCAGTAGGTAGGTGGGTTGGAGCCTTCTTGTCAGTGCCCATCTAAAGAGCCCAATAAGGAGACCAGGGCATGGAAAAGGATGTGAATCACTTTTCAATACTATTACATAAAACAGCTTAAGATGAATGAATACAGGAGGTCCCTGCCTATAAGACGCAGGTCTGTGCCCATATGGAAGTTGAGAGAGATGTGGACAAAGGCAAGCTGGAAGAGATCTTCCCATCAGAAAATAGTGGGGTTGGGGAAAGGTGACAGCAAGAGGGACTGCAAGGCCCTCTGAGGCCTCACACATGGTGCCTTGAGAGATATAGAATACCCCCAGTTTTCTTAGGGAGGGTTGCAGCTGTTTTACCTGGTCTCAAGTAGATTTTACTAGAATGCTCTCCCTAGCCATCTTCACAAGCAGACTAACAAGGCCTCCTCTTCCTCCTTAGCCTAATCAAATCCATCTGGAGAGACAGAGGGCATGGCCTCCCTTTACACCCGCTATCCATCTGAATTACCTGGACAGGACCCGGAGTCTTGCTCACGCCAGTATGAAATTGTCCCTAGGCTCTCCTGACACTTCCCAGAGCTGCACTGTGTCTTCCTGAGTGCAATGGATCCAAGGTGACATTTACAGGAGAGTGCTGATTTGATCTTGCTTCTAGGAAGCAGGGTAAGGCTGAGGTCCTTGGCCTTGACAAGGCAGGACCCAAAGGCCAAAGGTTGCTATTTAAACACACGTTTCTAGCTGAGCAAGTTAATGTTGCCAACGTTGACAATATTTAAAAAACGTCTCCCATAAGCAGGATGCTGCTGCTGCAAGCCAGACAAAGAAGCACCCACTGTCCCCCGGCAGCTCACTGCATGCTTGGAAGTCAGTTGAAAACTTCGGAGATCACTTTGTTTTACTCAGAAACTGCTTATTTTTCAAAGTTAAAATTTTTCAAAGTTAATATTTTTCAAAGTCACAATTAAGCAGTTTCTGATTTTTTGTTTCTACTGAGCTGCTCCATTTGTTATCTGTTAAGTGATCAAAATAGGCAAAGGCTTTCTTTTGACATTTTTCTTTTTTTCTTTTTTCTTTTCATTTTTTTTTTTTTTTTTTGAGATGGGAGTCTTGCTCTGTTGCCCAGGCTAGAGTGCAGTGGCGCAATCCCGGCTCACTGCAACCTCTGCTGGTAGGGTTCAAGTGATTCCCATGCCTCAGCCTCCTTAGTAGCTGGGATTACAGGCACGCACCACCACGCCTGGCTAATTTTTGTATTTTTAGTAGAGATGGGGTTTTGCCATGCTGGCCAGCTGGTCTTGAACTCCTGACCTCAAGTGATCCGCCCACCTCAGTCTCCCAAAGTGCTGGAATTACAGGTGTGAGACACCACGCCCTGCCTCTTTGGACATTTTTCTCACTCCAACAATTTAAGGAGAAGAGAGGTTCTTAGTTACTGACAGGAAGGTGATTGCCCATTATTCTGAAACTCAAAAATAAAAGTGCAGAAAGATTGATCAGAGGATTTGCTCTCTCTGGAAATACCGGTCTTGCCATCTTTCAAGCAAATAGCGGCTCACTGGTAGGAATTTCAAAACCTGTGCTTAAACTGCCAAATTCCTTTCCTCTGCTGTTCCCATTTCTCTGTAATGATGGCCCCAGAAGGGAGGCTTGGTGCAGGCTGACGCTTTCTCTGCCTTGGGCAGCATGGAATGTCTCGCCTTTGACACACAGCCAGGCTCCAAGGAGGTCCTCCATAAACACTTGTGGATACATGTTTGTGGTCTGTGTCTGCAGTGCATTTACCTTCTCTACCTTCTCTATTATAATTCACATTAGTCCTCCTTTGTCTCTCTAACAATAGAGAAGGGTAGGAAAACCTTTTTTGTAACCTAATTTCAAACTCATCACCTATTTCTTTCATTACAACCTTCATCATTTACAGCAAGCAAAGCAAGCCTTAGGTCATCATTTTCCCATTAGTAGAGGACAGCAAGGGTTCACTTTATATGAATATTCTTTCCCTTTCCCACAAAGTAATGATCTAAGACTTCTAGCTAGGGGGAAAAAAAATGGTGTTCTTCCCAACCTGGAAATGGCATTGCTCATTAAGTGACTGAGGCTTGCTGAATCCTATGCAAATCAGTCCTGATGAGCCTTTAACTAATCTGTTTACAAACCAGACCTGCTAGACAGGCCTCAGTGATTTTCTATCAAAGCAAAAAGCACTGCTCTTTATGGGCATCTGGCTGTCCCTGAATGGGTAGTTTAAACATAGACTCTTTCCTTCAAAGTAAGATCAAAGGCTTTATGACTCCTAAATGAGTGCATTATTTCCACTTACTACCTTCTTGTTTGCAATTTGTGTTTATTAACAGCACTGTCTCAGGTTTACTTTGTGAATTACTAGTTTCTGAAAACAGTATGGCAGTTTTATGGACCACAGTATACATTTGTGGAGATTATGTAGCATATAATATATAGAATGGCCCATCAGACAGGACATTAGGCAAAGACAGTTCTCTGCAAAGATGACAATGCCTGACCATGCAGAATACATTCATGATTTTTTTAAGGAAACCATCTGGCATAACAGGGCTAACACAAGAAAAGATTCCCCAGCTCTCCAGATTTGATAACTCTTTGACTACCTTAGAAGAATTTTCTTTGAAATTTTATTTCTTTTGAAGAGAGTAAGTACCTAAAGCTGTATCGTAGGTGAGGGAATGCCACTGGTACTTTTCAAGGAGAAGCACAAACAGGTTCTTTTAGAGAACAAGCAGATTGTTTTAAAAACCACAACAAAGATTCCAGCATGTAACTAACCACTTAAGAAACCCTTCTTTTAGTCCTTCAGCTAGCAGCTTCCCAGTGCGAAGACAGAGGTCTCTATCGTCCCTGGTCCTAACACAGAGATTAGAACCCTGTCCTTCACTCCCACCATCCAATTCATCTTAGGAGGATAAAGCTGCCAAGAAAATTGCATCTTTTAAGATTTGTGGTGACTCAGGTATACAAGCTTCAAGGTGTCACTGACCTATAAAAGGGACTAGACTAAACTGCAATGAGTACAGTGCAATGCAGGGAACATCCACCTTTGGAAGGGGCAGCTTTTAATGTCACTAGATGGTCCAGCCAGAAATTAAATGGGATGGCCAGGAAAGGCCATAATCAGGGACCAAGCCACTGTTCAAAGTCATATCAGTTTTTAATAGATTTTTTTTTTTTGGACACTGAAGTGAGCATAAATTCACAAGGATAAAAACACATTTGTCAGAACCCCATGGACAGACCCCCTACCAATCCAAAATGAATTGGGCTGAAAGTGGCAAGCTGGACAACAGGGAAACTAAACCCATCATAAATCTTCTCCTTAAAAGTCTCTTCCAGCTTATCACCTTCTAAGTGTCCTTGATGGCCCAGTTCTGCCATTGCAACTTTGAAAAAAAAAAAAAAATCAGAGACTACGTATTAAACTCAAGTCAGAAAAGTATGCCTGCACACACAAGCAGAATCAGAAATTATGTTATAGAGGCTGGAGAAATAAGACATTCGGATCACAAAGTGACAAACATGAAAAATTTTAACTTGGAGATATGATGATTCCTAGAACTCACAAGAGGAAAGTAGTGTGAACAGGAGCACATTAGGCTTTAACTGTATAATGTTCATTAACATGTTAATGAACATTTATACTGGAACTATAATATGGCAGTTGAGGTACAGGATATAAAGATACTCTCCCTCTCCAGCAGTTTGTTTTATGTTTCACTCTGTATCCTGACTCTTGTTTAAGTCAACTGTTTGCATCTCTTTGTCTAAGACAAACGTTTCATCTCTGAGACAAAGGGTCAATTCTAGGCAAAGCAAAAGCCAAATAAATGAGTTAGGAGTTAACTAGTAGAGCATACTTACATTAGCGCAAATAAGCTATCAGGTCTCCTGGTCATCTTGGCTCATAAAAGGAACAAAACTAAACCAAGCAAGGAGAATGAATCATGTTTGGCACTTACAGAGAGTGGTCCTCAGGTCAGGGTTAAGGTCATTAAGGGGAGGGAGAGAGAGACGAGATGAAAGCTGCATTTGCTCTGGAGTCTCTGGGATTGGGACTCTGAAGTGAAATTTCTGGAAGAGGTCTCAAATAGTCTAAAATTACCATAGAATACTTCAGTTCTATCCATAAATGGTATATAAACGAAGTTCAAGAGGCTCAAAACAAACATAAAAGACTAGTGAACTTAATATCATCTGAACTCAGAGGGGCTGAAAAGCTCCATCTGGAAGTGAATTAACTCTTTCAGGGCACAAGGCTATCTCTTAATGGTGCTGGGAGGAGTAATTCACTTCCAAAAGGCCCAGACCATCATTTTTACAAGGAGAACTGGCAACAATTATGCTCAATTCGTATGATTAAAGGGAAAATAGTGAAAAGATTTTAAGTTTTGATTTGACAATGTCCATGAGAAGTTTTCCACTCTAAAATCCTGTTTAGTATTGACACAATATTTATTCTAACCTACAGTAATCCAAACTCTAAAGTATTTTAGGCATTTATCATGTTTAATGACTACAGCAAATGCCAAATTTTGTCCTTTTGAAGATAAAATGCTGCACTCAAAAAGTCATGGGATTTGCATATACAGCCAGGGCTGAGAAACACACCCCAAACCTGCTTTTGATTTTATGAGTCTGGCTGTGAAGAAGGTTTCCATAGTTTCTTCCTCTGCCAATGTCATTATTTCACAGAGAGGCCTGCCAAAATGCAGCTCGAAGCTAAGCTTATGTGTCAGGTTTATTCAAGTGGCTCATTCTAGATGAGCTTTCTTGCTATCTCTTTACCAGGCATGACGGACTATCATTAATAAAAATGTATTGATCTCTGAATCTATTCCTGGCTATAAAAAAAACCTTAATAAATGAGATGGCTATATGAGCAATAAATAATACCTAACCAGAGAGAGTCCAAAAACTGTCAGAAGCACATGCCTCATGTTTTCTTAAACCCTTAACTATGGGGAATCAGAATTTTAGAGCTAAAACAAACCTTAAAGATCAATGGGATGCCCTCATTTTAAAGAGAAGGAAACAGATCTACAACACACACAGCTTAGTGCTGACCTAGGGCTAGAGCTCACGTCTCCTGTCTCCCAGCCCGGGAACCATTCTTGTAACCAAGGCATTCGAAAGCACTCCCTGTAGGCTGGTTGCAAAGGGCTTCTGATTTACTGTGTTTTCCTATTAATGCTCTAATCTGAATAAAGAAGTGTTCATCCCCTTTAGATATTCTTGAATTATTAAATGATGAATACAATTACATAGCAAAAGGTCATCTTCAGTCTGTCTGCCACCAATGAGAGACGATTCCACTTGCGCATCGGTATGATGGACACGCTAGTTTATGGGTCTGACACCTTGCATGGAATGTTACAAATCCCTATGATGTCCTTAAGCTCCCTCTTCAATTGAACTGAAAGATGGCTAAAAACCCCACTCAAGCAGACGCCTCCCCATTGGCTGGCCATTTGAGAATACTCAAGGGTGCAGTTACCGCAGCTGAGGCTGGTAGTAACTCGTGCTGTTTTCCTGAGCAGCAGCAGGCTTCTGATAGTAGCCTGGGTAGAATTTATGCACGTGGATAATTTTGCCCCATTCTCTGCTCAGATTTGCCTTTCTCCCCCCTATAATGTGGACATAATATACACATTTCTGATTGCTTAGAAAACAAGATAGAAATTTGTGTAATGTGAAGAATGGCCAAGGAGTAGGCCCAGTTCATTTGGTGTTCACTTACATGTGGACTCAGCTGTGGCTGAGCCGTGTGCTCCATTATAATGGTGTCAGATCAGTAGGATGGCAAAGAGTCTCTCATACACCTATTTACAGATTCCCTTGAGTAAATCAAACCTAGATTATTCTGAGATTCACCTCATGTCTCAAGGTCTACATAGCATGTTATGTAAGATTACATTTGCAACTGCTGTACTCCATAAGGGGCAATAGGTGCATGCTTTACTGTATGCAAGTACATAAAAGTTTAGACTAAGCTTGCTACCAAAAATGCATACTCTCTCTTCCAGAATTTCTCCAGTTTTAGCAGCATAAGCTAAACTTTTGACTAATAAACTTGGTCTGCTAAGCAAGAATCTTTAAGAAAACGTTTATGCAGTCAGTAATTCACCTAACATAAATGTAATGCCCTAGCTTTCACTCATTCATTCATTTATTCAAACGCTTATTGAGCTCTTAATGCTAGGTGCTGAACTCAACGCAAACCTCAAAGCTGATACGACACATTCTGTGCCGTCCAGCTCACAGTCTGGTGAGGAAGACAAATGAGCAAAGCTGCAAATATAATGTAACAGGGCAAGTCCTATGATGAGAAAGATGTCAACAAACTGCTGTGAAAACAGAGTGGAAACGACTGAGTCTGAAGTTGCTGAGGAAGGCTTTTTAGAAGACAACAGTGCTGAACCGGTCACGGTGCCAGAAGGGGCGGCATTCCAAATGGAAGAAATGGCATGTGCAAATGTACTGAGGTGTGCAAAGCATGGCACGTTTGGGAAAAGACAAGTATTGTGGGCAGTGGTGCTGGTGAAATAGAAGCCCCAGCAGGATGGCTTTGGAGACCAGACTGTATCCTAGGCTCAAACATTCTAAACAGGGTTGGCCGGATTGGATTTCAGTCTTAGAAAGACCTCTCTTGCAGCAGTGCTCAGCAATTGGGAAATAAAACCAGGCTGGTGGCCAAGAAGCAGCTTTAAATCTAGAGTCAGAAAGCTTAGTAGCTGCCAATGGCTGGGGGCCGGGAGAATGAGCAGTGATTACAAATGGATGCACGGGATTTTGCAGGGGTGATGGAATGTTCTAAAACTGAATTGTGGTGAGGGTTGTAAAACTCTCAGTTTACGAAAAGCCATTCATTGTATAAAAGGAGCAAATTTCATTGTATGTACACTATACCTTTAAAAAGCTGTTAGGGAAAATAAAAGGTGTCGCTGCAGATACTGAAGTGCCCTAGATCAGGGGTCTCCAACCCCCGGGCTGAGGACCAGTACTGACCTGGTCCGTGGCCTGTTAGGAACTGGGTTGCGGGGCAGGTGAGTGGCCAGCCGGTGAGCAAGCATTACTGCCTAAGCTCTGCCTCCTGTCAGATCAGCAGCTGCATTACATTCTCATAGGATCCTGAACCGTATTGCGAACTGCACATGTGAGGGATCTAGGTTGTGTGCTCCTTACAAGAATCGAATGCCTGATGATCTGAGGTGGAACAGCTTCATCCCAAAACCATTCCTCCAACCACCACCCATGGAAAAACTGTCTTCCACAAAACCAGTCCCTGGTGCCAAAAATGTTGGGGACTGCTGCCCTAGATAAGAACTGGTGAGGGCCTATAATAGGCACTAGAGATTTAGAATTAGCTAAGGAGAATGGGTGGAGGAATGGAGGAGTCAGGGATGGGTCCTGAAAGCCTGGGAGGAGTCGTGGGATAGGACCAGAAGGAGAAGCAGGGCTTTGGGGGAAAATGAGGAGCTCAGGTTTTGATATGCTGAGTTCAGGTCTTGTGGAACATACACCTAGAGCAGCGTTTCTTAAACTTTGCCTGACTGGCATTTTGGGCAGGATAACTATTGTTGTGGGTGCTGTCCCGTGCATTATAAGAGGTTTAGCAACATTCTTGGCCTCTGCCCACTAAATGCCAGTAAAATGGACAACCAAAAATGTCTCCAGCCATTGCCATGTGTCCCCCCTGGCAAGCAAAACTGCCACAGTTGAGAACCACTTATCAAAAGATCTTAACTCATGATATTTTCCTTAGGCTTTTTAAAAATTGAGAGGTAATTCACTATTTACAAGTATACAACTCAGTGATTTTAAAATATATCCACAAAGTTGTGAACCACCACTATTAATTCCAGAACATTTTCATCACTCCCCCCAAAAAACTCCATATCCGTTAGCAGTCACTCCCCATTTCCCCCTCTCCAGTCCTTGGAAACCACTCATCTACTGTCTGTATGGATTTGCCTATTATCCAATACTTCAAATAAGTAGAATCATACAATATGTGGCCCTTTGCATCTGCCGCCTTTCACTTGGTATGTTTTTAAGTTCATCCATGTGGTAGCATGGATCAGTACTTTATTCCTTCGTATGGCCAAGCAATCTTCCATTGTGCAGATATGACAGTTTGTTCATCCAATCATCAGTTGGGGGATATTTGGATTGTTTCCACTTTTTAGCTATTATGAATAATGCTGCTATGAACATTTGTGTACAAGCTTTGTGTGGATATATTTTTTTCCTTATGCATCTAGGAGTGAAATTGCTGGATCATGTGCCAACACTGTTTAACCTTTTGAGGAACTACCGAGCTATTTTCCAAAGTGGCTGCACCATTTTATATTCCCAGCAGCAATGTATAAGGGTTCCAGTTTTTCCATATGCTGCTATCATGTGTGATTGTCCTTATATCTTTTGTTTTCATTTCCAGAAAGCATTTAATATTAAGCTAGATGGTTTATGACAACTTCATAGATGAGAAAATGAATGGTCAGTAGAGGGTGGCTTGTACAGGGTCACACTCAGAGGTAATTCCTTTCCAGCACAAATATTTTGTTCGTGTTGAAAACTGTATAATTGATTACAATTCTATTCTATCCTTCACGTAAGATGCTGACGGGCTGAAATGTGATCTGATCTGTTTTTGCTGGTTCCTTTAATTTGCAGAGATTTGGCCACAGTTAAACCCCTTCCCTCTCAACTACTCGAAAGGCAGCATTTAGCAAGTAGCCTCTCTGTTGTGCCATTACTTCCCCTCGTTACTGGATCATTCCACTTCCATCCGTATAATCCCATAACATTTCCTATTTTAAAAATATAATAAAACTCCTCCTGGTCCCTTATTTGCTGCCAATGTCTATCCCATTTGTCTGTTTTCCTCTGCAGCAAAGCTCTTCAAGAATTCTCTATACTTACTGTTTCCAATTCCTCTCCCACTCTCAATCCAACTCTCATTTCCAAGACTCCACCAAAACTCTTGAAAAAGTCACCAGTGATAGCTCTTTTGCCAAATCCAAATGATTCTCAGCCCTATTACTCAACTCACAGATCATCATTCCCTCCTTAAAATACTGTTTTCATTTGGCTCCTGGGACACTGCTCCCATGTTTTTCCCCTACTTTACTGATCTCTCTGCTTCAGTCTCATTTGCTTGTCCCCCCTCATTTTCCTAACCACTAAAGTTACAGTAACACAGGGCTCAGTCCTTGGACTGTTGTTCTTCTTTACTTAGATGTCTATTAAGGCATCTCATATAAATCTCTGATTTTTTTCTCCTAAACTTCCTACAATCCTCCCCAAATCTTCCCCCCATGATCTTCCCCATATAGGAAATGGCAACTTCTTTCTTCTGCTTTCTCAGGCCACTGACAGTGGGATTATCCCTGACTCCCTACTTTCTCTCTCATGCCATCCATCAGTTAGTGGCTCTGTTTTCTAGGTTCAGAATCTAACCACTTCTTGCCTCCTCCATCATTTTAACATTCTGGTCCCAGCTACCACCTCTCAACTGGGTTATTACTATTGCCTCCGAATTGGTCTCCTTGTTTCCAGCCTTGCTCCTACAGACTCTTCTCCACACAGCATCCAGAGTGATCCCTTTAAAAAAGTAGGTCAGATCACATCAATCTGGTGAAAAAGTTTCACAGGCTGCTTGTGATAGGCTGTTTGCAAAAAGGCCACCATAATGCCCCTCTTTGTGTCCACACTCTTATGCAGACCCCACATATGCTGATTCTGGGCTTGGCTATGACATTTGCTGTGGCCAAGGGGAAAGTACAAACATGAAGCAAGCAGAGGCTTAGAAAGTCAGGGCTTGTCCTATGCTGCTGCTGGGATGCTTCCACCACTATGTGAACAAATTCATACCAGCCTCCTGGAGAATGCATGAAAACATGGAGAGAAGCCCCAACCATTCCAGCTGTCCCAGCTGAGTAAAGCCAAACTAGACACTCTAGCTGCAGATGAGCTGGTCTAGGCCAGAATAATAATATGGCCAACCCACAGAATCTTGAAAAACAATACATGTTTGTTGTTTTAAGCCACTAAATTTTGGGGTGATTTGTTATCCAGCAAAAGCTAACTGATACATTGCCCATTTTGCTCAGAATAAAAGCCAGTGTCCTAACATACCCTGCAAGGCCCCATATGATCTGGCCACCCTCATTCTGTGCCACTTCACTTATAGCCTCCCTGTTATTCCTCATATTCAGTACTGTCCTACCTCAGGGCCTTGGTACTTTCTGTCCCCTTTGCCTGGAATGTTTGTTCCTCAGATACCTGCATTGCTTACTCCCTTACCTCTGCTCAATTGACACCTTATTGGGGAGAACTTTCCTTATCACCCTAAGAAAATACCCCTGGCACTCCCTATCCATCCCCGTTATCCTGCTTTTTCTTTTTAGTTCTTCTTATCTGAAAAATACATATTTCTTGTCTGTCACAAACACATGAGACACCAGAACTTATGCTCTGCAAGGGCAGAAATCTTGTGTCTTGTTCATCACTGTATCCCCAGCACTTATAACAGTGCCTGGAATTTTTTATCACCAGTAAAATGATGAAAGTAGTAATACTTCTGCCAAATTTGGTGTCTAGGTCTATTACCTGGAATGTTTCTAGAGGCTGAGGTGGGAAAAGTGGTGACTGTGCTCCATATTGGGGCATGTTACACTTAATGCTGGCTGAATTCCTAGAGAACTGATGACCTAAAAAACATTCAAACGAATACTCAATAAGGATTCAGGTAAAGCAGCAAAACACTAGCTTGCCACTGGCCAACTCAGAGCTTTGTTCCTTTTGACCTCCCCTCCTTTCTCTTTATTCCCATCCTTTCCCCATTAGTGTGAACATCAGTTTGTCAGAACATTAGTTCACCAAATGATGGGGAAGAAACAAAAACACCAAGAAAGTATTACCAGTATAGAAATTTATTTGAATTCAAAATAATATGGCTATATTTATAATAATATAATAATTATCTAAAGCAAATATCATCATTGGCTCTGAAATGCATCTAAAGATGTCATTCTTAAGTCAAAAAATACGTAGTAAGAATGAACAAGAAAGAAAAAAATATAAAAACAAGTCTGCTGAGTGTCGGGAGTTGGTGAGGGATATCCTACCATATTGTGACGGAGTCCAAATAGAAAACATGCAGCAACAGTTCTCCTGCTTTATCAGCTCCCTGGAAAATAAACCAGTAACCCTGGTAGTGCAGTAACCATTTGGTTAACAGGACAAACTTCCTGATGGACACAGATAGTAATTCACTGCATTTCCCTTCTCTAACTTCTCTCTTCACACCAATTCCTTTTCTTTCCTTTAAGATGGGTTTCATCCTGTTGACAAAAGATTTGGTTTTATTTGTAAAGTAAAGCAGATAATATCCTGATTGAAGTATTCAATGATTTAGTTGAGGATGCTTGGGGATCAAACTTTGTAAAAAGGTCAATTAAGCTAGTTAGCAGAGACTATCAGTGGCTTGCAGAAAAAAAATTCGGATAATATGTTTGTTAAAAAGACAAAAAGAATAAGCGGTGAAAAATCCTAGGGATTACTGTGACCTAGACAATCAAAAGCAGATAGGTGACCTTTGATTAAATCCATTTACTTGTGGAGTGAGCTAAAAGGAGGCTCCAAGACAGAGTTTGGTTCCCAACAGTGTCCGTGGCCAAAGGGCACACTCAGAAGGTCTCCTCCTCTCGTAGGAACTGGAACACGGATGAGAAGTCTTTCTTTGAGTAGCCCTTTGCACACATCATCCTGTAGATCTGATGGGCCAGACTGCCAAGAAGGATTGGGCTCTTTGTGCTGGTAGCAGAGTCTTGTGCCAATCCCAGATCCTAAATCAAACAGGAGGAGAGAACACGCTGAGACTGGTGGTAAAGGCTCTTTGGAACTGTGGTTCCTTATGTTTTGGTTTGAAAGAAGGAAAAATGTAATCTGAAAAAATAAGATACTTATAAATACTATGGTAAGTTAACATTTTTAAATAAGCGCTTTCATATAACTGCAAAATTGCTCCAGACAGAAACCTTGATTTCTGAGTGTCTCTTCGATTTTTCCACCTTCCACAATACCTGTTTGTTTTGTTCCACAGATTTGAAGAAAAAAAATTTCCCTGTGTAATCTTATCTGTGGAAATCTTTAAGACATAAATTTTTTTTAAAAAATTCTTAAATGAAAACAAGGAGAAATAAAACTGCAAAACAGGAAATACAGTTGCAAATATTACTTCATCCAATAAATATTTGAAGTGTGCTGACAATGTGCCAGAAGCTGGGATAAAATGATGAGCAAAACAGCCACAGCCCACCCAAACTCACATTGTGTTAAGGAGAAAGACAATTAAATAAGCATGGTATAATTGGATAGGAGGAGTACTATCATGGGATCCAAGGAAGCAGGGTCTGGGGTGCTGGGAAAGGTGAAGAAAAAGAAGACAGTGAAGCACAGACCTGGAGCCAGGTGAAAACATGGGGGTGGCAGGGAGGTGGTGGGCAAGGAAGAATGATCCATCCTGGCAGACAATGTGACAGCAAATGTGAAGCAAATGTGAAGGTTTCCAAGAGACAGAACAAGAGGGAGAAGTGAGTTCAGCACGATGAAAGCAAGGAGAGGGGGATGGGAAAGAAAATCAGTCTGGTTGAGGCAAGCAAAAGCCAAGGCATCTGGGGGCTTGTCAGACAAGTTGCAGGGATGGACTTTAATCTCCAAGTAACTGAAACTACAAAAGCTTCAAAGGAGAAGTGACACAATCAGGATTTTACATTTTAGAAAGCTCACTCTTGCTTTGATATGGAAAATAAACTGGAGAAGATCAGGCTGAAAGACAAGATCAGTTAAGATGTATTTGTGGTACAACACAAACGAGGCTCAGCCAAGGTACAGCTAGCTGGGGAGGAGGGAGCTGGATGAATTCAAGGCATATTCAAGAAGCAGAATGAACAAACGTCATGGGGAATGAGGGAGAGTAAGCCAAGTATGGGCACATCTTGTCTTAGTGTGCTTCACTTTATCATGCTTCACAGATAATGCATGTTTGTTTTTGTATTTTAATAATTGAAGGTTTGTGGCAATCCTGCATTGAGCAAGTCTATCAGCACTGTTTTTCCAACAGCATGTGCCCAGTTCATGCAGCTGTCACATTTTGGTAATTCTCACAATATTTCAAACTTTTTCATTACTATTATTTCTGTTACGGTGATCTGCAATCAATCAGTAACTTTTTTTTTTTTGAGACGGAGTTTCTCTCTTGTTGCCCAGGCTGGAGTGTAGTGGCGCAATCTTGGCTCACAGCAACCTCTGCCTCCTGGGTTCAAGTGATTCTCCTCCCGCAGCCTCCTGAGCAGCTGGGATTACAGGCATTTGCCACCACCACACCCAGCGTTTTTTTTTTTTTTTTTTTTTTTTAGTAGAGACAGGGTTTCACCATGTTGGCCAGGCTGGTTTCAAACTCCTAACTTCAGGTGATACACCTGCCTCGGCCTCCCAAAGTGCTGGGATTACAGGCATGAGCCACTGTGCCCAGCCGATCAGTGATCTTTGATGTTACTATTGAAACTGTTTTGGGGTGTCAGAAAGCGCACATAAGATGGCAAACATAATCGATAAATGTGGTACACATGTGTTCTGACTGCCCAGCCACTGAATGGCAGCTCTCTCTCTCTTACCCCTCAGGCCTCCCTATTCCCTGAGACACAAAATATTGAAATTAGGCCAATTAATAACCCTACAATGGCCTCTTAAGTGTTCAAATGAAAAGAGGAGTCAGCTGTCTCACACTTTAAATCAAAAGCTAGAAATGATTAAGCTTAGTGAGGAAGGCATGTAGAAAATCAAGACAGGCTGAAAGGCAGGCCCATTAAAACAAACAGTAGAATGCAAAGAAAAAATTCTTGAAGAAAATTACAAATGCTATTCCAGTGAACACATGAATGATAAGTGAAACGGCCTTACTGCTGATAGGGAGTAAGTTTGAGTGGTCTGGATAGATCAAACCAGCCAAAACATTCCCTTAAACCAAAGCTTAACCCAGAACAAGGCCCTAACTTTCTTCAATTCTGTGAAGGCTGAGAGAGGTGAGGAAGCTGCAGAAGACGTGTGAAGCTAGTAGTGATTAGTTCATGAGGTTTAAGCAAAGAAGCCATCTCCATAACATAAAAGTGGAAGGTGAAGCAGCAACTGCTGATGGAGAAACTGCAGGAAGTTAGTT
This sequence comes from Homo sapiens, assembly GCF_000001405.40. Lineage (NCBI taxonomy): Eukaryota > Metazoa > Chordata > Mammalia > Primates > Hominidae > Homo > Homo sapiens. Next base: position 27,528,745 of record NC_000007.14, read on the forward strand.
ATCCAGAAGATCCAGCTATCACTGATGAGGGTAGCCACACTAAACAACAGATTTTCAGTGTAGATGAAACAGCCTGCTGTTGGAAGATATCATCTAGGACTTTCGCAGCTAAAGAGAAGTCAATGTCTGTTTCCAAAGCATCAAAGGACAGGCTAACCCTCTTGTTAAGGGCCAGTGCAGCTGGGGACTTGAAGTTGAAGCCAATGCTCATTTACCATTCCAAAAATCCTAGGGCCCTTAAGAATTATGCTGAATCTACTCTGCCTGTGCTCTCCAAATGGAACAGCAAAGTCTAGAAGAAAGCACATCTGTTTATGGGATGGTTTACTGAATATTTATTTTAAGCCCACTGTTGAGACCTACTGGTCAGAAGAAAAGATTCCTTTCAAAATACGACTGCTCACTGACAGTACACGTGGTCACCCAAGAGTGCTGATGGAGATGTACAGGGAGATTAATGTTGTTTTCATGTCTATGAACACAACATCCATTCTGTAGCCCATGGATCAAAGAGTCATTTTTCAACTCTTATGTGAGAAGTATTTCATAAGGCAATAGCTACCATATATAGTGATTCCTCTGACAGCTCTGGGCAGAGTAAACTGAAACCTTATGAAAATAATTCACCATTCTAGATGCCATTAAGAATATTTGTGATTCATGGGAGGAGGTCAAAATATCAACATTAACAGGAGTTTGAAAGAAGCTGATTCCAATGCTCATGGATAACTTTGAGGCCTTTAAGACTTCAATGGAGAAAGTCACTGCAGACGTGGTGGAAATAGGAGAACTAGAATTAGAAGTGGAGCCTGCAGATGTGACTGAATTACTACAATCTTGTGCTAAACTTGAAGGGATGAGGAGTTGCTTCTTATGGATGAGCAAAGAAAGTGGTTTCTTGAGATGGATCTACTCCTGGTGAAATGACAGAAAGGATTTAGAATATTACACAAACTTAGTTGATAAAGTAGCATCAGGGTTTGAGAGGATTGCCTCCGTTTTTGAAAGAAGTTCTACTGTGGGTAAAATGCTATCAAACAGTAGCACATAAATCTTCTGTGAAAGGATGAGTAAATCAATGCAGTAAACTTAAACTTCATTACTGTCCTATTTTAAGAAATTGTCATAGCCACCCAACCTTCAGCAACCGCCACCCTGGTCAATCACCATTCATCAACCTCAAGGCAAGACCTTCCACCAGCAAAAAAGGACTATATGACTCACTGAAGGCTCAGATAATTGTTAGCTTTTTTAGCAATAGAGCATTTTAAAATTAAGATACGTATATTGTTTAGACATAATGCTAATGCACACTTAATAGACTATGGCATAGTATAAACGTAATTTTTATATGTACTGGGAAACCAAAAAATTTGTGTGACTTGTTGTGGTTGTCTGGAACTGAACCCACAATATCTCCAAGGTATGCTTGTGTGGTATCTAGGTATATGTATTCTTTTTCTTTTTTTTTTTCTATTTGAGACGAAGTCTCACTCTGTTGCCCAGGCTGGAGTGCAATGGTGCTATCTCAGCTGACTGCCATCTCCACCTCCCGGGTTCAAGCGATTCTCCTGCCTCAGCCTCCTGAGTAGCTGGGCTTACAGACACGCACCACCACGCCCGACTAATTTTTTTTATTTTTAGTAGAAACTGGGTTTCACCATGTTAGCCAGGCTGGTCTCGAACTCCTGACCTCAGGTGATCTGCCCTCCTCGGCCTCCCAAAATGCTGGGATTAAAGGCATGAGCTATCGCGCCTGGCCGTATTCTTACTTTTTAATCAGGAAAAACAAACAAACAAACAAACAAACAAAAACCAACCCTCAACTGGGAGAAAATAAGCACTGCAGAAATCTGAAAGTTAGCTGGTCTAAAAATTATTTTCTGTAGTTGAGAACATAGACTTTCTAAAGTTGAGATCTCAAATAAGAGAAGGATGACAGTTTGCTTTTCCAATGACTTAACTAGTTTTTATATATAAATCCATATATTAAAATCTTAAAGCAGGAAGATGTATTTGGAAATCTATTATCAATGGGAAAATCCTCTCTTCGTGATGCATATATGCACTGCCAGTGTATTATTAACAATGAGAAAATTCTCACTGTTCTCATTTAAGAAGTTGGTAAATTAACATAAATTAATGGTGAACGAAATTTTACCGGCTCATATAAATAAACCCAAGTGCGCACACACACACACACGCACACACATACACACACACACATGGTCTGGCCCATTCTTCTCAACCAAAAGGCCAGGAATAAAAATGAACAAGATAAGGATTTTCATCTAAGTTAGGTTTTTACTCATTTTCAGTGAGAGTGAATATTCTAGTAATTTTGCCTCTTACCTGAGACATATGCTTTATTAAGAGAAAGAGAAGGAAGGTGTTATTGGACCGTGAAACGTTTTTCCTTCTCTCTTGGGTGTCTACATTTACCATACCTTAGCCATGAGTGTTGTTCCAAATCCACCCTGATAGTTATTAGCCGAGGGAACGCCATCCATCACTCCAGGTACAGGATTATAAGTGTCACTTGACCAACACCGTCCTGAGCTCATATTTAGGATTTTAGCCAGTAGTTTTGGGTCAAGCCCTAACCTGTCAAAGGTCAAAGAAAAGAAGTGTTAAGTGTCAAAATGTACACGTCGTGCGTGACTTATTTATGTATGGGGATGCTCCATCTTCTCTCTCCATTTATTATATGTCTTCTAAAATCTAAGCAGGTTGATACGAGAGTGAAGAATCCAATTTTGAATTATAGAGTACTAAACACTACTGGTTAAATAAGAATATTTTTGAGCCAGGACCATTTTGCATTTGGAGAAAACCTTCTATGTTATCCTATTATTAAGAAAAAATAATATACAATTGCATAAAAATATTGTTGGTTTATCACACTCATGGGTTTTCTAGTCTTTGGACATTACTACATTTATATGTCACATAAGAACCTTAAAACAATATGATAATTTAAATTCTACATTCTTTACCCACAAATGATATATTTCAGAAAGAAATACTGACAGATAAACGATGCATCATGGGAGTCTGTGTGAATGCATTTATATGTATGTTTATTCCTTTAGTTTTTATGAGAATAAATGCAAGAGATGAGCCAGGAGCTGTAAACGAGCTTAAGAAAAGTTATTATAAAAGAAGACTTTTTGCTGCAAACTTTTCCTTATTTATTAAATCTTTATTAGACAATCTTGCTTATGAAGCAAGTCTGCACAGAGTTGTGACATATGCTATCTATTCAGAGACATGCATTATAGTTCTGGGTCAACTGCTGATAAGGTTACTGATCCTGATAAAACAAAGCTTGCCCAAGCAGAAACATCATTTGTTCTATCACTGGGCTGATGGCATAAACGGCTGTTCAATGTGGACCCTAGAAAAAATAATAGAATCAAAATGCTCCATTACTTGGATTCTAAAGATATAATGCAGTTTGGGAAGCACAATTTTGCTAGGTATCACTGAATCAAGTTTCAAATAAAACTTTATTCCTAGCAATTTATTTGGTTTCTTTCATACACAGAGCCATTATGAAACAATTGTCATAAAAGCTTTCCACTTTTTCTTAAAACCAACCTCTTCCAGAAAATAAAAAAAACACTGAAAAGAGACACTTATGTAAATGTTAAACAAACTGTGCATCTTGGCACGCTCAGATTGTTTACTCTGTGTGTCTAAAACACATGCCTGTTTATTTCAAAATCTGAATATCATGGCCAATAAAACATTTTTTCAGATGCTAGAGCAGGGGGCTGAGGCTAACAGCCAAAAATATGTATGGAATTACCACATAATACAACTGTTATGTAATCAGGCTTTCAAGGGGTAGCTGTGGTTCCCAGACTGCTATGTGGCATATCATGTATCTGAATTCATATGGTGGCCCATGTTATAGTGATGGATTTTACTAAGGATTGTAACAGATACAGAAATTCAGTCTAAATTGGCTATCATTCATTCTGTTCAACTGTAGATTCCCAGAGAGAAACCCAACAGTTTCATTCATTCTTTTATAAAGATCCAAGTTCACTGCATGCATAGTATGCTACTGATGCTTGCTTTCTCCTTTTAAATAAGATTAGGCTATCAGTATGCTACTGTAGTATATCACTTAGGAAAAGATAAAGCCAGTGTGCTTAGGGAATAATTGTGAAAAGTAAAATCACAATTAACAATTAGTTAATTTGCTATAACTGCAAAGTACCAAATGTTCAAGAATGCATACATCTAATATGCTCCATAAGGAGAAAATACTTTTAAAGACTCCAAAACGTCACTTTCTCTCTCCATTTGAAATATAATTTCAGGGCTTCCTAACTTAGATCTTTTAAGATGGTTCATCATATTTAAAGCAGCAGAATTCCTTCCTTCTTTCTAATCTACCAGGTTACACTCAGTAGTAGCTCACAAGAGCTTTTACAGCTAAGGAAATTCACTCTTTTCTATAATATTCAACAAAATGGTGAGCAAAGCTAATTATCCTAACTTTGTAAAACCCTACATTTTTCTTGAATGTTCAAGGAAAAGTACTGGTATTGATTGATGGAAACCCTTTCTGGTGAACACATTACTATTTAGAAGCATCCTGAGGGGCACACACAAAAAATCAGGTGGCAGTTGTTTCATTCTCACTTTTCAAATCTGATGCTTCCCCACCGTGCTGATTCCCTTCAGGAGATAGTTATTCCCTCTCCACTTCCCTCCCCCTGCCCCCACCCGCAGCAAAGTGTATCATTAAAAAGAGCAAGTTAGAAGTGTTTTGCATTTCATCTTTCTGAGGATTCGTTCTCTGGCACATACATAACTGACAGTTAAAATTAGACATGATATTAAAATCAGTTACTGAAGTCCTCTGTTTTCCACTGTGCCCAAGGCTTGTAATGGTCTGAAACCAGCTAGAATACACAGTAATTGTCATTCAGAGTCTATCCTAGAACGTCATGCTTCACTGGAGAAGACTGAGTTTCCATTCGAAATCAACAAATTAATCCAAGACAGGTATCTGAAAGGGCAAGTTTAATAGGAAGCAGCTACTGGGCTCTCAACCATGATAAAATGTTATTGCTGTTTCCCTGTAAATTGGCTGGGAACATATGATACTTTCTGCATAAGAGCCCCATTGCTGTTCAGAAGATATACAGCTCAAGCCATCAAAAGAATGACAGTCTGTCAGTCCCCATAATAACTTGCCACTGGATGTGGTTCGAGAGTGCATGCGTGCATGCATGTGGCTTTACAATTGCTGGAATGTTCTCTGATATAAACAGAATGAATTCATCGCTCTGACTGCATATATAATGCGTCTCAAATAAACGTCACTGTGTCAAATCTACTCACCTCTAAAACAAGAATTTTAAATGAGGTTTGGAAGAAGTAAAAATAATGCATAAACTGCAAAAAAATTTAAAAAATTAAACATTTGCCTTCACTGTAACCAAGACTTTAAGGGCCAAAAATGTTTGTTTATATTATCTGTGAGTAATCTATACTGTCTGGTTTCACGTAAGAACGAAATAAATTATGTCACTAAACTGGGATGTTTGTATCACAGGAACAGATCTGGAAATGAAACATCTAAGACCATGTCAGTTTTAATTAATCAATCACTTATCCATCAATGTTTACTCAGATCTGCTATATCCAAGTGCTACACGTGCAGCGAAGGAGACAGTAAGAAGGAAGCTAAGAGGAGGCTGTGCCTGTCTGCCAGGAGGGCTGAGTTAAGACCCACCTGGATAACTTTTACCTTTGGCAAGAGAAGTGCCATATCTTATCCCCTCACTCACTCACTCCCCTACCTCCTCCCTCCTCTCCTTATTTATCTGACAAATCTTCACTGGGTGCCTAATACCTGCCAGGTATATTCTTAAGATATGGCAATGAGTAAACAAACCATTTCCCATCATGGAGCTTCTAGATGGGAAGACAGGTAATAAACAGACAAATAAATATGTAATGCCAGCTAGTGAGACATGTTAGGAAGAAAAAGATTAAAGTACAATTTAATTTCAAACAATAACCACCTCACCACAACCACAAATATCATTACCACATATCGACACCTACTATGTGCCAGAAACTATTTAATAAGTTTTATATGGATTAACTCACTTAATCTTCACAACAACCCAGTGGATAGATGTAATCACTTTTGTCATTTTATAAATGAGAAAAGCTTAAGTCTGTGGGACAGCTTGAATGCAGACCTACATGTATGCCCAAATGCCATCGTACTGGCTAGTAGTTGACTATTAAGTAGGTGGTAAACTTAATAGTCAACAACTAGCCAGTACGATGGCATTTTATGAGTTTATTAAGAAATTTGTATGATGGATAAGTGAATGATTTGGATTGACATGGTCTTAGATGTTTCATTTCCAGATCTGTTCCTGTGACACAAACATCCCAGTTTAGTGACATAATTTGTTTTGTTCTTATGTAAAACCAGACAGTATAGATACATACAAAGAACAAGCTTTTTGGCCATTTACAAATTACAAACCTTTGCCATCTGTTATATTTATTAGGGTAAACAACTAAGGCTCCAGTCATCACATAAATGCAAAAGCAACATCTTCTAAGGGCAGTATGCAAGAAACTATTAATAAAACTACATTGGAGGGAAAGTTCTCATCTTGAACAGCTTTCCAGAAGTTCAGCTGCTTCAAGCTTCTTTTGGCGGAAGACAATACAGTGGTTGCTGGAGGAGCCTGGGCCTGGTTGGCAATGCAAGTAACTTGTTATACCACCAAAAATTTTTTTTTAAAATCAATTTCCAGTGGAGCTGGTAATTTAAAACAACAAAACATCATCAATGTTATTTCTATGTGATACACAGGAACAAAACCTCTCTAATACAAGTAGGGTACTTTCAGGACCATAAAACTATGCTTCTAATGCCTATGTAGGAATCCAATTAGAAAGCAGAAAGGTCTAATAAAAAAGGAATCTCAAAATATATTGTATACCATATTTTTTACTCTTTACTTTTTTTTTTTAACAACATTTAAAAATTTTGCTAACATCCATAAAGACTCACTGTAAAAGAGCATAGGGTCAATAAGAATTTTAAACTGTAAGATTTTATTCTTCAATTTTTTTAAAAAAGGGGAACAGTGTTCCAGAAAAACCACTGACTTAGAATAAAATTAATCAGAAATGATCACTTCACAGGAATGGGTGACTCAATTTGTAAATGTTGACATTAATACTCTGAAAAAATTTCACTTCAGAGTGGGCAGAATATAAATGTGGCTACACCATTTTGATGCTATACTACTTTGCGGGAATTTACTACTTGGGAATTTATGCTTGCTGATGCCAATTTTCTCTTTCACCTTGCAAAGCTCAATAAATCGTGGCCGTTCTCTATACTCTATTAGAGAACAATCCTGTCACTTTAAACCATGTCTGTAAACCGTGAAGAAAAGACAATAGCAGAAGCATTCATTTTTAGGGTCTTTAAACCACTGAGAATCTTCGTAAGATAAAGTGATAAAATCCTCATGTTATGAAAATAAGCAATTCATTGGTATAATCTGAAACACTAGAAACTTATAAATTATTTTTAACAGTTAAGTATAACTAGTGAGTTTCTGCCTTGTGTTCAGACTTTTAGAATATATTTTATGTTATATATATCAGTATATATGTAGAGTTTTAGAAAAATGAAAGATTTAAAAGTTTCATATTTCTAAATAACAATTTTGTCATAGTTGATCAGAGCCAAAAATAAGGGAAACTCTATTAATTGCTTCTGCTCTCTTACATCTCTATTTTTTATCACTTTTCATTTTCTCCTTGAAAACAAACCCACTACAAGTAGCCAATGGTTTTTACTTCATTGTACACCTCGTATTCGATTGTATTGCCTACAGTTGTAGCTGGTGTTTGCAGTAGAACTTCCACAAGCACTTAGCCTATACAAAACTTCATTTTAGAAGGTCAAATGATCATCTTATAGTAAGAGTTCTGACAGGAAAATTATTCAAGAAATGCCAGAGGATGCATCACTATGACTAAGGAACATCCTGGTCCAGTGATGCTCAAGGTGAGAAGCACAGAGTCAATGGGCAAAGAGGGAAAGCTGTAGTACAGTATAACCTAGGTTCATCCAGCCTTTTACTTTATATAATCATTTATATCCAGAAAAATAAAAATAAAATTCTAAACATACATATGCATACCAATCCTGGTGTCAACACCAATTAATTGTGTATGCCATTTATGTTCCAGAAATGTACATTTTCCTCTTCCATGAAATTAGTCTAGAGAATGAACATGAAAACAAGTTACTAGTAACCAGTTTTTCAATTATGATAAGTGACCCATATCCTAAAACTGGCCACAATACAAACATAACACTGAAAAGGTCCCTATATACTACCACTTTTATTAAGGCTCTGTACAGACATGCTTTACCATCTTATGGACATTCAATTTTAAAATGTAAATGGTACATGATATTGATAAACCAATTAGTGCTGACGCAAAGCAAATTCCTCTTTTATCTCAATTACAACATGACAACTTAATAGGTCAAGATAGTTAAACATCTGAGACAAGGGCAATTCAATAAAACAACAGCATCTTGATATGGTAATTAAGAGGAAATGTGAATCCATTACTGTGTTTTCAAAAATATCTCAAGTATGTTGGCTCTTTTTATTACTTTTATCAAAAGCTATGGTATGAAACACTATTCTGTTTTGTGATATATTTGGTAAGCAGTTTTGGGGAATGTGATGAAAGCAACTGAGTAAAGCATCCTGCTCATTAAGCATTTTCTAAAGTAAGAAATGTATATTTATTATTTTCATGAAATATAAAACATTCAAAAATTAATTAGGTGATTAATCATATGTAGCATTACTAACCCAAAAGATTAAAGGCTAAAATTAAGACATTAACCTTAAGCATTTAAAAGATGATCATCCATAGGAAAAACAGAATTCCTGAATCACTTTAAGCAAAGTATGCCACTTTAATAGAAAGATACATACGAATGCAAAGTAACTAAACCACAGGCAAAATAAAATGAAAGAGTTATGCATATGAATTGCATCTTTATGAATGCTATCCAGTTTTTAGCCTGAGAATGAACCACCAAGAACACTTTTAGTGCAGATTTGGGGGACTATATTTTTAAAAGGTACATAAACTAGTCACATGGTAGCATACCACTTGAATTCACTACACACTAAAACCATGTCTTATACAAATTTGTCCCAACATTGCCAAAGTATGTTTAAATTTTACAGAAAAGTGTTTCTTGTATTTCAACATAATAGAAGAAATGGGGGTCCCACATAAAAAGGATAATATAGCTTCAAATGCACAACTTCAAATGCACAGGCAATACATTTTATGGCTATGGCAAAGAGTATTCATGCTCTCCTGGGTCCTATTGCTTGTCCAATAAGCAAAGTCTATTAAAGTTCAATAATGAAGTACTTTCAAAATGTTCTTGGATCAACTCATTTATCTCTCATGAATATCATTTTTTTAACATCAGAAAATCAAATAGGAAAGCCTATAAAAATGTTAGTATAAAAACGTACTATTCAACAAACCTGATTCCAAGATTCATAGCTTCAGCAGTTCCAATCATACTAATAGCTAACAGCATGTTGTTGCAGATCTTTGCCGCCTGAAAATAAATTGAGTACATATTAAATATCTGTATTTTCAAGGTAAAACTCACAGGACGTTTTTCCTTGCCCAATTCCAGGGGCTGCTTTCTAAAAGAAATAACATTCAACTGTTGATTTTCTCGAGTGCGGAAGAGAACCTGATGCAGCATGGCTCCCTCTGAACCTCACATGCTATCCCAGAGCAGACTTGCGGGTCTCCTCCACTAGGTAATAAATTTGCCTATGTGAAAATTTATTTTCCACATAGCTACTACGGGCTCAGCACTATAGGGCACAACTGCTCTTTAAGGGATGGAACTTACAATCTAATTGGAAATGGGAGTAATATGCTGTATGAAAAGGCAACAAAAACAAGTGGTGAATTGTAAGGTAGAGGCTATAAGAGATAGGAGTTCAGAGCAACAAGACCACTGAAGGCAGGAACAGAGAGGAAGTGGAACCTGAAATCATCCTTTAGGAGGCCAAGGCAGGATTTAAACAGACAAGAAAGAGAAAGAAGGAGATCCGGGGCGAAGGGTAAATATATAAGAAGGATTAAATATTTAAGAACATGGGATGTTGCTGGAGATCAGTAAGAAAATTGTTTAATATGCCTGTGTTTTAAGGAATGGTGAGAAATTTGATCGTTAAGACTGGGGCAAGGACATGTCAGCTATGAAAGCTAGGGTGGAGAGTTAAAATTTGACACGGTAGGAAATAGGGATCTATTCAAAGTTTCAGAATGGGGAAGCACTATGATGATACAAGCATCTTGATGGAGTTGGTCTGGGTTATGATGTTGGACAGAGTGGTAAATTTGACATTCAGAGACTATTAGGCCCCCTGACCAGTAAACTAGGTGTGAGACACTGAAAGAAAGGCTTGGACCAGGTCCTGTGTTGAATGGAAATGAAGGTCAACAATGAGAGTAACTTGAAGTAATAGAGCTTGGAGACTGACTGGACAAGAGTATGGAGACAATAAATATATCTAAGATAATACCAAGTCTAGAGTGAGATAAAGAGAGTCCTAGTGACCAGGATAAAAGCATTAAGAGGAGGAGAGAGAGTGTGTGTGTGTATTGGGAGGGGGAGGGAGACAACTAACAATTTCAGTGTTCAGTATTGTTTAATCATCTCTGTCAGTCACCTCATACTTCTAAATGAAAGTTACTTGCTTTTCAAGAAAAATTTGAAGTCCATGGGTTATTGCTGCGTGATTGTACTACAAATAGAGAGGACTATGGCAAGTACAGTTGACCCTTGAATGATGAGGGGGTTAGGGGTGCCAACCCCCAGTGCAGTCAAAAACCCATGTATAACTTTTGACTCTCCAAAAACTTAACTACTAATAGCCCACTGTTGACTGGAAGCCTCGTCAATAACATAAACAGTTGATTAACACATATTTTGTATATGTATTATATATTGTATTCTTATGGTAAAGCAAGCTAGAGAAAAAAATGTTACTAAGGGAATCATTAAGGAAGATAAAATATATTTATTATTCATTAAGTGGAAGTGGATCATCATAAAGGTCTTCAATCCCATCATCTTAATAATGAGTAGGCTGAGGAGGAAGAGGAGGGGTTGCTCTTCGCTGTCTCGGGGTGACAGAGGCAGAAGAGGTGGAGGTGGTAGAAGGGGAGGCAGAAGGGGCAGGCACACTCCGGATAACTTTATGGAAATTGTAATTTCTATCTGATGTTTTTGCTCTTTCATTTCTCTAAAAACGTTTTTGTATGGTACCAATCCGTCTTCCACTGTTTGCTTTATTTTCAGTGTCTGTATCAGAGAAGGGTCCATGTTGTAAAAGAAGTTGAAAGGAGTCTTGAATAATCAGAACCGTTCTGCCATACTGTCTAATGTCAATTTGTTTCCTGGCACTGCTTTTGGTACATCTTCTTCCTCATCATCTGGTACTGTTCAGAAGCACTCATCTCCATCAAGCCTCTTCTGTTAATTACTCTGCTGTGGTGTCTATTAGCTCTTGAATTAATCCAAGATCCATATCTTGAAAGCCTTCATACACTCCCCACCTTTTTTGCCATATGCACAATCTCTTTAGTGATTTCCTTGATTGGCCCTGCCATAAATCCTGTGAAGTCTTGCACAACATCTGGACAGTTTTTTCCAGCAGGAATTTACTGTTAGGGGCTTGATGGCCTTCAAGGCGTTTTCCACAATAACAATGGCATCTTCAATGGTGTAATCTTTCCAGATTTTCATGTTCTATCAGGGTTTTCTTCCACAGTGACAATCCTTCCCATAGAGTACCATGTGTAATGAGCCTTAAAGGTCCTTATGATCCCCTACTCTAGAGGCTGAATTAGGGGCGTTATGTTTAGGGGCAAGTTGGCCCCTTGGACACCTTCAGTGTTGAACTCATGTTATTCTGGGTGGCCAGGGGTACTGTCCAATATCAAAATAACTTTAAAAGTCAGTCCCTTACTGGCAAGATATTGCCTGACTCCAGAGACAAAGCCATTGATGGAAACAATCCAGAAACAGGGTTCTCATCGTCCAGGCCTTCTTGCTGTACAACCAAAAGACAGGCAGCTGGTATTTATCTTTTCACTTAAAGCCTCAGAAGTTAGCAACTTTATAGATAAGGGCAGTCCTGATTTTCAACCCAACTGCATTTGTACAAAACAGTAGAGTTAGCCTATCCTTTCCTGCCTTAAATCCTGGTGCTGCTTGCTTCTCTTCCTAATAAATGTCCTTCGAGCATCCTTTTTTTTTTTTTTTTCTCCGTAATAGGGCACTTCTGTCTGCATTAAAAACTCATTCAGGCAGATATACTTTCTCTTCAATGATTTTTTCTTAATGGCGCCTGGGAACTGTCTGCTGTCTCTTGGTTGGCAGAAGCTACTTCGCCTATTTCTTGACATTTTTTAAGCAAACCTCTTCCTAAAATTATCAAACCATCCTTTGCTGGCATTAAATTCTCCAGCTTTAGATCCTTCACTTTCTTTTTGCTTTAAGTTGTCATATTTTTCTTGAATCATATTAGATGTAAGTATGCCTTTCTACAGCAATCCTGCATCTACATAAAAGCTGCATTTTCAATGTGAGATAAAAAGATGTTCTGCAAAAAGTGCAAGCCTGCTGGAGTAGCTGCAGTGATGGGTTCATGACTATTCTTTTCTTTGTTTACAATGGTCCTTACATTGGATTTGTTTATCTTGAAATGGAGGGCAAACGCAGCCGCAGACCTCAATCCATGGTATGTATCAGGCAATTCAACTTTTTCTTGTAATGTCATGACTTTTCTCAGCTTCTTAGGAGCACTTCCAGCATCACTAGTGGCACTTTGTATGGGTCCCATGGTGTCATTCAAGGTTTATGGTATTGCACTAAACATGATAAAAAAATACAAGAGAATTCCAAGAGATCAATTTTTACTATGATACACAATTTACTAAAGAGATGAACCACTCACACAAAGATGATTAGTGTCACATGACATTTTATGCTCAATACTTGTAACACTTGAGTTCACTGCAATAGCAACAGGTGGCCACAAAATTATTACAGTAGTACAGTATTACTAGAGTTAATTTTATGCCATTATGATTTAATGCATCTTTACATTTCTTTACATTTCTCTCAACTGTAAATGGTGCCATGTATGGTCTATAAATATTTGTAAACTTTGATAAATTTTAACTCTTTATAACAGATTTGTGCATATTTATAAACTAGTATCTATCTACATATATTTTATGCGTTCACGACATATCTAACTTTTTCTTAATGTTTTTGATATTTCTAGGCCATGTGGTTCATCTGTTTTTTCAAACTGTCACAAATCTTCAAAAAAATTTTCAATATATCTATGGAAAAAAAATAGATGTATAAGTGGGCCCATGGAGTTCAAATCTGTGTTGTTCAAGGGTCAACTGTAATTACAAAATTAGATGGAGGAAAATAGCAACTCAGAAACAAGCACTTCGAATAAGAGCAGTTTTAAGGATGATTTCACTAGTTGCTGGGATGACAGACATGTCAAGATCCTAATAATGAATTTTTTTTCCCGTTTTTTTTTTTTTTTTTTTTTTTTTTGAGATAGGTTCTTGCTCTATCACCCAGGCTGACTGCAGTGGCTCTATCATGGCTCACTGCAGCCTCAATCCCCCACCCCTGGGCTCAGGTGATCCCCCCACCTCAGCCTCCTAAGTAGCTGTGACTATAAGTGTGTGTCACCACACTCGACTAATTTTTTTGTTCTTTGTAGAGATGGGGTCTTACTATGTTGCCCTGGCTGGTGTCAAACTCCTGGGCTTGAGTGATCCTCCTGTCTCAGCCTCCCAAAGTGTTGGGATTACAGGCATGAGCCATCACGTCTGGCCAATAATGGAAGTTTTTTAAATAAGTAAATTGGCTGATGTCTGCTTAAGCCCACCAGGAATGATGCAAAACTAATTTATTCCAAATAAATGTTTTAAAATCTGAGCAAAGAATCCATAGGTTGAAGAAAGAAGAATAAAAATATGGTCAGGAAAGAGAAAGGAACATTAGTCAATTTTACATCATCAAGTCAAGGTCATTAATGTAAAAATCTTACCTGCCCAGTCCCAACAGCTCCACAGTACACCACGTTGGAGCCCATGCACCCCAGCAACTCTTGGGCAGCAGCAAATTCATCTTCAACTCCTCCCACCATAAACGTGAGGTTCCCAGATCGTGCAGCTCCTACACCTGAATCATTTGGGGGTAAAGGGATAGAAGCAAAAGAATATATTTCTTAAAATGTTTAGGCAGGTAATAAAATTAGAGAAACCAACTAAAAACATCCTGCCTCCAATCTGTATTTATGCCAGGCATGTATAAGATACTCTAAATCTCTACAGAAATATTCAGCAATCAAGTATCACCCAGATTAATCACAAACCAAGAGAGACATACAGATTCAGTTGTACTCTCAATCTCAACTCACCTTAATCATTTTGGCACAATCATGGCCTAACAGATAAGGGAACTTAAAATGTAAATGTTATTATTCCCATGCATCTATTATTCTCCTAAGAAACCTACTAAGTTATAGAAAGTATACAAAAAAAAAGTTTTACCTGGGCCCTGATCAGCAAAGGAGCAGCCAGAGAGAGGTCTGCTGCCCACGTTTGGATTCGGGGTTCTTGCTCACTCACCCACTCTCCAAATACTATCTATAAGTGAGATCTACAAAGAGGGAGACCTGGCTCTTTGTTCCTTAAACAAGTAGGCATTTCAGATGGTAGATTCTTTTTTTAAGGCAAGGAAAACTTTGCTTATTTTGACTGATTATTCTCATATGTACTTTTCAATATTATTTGATTTTTCTTTTCCTTCCTGCTATACATCTTTTGGGCAATTTATTTTTAGTGATATGAGCAAGAAGAAGAAATAAACTTTAACACTGACTTCACTACTCCTTAGTAGCTTTTAACAGAGGCTTAATGCATGTTCATTCATTCTAATGATTGGAGAAAGAACCTTCAATTTAGCACAGAAAATATAATCTAGACTTGTCCTAAAAGGGAGAGGAAAAGCTTCATTCATCTAAATTTTTATTAACTATAAAATAAAACCAAGAGCGCTATTACTGTTTTTAATATTGAAAGAAATCTTGATTCATAATTTTCAAGTTAGGCTTTATTTTTCAAAACTTCCCAGGCAAGTATGTGGAAGAACTTATTTTACAGTACAGTAAGAACAAAGAAACTGTAATTGTCTGTAGTATGTATCAAATCTGGCCATTAGACAGCTGCAGGTAATGGCCTGCTTTTGGATTTAATGTGTTCAATGAAATACAGTATTTATATATTTTTTAAAAGCCCAAGTGAAGAGATACCTATTTCATTCAAATTGTGAATATTTTGCTATTGTCAAATCAAATAGCTTTCTATTTTACAGTTTATACTATTCATAAGCAATTATTAAAAGCCAAAAAAGTCAGCATTATGCTAGCCAAACAATCTTGGAAGAGTGAGTGCCCACATGTTATGAAAACCTGAGATGCTCACACATATGGTTAAATTACACCATTTTACAATATCTTCACTTTGGATTATATACAAAAACCCAATTTATAAAAAATGCTTTCAATTAGCCAATCTATGTCATTCAAACATTCTTATAACATTAAAGTGACTGCTGTTTTGTTAGTTTCTAGTTTACTTTATCAAGATGGTAAACCATTAATGTTTTATAATTATTTCGCTCAATTTCTAGACATTTTTATTTAAACCATATAACCACCATTCCTCCTAATCCTGTTGATCTCACCTAGAGAAATTAAGTAGACGATTTAAGTCAAAGCTTACAAGCAAATCCAGCACTATCCATCATAGATCAATAGTTTTGCTTTGTATTTAGATTACAGACTGCTAAATAGCTTCGGAGTCATTTATTTAAAAAAAATTAATGCTGACAATGGTTCTCAGCTGGTTAGTCTTTTGACAGGTGTACTTTCTCACTTATTCAAACACATATTTTAAAAAGCAGAAATAAGTTGCTTAAGCAAGAGAAGACCACAAAAGAAAGAATAATTTATCTTTTAATTCAGAGGTCTGTGGTAGTTCGACTCTTTCCTCATATTGATGTGGTATCATAATTATTTCCGACTTCATCATAACCTACATCCCAAAGTAAGCATCTAACTAAAATGGGTAATTCTAAAGTTTTGACATTCCTTGGAACCAAATCTTATCTTCTCATACATATTCCTTTAATCATATAACACTATCAAGCCTAGTCCCACAGCCAAAGACCTAAATTAGCTAGGCATAGTGGCTCACATCTGTAATCCCAGCACTTTGGGAGGTTGAGGCTGGTGGACTGCTTGAGCCCAGAAGTTTGAGACCAGCCTGGGCAACACGGCGAAACCGTCTTTACAAAAAATACAAAAATTAGCTGGGCATGGTGGCATGTGCCTGTAGTCCCAGCTACTCAGGAGGCTGAGATGGAGGATTGCTTGAACCCAGAAGGTGGAGGCTGCAGTGAGCTGAGATCGCACCACTGCACTCCAGCCTGGACAACAGAGCAAGACCCTGTCTCAAAAACAAAACAAAAAGACTGAAATTATCCTGAAATAAATGTAACCATTTTGAACTTAGGAAAGAATACCTAGAAAGCTGCGACTCTAAAACTGTGTAAGACAGCTTATGGATTTCAGGAGACATTGTATAGATGTTTATGTCTATCAAAAATGAAGAAATTTATTACAATGACACGCCATTTTGATTCTAGTCCATTTTCTAAAATAGAAAAACACACAATGCATACTCGGGTAGTTGCTAGAATACTGAAAGAAATACTTATTTTACATATATTTTATTAATTATATATACAAAACCAAAATCCACCCTGTGCTTGATTCTATTACAGCATTTATCATACTTTATTAAAATCTTGGATTTTCTTGTCTGATTCCTCCATTATAAACTTCCTAAAAAGTCAGCACTGAGGTCATGGCTTGCCAGCATCCCCATTATCTATTATAGTGCATGATATACTCAACAAATGGTTGGCTGATAAATAGCATGGTAGAAAGGGTAAAAGATCTGGAAATGTTATATTTTGTTTTGGGGATGTGCCACTTGCTGGCAAATTGTGTGACAAATTATTTAACTTCTGAGTCTCAGTGTATAAAACAGGAAAAGTATTAATAACTTCTTCATAGATTGGCTGTGAATATGTGAATGTATGCTGTAAAATAAAAATGCTATTTATTTATTTATTTTTTGAGACAGGGTCTTACTCTGTCACCCTGGCTGGAGTGTGATGATCATAGCTCACTGCAGCCTCAACTTCCCAGGCTCAAGCAATCCTCCCACCTCAGCCTTTCGAGTAGCTCGGACTACAGGCATGTGCCACTGTGCCTGGCTATTTGTTTTTGTTGTTGTTGTTGTTGTTTTTGGTAGAGATGGGGTTTCACTTTATTGCCCAGGTTGGTCTCAAACTCCTGGGCTCAAGCAATTCTCCTGCCTTGGTCTCCCAAAGTGCTGGGATTACAGGTATGAGCACCGTGACCAGCTAAAAATGCTATTTAAATGTAAGGGCTTACTACTTTTTAACTTGAATTTGTGAAGTGGGCATTTTCCTATTTAGTTACTTAAGCCATTGTCTTCTCTGGGATAATTTTAGCCCCTCTTTTTAAGTATTAGCGGGTTTGGGCCGCACCTATAAATAACAGAAGTAGGCTGGCACAGGTCAAGAAGAACTTTAGTGGTCTACAGCCACTATGTTAAGATGACATCACTGTGAAGACTTCTTGCAAAATCTTTCTCTGGCAGCATAGTGAATGGGAAAGACAAGAAATCTGCATTTGTTTTATCTATTCAACACAATTAACTGGGCACCTGCTAAGAATCAGGCCCTGTGGTAAGCCCTTGGGTGAAGGATGAATCACAAATGTCCCTGCTCCTAAGAAGGTACACACTGGTGATTCAGCCACTTCTCTCACTGTCCATCCCTACTACCACGGTCTGAGCTACAGGTAACTCCTGCCTGGATTACTGCAATAGTCTCCTACTTTATTTCTCTTCTCCTCTTGTCTCTGTAGTCTGTTCTCCATATAGCAGCTAGAGGAATCCTCTTAAAATATAAATCTAGTTCACCCAGCTCATGTTTGTTCCCTATTCCCAACCCTCCAAAGACTTCCTAGCCCTCTCAGTATAAAATCCCAAGTCCTACAAAGCCCTACATGATGTGGCTCTGGGCTACCTCTCCTATTTCATTTCATATCATTCTTCCCATCACTTGCTGCTTTCCAGCCACCTTGCACTCCTTGCTGTTCTTGAAACAGGTGAAGTATGTTCCCATCTCAAAGCCTTGAACTTGCTATTCCTTTTGCCTGAAATGTTCTTCCCCCAGATACTCATGACTGGTATAGTTTAGTTCATTCAGGCCTCTGTTCAAAATTCACCTCTTCAGAGAGGCCTTCCCTGACCACTCAACCTAACAATCTAAAATAGCATCTCATCACTCTCTCCTTTTCCTGCTTCAATTTTATTCATAGCATTTATCACCTCTTTAACAGTTTCATTTGTTTCTGGTCTGTATCCCCTAGAATAACACTACCTCCATGAGGGCAGTGATTGTTGGCTCATTCACTCACATCCACTAGCTCTAGTACATAAGAGATTCTCAGGAGGCAAGAGAGAAGGAAAGTCTCAAGGAAACAGACAACGACTGTAATACCATGTGATAACTGCTCTCACAAGATATGCACAAGATGCCAAGGATTACAGACAAAGCATTTCTATCATTCCAGCAAGTCATTAAATGCTGCTCACCCTGTTTCTTCATCTAGGATGTGAAGTGGTTAGAGAAAATCATCACTGAATTCCTTTTAAGCTTTTGAAATTCTATGATAATTTTGGGTTTTCAAGTTCATAATCATCCACTTTCCCACATTTATTATATTAATACACAAAACTATGGCATGTTTTACTTTGCACAAAAAAATTGTTCCAAATGAGAAAAAAGAAAATTTTCTCATGTAACTACATTAACTCTAAAAAGCCTAAATATTTGTGGCTGCCTTTAGTGCTTTTTCTAACACTTTCCTGTGATGATGTCTCTAGTGTTTCTCTCCCATAATACTACAATCAGAAACATTGAACTCATTTGTACAAATAAATGAAAAAGCAAATGCCCAAACTATGCAAAATGGGTAGCTGACTACCCTGATTTTAAAGTGATAGACATCTGTCACTTCTCGTGGTAGTCTGTTTTGATTTTAATAAGCCTTATAGTGGAGAAGCACTTTTAAATCTAAGCACAAATCCTCTAAGTCAGCCTCTCTCTCTCTTAAAAAAAAAAAAAAGTATCATAGAGGACTCCATTTGCTAAACTGCCTTCTTTCTTCCCTTCCACACCTACTTATAGTTGACATCAAAAATGTGATCACTGGAGATCCATTCTTCAGTGGTCCTCAACCCTGAGAATGAGGAAGAAACAATCCTTGTTCTCAAGGAGTTTGAAATCTTGTGCTTGTGATGGTTGGGGGGAGGGAGAAGTTGGAGAATGGAGGTGGGGGAAGGGATAAGGAAAATACATATAGCTAATAAAAAAGTCAGATTCATGCTATTAGAGGGCATACAGTTGTACAAAGGTCCAAAGAGGAAAAATATCATCAGCAAATATTTATTCAGTGCCTTTAACAACTTGCTAGATCTCTGTGCTATGTGTAAAGATTCAACGAGTAAACATATTTGCTGAATCAAAAATAAGGACTTGTTTTCTGTTATATTCAGAAACTACTTGAAATATGACCATCACAGACAGTCCAAAACTAAGGTCATGGTAGATATAAAACCTAGTCTTTGCACTCAAAAAATCCAAAATATAATTAGGGAAAAGAGATGTATAACCAGAAGAAAATGCCAAAAGGTAGCATCACATACCAAGTGTCAGATGAATGAGGGCAATCGCCACCAAATCCTGATTCCCCCTTTCCTTTCATTTTTCAACCCTCGTCATTGAAAGAATAATGAATTCTCAGAGAAGGGGTGAAAAAACAAGATATTGTTCTTGAAGAGTAATATTCTTGCTGTCAACTGTAGGTAGGCATATAAAAACTGATGAGAATACAGGTATTCTGAATCCATTTGTGAATCTAGTTCAGAGCAGTTTAACATGAACTGAGCAAGTAATCTGGTATGCTTTTTATTAGACGCTGAGTTCTGCCTGTTATCTAAATGCACATAATACTCCACCACTCTTCACAATCAATGTGGGTTTGCTTATCAGAGCAAAAAAAATAGAGAGCTTTTAGAAAATCAGAAATAAGGAGAAATAAGTTCAAGAGACCTACTGTACAACATGGTGATTATAGTTAATAACAATGTATTGTATTCTTGAAAATTGCTGAGAGTAGATTTTAAGTGCTTTTATCACAAAAATAGTATGTGAGGTAATGCATATGTTAATTAGTTCGGTTTAGCCATTCCACAATATTTACATCTTTCAAAATATGTTGTACATGCTAAATATATACAATTTTTGTCAATTAAAAAATGAAATCGAATTTTCAAAGGAAAACAAAATCAGTATTAAGAATAAAAAAAGAAACCATAGTATCTCACAACAAATCTCAAATATAGATCTGAGTATCCTACAAGTCTTGGGAAACTCTATTTGAGAGCAAGCATATATTTTCCTTGAACTCAGTTAACATATTTTTTAAAAATTCTCATTTGGAACTTCATGCAGGAACAGTAAATGAAGTAATGAACAATGTTTTCACATTTTTGCATCAAAAATAGTGACCTTTTTTCCCAAGATAAACTGAATTGAAGCTTGGTTCTTGCTTTATACCCTTTTCAGGCTAATCTTAGCCTTATACCTATAAAAGAAGTAAAACTTACATCACCTCATTCTAACATTTATGCTAATCTGTCTCCTAATCTTTGGGCAGTTTTATTTGATATAAGAATGAAAACAGGCTCAAGGCTTAAGTTATACATTAACATGAAAATAACCAGTAACTGAAAACATTATTCACTATTACTTAGCATTTCTTTTCTTTTCTTTTCTTTTTGAGATGGAGTCTCGCTCAGTCGCCAGGATGGAGTGCAGTGGCACAATCTCAGCTCATTGCAACCTCTGCCTCCCAGGTTCAAGCGATTCTCCTGCCTCAGCCTCCCGAGTAGCTGGGACTATGGGCGCGTGCCACCACACCTAGCTAAATTTTTTTGTATTTTTAGTAGAGATGGGGTTTCACCATGTTGGCCAGGATGGTCTCGATCTCTTTGCCTCATGATCCTCCTGCCTCGGCCTCCCAAAGTGCTGGGATTACAGGCATGAGTCACCACGCCCAGCCAGCATTTCTTATATAATCTCAAAGTTCCTCCCATTTTTTCTCCATTAAGTTATTCTTTCTGAAGTACCTGTATATTTATGCTTCAGCAAAAAGGAGAACTACATAACTCACTGTACCCTCTCTTCTGTCTTCAGTTGTAGGAAGCAATGAATTTTCTCTTCTCTCCTTAAATGAGCTCTGATTTTTAAATCTTTATTTTCCTTGTCAGTGAATCCTAATTACTTCTCTGGTCTCCTCATCTAACCCTTGCAACAAAAACTACCACTCAATGCACACTGAAAACTATTTGCAATGGCCAGAATGTGCAATGATTTTTCATGCACCCATGCCTATCTTGGGCTGTTCCCTCACATGAAATACCCTTCTCTGCCTTCTTTGCCTGGCTAACTCCTGCTTATTTTTCAAGACTCAACTCATGACAACTCAGAAGTATTTCATGACCCCCCTTTCTCTATTCTTAAAACATTCCTGGTGATATCTCTAATAAAGCACTTACACTACTCTAATCAATGATTTTTCTGGTGTGTCTTATTAAGATCCTTATTGTCATGAGCTGTTTGAATCTTTGCACCCAGCACATGGCATGTGTCTGATAAATGTTAATTTTCTTCTTAGTAGGCAGGCAGATATCAATGGCTAATAAAATGACCAAGAATACTCATTAAGACTCATTAAGACTTAATATTTTCTAGTTTATCAAAAAGCTCTTTTTAGTATCAATGTGTTTATTGTAATCTTGAAAATTACTGAGAGTAGATTTTTAAGTAACTTCACCACACCACACCAAACACACACATACACATACACACAGATGGTTAGTATGTGAGGTAATTAACTAGCTCAGTTTGGCCAATCTACAATGTATACATATTTTATAACATGTACACAATATATACAATTTTTTTTTGTCAATTACTTTTTTAAAAGCTCAACTTTGGGGCAGCATGATTCTTTACATGTGGTAATGGCATTTTCACTTACTGCTACATAAACATGCATAAGCTAAGTGTACATGTATGAGGACATTATTATGAGGAGTTAAAAGTGAAAAACGTGATTGAGTTAAAAGACTTGGAAAGAAATCACAGTGCAGGGTCACACCTCTTGGACAAGTTATAACACCTCTCAATCTTGGTTTCTTCATCTGAAAACAGTGATAAAAACACTGGCCATACTAACTTTGACACTCAAATGAAACAATACATTGGAAAGGTATATAGCTATTACACAAATGTTATAAAAAATTTAAACATAACAAGTAAATTCATTCAGCTTAAACATGTCGAAGTCTTTGATCTAACAGTAGGAAAGAGCTGAAATTTGGAATTTAGCCTTACTGAAAAGCTGACCCAAAGAATTATGATAGATAAACCATGATGCAGGTGCTGATAACTTAGACGAACTACTCCCAAGTTACAAATAAGGAGATCATTTTCAATTCTATGACTATTAGAAAGAAGGCTTCAAATCCAAAGAGGGAAGAGATGGAAAACTAAAAAGTACAATTCAAATTATATTTGTCTTTAATACTGTAAAAACATTGCCACCAAAGCACTTCCATTGATATATAGCCAAACATAGTAAATCACTTAATTTACTCAAAAGAACTTAAATGTTTTAACCAGTGTGCCATCAAAAGAGATCAAGAAGAGGACCAATGGGACTTGGGCTGCAATGTGAGCCATCTTTAAAATGCAATTGTTCTAATCATTTTCTACAGATGCAGCCTCACAAGGGGCTGCTGTCACAGGGACCATTTACGACTTGCTATGGTGTCTCTATTGTTTACCAGCGACATTCGCAGAAAAAGGCGACAGCTGGGACAGAAAGCTGCTACTCAACGAACAATATAATCCCGTGAAAGTAATCAACAAATTTAAGGGTGTTAATTAACTTTACACTTTATCATGTTCAATTAGTTGTCCTTTCTAGAAAAGATTGCCGTGCACAATCAGTTTAGAGCGTGCCATGTTTGATTTGTAAGTGATCACTGTTTCTGTTTCAGAGTCCATGTCAGATGTTCTCTTGGGTTTTGGTGACACAGATGAATGGCTTTGCACATGTTAGGGGTGATCTGGTTTAACATAAGCCAGCATAACATAACCCCTTGTTAACACTATTTCTGGCATTATCCAAGCTGGAAACAGAAAAGCAAAAACACTCACAGCACTCTTCTGGAGTCAGATAAACAAAGTTTAGTTAGCTTTTCCTGAAATAAACACAGACACAAATACATGAAGAAATAAGCAATTTTTCATCATTATTTTTCAGAGTAAGGCTTGTCTTTCAGGGGCATGTTTGGGATCATTTCCTCCCAGCAAGATCTCAAAGCTCTGCTGCATTATGCACAAAGCACCACTGTATCCTCAGACTTTACATAACGCAGACAGTCTTTTCTATGGCAGTTGAATAAACGCTAGGGATGTGTTGTTAAGTGCTGGCTTGTGTTAAATTCTAGAATATGACTTTTAAATCCAGAAACTGTATTTCACAAGTATGAAAAATCTGCAGGAAGAATACTAATCTATGAATGCAATTTGCCTTCTCTCTTACCTTAATGCACCTGTTCCTACTTGCTAATAGGACAAGGAAAAGCTCATGATGGAGTGACAATATATTCAGTATTGCATTTTAATGAAAGTCACTGCAGCAGTTCCTCTGAATTGATAAATAGAGCTCTGCATCAAAATATTTCATAAGCCATTGACAAAGTGAACAAAATTCAAAACTGAGATTTGGTAGGTGTTTAAGAAAACAAAAGCAAGGGACATGCATCTATCTCTTTTTTTAGAAGAGATACCTATATACGATTGTGAAACATCTTAATAAAGCTATACCTTGCTCTTACAGACTAGCCATTTCCTGCACAACACACAAATTAAATGCATATAAATAAACTATAGCTGATTAGCTAAAGCCTACACAAGGACAAAGCTGAGATTCTTCAAAATAGAAAAGTTGTTAACTCTGAAAGCTAATAATGTCCTAAGTTAAATATTAAAGAAGGAAATTATAGGCTATATCTGAAACAGCTGAAACCACAATACACAGCAGCAGAAAACATTAGTTTTCTGCAGAAGATCTGCAGGGAGAAGAGAAGCGGTCGATAGATCCTTAAATTGGAAGCAATAGCCGTTCTTCTATCCCAAGTTGGCAGCTGCTACATTTGCAGACCTGGTTCATTATTTACCCATAATGACCATCAAGCTGCAGTCAAAGTCAGATCACAACAACTGTCAGCAGCTCTTTTAATTAGCCTTGCCTGAATTCAGATAAATATCACAATAGACCTGCTTATGCTGAAAGAGCAACAGAATGTTCCGCATGGAGCTGGCTGGCTTGAGGAGGACTGATGCAGTACAGAAGCCGTAAGACAGAAATGCAGAGTGGGGTTTTTAAAGGGAGGGCAAATCAGAGATGAAATGGTTTTCTTTTATTCTAAAAATCACTTTAAAAAGCAATTCCTTGGCATTCACCTCAGATCAAGATGGTGCACAATGTCGGTTTACAATAAAACACTAAACTCCTGAAAGCTAAATAGCTGGAGCACAAAGACAGTTAACTTAATGCCCCTGGAGAATATGATTTTTAAAACTCCGTCTTGCAAATAACGTATCTTTCAGCTTTAAAAGTCATTTTTATTTTTACTATTTATTTGAGATGGAGTTTTGCTCTTGTCGCCCAGGCTGTAGTACAAGGGTGTGATCTTGGCTCACTACAACCTCTGCCTCCTGCATTCAAGCGATTCTCCTGCCTCAGCCTCCCAAGTAGCTGGGTTTGTATGTTTGTTTGTGTTTATGGAGTTTCGCTCTTTTTGCCTAGGCTGGAGTACAGTGGTGCGATCCCAGCTCACTGCAACCTCCACCTCCCGGGTTCAAGTGATTCTCCTGCCTCAGCCTCCTGAGTAGCTGGGATTACAGGCGCCCACTACCACAGCTGGCTAATTTTTGTATTTTTAGTAGAGACAGGGTTTCACCATGTTGGCCAGGCTGGTCTCGAACTCCTGACCTCAGGTGATCCACTTGCCTCAGCCTCCCAAAGTGCTGAGATTACAGGCGCGAGCCACCGCGCCCAGCCAAAAGTCATTTTTAAAAGCCAAATAAGAGGAAAAAAAAGCCAAATAGCTTGTAATCATTATGTCCTTCTATTTTACTTTCTTTAGGCAACACGTGGTTTGTAACATTTCTGTGATTGGAGTTGGCTATTTTCCTGTAAGTTTCACATGCATCCTTTCATTCAGCATTAACAATCACAAAGTAAAACAAGGCCAATAACCAAATTCTCAGTAATCCAATTACCACCAATACCACACCCTTCTGGGTATCCTCCCATCCCTATTCCCTGTCTAGTTTGCTTGAGAAGAAAAACAGGCATAATAATCATGTGCCCTCTATTTTAAAGAGAACTGATTATTCACATGAGTTCTGTTATAACTTTGAGGGTAGGTATACAGAAGTAATGGCTGTCAGAGGAGAGAGGGAAGAGAGTAAGAAGAAATAAGCAAAAGGCAAGATGATAACCCGGCAGCAAACAGTAGAAAACTGGGGACAGCAGAAAACTAAAGATTAAGAGAAGGCTGTGCTAATAAGCTACACTTGGCTAACCAGGAATTATCTCTTTCATGTGAAAATCCCTTGAAAATGTGGACTCTCATATTTTGGGGTTGGGGTACAGTTGAAGAGGGTGCCAACTCCTACAATGAGTTGAGTATGGTCCACTCTGCCATTCTTGGTAGCCCCTCAGCCAATGCATAGCCTTTTGCAACCATTTCTGATGGTGCATTAACATAACATTAAGGAAAGGTAACTAACCAGATTTGCGTGAGGACAAAGGACACAGTACTGCTTGTATAGAGTTTGAATGCCATGTGACTGTTTCCTTATTGAGCAGAAAAACACTCCTCTGGGAAGTAGTTTAAAAATTATTTTATTTTTGGTCTACTTCAAGGACTAAAACCTTGGAATAAAATTTTTACAGAATTCTGTATATGTGATAAAGGCAACCACTGCTTAATGGTGGTAATTTAAGTGGGGAGAACTGTTCTTCCGGTTTCATGAGAACCAATCACAGCAAAAGGAACATTTCTTGCTCTACTTTTTTTTTTTTTTTTTTTTTAAATAAAGACTAAGCCAAATACATAAACCTATTATGGATAATGGCCTTCTCCCTCCTCAGCCCTTAATACAACCCACCTCCTGACTACATACAACTTGTTTCAGTAGAACACTGAGTACAAAGACAAGACTCAACTTGTCAGTTCCAAGTCTAGAGTCAAAATTTCAACTATCTATCAGCTAATTCTTACTACTGGCCCTCAGAAGCACAATGAATTCAACATGTCCAAACACCTTTTGTCCCCCTACCCTCTCCTCAAATAGACCCCAAATTGGTCTCCTGCATGTCCATTCAGTTATGATGTTACCATTACCCACTTATGGCAGCATTTCCAAATTTACAGTGATATAAATGTATAGATATGTATTATTTATTTGGATCACTTGAAAGACAATTCAATACTATGTCAAGAAGTTCAGGCAT
This sequence comes from Homo sapiens, assembly GCF_000001405.40. Taxonomy (NCBI): domain Eukaryota; kingdom Metazoa; phylum Chordata; class Mammalia; order Primates; family Hominidae; genus Homo; species Homo sapiens. The sequence goes on from NC_000007.14 coordinate 27,555,747, forward strand.
ATAAAAAAAGTACCCAGCCAGTCAAAATCTAGAGACATGATTCATGCAGTATTTGCCAAAGTAGAACAGAAACAAATCCTCGTAAAAATCATGTCTATCTTCTCAAGTCAAATATATATGCATGCAAGTGTGTGTCCTGAAAGCTTAACCTGTTAGGGTCACATGATCAAGGGTAGCCAACTGCATTTCTTTCCTTGCCCTTTCTCTTCAAGGGGCATACTAAATAAACACCTTCAAGTGTATTCTGAAAACAAAATTTAAAGATAGTCGTGAATTAGAGAATACAGAAAGGATTTTAACTTAATGCAAAAAACATTCCACTTTGATAAATTACAGTATTTGAAAAAACGTCCACCATAAGTTACTAATTCTAAGACTCAGTTTTCTCACTTGTTAATAATATCTGCTTCGACAGGACTGTGAAAGACTACATAAGCAATGCTTGATACACGATAGTCATTCTGTGTCCTCTAGAAAAGTCGAGTATCTTTTTACATAGTTCACTGGGTTTCCTCTTCAGTAAACTGCCTATCATGTTTCTTTACTTTTCTCCTGATTCTTGGTCTTTTTCTTGTTAATTATAGATTTTATGTCTACTCTGTTATATATTTTGCAAATAATTTCCCTCAGTCTGTTGTTGCCTTTTAACTTTTCTTTTTGTCACAAAGATGTGTGTGTGTTTTCAATTCTTGGATCTGTTAATTTTTTAATGGTTTTTTATTATTTGTCTTGCTTCAGAAGGTTTTCCTCATTCTAAGATTTTGAAAGAATTCTCTTAGACATTTCTTTGGCCTTCTTACACATTTTTTAAAACAATCAGTTATTTAATCCATCTGCTATTTATTTTCAGTGTATGGGGTGAAGTAGGGATCTGCTCCCCACAATGAATTGTCCTAACACAATTTATTAAAGAATTCATTTCCCCACTGATCTGATTGCCTTACTCAGATTCTAAGTACCTATACATACAAAGGTCTGTTTGGGGACTTAACTCTGTCTCCCAGTCTGTCTGTTCTTGAACAAATATGATGCTGTTTTAATCACTGTAACTTTATACTGTGTTCTGATATTTATGGAGTCCTAATTGTCTTATTAAAAAATTTTTTTGGGCAGGTGCCTATAATATTTGGGAGGCCAAGGCAGGAGGATAGAGGATAAAGGAGGATAGAAGAGGATAGAGCCTGAGCCCAGGAAACCTGCCTGTGCAACATGGTGAGACCCTGTCTTGACAAAAATTTTTAAAATTAGCTGAACATGGTAACACATGCCTGTGGTCCTAGCTACTCAGGAGGCTGAGGCAGGAGGATCACTTGAGCCTAGGAGGTTGAGGCTATAGCGAGGCATGTTCACACCACTGCACTCCAGCCTGAACAACAGAGTGAGACCCTGTCTAAAAAGGAAAAAAAAAAAAATTGGCATTTTTTATTTACTTATTCTCCCAGATGAGCTTAAGGTTTTTTTTTTAAGAAATAACACGGTTTTGCATTACAATTTATATATTATCTCAAGAGAATGGACATGTTTACATGCTTTTCCAAGCAGATAAGTGGTGTCTCCATTTATTCAGATCTTATTTTGCCTTTATAGTTTTGTCATCTTCCTCATATAGGTCTTACACATTTCTTGTTAAATTTGTTAAGTACTATTCTAGACCTCAGAACCAAGAATAATATTAAACTATATTATATAGTTACATATTGTCTTAGTCTGTTTTGTGCTCCTATCACAGAATATCACAGACTGGGAAATTTATAAAGAGCAGAAATGTATTTTTTCACAGTTTTGGAGGCTGGGAAGTCCAAGATCAAGGCACCAACAGGTTCAGTTGTCTGGTGAGGGCTGCTCTCTGTTTCCAAGATGGCAGCTTGTTGCTGTATCCCCTCCAGAGGGGAGGAACATTGTGTCTTCACATGGCAGAAGACAGAAGGGCAAGCAGAACAAAATCCCTCCATTAAGCTTCTTATAAGGGGGCCTAATCCCATTCAGGAAAGGAGGAACCCTCATGACCTAATCACCTCTTAAAGACCCCACCTCTTAATATCTTTACATTGGCCAGTAAGTATTAACACCTGAATTTTGGAGAGGACACATTCAAACCGTAGCACAATATACAAGAACTAAGTATTACTTGAAGACTACATAAGATTTGTCTTTTAAAACCATCTTTACTTTGTTCCTTCTTAGTAATGGCTGTCTGAATATCTCTGGTCGTTGGAAGTTTACTCATGTGTTTACCTCTTCTTGAATCAATTTTGGTAACATTTTTTTCTAGAAAATCACCTATTTCTTCTGGACTTTCCATTTTTCTGCCCACAAACTTATAATTCCTTATTTCATCCATATCTGTGTGCAATCTCTTATCTTATTCTTGATGCTTATGGTTTCTATTTTTCTTGGTGAAACTTCTTAAAGATTTGTCTTCTGAAAGACCAGTTCTTGGTTTTATTCAATGACTCTATTTTTCTTGTTGTTAACTAATTTCCTAATTAATTCCAATTACCACATTTGTCACATTTCTCTTCTTATTTAAATAGATTTATATTTGTTTTATTCTAGTTTATTGAGTTTTAGAGGATCTGCTTATTTTCCATTTTTTGGGGGGACAGGGTCTCGCTCGGTCACCCTGGCTGGAGTGTGGTGGTACAATCTCGACTCACTGCAACCTCCAACTCCCAGGCTCGAGCAATCCTCCCACCTCAGCCTCCCAAATAGCTGGGACCACAGACAGGCATGACCACACCCAGCTACTTTTTTGTATTTTTTTGTAGAGATGGCGTCTTGCCATTTGCCAGTTGGTCTCAAACTCCTAAGCTCAAGCAATCCACCTGCGGTCCCAGCTACATAGGAGGCTGAGGCAAGAGGATTGCTTGAGTCCAGGAGGTTGAGGCTGTAGTGAGCCATATTCACTCCAGCACTCCAGCCTGGACCACAGAGCAAGACCCAGTCTCAAAAACAAAAAACAAAAACAAAACAAAACACAAGCATTTAGTCTATAAAATCTCTTCCACAGTTTTAGCTTTATAAGGGGGCCAAATCGCATTCAGGAAAGGAGGAGCCCTCATATTTTTTATGTAAAATGTTCTCATTTTCATTTATTTTAGCTTAAAACTTCTCTGATCTTAAAACTATCCAGCAGAATATTTTCAAGTTTGAAATGGTAGCTGTATTAGTTTGCCAGGGCCATCATAACAAAGTACCACAAACTGGGTGGCTTAAACAACAGAAATTTACTGTCTGACAGTCCTGGAGGCTAGAAGTCTCAGATTAAGGTGTTGGCAGGATTGGTTCCTTTGGATGGCTGTGAGGGAAGGATCTGTTTCAGGATTTTCTCTTTGGTTTGTGGATGACTGTTTTCTCCCTGTGTCTTCCCATCATCTTCCTTTTATGTGTGTGTCTAAATTTCCCCTTTTTGTAAGGAGAACAATCATATTAAATTAAGGCCCACCTTAATGACCTCACTTTAACTTCATTACCTTTGTGAGGACCGTATCTCCAAGATGGTCATATTCTGAGATACTTGGGTTAAGGATTTCAACATATGAATTTTGGGAGCCCACAAATCAACCCAAAACCACAGCTTAAAACTGTATTTAGGCTGGGCACAGTGGCTCATGCCTATAATGTCAGCATTTTATGAGACCAAGGCAGGGGGATTGCTTGAGGCCAGGAGTTCGAGACCAGCTTAAGCAAAAAAGCAAGATCTCATCTCTAGAAAAAATTTAAAAAATAAAGAAAATTAGCCAGGTGTGGTGGCCCAAACCTACAGTCCCAGCTTCTTAGGAGGCTGAAGCAGAAGCATCACTTGAGCCCAGGAGGTTGAGGCTGCAGTGAGGTATGATCACTCCACTGCAGAGCAGCCCAGCCTAGGTGACAGAGCAAGACTCTGTCTCAAAAAACAACAATAACAAAAAAACCCTATGAGTAGGGAATCACAAAAACTATATATGCCCTTGTGATTAGGGAATATGACAGGATTTTCTATTTCTGAATCTTTAAACGTTTTATCTGTGGCCAGTTCTCCCCATGGAAATGTGATAAGAAAGTATATTCTCTATTTGTAGTATTCTATTAAACTAAGCATCACTGTTAATTACTTTTATATGTGTTGTCATTTTGATCTGTCAAATGCTGAGAGAACTATTATAAATGTCCAATATAACTGTAGTTTTAAATCAAACTCGTAAATTTCTAAAGATTTTGCCTTTATGTATTCACTGATATATAATAATGCTGTATGCATAAAAGTGCATAATTTTGTTTCCTCTTCACAAGTTGTGCAGTTTTGTTCCACTATAAGACATCCCTGTTCATCACAAATTCTGCCCTAAGTTTTAGTTTCTGTAATATGATGTTGCCATCAAATCTTGTTTACATTTCTATTATTATTATTTTGATAACAGAGTCTTGCTCTGTTGCCCAGGCTGGAGTGCAGTGGTGAGATCTCAGCTCACTGCAACCTTCACTGCCTAGGTTCAAGCGATTCTCCTGTCTCAACCTTCCAAGTAGCAGGGATTACAGGCGTGCACCACCACGCCTAATTTTTTGTATTTTTAGTAGAGACGGGGTTTCGCCATGTTGGCCAGGCTGGTCTTGAACTCCTGGCCTCAAGTGATCCACCTGTCTCTGCTTCCCATGGTGCTGGGATTACGGGTGTGAGCCACTGCACTCAGCCTTTTATTCATTTATTTTAAATATTTTTTATTTCATTAACTTTTGGGGTACAAATGGTTTTTGGTTACATGGATGAATTGTATAGTGGTGAAGTCTGAGATTTTAGAGCACCTGTCACCTGAGTAGTGTATATTGTACCCAAAATAAATATATCGTTGTTTCTTCTTTTATTGTTAGCCTTTAATATAATTTTGTTTCAGGTATTTCTTAAAAAGAGCAAAGAGCTGCATTTTGTTCTTTAACCTTGAGAATACTGTCTCAATAACATTCCATTACGTGCATATACCACATTTTGTTTGTCCATTTATCCACTGATGGACATTTGGGTTGTTTCCACCTTTTGGTTACTATGAGTACTGCTGCTATGAACATATGTGCTTTCAATTCTTTGGGCATATACCCAGAAGTAAAATTGCTGGATCATATGGTAATTACATGTTTAATTTTTTGCAGAACCACCAATATCATTTTCCACAGTGGTTGCACTATTTTACATTCCTACCAACAGTGCAAAAGGGTTCTAATTTCTCCACATCCTCAACACCACTTGTTTTCTATTTGTTGTTTTAATAGTAGCCATTCTCATGAGTGTTCAGTGTAATCTCTTTGTGGTTTTGATTTGCCCTTCCCTAATGGTTAGTGATGTAGAGCATATTTTCATGTGCTTATTAGTCATCTGTGTATCTTCTTTGGGGAAATGTCTGTTCAAATCCTTTGTCCATTTTTAAACTGGGTTATTCACTTCTTGTTGAGTTCATTTTAGTTTTCACTGTGTACTTTATATTGGAAAAAATTTAAGTTTTCTAATACTCACCTTGCCCCTTATATTTTCAAATTCCACTCAAAACTTGCATTCTCAGTTTCTTAAAAGTCCTGCTGCAGCTGCATCCCAGTTTAATATACAGGATTTTCATTACTGTTGAGTTCTAACATTTTTTCTTATATGACTTATTTGACTAAAAAAAATAAATTCTTTAGAAATGTGATTCTAAATTTTAAATGTATAGGTTTTAATTGTATTTTTACTACTAATTACATTGCATTGTAGTCAACAATGTAGTCAAAGAATGCAGTCTATAAGATACAGATTCATTGATGCTGGAGACTTGCTTCATGGCCTATTGTGTGGTCAATTATTAATAATTTTTTGATGTGTCTTGAGAAATACATTTCTTCAATTGCTGGATATGAGGTTCTACATGTGTCCACCTGATCAAATTTATTCAAGTCTATATATTTACCAATATTTTTGTTGTTTGATCATCAACTGAGAGAAGTATACTGAAAGGTCCCACTGTGACAGTAGACATTTATAAATTTCTTCTTGTGGTTCTACAATTTTTTGCTTTATACATTTCTGAGGTTATTAGGTACAATACATACACGTTTACATTGTCATATCTTTTTAAGCCTTTTAATTAGTAATGATCCTCTTTATCCCTAACAGTGCTTTTTAATCTTAAGAACTGTTACATTTAATTAATTAACCCATTTATTAGATATTAGTAAATCCATATTTCTTTTGATTGGAATTTGCATGGTATGTAAGAAAAAGATACTTATATTTTCTGAGTCTTTATGTTTTAGGGGTGTGTGTCTTATAAATAAGATTCAGCAGGAGTTTTCAAAAATCCAACATGATAAAAATCTGTCTTTAATTGGGTACATTTAATCCATTTTTTCCTACTATTTTACTTTGTGCTTTTCCTCTATGTGATTTTTATTTCCCCTCCTTTCTTGTTTTTTAAATTGATTCAGGAGTTGTTTCTGTTTTCTTTTTTCCTTTACTGGTTTGGAAATAATATACTTTATTTTTATTGTTTTCAAAATTTCACCATGCATACTTGAAGTTAAACTGAAAAGTTAATCAAATCTTGATCTATCTTTCATAGAACAGAAGACCTTTAGACATTCCTTGCTCACACATTACTTCTGTTCAGTATTTTAGTTCTTTAATTCCACAATTTATATTTTATTTTTATTTAGATATTTTCAGATTTATCCAAATAATTTAAATTACCCAATCTTATAGACCATTTAAATTCAAATTCTGTGTTTACATTTCTTGTTTATCATTTCTCTCTTTAAAATTGAGACAGGATCTTGCTCTGTTGCCCACACTGATGTGCAGTGGTGCAATCATGACTTACTGCAGTCTCAACCTCCCTGGTTCAAGTGATCCTCCTACCTCAGCCTCCTGAGTAGCTGGGACCACAGGCACAAGCCACCAATGCTTAGCTATGTTGCCCAGGGTGGTCTCAAACTTCCGGGATCAAGTGATCGTCCTGTCTTGGCCTACCAAAGTGCTGAGATTATGGGTATGAGCCACCACACTCAGCCTTTGCCATTTCTTTTCATATCTCAGACTTCCCTTTAGGATCCTTTAGGATCAAAGGATAACCTTTAGATGTTCTTTTAATGTACATCTCTTGGTGTTAAATTTTATCAGTCTTTGTTTACTGAAAATGTCTATGTTTAATCATCATTCCTTTTTTTATTTTGAAATTATCATGCTGTAAAATTAAATTTTATGTGTGTGTAAAGTTCTACAAGTTTTAGCAAGTATACATTCATTCAACCACCATCATCAGTGAGGATACGAAATAATTCTCTCACCCCCAGAAGTTCTCTCATGCTACCCCTTTGTGGTCAAACCCTCTTGCCTTCTCCAACTCCTGATCCTACTATCTGTTGTTCATTCCCACGGTTTTGCCTTTCCAGGATGTTATATGAACATAATCATAGAATATAACCTTTCACACTGACTTCTTTCACTCATACAATGCCTTTGGGTTACCTGTTATTGTGGGTATCAGCAGCATATCCCTTTATATTGCTGAGTAATATTCCCTGTATGGAGGTTACACGGTTTGTTTATCCATTCACCCATTGAAGGATTTTTAAGTCGTTTTCAGTTTTAGTGGATCATGAATTCAGGTACAGGTTTTTGTGTGTACACAAGTTTTCATTTATCCAGGCTAGCATGAAGGTTTACCGAGAGGTAGGATTGCTGGAAACTTAGATAAGTGTATGTTTAACTTTATGAAAAGCTTCCAAATTGTTTTCCAAAGTGGTTGTGCTATTTTGCATCTCCACTAGGAATATGAGCATTCCAGTTGCTCCATATTCTCATCAGCACTTAAACTGTTGTATTTTAAAAGTTGCTGTAGCCATTCTATAAATGATGTGTACTGGTATTTCACTGTGGTTTTAGTTTGAATTTTGTTAATGGTAATGATGTCAAGCATCTTTTCATGTGCTTATTTGCCAACCATGTATTTTCTTTGGTGACATGTCTGTTGAAATCTTTTGCTCATTTTCTAATTGAGTTGGTTGTTTTATTGTTGACTTTTGAGAAATGTTTATACATTCTGGCTACATGGCTTTGGTTGAACATGTAGTTTGCAACATTTCTCTTAGGCTGCAGCTTGTCTTTTCAGCCTCTTAACAGTGTTTTAGCAGAGGAGAAGTTTGTTAATTTTCTTTTTTTTTTTTTTTTGAGATGGAGTCTGGCTCTGTCGCCCAGGCTGGAGTGCAGTGGCACGATCTCGGCTCACTGTAAGCTCTGCCTCCCGGATTCACGCCATTCTCCTGCCTCAGCCTCCCAAGTAGCTGAGACTACAGGCACCTGCCACCACACCCAGCTAATTTTTTGTATTTTTAGTAGAGATGGGGTTTCACCATGTTAGCCAGGATGGTCTTGATCTCCTGACCTTGTGATCTGCCCGCCTCAGCCTCCCAAAGTGCTGGGATTACAGGCGTGAGCCACCGTGCCTGGCCGTTAATTTTCATAAAGTACAATTTATCAATTATTTTTTATGAATTATGCTTTGGGTGCCATATCACAGAATTTTTTCCAAACCCAAGGCCAGAAGGATTTTCTCATATATTTTCTTCTGTAAGTTTTACATTTAGCTCATTTTGAGTTATTTTTTATATAAGATGTGAGCTATAGATCAACAACCTTTTTTTCTTAATATATGTAGAATTGTTTATCATTTGTCGAAAAGACCATCCCTTCTCCCTGAATTGCCTTTGCACATTTGTCAAAAAACAAAAACATTCACGAGTCTTATTTTAAACTCTCTTCTGTTTCACTGATCTCTATGTCTTTCACTAATACCACATTTTATTAGTATAGCTTTGAAGTAAGTATGAAAATTGAGTAATGTGACTTCTCCAACTTTATTAATCACATTCAAAATTGCTTTGGTTATTTTAGTTATTTTGTTTTTCCATATAAAATTAATGTCAATTTCTCTATAGATGCAATAAAAAGTAATAGTGCTAAATTGGGGGAAATTGACATCTTTACTACACAGAGTCTTCAAATCCATCAATCCATGAACACAGTACACTTCATTTATTTAGGTCTTCTTTAACTTCTTTCATCAACTTTTGTAGTTTTCACATGTTCTGCACATTTAGATTTATAGCAAGTAATTTAGTTTTTGAAACAAATGTAAATAATAATGTTTTAAATGTCAGTTACCAATTGCATTAATTATGCCTTTTAATTTATTTCTGATGTTTTGAAATCTGGGCCCTTGCTGATCCTGGAGAGACTACCCCTCCCAGGGCTAATCAATTCCTAGAGAGAGTAAAAGACTAACCTTTAAGCGTGCCTTTCATATGCAAACCAACCAATCTAAAGCTCACATCCCCAACTACCTGCATTATAGAGCTCTTATGCTCCAAGCCACTATTTCTCTGCTCTAATCACCCCAGGGCCAAGTACCAGACACTTAGAGATAGCCCCTACACCCCAAAACTGCTGAAATTATTCAAACTAGCCAAGCCTAAGCCTGCTTACCCTGCCTCATCCATTCTTTCATGTGGAAACCACAACAAAGGCTCTTGCCCACGTTTTCCTTCTGTTCCTTCTGCCTCCTGATCGACCCTGATGCATCCCCATATGGCCTTGTGTGGTGTGACACGGCCCCTCCTCTTGGGAACTGTAAGTAATAAACTATCTTCTCAATGGTAGTGGTGTCCTGATCTGTTGGCCTCACTATACCTGCTTAATAATAAACTCTATATCTTAAAACACCAATGTTGATTGCTAGTATAGAGAAATATGATGAATTTCTGTATGTTGACCTTGTGTTCTATGACCTTAGGAAACTCATTTACTGTTTATAAGCATTTACTTGTAGACTCCTTGAACTTTTCTACATGGACAATCATGTCATTTGTGAATATGAATAGTTTTATTTCTTTTTATTTTTCTTACTTTATTGTACTGGCTAAGATTTCTAGTGAGAGACTAAGCAGTGAGAGTAGATATCCTGTGTTGTCTGATCTCAGGGGGAAAGCATTTAGTCTTTCACTACAAAGTATAACGTTAGCTATAGGTTGTTTTTGTTTTAGTACATGCCTTTATCAGTTTTAGGAAGTTCCCTTCTATTCCTAGTTTGCTGAGAGCTTTTATCATGAATGGATGTTGAATTCTGACATACAGATATATGTCATCTATATGTCATACATACATTATATTCTGTATACATATATATACATATGGATATTAGCATCAAGTCTTCTTTAGACTATTAATATTACAAAGACTGATTTCAGTTGAACAAGATTTGCATTCTAAGATAAATCCCACATGGCTGTATTGTTCTTTTTATGTATTGCTGATTCAATTTCTTAATATGTTGATCAGAATTTTTATGTGTACAGTATAAAGAATACTAATCTGTACTAGTCTTATAGTTTATCTGGTTTTAGTATCAGTGTAACACTGGTCTCAAAAAATGAGTTGGGAAATACTGCATACTCTTCCAGTTTTCTAGAAGAAATTGTGTAGAACTGCTATTTCTTTAAATAAGAAGAAATGTGGTAGAATTCATCACAAAAAAACATCTAGGCTTCTGTTTTTCTTTTTCAGAAAGTTTTTAACTACAAATTCATTCTTTAATTTCTTTTTAAATAATTTTTAGTAGTTTGTGGCTCTCAAAAAAAAAATGGTCCATTTCATTTACACTGCAAAATTTATGTCAATTGAGTTCCTTACAGTGCTCCATTCCTGACACTGGTAATTTGTGTCTTATTTTTTGGTTAGGCTGGCTTTTCAAAAGTAGCAGCCTTGGGTTTTATTGATTTTCTTTAATGTTTTTCTGTTTCCAATTTCATTAATTTGTTCTTTATTATTTCCTTTATTCTATTTGCTTTGGTTTTATTTTACTTTTCTTTTTCTAGTTTCTCACAATAGAACTTAAATTACTGATATGAGACTCCTTTTCTAATACAAGCATTTAATTTTATAAATTTCCTTCCAAGCACTGCTTTAGGAGCATCCTACAAATATGTTGTATTTATATTTTTGTTCAGTTCAAAATATTTTCTAATATCCCTTGACATTTCCTCTTTGACCCATAGATTACTTAGGAATGTGTTATTCAATTTCCAAATATTTGAGGAGTAAATCTCCATATATATGTTACTGGTTTCTAGTTTAAATCTTTATGATTAAAGAATACATTTTGTTTAATTCTAGTTCTTTTCAAATTGTTAAGGGTGGTTTTGATCCAGGATACCATCCATCTTGGTAAATGTGCACTGAAGTAGCATGTGTTTTCTGCTGTTGCTGCATAGAGTGTTCTATACATGTCAATTAGGTTCATTTGATTGACGATGTTGCTCAATTCTTTTATATTGTTGTTGATTTTTCTGTCTACTTGTCATATCCATTACTGAGAGAGAAGTGTTGAAGTCTCCAATAATAATTGTGGATTTGTTCATTTCTCCTTTTCATTCTGCTAGTTTTTATTTCATGTATTTTGAAGCTCTATTATTAGGTACCTACAAATTTAGGACTGTTAGTGTCTTCTTGGTGAATTGACTCTTATCATTATGTAATGTCCTTCTATACCTTTGGTAATTTTCCTTGCTCTTTGTTTTGACTAGTATTTACATGGTATATCTTTTTCTATACTTTTAATCTACCTACATCATTATATTTAAAGTGGATTGCTTGTAAACACATTTTGGTCTCTTTTTTAAATCCAATCTGATAATATCGTGCCTTTTAGTTGGTGTATTTAGGTCATTTACATTTAATGTTAGTATTGATAGGTTTGGATTTAAGTCTACTAGTTTATTTTCTGCTTGTCCACTATGTTTTTAGTTCCTCTCTTTCTCCTTTCCCACCTTCTTCTGCATTACAGTATTTGAATATTTCTTTGATATTCCATTTTATCTATTGCATCTTTGTATAGGGTGTGTGTGTGCGTGCGTGCACACGTGTGTGACTGACCTAGGGATTACAATATACATACTAAAGTTTTCATGTCCATTGAAAATTAATATTTTACCACATCAAGTGAAATGTAGAAAATTTACTATTACTGCCTTTAATATTATAGTTGTCATCTGTATTACATTTACATATATAGAAAATTCCACCAATGTTTTACAGATGGCCTTCGACTTAGTTTGCCTTACGATTTTTTTTGACTTTACATTGGTACAAAAGCCATATGCATTCAGTACACTCCTTGATTTTCCATGGGGCTACATCTAGATAAACCCATCCTAAGTTGAAAATGCACATTCAACTTACAATATTTTCAACTTATGCAGGAGTTACTGGGATGTAATCCCACTGTAAGTCAAGGGGCATTGGTAATTTTTAATCACAACCATCACACATATTTTTAAGAACTTAAAAGTAGAAAAAATACTGTATTTATCCAAATGCTTACAATTTCTGTTTCTCTTCTTTCCTGCAGTTCTATAGTTCTCTCTGGTATCAGTTTCCTTTTACCTGAAGAAGTTCCTTTATCCTTTTTTTGGTAAAGCAGATCAACTGGAGATAATTTTTCTGAGTTTTCCTTTACCTGTGAATATCTCTATTTCATCTTCATTCCTGAAGCATATTTTTGTCACATATAAAATTCTGGTTTCAGTGCTTCAAAAATGTTATTCCACTGGCCTTTTGGCCTACATGTTTTTTTCTGAAGTTGTTGCAATCATTGTTCCCCTGTAATGCATCATTTTTTTTTCTAGCTGATCTCAAACAATTTTATTTCTTTAAATAGCCTTTTATTTTTTTGAGACAGAGAGTCTCTCTCTGTCACCCTGGTTGGAGTACAGTGGTATGATCTCAGCTCACTGCAACCTTCGCCTCCAGGGTTTAGCCAATTCTCATGCCTCGGCCTCCCAAGTAGGTGGGATTACAGGTGACTGCCACCAGGCCCAGCTAATTTTTTTTTAAATTTTTTTGTATTTTAATAGTGACAGGGTTTCACCACGTTGGCCAGGCTGGTCTCAAACTCCTGACTTCAAGTGATCCACCCACTTTAGTCTCCCAAAGTGCTGGGATTACAGGCGTGAGCCAGCACCCAGCCAACATTTTTTCTATGTGTCTGGTTTTTAGTAGTTTATGATAATCTGGGCATAGATTTCTTTATTGTATTTGGGGCTCACTGAGCTTCTTAAACCTCTAAGTTTGTCTTTCACTAAACTTGGGAAGCTTTCAGCCACCTTTTTTTTTTTCCAAATTTTTTTTTTTGTACCACACTCATCTCTGTATGAAACTCCACTGGCACAAATGTTAGATATTTCTTGGTATTATCTCAGGGGATCCCAAGGCTCTGTCCATTTTCTTACAGTCTTCTTCTTTTAGTCTGATTAGATAATTTCCATTCATGTAATTTCTGTCTCCAAATCCACTGACTCTTTTCTTTGTCACAAGCACTCTGCTTTTGAACATATCCAGTGATTTTCTTCAAATTTCTAATTATTGTATTTTCCAGTTATAAAATTTCCATTTGGTTCTTTTTTATAGCTTCTTTTTCTTAACTGAGATTATTATTTCTTAAAGCATGGTTATAACAGCTGTTTTAAAATCACTGCCTAATATAAAACATCTGGGTAATCTCAGGGTTGGTATCTTGTCTCTTCCCTTGAGACTTAATCAGACTTTCCTGGTTCTTTTTGTGTCAAGTAATTTTGTATCATATCATGAACATTTGGGATATAAGATGCTATGAGACTCTGGGTCTTGCTCCAATTCTATGAAGAACAGGATGTATTTGAATCTGTCCTAGATGTGCATCAGCCAGGAGCCAGCCTGATATCTGGGTGGGCTATCTATCCCACAGCTACTTGGTATGCTGTTTAGGGTCAGATCTATGTTGTATGGCTCAAGGGTGGGCCCAGAAGTTCATACATAACATCATGCGGTCCCTTTATGAGCTCCCTCTTATCTGTGAAGGGCCCCACTCTCTGACACTCTACTACCCCACCTCCATCCCCCACTGCCACCCGGTCCTCTGACTAGAAAGTCTTGTACTTCCTGCAACTAGATCTGTCTCTGGGGCCAAACAGCAAGAGAATTAAAAAAAGAAAAAAGCAATAGGAATCATTCTACACTGTTTGGACCATAGTTCCTCTGATCAGAGAGGATTCACTTCCCTTGGATTTTTAAGTGTCTGGTTGGCTGCTGCTGCCACCACAAAACTGCAGGTTCAGAAGAGAGGATCATATGGCAGAGCTGGGAGGGAAGAAAAACAAGACAGAGCATTTCTTCCACTTTCTCTGTCTCATAGAGCCTCTCTTCCTGCTCCTTGGATCAGAAATTTCCCTTGGAATTCTTGTTGTTTGCACCTGTGCACAGTCCTAGGATTCATGCTGTCTTTGAATTCAGACTGGGAGATACAAAAAGTGGGGAAAGGATCCAGGAAACTCATTGCCAGAGCTTTTGTACTTAAAAGTTCTATTTTCCTTCTCCAGTCTATTTGCTATCATTTACCTTTCAGAGTCCTCAGACAGCTTCTCCAGGCACTCTGCCCAAGGTTTTTAGACACATTCAGTAGGAGAGAAAGGACAGTATATTTACTTCATCTTAACCACAACTGGAACCTACTATCATTCTTGGTTCTGTTGGATGCAAATTCTAAGGTGACAGTTACTTGTATTTTGATGATATTGTTCTACTGTTTTCTGGCTTCAGTTGTTCTTAGGAGGTCTGCTATTAACACAAAAGGCTACCTATTGTATGAATTCTACATGCATATGTACATGATATTTACATGATATTTTTACACGATATTCTAGAAGAGGCAAAACTATGGTATCAGAAAGCAAATCAGTGTTTACCTAGGGCTGAGGAAGGAACTGACTACAAAAAAGCATGCGGGGAGTTTCTGGAGTGATAGAAACTCCCCTCTGCCTTAAACGTGATGACGGTTACACGACTATATATAGTTGTCCAAATTCATCAATCTCTACACTTCAAACAGGTAAATTTTACTGTATATAAATTATACCTCAATAATGCTGGGGGCGGTGGGGGGAGTAAAAAGAAAGTATGGTATCAGTCTGTATTGTTCTTTTATAGGTAATGTGTCTTTTTTTCCCAGCTGCTTTACACGTTTGTATTTGGTACTGCGTAGTTTTACTATCATGTATTTAGTAAGATTTCTTTTTTAAAAAAATTTAAACTCCTATTTGATATACATTGTCCTTCCTGTTTCTGTGGGTTTATGTCAATTCTGAAAAATTCTCAGATATCATCATGTTGACCACTCTCTTCCCATTCTATCTAGAACTCCAATTAGATGCATGCATAACTTTTTCTTTCTAGCTTTCTATTCATGTCTCAACTTTTCTTTCATATTTTCCATTTCCAACTCTTTCTGTAGTACCTTTGGGTTATTTCTTTAGATATCTCATTTACTAATTCTCTCTCTTCTGCTCCCATATACCATTTATCTATTAATTTTTAAATTTCAATGATTTTTCTAAATTCGGTCATTTCTGACATTTTCTGGATCCTTATTCATTTTCAATCTATCTTTTATTTTTATTTTTTTTTGAGACGGAGTTTTGCTCTCGTTGCCCAAGCTGGAGTGCAATGGTGTGATCTTGGTCTACTGCAACCTCTGCCTCCCAGGTTCAAGTGATTCTCCTGCCTCAGACTCCCGAGTAGCTGGGATTACAGGCATGTGCCACCATGCCCGGCTAATTTTCTTGTATTTTTAGTAGAGACAGGATTTCTCCATGTTGGTCAGGCTGGTCTCAAACTCCTGACCTCAGGTGATCCACTTGCCTCAGCCACCCAAAGTGCTGGGACTACAGGCATGAGCCACTGCTCCAGGCTATCTTTTATTTCTTTAAATGTTTTATGTATAGTCATTTCATACTCTGTTTTGGAAACATCAGTATCTACAGTTCGTAGAGATTGAATATTTTTGTTTCTGTTGGCTTGTCTGGTGACCTGTCTCCCTTTGTGTCTGGTAATTTTTTTTTAACTGTGAGCTTACATTTATTGTACTTGATATTTATGAGTTCTAAGATTCCTGGATTAAGGATGATTTTCTCCAGAAAGAATTTTTATTCTTCTATGGATGACAAGTTCTAGCCCTACCAAATTAAGGTCTTAAATTTAATTATTGGTTGAGTATCTTCCCAATTGGATGAGTAATTTAAATTTGAACTCTATGCCCATAAATTCAGAGCTACTATTGTAAAGATTCAGGAGAAACTAATATACTTTATTTCTCAACCTGTAACCAGCATAGACAGACAGATTTCCTAGTTAGATTCTTTAACTAGCAGGCTTACGATCCATAGAACACCCTTTCTCCCAGAAGTTATGGCCTCTTTGGGCATTTGGCTTTGTTGGGGCCTAAGGGTTGGCTTTCTCACTTTGTGTGAGCATAGGGCCTAGGTTTCCATTACCCCATGATTGTTTTACTCACAAATGTTAACGTCCAGAGCCCCTGTTTTCTGGAATCAGCATTTGCTTCCAGGTCAGCCAGAGCTTCTGGCTTTATTTATTATTCTTATTTCAGATTACTACTCGATTATTTGGTCACTGAAGATCTCCATTCTCTAATGAGAAATGTAAAGTGCATTTAAAAGTACATTTATTGTAATTTATCCAGCCACCGGTATTTTATAGCAGCAGGGTATTTTAATATACCTAGTCTACCATATTGCCAGAAGCAGTAGATGGCTATGTAAAGAAACAAAACAGGTCCTTAAATGTCAAAGTAAAGAGTGATTTCCATTGTATTTTTATGCCAAGATACTTTTAACTGTTTTCTCATAATAAAACAGGTTTCATCTTTACCATTAGCACCTTCATTATTACAGCAGAATGTTGCTTTTATGACATCTATTTTTACAAATGAAATCAAGAAATTTCATCCAACTACATACAGCAGTCAATCATGTTAATGAAGACTTTCCATGAAAGTAATCTACAAGAAACATTAGGTACTTGAAATCTCTAGATCACTTCAATTTTGTGCTTTTGTTTTAAATATCTCATAAAAATATTTATTATCCACGAATCAAGTATTTACTGAATATCTTCTGTATACAAGGAACCCACTCTCAGCTCTTCAGGGTATACAAAAATAATTAATATGCAATTCTTGCTCAAATTAAGAATTTGATTTGGTGAGCCAGACTATTACTGCATTATAAAATTAACTTTAATACACAAAATATTGTCATACAAAAGTTAAAATGTTCAAAATTCCAAGAAGAGAAATATCACATTCATTTGGGGCATAAAACTACAACAGAAGAGTAAAAGAAGCTTCACTAAAAAGATCAGATCAATATGGGCCATGAAAGATGATTAAGATTATATATACTGGTAAGAAACGACTAGGGACAGAGAAAGAAATTCTGTGTAAAGTGATCTGCAAAAGCAAACGCATAAAGGCGAAAAAAGTAGGGAATTTGTGCAGAAAATTGTAAGTAGCTGAATTTAGAACAAACAAAACTCCAGATACACTGACTCTCATTTAATCTTCAAACATGCCATGCCCTTTTCTAATTCTCAACTTTGAATACTATCTCTTCTTGGAATGTCCTCATCCAGCCCCATAATACATGGTAAACATGGATTACTTCTTCAGGAAAGCAACTGCCTAGCAATCAGATCTGGTAAATGTGGATGACCCTAACTACATCATCGTCTTATCATGGAACTTCTTTATATCTCTGTTATGGCAATTACCGATCCATACTGTAACACAGTATCTTTTTCCATGCCCATCTCACTGATTAGACATCGTCTAGACTAGACTAGAGTATGAGCTTCTTGAGAGCAAAGACCATGACTTATTCTAACAAAGTGGCTGATATATGCATTATTCTAAAAACAGGAGTGGAAGAAGTATAGGAAAAAAGGAACGAGAAAAATTCTGTAAATTTCCTTGCATGTATTTAACAAACTTTGACAGGTAGTGCAGAACCAGAATATGTCACTGGCTAAGAGAAAAATGTAGCGGCAGACTCTCTAAGGCTGTGTCCTGTCCCACAGAGTAGCTACTAGCAACATGTGGCTGCTGAGAACTTAAAATATAGCTAGTTCACATTCAGATGTGCTTTAAGTGTAAAACACACATATTTCAAAGACTTAGTATGAAAAAATGTGAAGTATCTGAATAAATTTTATATTGATTACATGTTGAAATTATGTTTTTGATATACTGGGTTAAATAAAATGTATTCCTGAAATTATCCTCACCTGTGTTTCTTATTACTTTTCTAATGTGACTACTAAAAAATTTTAAATTACACATGTGGCTTATATTACATTTCTATTGGACAGTGCTACTTTCAGAATTTGAACCTAAAAGATTAGAAAAACTGAAATTGTAATATACTATAGAGGACCAAGAGCTAGAGCTGGTTTTACTGAAATGAAAAAGTTTGACTCCAAAAATGAGCTTGATTGAAGGAGTCCAATAAATAAAAATGCAGATCCAGAAATCAGAAAAGTCTGTGATGGAAATACAGAGTTAGAAAATCTCTTTAGAAATTAGATAGTTGGAATTTTGGAAAAGCAGGTGAATCCCCAGAGAAAATTTCAGATCCCACAGCTTAGAAAAGGGGAGGAAGAGATAGCAGGTGATTTTTTTTTTCCTCAAAGGATAGGATAGGAGGGGCTGGTATCCCACGAAGAATCTCTGAAATCATTTCCCACAGAAATATGATGCTAATTGTGTTATAATTTAGGGATATTCTCAATATATGTGAGGTTGAAAATAATAGGGACCTAAATATATTAGAAAATATTTTTTCCAAGGAAAGTACATTCCAAACTCCAAACAGGTAACTCTTTACCTTTTTTATTTGTAAACAAACAAGCTTGCAAGTTAGCTTCTGTCATAACTAAGTACATAGATAGGTTCAGACATGCAAAACTTTATTATTGCTGCTCTAATAGAGAAAAAAAGTGGTTATGCACACCTCCCCCTCTAATAATAATGAAATTTACATACTGTACTCAGCCACTGGAACTAATACTTGAAAAGAGCCCCCAAAATATAGTTCAAGTTCAAAATCCATGTATCTTCCACATCTCTTATTTTTACCAAAACACAAGCAATCTGGAGCTGTTATAAGCAAAAGACTGTTTTAACAAAACTCAATTTCTTCAAAATAGAGCTATGTACATACAAAATGAACATACCATTTTAAATTATAAAATACATTTTCCTCTCATTTAGGAGATTTAATAGAGAACTGTTTGTATTCCCAGTGATATTATAAAGCAGGTAATCGAGAAGGGCAAGCTGACTACTATTCTTATGTGTTCAGACAGAGCTCAACTTATTGGACAAAGGCTTATCTTATCTTTTGTAGATGAGAGTTCTAGGATATCCCATGACCTTCCCTAATATTACAAACCTTAGCATTATAAAATTATTTTACTTTTCCCAGAATAAAATTAGAAAGCCAGATACTCTGCCAAATAGGTTTTTTAATTGGAAATTTTAGCACTCTTGATTTATTTGTCAAGAATCTCTGGACTTACAGTGTAGCTGAGAACATAGGTATACAGTAATTACAATGTAGGTGAGACCCTAACCTGTCATGGTGCTTCACAGGGAGGGTGACTTTTACCTAAGGAGAGATCACAGGAGGTGGCATCTACATTGGGACTTGAGTAAATAAGGTAAATATTTAAGAATTAGTGAATAGTCCAGTTTGGTTAGAATTTAAGGCATGTGGAAAGAAGTAGCAGAAAATAAGAATGGAAAAGTAAGTTGGATCCAGAGTGTGGAGAGCCTTGAATGGCAGGCTGAGAAGGAAGACTGGGCTGGACTGGGTGAGCATCAGGAACCAGAGAAAGTTTCTGAACAATTTATCAGAAGTATATCTTGGGCAGACTGAAATCTCAGAACAGTGAGGTGGATATAACTGTATAGCAGTGGCATAGCAGCAGGGATGGTAAAAGCAGCAAGAAGTAGAGGAAGTCCGAGCAATGGTGTGATGTGCCTGCTTTCTAAGAAATAATGCACAGGGCTGTTTTCAAAAAAAGGAAACACATGTGCACATGTTGTTTTTTCCCTAAGATCATGAGGCCTCCTCTTGAGCAACTAGCCTAGCCTGTAAGGAGGAAAACAGTTTTTATCATGTAAGTACGGAAATCTGCTTTTTCCTGAATGGATTCTGGGCTGGACAGCCTGAAGACAGCCATCTGCTCGCAGCAACAGCAGCAGCAGCATGCTTGCTTATATGCATACAATCTTCCTTTGCACTGCTGGTTGGCTCAGCTCAAGTTGCCCACCCTAGGATTACTTTAACATATGCAGTAAAAGTCACATTCTTCTACTCATTGAATCAAGGCTGGAAAGCTTGAGAAGAAACATTCAATCACTGACAAAATAAAGTGGAAAAGGAATCCAAAGGAGGGAAGGAAAGAAATAAGACAGCAGAGAAAGGGATGGGAGCAACGGAAACCAAGAATGAAGCAGGAAGACAAGACATGAGGGAGGAGGAGGAACTGATCATAACCATTACACCTATGTTCACTTAAAAGTAATTGTTATTTAGAGTAAAACTTTATTTCCAAAAACTGTGTGGATGTGGAGGCGGTAACAAGGTTAATTATGTCTCATAATTAGTAATTAAGATTATATAACAAAGCCTTTGGCAATGTTCTATTCTAATGATGGAGGGCCAACATCAGAGAAATATAATAGTGCATTAGCATAACCACATATGCAAAGTACACAAAACCATTTCCAAAGTTAACTTGTCATTGAATGATTAAATATGAATTCATAATTAGAAAAATCCACACTGTAATTTATTGGCTCTCCTGACTGTTCTGGTTCATTAAAAGTTGATTACTAAACAGTGACCTCTAGTGGCCCATAATTTTCCAATGCTATATTGTTTCTCTTAAAGAGTCAGCATAGATTTGAAGAACCTATTTACCCTAAATAAGGCAATTACTTTGAAGATGTTAATATTCCTTTTCATTATAAAGGGAAATATTCCTTTTTCCTATACTTAGCTCCTTAAAGTATATTCTGGCAAATACAAAATGCCAAAAAGCTCTCCTGCTTCTACCCAAGTGTCACACATTCATTAACAAATTATGATCGAGCACCTATTTGTGAAACCGTGGGGCTGGGTGTTTGGGGTATTTTATTAATAATTAGAAACTGACTTCACTAATTCTTTACTATCCAATAAGAAATGAAATCAACATTAATACAATTGTCATGCTACTATCTATTCACTGCCTATACACACGGGACACACTGAAAACATACTTGATTTTAAAATTCAAAGACACCAACAATTTCTGATTCAATGCATACCAAATTACTAAGGTTTATCTTAAAAGGCAATAGATTAACAACTGTAAAAAACAAATCCAGCTCATCTCTTAAATTTTTCTTAAAGAGATTTCTATAACAATGACCTTTCGGAAGAAATTACTTCTACAGCACATTTGTGAACTTTCCAAGCATCATTTCTCTCTTTTTTTTTTTTTTGAGATGGAGTTTCGCTCTTGTTGCCCAGGCTGAAGGGCAGTGGCATGATTTCGGCTCACCACAACCTCCGCCTCCCGGGTTCAAGCAATTCTCCTACCTCATCCTCCCAGGTAGCTGGGATTACAGGCATGCGCCACCACACCTGACTTATTTTTTATTTTTAGTGGAGATGGGGTTTCTCCATGTTGGCCATGCTGGTCTTGAACTCCTGACCTCAGGTGATCTGCCGACCTCGGCCTCCCAAAGTGCTGGGATTACCGGCATGAGCCACTGTGCCTGGCCAAGCATCATTTCTCTCTTAAAATGAATACAAATCTTTTTAAAAGACCCATATCCTTGTAATAATAATTTATGTTAAATTTAAACCCAATTTAAAAATCCATAAATATATTTGTTTTTATTACTTGCAACCCAGGTACACTCATTATGAAAACAAGGTTTCAGAAAGGCTCGCAATATAAAGAGAAGACTTTGGGTGTGTTATTAAAAGGATTATATATCCCTTCATCCCCCCAAATCAGTCAAGATAATCATCCTCGTTCCCTAAAGTAGTGGCAATGCTGTAGCATCCTTTAAGAATGTAGGTAAGCCTCCAAAAAAATTTGAGATGTAAATAAAAGAAACAAATATACTTCCCTGATGTACCATTGCTGCAGAACACATGGGTGTGGAGTGCCAATTG
Organism: Homo sapiens; assembly: GCF_000001405.40. NCBI lineage: Eukaryota > Metazoa > Chordata > Mammalia > Primates > Hominidae > Homo > Homo sapiens. The sequence continues at coordinate 27,577,863 of NC_000007.14, forward strand.
TTTCTGTAATGATTTAATATAGTAGCTGGATAATGAGTTGTACCTTCTGCAACAACTGAATCACCATTTAATGCTATTATCAACAGTTCATGACCCACCAGCAAGAAATGTCAACCTGATTAATCTAAACACTGCTGACCTCAAAAAAAACCTTACTCCTCACAGAATACTGTTATTAGCATCCATTGTTCATTAGAATGAACATATATAAATCAAATCATTAAATAGTTTAGAGAGTTCAGTATGCTAATTTTGCTAAGTGAGAGTTAATAGGGTTCTGAAAATGTGGAGCTGAAGACATTACTTAAGCATGAATATTTGTTAAAACTAAGAGAATCTTTTTTTTGAAGATACATTATTTTATAAGTTCAATATGTCAATGAAAATATTTGTTTTCTTAGTATTGTACATTAGGGTTACAGTAAGATTTCATTTTGGTTCTAAAGTTCAATGTTTAGATTTTTTTTTTTTTTGAGACAGTTTCGCTTTGTTGCGCAAGCTGGAGTGCAGTGGCACGATCTCAGCTCACTGCAACCTCCGCCTCCCAGGTTCAAGCAATTCTCATGCCTCAGACTCCTGATAGCTGAGATTACAGGCGCCCACCACCACACCTGGCTGATTTTTTTTGTATTTTAGTAGAGACAGGGTTTCACCATGTTGCCTAGGCTAGTCTCAAACTCCGGAACTCAGGCAATCCGCCTGTCTCGGCCTCCTGAAGTGCCAGGATTACAGATGTGAGCCACCGCGCCCAGCCAAATTCTTACTTCTTAACATAAATTTCAAAAATAACCAGATTATATTTAGAGCGCATATTGGACACTGATTTTTACTAAAAATAAAACCACATTTTTTTTTGTTGTTACAATAAGCTAGGTCTTCAGTACCCACAAAAGTAGTCAAACTCTGCTTCCTTGCACCTGAGTTGAGAGGTTAGGACTCTAAGAAAAGCAGGTGCAAGCAGGCAGAACAAGTCAAGATTCTCTATAACTGAATACTACACTTCTTAAAAAATAATCAGACTCTATATGGTAACCAGAAAGATTTAACCTAAAATTAACAGTAAGAAAATAATCAGACAAATCAAGAATGAGGAACATTTCATAAAATAACTGGTCTAGACTCCAGAAATGTCAAGATAGATTATTTTTATTTTTAAAGGGAGGGCATGGGAACTGTTTTAGATTAAAGAAAGATGAAGAAACAAAACAACTAAATGTAACATATGAACTTTTATTAGATGCTGGATCAAAGAAAATTAGAAAATCCAGTTATTTGGGGGACAACTGAGAAAATTTGAATATGGGTTATATATTAGATGGCACTGAATCAAAGTCAAATTTCTTGGGTGTGATAGTAGTTTTGGAGTTATGTCCCTATTCTCAGACGATATATACTAAAAGTATTTAAGGCTGAATGGTTCCACCAAAAACAAAAATTATGTGGCACGGGGCTGAAGGGGGCAAGAGAGAACACATAAATTGAAATTTAAAATATAACAAATAATTACATAGCAGAGCACTGATACCACACATAAAGAGAATCTCTATACACCCATTATTTAGAAATGTTTCATGAATTCTATTTTTACTGTGTCTTCCAAAAGGGCAGAAAGTGAAGGAGGAAAAACTTTGGTCCCAAATACCAATGAAGGTAGTTATCTTTTGATTTACAAAAACAGATATTTTATTGAAACATCTGAGTCAAATTTCTATAAACTGAATACTTAACCATTACTTCGTATTATTACATTGCTGAGTTACTCTGTATCTCCACTTTAACAAGCAGGTTTACTTATGTGCTTTCTGTCTCTAGTGGCTCTGAGTTTGCCCTGGCAATAGCTTTCCAAGTAAATGACTAACCACATTAATGGTGTTTGTTCTGGGGTATCCACCACAACATTACGTTTAGAAATGACCTAGCTGAGTTCTATTTTAGGGTTGTCCTACAAATAAAAACACAGCCACCAAAAAAGCAGCGAGGTATCTTTACCATAATACCATTTGACTCACATTAGTAAGAACTGCAGGATTCATGGACTGGTTCTATAACCTACTGCCATGCTACTAAGTTATAGCCCAAGAAAATCCATAGTACTTGCTCCCATACAAAAACCGCACTGCATGTATTTCAAAATACATGAGAGTCTGTTTGAACAGCCACACTTCTACAAATTAGGATTAAGGGAAAAGAGATATAGAACTAAATTAAAATACATGTGGCTGTTTTCTACGATTTTTCATGAAACACAGGTGTCAAGGAAACAAACATGTTTCCCCTGATTTTAATGAAAGAAATGCAATCAATTATATTGAGACTATACTAGGCATTTCTCAATACAAGAATCATGCCCAGATTCACTTCAGTGAGAAAAAGTGATGGAGCAGGCAGTTGAACTCAGGTCTTCCAAGTAGCAGTAATGAGTAAAATGAACAGTTCTGGATTTGTACAGATCTATTCACTTGTGAAACTGCCACCAGAGAAATTCATTTGAAAAGCAAAGCTTAACCACTTAGAAATCAGAAAAATCTCAGTTCCCAATAACAACAACAACAACAAAAATCCAGATAACTAGGACTGTGTGCATAAAAATGCTAGGAAAAGTTTTCAGGTGAGGATAGTTACAGTAAATCAGCAGAAAACTCTTTAAATGAACATTGTAAGATGAACAGTTTAGCTCCAATTTGATCATAAAACACAAGGAAAGATTATTTATTAAGCTCTTCAGAGCTTGTACTGCAATTTATATCTTTTTTACCAGAAAGATTCATTTGTTCATTTATCCATTCACTCATCTATCCATTAAACACAAGACTGAGTGCCTACTATTGGATTATGTATTGTTACAGGCATTGAGAATACAGCAATGAGCAAGAGAACAAATCTTTGGTCTGTGGAGTTTACATTCTAGCAGAGTGGTTCTCAATCTCAACTACCTATTAAGGAACAACTCCTAGAAATTGATTTAATGGGGAAGAAGGTAAGAGAGGTGGAGATCAAAGCAGAAGTAGAAAGGCTGACTTCAGAGACCACTGCTGCTTGGCCAATTCTAACAGGAGGATAGGCAGAGTACATGCATACAAATGCATGCAGGTTAAGGGGTAGGCGATCATGTGGAAGTTCTTTCACGACTGTGTCTATTCTCAGTGAAAGTAAAAAGGAAAGGTCATCAGCTGACACTGCGTGAGGATACCAGAGGCATAGAGACAAGAGAAGGTGTGAAATAATTGTTTAGGTGATGGAAAAGAATGAATGGACTAAGGAAATGAAGGGGAACTGTCAAGCAGCCCTAAGGGCCAACTTGGGATTAGTGATCATTAATTTAAAATTCAAGCCAGACCAACATGGTCATCCATTTACTCCAACCATGTTCAGCTACTCAAGGGCCAATGCAGAGCAAATGAACAGTTGGATTTGACCAGGGGTGGGGTCAAATTCAATAGAGGAAGGAAGAACGAGGAAGCTGAGGATGTGTAATCATGTACGGTGGAATATAAACCAGTAGGGAAGGAAGCTAGGACATGAAGAGGGTAGAGATAAAGAAGCAGGTGTTTAATTATTCTGCTTCAGTTTTATCTACAACAGGTACTGCCATCAACTATAATTGCTTATCTTCCTAAAATTTGAAATTCCCTTCCTTTAGAATTATTCAATTCCTTTTACGGAAGGATGGAAGGTAGATTTCCTTTTCTCCTCCAAATTTATTAAGGTTTAATTGATAAAAATTTTATAGATTTATGATATACAACATATTTCGATAAATGTATACATTGTGCAATGATTAAATCAAGCTAATTAACATATCCATCACCTTATATACTTATCGCTTTTTCTAGATTACTTTTGCTCAGGAGTGGCCAAACTTAGTTTCTTTCAAAGTTCAGAAGACTCTGTGGATCCTTCAGCACTTAAAGACCACCATACAGAATATCATTTTTCCATTCTCATTTTAAAAAAATGAGATTCTATTACAAAAAGGAATCTACAAAAAAAAAACCCAATTCAAATGGATTTAGCTTCTTGTGTTTTCTTTGATAAACACAGATCCTCTAGAAAAAAAATATAGTACTTGATTTTAGTCCCCAACTTCATTTAAAGTGACGCATACTTATTTGAAAGAAGATAAAATAAGAGATGCTTGTTTTCTCTCTTTGGATGTAATTATTAGCATTTGAAATCAGAGGCCAAAAAGACTTCATGCTTTGACTTAGGATTAACAGTCTCTTTTGAACAGAACTATCACTTGTCTATTCAACTTAGTAAAGTAATTGCTTCTTTATTCTCCTTGAAATGTTGTTGTATGCTTTACAAGTACACAATCCCTTCCCTTCAACTCTTATACAATAAGCTCTGAAATGCAAAAGAGTTTTTCTTCACTCATTTGGCAGCAAAACTTTACCTGAACTGATTTAAGGCTATAGTCTTCATTTCTTCTGCTTAGTGTGAATATTCATATATTTCATTGCAGAAATTGTTGGTGTTTTGATTACAGGGGGCTGCCCTGGTCTCTGCTGGGGATGTTACATAGCATATGGTAAATATACATATTACCTTGCTATAATTCTAAAACAAAACTCACATGACTCCAAGAGTTTCAAGTAAGGGATTGTGGGACTATGGGAATTTTTTTCTTTTCCTATTTTATGAACAGGAACCTAATTTCTGGCTTAGTCGTAGAATTATTGTAATAGTTCACTCCCACTTACTAAATAATTATGATATACCAGGCACTGGGTTTTACATATTTACATTATTCTAATTGAATGCTGTGGAATGAATCTTTATGGCCTAGAGATCTAAGTGTATGGGACTTTATCCAGGCTTCTCCCCACCTCAAAATCAATCTGGTTTCCCAGAGTAAGAAGCTGGGCGAGCTGCTCTTTGTGTCCGTATGGTGGTTTTTCATTTCTCTTTGGTTGGAGATTATTATATGGATAAAAAGCACAAACCTTACAGTCAGCCAGGCTCATGTCTGAATTAGCTCTACCTCTACAAATGAGTAGGACAAATTCTTTAACCTCTTTATGAGACCATTTCCACATCAGTAAAATGGGGATAACAACAGTACTGACCTCACAGGGCTTTTGTGAGGATTAAATGAGATGATGTCTGTAAAGTACTCAGCAATTTTACAAAATACCTGGCCTAGTACTTAGTGTATAATCATAAGCTACCTTACCTATCTTTACCAATAAGCATCTGCATGATGATAATTTACTTTCTGTATTACAGCTATTATTCCACAAAACTTTTTTTTCACAGAAATAAGATGATATTTACAAGATGTGTTCTTGTTTTCAAAAGACCCTTATTTTGACTTCAAGGGAAGCTTTATTAAGCATTAATTGTCACAGATACACCGCTATTATACAGAATTTTAAAAGCTAAGGAGATGTTAGAGGGAAGTAAAATACATTGAACAGCTTACTCTGTTAACAACCTTGATCTGATTTTTAAAGTAAGGAGAACAAAATTCAGACTTGGCCAATGTTACAAAACTAGTAAAAAGCAAATACCTTCACCAAAAGCCAGAAGGAAACAGTATCTCATGATGCAGTCTAATACTGTTATGACAACTTCAAAAAAACTTTTTCTACCTTCCTTTTCAAGAAAAAGCTACCTAATACCTAGGTATTATAGAATACAATATTAAGCATATTATATATTAATAACTTTTTGTGACATTAATTCATGTATTGTTTCAAAACCTGCTTTTACTACTAACACAACACTGTAAAATATTTTCATGTCAGATATTTATCTACATCACTGATTCATAATATGTAATTTAATCAATTCTCCCTTATTGGACATTTGGGTTATTTCCAAGGCCTCATCATTTTAAACCAGTGGTTCTTAAACTTTTTGGTCTTAGGATTTCTTTATACTCTTTAAATATTTTTGAGGACACAAAAGCTTTTGTTTATGTGGATTATATCTATTGGTATTTACTGTATTAGAAATCAAAACAAATTTTAAAAACATTTCTCAATTGACTTAAAAACATCAATCATAAACCTAATACATATTAACATATTTTGGGAAAAATAACAAGCAACAAAATTTAGTGAGAAGAGTAGCACTGCTTGACAATTTTTCAAATCTCTTTAGTTCTGGCTTAATAGAAGACAGCTGGATTTTCATAGTAGATTAAATGCAGAAGCAGATATATGTTGTTTTGGTTGAAATTAAGAAAAGCTGACCTCATATAGATAATGCAGTTTAAAAAAGTAAGAGAGAATTTTAATAACTTTTTCAGATAATTGTGGATATCCTTCTTTTATATTAAACCCAAACCTGACAAATGGTGGTTTCTTAAAGGCTTGTTGCAATGTGGAAAGAACTTTTTATACTATGTTACATTAAAATCTATCCCTCTATTTTGTACTTTGCATCTTTTATCTAGGCATAATTTGGTAACATCATACAACGGTCAATTGGAAAATACTCGTTCAGTTAGTTATGCAGATATTCTAAATTCCCAGTATACAGTAACAGAAACTCACATTCTTTAACTGCACCAACAATCTTTTCACAAAAGTCTTTAAGGATTAGAAAGTTGTTAAGTTCATATGGTCAGATACAAGTTTTCCAAAATTCTAATTTTTACTTGAAAGATCCAGTTTTATCATTGGTTACAAATACCCTCAGTTGCTTTCCTTGAAGTAAGACTCACTTTTTTCTTTCTATAAGATGTCTTGTTATTCTTTGAAATAAAAATGGTGTTCCACAAAAATGCAGATAGTATAGCTGGCAACTCAAACAATCACCTAAATACTTCTCAAGACAACCCCAATACCAACTGTAGCAGGATCGTTTGGGGCATATTTTCCATTACATCAAATAAAATATACAAAAGACATGTACTCAACATTAAGATTTAATAAAATTAATAATTTTTAATGCTTCATCAAGGAACATTAAGTGGAATGCTTTATGTGTAGCTGTTAAGAATACGATACCACTGTCTTGACTCTTGCTAAGGGCAGCAGTTTTACTCACCATTCCTTTTGCACCATGAGTATTATTACTCTATTATTAGAAAAATAATTTTCACTTTATGGCCTCCTAGGGATCCATGGAGGGTACACTGAGAACCAATGTTCTTAACAATGCTAAAAGTACATTCTTATAGTTAAATCTTTACACATATTCTTACTCTGGGGGGATAAATTCTTAAAGTGGAATTACTTGGTAAATTATATATATTTGTAAAAATATACATACATAAATTACTAGGTAAATTTATAGACCTATAAATATAGAGCTTTTATACATACATACAGGTGTGCATGTTTTTTATATATGTATATATGTGTGTATATATGCACACACATATGTATGTATAAAAGTACGTGTGTATATTTGCATGTGCACACACGTGTGCATATATACACACGTGTGTATGTATGTGTATGTATATGCACACACGTGTGTGTATGTATAAAAGTTTTTGATGCATACTACCAAACTGTTCTCTGAGTTGGTTCAAATAACTTACATCACCAAAGCAGTCTATGAGGCTACACATCTTCCCTATCTATGCTAGGACTAGACTTTTGTATCTTTGCCAATCTGAGGGTTAAACATAATAACTTTTCAGAACCATCCTGACTGCCACAAAGACTGGGTGGCCCCAGATTAGCCAGGAGACACTACATATATTTGCCTTCATTGTGGCTCACATTTCATCTCATCAAAATGAAGATATTATTTACCCTGTCTAATTCACTGGGATGATATGAGAAATAATTAGGAAAAGAATGAAAAAGTAAAAAGCATTTGTAAGACGATTCAAAGAGAAACAGATCAAATGTCAATGACACACACTCAAAGGAAGTGTATAAATTGGTTTCACCAGATTTTGGTTGTCCTAAAAGTGAGTGAGTTTGGGGCTTGTAACATTTAAGTTTTCTGTTTACTGAAAAATGAATCTAGAGTTTTCCTGCCCTTAAAAATGGTTGTATTTTCTAGGTACATGATTTTTTTTTAAATTTTTTTGGAGAAAATGTTATAAGATGGCAAAATTCTCAATTTAAGAACACAGATGTAAACTTTATTAACAGCAGGCAGAAAGCTGGCCTTCTTCCATGCTATTCTATTCTAATCTAAGAAGATAGGTGGTTATGTAATTCCTCCACATAAATTCAGTCCACCTGGACGTGAAGGGGGAGGTGACTTAACAAACTGACTTCACATCAGTTCACGCATTTTCTCTGCAATTTATTCTTTAAAAATGTTTTTTCCCTATGAACAATACATTCAATATAAATTATTAGATTATCACCAATTTCTACAAAAGCAAATATGCCCTTGTTGCAAATATGCAAAAACAGAAGGAAAACACAAAAAGGAACATTCTTTCCATTCCAACTGATAGTCTACATGAGCTCTCAGGAAGTTTGGCAACTGGGTTTCAAGGTTTTAAGAATATTACAATAATCCAGAGCAACTGCAGTGTAGAGCAATGTGGAAAAAAAGAAAGAGAGAAAGAGAGACAGGGAGAGAGAGAAGGAAGGAAGGAAAGAAGGAAGGAAGGGAGGGAGGGAGGGGAAGGGGTTGATTAAAGATGGTTTCATGAATAAAATATATCATGAAACCATCTTATTCTCTGCTAAGACGATTTTACTAACTATAATTTTGCTTCTAGAAATTAAAATTTCCTCAATTCCATCTGAGCAATCAATACTCTAAAAGCATAAAGTGTTATATTCTCTAATTATTTTTACTTTTTAACTCTGTTCTTGACCAGAAATGAAGGGGAAGGGGAAGGGGAGAGACAGAGAAGAAGAAAAAGGAGGAGGAGGAGGAGGAGACAAAAAGAAAAGAGGACAGCACTCTTAGAAAAGGAGGGAAATCACTCTTGTGAGGCGTTAGCTTTGTGGTTCCAACAGTGACCACCTCGACTTTCCTGGGACAGATTTATTCAGCTTAACAACCCTCACTGGTGACTTGTGACATTCTCCTGCCAGTCCCTGCAGGTACAGTACCCTGACAGGCCATTATAAAAAGGCTCTCTAACAGGGCCACTGGCTGTCAGAAGCCACCAGCTGGCGTGCCACAGCCCTGCAGTCGCCAGGGTCCAGCTGCCAGTCTGGGCGGTGCCGTCCATGCTGCGCAACGTGCCACCCAGCTGCTGCATGGTCACGTCCATCTGGAGCTCTCTAGCTAGACAAATCTCTATGCCTGTCAGATCTCTTCAGCAAGCCTTGTTATGCAAATTCAATTACTCAAGTGTGCCCTATTACTGCTGGCTAACTGCTCCTAGAACCGATCTCACACTGACAGTTCACATTTTTTGCTCACCAAAAAGTACCTCATTTATTCTTGCTTTGCTACCTCCTTGTATCATTAAAGATGAACAGCCAAAGTCCACAGTATTCTAACCTCTCTGCAGTGGGCTACTGTTCTCCACAAAGAGCTGAGAGGAAAATTAATTGCAAAAGAAAACCTTCTAATCAGACATGAAGTGGTGTTAAAGCTGCAGATTCCCCACACTTGACAGATGATTTTACTACCAGAAATATGAAATTTAAATCTTAATGACCGAAAGGAAAATCTGGTATAACAAGTTATATTGGACAAAAAAAAATGAATTATTAGGAGAAAATGCTGTAGTAGCTTTTACTAATACCTACTTTTAAATAAAAAGAAAAGAAGTGACAAGAAATTTCATTAGGTAAAGTTCATGTGAGATAGCTCACTGCCTTGTCTACATTCTCCCCTCCCCTGCACCCTCTAGCCCTAGTCATGCCACTCCCAAACACATGCACTTCCTCTCCCCACTGCCTATACCCTCTCGCCTTACCGCTACAATTAGGAGGTTTCGTTCTTTTTCAATAACTCATTTTAACCCATCAGTGATTTGAAGGTTGAGATGAGTATTTGAAGCCATTTAACCATTTCTAATCCATTCAAGACAACTGAGAAAAAATTCCAAGGTACAGCTGTAATTCCAAGATTCTCACCCAAGCAACCTCATCATAAAATGAGACATTTTAATCAACTGAGGAGGTAAGAGAAAAAGAGTCCATCAGTAGTTACACTTTCAAAATAGCAGTTTCCACAACATGAGTAGAGTATAGCAGTTTAGAAGAGAAAGGGAATAAGTAATGTCTGTTTATGAATCATGCAATGATACAAATACCAACAGAAATTTAGCTAAAATAGGGATTACACAGTGATATCTGGACATCAGTCCCCAAGAAATGTTTCTAATGCACAAATCTTTAGGATCTTTACTCTGAAAATAACAGTTAACTGTTGATTACAAAACTAAAAAAATGAAAAGGCTGCTGGCCAGGCACAAGTCAAATGTAACCATGTTTCAGGTTTAAAGCTTATGGACAATGGAGGGTTGTTGGTTTTTTTGGTTTGCTTCATTTGCTAAGTGAACTTGGAAAATGTGTAAGGAAAGGAGGTCCAGGATAAATACAAGGCAAGAAGTTTTGGTAAACAGTTTTTATTTTTTATTTTCTTTTGTTTAAGAGATACGGTCTCACTCTGTCACCCAGGATGGAATGCAGTGGCATGATCATAGCTCACTGTAGCCTCTAACTCCTGGGCTCAAGTGATCCTCCTGCCTCAGCCTCCCGAGTAGCTGGACTACAGGTGTATGCCACCACACCCAGCTAAGATTTTAAAAATTGCTTGTAGAGGCAAGGTCTTGCTGTGTTGCCCATGCTGTTCTCTAACTCCTGGCCTCAAGTGATCCTCCTGCCTCAGCCTCCCAAAGTGCTAGGATTACAGGGATGAGCCACCACACCTGGCCCAGTATAGAGTATTTTAAAATATATCATGAAACCATCTTATTCTCTGCTAAGATGATTTTACTAACTCTATAATTTTGCTTCTAGAAATTACTAAAATTTCCTCAATTCCATCTGAGCAATCAATACTCTAAAAGCACAAAGTGTTATATTCTCTAATTATTTTTACTTTTTAACTCTGTTCTTGATCAGAAATGAAAAAGTAGAGTGCCTATATGCTTGGCCTTAAACCCCTAAAATCCAATTGTTTAGGAATTGCTTTTCAAATGCCTCATTTGTAACCACTTTTTAAAATCAGTATCTCTTATGTTTTGAGAGACCCGACCACAGTTTTTTTAAATTATACTAGTTAAAACTGAAAGCAAACTATTTCACTCAAGTATGTGAATAATATGTATGAAAATTAGGAACTATCTGCATTTGCAGGGACAAATAGCTATCCCACAGGAATGAATTTTAAAATGTGGGAATGGCATTATTAGGTAATATAGGTATATTGAAAATGTGTATTTTTATGTTATAAAATGGTTTTATCAGCATGTTATATTTCCACTTAAAAATTCAGATTAACAAAAAAGGGTAAGTATGCTTCTATTACATTTTTAAAAATCACTAAAATGCTTATATTTGAATTAGGAAAACCTTAATTTTTTTGTTTTAATTTTTATAGTGAATAAAACCTTTTCCTTCAAATCTTTATACATAAGTAGAAAACGAGTAACTAGAATTTATCCTTAAACTATGCTGCTAGCTCTCAAATTCTTATTGACTAAATGAGAAATTCACATTTTCCCCTTAATAATTCCAATAGTGATTTTAATAACAATAGGAGTAATTAACACTATTCAGTACATACTGTGGATCAGACACTTTTCTAGACCCTTAAGAAATCAACCCTTGAGGTATGTGTTACATAATAATGCCTATTTTACAGATGTAGAAAGGCACAGAGATATTAAATAACTAGGATATATGCCCACTATGCATCAGAGAAAGTGATTCTAACTCCACTGTCTTCAAATGTATGGTAGAAACTAAAAGGAAAACTGAAATCAAGTACTTGATTGTAAGACAATCAGTAAAAAGGCAATTTGGGGAAATACTTCTCTGTATATAAAATGAAGAGAGTTATGTTCTCTGAGCAACCTTTTCTGTGGCAAAGACTCTGTGGTTGACTTTTGGGTATATGTGAACATACCCAAGTCATACAACTAGTAAGTGACCTACATTGGAGTCCTGAATCCAAATCCCGTGATCGTCCCATCACACCAAACTGCCTCTTCTCAAAGTTCTAGAAGTCCTGTTTTGTGAACCAGAGTAAGAGTTCTGATTTGGGTTACAACATTCTCAAGTAAGTACTAATGTGTATCTTTCCACAATGATTACATTAGAACATTCTGATAAAGTCAGCCCTGAGGTTAGGATTTTGGTGAGAAAAAAAGAAAACACCAAAATCTCATTTGATTTTCACAAAAAGTCAGGCCCTAAAAATGGCATTAGAGAAAGGAATATGCCCACTCCAAGAGATTCAATGGTACATCATTTCATTTAAGTCTCAAAATAAGCAATGCATTTAGACTCAGCACCAACAGTCCCATCACTTTTATTTACACCCAGAAAAGTTGAGACTCAGAAAAGTTAATTTGCCCAAAGTCACACAACAGATAGAGGAAATAAAAGAACTCAGATCTGAGTTCAGATTTCTCATGTAAGTGCTCTTTTCACTATACCTAATGCACTTCTATACTGCAATTAATTGTTCTGCTGCCCATCAGTCAGAATTTCCTGCTTATCCAAAACTGTCCATTTTACAAAGCAAAAAGAGTAGGCCCCAAATTTCCAAACCATCTGAATAGTTTCTTCTTGATACTTTCAGAAGCACTAAAAAACATCAAGGTTTCTCATGGAACCAAGTCAGCAAAAAATAAGCACTGTACTTAACAGACCTCTAGTTTGAAGATTTTAAAAGGGACATCTGCTATTGCTTAACCACCACCCACCTAATCCCTTTAGAGCTCTACATCTATCTACATACACCTCAGCTGTAAAGCATTCTGAAGGTATCTGTTAATCCCGTCATAGTCCCAGATAAGGATCTCACTTAATCCTATAAAATACAACTATCACTTTCTTCAAAGTTTGGTCATAATATTAGCAAATATTATTTGAATCATTTGAATTAGAAAAGCACTTTCTTATACCATTTAAGAAGATACTACCAGGTACGGTTAAGTGAAATTATATTTCCAGCCTTTCAGTGAGGGACTCTGTTCGCTTCAATCCTTGAATATCTCCCTCAAATAACAGAGAAATGGTTAAAGGCAGGAGACAGGATCTCAGGAAAAATATTAACACTGCAAGAGAAAAGTTGATTTTTCTTTTTATAAGGAACTTAACTGATACCATCATATTTTGGTATCAAATGGTCTCATCTAAGTCTTACATTTTTAATTTGAAGTTTAGCTTTCAGTTTTTCTAAATTGAGGCACCATATAAATTCAATTAGGTAAATGGGTACGATCAAAACATCATTTAAAAAATACTCTACGAATCTCAGAGACTCTCCAAGTCTCTCCTTAGAAGTAAATTTTAAGTTGGTGAGGACCTGAGCCCTCTCAGCTCACTTAAGATTATCACCTGTGGCCGGGCGTGGTGGCTCACGCCTGTAATCCCAGCACTTTGGGAGGCCAAGGCAGGCGGATCACGAGGTCAGGAGATCGAGACCATCCTGGCTAACACAGTGAAACCCTGACTCTACTAAAAATACAAAAAATTAGCCGGGCGTTGTGGCAGGTGCCTGTAGTCCCAGCTACTCGGGAGGCTGAGGTAGAAGAATGGTGTGAACCCGGGAGGCGGAGGTTGCAGTGAGCCGAAATCACACCACTGCACTCCAGCCTGGGCGACAGAGCGAGACTCCGTCTCAAAAAAAAAAAAAAAATTATCACCTAACCCACCACAAGTTCTGACTGCCTTCAGTGAAGAGCGTGGGAACTTTCATTATTTTGTTTAACTTTCATTATTTTATCTGCAAGCATTTACATATACACACAATGTAAGGCATTTATAAAGACAGTATTTTCTAAAAGTACAACTAAATCTGTCCCCTTGAAACTTAGTTTAACAATTTACTTGTTAACCTAGGTAAAAACAGCATCTTTTAAATGGAGTTGTGGGCTTCTAAAATCTAAATACATTGCTATGTTAATTTCTCATGCTAGCCTTTTATATCCCCCAATCAATGTAAATGCTTTTCTGAATACAGTGATTCTAGAAGAACCTTCATGTGAGTGTCTTGTCAATCGAGCTAATCTCATCTCTTCCCACTTTCCTCTCCATTTACAACCAGAAATGCCAAAATCCAGAAATATCAAACTTCCATATTTAAGCAAAAACATTGTGTTATTTCACATTTCTGTATCTTTGTAAATGCTATATTCCCTTTGCCTGAAAACAGCCTTCCCCTTCCTCACTTGGAAAATCTCTATTAATCTTTTAAAACATAATTTGAACCTCACCTATTCCAGAAAGGCTTCCAAATGATGCCTCAAATGTATCAACAGCTTCATTTTGTGTGTTACATTTAGTGCAATGTGTTTTTTATGAATATGCATCTGTCTCACCTAATACATTATGATGATCTTGAGGTCCCTGAGGGTCCATTTATCTTTTTCCTCAGCACTCAGCAGAATGCATGATACAAGAGGTACTCAAATGTTTGCTGGATGAAAGAATGTTTAAGATAACGAAGAGACTATCTGAAGAAAAGAGACTGAATTTTTAGGTCAGAAACCAAAATAGGAAAGATGAGAAGAAATAGCAGGATGAGAATAAAAACAATAAAACAAAAAGTACTCAGACCAACTTGGTTATTTTTTATCCCAAAAGCCACACCTTCGCCTGGCCCCATTCATCCTATGAGTTATTCTTGGTGAATGTTATAGGCTGACTTCTTGTAAAGCCTAAATTTAAGGTACTTTTAGGAAAACAAACAAAAAAAAACATGCGACAACTTTTCTCTATATCTATATCTCTAGCTCAAGCTACCATCCGTGTGTGCCTGGACTACTACAAATGCCTCTCACTTGTCTCCCAGCTTTTACTCACACCCTGTCTCTAAAATGTTTTCCACACTATAGCTACCATAATCTTTTAGAAATCCTAATCTGATTATGCTGTCTCCTTACTTAAAACTTTCAATGGTTTTTAGCATATGAACAAAATTAGTAACATGGTGAAAAAGGTCTTGATAGTCCAGCCCAACCTCTCTCTTCAGCCTCATCCAACACCATACTTCCCTGTTTAAAATGTGCCACCAGGTGCTCAGCATGCTCTTCCTCTGTGCCTAGTTAACTCATACTCTCCTTTAAGGTCACAATCAATGGTACTTTTTCCAACAAGACTTTCCTGACCTCCAAGAAAATCCACCTTAGGTAAATACTCCTATGGTTCAATGTAACCCTGCTGTAGCACAGGGCAAAATATGGTACAGTTTTTATGATTATATGATTAATACAGGTTGAAAGGATCCCCAGTCCAAAAATCTGAAATCCGAAATGCTCCAATGAGCACTTCCTCTGAGCATCATGTCAGCCCTCAAAAAGATTTAGATTTTAAAGCATTTTGGATTTTCAAACTAGGGATGCTCATCCGGGTATGTATTCTGCAAACACTCCAAAATCCAAAACGCTTCAGGTCCCAAGCATTTTGGCTAAGCAATAATCAACCTGTATCAGTTCCCCCAGACTGTAAGTTCCAAGGGCAGGGATTGTGCCTATTCTGATTGCTCACTTTCCAGGGCCAATGCAGTAACTGACTCATACTAGAAACATAATATTGGTTGAGGAAATGAATAATGCAAACATACATTTAAAAAAAAAGATATTTCTTCAACATAATTTTTCAAAAACCTCCTTCAAACCAAAGCTACCACTGTGTTTAAGATTAACTCAATAAAAGCATTTTCATTAATGTCAGGAACATGACAAGGACACTTGTTATCACTACTATTATTCAATATTATTCTGGAAGTATTAACCAAATGTTTAATAACCAGTTAAGAAAGAGAGATAAAACTTACAAAAAGAGGCAATATGATTTAGGAAAAAAAGGCACAAAATGATCATTTTTAGACCTAGAAAATCAAAGAGAACCAACTGAAAAACTAGTAGAATAAGAGAATTCAAAAAGGAAGTAGAGTTCAAATTAATATATAGAAATCAATACCTCTCATATGTATAAACATCGATGGAAATTTTTTTTTAATAAAAGAGAAGTCAGTTTACAATACCAGCAACAGAGACAGGAGAATGGTATGAACCCGGGAGGCGGAGCTTGCAGTGAGCCGAGATTGCGCCACTGCACTCCAGCCTGGGCGACAGAGCGAGACTCCGTCTCAAAAAATAAATAAATAAATAAATAAATAAATAAATAAAATAATACCAGCAACAACAAAGATAAAAAGACTTTGGAATAAGCTGTTGAAGAAATGTTTAGGTTGTTACATAAAGATGTTTTTGTTTTTTTGTTTTTTTTCTGAAACAGAGTTTCGCTCGTTGCCCCGGCTGGAGTGCAGTGGCACAATCTCAGCTCACTGCAACCTCCTCCTCCTGGGTTCAACTGATTCTCCTGCCTCAGCCTCCCGAATAGCTGGGATTACAGACATGAGCCACCACGCCTGGCTAATTTTGTATTTTTAGTAGAGACGAGGTTTCACCACATTGGTCAGGCTGGTCTCGAACTTCTGACCTCAGGTGATCCACCCGCCTTGGCCTCCCAAAGTGCTGGGATTACAGGCGTGAGCCACTGCACCCAGCCTAAAGAAAACTTTAAAGTCCTAGTAAGAGACACACAAAAAGAAATCAATGAGTATATCTTATTCTTAAATAGAAAGATTTAGTTGTGTAAATATATCAATTTTCCATAAATTAATCCATAAATTCAGTGCAATCCCAACAAAAATATTAACAATGTTTTGGGAGGAACATGATAAAATGATTTTCATGTCTCTTTGGAACAATAAACAAGCAAAAGTAGTCTAAAAAATTCTGAGCGAGGGAAAAAGAGCAATGAAAGACAACTACCCTTCCAGACAGTAAAATAAAGCAACGGAAAGTTGTCCTACTCAGGAAACACTCAACAATGAGATATCAACAGAGAGCTCAGAAAAAGACCCAAATACATGCTGGAACTGAGTGTATGAAATTAATGGGGCATTTGAAATTAGGGTAAAAAAACAGACTTTCATTAAATATATTTTTAAAAGAAAAAGTAATCTAGATTTCTACGCTCACCCCTTCAACTAAAATAAACTGCAAAGGAATAAAAAATTTAAGTTTTTAAAAATGAAATCACAAAATAACTAAAAGAAGATGTACATAAATTTCTTTTTAATTTTACAAACTTAGTGACAGTAAACCTTTTCTGGATAGGACACCAAACTCAGAAGCCATAAAGGAGAAGACTGATACACTCAACTGTATGATAATTCCAAGCTTCTGTATTTTAAAAATTACCATAAACTGAATAAAGAAAGGACAAACTGGCAGAAAATATTTGCAACATTTTTATCTCCCCACGCATATTCATACTCATTAAAATGTAATTTCCAGCCAGGCGCAGTGGCTCACACCTATAATCCCAGCACTGTGGGAGGCTGAAGTGGGCAGATTGCTGGAGGACAGGAGTTCGAGACCAGCCTGGCCAACATGACAAAACCCCCGTCTCTATGAAAAGTACAAAAATTAGCCAGGCATTGTGGTACGTGCCTGTAATCCCAGCTACTCAGGAGGCTGAGGCATGAGAATCATTTGAACCTGGGAGGCAGAGGTTGCAGTGAGCCTAGACCGTGGCAGTGAGCCTAGATTGTGACACTGCACTCCAGCCTAGGCGAAAGAGACTCTGTCTCAAAATAAATAAATAAATAAAAATACAGTGTAATTTCCATAAGGGCAGGTGTGTGTGTGTGTGTGTGTGTGTGTGTGTGTGTGTGTGTGTGTGAACCGCTATATTCCCAGGCCTAGACTAGTACTTGGTATATGACAGATAATATTTATTGAATAAATGAATGAGCATTTGATACTCATACATACCAATTAGAAAAGATCAATGCCTAGCACAGTGCCTGGCAAACTGTAAGTACTCAAGAAATAGCTGCTGAATGAATAAATCTAATAAAATTACGCATAAAGGACAGGAATTAGCAATCACTTTTTAAAAAGGCAAATAAATGGCTAATAAATGTTCTTAAAATGCTCAAACAAGATCGTAATTTGGAGGAAAAAAAGAAAAGAAAATCAAAACCACACTATACTATTTTTTACTTCTTATTAGACTAGAAAAGAAATGTAAAGATAATGTATCAGTTCCCCCAAACAGATTGTTGCAAATGTATGAATAAATGCTCTTTTTCCTTTTGTGCTCCTACAACAAAACATCTGACACTGGGTAATTTATAAAGAACAGAAAAGTATTTCTCACATTTCTGAGACTAAGAAGTCCAAGTCAAGGTGCCAGCAGGTCTGTTGTCTGGTGAGGGTTCCAGCTCTGCCTCCAAGAAGGCACCTTGAATGCTGTGTCCTCTGGAGGGGAGGCATGCTGTGTCCTCACATGGCAGAAGGGGGCATAAAGGCAAAAAAGGACCAAAGGACCAAACTCCCTCCACCATGCCCTTTTCTAACATTATTAATCCATTCACAAGGGCAGAGCCCTCATGATCTAAACAGTTCCCAAAAGTTCCCAAGACTGTTGCACTGGGAATTAAGTTTCTAACACATGAATTCTGGGGGATACATTCGGACCACAACATTCTCCTACATTGTTGGTGGAAGTAAAAACTTTGATGAAAAGACTGGCAACATCTACCAAAATTTAAAACACACATACTCTTTGACCTAGAAATATCATTTCTTAAAATTTCTCCTACTGATAAATTTGCATTTACATGAAAATATCTCTGCAAGAATATTCAGAGTAGCCTCTGTAATAGCAGAAGTCTGCCTACAAAATAAAATATTTTGTAGTAATTTGAAAGTATAAAGTAAATTTATTACAGGCTGAATGTCCCTTATCTAAAATGCTTGGGACCAAAAGTGTTTTGGATTCCAGATTCTTTCAGATGTTGGAATATCTGCATTGTACTTACTGGCTGAGCATCCCAAATCCAAAAATCCAAAATCTGAAATGCTCCAATGAGCATTTCCTTTGAACATCATGTCAGTACTCAAAAAGTTTCAGATTTGGAGCATTTCAAATTTCAGATTTCATATGCTCAAGCTGTATATATGAAAAGATATATGAAATTTTAAAAAAGTAATTTGCAAAAAAATCCCATTTGTTTTTTAAAAAAGTGTGTATATGCATATATATGCAATAAAAACTTTTTTTAAATATTAAGGCAAGTGTTAAGGAAAAAGTAGATGTAGAGAGTCTTAATTTTATTAAAAAATCGGAAAAAATAAGCAAAGAAAATAAAAATTAAGGCAGGAATAAAAGTACATAGAGAAAGATTTTAAAAAGAGACAGCGTAGCACAAAAACCTGATGGCCCTATAATTCATATATTTACTTCCAAAAAGGATTTTGAGATAATCTGTAAGATGACAGAAACATATGCACTATAAGCACTAAAAGGAAGGAAGGCAGGTCTCTCATGTATACCATTGTATTCTCAGTGCCTACCAGATAGTAGGGACTAAATAAATATTTTTTAAGCTAAAGACACAAGTGAAAATAGAAACCACACAGAAAGAGGGAAGGCCAGGGGAAAACGATGATTATTATTGGGTACCAAAGTGTAGCTCCGAGCTTCCCATAGACTCAGTAAAAAAAAAAAAACAATCATGATGCTCGGAGTCAATAATCCTGTATTTTCAGGCTTAGAATAATGTGCTGGGTACAGAGGCTACACCACTATAAGAGGCACTACCAGAATCCCCCAAACCAGACTCCTTTGCATCCTGTATCTCAGATGCCATAATCATAGTCAAAGACATGAGTGGACTCCAGATACCACTAAGACCACTTACTGTTTTGATCATAGTTCACTACTTTCCTCCAACACCAATAAAAAGAGGGGCTTAAGACTGCAGATGCTGCTGCTATCTTATTTTGCTCCTAACTACTGAAGGAAAGAATACCTATAAGATAGAAAATAAAATATAAAGGAATTTGAAGAGGGCGTTTCAGATCCAAGATCAAATTTTGATTACCTGTATTAGTATAAGAAAATATTAATGGCAAATAGCTGAGATGGAGGATAATAAAAGTTTGCGAATCACCCCACAGACTCAGTTCAGGCTATAAATTTACTCCCAGTTGTGTCAAAGCACATCTGCAGTGGGAATCACCCAAGAAAGAAGAAAGAAACTCTGTCTCTAAATGCCAAGCAATGTGATTAGAATCTCCTACTTGTTTTTAGCAACAAGTTTATTTGTTGGGAGAATTTAATCAATCAAAAATTTATTTCCATCCAGTAGGTAAGTGGTGGCTAACAGCTTTCAACACAAGTGTAGATAAATTACAGACTGCATAAAAGCTATTAGAAGTACACAATTATCTAAAAATACTATTAGTCAAACTAATCAGAATAAAACTAAAGATTGCTATGCTACATGAATGGGAGAATTGAACATTTTATTTCTGGAATATAAAAGAACCACATAACTTCTTTGCTTTTATTTTCTTTTATAAAATAAGGGCAATCCTTCATTATCTAGATATTTCTCTCTAGAAGTTATGAAGAAAAATGTTTGACTATTTCTACCATTTGTTTTATTTTAGACAAAACTAATAATCAATCCTGGTTTTTATTCCTAAACCTTTGTTTTAAAGAAGGAATAAGAATCACAAGCATCAATTAGAAGTACACATTATTATTGCTGGTCTGCTTGTGGACTTGTTTGCTTAATGGTTTGAATACTATGATTCCATTTTCTTCAGGAAACTGAAACGAACAGTAATCTTTCCAGAATAAACTTCCACCAAGCAGTTTTAGTACAACATTTATCATACCTAGCAAAAATACCAGAGGACAACTCCATCTGCCACAACAAAACAGAGAAAGATAAAGGTCTCCAAACACTTTCCCAAAAAAGGGCCATATACCTAACACCACTGCAAGAGAAATGCAATCTGCACTTTGCAGACCTAGACAGGAATTGCTTCAATACTATCTTTTCCCCTCTTCCTCACCATAAAAACTACCCAACCCTAGTCATGAGGTACAGATCTACATCCCAAGACTCTTAGAAGATTAGGAACCTACAAATACCAACAAAGACAGGAAACAAGGACTTCTTTCCCATACAAGCTTTATGTACTGAGTGAGCACTGAAAAAAAAAAGAAAAAGTATGACCACCAAGAGGCATAAAGTGAGTACAATTCAAACTCGACATACAGTAACATAATCATCTATGTCAAATGCAGAACATCTTACAATGATATGTGATTGCTCCCATTCAAAAATTTTAGTTCGTTACGGAAAGGGAATAATTAAGGACCCCTTCAGAAAGCAAACATCATATCAAAAATGTGTTCACATATGATGTATGTACCAATTAGTCCGTCAGAGTTGTTATTTTGGATCCAAATAAAAAAGTTTATCAAATGCATTCCTTAGGTTGAACTTAAAGAAGGATTAAAATGAAAGAACATTTTTTAAAGGAATTTCTATAGAAAATGCAGAAAAATAGCAGAGCCAATTAGATCAATTTCCCTTCCCAAACTTTGTTTTAAATCCTTTGTATTTCAATTTTTAATTAGTTTTAAAAATTGATGGCCGGGTGCGGTGGCTCACGCCTGTAATCCCAGCACTTTGGGAGGCCGAGGCGGGCTGATCACGAGGTCAGGAGATCGAGACGATCCTGGCTAACACGGTGAAACCCCACCTCTACTAAAAATACAAAAAATTAGCTGGGCGTGGTGGCAGGCACCTGTAGTCCCAGCTACTGGGGAGGCTGAGGCAGGAGAATGGCGTGAACCCGGGAGGCGGAGCTTGCAGTGAGCCCAGATGGCGCCACTGCACTCCAGCCTGGGTGACAGCGAGACTCTGTCTCCAAAAAAAAAAAAAAAAAAAAAAAAATTGATTACAGCTGAACAACAGAAAGTAAAATAATACAAATAAAACCAAATACCAATTGTTTAAAACATTCAGTTTTTTTTTAAGGGAAGTTTTTTTTCTTCAAAAAAGGTTTGCATGGAAAATTGTAAGTAAATGTTTGTTGGTCCTTTATAATTGTATATATTGTCTTATAATCACACAAAAAATTCAAAATTCAGACATAAGTAAAAGGAATGCTATATCACATTTTTGTTGCCAATGGGAAAAAAAAATCAAAGTTTAAGTTACTATGGGATATGGAAGAAGTAACAGAGATAAGTAACTTCTTATTTCTCAGATGCTAAAATGTTTTGACGGGGTCAGGGAGTTCTCTCCCTTAAACAACAAAAACAGAATGGGTCTTCTTTCACATTTCTTATTTTTCTTCACCTTTATTGCTATGGTTTTCCCATATCATCTCTCCTTCATGAAAACACTGTCATATGTTCACTTAGCATACTTCCTAGAATATAACAATCTACCCTTTTAAAGTTACAGCCTCTATCTTCAAAAAACACATCACTCAAAACATGCATAAAGATCAAGAATTGTTCTTTTTTTTTTTTAAATGAAGAATCTCATTATCATAAGGCATTTTGGTTTGAAAAGATAACATCATTGAAGTCAGGCAAAGCTAAACTTGACCTTGGTCCTGCCATAATCAAACAACCCACTAAAGGTCTTTGCCAATCCAACCAACCACAGGAAAAGAGTAAAATCACACAAAAATAAGAGTTGGCTAAACTCCAGTTTTCATCACTATCTAGTTGGGCAATTTTCTGGCTAGCAATAATCCTTATTCCCTTGGAACTTTATCCCAGTAAGGGTGAGGGTCAGAATATATTTTCAAAAGTAATTTTCTCTACTCATCCTTTTCGAAACCTTTCCTTTCACAGCAACCTATCTAGTAAGCATTTCTAGAAACAATTTAGTATATAACGAGCCAGGAATCTTTAGAATAAGAACAAGTTGAAATGAAAAGGTCTTCAGACACTACTTCTAAAACAATCTGGAAACTGGTAGATGGCTCTTCTTTAGTGCTCTAAGCTATAGTAACAAAAATACTGGTTTATATTTTACTTTTGAACACACCAATGTAAGAAGAAGAGCCTCTTCTTTACTCTTCTTTCCAAACTGCTGACAATCTTATTTGGTGCAAGAAATCTATGAGTTATGAAGCCAGACTTACCAGACTACTGAATTCTCGTTCTTAGAATATGTAAAATCTATTGGGTAAGTGGGTTTTGGTTTGTTTTCCAAAAATACACTAGCATTTCGTACTTTGGATACTTGATCTTTGCAAAATTCAGACAAACACTGGCAAAGGAAAATGTTATAAACATCAGATTTTCTTACAGCCTTCAATGAAACCTATGTATAAAACTGTAAAAGTTAAATCATGATGAGTATGGGCCGGTTGATTGGATCTTTTTAACATAATCTAGAAAGTATCTTTCACTGAGTTCTCTTCAAGATAAAACTATTACACACACCTCACACTCTTGAAGGTCCTCTGTTTAAAGTTGTTGGAACAGATTTCTTTTGATGAAACTACTGAAAGATTATATATATTGAGAGGGATTAAAAATACTAACAAGATGAAAAGCATCAGTTACCAATATAATTCTTTCAGTACAACACCAAATGATAATTGCAATGCCTAATTAGCACTGAATAGTGTATTTTATTATGATTGTGCAATAAGCTTGATACACTGTTAATCATGTATTAACGTTAAATACCTATACTATAAACGTGCTAAAAAAAAGCTTATCAGTGATTAATGTTGAATACTGAAATTCTCATTGATATTTTGTAAAGGTCAATTTTGGGTATTTAAAAAGTTATAAAAGTGCATTTAACTGGGTAATGTTGGAAAATAAAAATTTAAAAATTTAAGGTAAAGGGGAAAATACGTAAAGCTGTCCTGTGTACTCATATTATGATTAATAACTAAATAAGGTATTCTGGCTTTTTAATAATCCAATTGCTAAAAGACCTATGAAGGATATTATGTTAGAAGGTTAAAAATTCTGGTTTTCACTTGTTTATACATGTTTGCCCTTTTTGTTCCTTTAGTTAACTAGATTAAAGCACTTAAAACCAAAAATAAAATTACTTTAGATTACCTATGTGAACTTTTTTTGGTTAGCTAATAATTCTTTCTATATTTTGATTGTGGGTATTGTGTGGGAGTGGGGTCATTGAATGGTGTGATATCGATAGAACAAGAAAAAGTATTTTTCTCTATTTTGTTTTTAAATGAAACAAACCAAAGCCTTTTAGTTATTCTAGCAACCCAAAGAAACTCCAAACTTGAATGTATTAGTCTCCTGCAATAATATTGAAAATCCTCTACCTAAAATGTCTTATTTTTGCTAAATCAGGCTAATTCTTAAAATTGCATATTGTCCTATTGTGCCTTCCTGAGACTCAACTTCCTCACTGAAAAAAAAAAAAAGAGGATAATCTGCATTTCATGGGGATGCTATAAGGATGAAATGTTTTAAAATACAGAAACAACCCAGTGTGATAAACTGACACACAAAAGGTACTTAATTAATCAGTTGACTTCTAGAAAATTCTGCACTATAAAACTTTAAGGTGATTAGAGATGTTTTGAATCTACTTATTGATAAGGCTGTGTGCATTTTCACACTTTCCACTCCGTTAAGACTATCAGATTTTATTCCAAGAAAGAGTGCAGGGAAGAAAAAGCAGCAGGCAAAAACTGAAACAGAAAAACAACATGGATGTTGTAGCTCTTACTTTCATTCTCTTATTTTTAAAAATAAACTTGACTTTTCATCCCTCTTGTTACCTATTTTTCAAAGAAATACAAGTTTCCTTAGTCTTTTAGTTTTTAGAAGCCATGTTTAGAGCTAAGCTGATATACTATGCCAAAAGTACACTTAAAACTGGGTATCTTCATTGCTGAACGTTTTACATTACAAGGCGTCAGTCTTTAAAAAAAATTTTTTTAAACCTGAAGATTACTGACAAATAAGCATTCTCTAACAATTATGAATTATTTCACATCATTTTAAGGTTTCACTTGATCAATTTTACATGCAAACGTACTTTCTCATTATTTACTCTTTCCTACTATGTTTCGCATGCCAAAAAAAATCCACTAATAGATTATAAACTCTGCTTGCCAGTTCCCTTCTCAACAACCTCCATCCATCCCAGCACCCACCCATTCCCAAAGAGATACCCAGCATTGTTTATGTGGAGTTGGAAACAATACACTCCCCACTGCTGGTTAATTTACATCAGATACAGCCAGGCCCAGGAAGCAAAGTGCCTGTCGTTTTCACCCCTTTTTTCTTCTCCCTTGCTTGCTCATGCCCCCTCACCCCTTTTAATTTAAATTACTCGTTTTAACTTAAAAACTTCTGGATGTTTTATTACCTTGGCAGCTTTTTCTCTGGATTGACTAAAAAGGTAAGTTTAAACAGTTTTTGTCAGTTAATATCTCTTCTTTTTTTTATATTTGTATCTGACAACCAGAATCCATAGTGTTAAAACTGCAATGATGATGCTGCTGCATTTTACCAGGCTAACTCAGGTTGGGCACAATTTCATTGTTTTTTTGTAACCTAAACATACAAAAAACAAAAATGTTACTTTGCATGCAGTTAAATTGGTTGTTCTCTAATCATCTCTATCTCTACAATCTTTATGTGCTCCTAAGGGATATAAAAAGATTTTATGTTAGGTTTTGTTGTTTTCATTCTTTATTTTTTTAACCATAAAATATTACACATGCAGATACAGTAAGTCATTGTTTCCTTGCCTATATATTTATAGAAAATTACTAAAAATCTAGTATTAAAAATACTATAAAGCCAAAATGCCAGCTTTTCTTTGAAAGCCACATTAACTGTGTCCTAATCAGTTTTTCTAAATTTCAGATATTTAAAAAGAATTAAATATAACATCTTTAATAACATGTATAAAGCCATTTCAAAGACTGAAATCCTAACTCTCAAATTTCACTAAATTAAATTTTATCTAAAACCAAGTAAGTTAAACATATTCCACTGTACATTAAAAATAAGATATGCAAAGACTCCCCAGTGTGTGCAAATGATACCAATAATTAAGAATCACATTTCGAGCTTTAAAACACTTCTATCTAAAAGAATCCAAAAGTGTGAGTAAATTGCTTTGACTGCTAACATTTACTTTCTGTAGTACTTTCTCTCCCCTTTTCATCCTAGCTCTCACCCCCACACCAACACACATACATAAAATAGATCATTTAGGCCAGTGGTATTTCAGTACATCGCCCCTCCTCCTCCACTTAGACAGTATTGCCTTTTATATCTATGTGGAGGTTCCCATGGCAACACTCACTTACACCAATACTATTTCCAACTGAAATGAGAGAATCCAAAATCTAAATGCTTCATTACTAAATAACATATACCCTAACAAGTAAGAATTGTTTTTCTCATTATCATTATTTTTCAATGTTTTTAGATTTCTGGAATTTCAGCAAAAAAATCATTTTAATATTATAGAAATAACTAGAAAAACAGTCATTGTAGGCAACTATATGTATGCATATCATTACATGAGATTTGTATGTGCTTACTCTTACTGCATAAAATTGATATGCTGAGCCAAGAAACCTCAATTATAATTATGAATAGTAAGTATAATTTTTACTAGTCCAGTTTACTCTATCAAATTTGATTTTTTTTTTTTTAATGTTGGCTACATAGCTCACAAAAGACCCTGGTGAGAAATTCTAACACAACAAGCCAAGAAGCAATTCATGGACAGCAGGAGGCAATTCCAGAACACAGGCATAATCTATAAAGAGAAACCTCTACAGCTTTTTGATGTTAAATAAGTAGAAATATTAGCATACAACAAAGCTAAGAAGCAGACTGTTGCATCAAGTTTAAAAGTAAAAATTTCAGGGTCAAATGTCATGAGTACCTTTGTCTAGACTACTTTCAAAAGTGAAATTTCCTAATTTTTAAAACCAAAAGGTCTCTTTTGGTAATACTGAAGGGTGCATATATTTAGTTTTAGTACAACACACATTCTCATCAAGTTATTCAAAATATAAGGGAGGGGAGGGTTTTGCTTTTAAGTGGGAACATCAAGGTGGGAGGTCAAACATTTACTTTGAAAACATATACATTTCTTAAAACAGGTTGTGCACATTAAGAAGCCTCAGAAGAGGCAAGAGTATAAAATGAGTAGCACTAAGCTTTTTGCTAAATGATCAAAGCTAAGCATTAAACATCACTCTGCATGGTGAATACATTTTTTAAAAGAATAAAAATCAATAGAATATACACTGAGCTTTATTTATTCTGACAACATATCCTATCACCTGGATAGCTGTATTAAGTAATTTAATTGTTTCTGCTACAGTTTATTAACTTATATTTATGGGTTCATAAAAATAGAACATGAATACGTATTTTAATGAAAAAAATCACACTTTTATAAAATTTATAATGAGCCTTTTTTTATTGTGCTTTTTACATTATCACTGTTTTAAAATGAGCTGATTCAAAAGACTATAAAGACTCCCTGAAAAACAGTACAGGAAACTCAAGAATTTACTTTCCCAAAAACAGCTTTTAAGACATGAACATGAACTGCCTAATGAATCTCATAGTTAGGCTTGTGAAAAGGACCAACTTGCACCTTTCAGAGGTTTCTCCCTCTTTTTAAAAATTCCCATACAGTAAAACCTGCTGACACTTTTTTTTTTTTTTTTTTTACAAGACCCAGGGAGGGGGGTGGAATCTTGCCACATGGTGGGGGGCGGGGATTTGAAATATTTGTGAGAATTTTTATACGCTGGATTCCCCTCTCCAGTGTTTAGACAAGCAAAAAAAAAAAAAAAAAAAAAAAAAAAAGCCAAATGTTAAATGCTTATTTTACTAAATGAAAAATAGCAATCCCCTCCAAATATTTCATTTTCATTTACTTTCGTTTTAATATCAACAACCTAAAAACAAATATTTAGAGTTTAGAAATCTTTTCAATTCTTTGCAGATACTTAACCTTGATATCAGATGTAGTTTTCAGTCAACTTCAAAAGTAAAATCGTTATATCTTTAACAAAAAATAATATATTTTATAATCCTTTTATCATTAGCAGGTTTGGATGCAATGCCACCTGGTGGCACAGATAAATTCTTAGCTGGACTTAGGTTTTTGGAAACTGAGCTGTTCTATGAAATACTAACCAACTCTTCTGACTACTCTAACCTCCTCCCAAACAAGTTATTCATCCCACAGTTTAACAATAAATGATCATTTTCATTTCAAAAATTTTAAGATTTTTAAGCAATTAAACTGTACATATGCACATGACAATTTCCTCAGCATTTAAACATCATAAAACATTTTTTTCATAAACCAAAATTATACCAAAGATTTACTTTTTAAAAGTTGAAATGTTTAAATATGGGGGAGGGGGTAAGATGGAGTAACCAAGTTGCTTTGTAAAATTACACTGTATAATTAATTCCATGGTAAGAATGTTTTTATGGTGTGTTTTGGTGACCTTTTATGACCATCAAGTTCACAATGCTGGTGGGCTGCCTTTTAATCCCTCCGCAGACAAAGGCCCTAAATAAACACAGATCCCTTCCTGGGAAAAAGTCCACTCTGGTTAAATGGTAAGGAAATGAGTAAATCATTAGTAATCTTTAAAGCCAAAGCTATAAACTCAAGTTACCTTAAGTTGAAATGAAAGTGTCCTGCAAGAGTTTCAAAGTTCTGTCACAGATAGAAATCTCCAGCTCTTGACTCCAGACTAGGCGCCAGCTGATAAACAAACAATTTAAGTCAAGAGCTGGAGAATTCCCAGCTTTTTCATTTAATGGCTTTGGCCAAGAGTATTTATTGCCTCCAGTTTTATTCTCACTTAGCTCTAAGAGGAAATTTAAACTCATCATTATCTTAAAGCCCCATATGGGTAGCAGTCAGCTCACCTGATAATAGCTCCTCTTACTCTGCACTGATTGTTGAGTCTCTACTAAAAGTGATGTAATAATATAAACTAATTAACCATAGTTTTAGGTTGACTTTTTAACAGGCTAAATAAATTTTGTTCAATATAGTTTACATTCCCACTTTGGATAGTTACAATTCCAAAAAGTTAAACTTTACAGTTTTCAGTAGAAACTACC
The DNA here is from genome assembly GCF_000001405.40 of Homo sapiens. Taxonomy (NCBI): domain Eukaryota; kingdom Metazoa; phylum Chordata; class Mammalia; order Primates; family Hominidae; genus Homo; species Homo sapiens. Next base: position 27,606,896 of record NC_000007.14, read on the forward strand.
AACTAAAATGGAAGAGGACAATGTAATCTCTCTCTCATTCTTGCATGCTCTGGTCTCTGGCACCCCCACCCCCTAACCCTTGTTCACTAGCTCCTCAATATTGCGTAAGGTAACTTTTCTGTATCAAATGTAGACTTTTCCTATTAGCTTGAAATATCCAGTGTTGCTCTATTTCCTAACAGAGCAAAGTGCAGGATTTAAGATGTAAATGCCGAATCATGAAAAGCTGTTGATTTTATATGTGTACTAATAAGAATGTAAAAGTTCAGTCCAATTAAAGACCATAAGATGTCATCAAACCTTTCTAAATGCTGTATTTAAAAGTCTGCGGCTGGGCGCCATGGCTCACACCTATAATCCCGACACTTTTGAGAGACCGAGGTGGGCAGATCACCTGAGGTCAGGAGTTCGAGGCCAGCCTGGCCAACACGGTGAAACCATGTCTCTAGTAAAAATATAAAAAATTAGCCGGGCATGGTAGCTCATGCCTATAATCCCAGCTACATGGGAGGAAGAGGCAGGAGAATCATCTGAACCCAAGAGACGGAGGTTGCCGTGAGCTGAGATCACGCCACTGAACTCCAGCCTGGGCAGCAGACCAAGACTTTGTCTCAAAAAAAAACAAAAAAAGTTTGCTATCAAAGATTACAGGTCTCAAAGTCAGAATTATGTCGCTGCTCTTATTCCTTTCTCAAAATTATCATTTATTTTTAGAAAAACCTCACCTCTACCCAGGATTTTATATGGAAATAATTATTTTAACTATCTGAATGTTTGTAGATATTTAACAATTACAGTAAACTAACTAGCCTCCTTCCTCCAGCTGCTTATCTAATGAAAGAATGCTGCAAAAAAAAAAAATGTTATAGCCTAAGGTAAAGGGTTAATAAAATATGCCATTAGTGCATAGAAAAATACTTTTCTTCCCGTTTCTTAATTTTCACAAAGTTTTATAAAACTATCTTGGCTGTAAAAGCCAATTAACTATTTCAGTGTCTGCCAAGACTAGTTTCTATTCTTTTAATATATGGACATAGTACATTAAATATGTTGGTCACTTAAGAACAAGTACTACTCTCACACATAAGAAGCATTAGGGGAAATGAAATGTAATTAATGATAAAATTATTCGTATTCTGGCCTCATACTAAGTTTGATTTTTTAAAATCTCCCTAGGTACAATGTCCTCCTAGAGGCTGTAGTAGATAAACAATTATGATAACCAAAACTAACAGTCAATAATAACTCAAAGCAAAAAGATGTCAGATACTAATGTTAAAATTCTTAGTACTCTTTTAAAAGAAATCCACATCTTTCCTATCCCTGTAGGTAACCTAAGCTAAATGCAAAAAAACAACAATCTTCTACCTTCAGGTCAGGTCAAAATCCCTCCAAGGCAAAAGACAGAAGGCATATCTGCTGCCATACTTTCCTTGGACCTGAAGGAAAGATGACTACTATGAAATTTGCATGTAAATTTAAAATGTTCACAACTACATCACCCAAGCAATGCAAAACAGAATTTTATGGCAAATACATAGAAAGACAGACTTAAAACTTAACGTCATATACTTTTCATCTGTTAACATTATCAAACCTCAAGAAAATCGGACTTCTTGAAAACTTCAAATAAGTCTGATAAGGTTTCAGTTTGATTATGGTAGCAAGGCCCTTGTCAAATTCTCAATTACATCTCCTCCTCCCACCTCACTGCCAATGCTATCCAGGGATCACAAACAAAACAAAATGAAGACATATAATACATAGAGTATACTGGAACTAGTTTCACATTGCTTAGAAATCAATAGATGTTAAAGAAAAATAAATTGTACATAAGTAATAGCTTCAGATTTATTTGCTAAATTCACCTTTATATAAACAGGGCTCAGTAGTCCTAAACTGTGACCAGACCCAATTGTGTCTGACTTACATCCTGAATGGCAATTAAAGGACATTAAAAATACCCTGGGATTACTTCAGGCAGGACCCCTGCCTTATCCATATACTTTCCAGCATAACCATGTAAAGAGAACACAGGTTCCCCCTCTACCACAGAATAGAGCCTGGCAAGAACAGCTGGTGTCATGGTTACTTGATTGGAAATTACAGTGCAATTAAAATTTGGCCTTCAGGTCTGGAGATAAAGGAATTGCAAACTGCAAAAGTAAATTTTTAGAAATAAAGTAGCTTGTTGTTGGCAATAATAGTAATTATTACTAACAATAAATAATGAGAGCAATAATAAAAAATACTGTAAAAGTGATCACCTTGCCTTCTCTAACACATTCTTCTGTAATTTTCTTAGGCGACAAACTGCTGGAGCTGCCTCAACCATGTTATCTTGGGCAGTGAGTCACCAGTCTTCTTTGAATGTGTTAAGAACTTAACACCTTATATATGAATTACTGTCTATGACAACTGTTGCAAGGCAGTCTTAGGCATGCCAAAGAATGTAAAAAGAGATTTTTATGGGCACCTCTTCTTCAGGACTAATTTCAAAGAAACCCTTGGAATTTATTTACCAAACATTTCTGAACTACTTGTGCAAACTGTAGAAAATCCCAGGCTAAAGATATTCTCCAGAGACAGAAAGGATACTTTATGGATACAGAGTGATAAGTAAAATTATGGGAAAATGTAAATGGCTAACATAATTGACCCAGTTCTGTGTACTAGTACTGATGAATCTTAACTCATTTCTAAGGAAATGGATTTGTCCCTCAAAGTAAGGTATACTTTAATTATAAGAGTTACTAAAGTTTTAAATAATAGCAAGTCAGACCAAGGAAAGTCTTATTTTATTTAATTTTTTTAAGATAATGTAATTCAAGCCTTTCATATAATAGTCAACGCACTAAGTACTTTAAATTTTATAATAAATAACAGCAGTTGCTAATTAAAAAGTAAGTTTTTAAAAATTTATTTATTTATTTATTTTTTGAGACAGAGTCTTGCTCTGTCGCCCAGGCTGGAGTAGACTGTGCAATCTTGGCTCACTGCGACCTCAGCCTCCCAAGTTCAAGCGATTCTCCTGCCTCAGCCTCCTGAGTAGCTGGGATTAGAGGCAAGCACCACCACACCCGGCTAATTTTTATATTTTTTTAGTAGAAATGGGGTTTCACCATGTTGGCCAGGCTGGTCTCAAACTCTTGATCTCAGGTGATCTGCCCACCTCAGCCTCCCAAAGTGCTGGGATTACAGACATGAGCCATCACGCCTGGCCAAAAGTAACTTTAAAATACATAATAGTACTATAACTCTTTAAAGACAGGAACCCATGGAGATGAATTATTTTACCAAAATATTTCAAATCATTTTTAAAAATTTTCTTAAACAGCCTTATTGAGGTATAATTGATATACTGCACATATTTAAAGTATACAATTTGGTGAGTTTGGACATATGCAAATACCCATAAAACCACCACCACATTCAAGGTAATAAACATTTCCATCACCTCCAAAAGTTTCCTCATGCCCCAAATGTGGTGGTGGTGGTTGCTTTGTGGTAAGAACACCTATCCTGGTATCTACCTTCTTAACAAATTTTTAATACTCAACACGATATTGTTAACTACAGGCACTATGTTATACAACAGCTCTCCAGAACTTATTCATTGTGTGTAACAAAAATAAATTCTTACTGAGGTAAGAATAAAACATAAGAATAAATATCACATACAAGACTACTGTATAATCGAAGCACTTGTGAGAGTATCAAAAAAAGACCTATTCTGATAGCCCTTCCCCCTCCACACATTATAAACCAAGGCAATTTCAGTTATATGAAATTTGATGGAAGAATTTGCTTTTGGACAAAAACAGCAATGTTTCAGCCCAAAGCCAAGTAAAACTGCCAAGTTATAAACTTCTCTAAGAAAACGTTTTAATGGAAATGCCAAAAGACCCTTAACTATAATAGTGTTAGGTGCCAAAATAGAAATAATTTTTTGTGGTCCTTTTACCATAAATTAGATACAGATCTAGTGGAAAAACAGTAGGTATCCAGTTCAGTGAGCAGTAAGGGCCAAGCCTGCATGGTTGATTTTAAAAACAATAATGAAGTCTATATGAAACTCACTGAGATTTACCAAGCAAGCCTACCTCTCTAAGAGAAATTTCTTAATAGGTTTTGTGCTTATTCTAAGAATGCCTCAAACAAATTACTAAAACTTAACTCAGCCAAGTAGAGTATAAAATTTGGTTTTCTGGTATGGAACTGTTATACAAACACATACACACAAGTTCAATTATTTAATTTTGACATTAATTCCTACCTAGAACAATACAGTTTAGCAAATCAATGAGGCGTGCCAACATGCAGTGCCTGGGGCTAACTACAAGCGCCACTTCAGAGTCACTTCAACTTAAGGTCTCTGGGCAAATCTACAGATGTATTAGGCAATCAGTGAGTTTATTCTTCAATTATTCAAGCACAGCTATAATGATGCCCTGGGAGCAGACTGAACAGTATTTGGTCATTAGTCACTAGCAATAGTTTTTAATTTAGTTTTAATTTGCTGTATGTCTAGCATTCATTATAGACGAGAGCTGATCAAGTTGGAACCAACACTGTGGTAGCAGACCCACTGCGTGTGTGCGCGCACACACACACACCCACCCACCCACACACGTGTATGTATCCAAAATGGCATGACTAAACAACATGAGACATTAAATAAGGATTACAACTTTCATAAAAATGTGATTTGCACAAGTTAATAGGGCATCATACTTATGAGACCTGTGTCATGGGCTAATTTATATAAAGCCCAGTTCACTTTACTTTGGAAACAACAAACTAATAAACAAAGGCATGGTATTAGACATACGGGGAGTCAGGTACAGGTTATTCAATTGAACAAACTCTGAGTGAAACAACTGCTAAGTCTGGTGATACAAAGATAAATGTTCCATGAACACACCAAGCTAGTTCAATGCCTCAGAGCCCTTACAGAGCAACTCCTTTCAGTGAAACACTCTTCTCTAAACCTTTTCATTCAAATTTCTGCTTAAATATCACTTCCCCAGAAAGGGCATCCCATCCACTATCCAAAAGAGCACTCTCAATACTTTCTATCTCCCAAACTGTTACTCTTCCTTTTTTTTTTCCTTCATAGCAATTATCACTGAAATTATTTTTATGTTAACTCTCTCTATTCCTCTATAAGTTTCAAGAGGCAAAGGACTTTGAGTATCTTTAAAGCCTTATCCCTAGTGCCTTCTTTGTATGAACTGGAAAATAAGGCAAGTCCCTTGTGGTGAAGATGCTGTCAGCATAATACAGAAGATGAGATTAAAGTGTATAATCAGAAACAAGTAGATAATCTTATAAGGACTATATAAATAATTTCAAGTACAAGATATTTTGTTGAAGAAAGAAATGCAGACCTTGATTTTTAAAGTTACATTCTCTTTTTCTTTTCCTTTTTTTTTTCTTTTTTTTTTTGAGAAAAGTCTTGCTCTTGTCCCCCAGGCTTGAGTGCAATGGCTCGATGTCGGCTCACTGCAGCCTCTGCCTCCCGGGTTCAAACGATTCTCCTGCTGCTGCCTCCCAAGTAGCTGGGATCAAGGTGACTGCCACCACGCCCAGATACTTTTTATTTTTTAGTAGAGACGGGGTTTCACCATGTTGGCCAGGCTGGTCTCGGACTCCTGACCTTAGGTGATCTGCTGCCTCGGCCTCCCAAAGTGCTGGGATTACAGGCATGAGCCACCGCGCCCAGCCTGTAATCTCTTTCTAAAAGTACCAGGCTCAGCCAGACACAGGGGCTCACACCTGTAATCCCAGCACTTTGGGAGGCCAACGCAGGAGGATCACTTGGGCCTAAGAGTTGGAGATCAGCCTGGGCAGCACAGCCAGACCCCATCACTACAAAAAAAATTTAAAAATTAGCTGGGCATGGTGGTGCATGCCTATAGTCCTAGATATTCCAGAGAATTCCTAGATATTCCAAGCAGAAGACTGCTTGAACCCAGGAGTTCAAGGATGCAGTAAGCTATTATTGCATCACTGCACTCCAGCCTGGATGACAGAGACCATCTCCAAAAAAATATATATATATTATTTATATATATATTATATATATATTTTATATATATAGGATATATATATCCAAAAATATATATATTATATTTACATAATATATAAATATATATAATATAATTTATATATATTACATATAAAAATTATATAAATTATAATTTATATATATTCATATAAATATATTTATATATATTTATATAAATATATTTTATATAAATATATATATTTATATAAATATATTTATATAAATATATATATTTATATTTATATTTATATATTTATCTTTCTGAAGCTGTCCTCCAGGTTATCTCCAGATTATTTAACTCTCTTTGAAGTGTAAGCTAAGTGCCTCTACATTTTGTTTTATATATATATATATAAAAGAATAAATTGAAAGAAGTTTCCCTGGATGGTAGAAAGAGCCTCGTTTAGATAGATAGACAGATAAAGCACAACAACAAAAAAATAAAGGTGGTAGGAGAATTATATGAACTAATTCCCTTTCTTCTTTATTTAAAGAATATGTACTAAGGAACTGTCAAATCTAATTCCAAATTCCACTGGTTCCCCCCAGGTTGTTGCTGGGAAGAAATTTTAAGAAATTTCCAGTTGATCTTTAACAGAAACTTTCCATTTCCAGAACTAAAAGTCCTTCTGTTGGCCTGGAATCAGCTGTATAGATTAAATCTAGTGGGGTTTTTTGTTGTTGTTGTGGGTTTTTTTTGTTTTTTTTTTTTGAGACAGGTCTCACTCTGTCACCCAGGCTGGAGTGCAGTGGCACAATCTCAGCTCACTGCAACCTCCACCTTCCAGGTTCAAGTGAATCTTCCATCTCAGCCTCCCGAGTAGCTGGGACTACAGGTACACGCCACCATGCCCGGCTAATTTTCGTATTTTTTGGTAGAGACAGGGTTTCACCATGTTGGCCAGGCTGGTCTCAAACTCCTGGGCCCCAGTGATTTGCCCACCTTGGCCTCCCAAAGTGCTGGGATTACAGGCGTAAGTCACTGCTCCCGGCCTAAATCTAGTGTTATTCTCTCTTTAAATATCCAGAAAGCTGACTATGAGATAAAAGTGTAAATAATAAAAGTCAACCGAGATGGGATGAGGACTGTTTCTTTATAGTGCCTAGAATGCTGTTAGAGATTAAACTGGTAATGAGGAGTTCCATTTCTGCTTGTTAAATACTTCTGTAACTATTTGCAAGTATTAGTATGTTTTTCTAAATTCTAAACTTTTAATGTAAGAACTTCCTCTTTAAGTTGTTCTGAGTATTTCTCTCTTATCTCATCCCCACTAAATTGATCATAATCACACTCGCCACAATGGCACCTAATATTACAATACAACATTTTAAACATAGTATATGCCTGCTACCTGACTGATAACAAAATGTAGAGGCAGTTAGCTTACACTTCACAGAGAGGTAAATAATCTGGAGATAACCTGGAGGACAGCTTCAGAAAGATGAATAACCGCAAGAAGGCTCAAAATATTTAACATCAGTCTTGAATTTTAAAGAAGAAAAGATTCTTGATTCAACCAACCATACTTTATTGTCTACAAGGAGATATACATTGGAGATATAAAATTAAATAAGACATGGTGTCTGCCCTCTTCAGTCTAGTAGAAGAGACAGGCACAAACATAAGCATAACACAGTTGTCCTTGCAATAGCATGGATTTCATACTATCATTGTTGCTATATAAAAATCCTCTCATCCCTTTGCTTTCAACTATAATTCTGTTCAATTCACAAATCCTTATATCTAAAAACAGATCTTATCCCATTAAACTAAAACATGTTAAAGATATGTCAAGGTATCACTTTACTTTTCTTTCTCTGGAGGCTTATTTGATGAAACAGCACTAGTCAGGTGGATCTCAATCAGGAAAGACCCCAAAAACTGGTTCCATCCCAATCCATCCACAGAACAAATGCCCCTTAGAGCCAGTTAACAAACATTCCAGGATGGACCTAACCTAATAGGACTGATCTGATCTCTCCTGAGTTCTCCAGATTCAAGAATAGTGGCTTCTCAATGATTCTTCTCGTGTGAATCTAAAACAGAAATGTTAAGCCTCTAATCTTAACAGAAATGTTAAGATTATAAAATAGCCTCTGAGGACTAGGAAATATGGCGATTCCCTGTTTTTACTACATGCCAGTGCCTATCAGCTAGCAACATAGGAGATAGGGAAGCAGTTGCCGGGGTAAATAAAATGGATACAAATGGAGTTATGAGAATCCCTTCTGATAACTATGACTGCTATGAAGAAGACAGGAGGCCACCAAGGAACGAGACTGAAGGGAGGAAGGTGTGACATAGTGTGGGAAGAACATTAGATTTAGCTGGAAAACTGATTCTAGTCCTAGAGTTGCTAACAACCTAGAGAACCCTGGGCAAGTCACTTATCCTCTTTGAACCTCGATTTTTCCATCTATAAAATGTTAATAGAGTTAAATTAAATTATTAGTAAGGTCCTTTCTAATAATAAAACTGAAGTCTAGGAGCACAAGAGACGTTTAACAGCTAGACATACTACCGCCATGCACTGCATAATGACATTTCAGTCAATGACAGGCTGCATATACAACACTGGTCCCATGAGATCATCACGGAACTGAAAAATTCCAGTCACCTAGTAATGTCACAGCACAATGCATTATTCATGTTTGTGGTGATGCTGGTATAAACAAACCTACTGCACTGCTAGTCAAATAAAAGTGTAGCACACAACAATTATGTACAGCACATAATACTTGCTAATGAAAATAAAACAACTCCGCTACTAGTTTATGGATTTACTATATTTTTAGAGTAAATAGAGTATAATCCTTCTATTGATAAAGAAAAGTAAGCTATAAAAAAACCCCAGGCAGGTCCTTCAGGAGGTATTCCAGAAGAAAGCATTGTTATCTTAAGACATTATGGCTCCATGCCTGTTAATTGCCCCTGAAGACCTTTCCAGTGAGACAAGATGTAGAAGTGAAAGACAGTGTGTCTAAATGGACTACCATTTAGTGTTGCTATAAAGGAATACCCAAGGCTGGATAATTTATAAAGAATAGAGGTTTATTTGGCTCGCAGTTCTGCAAGCTACACAAGAAGCATGGCACTAGCACCAATGCATTTTCTGAGGGCCTCAGGCTGCTTCCTCTCACGGCAGAAAGTGAAGGGGAGCCAGCACGTGCAGAGATCACAGGGCAAAAGAGGAAGCAAGAGAAAGAAGGGGAAGGGGCCAGACTCATTTTAACAACCAGATATTGTGGGAATTAAGACTGAGAATTCACTCACTCCTCACCTCCAAGGAATAGCATTAATCTATTCACGAGGGATCTACCTCCATGGCCCAAATACTTCCCATGAGGCCTCTCCTCCAACACTGGGGATCAAATTTCAACATGAGGTCTGGAGGGCTCATATATCCAAACCACACAGCACAGTAATATCAAATGAGTGAATGTGAAGGCTTAGGAAAGGCCCAGGCTAATGTGTGTGATCATGTCTTCGTTGTTTTTTTTGTTTGTTTGTTTTTTAATATAGGGTTTTTCTGTCGCCTAGGCTGTAGTGCAGTGGTGCCATCACGACTCACTGCACCCTCAATCTTCCAGGCTCAATCGACTCTCCCACCTCAGCCTCCTAAGTAGATGGGACTACAGGTGCACACCACCATGCCCAACTGATTTTTCTATTTTTTGCAGAGAAGGAGTCTTGCCATATTACCCAGGCTGGTCTTGAACTTCCGGGCTCAAGTGATGTGCTCGCCTTGGCCTCCCAAAGTGCTGGAATTACAGGCATGAGCCACTGCGCCCAGCCCCCATGTCTTCCTTTTTTAGAAAAGAGTTAAAAGGTAAAAAAAAAAAAATTTTTAATTAATAGAAAAAAAGCTTATAAAATAAGAATATCAGGAAAAAATATTTTTGTACAGCTGTATAATGTGTTGCTGTTTCGAGTATTATTACAAGAGTCAGAAAGTTTTTTAGAAATTTAAGTTTGTAAAGTAAAAATGTTACAGTAAGCTGAAGTTGATTTATTATTGAAGAAAAATATTTTTTATAAGTTTAGTGTACCCTAAGAATACAGTGTTTATCAAGTCTACAGCAGTGTACAGTAATGTCCTGGGCCTTCACATTCACTCACCGACTCATCCAGAGCAATTTCCAGACTCACAAGCTCCATTTATGGTAAGTGGCCCTATACAGGTGTGCCATTTTTTATCTTTTATATTGTATTTAATATTGTACCTTTTCTAGGTTTAGATATGTTTAGAAACACAAATACTTACCATTGTGTTACAACTGCCTACAGTATTCAGTATAGTAACATGTTGTATAGGTTTATAGCCTAGGAGCAATAGACTATGGCAATATAGCCTAGATTCAGGTTTGTGTAAGTACACTCTATGATGTTAGAACAATGACGCAATTGCTTAACATTAAGTGACACAACACTGCATTTGATCTCAGCAGTCCTAACACTATAACAACTTATATTAAATTTTCACCAACTTGGTCAAAACTCAGTTACCTGGTTGAAAATGGCTGACGACAGATACCAGACAGCCACCCTCTCCAGAAAGAAGAGCCAAAATTAGGAATAAAAATACCTCAAATAGAAGAGAACACTAGAGTCCAAGGGTGAATTCACAGCAAACACCAGAGGCATAGAAAGAGAAGAAAGGAAGCAGCCAGCTTAACCAAGATCAACCAAGAGCCCCGAGGGACTCCCTATTACAGGAAAACGGTAAGTAAAAGAGCTTCAGCAGTCCACGTCTCTGCAATGGACTGTTGCGATATGAACCACAAGAGAGCTCCTCTACTTACATGAACCCTGACACTAGCGCAGGTGGAGATCTGGAAACCCTGCAAGGGCAGGCACTGCACCAGACAGGAAACTCATCCTGGGTCATTCACCATCCCCCAAGACCTGAATGGCTGTGGTGGCACAGCACTGGCTGGGTCCAAAGTGCTTTAACCCACAGGGTATACTACTCCCCAGGAAAAAAATGGTGCAGTGCGCTGAAAGGCAGTACCTGGGACAAAGGAAACTGAAGCACACTCTACAGTGTCTGAGAGCTCCCTGTCTGGGGCTGTGAGAAATGACTCCAAGCCCAGCAATTCACAAACCCTGTGCTTGGCTTTGCAAAGGAAGAGTGAACTCTTCTCCTACTGGTGGAGCAGCCTCTGTGATCAAGCTCTCACACAGAGCATGGTACCCTTCCCCCTGCTCTGTACACTTGCTCCTGCTATCACCGGAGGCTGGGCCAGGCAAGCTGGAGGGCTACCTATCCGGGGCAGAGAGTGGTGACTGAAATCCCACTGGCAGCATGGCCTCCATGCTAAGGCTCACATGCAAAGGCAGGGCCCATACACCACTCTGTATAGCATGGCAGCATTGCTGCTATAGACGGCAGAAAAGCCTGGTAGCAACATGTCTGGGGCTGTTGGGGGTGACCCTGTATTGCAGCCACAACCAGTATCGCAGCCACCACCATCACCAGCCCACGCAGATAGGGACCCAGAAGGTAATCAAACCACCACTATTGCCATTGCCCATACCACTCCAGCTGACCAGTGACATAAGAACCTGCTCACCTACCCAGCCCCCGCTGCCACTACTGGCATTGGAGTAAGCCATGTGAAAGCCCAAGAATTGGTCCACTGGTAACCACTGACACAGGTGCCAGCATGTATGAGGCTGTTCTTGCATTGCTATAAAGAAATACCTGAGGCTGGGTATTATAAATAAAAGAAGTTAATTGGCTTTTGGATCTGCAGGTTGTCAGGAAGCATGGCATCAGCATCTGCACAGCTTTTGGATAACCCTCAGGGAGCTTTTTCTCATAGTGGAAGGCAAAGGCGGAGTGGGCATATTACATGGCCAGAGTGGGAGCAAGAGAGAAGGGGGAAGGTGCCACACACTTTTAAACAAGCAGGTCTCCTGAGTAGTTACTCATTATTGCAAGGACAGCACCAAGGGGATGGTGTTAAACTTTCATAAGAAATCTGCCCCCGTGACCTCCCACCAGGCTTCACCTCCAACACTGGGGATTACATATCAACATGAGACTTGGGGAGACAAATATCCAAACTGTATCAATTGCCCTGGGGAACAAAGCATGCACAGCCCACTGCTGCCACCACTAGGGCCTGAACACTGGCCTACCTGGCTTCCCAGTCCACACCACAACTTCACCACAGCTTCCACTAATAACTTCACCCTAACCCTCCAAGGAAATAACAGATACCAGAAAAGCTATTTACAGCCAAGGAAACCATGCAGTGACTATAATACTGCATGCAACCGTAATCAAAGCCAAAGAGCCCTGCTCAATCATGAAACCACAGATACACCTTTAAGAAAAAGTCTTCCCCTATAAAAAGTAAATTCAAAAATAGGAGGAAGAGACTGTTACACCAGATGCACAGATATCAACATGAGGACACAGGAAACATGAAAAAGCAAGGAAATATGACATCTCCAAAGGAATACAACAATTCTACAACAATATATTTTAATTTTTAAAAATCTTCAAAATTCCAGATAATACATTTAAAATATTGATTTTAAAGAAGCTCAGTGAAAAACAGATTAATTCCAAAACACAATGCAAACAAATCAGAATAACAATTAAGGATATGAATGTGAAATTTACCGAAGAGATAGATATCTTTAAGAAGCAACAAGTAGAAACTCTGGAACTAAAGAACTTATTGGAGGAAATATAAAATACATTAGAAAGCTTCAACAATAAACTACACAAGGAGAAGATAAAAAGCTCAGAACTTGAAGATAGATTTTTTGAAATAATGCAGTCAGACAAAAATAAAGAATTAAAAAGAATGAGTAAAGCATTCATGACATTTGGGACAACATACAGTGACCAAATATACAAATCATCAGTATCTCCAAACCCACAGAGAAAGTGAAAAGATCAGAAAATCTATTTAATGAAAGAATAGGTGAAAACTTCCTAAGTCTAGCAAGAGATTTAAATATTCAGATACAGGAGGTTCACCAATTCCCAGAAAGATACAATGCTAAAAGATCTTCTTCACTACACATTTTAATCAGACTGTCTAAAGTCGAATCCAGCAGGATATGGTAGCTCACTCCTGTAATCCCAACACTTTAGGAAGCCAAGGTGGAGGAGCGCTTGAGCCCAGGAGTTTGAGATCAGCCTGGGCAATATACTGAGATTCCATCACTACAAAACTTTTAAATTAGCTGGGCATTGTGATGCGTACCTGTGGTCCCAGCTACTCAGGAGGTTGGGGTTGGGGGGAATCGCTTGAACCCAGGAGTTCAAGGGTGCAGTGAACTTTGATCACACCACTGCACTCCAGCCTGGGCAACAGACTGAGACCTTGTTTCTAATAAACAAATAAATAAAGTCTAAGCTAAACAGCAAGACAAAAGCATCTGGTCACCTATAAAGGGACCCCCATAAGACTAACAGAAGATTTATCGGCAGAAACTTTATAGACCAGAAGAGAATAGGATGATATATTCAAAGTGCTGACAGGAAAAACAACAACAACAACAAAAACAAACCAAAACAAAACAAAAAAAAAACCCTGGCAGCCAAGAATACTGTATCCAACAAAATTACTGTTCACAAATGAAGAAGAAATAAAGTCTTCTCTAGAGAAGCAAATGCTCAAGGAATTCATTACCACTAGCCCAGCCCTACAAGAAATAATCAAGGGAGTCCTAAACCTGGAAGCAAAAAGACATTTACCATCATGAAAACACATGAAAGTATAAAACTCACCAGCAAAGCAATCACACAAAGAAAAAAGGACTCAAATGGTACCAATACAGAAATCCACCATGCCATAATGACTAACAATGAGAGAAAAGGAAAGAAACAAAATATATAACACCATCAGAAAATAATTAACAATATGACAGGGACAAAGCCTTGCATATCAATAATAACCTTGATAGTAACTAAACAGATTAAATTATCCTCTTAAAAGATACATAAAGGTTGAATGGATTTAAAAAAAAAAACAATCCAACTGCTTACAAGAAACTCACCTCACTAATAAGGACACATACACAGCTAAAGTAAAAGAATGGAAAAAGATATTCCATGCAAACAGAAACCAATAGCAAGCAAGAATCGTTATACTTACATCAAACAGACTTTAAATAAAGAACAATAAAAAGACAATCATTAATTGTAGGGCATTAAATAATGAAAAAGGAATCAATCCAGCAAGATGATATAACAATTCCAAATATATATGCACCCAACACTGGAGCACCCAGATTCATAAAACAAATATTACTAGATCTGAAAGAGAGATCCAATAATAGTTGGGGGCTTCAACACCCAATTCTCAATGTTAAACAGATCACCTAGACAGGAAGTCAAGAAAAAAACGTTGAATTTAAACTGGAGTTTACACAAAATGGACCTAACAGACATTTACAGCACATTTTATCCAACAGTTGCAGAATATACATTTTTTCCATCAGTATATGGAACATTCTCCAGAATAGACCTTTTATTAGGCCACAAAATAAGTCTGAATAACTTTTAAAAAACTGAAAACAGCCAGGCGCAGTGGCTCACACCTGTAATCCCAGCACCTTGGGAGGCCAAGGCAGGCAGATCACTTGAGGTCAGCGGTTTGAGACCAGCCTGACCAACACAGTGAAACCCCGTCTTTACTAAAAATACAAAAATGAGCCAGGTGTGGCAGCACAAGCCTGTAAACCCAGCTACTCAGGAGGCTGAGGCAGAAGAATCGCTTGAACCTGGGATGTGGAGGTTGCAGTGAGCCGGGATGGCACCACTGCATTACAGCCTGGGTGACAAAGCGAGACTCGATCTCAAACAAACAAAAAACTGAAAACCTGTTAAGTATCTCTTCGCGCCACAATAAAATATAACTAAAATTAATACAAAGAAGAATTCTACAAATACACGGGTGGGGTGGCGGGGAAACATGCTCCTGAATGACCACTGTGGTTGACTAAGAAATTAAGATGAAAATAAAGGCTGGGCACCATGACTCATGGCTGTAATCCCAGCACTTTGGGAGGCCAGCACTTTGGGAGGCCAAGGTAGGAGGATCACTTGAGCCCAGGAGTTCAAGACTAGACTGGGAAAACAGTGAGAATCCATCTCTACAAAAATTAGACAGGTGTGGTGGTACACACCTGTAGTCCCAGCTATTCGAGAGCCTGAGGCTGGAGGACCCCTTGTGTCCAGGAGGTTGAGGCTGCAGTGAGCTGTGATTGCACCACTGCACTCCAGCCTGGATGACAAGGCAAGAGCCTATTTTTTTTTAAAAAAGTTAAAAATAAGAAAACATGGAAATTAAAAAAATTTATTGGAACAAATGAAAACAGAAACACAACATACCAAAACCTCTGGGATACAGCAAAAGCAGTACTAAGAGAGAAGTTTATAGCAATAAATGCCCAAAGATCATAACATAACATAAAATGAACAGGAGAAAATAAATAATAAAGATCAGAGCAGAGCTAGATGAAATAGAGACTTAAAAATACAAAGGATCAACAAAACAAAAATTTGGCTCTTCAAAAAGATAAATAAAATTGATAAACCATTGGCTAGTTTAACCAGGAAAAGAAGAGAGAAGCCTCAAATAAAATCAAATGAAAAATGACACATTACAACTGATACCATAGAAATACAAAAGATCATCAGAGACTATTATGAACTACTATACGCTTAAAAAGCAGGAAAACCTACAGGAAATGAAAAATTTCTAGAAACATACGACCTACCAAGATTGAATCAGAAAGAAATAGAAAACCTGAACTGACATTATAGGTAGCAAGATGGAAAGAATAATAAAACATCTTTCAACATGGAAAAGTCCAGGACCAGACAAACTGACAGCTGAGTTCTACCAAACTAATACTAATCTTTTTGAAACTATTCCCAAAAACTGAAATGGGGAGAATTCTCCCTAACTCATTCTATGAAGCTGGAATCACCCTGATCCCAAAATCAGACAAGGACACAACAAAAAAAGAAAACTACAGGCCTATATACCTGATGAACACAGGTGCAAAAATTCTCAACAAAATACTAGCAAACAGAATCCAGTAGCATATCAAAAAGATAATACAACACGATCAAGTGAGATTTACACCAGGGATATAAGGATGGTTCTATGCAAATCAACAAATGTGATACATCACAACAGAATGAAGGACAAAAACCGTATGATCATCTCAATAGACACAGGAAGCGTATTTGATAAAATTCCACATCCCTTCATAATAATCCTCAACAAACTAGGCATAGAAGGAACATACCTCAAAATAATAAAGGCCATATACAACACACTCACAGCTAACATCATATGGAATGGGGGAAAGTTGAAAGCTTTTTCTCTAAGAACTGAAACAAGACAAAGATACCCACTTTCACCACTCCTATTTAACATAGTGCTGAAAGTCCTAGCCAGAGCAGTCAGGAAAGAGAAAGAAATAAAAGTCATCAAAATCGGAATAAAGGAAGTTAAACTGTCCCTTTTTGCTGATGATATGATCTTACACCTAGAAAAACCTAAAACTCAACCCAGAAGTCTTAGATTTGATAAATAAATTCAGTAAAGTTATAGGATACAAAATCAACACACAAAAATCAGTAGCATTTCTATAAACCAAGAGTGATCTAGCCGAGAAGAACATCAAGAAAGCAATCCCACTTATAATTGCTATGAAAAATAAAAGTATCTAAGAATAAATTTAACAAGGTGAAAGATCTCTACAAGAAAAACTACAAAACACTGATGAAAGAAATTGAAGATGACATAACCAAATGGAAAAACATGACATGCTCATAGATCACAAGAATTAATATTGTTTTTTGTTTTTTGAGACAAGGTCTCACTCTGTCACCCAGGCTGGAGTGCAATGGTGCGATCTCAGCTCACTGCAACCTCTACCTCCCGAGCTCAAGTGATTCTCCCGCCTCAGCCTACCAAGTAGCTGGGACAACAGGCGCATGCCACCGTGGCCAGCCAAATTTTTGTATTTTTAGTAGAGACAGGTTTCACATTGTTGCCCAGGTTGGTGTCGAATGCCTGAGCTCAGGTGATCCACCTGCCTTGGCTTCCCAAAGTGCTGGGATTACAAGCATAAGCCACCGCATGCCCGGCCAAATTAATATTGTTAAAATGACCATATTGCCAACAGCAATCTAAATATTCAATGCAATCTCTACCAAATTACCAAGTTATTTTTCACAATATCAGAAAAAAAAAAATCCTAAAATTTGTACGGACCAGAAAAGAGCCCGATTATTCAAATCAATCCTCAGCAACAAGAACAAGGCTAGAGATGCCACATTACCTGACTTCAAAACATATTCCAAGGCTATAGTAATGTTAAAGCTGGCCTTCATATCAAAACCGCATTACAATAATTCTCCTTCAGAAAGAGTTTATAACACTTGTACTAAATAAGCACAGGTAGCACACTGATAATACAAGCAACATTAAATACTTCTATATAATTATGGAAATATCAACTTTATTGGCTGCATCAGTTATTTACTGCTACATATAACACCCACCCCCAAATTTAGTGGCCTTACTTGTTCACAATTCTGTAGGTAAGCACTTTAGATTGGGTCTAGCTGGAATGTTCATCTGCTGCTTAGCCCTAAGGTCACTAATTCTTCCATTTAGCAATCTTTATTTCCCTCTTGAAATATATGAGAACTCTAGAAAATATTATTTCCTAATACAGTAGAATATGCATTAAAGAACCATCATATCAGTCCTTCAATTCTGCCCCTGATCAACAGTATGGTCTTGAGGTAAGTTATCTAATATCTCTTGGTGTTACTTCCACCCTTGGTAAAATGGGAGTATCACTGCTTATCCTGTCTATTTCACATGGTTGTTTTTCCAGTTGAAGTCAACTCAAGTTTTTAAACATTTAGTGAAGACCAACCATGTTCTAAGCATTACACTGGAAAAACAGAGACTAAAAAGACACCTTTCCATGGTGTGTAAGAATGCGAATATTTTTTTAACTTGGAAATAATCCAAATGTATATCACAATAGAAAGAAAAAATAGTGATGTATTTATATAGAACAATACCACAGAGCAGTTAAAATGAAAGAACTGCACGTAACAACCACATAATGGCAATACATTTTATGTACTGCACATGGGCATCTAGCCAAATGGGTGAGCAGGGGCTGACATTTAATCTACATTCAATGTGTCAAACCGCAAACCCTGACATAAGGCTACACGTGTCTACAGAAAGGCATACCTTTTTCTTTATACAAAGGTTCGTTCTGCTCACCTGAAGGGCTATTTTGGTATAGAGAGGTGCCCTTTCTAATTCTCACACAGGTACCAAGTAAGCCAGTGGCTCTAGTAACACCAGGGTTGAAACTCAGAAATACAGTGTAAAGTGAAAAAGCAAGTCACAGAATATGCTCATTATGGAACATTTCTATAATGTTCCAAAGGTGGAAAATAAACTACTGTTTAGAAATAAAAACATATGGAGTTAAACTTAAAAAAAAAAGCATGGGAATGAGACATAAAATTCAGGATGCTGGTTACCTCTCATCAGAGAGAAAAGAAAATAGGATCAGGGAAACAAGAACTTCAAAGGTAATAAATAGCAAGGCTCTAGTTCTTAAACTGAGTAGGGGGTACGTATTAGTTCAATGTATACTTACACTTTATACCGCACATATATTTTATAAATATGTTGCACATATATTCAATATTTAATTTTAAAAATTGGGGAAAAAAACTTACTCCCTGCACTAAAAAAGCTTAAACTCAAGAGGAAGAGAATCATAGCCTATAAATATAGCGTGATGTGGGCTCTGATAAAGATGTACACTTTAAGGCCAGGCATGGTGGCTCACGCCTGTATTCCCAGCACTTTGGGAGGCTAAGGAGGGCAGAACACCTAAGGTCAGGAGTTCAAGACCAAACTGGCCAACATGGTGAAACCCTGTCTCTACTAAAAATACAAAAATTAGCCAGGTGTGGTGGCAGGCGCCTGTAATCTCAGCTACTCGGGAGGCTGAGGCAGGGAGAACTGCTTGACCCTGGGAGGCAGAGGTTGCAGTGAGCCAAGATTGCACCACTGCACTCCAGCCTGGGTGACACAGTGAGACTCCGTCTCAGAAAAAAAAAAAAAAAAAAAAAAGATGTACAGTTTGACAGCTTCAAAAAGAAGCACCAACCCCATTTTACATGATGTGATTATTAGGCAGTGCATGCCAGTATCAAAACATTTCATCTACCCTTTAAGTATATACACCTATTATATACCCACAAAAATTAAAATTAAAACAAAAAGAAGCATCAAATAGGCTGAGGCATGCCAAAGTGCTTTATAAACTACTATCTATACTATAAAGTGATAACTACACAAATATTAAAGTGGTTCTTCACATTGGTTTCAGGATGATAAACATAACAGTTTAAGCATTACTTTCGATTTTTAAAAGAAGTCATATAGCACTTAAATACAATTGTATTCTTTCTAATAAGGATAATGTACACAGGAGCCATTACACAGTGGGTCTAATAAGTATCAAAATGAAACCTGAGGAAAACTTTCCATCTGTTATTCCATAGGCTAGAAAAATGATTAAGTAATAATTCTTACTTTACTCCCCAGAATAATACTTACCAGGAAGTAGGGGGAAACGCTTGACTGAAGAAACCAATTGCTTCTCAAAAATCATTACTATTTTAAATTCATCTGAGTTTTTTAAAAAAACTTCTCTTTAAAATACTAACCATAGGATAATAGAAGTATAGTATGTTCCCATTTACACTTTTAGAATACTACTCTATTTGTACGTACCTATATATAAATCCATGATGCATTTTTTAAAGTCTGGAATAGGAAATAGATGAAGACTTGGGAGAAAGGGATGGGGAGAAATTCTTCAAGTTTTGTTCAAATGATCTCAAAGATTCCATGTTTCAAGACTGATGAACACTGGACTTCTATAAAACTGTGGGCCCATTCTGGGTATCTAAGCCATGCTTTCCCCACATCCCTTTTGAAACCACCCTCACAGAGTTGATGGAGAACTACAAGCCAGGCTTTAGGCAGAATTATAGTCAGGCATTGACCAGGGTGCACTGGGGTACTTCAACCCACTTCCCTGTAGCTGGTAACTAACCAAGGGTCATGCGGCATGCTGACCACCTGCTCCCCCATTGTTCCTATACACAGAATCTCTGACACTGGACCTTTTTACCCAAGAATTGCTTATGGTGTTTTTCAGGTCCTGAATTCCAGCAGAATGGCTGAAGCCAACCAGTCTCAAGACCTCAACCAAGGAACCAACCAACTCTGCACAGGAATGCGGTTTCTTCATCTCCCTGTCCCAGGAATTCCCCCTTGCTTCTTGACCAATCAGCAATCCCCACATTTTAGCCCTACCTGTTCAGACCCTTTACAAGCTCCATCCCCAAACCCTGGAGGGAGGAGGATTTGAAGGTTCCTCTGTCTCATTTGACTGCCCTACAATTATTAAACTCTTTCTCTACTGCAACTCCCATTGTGTCTGCATACTGGTCTGTTATCATGCAACAAGCAATCAAACCTAGTGGTCCTATAACACTTTGGTTTAACTTTATTTAGTTAAAATACAGTAATTTTTAAACCAGCCTATTTTAAGTGGGAAGGTGGAACAGTTTGTAACATACCATGTTAAAAAATATAAACATAATAACAATAAGACCAATATAAATAAGCTGCTATTATATACTGGTTAACCTCATAATGATCATGTGTCAACCAATAAATTACCACAAATCATCCCTGCACAAAGCTTTTAATCTACTACATATGCAGGTTCAGGTGTATTCAGTTATGTTAGCATTTTTGTACACTAAAACAACAAACCAAAGTTTAAAAATTGCTTGATAAGAACAAAAGAGTAATTTCAAAGTTTTCTCATAAGATTATATTTTAAAGGTTAAAATAATGTTTAAAAATCAAATTGGTATTTTTTATTATCAGATTATAATTTCAGGTTGTACTCTTGAGACCAAAGAAAATCAATCAATGGCAAGAACATTTGTACCATACCAATTTTCAAATTCAACTGCAGAACCACTCTAAGAAAGATCTGTTCAGTTTATTAATTCCATCCAATAAAAACCACATTAACGCCAACCTTAAAACTGCTTATTAGTATTTTGTAGGTACTTTTAATCAAAGTACCTATACCACATCATAAATTTTTATACCTAAATCCTATTTAAGTAATTCAATATAACAATCAGAAGAGCCAGCAATTATTTATTCCTCCACCTATATTCAAAAATCATTTGGGATATAAGGTACCTCTACAAGATCATTAAGTTCTTTATAAAAAAATACGAAATGATTTAAATTATTATATGTTACTTTTTAATTCTAAAGCCCACAATCAAGTTTAATGTAACTGGAATAAAATTCATATTCTGCTGTCTACTGCTATACTGCTACAAATACATAATATAAATGTGTACACAGTAATTCTGATTACACAGTAATTTTGGAAAACTTGGAAATTACAGAGAAGCCATACTATAATCCTGCCATTCCAAACTACCCAGATACCTGCTATTAATGTATGAGTTAATAGTAAATTTTTAGCATTTCATTAGTGGGTCTTTTCTTCTAATTGAGACAATCATATGACTTTTAACCATGTTAACATGGTAAATTATATGCACAGATTTTCTAAAATTAAGCCATCTCAGCATACATGGGCTAAAGGAAACTTGGTTATAGTGTTTAATCTCATTCATACATGGTTGGATTCAGTTTGCTAATATAAAGTTTTTACATCTACATTCATGACTAAAATAAACCTATATTTATTTTTTCTCTTTTATAACATTTCTATCTGGTGTAAATATCAGAGTTATAAAGGTCTTACAGAATGAATTGGGAAGTATTTCCTCTTTTCCTGTTCTCTGGAAAAGTTCGTATAAAATTTAGATGATCTGCTCCTTGAAATTTTGGTAATATTCATCTGTAAAATGATCTGAGCCAATGCTTCCCTTGTGAAACAATTGTTTTTCTTTTTTTCCCACTTGTTCAATTTCTTTAACAGTTACAGGATTATTTAAGCTGATTTTTTTTTCAATAGTTCCAAAAAAAATTTTCTAAAAACTGATGTATTCCTATCCACAGTAAATGGACCAAAAATTCACAACACTTCAAAGTTATGACACTTTTTTATCTGAATTTAAGACTAACAATGTTAGTTATTTAGACTTGAGAGTACTAAATAACGTATCAGTTTGGCTTTATTTTTAATGAGAATCCTGTAACAAGTCTAAAAATAACTACTACAAAACCATATGGTACAACAAAACCATAATTGCTACTTTTGACAAACATAAATAGGTTTGCATATATTTTAGCTACCACTTACCACCAGAAACAGGGGCATCCATGAAAACTGCTCCCATTTTCTCAACTTCTTTGGCCAATTCTTTTGAAACTGCAGGATCAATAGTGCTGGAATCTATTAATAATGAGCCCTTCTTCACTTTTCTAAGTAAATAAATAAAAATATTTGTAGTTTACAACTCTGAGTAAAAATTTCATGCAACTACCTACAGAATTAGAATCTGCTGAAAAGCTGCCATATATCAAGGAGGATTTTAGTTTAGTATTAAAAACATTATTAATTAGAACACGTTTAAAAATCTCATTCTTTTTGAGACCAATTGTACTTCAAAAGTAAACCCAAACTCTTTCAAAAGATCCAAAAAAAACCTAATAAAACCTAATATACTACATGGTATAAATTCTGATTTCAGATGAACTACACACTAACCATAATAATAAACATGAAGCTAAGATGTAAGCAATTTAAAACACCTATTAACTTTAAAAGGGTATTAGATAGGACTTAAATTTTTGTCTGTAAAGTAGCTGGATCTTTAAAAAGTAATTTATTTGTCTTTAACAAGCCATACTGCAAATTTCATATATCCGTGTTATTTCCACAATGAAGAATAAACATAAGCAATTAAAATCTAGCCATTTGTGTTGGGATGGCATATTATTTTATAATTGTAACTTTAATGACAAAATAAAATATCAAGCAGGTAGAAAGGAAAATATATGAAAGAATCTGGAAATCTCACAGTCTTTTTGGCTTTTTAGGGTAACTTATATATATACACTATAAGGCAGTGTCTATCTTCACTAGCTAGGAAACTCTAACCTAAATTATAATTTATTTAAAGGGTATGGCTAACCTTTAATTCAAACTTTCCAAAGTTCTTTAAGACAGAGTCTCCCACCTCAGCCTCCCAAGTAGCTGCGACCACAGGTGCATGCCACCATACCCGTCTAAGTTTTAAATTTTATATTTACAGAGATGGGATCTCACCATGTTGTCCAGGCTGATCTTGAACTCCTGGGCTCAACCAATCATCCTGCCTCAGTCTCCCAAAGTGGTGGGATTACAGGTGTGAGCTACTGTGCCTGGCCAAACTTTCCAAAGTTCTTACTATAGATATACTAACCCAGAGGGCATGGAATCATGATAAGAAAATTAAAACTGAATAAATATAAATACTGAAGAAGAAAACAGAAAAATCATTGATAAAAACTATTAAAAGGAAAAATCTTTCTATTAAAAAAATAGCACACAAAATGGTTTAAACATAACCAGGCATGGTGGCTTAAGGCTGTAACCCCAGCACTCTAGGAGGCCAAGGCAGAAGGATCACTTGAGGCCACAGGTTGGAGACCAGACTAGGCAACATAGCAAGACCTCGTCTAAAATAAAAAGAAAAGAAAAATATACATATTAAAAATTGTTTAAACAACAATTTTAGACATATGAATTGTTACAATTCAAATGCAATTGTTGGGTATATTTCACAGAAGAGAAATAGCATACTCCAAGAGTATGTAGGTTTCTCTTTAGCCTAAAAGAATAAGAATTAAGTTTATCAATCTGTGATCTTAATATTTTAAGATCTTAAACCTTTCAACAAATGGAAAATCATCCCAAAAATTATACATGCACTGGGTGTATGGAAATGATCCTCACCCAGAAAAAAATAAAGAATCACCCATAAGAAGCAAATTATAGTTCAATGTAAAGTCAAACTTTTTAAAAACACTCCCTGGACCAAACTGTTCTGATAGCTAGTCACCATATTCCTTAGCAAAGGATATTAACAAATGTAGGGCTATGTCTCCTCAGAAGTTTTTAGTAACTTTTCTTTCAGAGGTAAAGCAGGACCATAACTGTAACAGGCTAGGTAACAGGACAGCTAGGATGCCTCTGGACCACACACACTGTGGCCCTGAGAGCTCCATCCAAAATGAGTGTCTTTTAACCTTCCCTGAAATCTAAACATTTATCTTATCAGTTTTCTGCCTAATATCCAAGTGTCTTTTGCTTCCTTCCAAGTTGGTTAGTTTTCCAACACAATTCAATTACCAGAAACTTCAAATTTCACATATTACAGTTTCCTGAAATTACACCCTTTCTTTTAGCCCTTCTTGTGACTACAGTGTCTACCAGTTTGCTCTAGCTCTTTGCTGAAATTCAACAACAAAATAAGTTAGGAATAGAAACAGTGACATGACAAAACTAAGCTGGGAATTCAATCACTATCATCCTAACATAACCGCAAGGGTTTGGCAATAAGCAGCAATTAACCAAAAGGTTTCTCAGAGCCAGGGAAGACAGGCACTGATTAGGAAACTGACCTAAACTGTATTTTACTTAACCCATTTATGCCTAGTGTTCCATTTATGCTAAGTTTGTGGGAGTTATTTACATCCTACTGCTCAAGCAGTACATCCTACTACTCAAGGTCATTGCCAAGGTCTGATTTTTCACAAAAAAATTTGCAACCTCTGACATAAATGGGTTAAAGAGCTACTGCTAACCTTTAATTCCAACTTCCCAAAGTTCTTACTACAAACGTACTAACCCACAGGACATAACTTTTTTTCGTATAATAAAATGTTAAACGATGGTGTTCTTTCCAATGTTTGGCTATATTTTTCATAAAACCCTTTTCCTGAATTTCTATAAGCTGTAAGAAAATTATATTATTAACAGTTGCAGTTTCAAATGTAAGCTTTAAAAGTCTCTTAAACATGTTACTAGTGAAAGGGTAAGTTTAACGCAAGAGTTAAAGGAAAGAAACGGAACCAAAAAATTTTATACACATTGTCACATACTTGACTTCAGTGAAAAAATAAGCCTTTTACAATGAGAAAACCACCACACTATTCACTTTATGAAATAAAAACAGTATAGAAAGGTTTAACAAACACAATTGTAATTTCCTAATAGTTCTAACATGTGAAATTCATGAACTATCATAACAAGAAAATATCCACAGGTGAGAAATACATACTTTAGAATCCCATTTGCTCCGGAATAAGCTTCTATTGCATTGATACTGGTGGGCAGCATTGTAATAATTCTGTCAGCTTTTTCAGCAACATCTGCTGGGGAAGATACTACCTTTAAAAAAAATTGCAAAGGCACATTATTTAAATTAAAATGTAAGCAGTTTCTAGAGCACAAACAGGATCCACTTTTCATGCATGCCTATAACAGTGACAGTGCATAAAGACTAATCCTTGTTTGCAAATGACCAAAAAAAAAAAAAAAAAAGCTTACTGCCCAAAATAAAGGCACATCATTATACATATACAGATGCAGTTTCTGTGAAATCAAATCTATCGTTTATTTTTAAAAGTGTGAAGGGAGTTGAGGGTAAAAGGGCAAAACCCAGCAGTCCTGGGAACAGACACACTTCTCATGGGTTCTTCCAAGTTGGATTCCTAAACAGCATAATCTTTGGTATACACTTTGACTAAGAAAAATATTCTAGTACAACAACGCTGGTAACTCAACTGTAGGATTCATCAGTGATTTGGTGGGCAGCAAAATCCCCTAACAAAATCTCAAGTCCCAGTCCCCACCATCCTCCAGTCTGTATTTTCAAGCAAAAAAAAAAGAAGAAAGTATCTGTTTCAGAAAAGAAAAGTCTGTTTCAGAAAAGAAAAGGTCAGGACAAGGACATAAACACTTACTACAATGACTGCAAGTACCACCAGGAAGGCTAACAGTATGAGCTACCGAAACTTACGTGGAAACTACATACAGAATAAAGATATATGAATAGGCATCAGGGCACTCTCTCAACCCTCATTTCTGCTTTAATAATGACCACGAACATACTGCAAAGGAAAATTGCGCTGTCTATCCTGTTTGCTTAGGTGCATGCATGAGTAGATGCACTGTTACTCACATCCCCCATCCCCAGCTCTCTGGCTCTTTTCCACATATTCACCTTGATAAACCTGGCCAGCCAACTGGCAACCAAAGAGGTCAGGAGAGACCAGGAGCTCCTTCCTTGACTCAAACTCTCCTTTAATAGAAAGAATCAGCTGGGCACAATGACTCACGCCTGTAATCCCAGCACTTTGGGAGGCCGGAGCAGAAGGATTGCCTGAACCCAGGAGGTGGAGACCAGTCTGGGTAACACGGTGAGACTCCATCTCTACCAAAAAATAGAAAAATTAGCTGGGTGTAGTGGGGCGCACCAGTAGTCCCAGCTCCTTGGGAGGCTAAGATGGGAGGATAACTTAAGTCCAGGCGTTGGAGGTTACGGTGAGCTATGATCGCGCCACCATACTCCAGCCTGCCTGGGCAACAGAGCGAGACCTGTCTCTTAAAAAAAAGAAAAAGAAAAGAAATCCGGCATCCCAACTGTCACAACATCTTCTGCAAAGCCTTTTTTCTCTTCATTAAAAAAAGACAAAAGACGATCAGGCAGATTATTGAGGATTTCTCTCCAGAATGAGTTACATATGTAAAAACTAACATATTTCTACATACATTATGCATGTAGAAACGTATTTCTACTAGAAAATGTGAAGGGACATGTAAGCATCTTACAAATAGGAATGCCTCTGCTTTTCATGTGGCAGAAGTTTACACATGTTCTTTTTGTATTTATGTGCATTTGATGAAAGTAAAAGAATAGGAAGCCAAACAGAGTGTGTAATCTAAATATTAAGAGCTAGAAGTAATTACATTTCAGTTTTCCACAAGAGACTATCAGCTTCTAAATCAAATTCAGGATAAATGTAGCTTTAACAAAAAGCAGTTTCATAAGTCACTCTTTAAAATTTCAGTAAATCAAGTATCCTGGCATATTGTGTATTAACAAGCTAGGAAATGATATTATAAAATATCTCAGACCCTAAAACAACAAAAAAAGATATTCTCTTTTAATGTTTCACTCTAAAGACAATACAGCATTTTATAATCTACAATGAGATACATTCAACCTGTATATTTTGATATATAATGAGGACTTGCTACAAATAATTCTAAAAATTAAAAAATTTTCCATCAAATTACAAAGAAATAAGCGCTTAAGTTGCATGAAAACCTTTCCTACACCTTCATAAATATTGAGACTCTAGAAGAGGCAACTATTTCCTGGCAAACAGTTCAAGTTTACTCAAGAAAAATAGAGCTCAGTGAAATAAGAAAAAAAAAGTTGTAGTAGTCATACTTCTCTACTCCTATACTATACCAAATATATGTTACTTAGTCCCATTTGTTCATCCTACTCTAATAAACACAATGCAAAACAATGGCATACTTTCCTTCTATTGCAGCTCCATCCTTCCAGACCTTTAAGGGACATCAGTAAGACCTGAGGTCTAAGAGTTAATTTCAACTCTCTCTTAGGAATTGAGTTCTCTCCCACTGAAAGAAATTAAATTCCATCTACATAACTCCTTTAGAGGGGCCCTGAAGGGCACCAACAATTAGCTCACAGGTCTAAGGATGTTTCACAGCTCCAAGTTTCTTAATCCCATAAACTGGCAGTGCCAATTCGGGCACTTGCCAAGTGCATGGGGTGGCCAATCAGCCCCCTGCATCCCTAGCATCTGCTTCTTGAGATGGTTGCATTGCCAGAATACTGCTAACCCCTCAATTGTATAGGAAAGTAGTATCAAAGCTCACAGGCCCGGAAGAAATACACAACAGTAGTGATAGCTGGAATGTCACCACTGTACTGGCCACAACTGCTCTATACCTAATAACACACACTCTCTCTCTTTCTCTCTCTCTCTGTGCATGTGTGTGTGTGTGTGTGTGTGTGTATTTGGTACATCCTAACAGTCTCTAATTTGTACTACAAAGGCATGTTTATCAGACAGATAAACAGACATTCAAACAATCTCACCATCCATGTGATGACTTCAAGACCCTGAAATAATTGACTGACAAAATCTGGCCACAACTCAAAAGCTGGGAGGAAAAACAAACCAACCTTGTTGCCAGTCTGACATCAACTACAAAAGCCTTTAGAAGCCAAACTAATTAGAGTCCTTCAATTACATTTGCTAATTGAATGGATAAGCAAAGACAGCATGGATCAGTGAAAGGAACACTAATTTGGGAAGCCAGAGACCCGGGTTAAGTTGCAGCTCAGCCAAGAAGTCATGGGTGATTTTGTGTAAACTATGTAACATCTCCAGCTTCAGTTTCCAAATCTATAAAATAAAAACAGTGATTTGGGTTATCTCTCAGGGTTCCTATCTCCAAAGTAAAAAGGAAACTTAGACAGATATTTTTCATATTTAGTAATCTCAAGTTCTAAGAAGGTATGGTTCCCATGAAAAGGGGCTAAGGGGACTGGAAGCATGTGCAATGATTCAGCACAATGCACAGCATTTGCAGGACTTTCACCGTGCAGGTTTTCAACACCTCCATAACTGGGGATGGTCATTGGCCTGGCTGACTCTGGGACATGGCTCTGCTCTGATTGTCAAGGCTGCCCCAGACAGATCTCCTGCTAATTCCAACGGCCTCATACTTATACTATTATGAATTAAGATAATTCTACTCTTCTATTATCTCAATTTTGACTACAGGAAATTGGTTTCTGTGTAAACCACAATATAGTCTTTAAGAATTCTTGCAGCCAATTTCTCTGAATTAGACTTTGATTTATCTGTATGCCAGTATGCATCAATGGTGGGTGTGTAATATAAAGAGCAGAGGACTGAATAAATTAAAAATCTGCTAAAATAAATTAAAAATCTGTTTAATAACAAAAAATCTGCTTTGCAGCATGAGGAGGGGGGTGAAGAGCCAAGAGTAATCTGAAGGGACTACACCCCCTTTTTACATATCCATTGGAAGAAGACAAATGTTACCTAGTTGCTTTACATGAAGAGAAAAATCTTGCTGCCTCTTCTAGATAAAACAGTCACATAAGTTAAGTTCAGCATTGCTTCCAAGTAAACCAGATGGGTAACAGAAATTTATAAAGAAACAAGAAGAATGTGATCTTGTTAAACTTGCCACTCCTGTGTTTTTTAATCTTTAACAGTACTCTTTAAAAGTACTTTTTAAATACTTTAAAAGTAGAAAAGCACAATTACTTCAAAATTAAACTACACTTGAAAAACTGACAAAAGCGCTTTGTGCCTACATCTTGAAACATTTGGTCAACAATGATGGAGCCCACTCAGCAAGAGGCTTTTAAAGCTCTCATTTAACAAGACCTGAGTGGATGCCAGATTAGATCCCAAGAGATTTACTTAAGCAAACATGTTCAGCCTTACAACTCAGGAACAACAAAATGGTTTCCAAGTTTTTAAAGAGAAAACAAAAGAAAAGAGAATCTAATTAAGCCTAGTTCAATCAGAATAAACTCACACAGAAGTGGTGCATACATCCCAGACTTTTGGCATAGATCAGCAGCATCTCCAAGGAAAATCCTAGACAATGAAAATGAAGCACAAGTCACATGTCCTTGATGCTAAGGATTAAGTTAAAAAGAAAAACCAGTATCTTCTGCAAAATAAAGGTGGGTCAGAAGGGGCAGTGCAGAGCAGACTCTTAAACAGGAATGCTGTCAAATCACTTTACCTCCTAGTTTGGTTTTAATTTGTATCTTCATTCTTTCATTTAGAAATATGTCTACATATCACTTCTTGGCCTTTTGGCTATAATCAAGAATGAAAATACATCTATTATTCTCTTTCAACATATTCTGGACTCAATAATGCAGCTGAGACAGTGGTGTTTGGGGTATGTTGGAGAATAAAGATTTTGGAGAAATATGGCATAGATACAGTAACAGCAGCAGCAGCAGTAATAGTAGTAGCAGCAGCAGTAATGGTACTTTCTATGTGCCAGGTTCTTTTGGGCTAAGAGAAAGGTACTCTTATCATCCCCATTTTATATAAGAATAAGAAATTTAAGCAGAGAAAGGTTAAGTAATCTGAAGTCACACAGCTAGCAAATGGCAGAGCTGAGATGTGAGCCCAGACAGTTTGGTTCCGGGGTTTATATTTTTAAATCACTGCATTCGCAATTTATTGATTCAAAATTTCTAAAATATTAAGATCTGATCATTATTATCAGTTACGTTTTTTAAAAAGATGCTAAAAGTTGAAATGATGCATCTGTTTCCAACAGAAACACGAATATAATAAAGGGATAAGCTATAACAAACCCACAGCCAACATCATACTGAATGGGCAAAAGGTAGAAGCACTCTTCTTGAAAACCGGAACCAGGCAAGGATGCCCTATCTCATCACTCCTATTCAACATAGTACTTAAGTCCTGGCCAGAGCAATCAGGCAAGAAATAAAAGGCATTCAAATATGAAGAGAGGAAGTCAACCTATCCCTGTGTGCAGACATGACGCTGTATCTAGAAAACCCCATAGTCTCAGCCCAAATCTCCTTAAGCTGATAAACAACTTCAGCCAAGTCCCAAGACACAAAATCAATGCGCAAAAATAACTAACATTCCTATATACCAACAACAATCAAGCCAAGAGCCCAATCAAGAACACAATCCCATTCACAATAGCCACAAAAAGAATAAAATACAGGAATACAGCTAACCAGAGAGGTGAAAGATCTCTATAACAAGAATTACAAAATACTACTCAAAGAAATCAGAGATGACACAAACATTCCATGCTCATGGATAGGAATAATCAATTTTGTTAAAATGGCCATATTGCCCAAAGCAATTTATAGATTCAGGGCTATTCCTATCAAACTACCAATGACATTCTTCACAGAATTAGAAAAAAACTATTTTAAAATTTATATGGAACCAAAAAAGGAGCTCAAATAGTCAAGGCACTCCTAAGCAAAAAGAACAAAGCTGGAGGCATCATGTTACCCAACTTCAAACTCAAACTTTTCTATAGGGCTACAGTAACCAAAATAGCATGGTACTGGAACAAAACAGGCACACAGACCAATGGGACAGAATAAAGTACAGAAACAATGCTGCACACCTATACCCATCTGATCTTTGGCAAAGTCAAAAAAAAAAAAAAAAAAAAAACAAGCAATAAGGAAAGGACTCCCTATTCAATAAATGGTGCTGGAATAACTGGCTAGCCATATGCAAAAAACTGAAACTGGAACCCTCCTTATACCATACTCAAAATTCAACTCAAGGTGGATTAAAGACTTAAATGTAAAACCTAAAGCTATAAAAACCTGGAAGATAACCTAGGAAATACTGTTTCTAGACATAGGACCTGGAAAAGATTTCAAGACAAAGATATCAAAAGCAACTGCAACAAAAACAAAAATTGACAAATGAGACCTAATTAAACTAAACAGCTTCTGCACAGCAAAAGAAACTATCAACAAAAAATAAACAGACAACCTACCTAATGGGAGAAAATGTTTGCAAACTATGCATCCCACAAAGGTCTACTACTCAGAATCTATAGGGAACTTAAATCAACAAGCAAAAACCAAACAACTGCATTAAAGAGTAGGCAAAGGACATGAACAGACACTTTTCAAAAAAAGACATACACACAGTCAACAAACATGAAAAAATGCTGAACATCACTAATCATTAGTGAAATGCAAATCAAAACCACAATGAGATACAATATCACACCACTCAGAATGGCTGTTATTAAAAAGTCAAAAAATAAGAGATGCTGGCAAGGTTGCAGAGAAAAAGGAACATTTATACACCGCTGGTGGGAATGCAAATTAGATGAGTTACTGTGGAAGCAGTGTGGTGATTCCTCAAAGAACTCAAAGCAGAATTACCATTCAACCCAGCAATCCCATTATTGGGTACATACCCAAAGGAATATAAACAGTTCACCATAAAGACACATGCACCCGTATGTTCATCATAGCACTATTCACAATAGCAAAGACATGGAACCAACCTAAATGCCCATCAATGGTAGACTGAATAAAGAAAATGTGGTACATATACACCATGAAATACTATGCAGCCATAAAAAAGAATGAGATCATGGCCTTTACAGCAACATGGATAGAGCTGGAGGCCATTATCCTAAGCAAACTAATCCAGGGAAAGAAACCAAATACCACACATTCTCACTTATAAGTGGGAGCAAAACACTGAGTACACACAGACACAAAGAAAGGAACAACAGACACTTGAGACTACCTGAGGGGGGAGGGAGGGACAGAGGGTGAGGATCAAAAAACTACCTGCCAGGTACCGTGCTTATTACCTGGGTGGCAAAATAATCTGTACACCAAACTCCTGTGACATGCAATTTACCTATATAACAAACCTGCACAATTACCTCCGAACCTAAAAGTTAAAAAACATCAACTGCAAGCTTCCTGTGGGCCTTGGAGGCTGCCCTACAAACACACTCATTTTCTGAGTCCATCATTCTGCCCAACTTATTTTAATAAATGCTTATATAATAAAAACTTCCCTCTGATTTTGTTTTTAAATTAAAAAAAATAAAGGGATACGGAAACGTCCACATATTTTATGAAAATGACCACAAATAACAAGTTCAACCAATTATAAATGCCTTATCAGAATAGGTTAACACTTAAAGGCATAAACAAGCTATTAAGTAGTCCTGTAAAACATATTAAACTTATCAAAGTTTTTATTTCCCTAATAATCCACGTACAGTCAAGCAAAAGAGATACGTTCTGAGAAATGCGTTGTGAGAAAAGAAAAATAACTTGAAGTAGTCTGAACTATGTGAGGTTTGCAAAATTTATCAGGCCCAGAGAGACGTAAGCATAGGACTTTGGTCACCGCCACCCTCCGTGCCCAGTGGCAATTGCTTAAAGGCATTTTTGTTCCTGACTAGCTGCCTCCCTTATTATTGTCATATTCCTGGAATTTGGAATACAAAGAACAATGTACAGTCAATTAATAATTTATGTTAATGTAAACTCTTGTTAAACAACTTAGGAACTGCCTCTTCTTTTTTCCTTAAAAACCCACCTGGGGCCAGGTGCAATGGCTCACACCTGTAATCCCAACACTTTGGGAGGCCAAGGTGGGCTGATCACTTGAGCCCAGGAGTTCAAGCCCAGCCTGGGCAACAAAGCAAAACCCTGTCTCTACAAAAATACAAAAATTGGCTGGGCATGGTGGTGCACACCTGTGGTCCCAACTACTTGGGAGGCAGGGGCGGGAGGATCACTTGAGTCTGGGAGGTTGAGGCTGCAGTGAGCCATGATCCCGCCACTGCATTCCAGCCTGGGTGACAGAGAGAGACCCTGTCTCAAAAGAAATGAACAAACAAAATCACTTGTAACATCTGCTAATCGTATATATTCAAGGCAACTTGAATTTATGCTTCCAGGTGGCCATTTTCCACCTTTTGGGCCTGAATAAACTCTATACCTAATCACAGTTTCTGAATCATTATTTTAATAAGGTTGACAGTTGTTAGGCTATTTCATGTTGCACGAACATCAGAGAGAGCACTTACAGACCTTCATGGTGTAGTGTATTTCTTCTAGGCTACAAACCTGTACAGCAACGTTAATGTACTGAATACTGTAGGCAACTGTAACATAATGTAAGAATTTGTACATTTAATGATCTATACATACAAAAGGTACAGTAAAAATACTCTATTATAATCCTATGGGACCACCTTTATGTATGCAGTCCATGACCAAAACATCCTTATGAGGTGCATGACTACGGTTTTACTAAAGCTTGAAGAAAAGCCTCCAGGGTCATAATATTCTAAAATACTTCTTCACCTGGAACGGCAGGTGGCCATCTTGCACCTTGAAGGGAGAGAGGAGCCTGATGGAGAAAAGCAGACTCCAGAAGCAAAGAGAAAAGAAAAGAATCTGGCTGTATCTATGTCACTAAATTCAGCTCTGCCAGAGGTCAGGCCACTCCCCAACTCTTCCAATACATGAAACAATAAATTCTCAGTTTTTGCTTTCAAAAAAAACAAAAGCACTTCTTCAAAACAACATCTGATTTTCTTCCCTGCAAATCTCTCACTGAAAGAACAGCTGACATTAGAAATCAACTAACCAGCATTTCTGCAATCTTGGTGGGGTGTTGGGGGATGGGCTTGTTTTCTTTGGCTCTCACTTCATCAGCTTGACTTGATATAGTAACACAGAGGGAGGAAATGGACACCCGTCCTTAAAAATGTATGAGTCAACTCAAATATACGCTGAATTTTTTAACCTTTAAACCCACCCTTCAGGGCACTATTGTGGCAAAAAGTTTCAGAGTTTCACACATACTTTTCCATCTCATCCCAAGTCGTGTCTTGGCCTTATGGTAATAGAATGAAATTCATTTTTTCTTTTATCCAACATTTTAAAAAACTAAACATAGCTATGAAATAAGAATGTTGACATTTTAATATATCAGAACGTATTCATCCAAATTAATATTACCTTTTAAAGTAGTGCTCTTAGGAAATCACACTTGTTCTGATGACATGGCCACTGTTCAAAACACTCTCTAAGCTGCCAACGTAAATCATTTATCAACAAATGCTTTCATTTTCTGTTGCCCTCAGGACCAAAGCTTTTTCACCCTTTACCTTTCTCACTTCATTCATCTGAATTTCACATTGTCCCACCTTCCACTGCTGTTAAAATCAATACTCAGAGGACCTCTTAGAGTCAAGATGCTTAAGAGAATGAGAGATGTGAGGAAGAGAGGCAAGAAGATTCTGTCTTCCAGGCTTCCTGCCTCAGGGTGAACCACACACAGAATTTTCCCCACTGTGTATTGGGGGAGGAGTGGCAACTGTGCACAAGAAGCTAAGTCTTCGCTATTATTCACTAATCTGGGAGGAGCACCGACCCAGAACCCACCTTCTTTCCTTCTTCACACCCAGTGACATATTGCAAGGAAGAAGAAAAAGGAAAACCCAGTAACTGAGTCTGTGTCCTGGAACCCTCAAATTTTTATGCAGGAATCTTGGAGACCTTGTCCTTCATGATTTCATTTTACAATCTTTGTTGGGTGAGTAAAGATTACATGCAATCTTCCTGTAATTCCCTATCAGAAATGAAATGATCCTTAAGAGTTGCTTATTTTTTTCTTCCTCAAAAATTGCCTTAGCACTTAATTATAGTAAAATTACAATAGAAACTTCCTTGCAGTATTAGTTGGTCTTGCCACCTAAGACATATCCAACACCTCGTCACATCCAACTCAACCTGTTTTATTTCCCAACAGCATTAGGTAAACTACTAGACATTTGGTAGTTACTCAAGCTATCTCTGTTGACCTAAAGTAAAAGTCTTCAGCAAAGACTGAGGCTCCACTTTTTGAGGAAACTGCTCCTTTGTCCTCATTCTTAATCTGGATAAATCCTACTTATTCTTTCGCTGTCTGCCTAAATGTCTAGTTTTTTTTTTTTTTTTTTTTTTTTTTTGAGACGGAGTCTCGCTCTGTCGCCCAGGCTGGAGTGCAGTGGCGGGATCTCGGCTCACTGCAAGCTCCGCCTCCCGGGTTCACGCCATTCTCCTGCCTCAGCCTCCCAAGTAGCTGGGACTACAGGCGCCCGCCATTACGCCCGGCTAATTTTTTGTATTTTTAGTAGAGACGGGGTTTCACCGTTTTAGCCGGGATGGTCTCGATCTCCTGACCTCGTGATCCGCCCACCTCGGCCTCCCAAAGTGCTGGGATTACAGGCGTGAGCCACCGCGCCCGGCCAAATGTCTAGTCTTTAGAGAGAATTCCCCTAACCACCCTCTCACCTAATGTAACACATATTTTACTAAAAACTAATGTGACCTTTTACTTTTTCTTTAGACTTATCACAATTTGGAATCACATATTTGTGTAATTTGATAATCTAACACCACCTATTGGTCCCTAAAGGCACAGACTGTGACTGTCTTGTTCTGAGCTATATTCCCAGTGCCTGGCACATAGAAAGTTCTCGAGAAACATCTGTTACATTAGTGACTTAATGAAGGTCCTATCCCATTTTGCTAAGGTAGTCTACAGTAGCCTTAACCCATAGTGATTAGAGCAATAAAAAGTAACTTTTCTTCACAAAAAAGGAGAGAATATCTGATACTACCTGTTGAATGGACAGCATGAGAAGAGGAACAGCTGTGTACAGCAGAGGTGAAACTAAGGCACACAGAAACTAATTTATAGTTAACATTAACATACAGTGATTAATATGTGCCAAATGCTACTTTAAGCTCCATGCATAATTAACTCACTTAATCCCTATAACAAGTCTATGAAAACAGTATGATTATCCTTCATACATGTGGAAACAAGCGTATAGAGACACTGAAAAACTTGCCCAAGATTGCACAGATACTAAGTGGTATAGAAAGATTCAAAACCTACACATTTTGTAGATTCCCAATGTTTGCTACATTAGTTTTCCACAGCTGCTGCAACAAGTTACCACAAGCACCGTCGCTTAAAACAACAGAAATTTACTCTCTCACAGCTCTGGAGGCCAGAAGTCTGAAATCAAGGTGTCAAGAGAGACACACTCCCCACAAAGGCTCAAAGGGAGGATCTGTCTTTGCCTTTTCCAGCTTCTGATGGCTCCTGATATTTTCTGGCTGGCAGCAGCATAACTCTAATGTCTGCCTCCATCTTCATATGGCCTTCCCCTCTGTGTCTCTGTGTCTTCTTTTCTGTCTCTGGTAAGGACACTTGTCATTAGCTTTAGGGTCCACCCTAAATCCACGATGATCTCATCTTAACTTTAGATCGTCAAAGACCCTGTTTCCAAAAAGCTCACATTCACAGGTACTAGGAGTTAGAACTTGAATATATCTTTTTTAATAGCTTCACTGACATATAATTCGCATACAATTCACCCATTTAAAGTATACCAAAGGCCCTGTTAACATATTCACAGATATATGCAACCATGATGACAATCAATTTTAGAATCTTTTCAAGAAGAAACCTGGCCAGGCATGGTGGCTCACGCCTGTAATCCCAGCACTTTGGGAGGCCGAGGTGGGCAGATCACGAGGTCAAGAGATCGAGACCATCCTGGCCAACATGGTGAAACCCCGTCTCTACTAAAAATACAAAAAATTGGCCGGGCACGGTGGCTCACACCTATAATCTCAGCACTTTGGGAGGCCAAGGCGGGTGGATCACCTGAGGTCAGGAGTTCGAGACCAGTCTAGCCAGTATGGTGAAACCCCATCTCTACTAAAAATACAAAAATTAGACAGGCGTGGTGACATGTGCCTGTAATCCCAGCTACTCAGGAGTCTGAGACAGGAGAATTGCTTGAACCTGGGAGGCGGAGGTTGCAGTGAGCCAAGATTGCGCCACTGCACTCCAGCCTGAGCGACAGAGCAAGACTCCATCTCAAAAAAAAAAAAAAAATTAGCTGGGCGTGGTGGCGCGTGCCTGTAGTCACAGCTACTCGGGAGGCTGAGGCAGAAGAATCACTCGAACCCAGGAGGTGGAGGTTGCAGTAGGCCAAGATCGCACCACTGCACTCCAGCCTGGTGACAGAGTGAGACTCCATTTAAAAAAAAAAAAAAAATCAGAAATCTTATACGCATTAGCTATCATTCCTCTATGCCCAACTTTCCCTCTTCCCCAGCGCTAAGCAACCACTGATCTACTTTGTGTCTCTATATAGACTTCCTTATTCTGGACTTTCAGGAAAAGTCTATAGTATGTGGTTTTTTGTGACTGGCTTCCTTCACGCAGCATGCTTTCAAGGTTTATCAATGTTGCAGCAAATATTAGTACTTCATTTCTTTTTATTACTGAATAATCATCATTGTATGGATATAACACATTTTGTTTGGACATTCTATCCGCTGATAGATTTTTGCGTTGTTTCCACTTTTTCGTGATGATGAATAATGTTGCTAAATACATGTTTCCGTGTGGATACAAATTTTTTATTTCTCTTGGGTATATAGCTAGGTGTGAAATTGCTGGGTCATGGCATAATTCTAAACTTTTAATTATTTGAGGAACTCCCAAACTCTTTCCCAAAGTGGCTGTACCATTTTACATTTCCACTAGCAGTGTATGAGGGCTCCAACTTTTCTACAACCTCACAAACACATTGTTATCTAACTTTTTAATCTAGATTCTAGTGGGTGTGTCTCATGGTTTTGATTTTTTTTTTTTTTTTTTTTTTTTTTTGAGACAGAGTCTTACTCTGTCGCCCAGGCTGGAGTGCAGTGGTGGCAATCTCGGCTCACTGCAACCTCCACCTCCTGGGTTCAAGCAATTCTCCCACCTCAGCCTCCTGAGTAGCTGGTATTACAGGTGCACACCACCACACTTGGCTAATTTTTTTTGCATTTTTAGTAAAGACAGGGTTTCACCATGTTGGCCAGGCTGGTCTTGAACTCCTGACCTCAAGTGATCCACCTGCCTCGGCCTCCCAAACTGTTGGGATTACAGGCATAAGCCACCTCACCCGGCTGTTCTGACTATGTTTCTACGATGCCTAATGATGTTGAGCATCTTTTCACATGTTTACTGGGTCATTCATATATCTTCCTGGGAGAAATGTCTATTAAAATCCTTTGCCCATTTAATTGAGTTACTTGTCTTATGCTGGCGTTGTAAGACTTCTTCATATATTCTAGATACAAATTCCTTATCAGATATATGATTTGCAAATATTTTATCCCATTCTGTGAATTGTTTTTCACTTTATTGATGGTGTTCTCTGGAGCACAAGTTTTTAATTTTGATAAAGTCCAATTTACCTATTTATCATTTTGTTGCTCATGCTCTTGGTGTCATATCTAAGAATCCTTCGCCAAATCCAAAGTCATAAAGATTTACCTCTGTGTTTTCTCCTAACAATTTTATAGGACATCTTTGGGGGTTGGGGAGGTGGGCCACTATTCAACCCACTAAACAACCCATACAATAGATAAATATTATTAAATTGTAACTCCGTGGGTACAGAACCACACAAGAGAAGGCAAGGGAGACCAATGATCAGTGGCTTGACTGATCTAGGCACCTTATTTTCCAGCAATCTAGTTTATAAATAGGTTAACAGGTAGCTACATTTCAGAATCATCAACACAGATGTCACATACACACACTCAAAAATGTCTTTCACATTAATTTCAAAAAGAACCAAAACTCCGAAGTCAAAGACCTTTGTTTAGACATTGGCTCTTGCTATTCATTCACTACACAGTGGTAACCCCTCCTCTGAGAGGTATACATTCCAAGACTCCCAGTGGATGCCTGAAACCACAGACAGTACCAAATCCTATACAGACTATGTTATATAAACATATAGACTATGTTTTCTGGTTTGTTTTTTTTTCTTTTTAAGGCAAGGTCTCACTCCATCACCCAGGCTGGAGCACACAGCTCACTGCAGCCTCAACCTCCTAGGCTCAAGTAATCCTCCCACCTCAGCCTCCCAAGTAGCTGGGACTACAGGCACACACAACCACGCCCAGCATTTTTTTTTTTTTTTTTTTTTTTTGAGACAGAGTCTCCCTCTGTCATCCAGGCTGGACTGCAGTGGTGCAATCTCGGCTTATTGCAACCTCCGCCTCCTGGACTCAAGCGATTCTCATGTCTCAGCCTCCCAAGTAGCTGAAACCACAGACACACGCCACCGCGCCTGGCTAATTTTTGTATTTTTAGTAGAGCCGGGGTTTCGCCACATTGGCCAGGCTGGTCTTGAACTCCTGGCCTCAGGTGATCCGCCTGCCTTGGCCTCCCAAAATGCTGGGATTATAGGCACAAGACACTGCGCCCAGCCAGTTTTTCTTTATATATACACTCCTATGATAAAGTTTAATTTATAAATTAGTCACAGTAAGAAATTAACAACAACAATAAAATAGAACAATTATAACAATATGCGAGCAACACTACTCTTGCGCTTTGGACCATTATGAAATAAAATAAGGGTTACCTGAAAATAAGCACGCGATATCACAACACCCGATCACTGAGGCGGCTAGTAAGTGACTAATGGGCCAGGGAGTGTCTGCAGCATGGAGACGCTGGACAAAGGGATGATTCACATCCAGGTTGGGACAGAGCTGGACAGCACAAGATTTCATCATGCTACTCAGAACGGCATGCAATTTAAAACTTATAAATTGTTTATTTCTTGAATTTTGTACTTAACATTTTCAGACCACATTTGACCATAGGTAACTGAAATCGTAGAAAGTGAAACTGCAGATAATAAGAACCACTATATAACATTAGGGATATTATTTAGCTTCTCCAAGCATTGGCTTCTTGATAGCACTTCTGTTGCAAAGATAAAATGAGATAATACATACAAAATATTTAGCAAAAGACCTGACACATAGTAGGTGCTCACTAAATACTGTATTAGATTCTTTTCTCTCCCTTTCAAAACATAAATATCTCCTTCATGCAGGGATAAGCCTTATTCTTAAGGCAGCCTTCCTTCATACCTACCTAAAATTAGCAACACTAAAGAAATAAGAAACTTGTTGGGAAACAGAGGTAAGCCTGGTAACTTCAGAGTATGAGGTAATTCAGGCAGAGCATCAGAAAGCTCTAGAATTCTGGGAAAAAGCAGGAGAGAGTCACAAAGCAGTGATGATCATTACAGTCGTTCCACATACAAGCTGGAAGTACTACAGGCATAGAGGGAAGAGTACCTGTGTCTGTAACAACGTAAAAGGTCACAAGCTTCTGCTTTGCCAGTCTAGGGTAATAGTCCCCATTCAATTCCTACCCCACTCTTTGGTTAAATTCTGTTTTTAATTGAAGATATTTCCTCTGTTTAGAGATCAAGTACCCTTGTTACTCTTACTAACAGATAAACCACTGTAAAATGGCAATACCAAATAGATGTGTTATCCCAAAAAGTAATAACTGTCTCCTCAAAATAACTACTAATTGGTTCATCTCAGACTGAATATCAACTTGAAATGCTCACCATCTCTGAAGATGGTAAAAGGCCGCCTTTCCCAGATTCTCTACTATACGACTGATCAAATCTCTCCAACAAGGCTACTAAGTCCCTACATTAATTAAGCCTGTAAGCCTGCTATACTGGGAGTGTAATATCCGTATTCAGAGACTGAACAGGCAGAAGCAGCCACAACACTACCCTGAAAAGTTCCAAAGTCATACTTCCATCCTCACACTATACTGCTGCAATTTCCATATGGCACAAAAACCATGGAAAGGAAAAAGATTCAGATATATAGTTCTGAAAATGGCTTCTAAGTTACCTAAAGCTGTTCTGTAACTAGGTATAGCATTTTTCAGTATTTACTTTCAAGTCTATTATCTAGAAGCTGGCTGTGTAATTTTTTTCTCACCTTTTTCTCAGGAATTTTTTAGTATTCTCTGTTCTGGGATCACACACTATCCTCAGTTACCACTCTACAACTTGACCAAGAAGAATTTCCCTCATATCTAGAAAAAACAAACTATATTCGGATACTGATACATGGTCTCCTGTAATTTGAGTTATTGATAAAGTTTAACAAATCCAAACAACTCAAGACTTAACCAGCAGATGTTATCATCCAACATGATAAACTCTGGTACCAAAATTCTTTAAACATGAATGATAGCCTAAAAACACTAGAGATCCACTATAACTCAACTCTTCATTATAGGACATAGTGTTTTTAGGCTGTCTCCTGGTTTATGGCCAATAACTAATAATTATTCACAAAGTGCTGCCATATGATGTTTTCAAAGTATGTTCACATACATTCTCTCATTTGAGCTTCACAACCTAATGGCATAGGTTGTCATCGTTCACATTTTAAGAATGAGGAAATCAGCAGAAGTGATGTAACTTGCCCCCAGTAAGAAAGCATGTATCTGAGCTTCAACTCAAACTAAGCTTTATATCTCTAAGCCTACTCTTGTTTTAAAGACATATGTGCTTTTAATAACACAGGAGGTTATTTCCACCAAACTAACTACTTTAACAGCACAATCAGTAAAGTTACTATCTCAGAAAACTGATACAGAGCTAAAACAAGGCCCTCTGACCAAATGTGCAAAATGTTCCAAGTCACCTGCCAAAGAATAGATACCCCTGAATGTCTAACGAGAACTCTCCTTTACTGCAAATCTGGATGTTGGATGAATGATTACATATATATAAAATTAACACTGAATTAGGTTTACAACTCCATTGGGTATACTTCTAAGAAGCTGTCACTTATTTGAATGTATATTCATTTTTCATTCTCAAAATCTAAAACAAATCTAAAGAAAAGGTCTTACCTGTTCACCTGCATCTTGAAACTCTTTGCAGGCATCAGGGAACACATCATAAATAATAAGTGGATAGCCATGTTTCATGAGATTTTTTGCCATTGGATTCCCCATGTTGCCCAGTCCAATGAATCCAACTGGAGTCTTTGAAGCCACTGACCTAGAACACACTGATTTCAATACATTATTTTCAATAGGGGCAAATAACATTTTTTATTGTAAACATTCATTTAATATTAGCAAGTCAATTGTTAGATTTTTTTTTTTTAATAAAAGAAACTTTCAGGAACCAGGTGCAGTGGTGCACACCTATAATCCCAGCTACTTGGGAGGCTGAGGTAGGAGGACTGCTCGAGCCCAGGAGTTTTAGAACAGCCTAGGCAACACAGTGAGATCCCATCTCAAAAATAAATAATAATATTTATTAAAAAAAAAACCCACTAACTTTTAAAAGGCAAATTTTAAACTAATGGACCTAACCACATTTAAAGTTATCAACAATGTGCAGGCAGACTAACTTCTAATTATTTAGTTTTCTGGGGCACATTCACAAAATTTTAAGCATTTTTCCTGTTTTGTACCTGTATAACATTCTTTTACCATTTTTAACAATAAACTAAATAATGTTATCATTTATAAAACACCTAATATGTAATTTACTTATAATGTGAAGTATTCCATATTATCTCCCTTAATAATGTGTATAAAAGACAGAAAGTATTCAAAAAGACGTAAGTCTTGGACCAGCTTCAAGAATGGAAAAACTTTTTACCTTCCCACTCCCACAGTTACAGAAACCATCCCCTCCAATGATACAAAAAAAAAAAAACTCAAAAAGATGTTAAACCCAGGAGAATGGAATCACCAGTTTATAAAGGTGGTCCTGGGGTAGAAAGGGGAGATACCTCCATAGGCTTTAAATGGCAAGTGTAACAGTATCAGGACCTTGGTCTAACAACTCTGAACTTTCAGAAAAGAGAGACTTCCTTATTATATTTTTATTTATTTATTTATTTATTTATTTATTTATTTATTTATTTATTTTTTGAGACGGAGTCTCACTCTGTCACCCAGATTGGAGGGCAGTAATGCAATCTCGGCTCACTGAAGCCTCTGCCTATTGGGTTCAAGCAATTCTCATGCCTTAGCCTCCGGTGTAGCTGGGATCACAGACACGCACCACCATGCCTGGCTAATTTTTGTCCTTTTAATAGAGACAGAGTTTCACCATGTTGACCAGGCTGCCATTAAAAAAAAAAAAAAAAAAGCCTTAAAAACTACACAGGTTTTATTTATTCTTTTATTTTTCATATAAGACTTTTTGAAATTACTCCGTGGGCATATGAATCAAAGTAATGCGTTACAGAGTGGGGAGGCTTTACAGTACTATGGAAATAGCGTTAGATGCAATTTTTCACTTTCTAGATTTAGAACTCCACTCAATAAATATTCACTGCATGAAGTACTATGACAGAGCTCAGAGACAGACACAAGCAACGTATGGTCCCTGTCCTTTAAAAGCTCACAGTCTAGTGAGGGAAAAGAGAGAAGTAACTCTCCTTGCTCTTCCATTTCCCAGCATTCTTTTTCTTTTTTCTTTCAAGAACTCCAGCTTTAAAATTTGTAGTGCAACAACTAATCACAGTCCCTCTTTTAAGTTTCAGGTCCCCTCAACTGAACTTAATCTGCTCTTCCCTGAACTGAATCTGA
This sequence comes from Homo sapiens, assembly GCF_000001405.40. Classification (NCBI taxonomy): domain Eukaryota; kingdom Metazoa; phylum Chordata; class Mammalia; order Primates; family Hominidae; genus Homo; species Homo sapiens. The sequence continues at coordinate 27,651,174 of NC_000007.14, forward strand.
ATGGAATGAGATTTGTTAAAAGCAAATTATTTGAAGCCCTAATGCTTAAGAACTAGAGGTCTTCTTGGGTTGGAAGCATATTTAATTCCTTTAACTTAATGACTGACTCTAACACTTCCATTAAATGTGGGTGTCATTTCTGTGCAACATCATTTAACAGGCGCTAAGTTTAATACACTGGTATAATAGTACACTGGTATAATAGTACACTGGTATAGTTTGTCTTTCTGGCCTGCAAGGAATTCAATGACAGAAAAGTGACACCAAACTGAAATTTTATTTTGATATTAAACAGAATGAGTACACTTCATCAGAGAACTCTAACTAATGCTCATAAACAAACTAGCAATAATAGCCAGAAAGAAAATGTGGCATTACTGTGTTAAGGTTGAAAAGGTGTAATTTAGCAATCTAAAAACTTCAGCAACTAGGAAGATTATAATTTAAAGACAGTTAATTTAACAGGCAATTCACTCTAGGTCAAACAATTCATAAGTATGGTCACGTAGAACCACAATTCATTCACAAATTCAACAAACACTAAGCAACTATCACATGTACCAAAAGAGATGCCAAAGAAGGTAAGAGACACAGTCCTTGCCTTCAACAAGCTTAAAACCAAGAAGAAATAAACCATGTACATAAACACTAACATAAGACAGTTAAAGATAAAAACACAATGCTGATGAAAAATGAGAATTCATGGTGTGGGAACTTGAGGAATGTGGCATCTGACCTGGATATTATACAAGGGGTAGGATTTCAAATGGATAGGAGGGTAAGGAGGAGGGGAACTCCATACAGAAAAAGGAACATGAATATATACAAGGAACTAGAAGAGCCATGAAGAAATGACAGTAATAGTTAATATTTACTGCAATTTTACTACATGCCAGACACTATGCTAAGCACTTTATAAACAGACCTATTACCATATGCTATATATGAAGCCCATCTTACAGCTGAGAACCCTGATGCTGAGTTGAAGTAAAATACCTAATACTTTACTAAGTTGTAATGCCAAGATTCAAATCCAGACATTCTAATTCTAGAGTCTCCACTTGTAAACATTGTATGATACTGCCCTCTATTCTTCCTAAAGAATGCACAAAGAAACAAAACAGCAAGAGATTAAGATTAAAAAAAAAATGCAACCATAATGTGGAAGGATAGAAGGATGCTAAACAACTTGTATTTTGTAGGCAAGAGGTAGTTATTGAAACAGTGGGCAAGAGAAATGACAGATGAGACTTACACTTTAGGAACAGAAATGAGGCAGCAGTGTACAATGAATGAACTTGAAGAAAAGAGCCTGGAGGCAAGAAGACCAATATAAAAGTGACAGTAATCCTCTAGATGCCTTAGTTTGAGCTACTATAACAAATATACCATAATGGCTTAAATAACGAACACTTATTTCTCACAGTTCTGGAGGCCAGGAAGTCCAACATGAAGGTGACAGCAGATCCAGTGTCTGGTAGGTCCACTTCCTCGTTTGCTGATGGCCATTTTCTCACTGTATCCTCACATGGTAGAGAGCAGAAAGAGAAGCCACTCTCATGTCTCTCTGTACAACAGCACTAATCCTATTCACAGGAGCTCTATCCGCATGATCTAATTGCCTCCCAAAGGGCCTAGCTCCTAATATCATTATATTGAGGGTTAGGAATTTTGGCCAGGCGCAGCGGCTCACGCCTGTAATCCCAGCACTTTGGGAGGCCAAAGTGGGTGGATCACCTGAGGTCAGGAGTTTGAGACCAACCTGGCCAACATGGTGAAACCCAGTCTTTACTAAAAATACAAAAATTATCCAGGCATGGTGGCATGTGCTTGTAATCCCAGTTACTCAGGAGGGTGAGGCAGGAGGATTGCTTGAACATAGGGGGTGGAGGATGCAGCGAGCCAAGATCGCACCACTGCACTCCAGCCTGGGTGACAGAGCGAGACTCCGTCTCAAAAAAGAAAAAAAAAGGAATTCAACATATAAATTTTGTGGGGACATAAAATTTCAGTCCATAACAAAGTCAAAATTAATAAAGTGTGGTAGCCACAGGAAAAGACAGGTATAAAAACTATTTCAAAGACAGAAGTAAAAGGATAAAACAATGGATTGGATTATAGGCTAAAATAAGGGTGAGGTCCAAAATGACAGTAAGAGAATAGTGTTATCAATACCTAAGTGAAGAAATCAAGGAGAGCTGGCTCAGTTTTACCCAGGGTAACTATGAACTGTCAATGAGCTGAAAAGATGTCCAACAGACTATTAGAAATACCATGACCGGCCGGGCGTGGTGGCTCACGCCTGTAATGCCAGCACTTTGGGAGGCCGAGACGGGCGGATCACGAGGTCAGGAGATCGAGACCATCGTGGCTAACATGGTGAAACCCCGTCTCTACTAAAAATACAAAAAAAATTAGCCGGGTGTAGTGGCAGGCGCCTGTAGTCCCAGCTACTCGGGAGGCTGAGGCAGGAGAATGGCATGAACCTGGGAGGCGGAGCTTGCAGTGAGCTGAGATCGCACCACTGCACTCCAGCCTGGGCGACAATGTGAGACTCTGTCTCAAAAAAAAAAAAGAAATACCATGACCAAGGTTTCAGTGATAGGATGAGAAAAAAGAGATATACCTGGTAGCCATTTGTCTCAAAAGTTAAGAGGTGAAATTTGTAAAAGTTAATAAAATCACCAGATGAGTATGAAGAGGCTGAAGGCCAAAGTTGAACCTCTCTGAAGCCCAAGGGAACGTGTATACTCAAAAGTCAAAAAGTCAAAACCAACCCTAAGCTGAAACAGATGTTAGAATTAGAAAACAAGGACGTTAAAAATTATAACTGTAGTCTATATATTCCAAAGGTAGAATTATGAAAGATATTTTTATCAATACAAATTAAATTTCTTGAGATGAAATCTACTACTAAAATATGTGAGATGAAAATTATACCAGAAGATTAACTGAAGAGTAGATACCAAAGGAAAGATTAATAACCTTGAAGATACAGCAATAGAAACTATTCAAAACACAAAGAAAAAAATAATTTAAAAAATAAAGAGAGCATCAATAAGCTGTGAGACAGCTTCAACCACCCAAACACATATGTAACTAGAGTCCTCAAATGAGAAGAGAGAAGTGGGGCAGAAAATATGTGTGAAGAACAAATGGCCAAAAATGTTCCAAAGTTGATGAAAACTACAAACCCCATGCATCCAAGGAACTCTATGAACCCCAATACAAGAAACATGAAGAAAACCATATTAAGATGCATCACAATCAAACGCACAAGAGCAGCCACAGGAAAAAGGACACACTATGTAGAAAGGGAAAAAGATAAGGATAAAGGCAGATTTCTCATCAGAAACAATGCAAGTGAGAAGACAGTGGTGCAACATTTTTTAAATACCAGAAGGAAAAAACAACTATCAAGCTAGAAATCTATAACCAAGAAAAATATACAAATATTTGTATATTCCAGAGGTATGAATCAATCTCAGGGGTATGATGATGGATATGTTTACCATTTTTTTGTGTTTTTTTTTTGGACAGGGTCTCACTCTGTCGCCCAGGCTAGAGTGCAGTGGCATGATCACAGCTCGCTACAGCCTCAACTTCCCAAGCTCAGATGATCCCACTTCAGCTTCCCAAGTAGCTGGGACTACAGGCACATGCCACCAGTCCTGGCTAATTTTTGCATTTTTTTGTAGAGATGAGGTTTCATCATGTTGGCCAGACCAGTCTCGAACTCCTGAGCTCAAGCAATCAGTGGGCCTCAGCCTCCTAAAGTTCTAGGAGCGCAGGCGTGAGCCACCGCACCCAGCCACACTCTCTTGACTGTGATGATAGCTTCACCGGCTTATATACATCAAAACTAATCAAACTGTATACTTTATGTACAACTTATCATATATCACTATATTGCTAATAAAGCTGTTTTTAAAAAGTCAGTATCATATATATAGAAACAAACAAGAGAAGACAGTTCTCAATTAGTACTAAAGTGATAGATCAAATGTAAAGTGTGAAGTCTGAATGGATCCTGACTTTAAAAAAAAGCTAGCCTTTAAGAAAATAATGAAATTTTGAATGCAAATTGTACATTAGATGATACCATGGAATCACTGCTAATTGGCTTAGGTAGGATAATGGTAGTTTGGTTACATAGGAGAATATCCTCATTCTTAGATTCATGCTGAAGCATTAGGGTTAAAGTGTCATGTCAGCAATTTACTTTCAAATGATTCAAGCGGGATAGGTATATATGTGGAAGAAAAAAAGTCAATGTGGCAAAATATTAACAACTTGTTTCTAAGGAAAGAGTATATGGATGTCAGTTATATTATTCTTTCAATACTTTCTGCTTCATATTTTTCATAATAAAACAAGGGGAAAAAGATTAGCATATCTATATGGAAAAAATATCACAAACAGATAAAATACAAATAAGAAAAACACTCTAACACATGACAAAAATAGAGCTACTTTGTTTTATATGTAAAATAACTTTACAATCTGGAAGAAAAACATGAATAATTTTTTAAAGTAGGCAAAAATCACAAAATGACAACAGAAAATATGTAAATTACCCCCCAGAAAACCTCTAAAAATATACCCAACTTGTCATAATTAGAGAAATGCAAAACAAAATGATGTGATACCATTTTTCACCTGTTGGATAAGTTTTTTCTTTGATAAAAACTACTCTTGGTAAGAAATAACTGATGAAAACATATGCTCTCATATACTGTCAAATTGTATATTAGGTCGACCTTTTGGATGGTAATTTGGCAAAAAAAAATTTGAACTTTTATTTAGAATTTAAATTTAAAACATGCATACTCTTTGACCTAGCAATTCCATTTCTAAGAATATATACTACACATGAGGGGCCAGCCAACTTTGTCTTAAAGAGTCAGGCAGTAAATTATTTTCAGCTTTGTGAGCCATTGTGAAATGGTGTTACAACCATTTCATTCATCTACTCTAGTTTGAAAGCAGCCATAGACAACATACAAACAAATGGGTATGGCTGTGTTCCAATACAATTTTATTTACAAACAAGGTGCCCAACTATGGGCCATAGCAATCCCTACTATGTATTAAATTCTGAACAACACAAAGATATAGTTTATTACAGCACTACTTGTAACAGCCAAAAAACTGCAAATAACTATGTATTAATAAGGCACTTCATTCATAACTAATTATATATTAATAGGGCACTTAATTCATAACTAAATGTACATTGTAGGACACTTGATAATTCACAGTAAATCAACACAATGAAATGTGCAAATGTTTAAAAAAAGGTGACATTTATCTAAAATTATAGGAAAAAATCTCCAGGATAAGTTATTAAGTGGAAAAAAAATGCTGAGCATTATCTATAGGATACAGTATAAGAGAAGAAAAAATGATACATATGCATTAATTTTTCTGATTTTCTGTATGGATACACACGAAACAGTACTTACACCTGGAGAGTTGGACTACTGGGTCGGAGTTGAAGAAAATTTTACTTTTAATTTTATAACCTTTCCCATTTTTTACCATGAGCATGTAACTTTTGTAACTACTTTTATAATAAAATGAAATAAATGAAGTGGCACAGTGAAATTTAATATATGCTATGTGAATGAATAATAAACTAGGTAAGTTTCATCAAATGGGCATATGGGAATAAAAGCCAGTTCTAAAGCAATTACAAAGTAATGCTGCTGATAAAAGTGGACTGTGTAAAGGTAAACAGTGTCACAGCAACCATTACACATTGCAGGTTGACTCTCCAATATTCTTTCCCGTAGATCCGAGGTCAAGTTTCAAACTGTCTAAACTAATACATGGTAATGGCATCCTTCTGCCAAATGACTGGTTCAGGAGCTGCCAGCCCTAAGTTAAAGTTCTGGAAATGCTGTGGAAAATCTGAAAATGTAATGGGGAATAAACAAGAGATTAATGAAAGCATTGTATCTAATCAGCAAACTTCTGTGACTCTCCATATCACCAAGCTAAGTGACAGCTGGGGAAAGGCACAAACAGACCACAACAATGGATTTATCCAGAAATACAACAAGAGGCTGAAAAAAACAGTATTAGGCATCAGTGAAATTCCTAATTATAAATAAGTTTGAGAATGGGTACAGACAAACCTAGAGAGAGACCTTATGAAATGAGGAAACAAGAAAGCATGTCTATGTACTTGGAGGAAAAGGGAGGGAGTCAAAGGACCAGGTGATGAGCATTATGTAACAGTATGTTTGTTAGAACAAGAATCACAGAGGAGGTTAAATCAACCAGAGACTAGTTCTGCTGGTGAAATCTCAGCAAGAGAATCACTCCTACTACTAAGATCCTAGAAAAACTGAAGTAGAGTGCTGATGTTACTGAAGCTGAAGAAGTTAAGAACAATGAGGCCATGTTGGATGGGCCAACATGAATGTGAATGAAGATAAAGTTTTCAAAGGACTCAGCTCTCTTTATTTCATCTTTCTCTGTGGCAAAGTTAAAGAAAGGCCAGTATAATTAGATGACCTGATGTCAAAAGAGAATAAGTTATCTATTGATGGTGATAATGTTTAAAATTTTCTCTGAGTTGGGAAGGCCTAGGTTCCTATCCTGATAAGTTCACTTCTTAGATGTATACCATTGAAGTTACAAGTTACTTAACTTCTCTAGACAACATTTGATCAATAAAAGTACCTACTTCAGAAGATTATTGTAAAGATTACTTGAGATGATGCATATAAAGCGTTAAACAGTGCCTGGCACACGATTGATAATAAGTATTAGTTACTCTTACCAAAAATGGTCAAGTTGTAGCAGTACAGGTCAAGTCCTATGCCAACTGCCCCTTTTTGCCTAGTGGGTTACAAGAGCCAAAGAGATAGAAAAAAGTATAGATGACTGTAGGAGAAGCCCTGTATCTGGGGAAAGAAAGCTTTTAGTTAAGGTGAAACACCTGAATAAGCGCTTGGCAAATATAAAATAATTTGCACCCAAAGGGGCAGAAATCCATGAGTATAATGGAATGATTATTGCCCTAAAAACTCTCAAACCTAAATAATGCATCTCTCTTTAAATAACTTCTGACAGTAGTGCGTGGAAAAAGTAGAGTTAAAACATAAATAAAACCAAGCTGGGAGAAAATCAATCAACCAAATACAAAGGTGATACTGGTTCACTGGTTAAGAAACTAGCATTAGTGTCTATTACTGAGGACGAATGAAAAGAAACTAGCCAGAAAACTTGGCAAAGTTTGTTTCTAAATTTATAGATGCAAATTTACCGATTATGACCTCTTTCTCCAATGTAACAAGGGGAGTTATCCGTATCTTGATAACCTTAAGTGCTATCAAAAAGCAGGTTTCACTAAGTGTCAAAATGCAAAAATTGGTAACAAGTTAATTATTTTACATTTCTGAGGCTTCTTTTCTATTCAAAGTAATGCATTTTCATTGTAGAAAACTAGAATGAAAAAGTATACAGTTGTAAGGGGAAGCAATCTCATTACACAAAAATAAAAAAAACATTTTGCATGGACTTTCAGTCTTTTGACTGCATTTTTCATTATATCATAAGGTTATATTTTCTATACAATGTATGTCTATTTTATCACATAATACATTTTTTATATCTATTTTATCACATAATACTACGTCATAAGCACTCTATCTGCTTTACTATTAACAGTTACTAAACTAAGGGTGACGACTTTCTCTATAAAGGCCTTTACGGTTTCAGTCAACTTATTTTAGTAATAAATACGCTCCTTATGTAATTTCACAAGTTTAGGGTCAACTTTTAGGCCCCGGACCATGAGCAGCTTTTCAGAACTTCATGTGCAGCCCTAGAAGCTAATGTAAAGGGAAAAACTGCCATTATATATTTGATTTATCCAATGAGTTATGCTACTTTGAAAGTAAATTTCACATATACAAAAAGGACCAATAATATTAAAAATTGTATTCCTGTTTCTATACATGATGCTAATTTTTCCATTCTACCTTTGGTCAGGTGGTCACCTCAAGATGATCTGATGTGATTTATTTTTCCATGTACAAGCTGTAGAGTCACAACGTGACATTTTGTAGAGGGCCTATAGCTGTAGATTTTCTTCTCTGTACAAATAAGTCTGAAACTAAACTTAATTACCTTCTAAAATAACATACACAATTTTATCAAACAGGTGATGAAATAGTAATACATGTACACTTTAACATTTCTCATTCTTCTATTTCCTTTTCAATGCTTTAAGTATTTTAAAATTAGGCTTAGGCACAGTGGCTCATGACTGTAATCCCAGTACTTTGGGAGGCTGAGGCAGGAGGATCAGTTGACCCCCAGAGTTCAAGACCAGGCTGGGCAACATGGTGAGACCCCATCTCTACAAAAAAAATAAATAAATAAATAAAGCCAGGTGTGGTGGTGTGCACCTGTGGTCCCAGCTACTTGGGAGGCTGAGGCAGGGGGATTGCTTGAGCCCACGAGGTTGAGGCTGCAATGAGCCATGATTGCACCACTGCACTCCAGCCTGGACAAGAGAGAGAGAGAGACCCCATCTCAAATAAACAAACAAACAAACAAACAAACATTTAAAAATTAAGATGTGGCAGGCTGGGCACAGTGGCTAATGCCTGTAAGCCCAACACTTTGGGAGGTCAAGGCAAGAGGATGGCTTCACGCCAGTAGTTCTAGACCAGCGTAGTAGGCAACTAGCCTTGTCTCAAAAAACATTTTTTTTTAAATTAGCTAGGTATCGTGGTGCACCCTGCAATCCTAACTACTTGGGAAGCTGAGGCGGAAGATCACTTGAGTACAGGAGTTCAAGGTTGCAGTGAGCTAAGTAGGTGCCATTGTACTCCTGCCTGGACAACACGGGGAGACCTGTCTCTAAAATGTATTTATAAAAAAGTTAAAAAGATGTGCTACTAACCGGCAACTTTCAGGTTTCATTTTTTTAAACAGTAAATTATATAGCTCCTTATAATATTATCATTCATATGATATAAACATCTTAAACATACTACAAATATCCAACAGAATTCAGAACATCACACATTACTATCTGAACATGGTTCTTTTTCTTAATGTCATTTGACTCCAAACTTGCAGGCAGATTTTTTTCTACTCTTTAAGAATCTAATGTCAGAAAAGTTAACACTTTTGCAGTAAACTAAAATTAACAGAAATTTAAATGTTTAAAACAATTCCAAAGAAAGGCCGGGCACAGTGGCTCACGCCTGTAATCCCAGCACTCTGGGAGGCCAAGGCGGGCGGATCACGAGGTCAAGTGATAGAGACCATCCTGGCTAACATGGTGAAACCCCGTTTCTACTAAAAAATACCAAAAAACTAGCCGGGCGTGGTGGCAGGCGCCTGTAGTCCCAGGTACTCCGGAGGCTGAGGCAGGAGAATGGCGTGAACCTGGGAGGCGGAGCTTGCAGTGAGCTGAGATTGCGCCAATGCACTCTAGCCTGGGCGACAGACAAAGACTCCGAGGGAAAAAAAAAAATTTTTTTCAAGAGAAAAAAAAATTGCTTAAGTGATTTAACCACTTCATCACAAAAGAACTATTTAAAATTTATCAGAAATCTATATTCTGACAATTACCTTTGGGCCAAAGAACCCAAAGTACAAGACCATATGCCAAAGTAGTCTAATCAGCACTCTGAGGTAGGCCCTCCCAGTTTACAGAGGCACGTATTACAGTCTTAGGCCTCAGGCTCTTTCACCATGAATTGGTAAGAACTTTCATAACTCTAAAAGGTACATCAAGGGTTCATTAAAATACCATTAGAACACCTTGTAAAACCACTAAACAGCAAATATGTCTTCCTTGGCTAATGGGAACTGAAAGAATTGTGAATTCATGTGAAAACTGGTGCTACTGTGGAAAAGTGTCTATTCTTTTAGGGTTATCTCAAAAGTCGGAAGCATTTTTGTAGCTCAATATATGAAGCTCAAACAGTGGTTACATTCAAGTTTGGCATATTCTGAGTTTTTATCTTGTTACTGTGGTTCTGTATCAGACATCTGGTCTCTTGCATCTCACCGAGCCTCTGTTCTTCTCCAGCCAGAAAGGAAATTCAGAGGTTTCACTGAGGGGGAGAATGGGAAGCTGTTAAGAATTGTAAGAGAAAGTTCTTACAATTCCTGGCCAGCCACAGTGGTTCATGCCTATAATCCCAACGCTTTGGGAGGATCACTTGAGCGCAGGAGTTCAAGACCAGCCTGGGCAACATGGCGAAACTCCGTCCCTACTAAAAATACAAAAATTGGACGGGCGTGGTGGCACATGCCTGTAATCCCAGCTACTCGGGAGGCTGAGGTGGGAGGATCACCTGAGCCCAGGAGGTCGAGACTGCAGTGAGCAGTGTGACTGGGCCACTGCACTCCAGCCTGGGCGACAGAGACCCTGTCTCAAAAAAAAAAAAAAAAAAAAAAAAGGGCGGGGGGCCAAGGGGCTCAAATCCTAACCCACTATTTTTTTTTTAAGCAAAGATTAGAAAAAATTAATGCCAAGGTTTTTTTTGTTATTAATCCTCAGTATGATCTTGCTAAACGATGCATTGTTACAACTCTCAAACTTTCAGTTTGAGGAAGACAACGGCAGTGCCCCCACAAATCAACCAATTTTTCAATTAAAGAGGAGTCCTGGTGTGATAGAAAGTTAAGGAATTAGGAACAACTGATAACAACTTTCTAGGTCTTGCTGGGAATATCCTGATTCACTCATCCAAGGGGCCTCATGTCCCTCGTGCGGAGTATGAAAGACTGTATTAGATCTCCGTGGATCTTCATCCTGGCTCTAAAAACTGCCTCTTTGTAAGTTCATGGCTAGCTTCCACAATTTACCATGGTATGAGAGGAGGGAGGCAGGATTAATTCTGCCCACAATCTTGAGGACGCTGAACGTGTTTTGGTTCATAATTTGACAAAAATGACATTTTTTTAGGTTACAGTAGAGGGGGGAAGCCCGTCTTGCTGGTCAAGGGTGACTGAAACTTTGCTGAAAGACTTACTGCCTGGCTTGTACAGCCACCGCTTGTGTAATAAGGCCATCCCCTCGGACTCAGGTGGTTAAACATCAGGCCCTGCTGCCCAAGTGTGTCCCCAACCCAAGGTGCACCCTGGGGGCGCTGAAAGACCAGGGGTCGCTGGGGTGAGTGCGGGTTGCTCCTGGAGTTGGGCGCTCCAAACGTCCTCGGAGTCCTAACTCCAAAGCAGCATGCCGGGGTCCCAAATACTCTCTTCTCTTCAGCCCAAGCTCTTCCCCACCTCTTCCTAAATCCCGAAAAGGGCGCTGAACCCGTTCATCAGGAGCCCGGGAGAAAGGGAGGGAAGGCAGAGGGGGGTACTCGCGGAGTGAGTGGCGGCCGCAGAAAAGGACAGGCCTTTAGTACCAGCCAAAATATTGTTTTTTAAGCCCCAGCCCAACCGCAGGGCCTCCCGAGAAAAGACTTCTTCGGCCGTCTGGACAGAAGAAGCGAGCGGCCGAAAGAAGGACAAGGGGGAGGAGGCGTGAGGTCCTTACCCGCTGCAAAGCTGCCGGCTGCCGGCCGCAGCCGCCGGCTCCAGTACCGGAGACCGGAGGCAGCTCCGAGGAGCCGTAAGGAGGCTGCCATGCTGCGCCCGCCCCTCTCCCCGCGGTGACCTCCGCCGCCTCCCGGAGGGCCCACAGACTGCGAGCGTGTGCAGCGGGACTGGCTGGCTCGCCCACGGAGAAGGGCGCGCGCGCACGCGCTCTCACCGCTCGGGGGCGGGTGCCCACGCGCGAGGGAAGGAGCGCGGAGCCGAGAGGAGCGGCCTGACGCGGCAGGGCCTGTCAATCCCTTTACGGACAGGGAAGCAGACCAATCAGAATTCCCAGGTCCGCAGCTGTGCGAAGGACCAATAAGAGGCCTTTTTGAACAGTGACGCCAGGCGCCCTGGCGCTGCCCCCAAGCTCGTGCCTCATTTACAGCCTGCGGGCGGGAGTCTCCTTGTTTACCAAAGCAGAGGGCGTGTGGGAGGCGGGGGCCGTCGCTCGCTCCCGCCTCCTCGGAAACCTTGTCCCCACAACCGCTGCGTGTTAAAAAGGACAAAACTGACTCGCAGCTTGAAAAACACTCAGAAAGCTACCATGTGTGTAATAACTTTTAAATTCATTTGATTTTACTTAACACAACAGTTTCTCAATACTAAAAATAGTAGGAAAAGAAGTTGGTAACATTATCTTTGAAGGGAAGAGTTACTAGAAACTTGCACTTTCTATTTCAAGGCATATTTCTCTAATCTTTGAAAATTCTACACCCTAAATCCATTTTGTAAGCAAAACTAAATATAAAATCCAGAAAGTAGTAGTATATGTATGTGTATTAGAAAGACCTTTTTTTTTTTTGGAGACGGAGTCTCTCTGTCACCCAGGCTGGAGTGCAGTGGCGCGATCTCGGCTCACTGCAATCTCCGCCTCCCGGGTTCAAGTGATTCTCCTGCTTCAGCCTCCGGAGTAGGTGAGGTGGGACTATAGGCCTGCGTGCGCCACCACACCCGGCTAATTTTTTTGGCACTTTGAGTAGAGGCGGGGTGTCGCCATTTTGCCTAGGCTGGTCTCAAACTCCTGGCGTCAAGTGATCCGCCCGCCTCGGCCTCCCAAAGTGCTGGTTATTACAGGCGTGAGCCACTGCGCGGTGCAGAGAGACAGACATTTAGTCATTCTTCTGTCAATGCTTAGTGTACATATTTGAGTCTGTAAACCCCTTGGGGGTAATTGCAGGCCTTCTCATCTCCACTGACTCCACCAAAGGGTTGGAAGCCATGACCACACCAAAGCAAGACTATAGCCTTTGGAGAATGGCAATACAGCAGGAAAGAGAATGTGTATGGAGTAGCTAGGGAAATGCGAACCCCAATCTAAGTAGCACAATCAACAAAATTTGACTTTGACCTTTTTTTCAACTCAGTAACCCATGGAGTTGAAAGCAAAGGAATTGGATCATTTCCATCTGGGCTCTTTTCATGTTTCTGGGCATGCTGGCAACGTTTCCAAAAACTTAAAAACTTGTACAGAGTGCAAGGTCCCTATCTGTAACTGGGAGGAAGTTAATGCCCTTCTTTGACCATCACTCCACCCCAACCCTCTACCCAACACTAAATGAAAAGAAGGAAGGAAAGGGACGAAGGGAGGGAGGGAGAAAAAACTCATTTCAACAATTAGACCTTCTCCTAGATTTGGGTCCCCACCCCTACTAGGGGTAAATTAGTTTCTGGAGCATTTCCCACCTGTGCCTCTCTTCCTGGTTTCGTCAGGTTTTAGCTGGAATAGATCTCCTGCAGGCAACAAATGTGGGCCTACAGGTTTCTTTTTCTTTTTCTTCCTCCAGCACTACAGGTTTCTATAATTAACTCCTGAACTGCAATTGGTCTTTCAACTGTGTCTCCTCCAAGAAGCCCTGCATTGTCTTCTCCAACAATGTCTCCTCCAAGAAGCCCTACATTGATTCATAAACTAAGGAATTTTCATAGGTTTCCATGATTTTAAAGAAGCGTTATGAATTTTTAAGTAATTCTTACTGTTTGAAGGTGCTTGCAGATATTATTGTACTGGCAAATGCAGTTCCTGCCTATGGCTGGTTAGCTTTCTTCATTTGATTGCCCTCCTGATGCCCTTGTTTGAAAGGCACTGCAACTCCTCCCTGAGTCTTTGCCACGCATTTTTGTTTGTAATTGTTTCAATGCCTTATAGTGGCCCCTGACTTCCGCTTCCAGGAAGATGGAGTAGATAGGTTTCTCCCTATTCTTCTAAGTACAACTAAAAACTCAACATTATATATAAGATAAACATAGGGAGACTTTGAAAGGTGGAGAGAAGTCACACTGGCTAGGGTCCAGAGAGCAACACGGTGGGAAGTTCCTTGGGTTTTCATGTAGCCTTATATACCCCAAACTGGGTGCTGGAGAAGCCAAAACCAGAAACCCCAAAATGCCAGGAAGCATAGATAGACAAAAAGTGCCCCAATAAAAGGCTGCTCTTTCTAGCCAAGTGATGAAAAAGGAGTGGCCTAGCAAGAAAGGAAACATTTAGAAGATAATCACTCCACTGTAGACAAACAATACACACATACATACACACACTGACCCCACCCCATAAAGCAAAGGCTGAGTTGGGAGCCTAGACTTCCACACTCTCCAGGTTGTGATGAGACACCCCAGCATCCTAACACCCCAATCGCTCTACTCCTCAACCCCTCTAAGGTGATGTCAGAGAAAACCAAAGAGAGGTATGGGATTTTCATCTTCAACTGGGCAGTAACAAGTAATCCTCCACACACATCCTTCCCTACTCTCAGTGTCACTGGAAACCACAGGGCGACCCTGGATTTCCACTCCTACCTTACAGTGGTGAGGTACCCCTCCCTTTCCCTGCTTAGATGGTGTAATTGGAGGTGTATTGGAGAGTCAGAGCTTTCATCACTGCCCAATGGTAAGGATGTCACACCCCTTCCCCTCCATGGTGTCACTGGAGGCTACATGGGGGCAGTAAGGAGCCATTCCAAGCCCTCTCAACTAGGGAAGTATCAGTGGACAACTAGTGGGGAGCTGAAACTCCCACCATTGCCCAGCAGTAACAAGGAACCACCCACCCTTGGTGTCAACAGAGGTGGAATAAGGAACCTAGACTTCTACTACCAGTTGCCATTTACAAGTTGATGCCCCCTGCCAGAGCAGTGTCAAGAAAAACTAGTTAAAATAAAAGGTTTAAATAATATCCAAAATATCATAATACCCAAATGTCCAGATTTCAACAAAAAATCACTCATGATACCAAATTTCAATTAAAAAATGACTCATGATTCCAAAACCCAGGAAGATTTCAAGCTGAATAAAAAAGACAATAGATGCCAACACTGAGATGACAAGTTAAAATTATCTAACAAAGATTTGAAAGCATCCATCAGAAAATATTTCAAGAAGCAATTAAAACATGCTTGAGGCCAGGCATGGTGGCTCACACCTGTAATCTTAGCACTTTGGGAGGCCGAGGCTGGCAGATCACTTGAGGTGAGGAGTTCAAGATCAGCCTGGCCAACATGGTAAAACCCCATCTCTTCCAAAAAAATACAAAAATTACCCAGGTGTGGTGGTGGGCACCTGTAATCCCAGCAACTCAGGAGGCTGAGGCAGGAGAATCACTTGAACCCAGGAGGCGGAGGTTGCAGTGAGCTATCACGCCACTGCACTCCAGCCTGGATGGCAGAGTGAGACTCCTTCTCAAAAAGTAAAATAAAACAATAAAACATGCTTGAATTAAATAAAAAGAAATCTCAGCAAAGAAACAACATATAAAGAAGAAATAAATGGAAATTTTAAAACTGAAAAAATGCAAGAAATACAATTTTTTAACTCAACAGCAGAATAAAGAAAAGAATCACTGAGCTAGAAGATAGAACAGTAGAAACTATCTAATCTAAACAGAGAGAAACTAGACTGGGATTTAAAAAGCTACGAAGCGCTGGGCGAGGTGGCTCAAGCCTGTAATCCCAGCACTTTGGGAGGCCAAGGCGGGCGGATCACGTGGTCAGGAGATCGGGACCATCCTGGCTAATACGGTGAAACCCCGTCTCTACTAAAAATACAAAAAAATTAGCCAGGTGTGGTGGCGGGCGCCTGTAGTCCCAGCTACTCGGGAGGCTGAGGCAGGAGAATGGCGTGAACCCAGGAGGTGGAGCTTGCAGTGAGCCGAGATTGTGCCACTGCACTCCAGCCTGGGCGACAGAGCGAGACTCCGTCTCAAAAAAAAAAAGCCACGAAGCTCAGGGGCATGTGTTGTGACTCTTAACAAAAGATCTAACATTCAGCTGGGTGTGGTGGCCCACGCCTGTAATCCCACTTTGGGAGGCCCAAGCAGGTGGATCACCTGAGGTCAGGAGTTCAAGACCAGCCTGGCCAACATGGTGAAACCTCGTGTCTACCTAAAATACAAAAATCAGCTGGGCATGGTGGTGGGCGCCTGTAATCCCAGCTACTCAGGAGGCTGAGGCAGGAGAATCGATTGAACCTGGGAGCAGGAGGTTGCAGTGAGCCGAGATCGCGTTACTGCACTCCAGCCTGGACAACAAGAGTGAAACTCCGTCTCAAAAAAAAAAAATCTAACATTCCTGTCATCAGAATCTCAGAATCTGGGAAGAAGAGGAATAAGACTTTCCCAACAATACCCACACTATCTAATCATTTTTACGCCTATTCCTAAGATATCATTCTCTCTGTACTCACCTCCCTGACAATGCAGTACTCTTTCCCTTTCCCAGAGCACTCTGAGTTCCTCAGGTTCTCTGCTTTTCTTCTTTCCTTCCTTTCTCTTTTCCACACATTCTAATACTGCTTCTACACTCCCCACTTGTTAGGACTCAACTCAAAGTGACTTTCCTCAAGAAGTCTTTTTCTGAATAATATATAAGCAGTCATAAAAACAATCCAGTTTGATTAAGAAACTACATTTAAAGTCACTTTCAAAAACTATCAGCATCAGGTTTGGTTGGATAAAACAAAGTCCAAATGATAACAATTTGGTTTTTCCTCTCATAAAAGTAGTGTGGATGTAGGCAGAACCAGGGCCAGTTTGACAGCTCTGAGTTGTCAAAATTCCAAACTTCTCATTTTGTTTTACTGTCTAAAATGATTTTCTAACCTCATAATTACTTCATGATCAAAGATAGCTGCTAGTGGTCCAACCATCTTGTCTGAGTTCCAGGCAAGAGGAAAGAAAAGGAGGGAAAAGTAAAGGAAAGAGGTGTGTCAGCAAACTGTTCTCATTTTCAGAAGCCTCCCTATAAGTCCCACCCCACAATTGTCCTTCCCACTGGCCAGAACTTAGTCACTTAGCCATAAGATTTGGATGGCATGACAAGTCTTTGTTCTAGGCAGTTTTAAAAATTTTGGAACACAAAACACCGGTAAGATAATTGAGTTGTGTCCTAAGATAAGAGCAAATCTAAGTACATATTATTGCATTTATTTAAATGGATTAAAGTTGGAGACATCAGTATGAACTCATGCTTAACTTAATATAGATACAGATGGTTACATATAGAAATATTTATCAATGTGTATATAGACACAGGTTAGTATACACATGTCTCTTTGCTCTGTCATCTGAGGGGGCCTAGAAGCAATTATAATCCAGTAGCAACAATTGTGTGTTTTCCAGTTCTATATGTCTACCTTTGACTGTGGTCAACAATTATCTTGTAATTGGATTGCAAGATCCTTGTAAATATGGATTACAAAAGGTTATTGAATAAATTTAATTACCATGAAATAAATATCTGTTGATTTTGCCAATTATTATTATCATACAACCCAATTTATATTCAGAGTTATTTTACTTACTATGTGGCCCTCAACATGCAAATTCAATATGAACATATAATCAAATGAATTAACTATATTCTTTTGTTTCTGTTTCATAAAACATATCCAAACATGTTAATGTTCATAAATACTATTGAGCAATGCACTACATCTTTCATTATCTTTTTTCTTTTCTTTTCTTTTTCTGAGACGGAGTTTCACTCTTGTTGCCCAGGATGGAGTGCAATGGCGTGATCCTGGCTCACCGCAACCTCTGCTTCCCGGGTTCAAGCGATTCCCCTGCCTCAGCCTCCCAAGTAGCTAGGATTACAGGTATGTGCCACCACACCGGCTAATTTTATATTTTTTTAGTAGAGATGGGGTTTCACCATGTTTGTGAGGCTGGTCTCGAACTCCTGACCTCGAGTGATCCACCTGCCTCGGCCTCCCAAAGTGGTGGGATTACAGGTGTGAGCCACCACACCCAGCATACTTTCTAATATGGCATGATAGTAAGGAGCCTGAGACTTATCTCTTTTGATGATGTCTATGGTATAAAGGTGTTACAAATTCCCATAAATCACTGTTCCATCTTGATAATTTTGTTCCTCAGTCATGGACCTGAATTTTTATGACCTCTCAGTATGGGAAGATTCAAAATCATCCTTACTTTTTTGCTAGTTATATAACTAGCAAAAAAAAAATTAACTAGCATATGAATTAATAATATTAGAAAGGGATGTATACAAGTGATAAAACTTTTTTTTTTTTTTCTGAGACAGAGTTTCGCTTTTGTTGCCCAGGTTGGAGTGCAATGGCATGATCTTGGCTCACTACAACCTCCGCCTCCCAGGTTCAAGTGGTTCTCCTGCCTCAGCCTCCCGCGTAGCTGGAATTACAGGCACCTGCCACCAGGTCCAGCTAATTTTTTGTATTTTTAGTAGAGACGAGGTTTCACCATGTTGGCCAGGCTGGTGTTGAACTCCTGACCTCTGGTGATCCACCCGCCTCCACCTCCCAAAATGTTGGGATTATAGGCGTGAGCCACCGCGCCTGGCCAAAACTATTTTAATTCTAATAAAGACCACATAGTAAATCAGTCTTTATGTCACAAGTTGTCTTAGTTCATTTTGTGCTGCTGTAACAGAACACCACAAACTGGGTAATTTGTAAAAAACAGAAATTTATTTCTCACAGTTCTGGGGTCTGGGAAGTCCAAGATTAAGGTGGCATCTTCTGTGGGCCTGCTGGCTGTGTCCTCACATGGCAGAAGAGTGAAAGAGGGCAAATGTACTCCCACAAGTCCTTTTTATAGTGGCAGAGCCCTCATGACCTAAACACCTCCCAGAAGGCCCCACCTCCCAATACTGTTGCATGGGGGATTAAGTTTCCAGCTATCAATTTTGGGGAACACATTCAGACCATCGCACAAATTATTTTAAAATTTTAATTTGCTTAAAGAAATAAAAAGAGGGTGTTGGTCTGCATTACTGAAAAGTCTGTAGTAGAGAGACTTGTTCCACTCTACCTGCCATGGTCTTGGCTTCATCTTCAAGCATCACGCACTGTCCTAGTTGCTCCCCTGGCAGTGGCCAGTGGCTATGGCTGCTTACATTCTCATACTGAACCATCCTGGGGTGGATATGAACTTTCTTATGGAAGACGGAGGAAACTTTTGTCCTCACAGATACTGATTAGATTCTTGCTTACCTCTGAATCAATTACTATTGCCATAACAATGGAATAATACAAAGCTCTGGTATCAGGGCTCACAGTGGAGCTAAGTTGAGGTCATTCTCACTCAAACTATGGCTTGAGCATGGGAGATGAGGGAAAGATATGTTCTGGGTTTTTTAACCCACAAGAGGATGAAGGGCTACAGGATAACAACAATGGGTGTCGACCTCAGACAGTGACTGAGCAAATTAATACATAGACGTGACTTTAAACAGGGTTTTAGACTGGCAGCTCCAGGTAAAATCTCATCTTCAAAATGTACTGCAGTGCTTTTAAAAATTGGAATCACAATCTGTCATGGGATTAGACTGAAATAATAAAAGAAAAAGAAAAAATTGGAATCAGATGCCTTTGGAGAAGTCAGGCAGTCTCCCATGTTGACATCGTATGTTTATGTAACCTACTGGCCCCTTTGTGATTGAGGAAGCAGTGGATCAACTTTGTTCAATATCCCATATACCAATTATAACAAAAAAAGCTGAAGTATATGGTTTTGCTGTTGTTTATTTGATTTTGTTCAAGAGTTTAATTACCAGAGACTCATAACATAATTCTGGTAGCCTTGGATCACTCTGATATTTCCTAGTCAGATTACTTCTACATCTGGCCCAAGATGGTTCAGTTCATCTTCCAACCCACTTCCAATTCATCTTCACAGATCATAAAGCAATGGCTTGCCATCCTAAGTGCACATTAGAATTTTTTCGAAATGTGAAAGTCCAGTCCCCATCCAAAAGTAATTTCTAAGGTGAGTCATCAACCATTTGATTTTTTTTTTTTTTTTTTTTTTTTTCAGATGGAGCTTTGCTCTTGTTGCCCAGGCTGGAGTGCAATGGCACAGTCTCGGCTCACTGCCACCTCCGCCTCCCAGGTTTAAGCAATTCTCCTGCCTCAGCCTCCCGAGTGGCTGGGATTACAGGCATGTGCCACCATGCCCAGCTAATTTTGTATTTTTAGTAGAGATGGGGTTTCACCATGTTGGTCGGGCTGGTCTCGAACTCTGACCTCAGGTGATCCACCCACCTCAGCCTCACAAAGTACTGGGATTACAGGCGTGAGCCACTACACCCAGCTGAATTTATTTTTAATTTCCTCAAGTTCTGCTTTACAGTGATAATTGAGAGCCACTTCCATAAAAGGTAAAACTATCTAAGACATAAGAGATGCTCAGGAATAAATCATGCTAGCAGTGATAGCAAGCATAGAAAGAAAGAGGCAGGTATGAGAGATATCTGGGGTGCAAAATTAATATTATCACTTACTTCCAGGGGTTGAAGGAGACTTGAAGGAGAATGGATAATCTAGGTAGATTCCCAGGCGTTTGGGTGAGTGGATAGATGAAAGTGCCATCTCCCAACACAGGGAACTGTGTAACAGTGAGTCGGAAGTGGACATTATTCAAGGGCAGTTGGCCATATGGAGAGTGTGAGTTAGAGATATATATCTGGGAGTCGTGGGCTAATAGATGATACTTAAATCATCAATGTAGATGGGGTCATCCAAACATTTATAAAATGAGAAGGCAACATGGTTTCTGATAAAACCCCTGGGAACACCCCTAAGGAGGTGGGAAAGGGTGTAGAAAAATAAGTTTATGAAGATGGAGAAGGAGGGGCCGTTGAGGAGGAAAACAAGAATGATGTCATAGAAGTTGAAGCAGCAACAAAGCTTAAGGAAGGAATATTTCACAGTGCTGGTTATTATAATCAGTGATTGGTAAGATAAGTACAGAAAAGTCGGTATAGGCTTTTACAGCTAAGAGTTATTGTTGACTTTAATAAGGGAGAGCAGGTTCAGTGAAATGGTGGGGCCACTCACAATAGGTCAAGGGAAGAATGAGAAATGGAGAAATAAAGACAATGAATCTTGCCCACTTTTTCAAGAAACATGGCCTGTGAAGGAAAGGAGAAATCAGAAGACAGCAAATTTAATGAAGGTTTTTATTTGTTTGTTTTCATTTTAAAGAGGAAAGAGATTTGAGTATGTTTAAATGCTAAGGGGGAAAAGTGAGTAGAGGGCTGGGCAGGGTGGCTCCCACCTGTAATCCCAGCATTTTGGGAGGCTGAGGTGAGAGGACTGCTTGAGCCCAGGAGTTCAAGACACGCCTGGGCAACCCAGCGAGACACTGCCTCTACAAAAAATAAAATAAATTAGCCAGGTGTGGTGGTGCATGCCTGTGGTCCCGACTACTCGGGAGGCTGAGGTGGGAGGACTGCTTGAGCCCAGGAGGTTGAGGCTGCAGTGAGCCATGATCACGCCACTTCATTCCAGCCTGGGTGACAGAATGAATCCCTGTCTCAAAAACAAAAAACAAACTTCCCCATTTAGTTTATACATGTGGCAAAGTAGTTAGCTGAATTGTGTTTATGTTCTAGTGTTTTGTGGAAGGTAGAACTCAGAAGTGATGAAATTGGAGGTTTCTAACAAGTGTTAAAGGAGGGGCTTGGTTCCTTCCATTTATAGTAAAATGCAGCAGGAGAGAAAATAATTGAAGATGAAATTGTCAAGCAAAAAGGAACCAGAAGTCAAAGCAATGTTTAGCAAGTCGCAAAAGAGTACGTGCATTTATATGGTACTCAAAACAGGCAGAACAAAAAGTATTTCATTTTTTGAATACATATACAGATAGTAAATCTATGGTGCTGATTTATTATTATTATTATTATTATTATTTTGAGATGGAGTTTTGCTCTTTTTGCTCAGGCTGGAGTGCAGTGGCATGGTCTTGGCTCACTGCAATCTCTGCCTCCCGGGTTCCAGTGATTCTCTTGCTTCAGCCTCCCAAGTAGCTGGGATTACAGGCACCCGCCACTACGCCCAGCTCATTTTTGTATTTTTAGTAGAGACAGGATTTCTCCATGTTGGCCAGGCTGATCTCGAACTCCTGACCTCAGGTGATCCACCCGCCTCGGCCTCCCAGAGTGCTGGGATTACAGGTATGAGACACCGTGCCCAGTCTAAAACTATTATTTTAAGCAAGAGAATAATTAACACAGGTTTCAGTTAGAGGTTACCTCTGATTGGGAGGAAGGGAAGGCAGATTTATTATTATTCTTTACATAATAGTAAGGTCAGGAAAATTTCACAGGGATTATTCCATGAGTCTAGATCAATGATTCAGAGAAATCAACATGTTTTATGTATTCTTAGTCACAGGGCATGACACTGAGCAGAACATTTCCAGCCTACCTTGCAGCTAGATTTGGTTATATAACTAAATCTGGGCCCATAACCTATGAGCAGAAGTGATGTGTGTGACTTCCACATCTTTCCTTAAAGCCAGAGTCCCCTGCCCTCGACATTTTTTTTCCATTCCCACAGACTAGAATATAAACATGGAGAGAGCCAGTTTCAACCATATGGATGAAGACAATACCTAGAGAGGTGGTAAAGCAAGGAGACAGAAGAAACTTGGGTATCCGAATGAAACCCAGGCCTCTGCTCTAATGAAGTAAGACCCCCAGGCCAGCCCTGGACCTCTTACTCTAGATTTATAAGAGAGAAAGAAACTTCATTTTATTTAAGTCAATATATTTTGGAGTCTCTTTATTATAGCAGCTTAGCTTGCACCTTGACTAATAAAGCCACTGCCATGTATTTTTTTTGTAAATGTCAGTAGATAGGCATGAATTTAAAAATGGAATCGTGTGCACAATAGCAAAGACTTGGAACCAACCCACATGTCCATCAATGATAGACTGGATTAAGAAAATGTGGCACATATAGGCTGGGCGTGGTGGCTCACACCTGTAATCCCAGCACTTTGGGAGGCCAAGGCAGGCAGATCACAAGGTCAGGAGATGGAGACCATCCTGGCTAACACGGTGAAACCCTGTCTCTACTAAAAATACAAAAAATTAGCCGGGTGTGGTGGCGGGCGCTTATAGTCCCAGCTACTCCGGAGGCCGAGGCAGGAGAATGGCCTGAACCTGGGAGGCAGAGCTTGCAGTGAGCTGAGATCCCACCACTGCACTCCAGCCTGGGCAACAGAGCGAGATTCCATCTCAAAAAAAAAAAAAAAAAAAAAAAGAAAAGAAAAGGAAAAAGAAAATGTGGCACATATACACCATGGAATACTACTCAGCCATAAAAAAGGATGAGTTCATGTCCTTTGCAGGGACATGGATGAAGCTGGAAACCATCATTCTGAGCTAACTATCACAAGGACAGAAAACCAAACACTGCATGTTCTCACTCATAGGTGGGAATTGAACAATGAGATCACTTGGACACAGGGTGGGGAACATCACACACTGGAGCCTGTAGGAGGGTGGGGGGCTGGGGGAGGGATAGCATTAGGAGAAATACCTAATGTAAATGATGAGTCGATGGGTGCAGCAAACAAACATAGCATATGTATACCTATGTATCAAACCTGCATGTTGTGCACATGTACCCTAGAACTTAAAGTATAATTAAAAAAAAATAAATAAAGTAGCAAAAAAAAATGGAATAGTGTGCATGTGCCATGGTATACAAGAAGACCAGCTGCTTCCACATCCTGGAAATGTCATTTTCTCAGTGCCTGGGAGTAATCAGGCCCTGAGAGACTGGGACAAGTTGTCTGAAAAGCACAAGAGACCAAAATAGGTACCAGAATGCAAATGTATTAATTTACTAGGAGAAATAAAACAGCAATACCCCTGTGGACATAATCAGCATATTCCCTCTCCTGTAATGAAGCTACATAGGAAGCTAAGCCATATTCAGAAGTCATTTCCATGATTTGCTAGAAATGTTTGAAGTTCAGGTGGTCAACCCAGGCTCTCCCTGGTTGATCTACATTGGAATTAGATGGTTCCTTCATGAGTATGAGAGAAACAGATAAATCAAATGTTTAGTGAATGTCCTGTTACTTTTGTGACCATATTAAGAGGAAGTACTCAAAATCAATGCCTAACTCTCCTATATTTATCTTTGCATTGGAAATGGTATTGCAAGGCCAGGCACAGTTGTCTCAGGTCTATAATTCCAGCATTTTGGGAGGCTGAGGTGGGAGAATCACTTGAGGCCTGGAGTTCAAGACCTGCCTGAGCAAAATAGTGAGACCATGATTCTACAAAAGAAAGAAAGAAAAAATAAATGGTTTTGCAACTGGAACCAGGAATAGGTCAAATTTAGGTGGCATAGTTTCCTTTTGCTTGGACAGTGGACACTACTGGTGTTTGCCTTTGTGACTTTTCTTTTTTTGAGACAGGATCTTGCTCTGTGGTCCAGGCTGGAGTACATTCATGTTCTTAGCTCAGGCATGTTCTTAGCTCACTGTGGCCTCAACCTCCTAGACTCAAGCAACCCTCCCATCTCAGCCTCCTGAGTAGCTGGGACTATAGACATGTGCCACTACAACTGGTTAATTAAAAAAAAAAATTGGTAGAGACTGTGCAGGCAGCGGGGGGCCTCACTAAAATTCCTCACTCAAGCTCAAGGGATCCCCCCACCTCAGCCTCCTGAACCACTGGGATTACAAGCACAAGTCACTGTGCCCAGCCCCAACTGTGACTTTTCTCATCCCAAGGGCTGATCCAAAGAGTATTGCTTGCCTTTCAGGAGATTTTCACCTGTTGGGGGGAAAAAATCTCCCTAGATTAGTAGACTTTCTGGGAAGTACTATCTTTGTTCTGAAGATATGCTATGTGTATTTTTTGGAGACAAAACATCTTTCTTTTAGGACATGACAGCAGTAGTAGACTGTTAGATCTTTTTCATGCCAGTCTTGGGTAAATTGAAAAGTTGGCAGCACTTCATCACATTCTACAATTTTTTTTCTAACTTGGTCATAAAATTCAAAGTCCTGGAACTACTGTTCTGTCCTGCCACAGTTGAACAACGACTTGTTTTGATTGATACATTCTTAAAATGTGATAATAACTTCAAACTGGTTTCATTAAAATTTTCTGGGCCTTTGGCCGGGCGTGGTGGCTCACGCCTGTAATCCCAGCACTCTGGGAGGCCGAGGCGGGCAGATCTCGAAGTCAGGAGATCGAGACCATCCTGGCTAACACGGTGAAACCCCGTCTCTACTAAAAATACAAAAAATTAGCCAGGCGTAGTGGCAGGCGCCTGTAGTCCCATTTACACGGGAGGCTGAGGCAGGAGAATGGCATGAACGCGGGAGGCGGAGCTTGCCGTGAGCCGAGATCACGCCACTGCACTCCAGCCTGGGAGACAGAGCGAGACTCTGTCTCAAAAAAAAAATTTCTGGGCCTTCGAGCTATCCTTCATGTGATTCCTTTTAGTTAGTTTTATAACTAAAAATTTAGGGGCATTTTGTTTTATCACATTCGCAAGTTATCAATGCATATCACTATAGCTCTCAATTATTCACAACATCCTATGGATTCACTTTCTAAGAGCACAGGAATCATGTCATAGTAATAATAACAATGATCTCTACCATTTATTGAGCATACTGTATATGCTAGGCACTATGTAAGTCCTTTACGTGGAGCAATTCAGGTCAACCTTTCAGCAACCCTTTGAAGCAATTATAATTATTCTTTGCATTTGAAGAGAAAACAATTAGGAAATGAAGAGGTTGTTAACTTGTCCAAGATTACACAGCTATAAATAGGACTAGAACTCAAAAAAAGGCATCTGATTCCAAAGGCCATGCTCATAACCACTATATATTCTGTCTTTCAAAAAATCAGGGGCTGCATCCCCATTGGGAATTTGAACTCTGGTTTTCCATGAGAAAACAAAACTAGTGAGGCCTTGCAGGGCTTTTTTTTTTTTTTAATATTTAATACATAAAAAATATTCAGTGCTAAACCTAATCTATACCATCCATATACAAAAAACTTTCATTGTGTAGGGTAGAATAATGAAAATATTTCTCAATAAATTTTTTTTTTTACTCTTTCTATTTGTAAACTTTTTGTCCCTAAAGAGATTCCTAACTACAGCTTTATCAAGAACAGTATACTTTAAAAAAGAAGTGGCCAGATGCAGTGGCTCACGTCTGTAATCCCAACAGTTTGGGAGGCCGGGGAGGGCAGATCGCTTGAGCACAGGAGTTCGAGACCAGCCTGGGCAACAAGGTGAAACCCCATCTCCACTAAAAATACTCAGGAAGCTGAGCTGGGAGGATCACTTGAGCCTGGGAGGCAGAAGTTGCAGTGCGCTGAGATTGTACCACTGCACTCCATCTTGGGCGACAGAGACACTGTCCCTCCCCCCAGAAGAAAAGAAGTCTATTCTTTCTTGCAGGTCCTTTTTTTGTTTTGTTTTGCTTTGCTTTGCTTTGTTTTTCCAACACACTTTCTGATTTTAACCTACTCAGCCAATGTGACAGAGATAATACCAGCCCTTGTCTCTCTATTCCATTTTCTGGGATATGGTCTTGGGTTCTGTTTAAGGAAGGTCCTGTCTCTGATTTGCATGTCTTTCTGCCATACTGAATCCTTCAAACCTTCCTTGGTCTTCCTGCACTGATCTCTCCTGAGTGTACCCTATGTAACTTGTCCTAATGGGGGTCTTTTGGGAAGTCTACAACATATGCCAATTTTCCGCATATTATTAGCCTCGGCTTTAGTGCTTTGGATCTCCCAACCATATTATGTAATGCTTGATGTATTAGGGATTCCCATTCTGAACTCTAAGAAAAATAATCAAACCAAAAATTACATTCAAGACTTTCTCCAGTGGTTTCCGTATATTAACTGATATGTCAAGGGCCCCCAAAACCATCCCCAGATTTGGTTATTTGCTAGAAGGACTCAGGAGTCAGCATATGGTCACACTCATGGCTATGATTTATTATAGCAAAAGGGTACAAAGAAAAATCAGCAAAGGCAAAAGCACATGGAGCAAAGTCTAGAGGAAACCAAGCTCAAGCTTTTGATAATTCTTTCCAAATGAAGTCACAGAAGACACGCCTAACTCCTTAGTAATGAGTCATGATGACATGTGGGAAGTGTTTTCTACCAGAGAAGCTCATTATACACTCTGCACCCAGGGTTTTACTGGTGGTTAAATCACATAGGCATCCTCTGCCTACCACCAAATTCCAGACTCCCAGAAATAAAGCAGGTATTCATCATAAACTCACATTGTTTGTATAGTTTAGGTATAGTAAGCCACTTTTATCAGTTAGCATAGTAGAAACCTTTCCCAAATTCAAGTTCGCAGATGTCAGCCAAGGGCAAACCTGGTAAGGAGCCAGGCCTGCCATGTTAACTGTTTTTTGTTTTTTTAAATATCTAAGGAAATACAAATAGAGGAGCTCTGGTAGAACAGATCTAAGGCAAATCTCTTGAGGGAGAGCCAAGGGTCTGAGGCTGGAGTCACCAGACATAACTGTCAAGTCCAAAGGTCTGCAGCTTGACAGTGAATGGGAAAGAAAGCTAAAATGGGAAACCGAGCAGGAAGTTGATTGAAGTACAGCCCACTGAATGCTTTGGTCAGAATTGATTCTTCCCAAATGCTGCTAGGTGCCCAAAGTTACCCTTCCAGGTGCATAGGTGAATCAAGCAACCTAAAGATACAGAGTCAAGATTGGCAAACACTCTCCAGATGCCACCCCACCCCCACCCACCCACCATGACATGGCAGATTCCTCAGGGAAGAAAGGCTATGACTGGTCACTGAGGTGAGTGTTTGTATTAGAAGGCCAGTGTTCTGAGTTTTCCATTTGTTTTTCCATTTGCTTTTTCCATTTGTTTCCAGCCAAAGTCTAATAGCTCTACAGTGTCTGACATGACCCATTCTTTCAATGATGCATTTGTGGCAGATGCTGAATTATGTGTATAGTACCCCACAACATATAGCCAACTATTCTTGAAGAAAAAGAAAAGCCCCGCCTCACTTTAAACCAGGCTGCAGTGTCCCATGCTCCTTGGGAAGAATGAGAGGCTATGTCAGGAATACTGTGGCCTGCACACAGTGACCTTAGGGCGTCATTATCCACTCACTTCCTCTGCAGCCAGTAGTAACAGGCCCTGAGAGGCTCATCAGAGAGTTAGATCTCTAAGGAGGCTAAAGCCTTGGGCATCTCTCTCAGGAAATAAAACAGTTTTTCCAAGCCCAATTCAGATGTTTGAATACTGGCTATAAATATTAGTTTCCTAGCAATTGATTAACAACATTTTTCATGACTCTCTGAACTAATAGACTTATTTGGTCCCTGGATCTTGCCTCTCACACACCTCTGGTGCTGAAAGTCCTGGACTGAAATGGATGTGGTATGTTGATCTCCAGGCAAACTGGAGAAATTCAATTCTGAATGCCTTGCTTGTAGAGAGCACCTCCTCAGACCCAATATCTATTCATAGATTTTGGATTTTACAGCCTCTGGCCACACATTCACTAGTCTAACTCTCCCACTGACTATTCTCTGAAGCAGCACTATGCAAAAGAAACATAATTTGAGCCATTTAAATTTTCTAGTAGCCACATTTCAAAAGAGGATAGAGAAATAAGTGAAATTAATTTTAATAATATATTTTATTTAACCTGATACTAAAAATAGTATTTCTTCATATAATCAATATTTAAAAATGATTAACAATATATTTTACACTTTTTTAGACTAAATCTTTTAATTCCAGGTTCTATTTTATGCTTGGAGTACATCTCAATTCGTACCAGCTACCTTTCAAGTGCTCAGTAGCCACCTGTGGCCAGTGGCTACCGTACGGGACTTTGAAGTTCTAGGGAAAGGCCAGGGGGTCACTCAGAATCCAGCAGTCAGGAAGTCTGTGACCCTGTAATGCACCCTACACATTAGCATTCAATGCCATTGTCCTAAGAAAATACCTGCAGATGTGCCCTGCTACATGCTTAGTATTTTCACACAGACTGATGCCAGATGAGTTTAATTACTAGGGTAGAAGAGCAGCTCCTCACCATAAAGTTCACCTTCAACTCCTAAAGACCCCGCCTCAAAAAGATCTATTGCCAGGCATGGTGGCTCACGCCTGTAATCCCAGCACTTAAGGAGGCCGAGGCAGGTGGATCGCCTGAGGCCAGGAGTTCAAGACCAGCTTGAGCAACACGGTGAGACCCCATTTCTATTTAAAAACAAAAATACAAAAATTAGCTGAATGTGGTGGCACAGGCCTGTAATCCCAGCTACTGGGGGTCGGAGGTGCGGGATGCTGAGGTGGGAGGATCGCTTGAGTCCAGGAGGTCAAGGCTGCAGTGAGCCATGATTTCACCACTGTACTCCAACCTGGGTGACAGAGCAAGACCCTGTCTCAAAAATAGAAAAAAAGACTTAGCACTCCTATTAAGTTCAGAATGAAGCCCTTAGCAGATATGTGCCACTATAAATTAAGGCCAGAGGCTTAATTCTTCCACTGGTTAATTTTAGGTTTTAAGGTGCTTTGAGACCAAGAAGTCAGAAAATTATCCCCATTCCAGATCTTTCATTCAAAAACCTCTGCTATATAGTCCTACAACCTCAAAAGAACTGGCAAAACTCATACAGTGCCACCAAACAAAATTTCTGTATCTGTCCAATCTTACAGGGCTCTGAGCATACCCTGAGAGTCAGCCATGTGAACTAGGAGTAAGGAAGGCCTCCCATGCAAATACAGCCAGTTACATGTCCCAGCAGACAAGGCCTAGGTCCAGGTCTTTCTGCTGTGCCAGGATGCAATCTGAGAGGGCCACTGGGGCCCTTTCAAGGAAACTAATTTGACTCATTAGGGACTCTAATGGTCCCGTGTGTAACATAACTTCTTTCATTAGTCAGGCAAGTGCAAATGGTACTCCTGGCCAAAAAATAAATGGGTGATTCCCAAAATGCTATTATTCTTTTTTCTGCCCCCTAAGCCTGCTAGGGTACAATGTCATCCAATTTAATCATAAACTTTCCTGTTTATCTGGGTTCATCTCAGGGAAGATGGGGCTATTAATGAAGATAGTTTTATTTATCACTTGTGCCTGACTACACTTGACACTGGACACTCAACCATCACCTGCAAAATGTGATAGAACAGTATAGACCACTGAGTAGATTCCTATCATACATGTAGAACCCTTTAGAGGACCTACACTTGTGACTCGCCTTGTAAGACATCACTTCCAGGTCCGAATGTACTTCCTGTTACCCCTAAACTCATGGCTAAGAATTCATCAACCACGTGCTAGAATACTTCAAATTTAGGGCATCTTCTTAATAGGGTAATTGCCCTTAATAGGCCAAACTTCACACTATGAAATTTTAAAAAATAACTTCATTCAGCCAATATTTAAAATACATACTACAATTATGTGTTTCAATCTGTCTACATTATTTGGGCTGCTGTAACAAAACATCAGCCGACAACAGAGGAATGAATAAAGAAATCATGGAGGCTGGGCGCAGTGCCTCATGCCTGTAATCCCAGCATTTTGGGAGGCCGAGGTGGGCGGATCATCTGAGGTCAGGAATTCAAGACCAGCCTGGCCAACATGGTAAAACCCCATCTCTACTAAAATTACAAAAATTAGCCAGGCGTGGTGGTAGGCGCTTGTAATCTCAGCTACTTGGGAGGCTGACGTGGGAGAATTGCTTGACCCCAGGAGGCAGAGGTTGCAGTGAGCCAAGATCGCATCACTGCACTCCAGCCTGAGCGACAGAGCAATACTGTCTCAAAAAAAAAAAAAAAAAGAAAGTGTGGTATATTTGTATATATACAAAAACATATATAAATATTTACATATATGTGTAAAAATACAAATATATTTACATATCTATGTACCACAATGTGTGTGTGTGTGTGTGTGTGTAAAATGGATATTTATTCCACCTTAAAAAGGGAGATCTTGGTCAGGCACAATGGCTAACACCTGTGATCCCAGTGCTTTGGGAGGCCAAGATGAGAGAATCATTTGAGGCCAGGAATTCAAGATAACAGTGAGCCATGATCATGCCACTGCACTCCAGCCTGGGTAACAGAACAAGACCCTGTCTTTTTAAAAAACAAAAAACAAAAAAACAAAGGCAGGTGCAGTGGTTCATGCCTGTAATTCTAGCACTTTGGGAGGCCCAGGCAGGTGGATCACCTGAAGTCAGGAGTTTGAGACCAGCCTGGCCAGCATGGTGAAACACCATCTCTACCAAAAAAAAAAAAAAAAAAAAAAAAGAAGGCTGGGGTGGTGGCTCATGCCTGTAATCCCAGCATTTTGGGAGGCTGAGATGAGACGATCACAAGGTCAGGAGTTCGAGACCAGCCTGGTTAACACGGTGAAACCCCTTCTCTACTAAAAATACAAAAATTAGCTGGGCATGGTGGTAGGCATCTGTAATCCCAGCTACTCGGGAGGCTGAGGTTGGAAAATTGCTTGAACCCGGGAGGTGGAGGTTGCAGTGAGCCAAGATTGCACCACTGCACTCCAGCCAGGACGACAGAGCAAGACTCCGTCTCAGGGAGGGGAAAAAAAATACAAAAAAGTAGCCAGTCATGGTGGCAGGAGCCTGTAGTACCAGCTACTTGGGAGGCTGAGGCAGGAGAATCACTTGAACCTGGTAAGCGAAGGTTGTGGTGAGCCGAGATTGTACCACTGCACTCCAGCCTGGGTGACAGAGCAAGACTCTGTCTCCAAAAACAAAGGGCTCCTGTGATTTCCCACAACGTGGATGAAACTGGATAACATTATGCTAAGTGAAATCAAGCCAGACACAGACAGAAAAGTGTTACATTATCTTACTTATAAGTTGAATCTAAAAAAAAAGAGTGAAATATGCAGAGATAGAGAATAAAACAGTGGCTACCAGGGTTGGAGGGTGGAAGGAAGAAATGGGGAGATGTAAGTTAGAAGCCACAAAGTAGCAGGTATGTAGGATGAACAAGTCTAAGGAGCTGATGTACAACACCATGGCTATAGTACGGCTAGAGTTAATAAAACTGTGCTGTATTTAGAATTCCTGCTAAATGAGTAGATTTTACCTGCTCTTACCCCCTCTACACACAAAATGAGTTACCATGTGAGATGATGCATATATTTGCTCCACTCTAAAAATTACTTTGCTCTATGTATCCTGTAACATGATGTCGTATACCTTAAATATACACAATAAAGTTTATTTTTTAAAAAGTATCATAAGTGGGGTAGCTTATAAACAACAGAAATTTATTTCTTACAGTTCTGGAAGCTGGGAAATCCAAGATCAAGGCACCAAGAGATTCAGTATCTAGTGAGGGCCCGCTTCCCGGTTCACAGATACTGTCTTCTTGCTGTGTTCTCACATGTTGAAGGGGTGAGAGATCTCTCTGAGGCCTCTTCTACCAGGGCACTAGTCCCATTCATGAGCACTCCACCCTCATGACGTAATGACCTCCCAAAGACTCCATCTCCAAATTTCACCACTGAATGTATGTTAAGAGTTAACATATGAATTTGGGGGTGACACAGACATATAGTCCATTACACACCCCAAATAGTTCTCCATCATTCACTTCAATCACCACTACAACAACTCATCTAGAAGAATCCCATGCAGCCCAGAACTATCAAGCCTTTTGAGACCTAAAAGACTAGACTCTGAAGTCTAAAATACAGCCAACAATAATTGTTTTATAGATGGTGTCCATGAAATGTTCAGCTTCGCTTCCATTATGAGGTTCTTTGGGAATATCTCCTTTTGCTGGGCATACAATGAAAAACAGATAAGCTTCAATGTTCACAGTTGCCATTGTTTCTCTTGATAGCATCAGTATTTACTCTATATTGGGCTAAATCTGGGAGAGATAGAATGTTCATGGTAATTTTAACATAAATTTAACATAACTTTAAAATTTTAACATAATTTGTATTAGCAAGGAAAGATTCTGTAGCTTATTTTTTAGGCTTTTTGTGGGCTTCTCTCTGTAACCTTTACATTGTTTCTTTGTAGACAATCATTAGTGAAGGAAAGTTAGACCTAATGAGTCCCACTTTGGAGTTTATAATTATTTCCTCATTGTGATGATAATTATTCTATATCCTCTCCAAGTCTGACATTCTTGAAGATATAGTTCTATTTCTATTCCCCCAATGGTTGTATCCTAAGTAATAGGATAATCTAACAACTGATCTGTATCAAATGAGAGAACCTCCTATAAATTATATCTTTTTAAAAGACATATTATGATCATTATTGCCAGGCATTATTCTGTTGCAATAGAAGAAAAATTAATTCATTTTCTTTGACAGTAATTTACAAACTTTTTGGAGGCAACAGTGGAAAGGCTTTTATAATAGCATTGAGGAAGATTAGAGTAGAAGTCATGGTCTTTGTTGGTTGCCTGCAAGGCACCAATTTCCCTCTTTTCCCTTTTCTAACAGTTTCCTAATTCAGGTTCCAGTATAATTCTTCTCTCGTACTTCAGGGAACACTGTTGTACCTAGCTCCAGAGGAAGACCATTTTGAATGAAGGGTAATGTCATCTCCCTTGCCACAGTGACTGGTACAGGAACCCAGGCCTAAGCTTATCTGCATATGGCGTTCCTTTGACCACAGGGATTAGTTCAGGAATGACATAAGAACCAGTTTAAGCCAATGAGACATAAGAGGACACGTGCAGAATCTTCTGAGAGCTTTTCTCTCTTTCTCTGGACATTAAGGAGAGCAGATGTGAAGGTAACATTTGGTCATGAGAAAAGCCAATGTGAAAAGGAATCTAGCCAGGCACGGTGACTCATGCCTGTAATCCCAGCACTTTGGGAGGCCAAGGCAGGTGGGTCACTTGAGGTCAGAAGTTTGAGACCACCCTGGCCAATATGGTGAAACCCCGTCTCTACTAAAAATACAAAAATTAGCCAGGCGTGGTGGCTTGTGCCTGTAGTCCCAGATACTTGGGAGGCTGAGGCAGGAGAATCGCTTGAACCAGGGAGGTGGAGGTTGCAGTGAGCCGAGATTGCACCACTGCACTCCAGCCTGGGTGACAGAGCAAGACTCCGTCTCAACAAACAAATAAACATTAGCTGGGCATGGTGGTGCACACTTGTAGTTTCAGCTACTCAGAAGGCTGAGGTGGGAGGACCACCTAAGCCCAGGAGGTTGAGGCTGCAGTGAGCCGTGATTGTGCCACTGCACTCCAGTCTGGGTGGCAAAGTGAGGCCCTGTCTCAAAAAGAAAAAAGAGAAAGAAAATAAATCCAACAAACAGGAATAAATAACAGTCTTGGCAGCCTGCACCAGGTGAAACCTGAAGCCTGCCCTACTCTGGACTTCCATTATGTAAATTCCCAGTTACATAAGCCAATGAAAACTAAGTGAAGTCTGGTTTTCTGTTACTTTCAAAAACATTCTAAATGAAATGGTGAGTTAGTTTTAATTTTATTTCACTTTTGGAGTATTTTAGAGCCTTAATTCATGCCTGTAATCCCAGCACTTTGGGAAGCTGTGGTGGGTGAATCACCTGAGGTCAGGAGTTCAAGACCAGCCTGGCCAACATGGTGAAACTCTGTCTCTACTAAAAGCACAAAAATTAGCTGGGCGTGGTGGTGGGCGCCTGTAATCCCAGCTACTCAGGAGGCTGAGGCAGGAGAATCACTTGACCCCGGGAGGTGGAAGTTGCAGTGAGCCAAGATCGTGCCACTACACTCCAGGCTGGGCAATAAGAACAAGACTCTGTCTCAAAAAAAAAAAAAATTATAAGCATATGGTAAAATTCAAGCAGTGTAAAAGGGCAATCAAAGTAAATGTCCCTCTCATTTCAGGCATCATTCATCTCTCCAGAGTCAACCTCAGACAAGTTTCGTGTGTGTGTGTGTGTGTGTGTGTGTGTGTGTGTTTCATTTCTACTCAAATACAAGACAATATACACATTGTTTTACATCTTGTTTATTGTACTTTATATATCTTTCAATCAATACATATAGATCTATCTCCCTTTTTAAAGACTGCATGATATTATATTGTATGGATATACCACAATTCATTTAACCAATTCTAATTTTTTACCATTATAAATAGTGATGAAATGGACATCTTTAAATTTACATCTTTAGACAAAGATGTGAATAGAAATCTGAGGATAAATTCCTAGAAATGGAATAACTGATTCAAAAAACATGCATTTTACATTTTAACAGCAATCGCCAAAATTTCTTCTAAAGAGGTTCTATACATTTACATTCAAGAATAAGATAGTTTTGATAATAGAAAAAGTTCTATCCACCCTCATAGATTTCCAAAAGCCTTAGCTGTTGTCTATTTCAAAATTAGCAGACAATATGGTCATCTCCTATATGCTAGGCACTTTGCTAAGCACTTAATATACACTAACTTATTTAATACTCAGAACAGTCATGCAAGGCACAAAAGGATGAAGTAATATGTCCAAGGTCACACAGATAGTAAGGAACAAAGGAATTAAGTAACATACCAAGGTCACACAGCCAGGAAATGGTGAGGCTGAGACTAAACACTCATAAACTGACTTCAGAGCTCATGTGTCAGTTGCTATCCTGCCTCACTACTTTACTTTTTTATACTAATCAAAGTAATATGTATATATGGTTAAAATTTTTTCAGCTTATAAAAGCAACTATAATGAGAGACAATAGTCCTCTGCTCCCCAGAAACCACAGCTTTTAATCACTATGATTTTACTTCTAGTAGAGACTTCCATACATCTAAATAATACGTTCATATTTTCATTGCTTGATTTATTTGTTGATCTCCCACTTTAAAAGATGAGGATTTAACTCACTCTACTTACATCTACATCTCTTTCCATTTTTCCTTTTTTAGATATTTGATTGTTCTATCATTTTTTAAACTTTGTAATATTTAAGTTTTATTTATTGTTGTCTTACTCAAAGACAGTATTTCTTAATTCCCCATCATGTTTTTTTTTTAAAAAAAGGTTATTAGTGTCCCTATGCTTCCATTTACTTTTCTTCTTCAATTTTACCTACCAATTTCTATCAGCTTTATCTTTCTTTTACATTGTCAAGGGTGGTTTATATTCTGTTCTGTGGTCATAACATAATAACATTTTCTGTATCTTATCTATAAATTGATTCTAAAAGTTGAATCATAATTAATAACACATTTATTATTTAGACTATAAAGGTATTGTTCAACAGAGAGCCAGGAAGCTTGCTTTTTTTCAAACTATAGATTCCATTTAGGATTGCTGTATACATGAAGGAGAATGCTTCTGACATCATAGTCAACTAGATTGTTTTTGTTTTTTTGTTTTTGTTTTTGTTTTTTGAGACGGAGTTTTGCTCGTCTCCCAGGCTGGAGTGCAATGGTGTGATCTTGGCTCACTGCAACCTCTGCCTCCCGGGTTCAAGTGATTCTCCCGCCTCAGCCTCCCAAATAGCTGGGACTACAGGTGTGCACCACCACCCTCGGCCAGATTGTTTTTTATACTCTGCCTTATACTGTATTGTATTTCCTTTATACTCTGCCTTATACTGTATTGTATTTTCCTTGTACTCTAAATACAATATAATCCTTGTACTATAAATACAGTATAATATACAATTAAGTTATACTGTATTTTAGATTGATTAATATGAGGAATACAACTTTATTTCAGCATTTTTGTTTTCCTGGAGTTTCTAATTGCCTTGCTTTTTTTTTTCATGAAAAAAAGAACATGCTTACTTTCTCATATCCAAATATCTTTCAACATTTTATTTATTCTACCTATGACATGGGATTCTTTCCTTTCTTACTGAAAATATTCTTTTTAGTCCCCACTGAATTCTTGTTCCAATTTGGAAAGACTTATTTCTAGGCCCGCAGTACCCAAAATAAGTTCTTTTTATTTAACTCCTGAGTAGTTCCACATTTTCTGTATTCTAAGTCATTTTCTTTCAGATTTCCCTCCCTCTTATTTTTTTCTTGGGTACATCAAGTAACTTCCTAAGAAAAGGAGTTTCTGAGACCTAAAGTGTCTTTATCTTCTTCTCACGCTTACTTGATGGTTTGACTCCAAGTTCTCCAGCCTCAGAGTTTCTCTGAAGTGCTGCCGGTCAAATTCATTCCTACTGCCACTGAAGCCCCTCCCGACTGTATCTGGGTTATGGCTTCCTTCCTTCTGTTTAATCCATTACATGATTCCATCTCTTTTCTGACTTCCATAAATTTAAAACAAATCTCATCTGTTGGTGATTCTCATTCCATTCTCTTCATTCTTGTCATTTTATTTCCTTTCCAATTTTTGTTCCTTTATTGCCATTTTAATGGCATCCAGATCAAATACATGTGTACAGTCTGCTATTGAAAATAGAGGCTTCTCCCTTGTCCTTTTTATTTTTTAGAGTCGCAAAGATTGTGTTGTTGGTTGTCATCATGCATAAGAATCCACCTTTCTACTTTTTCAACGAGCCAGGCACTATAATGTATGCCTGTAATTTCAGCTATGTGGGAGGCTGAGGTGGGAGGATCACTTGAACCCAAGAGTTTGTAACCAGCCTGGGAAACACAGAACGACTCCATTTCAAAAAAGAAAAAAAAGAAGTAGCTCATGGTAAGATCTAACCTCTTATGTAATCATATAAAATTGAACTATATAGGTGGGAATAAAACGTTACTTTCCAAAAATAGTATGCAGTTAGCATTTCAACATGGCTTTAAAGTCTCACCATGGATCTCACAGGAGTTCACTTGTCTATTTGTCACGAAAGCATTTAAGGAAATAACTGAATGAGAATTCCTATTAAGCACTGGTGACAGCCTGAACTTTTTGTAGCATTGATGGAGTATGATTTAGGGTGGAGTCATACTAGTCTGGAACTAAGTGAGTGCAAGTGGAATGAAATGATGCATTATTCATATTTTGTTATTATTAGCAATTAATTACAAACATATTACCTAGAAGTAGTGGTGCGCTAGTAAATGTTTAAAAACTGACTCTTCAGGGAATAAAAGTGTGCATACATATTTATATGTGTGTGTGTACATATAAGTTTATTATAAATTTCGTGACATAAAAGATATAGAGCGTACGATTTACAAATAATAATAAAATATACAATACTTTTATTGTGACTTCATGTAGCCAATGGATTTGTGAAGAATGCATTTGTTAATTTTTGCCAAACTTTTGTTTCTGTAGCCAACATATGGTTACAATTGAGCAATGATTTGACAAATGGAGTTGCATCTCAATCTGCTAACTCTTTCCCCAGTAAATCTTTTGTCATTAAATCTGACATGTGTACTTTATTTTTCATGATGGCTTCATTTAACAACCAGCTTGCAAAATTCCTGAAAATTTAATACTCAGCTCTCACAATCTGGTACAAGCCAACTCCAGCACACCGTCACTTACAACTCCACTTCACTTACAAACTCCATGCAGAGAAGTTTACACTCCTTCCAAACTCCACTTACCAACTCCACTTCTCTGACTTGAAGGACAAAATGAGGAGCCATCTATTTTTGTTATCCAAATAATACTTCTCTGACATGAAAATATCTTTCTTCTCTGTAATCCCATCTCTCTGACCATTCCCACATCCCACCATAGGAAATCCATACACCTCAGGGACTGTACAGTCAGGTCTGCCTCTAGAAGAGAAAACCAGAAATTTGGCTCAGAGTGGCACACTGGGCTAGATCTAGGCTGTTGCTGGTGTCATAGCCACATGATGGCACTATTGAAACACAGGTGTTGCAGCTGCCTCAATACCCCCTCCATACCCAGCCCCCAGCTTGTCCTCAGTCATGCAAAGCCTACATCTCTTCTAAAAACCTCACATCTCTGTCTCCTTTCACACCCAGTTCCTTTCAGTGCAGGAAGTTCCTTAAGTGCCAAAAGCCCATGGGCATTCTGCTTGCCTAAAAGTCATATCACAGGACCTTCCTGTTGCATCTGTCCTGGCAACTTCTACCTTTTGACATCTGATTTTTAGACTCTGTCATCCATAAGTCACCAGGGCCTTCTCTGTCTCTCACTGATGCAGGCAATGCTTTGTCCGAATACCATTCCAGGGCCTGGGTTCAAGTTCTTATAATTTGTGTGTCCTTATTTATTTGTGTCTTTCTGTCTTCCATTGTTTACTTTATCTGCATGGCCTGCTCCATATGAGATCCTAATGGGAAAACTTGATTGTTTATCATTTTCCATAAGAAATCCAACACAACTCAGCATTTTTATGTTTTGGTAGCCTCATTGAAGTGTTCCCAGTTTCATATAAATATCACAGGGAAAGACTCTAATTGGCCCCGCTAGGGTCATATGCCTACTACTGGGCCAGTGTGTGGCCAGGAGGATGGAATACTACGAATGATTAGACCTGCATCGCATGACAACTTCTATGATGGTAAGAATATAAATGAAAGCCCAGAACTGCATGGAGTGAAGGAGGAGCAATATCCTCAAAGAAGTGGGAAAGTATTACCTGAAGATGGGAGACAGAAATACCGAGAGGATAAATGCAACAAACATTTCCTACTGGTAGAGATTTTACCCTTCCTTATGGCTAGTTCTCCTTTTTGGGATGTTTTACAATTCATGGAGAAAATAGGGAATTATATGCTTTGGGAAAGAATGGTAAAATGAAAACATATTTACCATAAAGTGATGCTGAAGAATGTCCTTTGAAGCATTCCTTTGAAATATCAGCTTATCTATTATGAAGCTTGGATTTTCACCCATATAATTGGCATTATCAAAGCAGGGGCATGATTTTGGCATGCTTTCAAACTCTCTGACATGTGGCATTACTTTAAATTCTCCCTTAATATGCTGTCATTATAATTTAGGAGCTTCAGTGGAAAGTAAAGCAGAAGCTGCCTTATACTACTTTGGTAAAGCCAAAAAATGCAAAATAATCCCACTGCTATTTATTCTACTATTCTAGTTTTATATTTTTGTCTTATAGACTTTTTCATCTCTAAAAATTCAAAACATATAGATTAAAATAAAGAAAATAATTTAACTTTGGAATGTGAGTTCTGCCAATAGTGGAGCGTGTTCACAAAGGAGTTCCTTTTGCCCTACTGATTTTCTGGCGGCCTGATGCTGTTTGCATGCCTCACCACCGGAAGCCTATCTTCTATCTAGCATCTTCATAGCACATGCACTTCTAAAAAGAGTTCAGGGGAGTAGGCTTCAAACTGGATACTCATATATTCCTAGGGTACATGAAGACTTTCCAAAAGCACATTGTGATGGATAGTGCAATCAGTTTCCAGATTCCCAACTTCTACATCTTGGTTTCCTGAGAGCTCCTTTTAAGGCCTGCCAATATCTGCCTTTACACATTCACCCTTCTTCCATCTCAGAGAAGACGGACTTATCTCTCTCCCAACTTGAATCTTACCTTGGTGTATTGCTCTGGCGTATACAAATCTTGAGGATAACTCATAAGGGGATAATTTA
The DNA here is from genome assembly GCF_000001405.40 of Homo sapiens. Lineage (NCBI taxonomy): Eukaryota > Metazoa > Chordata > Mammalia > Primates > Hominidae > Homo > Homo sapiens. The sequence goes on from NC_000007.14 coordinate 27,691,489, forward strand.
AAATGCACTGCTTCTGAGGGGGCTTCTTCTCATTCCTCCCTAACAGAAGAAAGAAGGAAAGAAAGAGAGGGAGGGAGGGAGGGAGGGAGGAAGGAAGGAAGGAAGGAAGGAAGGAAGGAAGGAAGGAAGGAAGGAAAGAAAGAGAAAGAAAGAAAGAAAGAAAGAAAGAGAAAGAGAAAGAAAGAAAGAAAACAAGAGCAAAGACAGTCTCAGTAAAAATTACTAACGCCTGGCCGGGTGCAGTGGCTCACGCTTGTAATCCCAGCACTTTGGGAGGCTGAGGCAGGCGGATCATGAGGTCAGGAGATTGAGACCATCCTGGCTAACACGGTGAAACCCCGTCTCTACTAAAAATACAAAAACTTAGCCGAGCGTGGTGACGGGCGACTGTGGTCCCAGCTACTCGGGAGGCTGAGGCAGGAGAATGGCGTGAACCCGGGAGGCGGAGTTTGCAGTGAGCCGAGATTGCGCCACTGCACCCCAGCCTGGGAGACAGACCGAGACTCGGTCTCAAAAAAAAAAAAAAAAAATTTACTAAAGACTTATTTTATCCAGGCAACAAACTCTTGGCAAATCTCCATGCCTTCTCTCTCTACCTTGTCTCTGTCTCTCTCTCTACCTCGTCTCTGTCTCTCTCTTGTAGAATTAAGATTCACAATGATAGGCCATTCATTTAAATTTTGAAATGATAGGCAGTAAGTCTGATTTAGCTGATTGGTTTGACAGGAGAGACTGGCTTCTCCAGTAACGTATTTGTACAGTGGACTTACTCCATAAAGTGAGCGAGCTAAACCTGCAGCTCCAAGGATTTGATAAAAATAAAATTAGGCCAGCCACTGTGCCTAAAGCCAGTAATCCCAGCACTTTGGGAGGCTGAAGGGGGAGGATCACTTGAGGCTAGAAATCCAGATCAGCCTGGGCAACATGGTGAGACTGCCACCCCCTCCCCCAACTCCATCTCTACAAAAAAATGAAAAATAAGCTGGGCACAGTGCTGTGTGCCTGTAGTTTTACTACTTGGGAGGCTGAGGCAGGAGGATCTCTTGAGCCCAGGAGTTTGAGGCTTCAGTAAGCGATGATCAAGCCGCTGCACTCCAGCCTGGGCCACAGACAGAAAGACCTTGTCCCAAAAAATAAAATAAAGTACATATTCAAATTATAATACACCAGGAAATACATTATTTGCAATGACTTAAACTTAAGATAAAATATTTTTAGATATCCTTGTAAAATGTTCAAGAGACCCGTTGTTTTTCAAAATGCTTTGGAGATTAAATTTGCAAAGAATTTTGAAGGCCCTGGGTCTAAAGAACCAGAAAAATACTTTGAACAGTTTAAACTCTATTAAGAAAATATAACTATATAACTTACAGCCATAATTATTAAAAATACCCCATTGAAAAGAGAAGGATGGAAAAGAACATAACATGTTAGTAAAAAGTCAGTTAACTAAGCAAACTTTTTTTTTTCTTTTTTTTCTTTTTGAGACGGAGTCTTGCTCTGTCACCTGGGCTGTAGTGCGGTGGCACGATCTTGGCTCACTGCAACCTCTGCCTCCCAGGTTCAAGCGATTCTCCTGCCTCAGCCTCCCGAGTAGCTGGGATTACAGGAGCCCACCACCACCCCTGGCTAATTTTTCGTATTTTTAGTAGAGACGGGGTTTCACTATGTTGGCCAGGCTGGTCTCGAACGCCTGACCTCATCATCCACCCGCCTTGACCTCCCAAAGTGCTGGGATTACAGGCATGAGCCACTGTGCCCGGCCCTTTTTTTACTCTTGAGTCTATTCAAATGTGGGGATTTTCCTGTTGAATATAGAATTTGGCCAGAGGACATACTAGCTTTCAGTCCCACTATCTTTTATGCTATAGGAGGGAAGTACCTGGTGTTTAAATTCAATTTTCCCAATATTTAAGCCTATTACACTTATATTTTAACCCCTACAAGAGCAAACGTTTCTGATTACAGTTCTCCTGGTGGTGGTTTTTCCCCTCTGCTAAATATTTCTCAAAAAAGAAGAAAATAGCAATTTCCCCATAGTCTGGTAGATCCCATGACTATTTCTACCCTATGAAAAAGAAAATCGCGAAAGAACTACTAACTTTTACTTTCCCTCTTCCACCTCTGCTGCTTAGATACCTTAGGGTCACTTAACACAATTATAATGAAAAATTAATTACTAAAGTTTGATTATATTAAATTGCCAGATGGTTTCACTGACCCAGAGCCAAACTGGTTTTTCTACCAGAATTTTCCTCCCTGTTTCTAATAACTAAAAAAAAAAAAATTGAAACTATAATATAAAGACTGTAAATGCTAAGCAGCACAATTTTCTCCACAAACGGTACCCTCTTACCCATTAATTTGCTGCCAGCTGAGAGAAAAATTTAGCAGGGACAGGGAGACCCCTGAGAGGTAGAGGGAGGGAGAAGAAGCGACTGCAAAGAGAAAGGGAGCTGTTTGGAGATGTGCATGTGACAGAGACAAACTTCCTATTGCATAAGCTTGCTTCTGGCAAGGCCAGGCCTTGAGGACAAGGCTCTCTTTAATCACCACATTGAACCTGGGATGACCTTGGTTTGGGGAGACATAGTAATGTATTGATACATATTTGGAGCAGAGGGTTAATTTTTGATTTAGCTTTTCTGCACTTAATTTTTATTTTCTATCTGCCTTGTAGGCAAAGCCCTTGCGATAATAAACTAGGTGTGGCTACAACTTTTGGTACAAAAATCGAGCTTTGAAAAAGATATTCTAGCTATAGACTTGGAAGCGTTTTTCTTTTTTTCTCTTGTTTCCATAATATTTTTGATGTAGTGGCTGATTCATCTATATTTTGCGCTTGCATCCTGTAAAGATTTTTCTGTTGACTCATTTGAGGAGTAAAAACTCCCCAATTTTTTTTTCAAGAATATAATCCCAAAAGAGTAATTACCTGTTCCCTGTGGTGATAGGAACATTTTCTAGTCTCATCAGCAGAGACTGCAGAGCACAGCCAATGAACAATGAATAACTGTTAATAAGGATAAAGCCATAAATAAGCAAAATTAAAGTGTGATTCATTATAAATTGTAATGGTGGACATGTTACCAAGAAGAAACAAGTTAACTACTCATGTAACATATTTTAAAATGATGAGAAAACCATTCATTGGTACAGAACTCTTCCTCAGCTCAGATTAAATGAAGATTTAAGTGCAGTTAAGTGTATACACGTGCACTAGAGAGTAGACAGAATCTTCTTGCCAACTGCTTCATACTAATAAGGACACTGAGGTCACCGAGGAATTCACTGAGACTCTGTCTACGCAAGGGCCCAAAGTCATCAGTTTTGAGACAGTTCCTTACAAATCTGTTTTCACTATCATGTAGGAATAATCATAATTTTATAATATCAATATGGTCTACCTTATAACTTTTGCGAACCAATAGGCATCCCCCCAATTCCCCCAGTTCCTCAGCAGGTGCTGTTAAGGTAAAGCTTCTGTTTGCCTAGCCTTCTAAGGTTAATCTAATCAATATTGAATTATGTATTGACTTACTTCTTCAAGGCACCAAACCTATTTTCCATCAAGAGAATAGGAGAATGATGTACCAGAAAGCATACTGCAGACCAGAGGACTGACTCAATGTTTTAGCATGATATAGGATGAAATACAGCATAAGAAAGTGCAGGCAAGGAGAAAACATACGGATGGGAAATATATCTTGTCTGGAAACACAAATTTAAAGCATTCCCTTCCATATACTCTGATCAAGACGACAGAATGAGTTTACTTGGAAGCAACATCCTACCCACAAGAAAACCACCCTCTGCCCTCCACAGCATCATAGACAGAATGTTTATTTTAATAAGTCTATACTTAGAAGTGATAAAGAAAAAAATTATTCAATGATGCTTGTTAAAGCATGCTAAAGAAGACTTTATTCAGGAAGACTGCAATAAGTGTAAGAACCATGGCGAGGGGATTTTGCAGTGGAGGAGAGAGATTGGGCTCAACTCCGAATACAACACAGGCAAATGGGAATTTATAGCCAAGAAGCAGGGTAGGGCTCAGTGGATAAAAATTACTAAGAGGACACATTAAGGGTAAGGGGGATTCTGGTGAAATTGACCTAACAGGATTCTTGCTGAAGACAGGCCAGGGTGATCAGACATCTCCTGCAGGATGGCGGAGTTTGAGGAACCTGATCAAGCTATTGAGGGTGATAGGAAATGCAGGATGGAGAGTTCTTGCTAAACTGACTTAGCAGGGCTCTTGCCAAAACTGGATTTTACAAGGAAGAGCATAGATGGGCCTAGGAGAAGGTTCAGGAGCCTGACTAAAATTTGGTCAAGCAAAGCATCTTTGTCAAAAGACATCTCCAAGTTCCAAAATGAGAAGCTTAAAATGGGATTTGAAATATGTCTCTATGTACACATGGAGAAATAAGAAACATGATAAATTTATGTATTTTCTTTTAGAGAAGTTTGTGATATATTAAGTAAAAATAGTAAATTGTGGATTCACATTTATAATTCTATTTCACAGAAAACAAACTCAAAAATCAATCTGTGTGTGTGTGAGATGAGCAAATTATATAGGCTAGATTATACTATATAATTTGTGAAATGATACATGTTGGTCATTTAACATGTGAGCCTTAGATGGCAGAGACAGAATATATACATAAAATAGTTTTTTGGCTTTTTAAAAGAGACAGGGTCTTGCTGTGTTGTCCAGGCTAACTGGAACCCCTAGACTCAAGTAGTCCTCCTATCTTAGGCTCTTAAGTAGCTGGGACCACAGGCATGTGCCAGGAAAAATTGTTTTTTTAAAATATAACTTTGTATAATCTCAGTTGTTACAACTAGCCTGTATTATTTTTATAGTTTGAAAATCCCCAAATTAAGGGAAGTATAAAAAAAATTACATGACTAAGTTTAACATAGTTTCTAGATTCAATAGTAAATTTCATACTGATTCAGGATTCATTTGTAAATTTTCTAAATTTCATCTAATTATAAAAATATTAAATATTCATTTAAGAAATACTGAACAACAGAAAATCACACAAGTACAAAGAAAATAGGTAACACCAATAATTCCAACTCTTAGAGATAAATATTATGAACATTAATATTTTGGTGTAATTATTTCTGGTCTTTTTTTTTCTATGTATGCTATGTGTGTGTTTGTATATTTAAAACAAAAATTAAAAAAAAATACTTTCTATACCCCACTGTTTTTGAAACCCAACAAAGGTTTTCCAAAAAATCAAATATCTTTTTTTTTTGAGATGGAGTCTCGCTCTGTCGCCCAGGCTGGAGTGCAGTGGCGCAATCTCGGCTCACTGTAAGCTCCGCCTCCCGGGTTCATGCCATTCTCCTGCCTCAGCCTCCGGAGTAGCTGGGACTACAGGCGCCCGCCACCACACCCAGCTAATTTTTTGTATTTTTAGTAGAGACGGGGTTTCACTGTGTTAGCCAGGATGATCTCGATCTTCTGACCTCATGATCCGCCTGCCTCAGCCTCCCAAAGTGCTGGGATTACAGGCGTGAGCCACCGCGCCCGGCCTCAAACATCTTTCTTTAGCAGCAGTGTAGTGACTATACTGCACACTGTAAGGGCAAGGATTATATTTGACTAAAATGAAACGGTGATTTAAACACAAAAGCAGGCAGTTTAGGGATGGTGTGGTGGTTCCTTGACGTCAAGGCTGACTGTAATTGTGGGGCCCAGTGCAAAATGAAAATGTGGGGGCCCCTGTTCAAAAATTTAAAAAGTGTTTCATTAAGAGTACTGAAACATAGGCTGAGCGTGGTGGCTCATGCCTGTAATCCCGGCACTTTGGGAGGCCTAGGCGGGCAGATCACCTGAGGTCAGGAGTTCAAGACCGGCCTGGCGAACATGGTGAAAGCCCGTCTCTACAAAAATACAAAAATTAGCTGGGCATGATGGCAGGTGCCTGTAATCCCAGCTACTTGGGAGGCTGAGGCAGCACAATCGCTTGAGCCTGAGAGGCGGAGGTTGCAAACAAACAAAAAAAGAGTACTGAAATATAAAGATTTTTCTTTTCTACTGGGACCTCTCTCTTGACTTGCCCTGGTGTTTTTTTAAAATTTCCTATTGTTGATCTAAGTAACAAAAAATACGTAAAAACGTAAATTGATAGCATGAATTTTACCCTTCATCTTTATATTAAGCAATGCTAGTTTTAAATGCAAATATAAGAACATTTAATGTGTGTACATGAGATCACCGAAATCACATAATTCATATTTTATAATATGTGTGTGCATTTGTACTTTGTTCTTAACCAGAAGAATGAAAATGTTGCACAAAATGAAATTAACTGTTTTTATTTCACTTCTTGATACAAGCAGCTTCTACCAACACTTTCTACCTTTGGCTTACTGATAAGTAAGGAAGGACTGAAATTAAAAGGAACTATGGGCTGTCTAACTTCCCTTTTCCTTCTATGTTATTATTTTCAGGGTAAGTTGTTGACTACTACAGGGAAGTAACATAAGTAAGAAATGACACAACAGGATTCCTTGATTGTTTATGTTCCTAGAAATGCCACTGCCTTCTTTCTGCATAGCAAGTTCTAGTTCAGATGGAAAGTGTGGCCTCTTGGGGCCATCAGTACTCCAATTAATTAGTCATAGATCTAACACATTTTCCTTGTACACTCTGAGTCTCATTGAACTCTCACTCATTGTGGGGCCTCCGGAATTCAGAGCTCATGAGACTACATGCAAATAGGGCAACAAGAAACAGCAGACGTGCTGATTGTGTGTAACTTCTCTTTTCACACACATGCTTCCTTGTTCTACTAGACTTTATGTAGAAAGCACAACCTCAGGCTCGGTGTGGTGACTCATGCCTGCAATCACAGCACTTTGGGAGGCCAAGGCAGGCAGATCACTTGAGCTCAGGTGTTTGAGACCAGCCTGGGCAATGTGGCAAAACCCTGTGTCTTCAAGAAATAAAAAAATAAAAATAAAACAAAACAAAACAAACGGACGTGGACGCACATGCCTGTAGTCCCAGCTACTTTGGAGGCTGAGGAGAGAGGATCACTTGAGCTCAGGAGGCAGAGGCTGCAGTGAGACTGCACTGCAGCCTGGGCCATAGAGGGAAATCCAGTCTCAAAAAACAAAACAAAACCAAAAAATATAACATCAAAGATGACAGTTATTAAAAGTTTCAAGGTAGCAATAATAGAGCATTGAACCACATGTGAGGCCCTTCTGAGCAGAGGTCCTTGTATGACTGCACACTCCAAATCTTCCAGGATTTGGTCTTCTTTATCTTTTTCCTCCTTCATATGAGGGTCTCCAACCTCAAGGTCACTTCATGGTCCAAGCTGACTGTTGAAGTTCAACATCAGCAAAAGGGGTGCAAAGAAGTCTCCCCTTTGGGCTGAATCAGCTCTCTAGAGGGAGACTTCGCAGAAGCCCAGCTCTGCTTTCATCTCATTAGCCAGAACTTAGTGATGGGACTACACTTAACTCTAAGGACAGCTGGAAAATGTAGTCTTTTTGCTGGATACATGGCCACCCAGCAAGAAATAAGGCTTTTACTAAGAAATAAAGGTGAATGGATATGGGTAGGCAACTAACAGTCCCTGCCATACCAAGTGAAAAAAATATTTAAGCAAACCTTAATTTTTATTTACAAAAATCAGGTTGTATCTGATTTTTCACCATTATCGACATTACTTGCAAACTTTTCAATTGTGTCTTGCTCTAAATTTTTAAAAAACACATCCCTAAATACCAAGTACACTTCTTTGGAATAATTTTCTGTTTATTAAATCAAATTAAATAATTTGTATTTAATTAAGCTTGCAACAATAACAGTTGAGTTCTTTTTAAAAAGGAGGGCAATTGAATGTTTATATTGATATTTAGTCCTGACATAAGCTTGACCTTGTGGGTCAAGGAATAGATGGCTAAGATAAAGATATGTTAAATTATGATTTTCTTTCTTTCTCTTTCTTTCTTTCCTTTCTTTCTTTCCTTTCTTCTTTTTTGAGACAGTCTCCCTCTGTTGCCTAGCTGGAGTGCACTGGCACAATCTTTGCTCACTGCAACCTCTGTTTCCCCGGTTCAAGCGATTCTCATGCCTCAGCCTCCCTAGAAGCTGGGACTACAGGCACGTGCCACCACACCCAGCTAATTTTTTTGTATTTTTAGTAGAGATGGGGTTTCGCCATATTGGCCAGGCTGGTCTCAAACTCCTCACCTCAAGTGATCTGCCTGCCTTGGCCTCCCAAAGTGCTGGGATTTCAGGCGTAAGCCACCATGCCTGGCCTAAATTATGATTTTCTATTCTTGTACAGTATTGCTAATTAATGTGTGACTACATTACATAAATAAAGCAAAAGTGATGTAAGCAGCTTCTGAAGGTTGCTGATTTTTTAAAGATCATTTATGTCTACTTAAATCAATCTACTGCCAATATCTGGATGCATTGTATCATCTTGCATTAATGTTATCTACTTGAAGCATTCCAGATGACTAAATTTAAATGAGAAATAGCTATTGTTCATTTCTGCATTAGCATTTTACATGGCGTATAATCAAACTGCTCTTTAATTGGTGAAAACTAGTTCTCTGTTTGGTGTTAGTAACTCAAGGCTGAAATAACTTGAATTTTCTTAGCTCATTTTTATGTTTCTCACATCTTTGCCAAGCTTATCAAATTATTTCCATGTGAAATGAAAAAAGACTTTACTAGCCTCCACAACATTTTTATTTCAAGTAAATAACTGTGAAAGAATTTACTTATTCAAACCAGTTTTTAAAATTTGTTTTTAAATTACAAGAACTTGTAGTTTATTAAACAACAATTTCTGCATATTTAGATTCTAATGTGAGATTTTTCTGAATGAATTTGGGCACAATTCTATTTCAAAAATGGAACCATTAAAATCTGCGCATTATGAGTAAACTATTATTTATAGAGTATAGTTCTACATATTCTGACATTTTATCTTTCACATATAAATATCTGGGTACATGCACATCTGAGCGTATAAAATTAAACTACCTGAACACCTTTAAAAAATTAGAGTAAAACGTAAAAATGTCTATAAAAAGAAACTCATTAGAGATTTCAAAATATCCGTAAGTGCTAAATAAGGTTTCCAGAAATCAGTGATTACGCTGAAACGTGTCACAAGGGGAACTGTTAACAAGTGTTACTTTGCCAATGGTAGGAAGATTGCCAACCTTTAATTGGCTTTAAAGTTGGTGTTCTATCAATGGTGTATTGTAAAAGGTAATAATGCCCACATTTATTATTTAAGCCTGAAACGGGAACTCTAGATTTGACTAAAGGTGGCACTGTGCACTAGTCCTTCTAATTAAAAATATTCAAATGCCCACATTTTAAATTTGATTAAGATGCACATTATCATGTTTATCATTAACAATAGCAAAACAAAAGATGTTTGTCTACACTTTACAATACACAGTGACCAGTCAACCTTCCCTTTTGGTTTGCTATTCATTAACTGTTTTGTTCTAAGGAAAATGCTGAAAATAGCTCTTGGTAGGTTGATAGGAAGGTACAATTTTATTGAATGAAACCCGAATTTGGCGTGCCATCTTTCTTTGTATTCTGTTAAGGTCAGGGAGGCTCCTCATTAATAAACGCAAATAAGGGATTATCTTATCTTCCAGAATAAACAATGCTCTATCCGTTGGTTTCTGGATTTCTAACCATGAATTACCATATAATGACCCAGAACCTAGGACAGCACAAGAGAGCTCTTGAATAACAATTATGAACAAATAAATATGAGGAAAAACCAGTCAAACACTTAAGATAGAAAATTCCCACAGAAAGATCACTTTCAATATGTGTGAGGCTTCAGAGAGTAGGAAAAAGATCCATTGAAGATTTTTGAGGGAAATCAGCTGAATGTTGAATATCAGCATTCATCTGATTAACCTCGAAGTTTTGTCCTGCTAACTTGAATAGCTTTGCGGATTAGGGATAGTTTACAATTTTTCTGACTCTGGCACATTACATATTCATCAGACTAACATTCTATACCAGGCATGTGTCTTTTATTTTTTTTTTTTAAGACGGAGTCTCAATCTGTCACCCAGGCTGGAGTGTAGTGGTGCAATCTCAGCTCACTGCAACCTCTGCCTCCCGGGTTCAAACAATTCTCTGCCTCAGCCTCCCAAGTAGCTGGGATTATAGGCACCCGCCACCAGGCCCAGGTAATTTTTGTATTTTTAGTAGAGACAGGGTTTCACCATGTTGGTCAGGCTGGTCTCGAACTCCTGACCTCAGGTGATCTGCCCGCCTCAGCCTCCCAAAGTGCTGGGATTACAGGCGTGAGCCACCATGCCCCGCCGCCATGTGTCTTTTAGCCCTCTCCTCTTCCTTCCACCCCATGTGACATTCACATCCTCCATGTTTTAGCTCATTGGCCGTAAGAAAGATGCAAGGCACATGGAGTGACGATAGCTACAAGACCCTTGTGGCAGACCTCGTTGGTTTCCTTCCCAAGGTCTCCTTCCTTGCTGGCAGGGCCATCTATATTCTATAACAGAGACAGAAAATACCCAGTACTCCCATTCCTAGCTTCCCTGTGACCCCAGTTCTGGTTTATGATGTGAGGTGAAGTCTGCTGAGAATTTCTGGAAAGAAGAAAAGAATAAAAGTTTCTCCCCACCCCCCATCCCCAGGCTTTCTGTTTTTAATGTGATCAGGTAAAAGATGTGATGTTTGAAGCCCAGAAGGCCGTTTTGTGACAATGAGGATGAAGCTTAAGATATCGCATAAAAGCCAACTTACTGTCTGTTACCCAGGCTGTCACCCGGGTGGAGTACAGTGGCTTAATCACAGCTCACTGCAACCTCAAACTCCTGGGCTCAAGTGATCCTCCTGCCTCAGCCTCCTGAGTAGCTAGGACTAAAGGCATGCACCAAAAGATAAGCTATCTTTTAATGCCACTTGTTAATTGATTTTTTTACTTGTATCCAAAAGCATCTTATCAATACCACTGAATCAATATAGTTTTCTAATATAAACAGACTGACCTGTGATGACTTAAGTTGCCTTTCAGACTGTGCATAGTATCTACTAGATCATTTCTGAATCCAATTTCTATTATGCTATAGAAAAGTAGTTATCAATCAAAGGTATACATCTAATATGTTGAGATTTAGATATAATCTACATAGAGGGCCAGGTGTGGGTGTGGTTGCTCATGCCTGTAATCCTAACACTTTGGGGGGCCAAGGTGGGAGGATCACTTGAGGCTAGGAGTTCAAGACCAGCCTGGGCAACATAGTGAGACTCTGTTTCTATAAAAACCAAAAAAACCTAGCCAGGTATGGTGGTGCACACCTGTAGTCCCAGCTACTTGGGAGGCTGAGGTGGGAGCATCGCTTGAGCCCAGGAATTCAAGGTTACAGTAAACTATGATTGCACCACTGCACTCCCGCCTGGGCAACAGAGTAAGACCCCATCTCTTGAGAAAGAGAAAACCTGCATAGAATGAGGGTCTGTGAAAATTACTTATCCTGCGTGACAAAATTCACTCATCCTCAACATGAACGCATTTTTTTCTCCCTAGATGCTTCTATAAACATAAGGCAGAATGCCTGTGAACATAAAAATGTCTTTTCCAGAAAAGGTGGATTTAAAAAAGTCTTTGTTAATACAATGTCTTGTGGAATGTAAAATATGAAAAGATGAAAATCATATCCACTAAGAGCTAAAAGTAATGATAATAATTTTAAAAGAAAAACAAAATTGACTTTAATATTTTGTTCATGCAACTCATTCTCATATAATCACAAACTATGAAATAAAAATCTAAGTATTTAAACCTGAGGTTTTGAGGTCATCTCAGGAACATTAGCAAATGCTAAGGAATCTTTTGCATTTATTCTCAGCTAGAAAAAATTGTCAAAAATTTTACTATATCCTGTAAGCATCACAATTATTCATTAGTCAGAAGAATAAAAATGTGGAAAGGATATTAAATGTGTTTAAGAATTGGCAAATCTCTATGCTGGGATTATCACTGAATTAATGGGAGCTCAAATATAAAATATCGACTAAATCACCTCATCTCATAGTCTGTCCCTTCATAGCCTATTCTATGATATGGAAACAATATTATTGACAGTTCCTGAATGTCCCCTGTGAGCTTGGAAAATTTCCCATCATGGCCGGGTGCGGTGGCTCACACCTGTAATCCAAGCACTTTGGGAGGGCAAAGCAGGTGGATCACTTGAAGTCAGGAGGCCAGCCTGACCAATATGGTGAAACCCAGTCTCTACTAAAAATACAAAAATTAGCCAAGCATGGTGGTGGGCGCCTGTAATCCCAGCTACTCAGGAGGTGGAGGCCGGAGAATTGCTTAAACCTGGGATTCAAATGGGTTCAGTCACGCCACTACACTCCAGCCTTGGCGACAAAGGGAGCTGTCATCTAAAAAAAAAAAAAAAAAGAAAGAAAAGAAAGAAAGAAAGAAAGAAAATTTCATACACACTGAAGGTTAACCCCAAGCAATTTATAACATTATATCATTTAGGATTAGGCTAGTTGTTGGCAACATAGACTGAAGTTATAGCAGCTTAAACATACGGTTTATTATCTCTCATAAAATAAGTCCAGACATGGCAGTTTAGGGCTGATGTAAAGACTTCACAAAGTCATCAGGGACCCAAGCACTGCTATGCTTGATGCATGGCTTCTGTCCTTATTCCAGCCGTCATATCTACATTCTAGCAGGAAGCAGAATGGAGTGGGAGGAAAAGGGCACAAATAGGGTAATTGCAATAAAGACACCTTTTCAGAAAAGAAGAGAATGTGAAATGTACAGAGTGAAGAAATCTTTAGTTACTAGTGTCATTCCATCATTGATTTCTTGGTTTTGACAAATGTCCCATGTCAAGGTAAGATGTTAATATTAGGGGTAGCTTGTTGGAAGGTATAAGGGAACTTTTTTATATAGTGGTAAAACTCACCATTTTTAAGTGTCCAATTCAGTAATTCAGTGGAATCAGTGCCTTCACAGTGTTATGCACAATCACCACTGTCCAAGTCCAGAACATTTTTGTAACCCCAAAAGGGAGCCCTGTACTCATTAAGCACTCTCCACTCTCCCTTCTCCCCAGCCCCTGGCAAACCACTAATCCATTTTCTGTCTCTGTGGATTTGCCTGTCCTAGATATTTCATGTTAATGAAATCATACAATATGTGGGCTTTAGAGAGAGTAATCAGAAGACTGGCTTCTTTCACTTAGCATAATGTTTTCAAGGTACGGGAATTCTTTGTACTATGTCTTTTCAACTTTTCTGTAAATCTAAAATTATTTCAAAATAAAAAGTTTATTTAAAAAATCTTAGTAGGCTTATGGTCTGTTTTCTTCTAATACGTTCCCCTTGCTAGTGACTATAGTCAAAGATCAGGCTACATTTGTGTATGCTGAAGCCATCATGTTCATATTCCAGACAGGAAGCAGGAGTGGGAGTTGCAGGACGCATGGGATCATTCAGCAACTTCTGCTTACATCATGGCTGGGGAGTTGTAGTCTTTTAGCTGGGCACATTGCTGCCTGAATAAAACAGTGATCCTGTTACTTACTGAAGAAGAAGGTGAGAATGGATATTGGGTAGGCAACTAGCAGTCTGCCACAGATCTCCAACAAAATTCCTCATGGCCATGAAAATTTGAAGCAAGTTTGCTTGCTTGAAGCTGTTTGCTCTAGGGAGCAACAGCATGAAACTTGAAGTCTCTCTGAAACCTGGCTTTGATACTATCTTTGTTACTTACTAGCTATGTGACCTCAGACAAGCTGACATCTAAACCCTAATTTATCTTGCATAAATGCAGAGAAATAAAATATGCTCAGTACTTGTCAGAGTGCCTGGCCATCATCATCATCATCATCATCATCATCATCCTCCTCCTCCTCATCATCTTCGATGCCTTATCTCCCAGTCCAGAAAATTTTCTGTTACAATATTTTGACTCTTTTTCTTTCTTTCTTTCTTTTTTTGGCAGGGTCTCACTCTGTCTCCCAGGCTGGAGTGCATAGGCACAATCTCGGCACACTGTAACCTCCACTTCCTGGGTTGAAGTGATTCTCCCACCTCAGCCTCCTGAGTAGCTGGGACTATAGGCGCGTGCCACCACACCCAGTTAATTTTTGGTAGAGACAGGGTTTCACCATGTTGGCCAGGCTGGTCTCAAACTCCTGACCTTAAGTGACCCGCCTTCCTCGGCCTCCCAAAATGCTAGGATTACAGGCATGAGTCACCATGCCCTGCCAATATTCTGCCTCTTTTAAGATTCTTTTTTGGTTTTGTTTTTTAATAATTTTTTAAAAAAATTAAAAAGTAGATAAATTTTTAAAAAATAAAAATAAAATAAAATATGCTTAGCAAGAAGATTAACTGTAATAGTAAGTGGGAGCTATTTCATATTTATCTGATGAGAAGTGATTTGAAAAGATAAGATCTAGAGCTGGAGCAGGACTTGGAGGGGTTTCTCAGGAACAGCAGCCTTGTTGTTAAAAACAGGAGCTAATTGGTTCTCACAGATTTCAAAATTTTCTCCAATAGGCTGCTGACTAGCAGTGACAGCAGGTATTCTTGTTTCGTTATGGAAGACCTCAAAGGCTCTTCTGCCATAGTTCTCCATGATGGTTACTTTTATGTGTCATTTTGGCTGGGCCACGGTGCCCAAATATGTGGATTATTCAGGATGTTTCTATGGGAGTATTTTTGGATGAGATTAACTTTAAATCGTTTAAATCGGTGGACTTTGAGTAAAGCAGATTACTTTCTCTAATGTGGATGGGCCTCATCCAATCAATTGAAGAAGCCCTGACTACAACAAAAGGCTGACCTCCACCACCCCCAGAGGGAGTTCTAGTGGCAGATGGTCTTCACACTTGAACTGCAGATTTGGGGTTTACCAGTCTCCGTAATTGCTTTAGCCAATTCCTTAAAATAAATCTCTCTTTCTCTCTTTATATATGTACACACACACACACACACACACACACACACACACACACACACACACACCATCCCCTGTTGGTTCTATTTATCTGGAGAACCCTGACTAATACATTCTCTGACAGAAAACCTAGGGGTTAATTTCACTGTAGTCTCTTTTAGCCTAGATCCCTTAGTAAAACTTACCCTTTTAAGATGTGTCTTAAAACATCACTGTATCTGAGGAAAGCACAGGATAATGACCCAATTCCAACAAGATTGGTTACAATGAGCCTCTGTTCGGATGATTAAGTGGGGAGATAATTAACTCTTAGCTGGGTATAAATGTGCATTGCCTATTCCAACCATGTTTATGATAGACAAGGCCTTAACACATAAAGTAGGGGCTATATAAACACAGTGTTATAGTGACTATGTGTCTTACTCATATTAATTTTCCATATTGAGCTGGTGATTTCCTGGAACGCTTATTAATGTGCATATTAATTGCATTTCTAAAAGCCTTTTGCAGCTTTTAAAACGCAATTTATTAGCAAATATAGTTCACAACCACAAACTCTTACTACTTTCCAACTGTGAATGCATCAATTCATCATTCCTTGATACTTTTTCATCATACATTTCAAAAGTGCATTCTCAATGTTTGGTTGGAAAAACTTCAAGTTGGCACTGAAAACAAATTATTGAGCATGAATGTGATTTTCCTATTCTAAAATATAAAATTATACATGTAATGATGACCCATTTACACAGGTAAACTAGAGTTTTATATAAGTAACTGAGAAAGGAGATATTTACGTTATGATTTTTCTAGTGTTGAATAAGAATTTTATGACTAGGTATGAGCCTTTTCAATATAAAGTAATAATTATTTTTCCACTAAAGATAATATGTAGCTTGTGCATTCAGATGTTTTTGATCACTTAAAGCATACAGCTTTATTTTTAGCTTTTGCATTCTAAAGAGCTGAAATAGTTTTAGGAACTCTCTCATTAATCTTCACAACATTCCCTTTGAGCTATAATGGGAATCAGTCATTATCTTTGGGTAACATAAGGATAATATAATATAGATGTATATTTATTAATATAAGTATTAATATGCTATATGCAGAATACACACATGCTCTGAGTATGTTCAGTTCTTAACATTTTTACTTAGACACAGGTTAAGTAACAGAGCCAAGCAAATGAACCTCTTTCATTAAATCTTTACCATCCGTATCTCACATGCATATGAAGGTTTAAAGACATTTAGTCTTGACTGGGCACAGTGGCTCACGCCAGTAATCCCAGCACTTTGGGAGGCAGGTGGACGGATCACTTGAGGTCAGGAGTTCAAGACCAGCCTGGCCAACATGGCCAAACCCCGTCTCTACTAAAAATACAAAAATTAGCCAGGTGTGGTGGCAGGCGCCTGTAATTCCAGCTACTCGGGAGGCTGAGGCAGGAGGATCGCTTGAACCCGAAAGGCAGAGGTTGTAGTGAGCTGAGATAGTGCCACTGCACTCCAGCCTGGGTAAAAGAGCAAGACTCTGTCTCAAAAATAAATAAAGACATTTAGTCTTGATTACATTTGTATTAAACACACGCACAAAACAGTACTATATTTTTCCTATGTATATAATGCATGGAAATAATCTGGAAGGATGCATATTTAACTAATAACAGCAAATACCTTTGGAAAAGTAGTGCTTGCATCAGGATGGAAGTGGTGTTCTAAGAGACTTTAGTTTTATCCATTACATATATAAACTCCTGGTCTCAAGTGATCCTTCTGCCTCAGCCTCTTGAGTGACTGGGACTACAGGTGTGTGCCACCACACCCAGCTGTTTTTTATAAGAAATTAAGTTATGTATTGTTTTAGTAATTAATTAAAAAAAAAAATTTCCATCCTACCCAGCCTGAGGCAGAATAGGGTCTGGAGGCAGGGAACTTAAGGCTGACTTCATGCTGACTTCCCTAGAACTGAATCAAAAGGAAAACTCCAACTTTCCACACCCAAGTAACAAAAGGATCAGAGGCTACTTCCTTTGCAACACCCCCCACCTTCTGTGTTGCAGATGAAAAATGGAAGGCACCTCTGATTGGTACCCTTCTGCAACCAATCAGACATTTGCGTACGGTGTAACTTTGTAACTTCACTTCAGCCGCACTGGTTGCCTTGTGCCAGAAAATTCTGTAACCCGCGCTCTTGAGCTGCTTGCTGGAGCCTGCTCCCACTCTGTGGAGTGTACTTTTATTTTAATAAATCTATGCTTTTGTTGGTTGCTTTGTTTGTGCGTTTGTCCAATTCTTTGTTTAAAACACCAAGAACCTGGACATCTTCCACCAGTAACAACCAGGCAGGCATAATTAAAATAATTTGTAAAATGAAACTGCTGGGCTGTTTTTCCTCTTTGCAAGATAGAATTACAAACAGTATTTGTCATGCCCATCACCTGGGTCCCTATAATCCTATATCACCACTTTTGACCCTGGCCACCCAGTATCTGGTTTTAGAGACTCTTCTTACCACAGAGGAAAGGGTTTTGTGGAAATTTGTACATGAGGCTTCCTTGTACATATATGATGGCTGAGAAAGAATAAGTAACACACGTATCCCTTAAAGCTCTGTTTGCAGTTTTGTTATGAATAATAATCTGGGTTTAAGTAACAATTATTTATTCAGTGTCTATTTGGTATCTAGGACCAGGGTAAACATTGAACATACAAACATGCATAAAAGTGTTCTTGCTTTTAAGGAAAGGTGGAAGGAGTGGGCAGACATAAACAAAAGAATGAAAATATAGTGAGATGAAAGCTAATGGAAGTCTGGGCCAAGTGCTTGGGCAACACAGAGGATGAGGTAACTAGTAGTGCAGAGGATAAAGGTGAAGAATAAATCAGGGCAGACTCATAGTGATATTTAAGTTGATTCTTGAAGCAAGAGTAGGAGTGTGCTTGGCAAACAAGAAGAAAATGAGCATAACCAGGCAAAAGAATTGTTAGACTCTCTAATCAAAGATCACCAGGAGTACCTGTTGATTATCCAAAGCTGGGTTTATTATGCATACTGAGCAAGGCACAGCACAACTGTGACGGTGTCCCAAAAGGAAGGAGTCAGGGAAGGGTACTTGGGTAGGGGCTGCAGTTAATAATCAGGTGGTTTTAGGTGGCAGATAGTAAGTGTGGTCTTAGCAGGGATTGGTCAGAATATGTAAATGAAGTGAGCTGTTAGGAGAGTCAGTGGTCCCATCTGCACAAGATATGAGTCTGCAAAATTTCAGTTAAGTCAGTTTATCTGTGGTCTTACTTGGAAGATGTGAATCTGAAGGAGATAGGGTTAATTTGATCTTAGATTGTGTGTGTGGCACATTATGGTTTGGTGCAGTTTATCTGTTTTGTGAGTCATGGTGCATTTTCCAAGTTGCATTTCTGTTTCATTTCTAGGATCCATTTGTGCACTAAATATAAGGCCATAATCTGAGAAATATGACACATGAAAATAATGACTCAGTCTGGATGTCAGCCTCAGGGCCAGGGCAGTGATCCATCACAGATGGTTTTTTGTTTCTCATTGCCCAGCAGGTCCATGGGACGGTATGGGGCAGAAGGACCAATCATAGCTCCAAGTTGTATGTCAGAAGGGCAAGAACAAATCTGCGAGATTTCTAATGTTGGAGCTGGAGAAGTGACTCCAAACAGGTTGTCAAAGCAAGGAAAGCCTGAGATGAGGATCTTGAGCCAGAGTAAGAAAGAACAAACAATAGTGATTTAAGCTGAACAAGTGGGATTCCTAGTGATGTGTTTGCCTATAATACCAGGGGTCAAGAAGAATGTCAGAAAATCACACCCCAGATAAGAACTACATAGTCTCTGAAGTCCTTTCCAAATTCAAAACTTAATGGATCAAAAGGATGAAGGTAGAAAAGGGCAAGGTAGAACCGATGGACATAAGGATAAGCAAATGGTCATAAAATATATACAATTTTGTCAAGTGAAACTTCTTATCTACTCACTGCAACATCCCCTCAATGGGTGGTCATCTGCCTTCTGCATGACAACTTTCAAAGAGTTTATATACTACTTTACAATGTGTCCATTTTGTGTGTGTATGTGGGGGTACAGTTTTAATCATCAACTGAGGTAAAACTGGATTATCTGTCATTTCTGCTCATTATTTCTGCCTTGGGAACTATACGGCATATATCTTACCTTCCACACAATAGAGGCCTGCAAATATTTTAAGAAAGTAACCAATATTATTATTTCCCCAATGTGTTTCTTATTCCTGACTAGAGGTCCATTAAAATAATTTCTTGGCCAGGCATGGTGCCTCAATGCCTATAATCCCAGCACTTTCGGAGGCGAGGATGGGAGGATTGCTTAAGGCCAGGAGTTTGAGACCAGCTTGGTCAACATAGTGAGACACTGACTCTACCAAAAAAAAAAAAAAATTCCACTTTTATTCTGATAATTTCTTGTCATGTACATATAGGAATAAATTATAAACATATATGTAAATTTTGACTTTTATGGTTTTAATATTGATAAATATTTTTAACAGTGAATAAACTTTTTATTTTAGAATAGTATTAGATTGATATAAAAGTTGCAATAATATTACAGCGAGTTCTCACATACCCCACACCTAGTTTCCCCTATTATTTATGTCATTATGGTACATTTGTTACAGCTAATAAACTGATATTATTAACTAAAGTCCATACTTTATTCACATTGCCTTAGTTTTTACCTAATGTCTAAAAGTCCACTTTTCACATGACAGTTTTCTGGCCTTTATAGTCCTGGACAAAGCCCTCTTCAAATGCTCAGAAATAAACATGATTCTCCAGATGTAATCTTCCCAAAGAAGATCCCTGGTCAGAAACTAGAAAGTGAATGAAAATAAGAAAGAGAGGTTGGGGCAACCCCAAGAAAGGATACGAGGCCAGGCATGGTGGCTCTTGCCTATAATCCCAGCACTTTGGGAGGCCGAGGCAGACGGATCACCCAAGGTCAGGAGTTCAAGACCAGCCTGGCCAACACAGCGAAACCCTGTCTCTACTAAAAATACAAAAATTAGTTGGGCGTGGTGGTGGCACACCTGTAATCCCAGCTACTCTGGAGGCTAAGACAGGAGAATCGCTTGAACCCAGGAGGCAGACGTTGCAGTGAACCGAGATGGTGCCACTGCACTCCAGCCTGGGCAACAAAGCAAAGCTCTGTCTCAGAAAAGGAAAAAAAAAAAAGAAAGGATGTGAGATCAGCATCAAGGAGACTATGTCTTAAAAGCTGTGCACTGCTCATTGATGGATTCATTTAATCCTCCCAACCATTCAGGAGGTAGGTGCTGTCATTATCTTCATCCTTATAGAGACTCAGATAGGTTAATTGATCTCCCCAGGGACACAGATGTGTCTGACTCAGAAGCTCATCGCATTGCCTCCCCTTGGTATATTTCAAAGAAAGGATGCCACGTCTCTCTCTCTCTCTCTCTTTTTTTTTTTTTTTTTTTTGAGATGGAGTTTCATTCTTGTTGCCCAGGCTGGAGTGCAATGGCGCGAAGTCAGGTCACCGCAACTTCCACCTCCCAGGTTCAAGCGATTCTCCTGCCTCGGCCTCCTGAGTAGCTGGGATTACAGGCATGCGCCACCACGCCCAGCTAATTTTGTGTTTTTTAGTAGAGGCGGGGTTTCTCCATGTTGGTCAGGCTGGTCTCGAACTCCTGACCTCAGGTGATCTGCCCACTTCGGCCTCCCAAAGTGCTGGGATTACAGATATAAGCCACTGCGCCTGGCCAGTATGCCACGTCTCTTATCCATGAACCACTCATTGTTCATCCAACATTGTAACATGAAGGGCATTTAGCCATTCTCTGCTGTGAATTCATTTATTTAGCAAGTGCTTTAGCTCCTGCTATGGGGCAGAAATGACTGCACTTTGCAGAAAGGACTTTGGATAGAAACAAAGGTCAGGCTGGGGCATGTGGCCCCAGCTAGTAAATGTAAGTGTGAAATATCAACACATTAGTGTTAAAGTCAAATTTCTTGCCTTTAACCATCAGACTCCTAAGACCAATAAATGCAGGGAAACTGTGTTCAATTACGATTTGGAGTTGTTAATAAAGATAGACCATAATTAAGAAACCAGTAGTACCCAGGTCCATACGTGTGCTATTTGTACTTCTATCTTAAGAGAGTAGGACATTATTAAGATTCAAGGGTAAACAGGTGACTCTTAATGTGTATCTCAAGGTTGAGAACCACTGGTTTACTGAGTAGGTTCTACATGGGTGAGAGACTATGTAAAAGAAAGTCCTTTTTTCTTTTGATATGTATTGTCCACCTAACTGTTGATGTAAAGTAGTTGTGATATCATAAACACGTACTAATGATGTTGGCCACCATTTACTGAGCCTGTGGTGATGTGGACCAGCCTCTGCATTAAGTGCTTGGCATTCATTTTCTTATTTAACCTTCACAAAGACTCTTGTGGGAGATATCCTAATCACAATTCCACAAGGAGTGAATTGAAAATTAGAAAGATTAAGCACTTACTATTAGTAATTTCGTACTGAGCCCAGGTTTGAGCCTGGATTTGTCTGATGCCTGGCTGGCAGTGAAGAGGCTGTGGTTTACCTGGCTCAAGCATGAGCCATATGAGTCGGGGAACATGTGATGAATGGCTGGCCTCGAGGAGGTTCACCACTGGGGTTTGGAAAATAAAGATATCCTTTAAACATGAAATAGAAATGTTTAGCTAGTTCTGATGTATTAGTCCATTCTTGCACTGCTATAAAGATTTACCTGAGACTGGGTAATTTATGAAGAAAAGAGGTGTAATTGACTCACAGTTCCACAGGCTGTACAGGAAGCTTGGTTGGGAGGCCTCAGGAAACTTACAATCATGGGCAGAAGGTGAGAGGGAAGTGAGCATGTCCTTACACATTGGAGCAGAAGAGAGAGAGCAAAAGGGGAAGTGCTGCACATTTTTTTTTTTTGAGACAGAGTTTCGTTCTTGTCACCCAGGCTGGAGTGCAATGGCGCGATCTTGGGTCACTGCAACCTCTGCCTCCTGGGTTCAAGCGATTCTCCTGCCTCAGCCTCCCAAGTAGCTGGGATTACAGGTGCCCGCCAGCACGTCTAGCTAATTTTTTGTATTTTTAATAGAGACGGGGTTTCACCATGTTGGCCAGGCTGGTCTCAAATTCCTGACCTCAGATGATCCACCCGCCTCAGCCTCCCAAACAGCTGGTATTACAGGCATAAGCCACCGCACCCGGCCTTGCTACACACTTTTAAACAACCAGATCCTGTGAGAACTCACTCACTGTCACAAGAACAGCAAGGGGGAAATCCACCCCTATGATGGAATCACCTCCCACCAGGTTCTTCCTCTAACATTAGGAATTACAATTTGACGTGAGATTTGGGTGGGACACAGAGCCAAACCTTATCACCTGGGATGTAATATTGTGTCATTATACTAAAGTCCAGATGCCAGGCTAGCACTGTAGGTAAAGAAGCCAAGCTTCGCCTAGGGGTGGATTGATGAGTTTGATATAGCTTATTCCAACAAATCTATGATATAGTTTATTCAATCAACAGGGCGATCAGTTTAAAGGAAAAAGAAATAAACTTTACCTACCCATGAGGGTAGGAGGAATGTGAGAAAGAATGAGGAAATTAATACATATAAATGTAGAGAGAAGGAAGACAGAGCCAGGTGGTGTCTTCCCATGATGATATCATTAATACTAGTAATAATAATGATGATGATAGCATTTTAGTCAGTTAGGGCTGCTGCAACAAAGTGTCATAGACTGAATGGCTTAGAAGCAACAGAGATTTACTTGATGGAGTTTTGGAGGTTGGAAGTCTGAGATCAGGGTGCCAGCATGGTTGATTCCGGGATGGCCCTTTTCCAGGTTGCAGACTGCCAACTTCTCAATGGACTCTCACAAGGCAGAAAGAGGACAAGAGAGCTCTCTGAAGGCATTATAAGGGCACTAATGCCATTCATGAGGGCTCCACCCTTATGACATATTACCTCCCAAAGGTCCCTCCTCCTAATATCATCACACTAGGGGCTAGGATTTCAATATATGAATGTAGGGTGTGGAGCGGGGGGTATATATTCAGTCCATTGCAGATAGGAAACTTTTTTGAGTATTTATCATATGCAGGCACTTATGTGAATGTTTCATAACTATGAAATAGGTGCTATATGGATGATAAAAAGCTCAGAGAGGTGAAGTAATTTTCATAAGGTCACTCAGGTCTATCAGACTCAAAAGCTAAGAAACAGTACTATTTCTTTATCCATGTGTGTATCACCTATTATCCAGCCAGGATGTCCTTCAAACCTCCCTCTAAGAAGGCATGAAGACTAAGAAGGATGTGGAGTGAAAGTATCTGGGTGATCTGAGATACAGTTTCACTGGATGGGATTCTCAGGAGGGTGTGGACACCACTGGTGAGAGCCTAGTGCTGTTTGGTTATTGTAGGAGGAGAAATCTGTGCTTTCTCAGCCTCACTGTACTTATGAACTTTGTGTTTTCTTTACGTTCTTTTATCTTCAATCATATTCCTTTGGGAAATTCCAGCTTGCTTTACTGTGCTGAGATAACAATGTTCTTTTGTTCATGTCTGAGCCAGAGAGTTTCTCTGCCAAGGGTAGAGGAAAGGATGTGATGGGATGGGGGTGGGCATGGAGTTAACAGTGGATTTCAAAATGTGAGAAGCTTAAAAGGGCGACCCATCTGCACACACACACTCCTGGGTCCTTTTCTCCTCCATGTACCGTTGCAAGGGAGAGGGCAATGAAAAATGGCGAACATCTTTTTACTTAACCTTGCTGTGTTGTCCCCTCTTGGCTGTAGATGGTCTCTGCAAAACAGGCATCCAGTGGAGCATATGTAGGGTTCTCTGGGGACTGCTATAGGGGTCCTCCCCACTGTTTAGTTCTCTGACTAGAGAGAAGCTAGCCTGATGCTTTTTAAAATCCACCAACCCCCTCTCCTATCCCTCTTTTCCAGTCCTGCCGCCCCTTGATCTTGGGTCCTTTTGCCCCACAGGCAGCCCTCTTGGGCGGGGCACCTCCAAGATGGCTCAAGCCTATCTGTCTTCATCAGGGTCCACTCAGATCCTTGCCAAGCCCAAGAGAAATCTGACAAATTACTCATACAAAAAAATAAAACCAAAACACACAACTGTTTCCACTGACCTATTTGTGTTTTACCAGCTAAGGCTAACATGGTGCCCTCTTTGAGTGCAGCTGTCCTACTACCTCAGCAAGGGAGCAGCCTGCTCCTAAACTGTCCTGTCTCCCTTCCTTGTTGTCACTCCCTGATTTCTTTTTCCTTATGCTCAAATGGGCATAATGGATAAATCAGCAATATCAGGGCATAATTATAACTTCAGCCGGGGAATGACTCTCTCCTCACAGGCCCTTTCCAAATGTACAAATTTACCAGAGATTCTCTTACTGTCCTCCTCATGTGGCTTGGGTTGGGAATGGAGAAGGAAGAAGCACAAAAGAAGCGTGGTGAAGAGAGGGAACTCACCACACAGCTAAAGGATTTCTTGAGAATTATGAATGGGAAGTACAAGCACCTATTTTCCTCAGTTTTAGGATCCAATGTTCTCAGCTTTGGGGTTTTCCCAGCAATCAAGAGGTGACAGGAAAAATCTTATTTAACTTTCGGTTATATGTATATACTGAACATATAGGTGCAGAAATATATACTGAACAGCAAAGGTGCAGAAATATGTTTATCTCAGTCATAGGGTTGATGTGAGAATCAAATGAGATAGTCAAAAGGCTAATAGCTGCAGCCTACGGTATCTCTTAAATTAGTGATAGCGATTCTAGTTCCACAATCTCTTATTTGAAACCTGTAGGGCCAACCATATTCTAAGATTCAGAAGTTTTTGGACTTTAGAATAGTAATTCTATATATTATAGCACCTCCAGGGAGTCTGGAGCAAAGTCTTCTAATCAAACACATTCATATTTCTGCAGTGAAATGTATAAATAGTAACAGTAAATGGTTTAAATAGATTTTAAATAGCCTGACATCAGTTCAGGTGATAATTTGCCACTAAATGAGTTCAGACTAGTCCAAGGTTTTGGCATTTTGAGATATGACAAATTGTCAATTTCAAGAGTTCTTTGGATTTCAAAATTTCAGACAAAACATTGTGGACTTGTATTAAGAATACAAGGTCTTTGTCCTAGGAACTAAAGCCCAACAAACCAAGTGCTAGACTGTAGCTTTCCTTGCTGACAGTTTCCGTCATTGTGTCATTGACCCGGCCCTTCACAAAATAAACTGTGCTTTGTGTGACCCATTCATATTTTCCTTACCCAGCCTAAAACAATACCCTTTCTAAGTGTATCAATTTTTCTCCCACTCTGGCAAGAGCAGTTGGCTTCTAGTAGGCAAAGCCTCTTGGGTGACTATAACAGTACAGAGATTTATTAAAGGGTGCCCTGCTGGTTAACAAGCATTCACACAACTCTGAAACATGCCTAAGTTATAAGTAGGGATGGTCAAACACAAGGCTGAGTTCATTGGGAATTTTGCTCCCCTTAGAGAGTATAGAATACACTGTTTAGTCATTAGCCCCTTTAAAGTGTTTGGTTCTGGCTACTGTCCATTGATTAGATATTCCATGAGCATTGGCCAAGCTCCAGGTAATCAAGGGTTCCTTCTACTTTTGAATGGCTGATTTTTTTTTCAGTTTAAAATATGGTAGAATGAAAACCATAAATTTAATCCTCAGAGTCCCCAGATCTCTTGCAACTATTATTTGACTTGGGATATTTACTACCAATTAGTTGACTCATTTAAAATAATGTATGGTGGAAAGCTTCATTTTATGCTAAAAATATTTTTAATATAAACTTATTATAGCAATGAGAGATATTTTTAGCACAATTTAAAAAGTGCCCTAGAGCTTTAAATTGAAAGAGTATGTTAATAACTTCCACAGAGTTGGCATGAAATATAATTTTCAAGAAACACATGGGATGATAAACACTCAATTCAGAATATTAGTTATCCCTGTATGGAGGGGAATGCAATCTCTGGGAGTACACAGAGCCCTTCTTTATCAATAAGTCAATACTCTGAAAGATTGATTGATAAAGTCAATATTGATAAAGTTTTGATAAGGTTTTATTTTTAAGATGGATTAAGGGTTCATGAGAATTTATTACTCTTTCTTTTCTCCCTTCCCTTCCTTTCCCTGCCCTTCCCTTCCCTTCCCCTTTTCCTTCCCTCCCTTCCTCCCTTTTTCCCTTTCTCCCTTTCTCTCTTTCTTTCTTTCACAGGGTCTCACTCTTGCACCCAGGCTGGAATGCAGTGGCATGATCATGGCTCATTGCAGCCTCAACCTCCCTAGCTCAGGTGATCCTCCCACCTCAGCCTCCTGAGTAGCTGGGACTACAGGCACATGCCACCACATCTGGCTAATTTTTGTATTTTTTGTAGAGATAGGGTTTTGTCATGTTGCCCAGGCCAGTCTCAAACTCCTGGGCTCCAGTGATCTGCCTGCCTCAACCTCTCAAAGTGCTGGGACTACAGGTGTGAGCCACTATGCCTGGCATTTATTATTCTTTATGCTTTTTTGAAAGTCTGAAATATTTCATGATAAATTAAATATAATATACATACAATTTCATGAATTCATCTAGGCTAGGGTAGTGAAGCACAAAATAGACTTCTATATCATACATCTTGATAATGATGAACTATTTACTACAGCCATCCTTCCATGAGTTTGCTTCTCCCGTCCTCCAGTGATCAATGTTTCTTCATCACTGGCTGTCCCCCAAGCTCAGAATTCATTTTAAGAACTAGTCATTAGACAAAGGGAAAGGCCTCTCCATACAAAGTCTGTGAAAAATGATTTCATTTTAATGTGAGGTGTGACATTTTATTCTTAGAAGGAGATTGAAAGCACTCCTGGCCTCCCCTAAGGCCCACTGTGGTGAACATTTTTGCTTTCTTGCTCAGTTCTTGCATTGTCTCCTCCTGGCCTCACCTTTGCATGAGGCAGAAGTCGGTCATGCTATGTGTATTTTTTGTTTTATGCTTCCTTTCTCATGGAAACTATTGAAAATAAGGCATCATTACTGCATGGGAGTGGCCCTTCCCAGAATTCCAGGCTCTTTTCCATAAAAATTTATTTGTGAAAAGAGCCACAGTCCACATTAGTCAGATTTACAAAATGTGGGAACCTAATACTGGGCCTACTTGGTCTTTTCTAAGCAGAAAAATCTCCTTGAAGGCAGATATAAAGCAAACATTTTGAAAATGCTCATTTAGCACTATTTACACAAACTTTAGTAAGTTTAAGAATTTCTCATATTAAAATCATATTCTCCTTTTATGCATCATTATAGTAATTATGTAACACTCCATTATGAGTATAGTTTAGATAAGAAAGGTCTTTGATATCATATACATATGCTACATATGTGTTATATGTAATGCCTGCAATATGATTGTTCATAGAATCTTGGAGAAGTATGTTTATTTGTCTGAAGTAAAATACACTACATTTGAAATCCTTAAATAAACTCATGATTTTCAAAATTTGTTGCTTCATAAAAAAACACTGAAGTTTTGTTGGAGTTGTTTACCTTCTGCCTGTGGGCAAGTCTTTGTGGAATGGGCAGCTCTAAAGCCTTCTAAATCAGTAGCTGTCTTTACTATTAACTCCTTGAAACCGGTGTGGGGAGCAGAACCAAAGTCCCAGAAGTCAAGATCTGGCAAGTGTCCAGAAATGACTGATATCACATTAAACAGAGCAGGGAAGGTAAGGAGGGAGAATGAGAGGCATACGTCCTTCAAGTCCCTTTGGTTTGCTGAGTGAAGACGGGATGCTGATTTCCTTGGTTCCACGGGCAGAGGCCAGGTCAGTCTTGTGTTAATGTGCACAATGGTACAGAAAAGGATCAGTCTGCAGCTGTAAGGAGCTCAGAGTAAATTCAGTACTATTGGAAATGCAATCCAAAATTACGTTTTTCAAAGGATAGGGCAGTTATATTATGTCCAGGAAAAGGAGAAGCCTGTGTTCATTTGTGGAATAACATGATGGTCTATGTTTCTTTTCTTTCTTTTTTTTGAGATGGAGTCTTGCTCTGTCACCGAGGCTAGAGTGCAGTGGTACGATCTCGGCTCACTGCAACCTCTGCCTTCGGGTTCAAGCAATTCTTCTGCCTCAGCCTCTTGAGTAGCTGTGACTACAGGCGCCTGCTGCCATGCCCAGCTAATTTTTGTATTTTTGTAGAGACGGGGTTTCACCATGTTGGCCAGGCTGGTCTCGAACCCCTGACCTTAAGTGATCTGCCTTCCTCGGCCTCCCAAAGTGCTGGGATTATAGGCGTGAGCCACCGCCCCTGGCCAATGTTCTATGTTTCTAAGGGTTAAGTTAGCCACAGTACAGTTGTTTCTAGGCAGTGACCTCGAGAAGAGCCTATTCTAAAATGGAAGCTTTTCTAAGACATTACTACACTGCTGACCTCAGTGTAGTAATCTGACAATTCTTTTAGTCCCTCCAAACTGGACTGGAAATAATGAAAACTAAACTATATAGGGCCTTAGCATTTGCAAAGTGCTTTCTCCCATCCCTAAACGCATGAGTCAGACAGACTCTGGACAATCAATTGGTGGCAGATAGAGTAACTCAATATAGCAGGTTTACTGATTTGGCTTTGATGAGGACTCTGAGCTGTATAACATGTACATTCATTCATTTAAATTATACATATATATATATATATTTTTTTTTTTTTTTTGAGATGGAATCTCACTGTCACCCAGGCAGGAGTGCAGTGGCACAATCCTGGCTCACTGCAACCTCTGCCTCCTGGGTTCGAGTGATTCTTGTACCTCAGCTGCTCAGCAGCTGGCATTACAGGCATGCACCACCACACCCGGCTAATTTTTGTATTTTTAGTAGAGATGGGGTTTCGCCATGTTGGCCAGGCTGGTCTGGAACTCCTGGCCTCAGGTGATCTGCCCGCCTTGGCCTCCCAAAGTGTCGGGATTACAGGCATGAGCCATTGCGCCCGGCCTATTTATTTAAATAACATTTTTTGAGTTTTTCTTACATGCAGCACACTGTTCAAGGCATGGAGACATTGCAGTGCAAGAAACAAATTAAGTCCCTCTCCGAATGGGGCCTATAATTTTTACGATCGCAAAGATGACAAATATCAGTTAATGAAGAGTATTATTTAAAAAAAGCAGGATAAAGGACTAGAAAAAAGAGTAAGTAAGTAGGATAAAGGACTAGAAAAGTAAACAGGATAAGAGGGATGCTGTTTTGTGTAAGGTAGTCGGAGAAGGCCCCTCTTAAGAGGTGACATTTGAGCAGAGGCCAGAATAAATTAAGGAAGCACACTATGTGGCAACCTGGAAGAACAATATTCCTGGCAGAGGTGACAGCATGTGCATAGGCCCTAAGGCAGAAGCATATTTGCATCATTTTTTCTTACTTTTTATTATGGAAAAATTTAAACTATACAAAAGTAGACAGAATTGTATAAGGAACCCCATGTATCCATTCATCTGCTGCTATACTGCCAACCAATTAATCAACACCCCCACTGGATTATTTTAAAGCAAATCAAGACATCATATAATATCATCCAAAAAAAAATTCAGTATGTATTCCTAAAGACAGGAGCACTTTCCTTTGACATGCCACATCACTGTCACACTTCAAAAATTGTCAATAATTCCTTAATATCATTGAATATTAACTAACATTCAACTTTCCCAGATTGACTCATATATATTTTTACTAGTCGGTTTGTTAAAAATCAGTACGTAAATAAGATTATCTACAACATCTGAAAAATAGCAAGGAGGATGGTGTGGCTGGAAAGAACACAGCTTGATACCAAAGATTACAGCTTCACAGAGAGGGAAAAAAAGCAGGATTGGAATCAAGATGTCCGTTAAAGGAAGTGGGAGAAGGTGATCAGTAGTTATGAGGATGCAATGAACAGGCTAGTGCTGGTTGGCAGAGGTGAACAGGCTTCTGTCAACATTTATGAGAAGTGTTGTCCTGTGGGTCCAGCTCCAGGAGGGGCAATCTAGAAGATGCTATTGCCCCATCCTTGAGATCCTTGGATCCTCTTGCCCCAGACAGGAGAGAATACTAATCTTTATATACCAGCTCCTAATTCTCACAGTAGCCCTGCAAGATGATAACTGTTGTTTATAAAAGATGAAAGAGGCTCAGAGAAGTCAAGTGTCTGGTGTGGTGTGGAGAATGAATTTGAGCACTGGCCTATCTGGCCCCAAAACTGGCCTTCACTTTCTGATATTATATCCTAAATCTATTTCTTTATTGTCCCCTCATGAGGGCAAGGACTTGTCTGTTTCATGCACTGTGATATCCTTGGACCTAGAAAACTAACTGGCACTTGGAAGAAACAAAAATATACATATATATTAATTTAAGGTATGAATGTACATGTTACATAACCTTGGGTCTCACTGAAAATGCTTTTGCAGGGATCAACTCAATTTCAGATCAATTTCTGTGTCTCCATGGCTCAACATGATGCTTTCTACCTCTCTCTACTTCCTTTAATTTTTTCTAGATCCACAGGTCTTGGATGGCTTGGAATATGGTCAGAGTTGGGAAAGATGAAAACAGCTCAGGAATGACCCCAACTGAGATACTATTTTATACTTACTAGGTTAGTAAAAAGTAAAGGCTGACTATATCAAGTGTTGGTGAGGATGTGGACTAACAGGAACTCTTACATATCACTGGTGAGAATGTGAGTTGATAAAATCACTTTGGAAAAGCTTGGCACTGTCTTGTAAAATTGAACTTCTGCATATTCTAAGACTCAACAATTCCACTCCTAGACCTTATTCCTGGAGAACTCTTGTACCTCTTTACAGGAGACTTTCATGGCAGCCTCATTCATAACAGCAAACAACAATACTTGTAGTTCTATTCACAGTAGAATGAGTTCATAAATCATGCTATTGTCACACAACAGAATTTTGTTGTTGTTGTTGTTGTTTTGAGAGGAAGTCTCGCTCTTGTCTCCCGGGCTGGAGTGCAATGGCGTGATCTCGGCTCACTGCAGCCTCCGCCTCCTGGGTTCAAGCGATTCTCCTGCCTCAGCCTCCCGAGTAGCTGGTATTACAGGCTTCTGCCACCACGCCCGGCTAATTCACACAATAGAATTTTATACAGCAGTGAAAATGAATGTGTGAGCTACAGCTACAAGCAACAATATAGATGAATCTTGAAAACATACCCTTGGGTGAACAAAATCAAGTTGCAGAAGACTATTTTAAATATGTTGTTTTTATAAAGCACAAAACAAGGAAGGTGAAACAGTGCAAAGTTTAAATATCTATATATTTATATCTATCTACTAAAACCATTGTTTTAAAACATAGGAAAAACAAATGCAAACAAATCAAGATTTCAGTTACCTCTGAAAAGGCGGCAGAAAAATGAGAAGATTCTGTGAGGTAAAGGAGAGAAACATATATAGGTAGGTGAAAAAAATAGATAATGTTGTCATTCTTCTTAAGTTTGGGTGGTGTGTTAATGGCTACTTATTTTATTCTAACACTTCCAAGCTCAGAAATTAACTATGTGACTTGTTTTGTAGGTATCAAATAAATAAATAAATAAAACAAGCCAGTCAGCAGGATGGAGCAGTGTGTGAGGGCATCCTGTCTGCCATCCACACAGCCATCTGCTGGCTGCTGGCAGGAGTGTGCTTTTGGCATCTGGAAGCTGTTGTTTACTGTATGGTGGGTGCCAGGAGGTGTGCTGAATCCCTTAAGTGAGAAATGAAACACTTGCTCAAACTTGGAACTCCCAAGTACACATCCAGTAATTACACACCAGGGAGCAGACTTCATTCAGGGAATGCATAATTTATTTGTGCTTAGACATTCCTTTACTGTTTGACAATGTAGTGATCACACCGAGAGGTACCAAGGATTCAAATGTGTTCTTTTATAAACATTTTTCTTCATGCCCATCATGCTGCATAAAGCTGCCAAAGATCACGCCTTAAGTTCACTGAGCTTCTTTGCCACAGACACGGAGGCACACACATTCTCAGCTACATGTGTAGAATTAATATGTCTGATCTCACTTGGTCTCATGTGAGAAAAGTCACAAATTTCATCCATCTTTCTAGTACAGTTTCAGGACTCCTGGCAGCTCTTGCAATCTATAAATGGGGTAACTTTATTAATTCTAATTAAGTGTCAGAAATGAAAATAGAAAACATACAGAAGGACTTTTTCCTTAATAAGAAATGTTAACACCATGTGATCTCAGCTTGTGCCAAAGACAGTAGTTGTACTGGAGTCTAAGGTGTCAGACTGTTTTGAAGAGTTTTAAAAGTATTGAAAAGGAATTTATTCATTCTTTTTAATGATAAGTTTTAGAGAATAAAAATCTATGCTTGCTCTCCCCACAATGAAAATGAAGATTTATAAATCATCCAGACAATATGATCAATGTAAATAAACTGGTAATCTAGATACCTTTAGTTTTAGGCTTATATTGTCAACTGAATGTCTTTATCCCATGAATCAGACAATTGCTATATCTCCATTTTACTTTCTTCAAATTAGACACAGTGTTAATAATTACTCTGGCCTACAAGATCATTTTCTTGCAAATTAAAAAAAAACTTTGAATAAACCAATTGAAGAAGCCATGTGCATATATATAATATATAAACATATATGTGTGTATAATACATACACATTATATATGTATATAGTAATAGTACACACATACTTAAATACATATATATGGAAAAACATTTTTTTTTTCTTTAGAGACAAAGTCTTGCACTGTTGCCCAGACTGGAGTGCAGTGGCATGATCGTAGCTCACTGAAGCCTGGAACTCCTGGACTCAAGCGATCCTCCCACCTCAGCCTCCTGAATAGCTGGGACTACAGGCATGTGCACCATGCCCAGCTAATTTTTTTTTTTTTTTTAGACAGAGTCTCACTCTGTTGCCCAGGCTGGAGTTCGGTGGTGCGAATTAGCTCACTGCAGCCTCCACCTCCCGGGTTCAAGCGATTCTCCTGCCTCAGCCTCCTGAGTAGCTGGGATTACAGGCACCCGTTACCATGCCCGGCTAATTTTTGTATTATTAGTAGAGATAAGGTTTCACCATGTTGTCCAGGCTGGTCGCGAAACTCCTGACCTCAGGTGATCTGCCCGTCTCAGCTTCCCAAAGTGCTGGGATTACAGGCATGAGCTACTGTGCCCGGCCTGCCCAGCTAATTTTTAATTTTTGTGTAGAGACAGGGTCTCTACACAAACTCCTGGGCTCAAAACAATCCTCCTGCTTTGGCCTCTTAAAGTGTAGGGATTACAGGCCTGAGCCACAGCATCTGGCCAGGAAAAGCATTTTTAAAAAACTGCCTACTATTCTTAGACTATGTAGCAGTGGGTTTATAAAAATACTTGTATTAAAATGATATTCCATTAGATTAATTCACATGAAACTTTTTAATTTTTTTTTTTTTTGAGACGGCATCTCACTCTGTCTCCCAGGCTAGACTGCAGTGGTGTGATCTTGGCTCACTGCAACCTCTGCCTCCCGGGCTCAAGTGATTCTCCTGCCTCAGCCTCCCGAGTAGCTGGGATTATAGGCACACACCACCATGCCCGACTAATTTTTTGCAGTTTAGTAGACATGGGGTTTCACCATGTTGCCTGGGATGGTCTTGAACTCCTGAGGTCAGGCAGTCCGCCCACCTTGGCCTCCCAGAGTGCTGGGATTACAGGCGTGAGCCACTGTGCCCAGCCCACATGTAATTTTTAAAACTTACAATCATCAATAAAGAATGACACTATACACAACATGATGTACAAGTGTCCTTTCGTAGCTTAAGGGTCTGGTCACGTTGCTGGGACTATTTCTTACATAGTTATTAGTATTTTCCTTTACGAGCTTTTGGTTCTTGGGCACCATGATTATACAATATCCACTCATTTATTCATTAATTTATTCAACAAATATTTATAAAATATTTGAAAATAATACTGTGAGATGCTACTCACTTTGGTGCTGGGGCCATAATGATGGACAAAATCAAATATGACTCTTTACCTCACAGAATCTTCTGTCTAATGCTAAATATATTAATAAAATAATCACCAAAAAAGTTTTTTTTTAAATTTTTTTAAATTTTGAGATGGAGTCTTGCTCTGTTGTCCAGGCTGGAGTGCAGTGGCGTGATCTTGGCTCACTGCAACCTCTACCTCCTGGGTTCAAGCGATCGATTCTCCTGCCGTAGTCTCCCAAGTAGCTGGGAAATACAGGCGCCCACCACCATGCCTGGCTAATTTTTTTATTTTTAGTAGAGTCAGGCTTTCACCACATTGGCCAGGCTGTTCTTGAACTCCTGACCTTGTGATCCACCTGCCTCGGCCTCCCAAAGTGCTGGGATTACAGGTGTGAGCCACCGTGCCCGGCCCCAAAAAGGTATATAATTATGAAATGTGAATAAAGAAAAGTATGTGGTGCTGAAAGATTATAATGGAAATATGCCTTAGTTTGGGAACATCTCAGAAGGCTTTCCTGAGAAAGCCATGTTTAAGGCGAAGAGGGCCTGGTATACAGAATCAGCCATGTGAATCTCATTTTCTTTAGAATTCTTTTTAATGCCTGGTGTTTTGCCAGTTACTCTCTAATTACTTTCAAAGTTGTATGATTAGTTATAATCAAATTCACAAAAACCGACTGAATACTTACTATGTGATGAGTAGTATAAGTACTAAAATAAAGTCCTTCCCTTCAATGAGTTACTTAGGGAAACAGCACAATGTGATAATACAAAATAAAACTTACAAGCAAAATAAGAGATATGCAAGCTAGAGCACAAAAGAAGGAAAGCTTTCTTCTAGTTAGAAGTAGATTCTAGAGCATTTTCACTAAGCTTGTGGCATATATCTTGGGCCTTGCAGTATTGATAGGAGTTTGAAGATACAGATGGGGGAAAGTAATTCAGTACGACGTAGGGATGGGAAAACATGAAACATATTCTAGAAATTGTGGGTCTAGTTTGAGTTCTGTAACAGGAAGTGGTGAGAGTTGCGGCTGGACAGTTAGACTGGAATCAACCTGTGACAGTCCCTGATGGCCATGAGTTTGTATGGGCTTTTCAAAGTAGTAGATGAGCCAGCCTCAGTGGCTCACACCTGTAATCCCAGCACTTTGGGAGGCGGAGGTGGGCGAATCACTTGAGGCCAGAAGTTCCAGACCAGGCTGCTCAACATGATGGCACCCCGTCTCTACTAAAAATACAAAAATTAGCCAGGTGTGGTGGCTCACGCCTATAATCCCAGCTACTCGGAAGGCTGAGGCAGGAGAATCACTTGAACCCGGGAGGTGGAGGTTGCAGTGAGCCGAGATCGAGATCGTGCCACTGCCCTCCAGCCAAAAAAAGAGAGGGAGGCAGGGAGGGAGGAGGGAGGGGGAAGGAGGTAGAGAGAGAGAGAGAGAGAGAAGAAAGAAAGAGGATAGATAACTCCTTAGATGTGTAAAGAAGTGGATGATAGATAACTCCTTAGACGTGTGCATCCAGCCCTGCTCAGCTCTCCTACTCCATACTGTGGCACTAGGTCAAGAAAATGATTAACGCTAATATCCCCGTCCGTTTCTGTTCCTTAAGCTGGGCAAAAGTGAGGCAGATAAATTGTGTGCATTTGGAGGAACACAGAGGGACTATATCCTTGAGGTTAGAGACCTTGTCCTATTCATATTGATATGCCCATCGCCTCCTTGAGGTTAGGGACCTTGTCCTATTCATATTGATATGCCCATCGCCTCACATAAGCCTGGCATTTGATTAGTAATAAGTAACTGTTAGCTCCCATATTAATCTACTCAGTCACTAAGTAGAAGACAATAAAAGATCAAAACCCATATATTGCCCTTTTTTCAATTACATTTTTTATTACAAGACACTGAGCAGACATAACCAAATACAATGTATTTTATTGGACCTTGGCTTGAAAAAAATAGATAAAAAAGGCATTCTTGGGACATTTGGTGAACTCTGAATATGGCTCATTTATAGGAAGATATTATGAAATTATTATTCATTTTCCTAGGTGTTTGCAACTTTCTCAAATGTTCAGAAAGCACACAAACATACATATAAGGCAAATATATAAAAATATTACTAATTGTTGAATCTGGATGGATGATATGCAGTTATTCATTTTACTACTCTTTTAACTTTTTTTTTTTTTGAGATGGAGTCATGCTCTGTTGCCCAGGCTGGAGTGCAGTGGCACTATCTCTGCTCACTGCACTCTACCTCCTGGGTTCAAGAGATTCTCCTGACTCAGCCTCCCGAGTATCTGGGACTACAGGCACATGTCGCCACGCCTGGCTAATTTTTGTATTTTTAGTAGAGACAAGGTTTCACCATGTTGGCCAGGCTGGTCTCGAACTCCTGACTTCAGGTGATACGCCTGCCTCAGCCTCCCAAAGTGCTGGGATTACAGGCGTGAGACACCGTGCCTGGCCTTAACTTTTCTATATGTTTGAAATTATTCATAATAATAAGTTAGGGAGGCTTTTCATTTCAAAAATCAGTGTTTTTAGTGTCTAGTAAAGAAACAAACTCTGGCTTATCTAGGAAAACAGTTTTTACTGAACAGGGAGTGGACAGCTCACAGATCCTCTGGGAAGGCTTGAAAATCATAATATGAGGGACCAGTCCTTCAAAGAACTACTCACCTTTCCCCCACCGTCCACACAGCTGGTTCTGCTAACACTGATGCTACAATTACTGTCATGTCTCCCTCTGGAGACCCCACAGTTTCCACTGAGCTGCTGCCTCTCCTGGGCCAGAATGAATTCTATATGCAGCTAACTGGTGGAGCCCAGGACCCGATAACAAGGGAGTATGAAAAAACACATTTCTTCCATTTTCAATATTTATAATGGAATACAAAATCTGCTTCATAAGGTGGGGGATTCCCCAAAGCAAGGTGGTTCAGAAGTTGATTGGTCAAGAACAATAACAAAGGTCAACTACAGAAGTATGTATGTATGTATTATTATTATCTATTTTTTTTTTTTTGAGACGGAGTCTCGCTCTGTCACCCAGGCTGGAGTGCAGTAGTGCAATCTCTGCTTACTGCAAGCTCCGCCTCCCGGGTTCATGCCATTCTCCTGCCTCAGCCTCCCAAGTAGCTGGGACTACAGGTGCCCGCCACCACGCCCGGCTAATTTTTTGTATTTTTAGTAGAGACGGGGTTTCACCATGTCAGCCAGGATGGTCTCGATCTCCTGACCTTGTGATCCACCCGCCACGGCCTCCCAAAGTGCTGGCGTGATCCACCGCACCCGGCCCAGAAGTATGTATTATTGAAGATGAAAGTTATACTCCTTCTCAGAAAGATAGGAGACATATGAAAAAAGTTATACCCCTTTCCAGAAGGCATCACAATTTTATATGTATCCTTCCATATATACAGATAGATATAAATACATATAGATATATAAGATACTGGTAAAAATATATATATTTTATATAAACAATAATAATGGTAGTAGCTAACATTTACTGAGTAATAGCTATGTACCGGATACCATTTTGAAATATTGCTTATGTAAACTAACACATTTCTGCTGACAACAGAATCCTCTGAGATGGGTACTAACATTACTACTCTAATTTTCCTATAAGAAAACCGAAGGCTAAGTAAATATTTAAACTATCCAGGTTTCCAGAACTAGTAAGTGGTGGAGCCAGGATTATGAATTCAGATAGAGCATACACTCTTTAAACACAGCCTCTCTAATACCTATTGTTTATTATTTTCCTTATTCACTTACAATATGTGATTGTCTACTTCATTCTTTTAATGGCTACATATTATGGGCATATCACAATTAATCTAACCATTCCCCCATTAGTCAACATTTAGTTTGTCTAATTCTTCCCTATTCAAAGTAATATGTCCTATTAAATATTTTTCTGCATATGTGTAAGTATTTCCAAGAGTCCTGGAAGTGCAGTTGCTGGTCAAATAGTACAAACACCTTAAATTTTATGTATATTGCTAAATTGTCCTCTAAAACATTTTGTACCAATTTACATCCCACCTCTCTGAGTATGAGGGTCTCTTTCTGTTATCAATCTCTACATTTGTATCAATTTAATGGTGAAAAGCATTTCATTGTGATTTTATGTTTCCCTGATCATTAGTGTAGCTCAGCATCTTTTCATGTGTTCATTGACTGTTCATAATTTTCCTTCTATGAATTGCTTATTTATGTATTTTAATCCATTTTTCCATTGGTTAGTCTTTTTTTTTAATTTGAAGCTTTATTAAAAAAATCCTTTGTCATGTTACTAATGGTTAAACTTTATCTAAACTGAGAACAAATAATTTAAAAAGCAAGAGACATGTGTGTCTGTGTATGCACTTGTGTGATTAAAAAATCAATCAGCGGTGAAATCTACACAGGGCCTGTGGTCTAGTTAACAGTATGGTACTAATGTCAATTTCCTTGCTTTGATATTGTACTATAGTTATACTAAATATTACCATTGGGGCAAGCCGAGTGTATTAGTTTCCTAGGGCTGCTGTAATAAATTATCACAAACCGGATAGCTCAAAATAATAGGAATTTGTTCTCTCTTAGTTCTGCAGGCTAGAAGTCTGAAATCAAGGTATTGGCAGATCCATGCTCTCTGAAGCATCTAGAGGAGGATCGTTTCTGGCTTCTTCCCCAGTTTCTAGTGGTTTCTATCAAATCCTTGTATGCTGGTGTTCCTGTGCTTGTACATACAGTACTTCAATGTCGGCCTCTGTTGTCATGTGGTGTTCTCTGTGTACCTATGTCCAAATATCCCTCTTCTTACAAGAACACGAGCCACTGGATTGATGCCCACCCTAATCCAGTATGACCTCATTTCAACTTGATTATATCTGAAATGATAAGGTGACATTCATAGGTTCCTGGGATTAGGACTCGAGCGTATGTTTTTGGCACACTCAATTCAACTCAGATACTGGGTGAAGGGTACAGCGGACTCCCTTTACTTTTTTTTTTTTTTTTTTGCCACTACCTGTAAGCCTAATTATTTCAAAATAAAAACATTTTAAAAAAATCTATCTGGAAAAACATAACAAAATTATTAACAACGGTTACCTCTTTAGAAAATTTTACATTTTATTTGATACACTTCAGTCCAGCTTGGCTTTCCTTGGGAGTTATGGTATATGACTTTTGTCATTTAAAAACTAAAACAAAAAAAAATAGAAATTTGGGAGAAAAGAATGGTCTTGTCATTAAAGCACTTAGATCTTAGCCTTTTGGAAAGAAAACTTTAGTAGCAGTGTGAAGGGATGGTAAAGGGATGGTTTGATGCTAGAAGCTGAGAGACTAGATAAGAAATGTGTGCACTTATCAAGGTGAAAAGAGATAAGGACCTGAGCTGGGAGCACTGGTAGGGAACGGCAAGGAGGAGGTAAATGTGAGAAACATTCAGAATGCAACATAGACAGGATTTGGTGACTGATTGCATATAATGGAGTAAGTAAGAGCGAGGAGTTGAGACAAATTCCCAGGTTCCTGGCAAGCAAGACTGGGTCCTTGGTGTTGCCATTCATTGAGATAGGCTGGTTTTTGTCCATTTGCCCCAATAGAACTATTCTCCACCCTTTACCTCACTACTTTCTGCCCAAGAAGCTGACCTCAAGAGACCGAATCCCTGGGCTCTTTTTATCCCTGGTTTCAGGTTGGGTTTGGCCAATGAGTGGTATTAGCAAGAGATCAGAGAGAGGCCACACCTTCTAACAGAGAGCCCTTCCTCCACATCCAGGTCTCAAATGCTTCCCTGACCCAGTTGGGGGATAACAGCTTCCTCTCTGTTTCTGCTTCTTCTGCTGCTAGAGAGAAACTTTACTGGATTCTTAAAGGGTCCTATCATTAAACTCTCATCAATGACTTACAGAGTGTGTCATCCATTTCCTGCCAGGACCTTGATTGGTATAGAAAAGGAATGCAGGTGAAGGGGAGTGAAGTGAGAGAAAGATGGCAAATTCACTTTTAGAAATGCGGGGCTGGACATGGTGGCTCATGCCTGCAATACCAGCACTTTGGGAGGCCAAGGCGAGGGGATCGTGTGAGGCTAGGAGTTCAAGACCAACCTGGGCAACATAGCAAGACACTGTCTCTACAAAAAATGAAAAATTAGTCAGGTGTAGTGGTACATGCCTATCATCCCAGCTATTCAGGAGGCTGAGGTGGGAGGATTGCTTGAGTCCAGGAGGTCAAGGCTGCAGTGAGCCGTGATTGTGCCACTGCCTTCCAGCCTGGGTGACAAAGCAAGACTCTGTCTCTTAAAAAAAAAAAAAAAAAAAAAGAAGGCCAGTTCGCATTGGCTCATGCCTGTTAATCCCAGCACTTTGGGATGCCAAGGCCAGCGGATCACAAGGTCAAGAGATCAAGACTATCCTGGTCAACATGGTGAAACCCTGTCTCTATTAAGAATACAAAAATTAGCTGGGCATGGTGGTGTGCACCTGTAGTCCCAGCTACTCGGGAGGCTGAGGCAGGAGAATCACTTGAACCTGGGAGGCGGAGGTTGCAGTGAGCCGAGATTGTGCCACTGCACTCCAGCCTGGTGACAGAGTGAGACCCTGTCTAAAAAAAAAAAAAAAAAGAACAAAAAAACCTGGGTTTAGGATGTTTGTGTGACATGTAAGTGGATATCTATTATACATAGGGTTGATGTCAGGAGGAAAGCCTGGGCTGGAGATATAGATCTGGTAGATCTGGTAGTTATTAATAAATGTATTAGTATATTTGGCAATTGAAAATATGCAATCATAATCAGAAATAATTTAAACCTGAAGGGACTGATGGCTGGACTCTGAGGAAGATTAGTACTTATGGGAGCAACTGCAAAATGAGAAGCCCACAAATGAAATTGAGAAGGCATATTCAGAGAAATAAAAGGAAGACTAGGATGCAATTGTATCCCAAAGG
This sequence comes from Homo sapiens, assembly GCF_000001405.40. Taxonomy (NCBI): domain Eukaryota; kingdom Metazoa; phylum Chordata; class Mammalia; order Primates; family Hominidae; genus Homo; species Homo sapiens. The sequence continues at coordinate 27,732,516 of NC_000007.14, forward strand.
GGATAAGGAAAAAGTTTTAAGCAGGAAGGAGTGAACAATTCTATCATTAGAACTTCTTGGTTGAAAAGTTTGTGGAATAAGGTCTGAGAACTGAAAAGTAGGTTGGGAAATGAGGGTCATTGATGACCTTACCATGGTAACTTTCAGTGGACTGGTGGGGGTTGAGCACACTTTTTTTTTTTTTTGAGATGGAGTCTGCTTTTGTCACCCAGGCTGGAATGCAGTGGCACGATCTTGGCTCACTGCAACCTCCGCCTCCCGGGTTCAAGTGATTCTCTTGCCTCGGCCTACTAAGTAGCTGGGACTATGGGCACCTGCCACCACGCCCAGCTAATTTTTGTATTTTTAGTAGAGACAGGGTTTCACCATGTTGGCCAGGCTGGTCTCGAACTCCTGACCTCTGGTGATCTGCCTGCCTCGGCCTCCCAAAGTGCTGGGATTACAGGCGTGAGCCACCATGCCCAGCCTGAGCACATTTTATGGGGTGAGGAAGGCAAGATTAATGAACATGTAGCAGTATGAATTTTAGCCCACAACTCAAGCTTGTAAAGAAATATGTTTTAATATATTCCACCAATTCAATTTCTGTTTTGAGTCTCCATTCTGGTTTTGTCAGGATTTTGAAATATTGCTCTGTACTAAGATAGGGTACGGGATATTTTGGAGACCAGGAAGGTTAAACGGGCTGTGTGGTTTTGTCCACCTAGAAGCACCCTCCCACCCTCTCAGACCCAGAGAAATCTGTTTCTAGAGTTGAGGGGGAGGAAGATGCTGCCTGTTCTCCCTCCACCTATATACCCCTGCCCTTGGCTTCTCCTGAAGCCATTTCTCTGTGGCCTGAATCCTCTCCCCATTTGTGGGGTTTGAGAGTCTAGAAACAAAAGCCAGAAAGATTTTCCTTCTACATCCTTTCTTCAATGCAACAAACCTATGGGTGAGGGTTGGGAAAGTGGCAAGCTATACAAGGAATACCAAGAAAAATAGGTTAATATCTAAAATATCACATCATATAGGTTGGTCCTTAAGAAGTTCAGCTGGGAAGGAAAGAAAAAAAATAGGATGCTAGTTGGAAGAAGATATGGGTTAAAAGGAGCTTCTCCCGGAATGATAGCAACTGTGCTTAAAGAAGCACAAGGAAGTTTCCTTACTTAAAGAGATCCTCCCCCATGCATGGAAATCCAGCTTGACAGACTCATTACTTTATGCTCGTAGGTCTTATTTTGAGATCCTGAGACTTGCATTAAGTTCCTCACAGGCACAGAGATTACTACTGAGAATCAGTCTCTTTTTTTTTTTTTTTCCTGGATAACACTGCTTGGTGCCCGAGGGGTGGAGGCTGTTAAACCTGTGAAGGGTACCTGAAAAAGAGGAAAAAGTGTAGAAAAGGAAAGATTCAGGAAGGGGAATTTTGTCTACTCACAGCTTGTCTTAGAACTTGCTATATCGCACTATGTAACGTCAGAAGTCAATTTTCACAATTAACTAATAAAATGTATTACAAATTACTTTCTAAAGATGCTCAGCATAAGTACTTGGTAATAATTTCATTTTTCCTTTTGTCTTCATGGCAGGATCAGCCTAGCCACGGTCTCTTGTGAGAATAAAGGCATTTCTTTCATCTATTAAACCCAATGCTAAATGGCAATAAATCATCATTCATTGAATTCTGCAACCTAAACTATACCTTACTGAAGAAATTCTAGCCCCTATGCATCATAATTAACATCAAGTAGCAGTAGAAAATTACAGTACAACAAAGACCTACATTTTGGCAGCAACCCTACTTGGTCGGAACGGAATGAACTCTGAGCAATTACTTCAGGGGAAGAAAGAAAAATAAGACAGGCTTTACCTATGAAGCTAAACAAAGCAGTAGAATGGTTGTGTCAGTCTGGGTCCAATTAGTAGAGAAAAACCATATAGGTAATACGAACAAGGAAAGTTTAATATAAAGAATTATAAACTATAACAGGAGATTGAAGTAACAAGGCTAACAGGAGTAAAAGGAACTCTAAAAAATATAAGAATGGCTGATATAAGGAGAGGCACCACCCCTAGATCTGAGATAGAGTGTCCAAGCAAGATCACCTCTCAGGGCTGACATCTAGGCCCTGGAAAGGGCACGTCTGTGGGTCCCTGAATAAAGTCGCACAGAGAAGTCTCACAGAGAAGTCCTTGTGTTGCTGAGCTGGTGAAACTTGCTGGAAATTCACCTTCTGGAACTTGCCAGAAATCTACCATCTGGAACTTGCTAGACATCCACTATCTGGAACTTGCTAGAAATCTGCCCTCTGCATCTTGCTAGAAATATGCCTTCTGGAACTTGCTGGAAATAGATGGAAGATGAGGGAGTATAATATAGACAATTCTTCCTAGAAGTGAGAAGGTTGCTTGTAAAGACAAAAGACAATAGGAGCTGGAAGGAAACAGGGAGCTGGGAAAGTTTTTAAAAATTGAAGAGACTTCAATATGTTTAAAAAGACAATGGAAAAGATCTCGTGGAGATAGGGGGCTTGAATATAAAAATGAGATAATGCAGAGTTCCTGAGAAGGTGGGAGGTGTTGGGATCTGTGAAATAAAAACATATTTGAGCCTAAAACTTTGATTTAGCCTTGGTTAAAATTAAACATTTGAAGATTATCTTAACATTTCCTTAAAATAATTTTTATTAACTTTAATTATCATTGATACACAGTGACTCACAAAATACAGGTATTTAATAAGAAACACTGGGAAGGAAGAATCTTGTTGACATAAGTACCTTAAAAATTCAAAGTACTTTGCTGGCTATTACTCTTCTCAGTAAGATGAGGAAGAGAGGTTAGAAAATATTTACATTCTAGTGACCTTTCAGTTGCACAAGGAACAAAGAACACTGTTAGGAGCCAATGGGGCAAAGGTCTTATATAAACCTCTGCAGGCTCTGTTTCTTAGTATCATAAATTATAGTTTCTCTTTTTGATAGTGCAAGAAACTTCCCAAAACACTCAATTTTAACTTCAAAGTTTCTGCTTAGTATTTCCAGACGTAAACTTTAGTGTAAAGCATGTGATGACTACAAAGTCTGTAATGCATTTGTTATAGGAAATTTTCCTTAATGTGCAAGATAGGAAGTCAAGGGAGTTTAAGGTGTTGGAAGTCGTGTTAATGAAATTATAGCTATGGACTCTAAGTTGGATACTGAGGGAAGTATTAAAAAAAGAAATGGATTGAGATGCTGATGAGTTTGAAAAATAGTTCTGCTGGGCATATTTGAATGAACAAGTTAGAAGAATAGGAGATTGTGGTCAAAGAGTAGGAGGCTTGCTTTTCAAGATGATGGCAAGGGCCAAGGTGTGACCACAGAAATAGGTATCTGGAGTGGAGTATTTGAGATGAGGGATTCAGGAAATTAAAATGCTGGGATGTTGGCCTTTTCATTTTAATCTCATCCAAGTAGACAATGAATGGCTTAGAATGGAGGAGACTGTGCACTAGGTGACACTCTTCACTGAATGAGGAACAGTGACTTGGAGATCAGAAGACGACAGCCACAGGGAGGGAAGACGGAGCATAACACAACAGTGTATATCTCAAAGGAGCAAAGGTGTGTTACAAGCACCTAGGTAGGTAATGATTGGGAAACAAGGAGCAATGAATACATCAATAAAATCTAACAGACAGGGAAAGAGAAAATCAGCCTATTTTAGAGTGTTTGGAATCCTCTCTTTCTCTGCCTATCCAAAGCCTACCATTATTCAAATCTCATTTTTAAAGGCTCTCTTTTTAGATTGAGACCATCCTGGCCAACATAGTGAAACCTCGTCTCAACTAAAAATACAAAAAAATTATCTGGGTGTGGTGGCATGCACCTGTAGTCCCAGCTACTTGGGAGGCTGAGGCAGGAGAATCACTTGAACCCGGGAGGCAGAGGTTGCAGTGAGCCAAGATTGCGCCACTGCACTCCAGCTTGGGTGAAAGAGTGAGACTCTGCCTAAAAAAAAAAAAAAGCTCTCTTTTTAAAACAAAGGTTTACAAAGGTGTTTTTTTCTTTTTAATTAAGAATCATTTATAACAAAAGGAATCTTTAATACAAATTCTAATGTAAACCATTGTTCTAAGAAAGGAGAACAACTCATTTGCCTGGCTTTTAAAACCTGTAATGTTTCTAATAAAACATGTCTATTTGAACTTTTTCAAAAATTTTCAATCCATGTTTTGCTATCTAGTTGTCCCATCTGTGCCTTTTAAATTATATTATTCTCACTATGTAAGCCTTTTTTTCATCTTTTCAAATCTTATCAGTCTTTTGAAGTTTAGAGACCAATCTCTTTTACAAAGTCTAGCTAATTTCAAAATTAATTATTCTGTATATCTTTCTACTTTATTTCTCATAGTCCATTTCCTTCAAATTTGACAGTTATCTATACCATCCGGTAACATCTTGACCTGATTTTAAGCAGTTTCAGGGAAGAAACCATGCTTGATTCCTTGTTTTTCCCAGAGCACATAGTAAATGAACAAAATGCTCTTATTAAGAAGCGACATGACACAATGGTGAATGAATGAACTTTGGAGGAAATTATTATTTTTGGTTAACAATTTTCTTCTTGCCTGATTCCCTTGCCCAAGCTCTTAAATCCTGACTGGAAAGTCCTCCTCCTCCATCTCCTCATCGAAATCATACCTCACTTTGACAGTCTAGGCCTGCCTCCCCCATGAAAAGTGTACTGCTAACATAAGCCTGTACTTTCTCCCATCTCTGAATATCTGTCTTCCTATTCATTTACACTTTAGTTACCTACATTTTCATGGGCTCATTTCTTTTCTTCCCTTTGCTATCATAAGTTCCTCTAATGAAAGAACAGTGCCTTTTAAATATAGTCAGCATATTTTCCCAATCAAACACAGGACAACTGCCTAGAAACTACTTGACACTGTAGTTGCTCCAGAAAAATCATGGGTTACTCACTGATTTACTTTCCAATAATTCTCTCAATATTCACCACTTCGAAATCTAAAAAGCTCTGAAAATTGGCCAGGTGCGGTGGCTCATGCCTGTAATCCCAGAAGGAGAATCACTCGAACCTGGGAGGCAGAGGTTGCAGTGAGCCGAAATCTTGCCACTGCTCTCCAGCCTGGGTGACAGGGAAGAGGGCAGAGACCCCGTCTCAAAAAAAAAAAAAAAAAGAAAAAGCTCTGAAAATCAAATGTTTTCTCAACATTTGGTGGCAAAACCTGTTTGACCTGACTCATTTGTCATTAAAACTTGACCTGAACCCAAGGGCAAAGTGGCAGAACCTGACCTGAAAAACTTGACTTGAGTGAGACTATACATTTCATTTATCTTAGTGTGATATTCATAATTGTTCCGGAAAAAAAAGTTGACTGTGGGTGCTGCCCCAGATAGTGAGGAATGTCACATAAAGCACACCTCTCTAAAGTCTGAAAAATTCTGAATTCTGAAATCCATCTGGCAGAAAGATTTCACTTAAAGGAAGTGAATCCATATCTCTTCTAGCCATAGTCCACTGCCATACAAATAAGAGGCTAACTTTAAGAAATTCAATTAAAGCCGGGTGCGGTCTCTCATGCTTGTAATCCCAGCACTTTGGGAGGCTGAGGCAGGCAGATCACCTGAGGTCAGGAGTTGGAGACCAGCCTGGCCAACATGGAGAAACCCCGTCTCTACTAAAGATATAAAAATTAGCCCAGTGTGGTGGTGTGCGCCTGTAATCCTAGCCACTGGGGAGGCTGAGGCAGGAGAATTGCTTGAATCTGGGAGGTGGAGGTTGCAGTGACCCGAGATCATGCCACTGCACTACACCCTAGGTGACAGAGCGAGACTCTGTCTCAAAAAACAAACAAACAAAAAACCCAAACCCTACTCCCCCAAAACCCAGAAATTCAATTAAATACTAAGAGGGTATCTATTTATCTTGGTGGGAAAAACTTGGTCTAAAAATTAAAGGATCATTATTAAAATGAATGAAGCAAGCTAAAATTCCAGAACAAATACCTTCCTGGGGAAAATAAGGTCTAAAAATTCAAGAAATAATTAAAAATAACAAAGTAAAAATACCTGTGAAAATGTCCTTTGAGACCAGCCTGACCAACACGGCGAAACCTCCTCTCTACTAAAAATACAAAAATTAGCCAGGCGTGGTGGCTGGCTCCTGTAATCCCAGCTACTTGGGAGGCTGAGGCAGGAGAATTGCTTGAACCCGGGAGGCGGAGGTTGCAGTGAGCCGAGATCGCGCCACTGTACTGCAGCCTGAGCAACAAGAGCGAAACTCCGTCCCTCTCAGGGCAAAAAAAAAAGTCTTTCAATTATGGTTTTTATTAAGCATACTGTTTTTCTGATTTCATTAACTGAAAATTAGTGGTAATTAAAAATGTATTACATATAAATAGGAATGTGATTTAAACAAAGAGTGACATCTCTGACAAATTGTGCTTATAAAATTCACTGCTATGTTTACATTTCTTAAGGGACACAGTTATTTCTACTACCAGAAGGTTGCTACCAGTAACGCAAGTGATAACTTATGTTGATTATTCACACCGTTTTCTTCATCCATAAAATAAGGAGACTGGGACTAAATGGCCTATTAAGGTTCTTCTGAAATTCTATGATCAAGTATAATACCCAGCACAAGACCAAGTTCAAAAATGTCAATACACAGGAAACAAATCAGTCTGTAAATATTGAGAACCTATGTTATCAAAGCTAATGTCTTCTGAAATAACTGGAAGTAAAGATGAAAGTATATGAAAGATAATTTTGAATGTTCTGTATTTAGAATGTGCTTCAACATTTAATGCGATCTAATTTACATATCCTTTCTGGTGCTATTGCAAGGTTTGTCAGGGTTTTACGGCAACAGAAGACTATGATGAATTCGAATGGGACACATTTGCTTCTGTGGAGTTACGATTCAAACTGAATGTCCAATATAGGAAGGCAACATATACAACAAGCAAAAGTGATTTTAGAAATAACAGAACGCGGGAGAAAATTCACACACGGAAAATGATACGGATAACAAAAGCAGGTAACTCACAGAAATGCGGCTAGAAAAGAGGCCTCTGCTGGAGCGAGAGCAAATAGAATCAGAGGGCATTAGAACTGAAAAGCTCCTAGGAGCTTTCAGTGAACAAAACTTCATAGCCAAAAAAGCACACGACTGGGCCAGGAGTTCAGAGACAGTCTTGGTGCTCAGGGGTTTGCAGCCCTAGCCGTGTGGTCACTCCCTTGCTTCTCTGGCTATTTCCTTATCTATAAAATGAGTGGGCTAGTTTAGGCCGACTGAGACGCAGACAGGGATACGGTACTGTCCATGGACCTCTGAGCTGCCCTTTCCACATCGCTGGTGAGTTACTTAAACCTCCTGTGTGTTTCCCCCTTTCGTATGTCAAAATAATAACATAAAATCAGAATGTAAATCCAGACGCATTGTTTTGCTGCGATTAAGTTGAACGAAAATAGCAAGGACGAAGTAAGGAGAGAGCCAGCCTACCCGCGGGATGAGGCGTCCCGCGGCGGAGTGGGCTGGGGGCGTGTCGTCGCGGAGGGGAGCGGCGAACCAGGCAGGAGGCGGAAGAGACCGCCCCGTGGGCGGAAGTGACGCAAGGCCTACTGTCGGCTGGGAGGGGAGGTGTAGCCGGTCTTTGGGGGTAGGCGGTAGTGGCGGAAGAGGTTCGGCGGCTGATGGCGGATCAGGATCGGAAGCCTGCGTAACTTTCT